>NC_000004.12:35339016-37839016 GCF_000001405.40 Homo sapiens
AATATAAAGCAGGCAGAAAATTGTGAAAAGGCTAGACTGGCCTAGCCTCCCAGCTTACATCTTTTTCCTGTGCTGGATGCTTCCAGCCCTCAAATGTCAGACTCCAAGTTCTTCAGTTTTGGGACTCAGACTGGCTCTCCTTGCTCCTAAGCTTGCCAATGGCCTATTGTGGGACCTTGTGATAGTGTAAGTTAATATTTAATAAACTCCCCTTTATATATATATATATATATATATACACACACACACACACACACACACGTATATATACACACATATGTATATATACATATATGTATATATACACACACATATGTATATATGTGTGTGTATATACACATATGTCTATCGTATTAGTGCCATGTCTCTGGGAACCCAGACTAATACAGATTTAAGTATAAGGAGTGGTTCTAGAGGAACAGAATATTAAGGATGGAGGGCTTTCACTGGTTTGGGGGTTTATGGAGTTGGCTGCTTAATAGGATTGGATACAAAAATGCTAAGCACTGTACTTCTAATAGTATGGAGAACAATGATAGTCCTTTGTGTGAACTGTTTAGAGAGTTATACAAAATAAATGAATTTGACACTCCTGATTCTCTGCTCACGAAAGGCAAGGAGTTTAGGAAATCTATACCTAATATCTTTGACCATATGTGGAGAACCAAGAAACGTAATGAAGCCTGTTGGTTGCTCCTAAGTTCAGTGAACAAAATTATGAAAGAAAATGATGAACTCAGGGATTCTATCTCCCAGGTTCAGAAGCGGATACTGAGCCTCAAATCTGCTAAGATTACCCTGAGTGAGAGTCTTATCTCCTGCATAAAAAGAGCTGAAATTGTGGAAAAACAGACACAAGCTCTTATCATGCAAGTGGCTGACCTGCAACAAAAGGTGCATGCACAGCCTCACCATGTGTCTACTGTTAAGCGAGGGTATTGATCGAAGAATAGGACCCTGAAACTTGGCAAGGGGATGTGTGGGAGGACCCTGATGAAGCTATGGACTCTGAGTTTGTAAAGTCTAATAAAACTTTTTTTGTTTTATTTTGCCAGAAGAAACAACTTCCCCATCCCCAGTAGTGGCAATATCCCATCCCCAACCCATGCTGCCATCAGTCTCTTCACCTTTGTCTGAGGAGATAAACCCTGTGCTGCCTGAGGCAACAGTGATGGCCTCCCCTAAGGCAGTTGCCAGGCAAGATAATGTTTATTCTCTTCAGGAGCCATCCCCAACACCTGTTTGCTTCTATACCTATAACTAGACTAAAGTACCAGTGGGCCCTTAGAGGTGAGGTCGAGAGTGTGACCCATGAGGAGATGTGCTACACTAAAAAATAACTGCTTGAGTTTTCCAGTTTATATAAACACAAATCTGCATAACTGGCATGAGAATGGATATGAAGGGTGTGGTATAATGGAGGAAGGAGCATAGAGCTGGATCATGCTGAATTTATTGATTTGGGCCCTCTAAGTAGGGAGTCTGCATTTAATGTTGCAGCTTGAGTTTAAAAAGGTTCTAATAATTTATTTACTTGGTTATCTGAAATATGGATTAAGAGATGGCCCACTATGAGCTAGCTGGAAATGCTGATCTCCCTGAGTTTAATGTAGAGGAAGAGATCCGAAGGCTTAGGGAGATTGGGATGGTGGAGTGAATTAGTCATTTTAGACCTACTCATCCCAGCTATGAGGGTCCAGAAGATACACTCTTGATCAATGCCTTGTGAAATAAATTTGTTAGGGCAGCACCTGGATCTTTGAAGAGCCCTGTAATTGCTCTTCTCTATATGTCTGATCTTACAGTGGGAACAGCAGTCGATCAACTACAAAATTTAAATACAATAGGAATAATTGGATCCCACAGTGGCAGGGGCCATGTGGAGGCATTAAACCATCAAAGACAAGGTGGGTGTAGCTACCCTAATGGACAGAAGAGGCAAAGCAGCAATCAGAATAGTCTTACTTATATAGAGCTCTGGCATTGGCTAATTAATCACAGTGTTATTGGAAGTGAAATTGATAGGAAACCTACTGCATTTCTGCTTAATTTATACAAGCAGAAAACTTCTATGTCAAATGGACAAAAGACAAATTTGAATTAAAAAAGCAGAGAATCACAGCCCCTCAGTTAATTTCCAGACTTCAGCCAGTTTAGAGACCCAGAACCTCTTGAATGAAGGGAAGGCCAGGTCCCTTTCAGTAAGGACCCCACTACATTATGGGACAATTTATGCAGTGAAACTTTCTCCCATCCTTCCCCAAAGAGAACTGTGGCTTTTTACCAGGGTGACTGTGTATTGGAGAAAGATAAATAATCAGGCATTTGGGGACTACTGGACACTGGCTCTGAGCTGATGTTGATTCCAGGGGACTCAAAACATCATTGTGGTCCTCCATTTACAGTAGGGGCTTAGGGAGGCCAAGAAATTAATGGAGTTTTAGCTCAGGTCCAACTTACAATGGGTCCAGTGGATCCCCGGACTCATTGTGTGGTCATTTCCCCAGTGCCAGAATGCACAATTGGCATAGACATACTTAGCAGCTGGCAGAACCACCACATTGGCTCCCTGAGTGGTAGGGTGAGGGCTATTGTGGTGGAAAAGGCCAAATGGAAACCATTAGAGCTGCCTTTACCTAGAAAAACTGTAAATCAAAAACAATATTTCATCCCAGGAGGAATTTCAGATTAGTGCCACCATCAAAGATGCAGGGGTGGTGATTTCTACCATATCCATGTTTAACTCTCCCATTTGTGTTGTGCAGAAGACAGATGGATCTTGGGAATTACAGTGGATTACTGACAGTTTAACCAAGTGGTGACTCCAATTGCAGCTGGTCTATCAGATGTGGTTTTATTGCTTGAGCAAATTAACACATCTGCTGGAAGCTGGTATGCAGCCATTGACTTGGGAAATATCTTTTTCTCCATTTCTGTCCATAAGACCCACCAGAAGTAATTTGCCTTCAGCTGGAAAGACCGCCAATGTACCTTTGCTCTCCTACCTCAGGGGTATATCAACTCTCCAGCTTTGTGTCATAATCTTATTCAGAGAGACCTTGGTTGCTTTTTGCTTCTGCAAGATATCACACTGGTCCATAACATTGATGACATTATGCTGATTGGAGCCAGTGAGCAAGGAGTAGCAAACACACTGAACTTATTGATGAGACATTTGTGTGCCAGAGGATGCAAGACAAATCTGACTAAAATTCAGGGACTTTCTACCTCAGTACAACTTCTAGGATTCCAGTGCTGTGGGGTCTGTTGAGATATTCCTCCTAAGGTGGATGATAAGTTGCTGCATTTGGCCCCTCCTACAGCCAAAGAAAGGAACACCAACCAGTGGGCCTATTTGGATTTTGGAGGCTGCACATTCTTCATTTGGGTGTGTTACTCTGGCATATTTATCAAGTGACCCAAAAGGCTGCCAGTTTTGAGTGTGTTCAGAGCAGGAGAAGGCTCTTCAACAGTTCCAGGCTGCTGTGAAAGCTGATCTATTACTTGCTCTACCACTCTGTGATTGGACCCAGCACATCCAATGGTGCTTAATTTGTCAGAGTCAGGGAGAAATGCTGTTTGGAGCCTCTGTCAGGCCTGTATAGGTTAATCACAGTGGAGGTCTCTAGGAATTTTGAGCAAGCCCTGCCGTCTTCTGCAAGTAACTCTTCCTTTTGAGAGAATGCTCTTGGCCTGTTACTGGGCTTTGGTAGGAACTGAACATTTGACTATGGGTCATCAAGTCACCATGCAACCAGAAGGGCCTATCATGAACTGGGTGCTTTCTGACCCATCTAGCCATAAAGTAGGTCATGCACAGCAGCATTCTATTATGAAATGGAAGTGGTATATACGTGACTGGTCTCAAGCAGGTCCTAAAGGCAAAAGTAAATTACATGAGGAAGTGTCTCAAATGCCCATGGTCTCCACTCCTGCCACCCTGCCTTTTCTCCCCCAGCCTGTACTGATGGCATCATGGGGAGTGTTCTATGATCAGAGAAAGAGGAAGAGAAAACTAGGGCCTTGTTCACAGATGGTTCTGCAGGATATGCAGGAACCAACTGAAAGTAGACAGCTGCACCACCACAGCCCCTTCCTAGGACATCCATGAAGGGCAGCAGTGAAAAAATATCTTTCCAGTCAGCAGAACTTTGAGCAGTGCATCTGATTGTGCACTTTGCATCGAAAGAGAAATGGCCAGATATGTGTCTATCTACTGATTCATGGGATGCAGCCAATGGTTTGTTTGGATGGTCAGGGACTTGGAAGAAGCATGATTGGAAAATTGGTGACAAAGACATTTAGGGAAGAAATATATGGATGGACTTTTCTGAGTGGTAAAAAACTGTGAAGATATTTGTATCCCTTGTGAGTGCTCACCAATGGGTGACCCCAGCAGAAGAGGATTTTAATAATCAAATGGATAGGATGACCTACACTCTGTGGGCACCACTCAGCCTCTTTCTCCAGCCTCTCCTATCATTGCCCAACAGGCTCATGAAAAAAGTGGCTATGGTGAAAGGGATGGAGGTTACACATGCTCTTAGAAACATGAACTTCCACTCACCAAGGCTAACCTGGCTACGGCCACAGCTGAGTGTTCAATTAGCCAGCAGCAGAGACCAACACTGAGCCCTCACTATGGCACCATTCATTAGGGTGATCAGCCAGCTGCCTGGTGGCAGGTTAATTATATTGGACCTCTTCTATCATGGAAAGGGCAGAGGATTGTCCTCACTGGAATAGACACCTACTCCAGATATGGGGTTGCCTAACTTTCACCCAGTGCTTCTGCCAAGACTACCATCCATGGACTCATGGAATGCTTTATCTGCACAGCATTGCCTCTGACCATGACACTCACTTTACTGCTAAAGAAGAGCAGCATTGGGCTCATGCTCATGGAATTCACTGGTCATTCATGGGCTCATGCTCATGGAATACATGGAATTACCATGTTCCCCATCATCCTGAAGTAGCTGGATTGATAGAATGATGGAATGGCCTTTTGAAGTCACAATTACAATGCCAACTAGGTGACAGTACTTTTTAGGGCTGGGGAAAAGTTCTCCAGAAGGCCATGTATACTCTGAATAAGTATCCAATATATGGTACTCTTTCTCCCATAGCCAGGATTCACGGGTCCGGGATTCAAGAGGTTAAAGTGGAAGTGGCACTACTCATCATCCCCCCTAGTGATCCACTAACAAAATTTTTGCTTCCTGTTCCTGCAACATTACATTCGGCTGGCTTAGAGGTTTTAGTTCCAGAGGGAGGAACACTGCCACCAGGAGACACAACAATGATTCCATTAAACTGGAAGTTAAGATTGCCACCTGAGCTTGCAGTGAGCCGAGATCATGACACTGCACTCCAGCCTGGGCGACATAGCAAGAACGCGTCTTAAAAAAAAAAAATTGCCACCTGGATACTTTGGGTTTTTCCTACCTTTATGTCAATAGACTAAGAAGGGAGTTTCAGTGTTGGCCTGGGTGATTGACCCAGACTATCAAGATGAAATCAGTCTACTTCTCCACAATAGAGATAAGGAAGAGTATGCAGGGAATACAGGAGATCCATTAGGGCATCTCTTAGTATTACCATTCCCTGAGATGAAGGTCAATGGGAAACTACATTAGCCGAAACCAGGCAGGAATATAAATGGCCCACACACTTCAGGAGTGAAGGTTTACGTAACTCCACCAGCAAAAAAAAAAAAACATGACCTGCTGAGGTGCTTGCTGAAAGCAAAAGGAATACAGAATGGGTAGAAGAAGAAGGTAGCCATCAATACCAGCTACAATCATGTGACCAGTTGCAGAAACGAGGACTGTTAATTATCATGAATATGTCCTCCTTCTTTTGTTAAAAACATGATTGTGCATGTATACACTTGTGCTAAGAAAATATCTTCATTTTATTTTATTTTTCTTTTATCATGTGACATAAAATTTATTGACTTCATATCAGCATTTAAGTATTGTTAACTTTATGTAATAGCATTTGGGTTGGAGATTGGTGCTTTTCTGGTTGTAGGAAGGATAGTTGTATTATGTTAGGCATAATTATGACCTTACTATTGTCTTTATTTGAAGATTATATATGATCTTAAAAGATGTGTATGAGTTCAAGTTGACAAGGGGTGAGCTTGTGATGGTTAATACTGAGTGTCAATTTGATTGGATTGAAGGATGCAAAATATTGATCCTGGGTGTGTCTGTGAGGGTGTTGCCAAAGGAGATTAACATTTGAGTCAGTGGGCTGGGGAAGGTAGACCCACCCTTAATCTGGGTGGGCACCATTTAATCAGCTTCCAGCAGATACAAAGCAGGCAGAAAATTGTGAAAAGGCTAGACTGACCTAGCTTCCCAGGCTACATCTTTCTTTCATGCTGGATGCTTCCTGCCCTTGAACACTGGACTCCAAGTTCTTCAGTTTTGGAACTCAGACTGGCTCTCTTTGCTCTTCAGCTTGCAGACAGCCTATTGTGGGACCTTGTAGTCATGTAAGTTAATATTTAATAAATTCATATATATATATATATATCTCCTATTATTTCTATTTTTCTAGAGAATCCTAATACACTTCATGACACAAATAATCTTAAACATCACAACAAAATATAATTGCTAGGAATAAGCTGATCAAAAAATGTGATCTAAATAGATTTATTTTTATAGATAGTTATATTTTTCTATTAAGTTAATTATTTTTCATAAAATATAGATATATATCTTATTATAAAAGGGCACTGATTTGCTATATTTATTACATACACTTCTATAAATTCACAACCAATATTCCTCCATTTTTTAAAGTAGGAGATTTAAAATAAGCTATATATTCTCTAAAAAAGTAGAAAATAGACTAACAACAGAAATAATTGATCAACAATGGTAATAAACTATAAGTAATATTCAAACCAGTGTTATAATATAATAGATGGTGCAACCAGAATCCTCTTACAAAAGCTAACTGAGCAATACCATCATCACTATTTTGAGATATGAAGACTTCTGAAAAGGTAGATTCTATTACTTTCTTCATTATTGTGTATTGCATATTAATAGCATTCTGGCAGTCAACAGATGGAAAATACAAGAGGTAATTGGAGAGTATCTAATAAAAGAAGTAGTTACAAAAGTATAGGTATGGTCAGGAAAGCAAAAGGGGAGTCATAACCTAAGGACAAGGGAAAAGCCTTTAACTGTTCCAGGTCTGATAGGGAAAGGTAGGTAACAATCGCCTGAAGCCAGCAGAAGCTATAAGAAAAGACTATCTAATGAAAGCACTTGCCTAATATGGAGAAAAAATAAACAAATAAACAACAACAACAAAAAAATCCCAGTCACTTTCCAACCAAGTCCTCTGGGTGGAAACTCATGAAATAACTAGCTGTTGGCCCTTCCTGCTGGCACACTAGGTCTTGCTGGTGGTGCTCCTTATAAGCCACAGTCAGCCAGAACCCAGAGGGCAAGAGACTGTAGGTAACACTGGAAAAACACGTTATATTACGTCAGTTCTCTAGTATGCCTGTAACAAAGTAACATAAATTTAGCAATTTAGACAAAACAAAGTTATTATTTTACAGTGTTGGAGGTTAAGAAGTCAGGCACCAGTCTCGCCTGGCTCAAATCAAGGTGTTGGCTTAGCTATATTCCTTTATGGTGGCTCTAGGCAAAAGTCTGTGCTTTTGTTGTTCTTTGTTTGTTTGTTGCCTTTTAGTGTCTAGAGGCCATCTCATCCCTTGGCTCTGGTGGTGACCCCCTTCCAATGTCTCAATGCTAGCAGTGTTTCATGTCTGTTACCCTGCAACTGCATTCTCTTCCCTTTCTTCTTGTCTCCTCTTCCCTCTGCCCTCCCCAAAGTCACAGTCAGTATCTATCAATTTTTAGCAAATAATATCAAGAGCTAGAGAAATAATATACCCTCTCTCTAGAAATAGAGAGAGGGTATATTATTCTCAAATTTCAAAGATAATGCCCAACTATACCTAGGTAGAACATCAAAAAAATGAAATAAAAAAGGAAGAGTAATGCTTAAAAAATTCTGTACAATGACATCTCCTCAGAATTGTAAACTATATAAGTAAACTTATATAAAGCTTTGTAGGATGGAGTTGTAATGAAAGAATCTTCTTTAAAGTTAAATTGTCAATCATCTATAAAGGCAACATAAAATATTCAGTGACAAAAGCTTAAAAACACTGCAGGTTAGTTATCTTCATAGACTTGCACCAACTCAGTTCTCCCCACTTTTTCACTTGCAGTTTTCAAGGATAACATTGCAGCATGCTCTGGGAGTGTAGCATCCTGAGCTAGAGAGGGACTGTTGAAACAGCTCCAGCTCTGCTCCAGTGCCCTGTGTAACACCACGCCTTTCAACATTGCAGCCCAGTGCACTGTCTCAGCCTTCAGATATAAAACCCAGGGCACGCTGCTTTTCAGGGTCCCTAAGCTGTGGTGCAAGTAGTGCATGCACAGACAGTCTCTGTCTATGCCAAGCAGCTTTCCTGAGCCTTGAGGAGCTGGCTGGTAATGAATTCTAATCTTTTGTTGTCCCTTGTGCCTATTTGTGAGTAATCAATCTACTTCATGTCACTTGTTGTAGAGGAAGTGTTCTGACTCACCAGAGTCAAACAGGTTGGTAACCAGTGAACCTGCTTCACACATACTTTAATTAAAAATTCTTCATGTACATTTCACAATAATTAAAAGATGAATTAAAAATAAAAATTCAAGAATGGAAAATCCATGTCATTAGCAGTACAGATAACGTCATCCCAAATTTGAAAAATTTGAATTAAATTAAATTTAAAGAATAACAAGAATTTAAAAAGCTCTACAATATTGGCCATGGCTATTGTTTAAAAAACTTACAGTGATTACATAAAAATATCATGGTATTACTCCATTCTTGCACTGCAGTAAAGAAACTATCTGAGAGTAGAAAATTTATAAAGAAAATAGGTTTAATTGGCTCACAATTCTGCAGGCTGCTTCTTCTGGGGAGGCCTCAGGAAACTTAAAATCATGGCAGAACATGAAGAGGAAGCAAGCACATCTTCACATGACAAGCAAGAGAGAAAGAGCGAGAGAGAGAGAGAGAGCAAGTGAGCGTGGGAAGAGGGAAGTGCTACACACTTTCAAACAACCAGATATTCTGGGAACTTACTCGCTATTATGAGAACAGCAAGGGGGATATTTACATTCGTGATCCAGTCACCTCCTACCAGGCCCCTCCTCCAACCTGATGATTCAACATGAGACTTGGGTGGGGACACAGAGCCAACCCTCATCATTCCACCCCTGGCCACTCCCAAATCTCATGTCCTCACATTACAAAACATAATCATGTCACACCAACAATCCTCCAAAGTCTTAACCCATTCTGGCATTAACTGAGAAGTCCAAGTATCTATTTCTTTAAGTATCTATAAGAAACTTAAACAAATTTACAGGATAAGACAACTACCCCATTAAAAAGTGGGCAAAAGACATTCACAGACACTTTTAAAAAGAAGACACACTTGTGACCAAAAAGCAAATAATAAAATTTCAATACTACTGATCATTAGAGAAAGGCAAATCAAAATCACATTAGGATACCATCTCATAACAGTCAGAATGGCTATTATCAAAAAGTCAAAAAATAACAGATGCTGGTAAGGTTGTTGAGAAAAGAAAACACTTATACCTGGTTAGTGGGAGTGTAAATTGGGTTTACACACTGTAATTTACAGTGTAAATCTGTAAATTGTGGAAGGCAGTGTGACAATTCCTCAAAGACCTGAAAACAGAAATACCACTCAAGCCAGCATTCTCATTACTGGGTATATAACCAAAAGATTATAAATCATTCTGTTATAAACACACATGAATGCATATGTTCATTGCAGCACTATTCACAATAACAAAATATGGAATCAACCCAAATGCCCATCAATGATAGACTGAATAAAGAAAATGTGGTACATGTATACCATGGAATACTATGTAGCCATAAAAGGAAATGAGATCATGTTTTTTGCAGGAACATAGATGGGGCAGGAGGCCATTATTTTTAACAAACTAATGCAGGAGCAGAAAGCCAAATTTCACATCTTCTCAGTTATAAGTGGGAGCTAAATGGGGCCAGGCATGGTGGCTCACACCTGTAATCCCAGCACTTTGGGAGGCTGAGGCAGGAGGATCACAAGGTCAGGAGATCGAGATCATTCTGGCTAACACTGTGAAACCCCGTCTCTACTAAAAATACAAAAAAGTTAGCTGGGTGTGGTAGAAAGCACCTGTAGTCCCAGCTACTTGGGAGACTGAGGCAGGAGAATGGTGTGAACCTGGGAGGCAGAGCTTGCAGTGAGCAAAGATGGCGTCACTGCACTCCAGCCTGGGTGACAGAGGGAGACTCCGTCTCAAATAATAATAATAATAATAATAATAATAATAATAATAAAAGTGGGATCTAAATGATAAGAACACATGGACACAGGGAGGGGAACAGCACACACTGAGGCCTATCAGAGGGTGAAGGATGAGAGAAGGAAGAAGGTCAGAAAAATTAACTAATGGATATTAGGCTTAACACCTCGGTGAAGAAGTAATCTGTACAACAAACCCTAATGATACATGTTTACATATGTAACAAACCTGCACATCCTGCAAATCTACCTCTATACTTAAAACTAAAGTTAAAAATAATTACAAAAAAAGTTCAAGTCCAAATTCTCATCTGAGACAAGGTAAGCCCCTTCCACCTATTATTCTGTAAAATCAAAAACAAGTTAGTTTTTTCCAAGATACAAAAGTGTACATGCATTGGATAAATGTTTCCATTCCAAATGGAAGAAATTGGCAAAAACAAAGTGGCTAAAAGCCCCATACAATTCTGAAACTCATCAGGGCAGTCATTAAATCTTAAAGCTTCAAAATAATCTCCTTTGGCTTTATGTCTCACATCCAGGGCACACTGATGCAAGAAGTGGGCTTCCAAGGCATTGGGCAGCTCCGCCCCTGTGGCTCTGCAAGGTACAGCCCCCATGCTTGCTTTTGCTGGCTGACATTGAGTGGCTGTGGCTTTTCCAGGCACATCACACAAGCTGTCAGTGGATCTTCCATTCTGGGGTGTGGAGGACAGTGGACCTCTTCTCATAGCTAAACTAGGCAACGTCCTGGTAGGGACTCTGTGTGAGTGCTCTAACCCCACATTTCTCCTCTGCACTGCCCTCATAGAGCTTCTCCATGAGGGCTCCACCCCGTAGCAGACTTCCGTCTGGACATCCAGACATTTCCACACTTCCTCTGAAATCTAGATGAAGGCTCCTAATCCTGAACTCCTGCCCTCTGTGCAACCACAGGCTTAACACCACACGGAAGCCATCAACTCTTGGAGCTTGCAAAGTCTGAAGCAATGGTTCAGGCTGTATCTTGGCCCCTGTTAGCCACAGCTGGAGTTAGAGACTCTGGGACACTGGGCACCATGTCTCAAGGCTGTACAGAGCAGCAGGGCTCTGTGCGTGGCCCATGAAACAATTTTTCACTCCTTAGCCTTCAGGTCTGTGATGAAAAGGGAAACTCTGAAGGTCTCTGAAATGCCTTGGAGACATTTTCCTGATTTTTGTTGCTATAAATATTTGACTACTCTTTACTTATTCAAACTTCTGAAGCTGGTTGAATTTCTCCCCAGAATATGGGTTTTTATTTTCTACCACATGGTAAAGTGCAACTTTTTCAAACTTTTATTCTCTGCTTCCCTTTTAAATATAAGTACCAATTTCAGACCATCTCTTTGCAAACACACATGAGTAAACACTATTAGAAGTGGCCAGGTTACAGTTTGAATGCTTTACTGCTTAGAAATTTATTCTGCCAGATACACCAAATCATCTCTTTCACGTTTAAAGTTCCACAGATCTCTACAGCAGGGGCAAAATGCTGCCAATCTCTTTGGTAAAGCACAGCAAAAATCGCCTTTACTCCAGTTTCCAATAAGTTCCTCATCTCCATCTGAGACAATCTCAGGCAGGACATCACTGTCCATATGACTATCAGCATTTTAATGGAAACCATTCATCAAGTTTCTAGGGAATTCCAAACATTCTCTCATCTTCCTATTTTTTTCTGAGCCCTTCAAACTGTTCCAACCTCTGCCTATCACCCAGTTCCAAAGCTGCTTCCACATTTTCAGGTATCTTTATAGCAATGCCCCATTTCTTGATATGAATTTTCTGTATTAGTCCATTTTCACACTGCTATAAAAAACTATCTGAGACTGGGTATTTTATGAAAGGAAAAGGCTTAATTGACTCACAATTCTGCATGCTGTACAGAATTGTCCTTCTGAGGAGGACTCAGGAAACTTACAATCATAGTGGAACATGAAGGAAAAGCAAGCACTTCTTCACGTGGCCAGGAGGAGGGAGAGAGAGAGAGGTAGAGAGAGAGAAAGAGAGAGAGAGAGAGGAGGGGGAAATGCTACACACTTTCAAACAACCAGATCTTGTGAGAACTCACTAACTCTCATGAGAACAGCAAAGGGGAAATTTGCCCCCATGATACAGTCACCTCCCACCAGGTCCCTCCTCCAATAATGAAGATCACAATTCAACATGAGATTGGGTTGGGGACATACAGCCAAACAATATCAATCATTATATTTTATATAAAGTTTTTAAAAGCTTATCAATTTATATTATTATATGTCTGAGTATCACTTTTTAGTATATTTTGCAACGATATTTTCCCTCATTAGGATAATTATTTGTCCCATCATTCATTAAACATTTTCATTATTCCCACAACCATATCTATTTATTTACATTCTTGGGTTTCTGGAAGTTCTATTTTATTTCATAGGTTTTATTACAACTGGGATCCATATATATGGAAAGATAATGGCTGCGTACATTGCAGAATTTTTACAAGGACTAATGCATTTTGAAATGTCTTCCTTTATGATGTTTGCATATTGCAAGATTTTCTCAATGTGTATATATAATTGTATATACTCTTTCTAAAATATGTGTATCTACTTTATTGATTATACCCAGAGGCATATCTAAATTAGAATATCTACAAGAGGCCAGGCGTGGTGGCTCATGCCTGTAATCCTAGCACTTTGGGAGGCCAAAGCGGCTGGATTGCCTGATCTCAGTGGTTCAAGACCAGCCTGGGCCACACAGTGAAACCCCATCTCTACTAAAATACAAAAAATTAGGCGGGCGTGGCTGTGTGTGCCTATAGTTCCAGCTACTTGGGAGGCTGAGGCCGGAGAATTGCTTGAACCCAGGAGGTGGAGGTTGCAGTGAGCCGAGATTGCACCACTACACTCCAGCTTGGGCGACAGAGTGAAACTCCATCTTTAAAAAAAAAAGAAAAAACAAAACAAAAAAAAACAGAATATCTACAAGAGAAAGCCTTTTTAATAAGTGTTCAGATATACCATTCCACCTATTTTCTTATTTCTCAGCATGCTAATGTGGGAACAAGACTTAAGCTGAAACTTAAAATTTCTAGACTTCTGGATTATTTTATTCTTTCAGATTTTGCTGTATTTTATGACTCATCAAAGATCATTTTAGTTCAATTCCAAAAAGTATATGCAACATTATTTCAAGTAGTGATAACAAGGTTCTTTCACATCTGTTAAATAACTCAAAAGTTTATTGGGCAAACTTTCCAGATTAAAAGTGGTTATTAATCTTACATATGTTAGTATTAAACTCTTTTCCTCTTTCTGTTAGAGTAACAGTATCATCCAGATGCCAGATTTGTGTCCCAAGTACATTAGTTTACTCATTTATGAGTTCCTCATGCTTGTAAATAAATATTCATTTGTTCAACTCATATATATCTTGATGAACTGAAACCTGCAATTGCACCTTTAGAAAATAACTGTAAAACCTTATCTGTCAGTTGGTAATAATATTACCAATTGATTTTTATAAAATATTGTAGCATCAAAAATCCCAACATTTATCACATGTAACTCAGTAAGATATTTTGCCACAAAACCAAAAATAAAAGGTAACTTGTAGGATGAGGTGAAGGTTAATTTGACCCACTTTAGTAAACTTTTACTATCTCTGTGTATCAGGTATCATGTTGTATAACTTAAATATACACAATAAAATGTATGTTAAAAAATTATAATAACATTAAAGCCATTATAAAAATATCAATAGTATATATAAATTACTACTTAAGACAATAATAGCTTGCTTTACATTATTGTATTTCTTTTTCTGGTGGGGGTGGGGGTCTTACATCAATAACAGCCATAAACATGTGTCTTTCATTCATCCATCCCTCTATCCATTAATCCATCCATCTATCCATCAAGCCTTCCATCCTTGGATACATAGTAAGGCCTTTAGCAAAGTGTCTGGCACTTAGTAAGTGTTCAACAAGTGTGAGCTATTGATAGTTATTTGCTCATGTAATGTTTCCTTTAGAATCCCATCCACCCCAGACTTCAGATCTTGTTATTTGCCTTCATAGCCTTGACTACTTCCACTTCAAGGTATTTGTTAAAATTGCAGCTTTATACTTTACCAAGTCTTTTTTGTCAGCCTCCATTTCTCTCTAATCCATAGCTCTGTGAAGGCAGGGTTTATTTTTGTTTTCTTACCTAAGAGGATATTTGGCACACGGTAGGTAGGTGTCCAAGAAAGAGTGGATTGATGGGTAGATGGAGGGATAAATGCATAGATAGATAGATAGATAGATAGATAGATAGATAGATGGATAAAAGGATAGATGGATAGATGGATAGACAAATGACAGATGCATGTTTATGACAGATATTGATGATAACCATGCCCTCCGCAGGAGAAAAAACTTGATAATGTAAAAAACAATAAAAATTATAAATCTTGTGCTGAATATTTGTGGTCCAATTTTAAATGCTAATAAGTAAATTCATTTAATGCCCATTTTTAATTTTGATATCAAAATGTGATTTCTATTTCTGTAGACATTAGTAAAAAAACACATTAACCCCTGAAAACTGAAAACTTTTGTACATTGGTGAATTGAGCTGATGGTCTATGGCTAGTTCTATCTGGACAAGGCTCAAGTTTTTAACATTTGTCATGATGATTGACATTAATAAGTTCCTTGACTGGCAGCACTAACAAAAGAAAAACCCTGTGAGATGAACTTACGACCTTCCATCTCTCCCAGAACTGAGCACTTTTATCGAGTATTTGGAATGTAAGGTAGAGGAAGAAGTCACCTCTGTTTTATACCATGTGAATCCTCTAATTAGAGAATCAATTGTCTTTTAGCTTTCTCATTTGCGAGTTCCAAATTTGTGTTTGAAAGTTACACAATGTTAAAGCTGCTTTCAGATATTTGAAAATAATATAGCTTTCTAGTGCAATGAAAATAAGCACAATTTAGGCAGTGATAAATATTGTATATGTTATTTTATTATATAAAATTCATAGTTTTTATAGTACTTGATTTTGAAAAACGTGTATTTAGACCAAATAAAGGCCACAATTAGAGGTAACAATTGTGCTCTGAATATAAGCAATGTAAGAGCTGTTTGTCTTATAAACTGGTCTTTTTCTAGGAAACAGAAGTACTGACTCTTGCAGTCATAAACACAGGTGGGTTGCTCTCTTAGTGTCTTGATCTTTCCTTTTCTGGTAAATCATCACTCTGAAACCATATTTTTCCTTGATTGAAACTGAGTCATAGAAGCTTAGAATAATGGAAAGTTTGCCGGGCGCGATGTCTCACGCCTGTAATCCCAGCACTTTGGGAGTCCGAGGCGGTCAGATCACGAGGTCAGGAGTTCGAGACCATCCTGGCTAACACAGTGAAACCCAGTCTCTACTAAAAATGCAAAAAATTTAGCCGGGTGTGGCGGTGTGTGCCTGTAGTCCCAGCTGCTGGGGAGGCTGAGGCAGGAGAATGGCGTGAACCCGGGAGGTGGAGTTTGCAGTGAGCCAAGATAGCGCCACTGTACTCCAACCTGGGTGACAGAGCAAGACTCCGTCTCAAAAAAGAAAAAAAAAAAAAAGAATACTGGGAAGTTTGAACTAGAAGGCGCACTAATAATAATCTGTGTGATAATGTATCTATTATCTAGGCCTATATGATACTGTAGTCCATGTTATGATTGGCCATGACTTTGAATTTGAAAAAGGATAAAAAAGAGGACATAAAGTAGACGAGATTGTGTAAAAATGTGGTGGGATCAATAGGTTAACTTTCCAATGAGATCAAAAAACAAAGTAATGATCTGGAGAAATGGGAGGTGATGATCAAAGAGTGGGATTCAAAAGATGAAATTCTAAGGAAAACAATTGGAGGAAAAACATTCAAGGAACTGAGGGGGAGATAAAATCTTCACATATTTCAAAATTAGTGTAGTAATGAAATAAATAATGGATGCACAAACATTAATCGGAGACATCACCAAGTCCAGAGGAATAAGATACAATAAATTACTATTGAATGTAGAAATAAGAAAACAAAGCTGTAAGGTTATAATCTCCCATTCTGTAAACCTACTACACATGTTATTATTTGATAAAATATTTTTGGTCGGTTTTATTGTAGCTATGAAAACATCAATTTCTTATTCCCAACAGAGTGCAGAGATTCTTATTCATGAATAACAAATATCCTAAATTGTTGCCACAGACCTGTTTGTCTATGCCATTTTCATTTTCATGTAGACTTTCCTATCTACTCTATAATGTTTTATCATTCCATTTCATAATAAAACAACCCAGATCCTAGGGATTTTTTCCTGATAACTCTATTATATTTAGAATTATTTTTACTTTCTCTTCAGCATTTTGGCATTTGCACAGGATTTTTATTACTTTAACTTTGCATTTTTAGCAGTTCTTAGTTCTAGGCATATTCAATGTCTCCAAACTGTATACATATGAGCAACAATTGTGTCCTTTCTTTCCCACAATTGTCTGACACTGTGCAAACTAAGAACATAAGGTAAACACTCAACCAATGATTATTTCCCAGTTCTCCATGACTTCTACACAAATTGGACCTTGCTGAAAAACACGTAAAAATAGTATGAACTATAAAACGCTCTTCATTAGACTGAAATTTCTCAATTAAGGACCATTGTATTATTCTATGGAAACAGAAGCTAGAAGTTTGAATTTGTTTAATTTACTTTCTCCACACTTAAAGAAAGAGACCACATTTTTCATGTGTATTTGATACCCATAGTAGGGCAGTGGCTAAGAAAAGTTATTTTGAAAATAATTTAATTGTCAAATAAAATAGGAAATGTGTATATTGTCTACTTGGGCTTGCATGAGTTTTCAGGCAATGTAGCATTAAAGTATATGACTTGTGAGTGTTCACATTTTCCCATTTTTCTACTTACTAGTGTAAGTATAAAGAGATAATGACTATCATGTACAAAGACTGGAGAGAGGTATGCACCATTTTATTTAAAAATGTTTTATGGCATTTGATTTTATTTATGCTTCCCTTTGTAAAAAAAATAGTTGTATACCATTTATTAGATGAGTCTGTATTGTATTATTTTTAAGAGTATGCATTAGGGGCCAGATGGCTTGAGTTGGATTACGAATTAATATATGTAAAGTGCTTAGAACAGTATCTGGCAAACAAGTGCTGGACAAATGTTAGCTAATTTTATTATCCTTATTTTTATTATAAAACAACTACTGAATATAAAACCAGTAAACTGGAAATGAAGAAATAAGGCCAAAAGTAAAATAAGTGAAAAAATAAAATTCAATCTTGTGTACCTCCCAGGAAACTCAGGATCAAGAGGTTTAGAGAAATGTTAAAAAGTGACTTTGCTTTTCTCATTTTTCTGGCCTGAATTAATGCTCTCTTTTGATTATATAATTTAGATATGATATACTAACAGCACAAATTATTGAGTTATAGTCCTATCCTGGTGACTTTGTTCTAAGCCTAGATTTTATAATCTGTAAATTGAAAATAAATAATAGTACTTGCCTAGAAGGATTTTAGTAATAATTAAAAAAGGCAAGTTATACGATGTTCAATAAACTTTTCATTTTCTTCTTATTTTTCCTTATTATTTTTTTTATTGACATTATTATTTATGGCTGGGACATAAGTAGGAACAGACACTAAGCTAAGCAATTATTAATTATCATATTAGTAATGCAATGATCATAGATAATAAAATGTATACACTATCATTATAAATTAACTTGTCTATGTCAAACATGATTTCCTCTGTTTTCCTCATATCTTTGTCAAGTCAGAATTGTGATTAAATATCAAGACCTTGTGGTAAGTAAAATAATAGAAGTACGTTTGTGGTTAAGAGGCAACACAATGAAAAGAGTCATTGACTATGTTGCAGTGCAGTAAAGGTTTTGGCCTGTAATGAAATACAAGTTTTGAAGAATCAACATTATCCTTTTTATGACATGCAGCAGCTAGTAACATGCATAGTGGGAAACATTGCAGAATGTTTTCTTTTCTATTTTTAAAATTTATTTGAAATATCACAGAAATAGCCTGAAATATTGCAGACTGACCAAGCAGTGAATGTCATATGTGACCAAGCAGTGGATCTCATATATCAGATTGATACTTCTTACTCAATTTCACTAGGATAAGTACTAAATATATTTTATATTTGCATAATATTTTACAAGTTTTAATTGAATTAACAAACGTATTTAATATATTAAGTATGCATAGATAGCATTTTTTTGCCCAAGAGAAAATAAAAATATACAAAAACAAAGCAATATTTATGATTAGAAATTTGAAGAGAAACTGATGTGGACCCTAAATTACTTTGATTTACTAACTTCACTTCTGTGGTGATTTGTTCAAATTTCCCCGACTTTACTTTTTTTTTTATAAATGCTGATCCTACCCTGACATGCATTAGGAGACTTTATGAGTGGATATACCACTGTGTGCGATACATTTATTAATAGGAAGCTCTCATAAATGCCAGAGAGCATGGGAAGACTGTTATATCTCAGGACTTCAGTGGATTTTCTTATCAGGAAAAATGTTTACAACCCGAAGAGTGGAATTGTTAAAGTTTACCAGAGTCCTGTGATTCTGGGATACAGCAATGGTTGAGAAATTTCCCACTTTTCTGTTTTCTGAAATAGCTTACCACACAAACCTCCCATCCCCATAGGACTTACATTAGCCTCACAGATGCTTCCTTGTTTACCTATGACAAAGCCAGACACAGATTCCTTAAATTCTGGTTCTATGTCTCATAAACAATTAGCTCAATTGTTTTCTTCCCCACAGACACATTGGAGCAAAATGCTTGTTAAGATTCTTTTCTCCTCTAGACCCTGCAACCAGCAAACAATCCCTCCTTATAGGTCTCTCTCAAGAAAAGACTGACCTTAGGATACAGCATTTCCTGATCGGCTGTATAATGATTTCACCTTTGCTCATCCTATTCCCCGACACCAGGTTCTCTCAGGCCTTGGTTATTCCCTTTCACAAAAGAAAAGCCCTTCTTTACCCAACATTTAAGAGGCTTGCAGAGTCTCCCTGTTTCAACAGTCATCTGCTCTGTCTCCCTCCCACTATTGCAATAATCCGTTCCTTCCCTCTTGCGATAAAATCTCTCTTTACATAAATTGAATTGTTTTTCATTTGACGAGAGAAAAGTGAAAACTAAAAAGGGAAGTCACGTGGGAACACAAAGCAATTACTGAAGATATTAAGGTAAGATTTCATGATACATTTTCATGATTGCTTTGCTCATAGAAACATAAACTAAAAACAAGAAAACCTGAAGTCATTTCCCTGCTCTACCTCTTATGAGTTGGTATGACCTTGGTTAAATAATAAAACTTAAAAAAATTATTTTTCGTTCAATTATCTTCCTCTTTTCCTCTTTCTTTAGTGCCTCCTTCCCATTCTCTTGACCACCAAACTGACTTAAATATGTTACCTCTTTGAATAATGTTTTCCAGAAAGCAATGCTTAATGTAAAGAAATGATTCACTAACAGAGTTTCAGGCAGCAGGACTCAGGTAGTCTGGGAGGGATTTCTGCATGGAGATATCTCCACTGTCCTTAAGTCATACCAAGGAGAGGCCATCAAATCCTTCTATTTGTGTGGTTGGCTCTGTTAGAGCAGATACTATTGTTAGTACCCGTTAACAACTGGCAATGACAGCCAGCGTTTCTGGTGATTTCGCTGGGAAATAGATCTGGCTCTGAAGAAAAGAATCTTGTCTTGAAGGAAGTGGAAGCATTTTCCCCCAGGAAAGGAATAAAAACAATCAATGGTTCTTTATTTTATTTTCTATTTCAATAGCTTTTTGGGGAACAGGTAGTGTTTGATTACATGAATAAGCTCCTTAGTGGTGATTTCTGAGATTTTGGTGCATCCATCACCTGAGCAGTGTACACTGTACCCTATGTGGTATTGCACTGTGGTTTTGATTTGTATTTCTCTGACAGTGATGTTGAGCATTTTTTCATATGTTCGTTGGCCATTTGTGTATCTTCTTTTGAGAATTGTCTATCCATGTCCTTAGCCCATTTTTTGATGGAATTTTTTGTTTTGTTCTTGCTGATTTGTTTGAGTTCCTCATAGATTCTGGATATTAGTCCTTTCTGGATGTATAAATTTCAAAGATTTTCTCCCACTCTTTGAGTTGTTTGTTAACTTTGTGGTTTGTTTCTTTTGCTGTGCAGAAGCTTTTCAGTTTAACTAAGTCACATTTATTTGTCTTGGTTTTTGTTTCATTTGTTTTGGGTCCTTGGTCATGAAGTCTTTGCCTAAGCCAATATCTAGAAGGGTTTTTACAATGTGATCTTCTAGAATTTTTATGGTTTTGGGTCTTAGACTTAAGTCCTTCAGCCATCTTGAGTTAATTTTTTATAAGGTGAGAAATGAGAATCCAGTTTCATTCTCCTACACGTGGCTTGCCAGTTATCCTACCACCATTTGTTGAATCGGGTGCCTTTTCTCCACTTTATGTTTTGGTTTGATTTGTCAAAGATCAGCTTGCTCTAAGTATTTGGCTTTGTTTCTGGGTTCGCTATTCTGTTCTATTGGTCTATGTGCCTATTGTTATACCAGTAGCATGCTGTTTTGGTGACTATGGCAGTATTAGTATAGTTTGAAGTCAGGTAATGTGATGCCTCCAGATTTGTTTTTTGTTTGTTTGTTTTTGCTTAGTCTTGCTTTGGTTATGCGGGCTCTTTTTTTGGCTCCATATTAATTTTAAGATTGTTTTTCCTAGTTCTGTGAAGAATGATGGTGGTATTTTGATAGGAATTGCGCTGTATTTGTAGATTGCTTTTGTCAATATGGTCATTTTCACAATATTGATTCTACCCTTCCATAAGCATGGGATGTGTTTCCATTGGTTTGTGTCATCTATGATTTCTTTCAGAAGTGTTTTGTAGTTTTCCTTGCAGAGATCTTTCACCTCCTTGGTTAGGTACATTCGTAAGTATTTTAATTTTTTTGCAGCTATAGTAAAATGATTTGAGTTCTTGATTTGATTCTCAGCTTGGCTGCTGTTGGTGTATAGCAGAGCTACTGATGTGTGTACATTAATTATGTATCCTGAAACTTTGCTGAATTCATTTATCAGTTCTAAGAGTTTTTGGATGAGCCTTTAGGGTTCTCTAGGTATACGATCATATTATTAGTAAACAGTGACAGTTTGACTTCCTCTTTACTGATTTACATATGTCCTTTATTTCTTTCTCTTGTCTGAGTCTTCTGGGTAGAACTTCCAGTACTATGTTGAATAGAAATGTTGAGAGTGAGCATCCTTGTCTCCTTCCAGTTCTCAGGGGGAATGCTTTCTGTTTTTCCTCTTTCAGTATTATGTTGGCTGTGGGTTTATCATAGACGGCTTTTATTACACTAAGGTATGTCCTTTCTATGTTGATTTTGCTGAGGATTTTAATCATAAAGGGATGCTGGATTTTGTCAAATACTTTTTCTGCATCTATTGAAATGATTATTTGATTTTTATTTTTAATTTTGTTTATGTGGTGTACCACATTTATTGACTTGCAGATATTAAACCAACCCTGCATCTCTGGTATGAAACCTACTTGATCATGGTGGATTATCTTTTTGGTATACTGTAGGATGTTGTTAGCTAGTATTTTGTTAAGGATTTTTGCATCTATAATCATCGGGGTACTGATCTGTAGTTTTCTTTTCTTGTTATTTCCTTTCCTGGTTTTGGTATTAGGGTGATACTGGCTTCATGGAATTAGGAAGGATTCTCTTTCTCTATCTTGTGGAATGGTGTTAATAAGATTGGTACCAATTCTTCTTCAGATGGCTGATAGAATTCAGCTGTGAATCCATCTGGTCCTGGTCTTTTTTTTGTTGGCAATTTTTTTAATTACCATTTCAATCTTGCTGCTTGTTTTTGGTCCATTCAGAGTTTCTATTTCTTCCTGGTTTATTCTAGCAGAGTTGTATATTTCCAGGAATTTATACATCTCCTCTAGGTTTTCTAGTTTATGTGTGTAAAGCTGCTCATAGCAGCCTTAAGTGATCTTTTGTATTTCTGTTGTATTTGTTGTTACAGCTCCCATTTCATTTCTAATCGAGCTTATTTTGATCTTCTCTTTTATTCTTTTGGTGACTCTCTAATGGTCTATCAATTTTATTGAACTTTTCAAATAACAAGCTTTTTATTTCATTTATCTTTTTCTTTTTCTTTTTTTTTTTTTGGTTTATTTGTTTGTTCCAATTTCATTTAGTTCGCTCTGATTTTGTTTATATCTTTTCTTCTGCTGGGCTTGGGTTTGGTTTGTTCTTGTTTCTCTAGCTCCTTGAGGTGTGATCTTAGATTGTCTATTTGTGCTCTTTCAGGCTTTTTGATGTAGGCACTTAAGGCCATGAACTTTCCTCTTAGCACAGCCTGTGCCATATCCCAGAGGTTTTTATAGGTTGTGTCACTGATATCATTCTGTTCAAATAATTGTTTAATTCCTATCTTTATTTCATTGTTAACCCAATGATTATTCAGGAGCAGGTTATTTAATTTCCATGTATTTGCATGGTTTGGAGAGTTACTTTTGGAATTGATTTCCAATTTTATTCCACTGTGGTCTGAGAGAGTGCTTGATATAATTCAATTTTTAAAAATCTATTGAGACTTGTTTTGTGGCCTATTATATGGTCTATTTTGGAGAATGCTCCATATGCTGATGAATAGAATATATATTCTGCAGTTGTTGGGTAGAATGTTCTGTAAATATCTGTTCAGTCCATTTGTTCTAGGGTATAGTTTAAATCCTTTGTTTCTTTGTTGACTTTCTGTCTTGATTACCTGTCTAGTGCTGTCAGTGGAGTATTGAAGTCCCTCACTATTATTGTGTTGCTGTCTATCTCATTTTTTAGGTCTAATAGTAATTGTTTGATAAATTTGGGAACTCCTGTGTTAGATGCATATATATTTAGGATTGTGATATTTTCCTGTTGGACAAGTCCTTTTATCATTATATAATGTCTCTCTTTGTCTCTTTAATAGCTGTTGCTTTAAAGTTTGTCTGGTATAAAAATAGCTACTTCTGCTCACTTTTAGTGTCTGATTGCATGAAATATATTTTTCCACCCTTTTACCTTAAGTTTATGTGAGTCTTTATGTGTTAAATGAGTCTCTTGTAGACAGCAGATATTTGGTTGGTGAATTCTTATCCATGCTGCCATTCTGTATCTTTTAAGTGGATTGTTTAAGCCATTTACATTCAACATTAGTATTGAGATGTGAGATACTATTTTATTCATCATGCTATTAATATTTGTTGCCTGAATACCCTTTTAAAAATTATTTATTGTGTTTTTGTTTTATAGGTCCTGTGAGACTTATGCTTTAAAGAGGTTCTATTTTGGTGTATTTCAAATATTTGTTTCAAGATTTAGAGCTCCTTTTAGCAGTTCTTTTAGTGTTGGCTTGGACTGGTGAATTCTCTCAGCATTTATTTGTCTTAAAAAGAGTGTATCTTTCCAGTATTTATGAATTCTTGTTCAGCTGGATAAAAAATTCTTTGCCAATAATTGTTTTGTTTAAGAAGTCTGAAGATAGGGCCCCACTCCCTTCTAGCTTGTAGGATTTCGGTTGAGAAATCTGCTTTTAATCTGCTAAGTTTTCCTTTACAGGTTACCTGGTGCTTTTGCCTCACAACTTTCAAGATTATTTTCTTCATCTTGACTTAAGATAACCTGATAAGTGCCTAGGTGATTATCTTTTTAAAATAAATTTCCCAGGTATTCTTTAAGCTTCTTATATTTGGATGTATAGATCACTAGCAAGTCTGGGAAAGTTTTCTTCGATGATACTCTCAAATATGTTTCCCAAACTTTTAGATTTCCCTTTTTCCTCAAGAACACCAATTATTTTTAGGTTTGGGCATTTAAAATAATTCCAAACTTCTTGAAGGCTCTGTTCACTTTTTAAATTCTTTTTTCATTGCCTTTATGGATTGGGTTGGTTCAAAAACCTTGTCTTCAAGCTCTGAAGTTCTTTCTTCTGCTTGTTTGATGTCATTGATGAGTTTTTCCAGTATTTTTTTTTTTGCATTTCTCTAAGTGTGTCCTTGATTTCCAGAAGTTGTGATTGTTTATTTATGCTATCTATTTCACTGAAGATTTTTCCCTTCATATCTTGTATTTTTTTTTTTTTTATTTCATTAAGTTGGACCTTACCTTTTTGTGGTGCCTCTTTGATTAGCTTAAAAATCAATGTTCTGAATTTTTTTTCTGGCAATTTAGGGATTTCTTCTTGGTTTAGATCCATTGATAATGAGCTAGTGTGGTCTTTTTGGGGTGTTAAAGAACCTTGTTTTGTCATATTACCAGAATTGTTTTTCTGGCTCCTTCTCATTTGGATAGACTATGTTAGAGGAAAGATCTTGGACTCAAGGGCTGCTGTTGAGATTCTTTTGTCCCACGAGGTGCTCCCTTGATGCAGTGCTCTCCCACTTCCCCTAGGGATGTGGCATCCTAGGATCCAAAGTGAAGTGATTGTTATTTATCTTCTGGACCTAGCCATCTAGAACCAGGCTTCGAGTAGGTACTGGAGGGTGTCTGCATGGAGTCCTGTGTTGTGAACCATGGTCAGATCTCTCAGCCATGGATACCAGCACCTGCTCTGGTGGAGGTGGCAGGGGAGTGAAATGGACTCTGTGAGATTCTTTACTTGTAGTGTTGTTTATTGCACTAGTTTTGTTTTGGCTGGCCTCTTGCTAGGAGGTGGGGCTTTCAGGAGTGCATCACCCCTGGTAGTATAGAGAAGATCAGTTGGTGGGCGGGGCCTTAGAACTCCTAAGAGATTATATCCTTTGTCTTCCACTACCAGATCCAGTAGAGAAAGACCATCAGGTGGGGACAGGGCTAGATATGTCTTAGCTCAGACTCTGCTGGGGCAGGGCTTGCTGTGGCTGCTGTGGGGATTGAGGATGTGGTTCTCAGGCCAATGGAGTTATGTTCTGAGGAGGATTTATTATCCTCCTGGGAACATGGGTACCTCTGCTGTGTCATGCAGGTTGCTAGGGAAGCAGGGGAAAGCCGGCAGTTACAGGCCTCACCCAGCTCCCACACAGCCCAAAAGGCCAGTGTCACTCCCACCATGCCCCCAACAACAGCATTAAGTTTATTTCCAGGCAATGGATGAGCAGGGCTCAGAAGTTGCCCCAGGCTACCAGCCTCCTGGCTGTGAAAGCAAGCAGGGCTTTCAGGTTTTGCACCTCCCCCACCTGCCATGGCTTCTGTGCTGTGCCTGCACTCCCATTTCACCCCTTCCCCCAGGTTCTGTCCAGAAAACTTCATGTTAGTTCAAAATTGTTAAAAAGTTCAGCTGGAAAGTTCTCCCTGTGGTCTCTTCCCAGTTCCTCTGGCAGCCCTCCCCAAGGACCTCTGCAAGACAAAGTCAGAAATGGCTTCCCTGCTACTTCTCCTAATACTGTGCTCTAAATTTCTCTCAGCTCCAGATAAGATCAAATCCTTCTCCCATGATCTGGACCTTCAGGTTCCCCAATGAGGATGTTTGTTCGGGGGCAGATGATCCCTCTTTCACACTTTCACACTTTGGGCACTCACAGTTTTTTAGCTGTCTTCTGGGGCTTACAGGCAATCTGCTTCCTTCAGAGGGTCTGTGGGTTCTTCTGGCTTTCATGGTATATTTCTTCAGTAGTTGTTGGAGCAAAAGTTCACAATATGAGTCTTCACATGCTGCTCTGTCTGTCTGAGTGGGAGCTGCCACTTAGTCCTGCTTTCTATCCGCCATTTTCCTTCTCTCTCAGTCATAAAACTTTTGAGACTTGAATTTCTTTCCTTTTGAAGCAGGAATCACAAGTCCTCCCTCCAGGGATATTGAAAGGATTGAATGACTAATGCATATGAAAGGGATTAGAAACTTGCAAAGTCTCCTCATATTGCATTTACTTTGTCTATAAAGGGCTCTCCTCCACAGGCTGCTGATCACTCTAAACAGCTCCTATCTTATAAGAAAGGTTTAAAATATTTGGAAGATTATCAACTGTGATTATTTCTGCAGAAAAGAATAAAAGGTTAATAGAAAAATATAAAACTTAGCCAGCAATAACTCTACATAAGCACTGCTGATTTTTTAACTTGACTCTAAGCGTTTTCTTAAAAGACCTTCAAGCAACCCAGGAATAATTACCTAAACGATAATGAATACTATACTAGACAAAACAATATAAGGAAAATGATATATTTCAAGGGTTAAATAAAATTCACTTTAAGATCATGACATTTTATATGATTATAAAATACCACATGATGTTATTTTGGAAATAAATAAATAAGTGTTTATTTGGAAATAAAGAATTTAGGAAAAGTCTTTTAATGAGAGAGAAGCTTGCTGTAATCTGAACCTGAAATTAAAGTGTCTTTAATTGAAGTTGAGGAAAAATTATACTATCTTGAGGCTATAGAATGGATCTTGCCATAAGAAAGTATTTTTAAATTACGAATCTTTAAGACTGAAAACATTTTGATGTTTTTTTCTGTAACACAGAGAAGTAGCAGTTTCATTCTTCATTTATCTTTTCAAACCGAGACAGATCTTTTTAAAGTTTATGCTTCAAAGTTAGAGTAGTTCTTTAACTTTCCTTTTTCCTTTCTCATGTTGAAGGACAGGCTCACCTGAATGTATTTCTTTGCATGCTTCTTAGTATCAAAAATCAATCTAATTTATATTATATTTCATATTCCATATATTATAAACTAGAGGAAACAAAATATTTTGGATACAAACTCATTAATTCTAATAAATTCTCTTCATTTTTTCAGGTGTTTTAAAGTTCATACACAATTTTTCTGACAAGAGGTAGTATGTTATTTAACTCTTAAATTTGTAAGTATTGTTAGCTTAATCAGGGGCCAACCATATCAATTACTAATAAATTTACTTGTATACTGAACAATATCAAGGACTTTTTAAAAGTTGAATTTTATGTCACACCTATGTTTTCAGCCTTGAGTTAAGAGATCCCATTTAAGTTATTGATCTTCATTTAACTTTAGAATATCCTTATTGATGTTGTCTGAGCCATTGGTTAGCTTACTTTTCATTTCAGTTCTGGCCGTCAATGATATTGACCCAAAGTTTTGTTGTTGTTGTTTTGGTTTCTTAAATTTCTTTTATGAAAATTATCTTTTTGCAGAATAAAGACAATTGGAAAATATTTTTAAACTATAAAGCAGCAATATCACTGTATTTCAAAGTATTTTTCTCCAACACTGAGAGACCATTAAACATCATGAGAGTTAAGACATAGTTGAAATTGCAAAAATCCAGCAACCCTAAACCTTAGTATTTATGTGCAATTTTTTAATTTTTTAAAAACGTTTATTCTTGGTTTAAGAGTACATGTGAAGGTTTGTTATGTAGGTAAACTTGTGTCACAAGAGTTTGTTGTGCAGATTATTTTATCACCCAGGTATTATGCCCAGGACCCTATAGCTATCTTTTCTGCTTCTCTCCCACCTCCTATCCTCCATCCTCAAATAGATCCAAGAGTCTATTGTTCTCTTCTTTGTGTTCATGAGTTCTCACAATTTAGCTCCCACCTGTAAGTGAGAACATGTGGTTTTTGGTTTTCTGTTGCTGCATTAGTTTGCTAAGGATAATGGGCTCTGGATCCATCCATGTTCCTGCCAAAAATATGATCTCATTTTTATGGCTGTATAGTATTCCATTTTACACATGTACCACATTTTCTTTATCCAGGCTATCACTGATTGTTACTTAGGTTGATTACATGTCTTTGCTCTTGTGAATAGTACTGCATTGAACATTTTCATGCATGTGTCTTTATAGTAGAATGATTTATATTCCCCTGGGCATATACCCAGTAATGGGATTGCTGGGTCAAATTGTAGTTCTGCTTTGAGCTCTTAGAGGAATTGCCATACTACTTTCCACAATGATTGATTGAACTAATTTACATCCCCACCAACAATGTATGAGTGTTTTCTTTTATCTGCAACCTCACCAGCATCAGTTATTTTTTGACATTTTAATAATAGCCATTCTGACTGGTATGAGATGCATTGTAGTTTTGTTTTTTATTTCTCTAGTAGTCAAGGATATTGACCTTTTTAAACTATATTTGTTGGCTGCATGTATGTCTTCTTTTGAAAATTTTCTGTTCATATCCTTTACCCACTTTTTATGGAGTTGTTTGTTTTTCTCTTGTAAATATGTTTAAGTTCATTGTAGATGCTGGATATTAGACCTTTTTCAGATATATACCTTGCAAATATTTCCACCCATTCTGTTGGTTGTCTGTTTACTCTGTTGATCGTTTATTTTGCTGTGCAGAAACTCTTAAGTTTAATCATATCCCATTGGCCAATTTTTGCTTTTGTTGCAATTACTTTGTCTTCATCATGAAATCTTGCCCATTCCTATGTCCAGAATGGCATTGACTAGGTCGTCTTCTAGGGTTTTTATGGTTTTGGGTTTGACATTTAGATTGTAATTCATCTTGTGTTAAATTTTGTATATGGAGTAAGGAAGGGGTGCAGCTTCCATCTTTTGCATGTGGCAAGACAATTATACCAGCGCCATTTATTGAACAGGGAGTCTTTTTCCCATTGCTTGTTATGTTGGCTTTGTTGAAGATCAGATAGTCATAGGTGTTCGGCCTTATTTCTGAGCTCTCTATTCTGTTCCATTGTCCTATGTGCCTGTTTTTGTACCAGTACCAAGCTGTTTTGATTACTGTACCACTGTAGTATCATTTGAAATCAGGCAGCATGATGCCTCCAGCTTTGTTCTTTTTGTTTAGTATTGCCTCGGCTATTTGGGATCTTTTTTGTTCCATTTGAATTTTAAGACAGTTTTTTGTAGTTCTCTGAAGAATGTCATTGGTAGTCTTATAGGAATAGCATTAAATCTATAAATTGCTTTGAGCAGTATGGCCATTTTAATGATATTGATTCTTCCTATTCATGCACCTGGAATGATTTCCCATTTGTTTATGTCATCTCTGATTTCTTTGAGCAGTGTTTTGTAATTCTCATTGTAGAGCTCTTTTAACTCCCTGGTTAGCTGTATTCCTAGGTATTTTATTCTTTCTGTGACAGTCATGAATGGGATAGCCTTCCTGATTTGGTTCTTGACTTGGTTGTTGTTGGTGTATAGAAATGCTAGTGATGGGTTTTTTTTTTGTTGTTGTTGTTTGCTTTTTGTTTTTATGGGGTTTTTTTGAGACGGAGCCTTGCTCTGTCGCCCCGGCTGGAGTGCACTGGCGCGATCTCGGCGCACTGCAAGCTCTGCCTCCCGGGTTCATGACGTTCTCCTGCCTCAGCCTCCCGAGTAGCTGGGACTACTTGCACCTGCCACTACGCCCGGCTAATTTTTTTTTATTTTATTTTTAGTAGATATGGGGTTTCAATGTGTTAGCCAAGATGGTCTGGATCTCCTGACCTTGTGATCCGCCCGCCTCGGTCTCCCAAAGTGCTGGGATTATAGGTGTGAGCCACTGTGCCCGGCCGCTAGTGATTTTTGTAAATGATTTTGTGTTCTGAAACTTTGCTGAAGTCATTTATCAGCTGAAGGAGCTTTTTGGCTGAGACTATGAGGTTTTCTAGATACAGAAGCATGGCATCTGTAAACAGAGATAGTTTGACTTCTTCTCTTCCTGTTTGAATACCCTTTATTTCTTTGTCTTGCCTGATTGCTCTGACTAGGACTTCCAATATTCTGTTGAATACGAGTGGTGAGAGAGGGCATTCTTGTCTGCAATTGTTTTACCTACATGTCCCTGGTGTTCAGTTTATTCATTTATAAAATGAATTGCTGTTATGTAGTATTCCCTAAGATCTCTTAAAAGCCAGCCTCCTAAGATCTGCTTAAATTCATTCAGAGTGTTAGAAATTAGGAGCTCTGGGGGTGAAGAATGATTGGTTAATGGGTACAGTCATATAGTTATGTAGAAGAAATAAGTTCTAATGTTTGATAGCAGAGTGGGGTGACTATAGTTAACAACCATGTAATGTATTTTTCAAAATAGCTAGAAGAGAGGGCTTGAAATATACCCCCAACACATAGAAATAATAAATGCTCAAGTGACATATACCCTAAATATCCTGATTTGATCATTACTATTCTAAACATGTAACGAAATTTCACATGTACCCCATAAACTTTTACAATGTATCAAAATAAATAAGTAAAATAAAAGGTAAATTCATTTATAAAAAATTAGGAGCCTATTACGATTGAATAATTTTCTACCAAACGAACCTAGTTCCTTTAAGTTGGCATGCCCATAACTTACTGAATATTGATCATGCATCAGCAAAACAGTAAACAAAAACTATAATCTGCATACCACCCTTTATATAATATATCATTGGGTTTTACAAACAAATAAATAAACAGAACTTTCACCTCTTTCTGTTCCCTTTCCTCTGTCCTTACCTTATCACTCTACCATCACACATATTACCCATTGTCTTAGTCTGTTTGGCCTACTGCAAGAAAACATCAAAAACTATTAGTTTATAGACATTTATTCATCATTGTTTTGGAGGCTGTAAGTCCAATATTAAGGTGCTGGCAGATTTGGTATCTGGTGAGGGCCCTCTTTCTGATTCATAGATAGCACTTTCTCTGTGTTCTCACATGACATAAGGGGTAAGGCTGCTTTCAGGGCCCTCTTTTGTTAAGACACTGATCCAAGTCCTCAGGGCACTGCTACCATGATCACTTCCTAAAGACCCCACTTCCTACTAACATGACTTTGGCGGTTGGTATCTCAATATATGAATTTCGGAGAGACACATATATTCAGACCATAGCACTCATGTATTCTGATATGTTTTCCTGAGTTTTTCCAGCATTGGTGGAAGTGATAGAGAGTTTTGTAACATATCATTGTGCCCTGAAAACAATAAAATGTGTTTAATTACTTGTGTAACTGTGCTGAGCACCATATAGAACTTATAGCAACCATAGTTTGGTTTTGTTTAGTTTCATAATTATAAAATAAATATACTTCTTTCAAATGAAAGATATCATGCCTTGGGTGGCAGACCTTTCAAACTGACCATTTCATGTCACGTAGGGTGAACTACAGGATAGTGTATATCCTAAGCTTTGCTTTCTTTTGACACCAACGGTGCTTTACTCCTCGGTAAGCCAGTTTACCATTCTGTCTTTCTCTCTTTATTTGCAAAGCATAGATACTGATCTTTGCCTTGTGTGTGTTATGGAATTACTCTCAGGATCAAAGGAACTAATACTTGTCAATCAAAGTACTATGTGAACAATAAAACATGAGATATTTTATCCAAAGTGAAATATCACCTCTTTGGATGTTCCTCCGTAGATATCTGACACACATGATTACTTGCTTTCCCATACAGGCAGGGCTCATGTAAAATTCTAGGTACTTACAATTTTTGATTTTAAAAATTATAAGTGGAAACATATACATTCTCTATTTCAAATTCTATATTCAGTAATTGTATTTCCATTTTATTGTATTACTTTCATTTATATACTCACACAAAACGGTAGAGAGCAGAAATATTAGGTAGTCTGATTGAATATATTTTGTAATGACTCTTTGAGAGTGACTTAGGTAATGTTGGAAATCTAAATATTTTTAGATAGCAAATTATCTCCCAAAGCCCCTGGAAGCTTCCACTCTTCATATAAGTAAAATAAATCCGAACCTTCCTATTTTAACTTAAAGACCCATGTTAGAACTACATGAGTTTGCCTCTCCAAAACACTAAACATTAGCAATAGATTCAAATATACATTCACAAAATACAGTACAAAAAAATTCATAAGGTAGGGTCATAATTACTTGTTGTGTATAAATGATCATTGCCTTTAATTTGCAGATAAGATATCTAAAATTCAGAATAAATGAATTTTTTTTCATAATAATAGAATTAACCAAAAATAGAAGAAATTCTGCTCAATTATTTGGATTCTGATGGCAGGTATTAAAAAATCACCTCAACTGAATGCATTTCAAATAGAAGACTCTACTCATATGTACATTATAAGTAACTCTGTCATTTCTCTGTTAAGCACTCATTAACTTTATTTTTTTTTATTTTTTTATTTTTTGAGACAGTGCTTTACTCTGTCACCCAGGATGGAGTGCAGTGGCGTGATGTCGGCTCACTGCCACCTCTGCCTCCCAGGTTCAAGTGATTCTTCTGCCTCAGCCTCCTGAGTAGCTAGGATTTACAGGTGTGCACCACCATATGTAGCTGATTTTTCTGTATTTTTAGTAGAGATGTGGTGTCGCCATGTTGGCCAGGCTGGCTGCCAACTCCTGGCCTCAAGTGATCTGTCCGCCTTGGCCTCCCAAAGTGCTGGGATTACAGGCGCGAGCCACCACTCCTGGCAACACTCATTAACTGTAAAGTCTGGCTTTTGGACAGAAAAGTCAATATGCACCTTCTTTCGACCTTAATTCCTTTCTACCATCACTGCTACACTGAGTGCAAGGTTGTGTTACTTGTGGGCTCAGATTGGAAGGGCTCAGGAAGAAAATTATTTCTTACTGCTTCTTATATAAAAGCGATGTCACTGAAGGGTTAATGAAATTTGGTCATTGATCATGTATCCATTAGCTTGAAAAACATGTTCAGTTTAACTACAACAATTTAAAAAATTATGTGTGATTAAAATATTACTTAATTTTTCTATAAAAGAAGAAAACACCTAGCTACCTTGGGAGGCTGGGACAGGAGGATCACTTGAGTTCAGGAGTTTGAGGCTGCAGTGAGCTATGATTGTGCAACTGCACTCCAGCCTGGGTGACAGAATGAGATCCTATCTTAAAAATTAAAAAAAAAATTCAAAAAAAGAGCAAAGTTATAATTCCTTAGATATATTCATTGCTAATTATGAGCATTGTCACCTTTTACAGTAATTCTTTAGTATTATATACCACATCATTTGAAACTGAGTTGGTATGGAGTGCCCACATGAAAAAAGTAAAAGTAATATATTGATGTTAATTAATCTGAATAATTATCTCTTACACAAGATTGGTAATATGCATGGTTTATAATTTAATAGTATGTAAAGTAATATGAATATAGTGCAAAGATATTATTAAAATGATGAAGAATAATATTATCATGATTTCTGTGAGTTTATTGTTGAGTAGATGATGAGGAGGAGAAAAATGGTATTAGTTAGTTCCTGTGGCTCAATAGAACATATGGAAATGAATGCTTTCATTAATTATTGGGAAAAATAATAAGGAAAATGTTCTTCTTCTCCTCGAAGAAGATTATTCAAATAATTGTTCTTGACAGGGACAGATAATTATTTAAGCACCTTACATCTCTAAAATGCTATGATTATAAGAGATATTTGGTCTAAATCAAAGTTCTTCCCTCTGATTATTTAGTACATATTTTACTTGCACTGACTTTGAATGAACTTACATTAAAAATCATGTTATGATACAAATGCGTGCCTTTTCTCCCATAATAACCCACAATTAATTTCTCACTTTCCATTCCAAATCATTTGCCAGATACTGGACATCTTAAAACTGTTTACAAAATTTATTTTTTAATTCATTTTACTTTTTTCCCCCATCTCAATACACTATCAATTTAGGTAAAGATTAATTCTATAAAATCTCCTTCAATTCAATTCAGTTCAAAAATAAATTGAAGTATGCATGATGTCAAAAAAAAGTATAGCTGGTCAGCAAAGCGGTACAAACAGATTTTACTCAGGAACTATTGCAATAGGGGAAGAGATTTCATACAGAATATGGCTCAGTTTTGAATACAACAAGAAAAAGAGGATTGTGGCTAAATCAAACTAGCAAGATTCTTGCTAAAGGCAGGCCAGATCATCAAATATTACTTGAGGGATGGTGGAGGATGAGGAACCTAGTCAAATATTGTGGGTAATCAGATATCAAGTGTAATATATACTGGCTAAACTGAAACTGACTTTACAGAATTTATGCTAAAATTGAACAATGCAGAGATGTTTATGGAAGCCCTAAAGTTGGAGCCTGTTTCAGAAGAGAGTTCAAAAATTTTGACTAAAGTTTTGTGAAAAAGAGAATGTTTTTCAGTGTTTCCAGTACAATGTTTGATGTTGACGATAGAAAGATTTTTAAGGGATGACCCTTATCTTCAAAGAATTGAGTGTCTGTGAAACTGATTAAATAAAAAAGAATAAACAACAGGAGAATAACGAAAGTACTGAAGTGAAATCAAAGAGGATTAAGAGGATTTAGAAATAGTTCCCAGAAGTGATATTTGAGCTGCATCTGGAAAGGTAAATTATTTGCCTAAGCAGAAAAGGAGACAATTTCAATACATAAAGGGAAAACATCCATCAAATTGCAGGATTGTTAAAGTCTAAGCATGTACATGAGTTATAAAGAAATAAGAAATGAAGATGAAAGGAGGTGGGGGTAGGAAATAAAACCGTAGAGATAAGACAGCTTCAGATTTGACATGTAATTTTTCCCCCTCAGCAGATTGGCAAGATCAAAAATTTTTAAGGAACTAATTTTGATAAAAATTTGAGGATTCACTTAGTTTAAGATAGAGTGGAAGCCGACAAGAAGCATATGTTGCTAACATAATAATAATACCATAATCGAGGGAGTTCATGATAGCCTTCCTTTATTTATTATATGGATTATCATAAAATAGTTTTAACTGAACTTAACACATTTTCTACCTTTTGCTTTCATGTTATATGGTTTATCAAAAAATAATCTAATTATTTTGTACATATTCTCTCTTCTACCTCATAGTGCATTTTTGACATATATTAAAATAATTATTAATATTTTACTAAATTGATTCCCTACTTCCAGTTATAGAATATATAAAGTAAACCAGTAGTAGAAGATAAGTACCAAAATGCTACTTTATCCTTGATTATTTGTTCTATACAGACATTTGGAACACAGCAAGGACTCATCAAAAGACTTTGCAGACATATTTAGTTAACATTACATACTGCCTCTAATTTAGCTGCACCCATGAAAAGGTACACATTGGAAACATAAGCTACTTTACTATTATATGCCGTGTTAAAGAATGACATGTTCTGAGTAACCAGTCACTGAGAAAATGTTAAACCACCATGATAAAGAATTAAACCTCAAATGCAGTATTCAAATTGTGAAGCATTTTTGGACTTACCAGTTTGTGATCTTTAAAGATGCTAGCTCACAAGATTAATTTTCCAAATTTCTGATTTCATGTCATAGCTGAATTCATTTCTGGTTGAGGAAAATAGAGATTGCACGTATATATTTCATAAGATAAACATCAGATTTTATCTCAGATGATAATGGCTAGATAGCATGTAGGCATGATACTGGCAAAACAATCTTGTTATAGACGATATCTATTATTTATTATTCACGAACTGGTAATTAACTAATCATTCACTCACTGTTCTCTGTTAATCAACTGAATAGTCTATTCTTTACTGTTAACTAACTATGCCTCTTATCCATTCTTCATTTTTAATTAAATGAGCTTGGGTGAATTTTTTTTGTTGTTTAAGCAAAGAATCGTAGCTATAAAATGAAAGTTCAGCCAATGATATATATAGCCTACTCTGACTCCAAGATTCTATTTACTAGATATTCATCTCAGTTTCAAAAAGTCTTTTTTTTAAAATATGTATATCTGTTCTGTGGTACTTCATTTAGTAAGCAGTATTTTTTTGTTGGGTCTACAATGTGTTAACGATAATGTGTCTACTAAGTTCAAAGAAACATAATGGGAAAAGAGGTGAGTGGAAGGTGTTGCCTATTTGCAAAAAGAAAAGGAGAGAAAAGCAGATAAGCATTACTCTGGGAAATAATGATATTTTCAATAAGAGAGGGAAGAAGATGACCACTGATATACAATAATTCTGCAAAGATAAATGCTCATTTCCTGGATTTCCTGGCCTCTGCAACTTCAACCACTTTAGCTTTGAAAATACAAGTTCACTAACACTTGTAAGAACAATTTCACCATCTCTTAGCATGTCCTGGATAGGTTTTATAGGTTTTATGCTTTAGGGTTCTTGGCAACAATTGTACCGTTCATCACGTTCAGGGCATCAGCACAAACTAAAACTGAAGTTTTTTTCTTTTTCTTTTTCAAATCCAATTACTTAAGAAAAGTAAATTAAAAATAAACTATTTTGCAAATTCTTTAACATTTATATCTTTTTCACATTACAGTTTAAAGTTAGAGACTACAAGGGACAGTTAGGAGTGTATGTATGCGTATCTTTATTTCTATTTAAATGTTAAAATTTCTTATGGTTTATGTTAGGTCTCTGAACTACAGAACTGTGAAGTTTAATTGCTTAATTGGTTTTAAATTTTATCAAGTATATTTATGTTCTAGCCGAAGTTATAAATCATAAATTTGTGATGGCTCTAATTGGTACAAATGTGTCATTTTTCTTGCTTCCAAGAAAGAGATGTGAAAGTTAAATTATTTTGATATATATTTTGCAAATGGTGGTGGTAGTTTCAAGGGCATAGTGAAAGAAAAAGATAATCAAGGAACTTAAGATTTTGGAAGGAGAACAATTTTCTTTTTTATTAAGAAAGTTAGGTTTAAGTAGGAAAAAATATCTAAAGAAAAAAAAGGAACTGTTATTATGTGATCCCGAAAAGCTCAGGCAACACAATAGAAAATAGACAAATAAGATTGCATCAAGCTAAAAACTTCCACACAGCAAGGGAAGCAATCAACAGAATGAAGAGGAATCCTATGATATGGAAGAAGATATTTGCAAACCATACATCTGATAAGGGGTTAATAGACAAAACATCTAAGGAACTCAAACAACTCAGTACCAAAAACAAACAAATAAACAAACAAACTAGCAATTTGAGTTGGCCTTTTTTTTTTTCAAAATAAGTCATAAAAAGGCCAACAGGTGTAGGAAAAATGGCTCAACATCACTAATCATCAGTGAAATGCAAAACAAAGCCACAATGAGATACCACTTCACACCCGCTAAAATGACTACAATAAAAAAAAAAGAAATAACAAGTGTTGATGAGAATGTAAAGTAAAATAACTCTCGAACATTGTTGTTGGGAATATGAATTAGTACAGCCATTATGGAAAACAGTATGGTGGTTCCACAAACAATTAAAAATAGAAGTGCCATATGATTCAGCAATTCTACTTCTGGGTATATATCCAAAGGAAACAAAATCAGTATCTCAAAGACATATTTACCCTCCTATGTTCATTGCAGCATTATTCAAAATAGTCAACATATAGAATCAACCTAAGTGGCCACCAACAAATGAATGGGTAAAAAAATGTGGTATATGATGGAATACTATTTAGCCTTAAAAAAAGAAGAAACTCCTGCCATTTGCAACAACATAGATGAACCTGGACGACAGCATGTTAAGTGAAATAAGATACGCACAGAAAGACAAATACTGAGTGATCTCACTTGTATGCAGAACTTAAAAAATTTGAACTCAAAGAAACACAAAGTAGAATAGTGGTTACCACGGACTGGCAGGTAGGGGTGGAGAAAGTGTTGTGGCGATGTTTATCAAAGAATACAAAATTTCACTTAGATGGAAGGAATACATTTGAAAGACCTATTTTACAACATGATAACTAGTTAATGACAGTGTGCTGTGTTCTAGAAAATCTTGAATATAGTACATTTTAAGTGTTTTCACCACAAAAATGATAAGGATATGGAAAGTGCATATGTTAACTTAGCCATTCTGCAAAATACACGTATTTCAAAATGTGTTTTACATGGTAAATATATATAATTTTGTCAATATAAAGAAGTTACTAAAAAAGAAGTTAGTGATAAAGAAACTACTAGCTCACATGGCAAGATAAACCATTTCTCCCTTATCCTGTGTCTATAACTTCAGTGTAATCCTCAATTAAAAACTGGTTTAGGTGAATACTAAAAATATTGCAATTGCATTTATTCTTTATACAATTTCTAATCTCTCTTCATTAATGAAGGAACCAGGTTACAAAATATCTAGAGTTTAATACTTAGGGTTAATCTTATCTTTTTAAATTGTAGTCTTTCTGGCACTTGCTACTTTATCATATAAAGAGAGCTCCAAAAAGTTCTATATGTTATAAAGAATGAATACTACTTTCTTTTTCTGACAGGCATAGAAAAGTGTAAATAAAATCAATTGTTAGGACATTTTCTCCTGATCACTATAGAGAAGTGGTCCCTGTAACAGTTTTCTATTGCTGCATTTATTAAGAAATTATGGCCGGGCACGGTGGCTCACGCCTGTAATCCCAGCACTTTGGGAGGCCGAGGCGGGTGGATCACGAGGTCAGGAGTTCAAGACCAGCCTGGCCAAGATGGTGAAGCTCCACCTCTACTAAAGACACAAAAATTAGTCGGGCATGGTGGTGGGGGCCTGTAATCCCAGCTACTCGGGAGGCTGAGGCAGAGAATTGCTTGAACCTGGGAGGTGGAGCTTGCAGTGAGCCGAGATCGCGCCACTCCAGCCTGGGTAAGAGAGTAAGATTCCATTTCAAAAAAATTTAAAAAAAAGAAAGAAATTACATACTTTCCCTCTTTAAATCTATACTGTGTTAAGTTATATTAATAGATAATTACACTGTTCATCTATTTCTGATGAGTCCAATTGATGACACTATATTTCTATGCATTATTTTAAACTTTTGGATATGTTTTTTAAATATTTATTTTGGTCATTATATGATTATAAATGAAATTTGTTTATAATTTTCAATTCTCATATTGACCTCTGATTTTGTTTTTTAAGGTTTTAACTGCATTGTATAATGAGTTATGTAGTAATCCTTCATTTTATCCTCTCAAGAACACTTTATAAGTAATTGGATTTACCTGATCCTTTTTTTTTAGTAAATTTATCTCAGTATGAGATCATAAGACATCATCTTTTCTTTTCATACAATAATAATGAATGCATAGCATTTTTATTGTCATATGTGTGTATATTTTATGTATGAAGGAAGCTGTCAGAACACATTCAATAGGGCATGTTAGTTAAAATAGATTTGATATGCACAAGTCAAATAGAGTGTTTCATATAGCACAAAAGAGAACAAAACTTTTTTCAACCAATCTCAATCAAACTACTTTATTATCTTCTGGGATAATGTAATGGGTTTACATTTGAAGGTATAGAAGGCATATATAAGAAAAAAATACAGAAAAAGTCTATTTTAGCTATATAATCATTTCCCTTTTACTCCATGTCTATAACTTCAGTGTAATCCTCAACTAAGCCAGAAATTCTATTTCCATGATAACTTTTCTCAAGCATATTTTTCACAAAAGTATTTAGTTAGATTTGTGTGAGCTAAATAACAATGAAGATTAAAAGTCTCTTTACCTTAAAAACTCAATATATAAGAACGGGCGTGGTGGCTTACGCCTGTAATCCCAGCACTTTTGGAGGCCAAGGTGGGCAGATCACAAGGTCAGGAGATCGAGATCATCCTGGCTAACATGGTGAAACCCCGTCTCTACTAAAATACAAAAAAAAAAAAAAAAAAAAAAAAAAAAAAAAAGGCCGGGCGAGGTGGCGGGCACCTGTAGTTCCAGCTCTTCGAGAGGCTGAGGCAGGGGAATTGCTTGAACCCAGGAGGCAGAGATTGCAGTGAGCCGAGATTGTGCCACTGCACTCCAGCCTGGCAACAGGGCAAGACTCCATCTCAAACAAACAAACAAACAAACCCTCAGTATATATAATTCCTGCTAATAAAACTACCTCAATCTACTTTTTAGCTTTTTTCTTTACTGTCTTATATCACATCTCTAACTTTTTTAAAGAACAATATATCTTGAAAAAGTCGATGTTCATTTTTCATAGAAATACAGTTTTACTTATCAACATAATTGGATTTAAAGGTGTTAATTTAAGGAACCAAAGTAAATTGAAATTCTGTCTCTCTCGTCATTTCTTTTCTCTGAAAACACTATCAAGAGAGGGAGGAATTCTGTTTTCAGCACGTGTCCCTGAACTGACTTCATAGGCTCTGTCCCCACTTGCAAAACAGAATTATAATACTTAGAAACTTCATTAGCACTAATCTCACTAATTTCATTAGACTGAATTATTTTTATGCATTTTGTTTGAATTGGGAATACAGAATTTATACCAATATCATCTTCCTTTGGAAATAGCAAAAGTATGACTTATCTTGTGTCTATGTTCATAACACAAGGGGTCACTTCAGAGATCAAGGGATGATCTAGTAATAAACGCTAGCAGATAATACTAACATAGCTCTTCTTTACATTGTTTTTATAACAGCCTTAAAAATAATCCTTCCCATAGTCCTCTGAGCGTCACTTTTCATTGCTATTTCTCATTTTGAAAAATTATTTGGGAATACAAGTAAAATAATTTATTTTTGAATCAATAGAAAAAGCAATATACCACTAACATTCTTGTTTTTTTAATTATATTTTAGTTTGAGGGGAAAAAATCATTTTCTCACACATTTGCCAACTGCTTTTTTGTTTTGATTTTAGGCTAGACATAAATAAAGAACATATAGAATTTAAGCTATTTTTATTGATATAAAATAACTGTTAATTATATAATTGTAGTCACATTGTGAGACATAATTCATCATACATAAAATACTGCATAAATTTAACTTTGTTTCTTATTTTTCAATTTTGAAAATAACTCTAAGTTAAATAAAATGTCCTTTCTGAGTCTTTCCTTTTCACACTTGCCTTTTTGTCCCAAAGTTATGAAATTGTTAATTCTGTAAGCTTTTAATTATACAAAGACAGTAATTGCTAAATACAGTTGGAGCATAAGTGATACCATACTTCATTGTCTTCAATTTAGCTTGGTCTCTCCCTTAATAACACTGTGGATGGTCTTGACTCTGTCATTTTTCAGGTCTATCTTTCCTTTTCTATAGCACAGACAGTCTGTCTTTGCACAATTCCCAAATCTGAACGGGCTATGGAAAGATACCTCTAAGCAGTGCCTTCACTTTTTGCTTTGCCAGCCTGGGAGATGTTCACTGGGCTCCCAGCTGCTGTGGCTTCCAGGGAGTTGCCATCACCTGTGTCTCCACAGTCTTTGATGGGATCCTCCACTGAACATGTCCACCTTTGTGCAGATGCTGATGAACTTGCAACTTCTGACACTTCAGTCTCCTGGAATCCAATATCACTTAGGTAAAGACAGCCACTTATCTTCCCCAGTTTTTTAAACTTTGAAGTTTTAAGACCTTTATTCCCTTCTTTTCCCAGATGACCTAGTTTGGATCTTTACCCCTTTCAAATCTGTTAAAACTTGATTCCCAACATTGGAGGTAGGGGCTAGTGGGGAGTAGTGGGAAGTGTTTGGGTCATAAGGACAGATGCCTCCTGAAATGGCATGGTGCTGTCGTTGCAGAAATGAGTGAGTTCTCACTCTATCAGTTCACGCAAGCACTGACTCTTAAAAAAGTAGCCTGGCATCTCCTCTCTCTTGCACCCTCTCTTGCCATGTGACATGCCAGCTCGCCTTGCCTTCAGCCATAAGTAAAATTTTCCTGAGGACGCACCGGGAGCTGAGGAGTTGCTGCCACCATACTTCTTGTACAGCCTGAAGAACTGAGAGCCAAATGATCCTCTTTTCTTTATAAATTACCCAGTCCCACATGTCTCTTTAGAGCAATGCAAAACAGACTAAACATGTCAATGCAATTTCTTCTTTGGCTTGATCCCCAAAATATTAAACAATAATTAGAACTTTCCTTTTGGATTTTTCACCGTAGCATTTTTCCTCTTTTGTTCTGACACACACACAAATTAAGATGGAGGGGTAAATTGAAGCTAGATCATAGGAAACAGGACTTGAATGCATCCTTCATTTGAGTTGTGGATGTTATTTGATTTATCTTTCATTTGTGCTAATGAGCTGTCACGGTGAAAAGTGCTATATAATTTCTCAATTTTCCAGATATCCTGAATTTTTAAGAATACCATCTTACTTGATTGTATTGCTAAAAGTGTATATTGCTGTGAACTTTGAATAATGTAAATCCTTAATTTAAGAAAAATACCTGTTTATATGATCACTCAGAACCTAAATGCAAATATCTATATATGAATAAATATGTTCATGTATACAAGCATACACATTTATATCTATATGTATTTATGTGTATGTGTATAAATAATACCTACATTTGGATTACATTAAGAGATAGTTCATCATAGCCATTTATTTCTGATAGGACTGTGTATTAGTCCATTTTCACACTGCTGTAAAGAACTACCTGAGAACGGGTAATTTGTAAAAAAATGAGGTTTAATAGACTCACAGTTCAGGATAGCTGGGGAGGCCTCAGGAAACTTACAATCATGGGTGGAAGGCGAAGGGGAAGCAAGGCATGTCTTACATGGCATCACGAGAGTGAGAGCAAGAGAAGGGAAGTGTCACAATTTTAAACCATCAGCTCTCCTGAGAACTCACTCACTATCACAAGAACAGCAAGAGAGAAATCTGCCCTCATGACCCAATCATTTCCCACCAGGCCCCTCCTCTGACACATGGGAATTATAATTCAAACTACAATTTGAGGTAAGATTTGGGTGGGGACACAGAGTCAATCCATATCAGACTTGAGATCAGGTAAAGTAATCAGGACAAATTAGAATACTACATGAATTAAATATTTTCCTCTGTTTTATACTTTCCTCTTTACATCCTACATGCTGTTGTGAGATTGACCCTCATAAAAATTTTAATCTATGATTTCCACACTCTGTACAAATAATTCTGATGGCTCTCTTTTGCCTAAAAGAGAAATTTTCAACATTGCTTTAACTTTTTCTGAAAATAACTACAACAAATACTGTTTATATAAATAAAATATGCCTATAACCATATGGCTATAATTATATGGGTGCTGTTTATAATTCATGGCAAAGATATGCTGATCAACTGATTTATTTCCCACTACATAAGTATACTATCATGCAAGAGAATAATTCTGACTTACCAATGGGCTAAATTGAAACCCATTTTAATTTATATTTTTACAAATATAAATTATGTATCCCCATTCGAAATTAATTAGTGACAAATCTTTCTTATATTCGAATGAATTACAATGTCAGAGATAAGAATTATTAACTTGAGGGACAAATGTCATACTCAAATGCAGTAGAGTCCCTGCACAATTCAGCCCACATTTACTTCTTTACCCTTATTTTCCGATATTTTTATTCTATACTGATCCTCCAACATACTTCTGTTTATTATACCCAGGAAATTTTGTTTGCAGCATTTTCCTCTCTTCTTTCGTTTTCCTAGTCTTATCTCCTTTTACTTAATCCTTTGTAGAAAGTATTTATTCTGGATCTGAGTCCAAAATAATCTGATCACTCCCTTTGAAAGCAAATGGGACTTACTATTTTGAAAATATATTAATTATATATGTAATAATTAAGTACATGTATTACATATATATAATAACAATGTATATGATTAATTGTATATGTTCCCACAAATTCTCAATAAACCACATTATACATCTATAGTGTGTGTTTGTGTATGTGCATGTGTGTGTCTGTGTGTGTATATACATGCTCTCACATGCCTACCTGTGGGGGGAGTGTGTGTATGCCCACAGATAGGTATGTGAGAGCATGTATATACACAGCATATATTTGTACTCCCGAATTTACCATAAAATATGTGTTTCTATCAGCTGAGGTTATCTTGTTATTTAAGACACATAAATTACCTCAGTCTTTCCGTAGGGAAATACTCTAACAAATATATCTATTAATTCACAGGAATGTACAATCTTGTGCTTTTACACTGCTGCCCATTGATTCCAAATTTCACACATGTATCACCTCTTATTGTGACTACCTACTTCCAGTCTCTTCTCACTGTGCTACACAGACTTGGACATGCATTTCAGTCACTGCCCTCCATTTCTCTGAAATGAGAGACAGAGAGAAAGAGATGGGGAGCAGGGGTATTAAATAAAATATTTTAATAGACCATTCTGGTTGTCCCAGACTTAAAAAATTCTTGCCTACTGAACACTTCCCCTTGTAGGGTTTGTTGTCACTACAGTATTGCCTGTCCCTTTCTCTCTAGTCTTTCCTTTCCCTTCCTTCTCCTCTTCCATTTTAAAACTTCTCTTTATTTATTCTATAGAGTATTTCTTGGCAAGCTCCTTGCTTTTCCTTACCAATACCTGACATGGACTGGTCCCCAGCTAAACTAACATGTTGAAGTTATAGCCCCGGTCTGACTCTATTTGTAGATAGGGCTTTATGAGGTAATTAAAGTTAAATGAGGTCCTGGTGGGGGAATGGTGTAATCTGATAATCTGGTAGGACTGGAGGCCTTATAAGAAGAGAACTGTCTGTCTAGGTCTCTCTCTCTCTCTCTCTCTCTCTCTCTCTCTCTCTCTCTCTCCCTGCACACACTGAGGAAAGGTAAGGTGGGGGCAATGCAAGAAGGTGGCCATCTGCAAACCAAGAAGAAAGCCTTACCAGAAACCAAATTGGTACCTTGATCTTTCACTCCCCAGCCTCCAGAACTGTGAGAAATAAATGTTTTTTGTTTATGCCATCCAGTGTATGGTATTTTGTTATGAAATCCCAAGCAGACTAATACCCATTTGAAGCCCTTAGAATTCTAATTCCATAAAGATATTCATATTATTCCTTAAACATAAATAATTTTCTCCTTAAGAATATACTTTGCAACAGATGGTAGAAATAAATGTTATTTTTCACCTTGTTTCTATTAAGTTCAACGTATGCAACAGGATTCAGCATTTTGTTTGAGTCCGTGGTGCTTATTAGAATGCCATGATCATACTGGGAATGGATAAGATGAATAATAGTGGTAATGACACTAGAACTGGCTTGATACAACCAGTAGCTAATTGTCAAAAGTATACATTTCGACAAATTAGAGTTGATCCATCTAGTTAATTGTCACGTTGTTCATTTTTTATTAAATACATTTTTTGGAATTTTACTATCTTCATATATTTATACTTGACATTTAGCAAAGTTTTATTTTCTTTTTAGCAAAATCACTTAAAGCAGAATGTTTCTATTCAAAATGGAATTTTTAAATATTTAGTTTTCATGTAGCTCTGACTAAATCTTAACCATAAATTACTTACTCTTTCTCTCTCTGTTTTTGTTATGTACAGATTGATTTGCTGTCCAAGAATAAAACTCATTCTCCTTAGCCAACAAGTTTCCAATACTGAAGATTTTGACAGTATTTTTCTATATTTTCTAAACAATCCAGACTGACTCATTGTATTTAAAAACAAAGTCCAGACCAGAAAAAGTTAATTTACACATATCTTTCTAAAAACATCTGATAACCTATATTTCTTTGAGAAATTGTGTTTGTTTCTCAATAACAACACCAATTTTGATTTCAGTCTGAAAAATTCAGATTAATTTACTCTGATAGTTTGGAAATAGTCCTGTTTTGCTATTCCATTTAAATTGTTGAAGATATTACTATTAGAAGATTATAGAACATGATAACTTAAGGCTCTTGTTCTTTCACAAAAAAAAAAAAAAAAACTAGTGGAAACCAAGTCACCTTACATTTAGCTTGAATTGAAAACAAACCTACAACACCAATAGTTTTATTTTTAATTTGTATAATCCTCTAAGAATTATTAATATTGAATCTGAATTCAGTAAATTCTTGATCAGACACCACAACATATCCCCCAATGGTAATTTAATGAAAGTTACTAGTTCAACCTGTGTTGGAATAAACATATTATATTTTTGTATTTGAGAGCTTAAAAATACTGGTCTTAAAGAAATTGTAAGGACTTTGAATCAGGCTAATTATATCTTTTGTGTAATCTTTTTAGTTCTGGCAACTTGGATAAGATAATTAACCTGTTTGAATCAAGCTGTCTAAATTTATGAAGTGATGATAATTATACCTACTGCATGGAATTGTTCTGAGAATTAAATTTAAAAATCACTAAATTGAGTGTGTTTTTCTAAAATTTCTAACCCTTCAGGTATTCAAAACAGAATAAACATTATAGTAGCCATTATTATTATTTTTAATAATTATTGCTACACATACAAATAAAAATAGTAATTTAAAATACTAAATACATGAAGTATAGATTCAGTATTCCTTTTTTATTTAACCTCTGTTAGTTCTTGGGAAATTAAAAAATGAAGTTGAAAAGTCATTGCTTACAATACAAGATACCTAAAATGCAGGCCACATTCTACCTTTGAAATTACCAAGGCTGACAACCATGTCCTACTTCTGATCTCCATACATTCTCAAACAATAAATGTCTCAAAAGTCCCTGGCCTGTCTTTGGCCACAAAATTCTTTTTTGTCTGTAAGTCCATATCTTCTCAAAATACTACTTAATCTCTACTTAAAGTACATTTTTGATGACATCTTTCTACTTCTTTCTACTTTCCCCAGTTTAATCAGCATTTATTTTCCTATTTACACAGAAAACATTGTATTGATACCTCTATAACAATATACAACATCAGGCATTATGTGCTTTCTACTTAGATTCTGCATCCAGATCATGAGTTTATTGAGAATCATTATTAGTTACTAATTATCTTTATATCCCAATGACTAGCAATAGACTTCCAACAGATTGCATTTATAATATACATTTATACATCATTCTCTTAACTTTTAAGAAATGATGCAGGGCACAGTGGTTCATGCCTGTAATCCCAGCACTTTGGGAGGCCGAGGCGGGCAGATCACCTGAGCTCGGGAGTTCAAGACCAGCCTGACCAACATGGAGAAACCCGTCTCTACTACAAATACAAAAATTAGCTAGGCGTAGTGGCGCATGCCTTTAATCCCAGCTACTTGGGAGGCTCAGGCAGGAGAATCGCTTGAACCCGGGAGGCGGAGGTTGTGGTGACCTGAGATCGCGCCATTGCACTCCAACCTGGGCAACAAGAGCGAAACTCTGTCTCAAAAAATAAATAAATAAATAAAATAAAAAATAAAAATAAAAATAGAAAGACCATGGCTTTCCCAAAATTGTACAATAAGAAAGATATCAATAAACATCATAAGTTAGATCCAATCAATATGAATAATAGCTATATTTTCTATTGTGAAAGAAACATAATTTTTACGATAAATTGAGTTTTTGCAATGCTTAATTTGAAAAGAAACAATAAAAATAACTTACATTTCAAAGAGAAAAATGAATAACTTAGAGAATAATATAAGTTTAAACTATGTAAAATTGCTATGTCCTTTGGACAGAGCCGAAATGTAGAGAAGGCAAGAGTCTATTCTCTCTCATTTCTGCATTTGAATTTTATGGTACCTTCACAAAAGCACTCATCAAATCTTGTGGAAATTATCTTGATTTTCTTTCAGTTTTGCTTTTGATTAAACAGCAGTATAAAATTCATTGCATTGGTTTATTTTTCAACTCATAACTATTTAAAAAATTTGTGTAGACATCTCTAATGTGGTGTATAAATACATTAAAAATACAGTACCTAAGTTATGAAATAGACAACATAACGTGACTATGCTGAACCCTTTCTATAGATTCATCTAGATCCATTTTCCACTGTTCTCCCAACCTATCCTGTACCCCATGAGGCTGACATTTCTAGGATGTAACAAAGGCTGTCCTTACTTTCTGACTGCTGATTGGTCAATGAGAGGCATGAGGAGATCAGAGAGATGATAGAATGAACTTATGATATTTCTTCTTTCAGCTCCATCACTGCTGTATTTTTCTATACAGATTGATCTGTAGAGCAATTTTTCTCATAATTGTGTTGCACTACAATTTTACTCTTTTATATTAGCTAGTTCAAGATGTTCAGAGTAATTGCTTTCTCATATATGAGAGAAAGTAACAACATGTATAATTATATATAATATACATATATTGTTTCTATATAAGTTATATATAGAAAAAATCTATAAGCACATACTTTTCTTCACTTATTTAGTACAACTTTATAGTGAAGTTATGTATCTTTAATTCAAGGTTAGCATATAAAAATGTGTTGTATTGGAATGCAATTGTGTATTTTTATACATTGCAGAAAAGATATTTACAAGTAAATAAGCACTTGTGCTTTCATAATATATCAAAGATATAAAATGTTCATTCTGGACACACCCCATTTAACAACTAAGCATTAGCTAGTTCTTATATCTTTGTATAAATGCATTATAGAAAAAATGAGTATAGCCAAATTTTTCTTTCAAGCTCATGATGAAATAAATTTGTAATTATTGTATTATATTTGAAGCAATATGGTTAAACTTATTTTTCTTCATTTTCTTAGAACTGTGTCATTTAAAATCCTGACTCTGTTTATTAGTCCAAATGCCATTCTCTGTAAGAATTCAAAGGAAAATATATTATCAAATTTAGTTATTTAAAAGCATCCTACTTATGATTATTGATACTTGTGATTATAACTTTTTAATTCTTTATTTTTTTCTATTTTTTTTTTGTCTTAGATTCTGTAAAATTAAACTTTTAGCACACATTTTATCATATGGTTCCCAAGATAATAATACTTCTTATTGATTTGCTATTTTGTATCTTGTCTTATTTGCCTACATCTTCCTGGTGCCCATGGCCCTCAATTAGCAAGCCTAGCACTATTCGTAATAGCAAAGATATGAAATCAACCTAACTGTCCACCAACAGAGGATTGGATAAAGAAAATGGAATAATACACAGCCATGAAAAAATAAATCATGTCCTTTGTAGCAATATGAACACAGTTGGAAGCCATTATCCTAAGCAAATTAACATAAGAACAGAAAACCAGATACCACATTTTCTCACTCTTAGGTGGGAGCTAAGCATTTGATACACATAGACATAAAGGTAGACACTGGGGACTACAGAAGGGAGGAGAGAGAGAGGGCAGTAAGGGCTAAAAAGCTAATTGGGTACTACGCTCACTACCTCTACCTGGGTGATGGAATCACTCATAACACAAACCTCAACGTCACACAATATACCCATGGAACATACCTGCACACATATCTCTTGAATCTAAAATGAAATTTTAAATTATAAAATAATAAAAATTAGTTGGCTGCACTCAGATTTTACTTCTCCCACTTCCTGTTATTCTATGTCTTCTCTTTCTTATGAGAATATTACATTGATCATTACTTTCATTTCCTTCCCTGCTGTTCCCCACTTCCAGAATTAAATGTTATTTCTCTGCCAAATTTCAAATCTTACCTCCCACCCTTCTTTCCTCTGAATTATTCCGGTGGCTTCAATTAACAGTTAGGCAATCAATATTTCACAGACTTTCAAGGAAAGTTTGAGACAACTTCCAGTAATAATAATAAACCACATTTGTGTAGGATAAGTAAAATAATACTAAAAGAATTGTTATATACAATTAAGAATAAAGGACAGGGCTTTTATTAGGACTTACAATGGAGGTGATTGATTACATTATAACAAATAAGTACTACATTTACATGTAATTATAAGTGATATTTAATGTCTGCTAATTTACCGTTTAAGGTGACTTAGTCTTCTCGGTGCATTCTAAGCTCATTGAAGGCAGGGAATTGATTGCACTTTTTGTGTGAATATGATACAGAGTCTATACTATATTTTCAATCATTGCAAATTCACTAACTGACTAATTAAATCTGTTCCACAGCTTGTGGCTTCAGATTTATTGCTAAGATTTTATAGCTCAATTTATCTTTGTGACTCTTATTTTTTGTCTTCAACTAAAATATATCATCTCATGTTTTCTGCATGCCATGCCTAAGATGATCTTCAAATTGCTGGATCTGCTCTGTTTAACACTTTAGGTTGTGTGACTCAGTAAAGTTTATTATTGTAGCCAAGAACATATACCATATTTGCATGGTCATTAATTTCAGACACATACATGTAGAAGGACCATAAACCAATGAATGTGAACACAGAGTAAGATAGAAGATTTAAAAGGAATTTTTTTCATATATTTCATTGTGCAAGGGTCTATTTTGAACAACTGATTTTTATTTTACTTTTCTATTTCTTAAATATCAGAGTATATTTGCCAGAACAGGCACATCTATCTTTGTTTATTTTTGGGTAGTAAATAGAAAAGAGTGATACATGTAAATGTGTCATAAAATGCACATTCTAATTATTAAAATTAAAGTTAAATGGTGATTTTTACTTTACTTATGGTTTCTAAAACCTTTTTGTCTGTCACAAAATGGTCTTCATGGGCACAGATACTATAAAACCCATAAACTCGAGCAGATTAATAAGCCTCTGTCAATTTTGCATCCTAGAGTTTTTAAATGTTTTCTGTTAACACATTTTTTAGTAGTAATAGGAGTATTAAAAAAAAGCTATTGTAAAATACAGAAAGGTTTAGAAAAGTTGTTACTTATAATGAAATCTAACAATAGTTAACATATTAAAATAAAAAGGTTAAATGACATTTGGTTAGAATGAAGATAGTAAAAATAAACATTTTGTGTAAAAACTACTAATCAGAAAGATTAGTTCCAAAGAGTTTGTACTAGATTTAAAAGATTTTTTAAAAAGGTTCAGAGAAATTAGTATTTTAAAATTATATGATAGATGTTAATAACAATATGTATATATTTCCAGGCAGAGAAATTTGTTATTATATCATACAAATAAGATAAAACTATCATCCTTTAATCAGAACAAAATAATTCTAGATATAGGATCGTTGCAGTGGCTGACATCTGTAATCCCAGCATTTTGGGAGACCGATGTGGGAGGATCACTTGAGGCCAGGAGTTCAAGACCGCCCAGGCAACATAGCAAGGCCCCATCTCTACAAAAAGAAAAAAAAAAAGAAAAGTCAGGCAGTACGGTGCGTGCCTGTAAGTCCCAGCTGCTCCAGAGGCTGACCCAAGGGAATCACTTGAGTACAGGAGGTTGAGCTTTGCGGTAACCTGTGATCACACTGTACACCAGCCTGGGCAACATTATTATTTTCTAGAATGCAAATAATTTTTCTAGACTAATAATTCTAGAAAATTAAGATATAGAAGGAAGATCAAAGAGAATATATATATTTATATGTATTAATTATTGATCCCTTAGCATCATTTTCTACAAAAATAACATATCATGCTCTGGAAAAATATAGATGATAAAGCAAATACTTTTTTTTTTTTTTGAGATGGAGTCTCACTCTGTTATCGAGGCTGGAGTGCAGTGGCGTGGTCTCGGCTCACTACAACCTCCGCCTCCCAGGTTCAAGCAATTCTCCCTGCCTCAGCCTCCCAAGTAGCTGGGATTACAGGCACCTACCACCACGCCTGGCTAAGTTTTGTATTTTTTAGTAAAGACAGGGTTTCACCACGTCGGCCAGGCTGGTCTTGAACGCTTGACATCAGGTATTCACCCGCCTCAGCCTTCGAAAGTGCTGGGATTACACGCATGAGCCACCATGCCTGGCCACCATTGGAAATTAACGCATAGCTTTTTAGCAACTATAAACCCCAAAATATTGGTCATGATTTCGAAAAATCAATTATGCCTCTCCTCTCACCAGAATTAACTTACCTAATCTGCAGATGTATATTTGTGAGGTGGTTATATTTTCAGAAAGCTATTACATAATTATTAGATTCTTAATTATGAATTTATGTATGCTAATTTGAAGATAAAATTTTCGCAAAGGCTTCTTATTTTCAGTTTCTTTTTATTACCCACCTGGTCAGCTTCACTTTTGTTGTTGATGATAATTATGATGTTGTTGATTCCTATGTCTTACTTTCATGCCTTTGTTTATACAAATTGCAAAAGAAATTACCTGCTTAATTGTATGCAGAAAGGAAGGTGAGTTATAAATATTATACATGTTTGTGCCTACAAAATGTATTTATTGTTCTAAAACTTGCATAATAGAATGATTAAATAGAGATCTAGGAGCAATTTAATTTTCACTGAAAACATTGTAAGAAAGACACTGTTACGGTGAACTAGTGGTCAAATGCCAATTTGATTTTTCATTATATGCTTAATTATAATATCACTGTCTTTCCGTTTCCTCTATCTTCTAACCTCCATATCTAGAATTTAAGATTTATGTCAATCTCTTGCTCAAATCATTCTTTATCCAAAATTAACTATTTTAATCTCTTTTTTCCCTATGACTTTGTGTTTTTTTCAAATATATTTTAAAAATAGATGTCATATTTTCTGGATATTTATACTCAGCTTTCATTTGAGTCCAAGTTCACTAACCCAGTTTTTATCACTTTCTAGTGAATGAACTTTCAAGAATTCCCAGATGTGGGAGACTGCTGGTCATATATGCTATCTGCTTACTCATTCTTTGTAGTAATTGTGCTTTATCAGGGTGCCTCCCGGTCCAGCTATAGTGTTGATAATTTTTAATTGAGATATCAGTTATGGATTATCTGTATTGGAATCCTAGCCCTAGCCATTAATAGCTGTATGAAACTTGGGAAAGTTACATATCTTCTCTGTACTTATGTTTCATCATCTATAAAAAAAAGAGAGATAACAGCATAGGCAACCCATTATATGGTTGTTATGATAAATAAATAATTAATATATGTAAAAATCTTTAAATTTTTTTTTTTTTGAAATGGAACCTCACTCTGTCACCCAGGCTGGAGTGCAACGGCACAATCTCAGCTCACTGCAACTTCCACCTCCTGGTTCAAGTGGTTCTCCTGCCTCAGCCTCCTGAGTAGCTGGGATTACAGGCACGTGCCACCACGCCCGGCCAATTGTTTGTATTTTTAGTAGAGACGAGGTTTCACCATGTTGGCCAGGATGGTCTTGAACGCCTGACCTCAGATGATCCGCCTGCCTCGACCTCCCAAAGTGCTGGGATTACAGGCATTAGCCACCATGCCTGGCCAAAAAAATCTTAAAATACTTCCCAGATATATGGTGGGTTTTTTTGTTTTGTTTTTGTTTTTCAAGACAGAGTCTCACTCTATCACTCAGGCTGGAGTACAGTGGTGTAATCTCAGCTCACTGCAACCTCTGCCTCCCAGGTTCAAGCAATTCTGCTGCCTCAGCCTCCCGAGTAGCTGGGATTACAGGCATCCACCACCATGCCCAGCTAATTTTTGTATTTTTAGTAGAGACGGGGTTTTGCTGTGTTGGCCAGCTGGTCTCAACTCCTGACTTCAAGTGATATCACCAACCTCGGCCTCCCAAAATGCTGGGATTACAGGCGTGAGCCACTGTGCCTGGCCATATGTTTTATGTTACATAGGATATTTATGTGAGTGTGAGTTGAGTGTGAGTGTCTGTGTGTGTGTTCTTTAAACTTACATACATCTTACATCCATTACTGGATTGAGCTTTATTGCTGCCCCTAAAGTGTCTGTGAGTTTTCATAGAGACTTAACATTTTCCCCAGTGTTTATTATTAGGGATCTTGTGCCCTCCTACCTAGAAATGTTAGGGTGTGTGCCTTTTTATATGCATTAAACTTAATAACAATGTGGTACTATGAGTTTCATACTTTCATTCCTTCATCTTTTACTTTAACAAATTTTTATTGAGTATCTAATAAATTCTACACTTAGTAATTATTACTGTTGACATTATGACTTAACAAGATAGATAACGTTCTTCCTTTCATGCTTTGTATTAGGTTGGTTAAGAAAGTATATAAGCAAATAACCAAATTAGCAAAATTAGTTAACTGTGGTTTATGATATGTGCTGTACCTAAAAATAGTAAGGTGCTAAAATAATGAGAGAGGATTTGGTAGAGATTCTCTGAAGAAGTTAAACTCATCTTTTTATTTTAAGATGGAGCCAGCCATGAGAAAAGCCTGAGAAGGATGTTACATATAGAACAAACTAAAACTCAAATATACTATTATTAACATTTTTTAAAATGTCCCACATGCCATGCCTTTTCATAAAAATCAGACTTTAGTAGAATTTTGGTAAAGGTGGAGAAGCATTATAGAAAACCAGAGTAAATAAAATAGAATTGACATTGTGCTTTTAAGATTATTTTTTCCCCACCATAATGTTTGGTAATTGTTTTCTCTCTTCTTTCTGCTTTTGCTTTCTTCTCTTTCTTTTGTCCTTGTAATTTCTGACTTCAATGTTTTAAATAGAGAGCACTTTAACCATTTCATTTGTTAAACTTGATTTCTTCTAATTTATGGATATTAGGGCCTAGGTTCTACCTCAAATTGATGATCAAGATAATGCCTTAAAGATGGAGTCTTATAAAAAAGATTTTTATTGCAGGTTGATGATTTATATATTATAATATTTATACTGGCATACATCATTTAATTGCACTTCACCTTATAGTGCTTCACAGATATTGCATTTTTTTTTTTTTTTTTACTATGTGTAGGTTTGTGGCAACTGTGCATCAAGCAAGTCTATTAGCACCATTTTTCTAACAGCATGTACTCACTTCATGTCCCTGTGTCATATTTTGGTAATAATTTCAATATTTAAACATCTCAAAATTACTATGATATCTGTTATAGTGAACTGTGATCCGTAATTTTTGATGTTACCGTTGTAATTGTTTTGAGCTATGAGCTGTGCCCATATAGAATGGTGAACTGAATTGATAAATGTTGTGTGTATTCTGACTGTTCCACTGACCAGCTATTCCTCCATCTCTCTCTCTCTGTCCTCAGGCTCCCTATTTCCTAAGACACAATAATATTGAAATTAGGCCAATTAATAACCCTACTGAGGCCTCTAAGTGTTCAAGTGAAAGAAAGAGTGGCATGTTTCTCACTTTAAATCTAGCTAGAAATGATTAAACATAGTGAGGAAGGCATGACCAAAGCAGAGACAAGCCAAAAGCCAGGCGTCTTGAATCAAACAATTGATCAAGTTGTGAATGCAAATGGAAAGCTATTGAAATAAATTGAAAGTGTCACTCCAGTGAATGCATGAATGATAAGAGAGTGAAACAGCCTTATTGCTAATGTGGAGAGAGTTTAATGGTCTGAACGGAAGTCAAAAGAAGCCTTCTGCATAAATAAAAGTGCAAAGTGAAGCAGCAAGTGCTGATGGAGAAATTGCAGCAAGTTATCCAGAAGATCTACCTAAGATCATTGATGAAAGCTGTTACACTAAATCAAAGATTTTCAATGTAAAAGAAAGAAACTTTTATTGGAAGTAGAGGCCATCTAAGACTTTCATAGGTAGAAATAAGTCTACGCATGACTTTATATTTTCAAAACACAGTCTGACTCTCTTGTTAGGTGCTAATATATCTGGCGATGTTAATTTGAAGCCAATGCTCATTTACCATTCCAAAATTCTAGGGCTCTGAAAAATTATACTGAATATACTCTACCTGTGCTCTATTAATGAAATAATAAAACCTGAATGATGGCACATCTGTTTACAGTATAATGTATTGAATAATTTAAGCCCATTTTTGAGACCTACTGCTCAGAATAAAAAGAAAAAAGACTCCTTTCAAATTATTCCTGCTCATTGACAATTCATCTAGTCACCCAAGAGCTCTAATGCAGATGTACAAGGACCTGAATGTTGCTCTCATGCCTGTTAACACAACATCCATTCTGCAGCACATTCTTCAAGAAGTCAGTTTAACTTTCAAGTGTTATTGTGTAAGAAATACATTTTGCAAAGCTTATGTCATAAATAGTGATTCTTCTTCTGCATCTAGGAAAAACAAATTGATAAACTTATGAAAAGGATCCATCATTCTAGATGTCATTATAACGTCTGTGATTCATGTGAGAAGGTCAAAATATCAACATTAACAGGAGTTTGGAAGAAGTGGATTCCAATCCTCATGAGACTTTGAGAAGAAGTGGAGCCTGGAGATGTGACAGAATTATTGTAATCTCATGATAAAATTTGAACAGATGAGTTGTTGCTTCTTATGGATGATAAAAGAGAGTGGTTTCTTGAGGTGAATCCACCCCTGCTGAAGATGCTATACATATTGTTAATATGACAACAAAGGATTTAAAATATTCCATAAACTTAGTTAATAAAGCAGCAGCAGGGTTTAAGAGAATTGATGCCAATTTTGAAAGAAATTATACTGCAGGTAAAATGCTGTCAAACAACATCCCATGTTACAAAAAAAAAGTCTTTCATGAAGAGTCAAGTAATGCAGCAAACTTCATTGTTGTCCTTTTTAAAGAAATTTCCACAGCCATACCAGCCTTCAGCGACCATCACCCTGATCAGTCAGCAGTCATCAACATTAAGACAAGACTCTTTACCAGCAAAAAGATTATGATTTGCTGAAGGCTCAGGAGATCAGTAGTATTTTTTAGCAATAAAAAAATTTTTCAAATTAAGATATGTTATGTAAATGTTTAATGCGATTGTGCACTTAGTAGACTACAGTAGAGTGTAAACATAACTTTTAAATGCACTGGGAAACCAAAAACTTCATGTAAGAAAACTTAGTTTTCTTATCTGGAAAATGTGAAGTATACCAATACCTACCTTATATGGTTATTATGAGGTTTAAATGAATTTCTGTATGTTTAAAATGTGTAGAATAATAATGACACATATGTATTATATATTGATATATTTGTTATTGGTAAAAATGCTTCTCACCTCTATCACAGTTTTATTGCTCATTTCAGTTTTGGATGGTAATTTCCACCGCTCTAGTTTTTTAAGAATCAGATCCCATATATTTACTATAGTACAGAACTCCTAAAATTTACTTATCTTCTGGTTGGAGTTTTTAAATTATTTGTTCTTCATTTTCTGTAGTTTCAGTTGTATTAGAGATAAGTATACCTTACATGATTATGTTTTGTTAAGTTGAAATTGGTGTAGATTTTTATGGTACAATAATAATAAGTATAATTTTGGAACTAATAATAAAAGCAAACATTTAGTAAGCCATGAAATACAATGCCAATTTACTAAATATCTTATTATTATTATATTATTTAACAGTCATAAAAATTGTATAGAAAAAAATAAACCGGCCGGGCGCAGTGGCTCAAGCCTGTAATCACAGCACTTTGGGAGGCCGAGGCGGGCAGATCACGAGGTCAGAAGTTCGAGACCATCCTGGCCAACATGGTGAAACTCTGTCTCTACTAAAAATACAAAAAAATTAGCCGAGCGTGATGGCGGGTGCCTGTAGTCCCAGCTACTTGGGAGGCTGAGGCAGGAGAATGGTGTGAACCCAGAAGGTGGAACTTGCAGTGAGCCGAGATCACGCCACTGCACTCCAGCCTGGGAGACAGAGCAAGACTCCATCTCAAAAGAAAAAAAAAAAAAAAAGAAATAAATAAACCAATATTCACTCATTTGTTCCTTTGTAAGCTATTTTGTGTATAGCTGTAACGGTCATGTACTGTTTCAGTTACAAATTACCACAAATTTAGCAACTTGAACACACATCTGTTATTTCAGTTTTTATGGGTCAGAAATTCTAACCTTTCTGCTCCAGGGGCTTCCATGGGGCTGCAATGAAAATGTTGATCAAAGCTGGGGTATCATCCAAAGGTGTGACTAAGGAACAATACACTTCTAAGCTCACTAACATAGTGGTTCGAAGGATTCAGTTTCTTTCAGGATGTTGTACTGAGGAGTTCAGTTTCTAGCTAGCTGCTGGGAAAAGGCCAACCTCAGTTGTTTGGAACATGGCTATCCCCAAAATGACAACTTTATTCAATAAAGCCAGTAGCAGAGAGAGTCTGATAGTAAGACAGAAATCAGTATTATTATAATACTCCTACTATGTAATCGAGTAATTGTGCTCTGTATTATTTACCCAAAGGAGTTGAAAATTTATGTCTATACAAGAACGTACACACAAATGTTTATAGCGACTTTCTTCAAAATTGCCAAAACTTGGAAGCACTCAGGATGTCCTTCAGTCAGTGAATAGACAAAGTAATATTACTCAGTGCTACAGAGAAGTTACCAAACCATGAAAAACATAGAGAAACCTTAAATGCTTATTAATAAATGAAGAAGTCAATCTGAAAAGACAACATACTGTATGATTTCAAATATATGACATTCTAGAAAAGGTGAAAATAGGAACATAGTGAATGAATGGTTTACCAGAGTTTGAGGGTAGGCAGAAAGACCCATAAACAGATGGACCACAGAGAATTTTTAGGGCAGCGAAAACACATGCTTATGATACTATAATGGTGGATACATATCATTATATATTTTTTAAACCTGTAGAATGTACAACACCCAGAGTTAACTCTAATATAAACTATGGACTTTGAGTGATTATGATGTGTCAAGGAAGGTTCATCAGAGGTAACAAATGTGTTCTCTGGTGGCACATTACTCACATTACTTTTGTTTCTTCTTTTTGTGAGACAAACAGAAATTTTAAGATTAAAGGGTTTAAGCAACCAAATCCCTCAATGTATGGGCAGGCAAAACTGCATACGGAATGATGATATTCAGTTTCCTTTATGCCTATAAAGAATATTTAATTTGACTGGGAAGAAAACACATTAATAAAAGATCTTAGGACTGAACATTTCCATGGCCTGCTCTGATTTGTCTCATTGATGAAATACATTTTTGGCACCAATTTTTACACATAAGTTGGTTTATAAAACATTTTATCTTAAATGCTTTTGAGATCATTCCCTTCAGGGGTTCAGAATAAAGTATTTATTTAGAAGTAAGCAATGATTTTAATGTAGTAACTATTTGTGGTTAGTTTGCCTTTTAAATTCTGCCTACACAATTTATTTTAAAACATTTACTAGTGCCCTTCCTTTAGGCATTAAACTTTGTAAGGTTTTTTTTTCCCTTTTGACCTGCCTTGCAACTCAGAAAAATTATTTTGAAATAATTATCCCAACAGAACGTAGTGATCAGTACCTCAGCAGACTGCAGACTTGTAAGTCTTGGGAGCAAAATCAGCAAATTAAAAGGGCGTTTTATGAAGAACAGGTCATTTAGGATAGTTCAACTCCTGAACCTGCAAGCAAAACCATAACGAAGTGCGATTTTCCTCATGTCCTTGAGTGTACTAGAACAAAGTCTACTCAAGTATTTTACACAAAGAGCTCTTTTCATGAGAAATTGGGTCAAACTATTAAATTCACCTCTGTTTGATGTAAAATAAAACTGCTTATTGCAGATCTAACAAAACACTCAGTGTCCTATTAGGTTGCCTTCAAAGAATGTCCTAGATAACCTTAAGGTAATTTAAAGCACAAGCTAACTTCAATTCTTCTTGTCTATTATAGGTCTCAAGCACATTAGAATACGTTTAAAAATGCAGTCTTGCAAAAACATAGTCATTTCTTGCTGATTATATGCTTCTTTTCTATTGGTCACCTATGTTTTAACTTCTCTGTATTTCGCATATGGCCAAAACTGATCAGGATAATTAGAGGAAAAAAAAACTAGGTTAATTAATACTAAATTGATGAGGCTTTGAAAGATATATAGGTATGTATAAAGCACTTTTTTTTCTGTAAGATAAACTCAACTCTGTCCTATCTCTTTTTTCCTCCCCTTACTCTTCAGTGTCACTAGTAGCTAACTTCATATAAAACTCGGTTTTATTTTCTTCCATTTTCTAAAATGATAGGACACAACTTTAACCCCTACTTTATATCTAAATTATTGTAAATAAAATAAAAATGCTTCTCTAATTATCAGATTATTTATAACACATTTGCACCGTCAAACAATGTTACTTGAGAGCATGTGTTATCAGATATACTGTGCTCTATATTTTTTCGTCTGTAGGATAAAGATACATTAAAGAACCTGAAAGCTTTTATGCTATTCTATAGTAAGACAGCAACCAGAAGCTCTTACATATTTTGGAGAATTGCCTGAAAATTATTATATTTCTATTAAAATATATGACATCATAATGGTGAGAAAGTTTGGCAGCATGACAAAAGATCTTTAAATGTATTGGCTTAAAGAATACCACATTTTTTTCATTCTGAATCTGCATAGTTTTTCACCTCTTGGTCAAGCTTAGCTACTTTCAGTTGGACTCACTTACGAGTCGCTTTGAAGGGTGCCAGAATATGCCACCCCAAAATATGTTACTTTGACCTAAGGACTATTTCTAAGGCACTTAAAAAATAGCAGACATAAGAAAGATATTTTATTCTTCTCTTTTTCTTCCTGAAACAGAAGATTAAAAACTCCTATGTGAAAGATGCCCTCCCTGTATCGCAAGGATAAATACAATTATTCAAAAGGGAGTCGTAGCTGAGACAATTCTGTATACACAGACCGGGTTAAAATAATTCTTATCTTCTGTTAGCCTCCACACGTAATTTAGTTACTTTTTCTCCATAGCCTGTCTTTCTTTGTAAGTTTTGTCCTTTCTTTCAGTCTTCACTTCCTTATGTTGGCTCCTGTGTCACATAAACTTAAATTTGTATGTTTTTCTCAGCTTAGTCTGTCTAATTAATTTAATTCTCATACCCAGCCAGGGACCCTAAGAGGGTAGAGGTAAACTTTTGCCTCCCCTACACTCGCAGTTAGCAGATTGGCTAGGGCTGGGGCTGCACTGGATGGCCTCATTTATATGTTTTATATTTGCTGGTTTTGGCTGAGACAATGGAGGCCACATCATTCCTCACCCCAGGGATTCACCTAGCCTTGACTTGTTCACATGGCAGATCAATTCAAACAGCACTGAGAGTGCAGGCCCCGAGATTCACAAACTTTTAGCTTAGCCTGTGTGAAAGAGGCTAATTTCCTATTTGCCAAAGCAAATGACAAGGCCTTCTTGTAAGGCCTTGTAAGGAGTAATGAACTCTCTATATTTTGATAAAATGAGCTAAAAAGACTCATAATAAAAATTTGATGTATGAAACATAAGAACTTGTGGCTACAACACACTATATTCATTTTTTCTATTTTAAAATAAAAATCAATTGTTATGAGTTAAAAAGGAGTTAAAATTGTAAATTGTAATTGAAATTGTGATTCAGATTTCATAATCAAAAATTATAATTCAAATTATTTTACTTATTTATTTTGTATCTACATTTATAAAAATTCATTCTATTGTTTAATAAATTACAGAGGATTTAAGTTTGATGTGATGTTTATTTTACAAGCTGAGCCTATTCATGGTACTTAGATTTTTCTTTTTGAATCTCAATTTAAGGGGACCATATGGTTGATTAAAGGTAAATGAAAGTAAGATAAATATTTAAGTTGGATTTTATTTTGTTAATATAGATTGTTATTCTATATGAATTGATTTTGGAGATATATCTCTTAAGATAGACATTCTAATTCTTTCCCGTATTCTTCTCTTGTTTTGACCTAAAATTATTTTTCACTAGAATTTAATTTGGGGATTGTAGTAAACTGTAATATGTTTCCCAAGTTTTTATTTTCTTTTCTTAAGAGATTCATATTCAATTAATACGCTAATATCAGATTTTGCCATGTGACTTGTGATTTCTCACCCAAAAAGCATACTAAATTTTCCCTCCTAATTTTGTCATAATCAGTCATATGACTTGTTTTGGTAAACCACATCTGAGCAAATGTAGCATATGCCAGTTTTTGGCAGAAATTTTGAGATCCCTCTTGTGACTCCATCATAGCTCATAGTTTTCTTTCTACAATAAGTCTCGGTATGTCCCAGATAACATGCCCTTCAGATAGCACCTTATTTAGAAGGAGATGTAGAATAGATCCAAATCTAATCCTCAATATATGTATAAAATGAGACAGAAATAAACATCTTTATTGTATGTCACAAAGATTTTCTTTTTCACTATTACGTAACTTATCCAATGTTTACTGATACAGAAATGAGCGAGTGCATTCAATATGAGAAAATCTATATGAGTTATTGACCGAAATCATGCAGTGTGTACTGAGGATATGGTTGTTGGAATCTGGAAACTGGTACTTCATGCTGCTCTGTAGTCACAACATATTTGTAAAATGTTTCTTGCAATAACATATAAATTAAAATCAAACACAACAGATAAATGTGGTTTGAGGTGAAGAGAAGGGAAACAATGTTGTTAGGTAATATTTTTGCTCTTGGTTCCCTTTGACAAAATATTTAAAGAAACCAATCAGTTTAGAAAGTAACTGACTCCCACTTATGAGTGAGAACATGGACACAGGGAGGCGATCATCACACAGCGGGGCCTGCCGGGAAGTCAGGGGCAAGGGGAAGGAGAGCATTAGGACAAATATCTAATGCATGCAGGGCTGAAAACCTAAATGATGGGTTGATAGGTGCAGCGAACCACCATGGCACATGTAGACCTATGTAGTAAACCTGCACGTTCTGCACATGTATCCTAGAACTTTAAGTAAAATAAAAAAAAAAAAAGTAATCGACAAGATGTAAGAAGAAATGCAAAATAATAAAGTCCGGATATTACAAGACTTGCAGAAAGAAAGACCTGAAGAAGAAATTATTAGTTCAACCAAAAGCCAAAACTGAGTGGCAAGGCTCATTAAATTACAGCACCATAGCAAAAAACAAAATCAAGGAAGTTGCCAGCCTAAAAAAACACATTCGTCAATGTCACTATTTTATGTCGTTTTAACTAAGTTTCTAAAAACTGTCCCAGGATCTCTGGTTCTAGAGCTTGGGCATCCTGTACCTTGGGCAGCTTGGGTATAGACGTATGCATATATCAGATATGAAAATAGAGTATAAGTCAGTCATTTACTGTCATCAAGCTGAAGCAAACTTAAAGAAGAGCAGTATTTAAGTATGTAGGTTGAAATCAGATAGTTTGGGTGTGAGCCCTGTGTTTGCAAATTTCTAGCTATGTAACCTTTGATATTTATTTAACTTTTTCAGGCTTATTTTACTCTCCCCAAAAATTGGAACTAAAACTGGTATCTACAGCTAACTCTTGAATTATTAAGGATTGAGGAAAGTAATATGCATAAAAAATTAACACAGTCCCTAGCAACTAGAAAATGCTAAATAAATGGTAGTAATTTTTGTATTTTTCATTGATACAACTAAGTAAGTAATTTCCTGTGACCTGCAGACAGTCTTTCTAGGACTATATTAGTTGAGCAAGCTGATATATACCTCTATGACTCTGTCATAAATTGTTGTATAGTATCATGAGCCACACTGCCTAGGTATAGAATTTGAGTTCTGTCATCTTCCCAAATACCTAACTAAAGGTCATTGTAAGAGGAAAAAGGAACAATATGTGAAGATGCCTGGTACATAGCAAGAGCTTAGTAAGGCTTCCTAATATCAGTATCATCATTGGTGGTGTTGTGTTGCTGCAACCTGAACAGTCCTCTGAGTGGCATTCTTTCTTAAAAATATGTTAATAAAATCATTTATCCTAAAATCAAGTACCAGGGATCTGTCCGGTATTTGTCCTCCTAAAGATGACTGAGAAATCTCTGATACAAATGTGTTGATTCAAATTTTATTTGAGACATTTCTTTCCCTTATTTCTAGTCTCATTTATAAAATTTGTTCATAACACGTATATGTTGTGTATGGTGTTCTATACTTTCTGCAATTTGGTATAGCTTTGTACAAGTTTGTGTGTGTGTGTGTGTGTGTGTGTGTATGTGTGTAGGTATTCCTTTTTCTGAGGCCATATTTTGGAATTGTGATCTAGTGGAAAAATTACAGGATTTCAAGAAAGACACTTTGTTTGATTACAATATGCTATTGTGTGAAGATAAGTAATTCTTCAGTATAACAGGTTTTTCATCTACAGAATGAGGATAATACTAGCCTTGTTTATTTCTTAATTCTGTTATAACAGAATTTGGGAAAATATTGACTATTACAAAATGTCATAATTATTTCATCTGGTTCTTAATCACGTATAATACAATGTGTTTTATATTACTGGCATCTTGGTGTTCTCTTTATTAGTTTATTGAAAACAAAGCTGGTCAGACCTATCTAACAATATCAATATTTTTCAAGGTTTTATGTAGGGCATGTTAATGCTCCACAAGTTCTTTTAATAATTTAGGAATATTATAATGGTGTTTCTAAGTGTGTGGTATATAGCGATATCATAATTAATGAGTCACTGTAAAATAGAAAAAATTATTTTCTTCAAGATAATTTGATCATGTAGTCAATAGTTAGGAGTTAGAGCTGTAGTAGTCAAATAGTCATTACTGTGACCTAGAGTTTAAGAATTCTTTTTCTTCATTTGTGCTTCTCTATTATCATAATTACAAAGAATTGGCATGACTGAACCTAAATATCTAATAAATAACAAATGTAAATGGCATAAACAGAATTCTTGGCATGTCTTTGGGCCTCATTCCCAAACAAGTCTCTTCGTTCCCCAGTACCCCCATCTCAGTAAATGCCACCTCTATGCTTCTAGGTTCTCAGGCAAACCCTAGGAACCATCTTTGAATCCACACTTTTTGACATGTAATCCTTCAGCAAGCCTTAGACAGCCATCTCTATTGCTAAAATATATTTTTAGCCCAACTACTCCTCTCCATCTTCTCAAATAATTTCTTTGTCCAACTCATCATTTTTCATTTGAAGTACTGAAAACTCTCTTCAAATATTTCTGTTTCTATTCTTACTTTCCTATCAAAGTACCTATTTAGCAGCTGCAGTGGCTTTATTAAAAATTGTTAAGCAGATCATATTATCCCCTATGTCAGTATCCTCCACTATCTTCCCATTATGCTTAAAATATAAATCTAACTTCTTTATCAGGGCCCCAGGGGCTTCACAGTCTGACCCCTGTTTGTCCCTGAGAACTCAGGTCCCATAGTCTGCCCTTGCTCAGGGTGCTGTCGTAAGCATCATGTCATTCTCACCAAGCTCCTGTCTCCTCTATGCCTTTCCTTTGCTAAGAGCACTCTGGCTCCAGATGTCCATACAGCTGAATTTGTATCATCACACAGGTCTTAGATCATAGGCTTCCTTTAGAAAAAAGAAAAGAACAGTTTCCTCATACCAATCTAAAGAATCTTATGCCCCAGACATTTGCTGTCTAAAGTATTACATTTTGCGTTTTCTTACTGCACTGACAAATGTCTTAAAGTATCTTATCCAGTCATTGGTTTATTGTTCAATTTTTATCTCTGTATAACAAAGTATATAAATAAGCAATATCTGTTGTGATTGTCCCTGTAATTCAGTGTCTAGAGTAGAGCTGGACAAAAGTGTAAAATATTCAATACATTTGTTGAATGATAAATTAATGTTTTTTCTCCTTTTTGGATTAAAGTTGTTGTATTTTTGTCACATCATTTTCTTTAGTGGGTTACTGCGCAAAAATATTCAAGTCCAAAGACATTTTTTGTAATGTCCAGAGTGATTTTTGCTCTTTACTTTAAAAATACAGCATATATAACATTCATCAGAAATGAAAGTTATTTACAGTATAACATTTCTGATGAATGTTATATATATTGTATTTTTAGAGAGATTCACTTTATATCAGAAAATTCACATTTATATTTTCAATTACTTTTCAATAAGTGAGCAATACTTAATCAATCGTCACTAAGAGCTTTCTGATAAACGTAATTTTCACTGCAGTAATCTTAGATGTCAAGAGACTATTGTTTGCACAGAAAATCATAGAATTATATATTAGTTTCTGGTCATTTTCCGATATATTTTTATTTTTAAACGGAGAACAATATAGAAAATAGGGATTCTTCCTATGAAGGTTTTAAAATCCATGATTAATTACACAATCTAATTATAGAATAATCATGTTTTAAAAATAGTCACCTGTTACTTAAAGTAATTGATTATGCCTTGTATAAATAGATCAAGAAGCAAAAGAATGTATGAGGCTGGGCACAGCGGCTCATGCCTGTAATCCCAGTATTCTGGGAGGCCAAGGCAGGAGGATCACGTGAGGTCAGGAGTTCAAGACCAGCCTGGCATGGTGAAACCCAGTGTCTACTAAAAATACAAAACATTAGCCAGGCATGGTGGTGTGGGCCTGTAATCCCAGTTACTCAGGAGGCTGAGGCAGGAGAATCGCTTGAACCTGGGAGGCAGAGGTTACAGTGAGCCGAGATTATGCCATTGCACCCCAGCCTGGGCAACAAGAGCTAAACTCTGTCTCAAATAATAATAATAATAATAATGTATGAAAAAGATTGATAAGAATGTTTTATGGCACTTTCTTCAATGCTATAAAGAAGGAGATTAAAAATAAATAAATTAACTGAAACTTTGATAAAACAAAGAACAGAAATATTGTGTAACTATTTTCAAATAATTGCTGTTTAATACATTCAATGCTCTGCTTACAAATTTTAGTGTGGTTAATGTTCTGAAATGTAGAATTATTCAATGAGACATTGTAGCATGAAATAACATTTATTTATGAAACTTTGTTTTAGCAGCTATCAATTGTTGGTGACCGTGGGAAAGTCACACCATATTGCTGAATTTCATTCACATATTTGTAAAATGAGGATAAAAACTGCTTTTTTATGGGTATCATCATACCTGGAGTTATTTTCACCCTTGTGACATCTTCCTCTGCATTATTTATTTTACCCCACCCTATAATGAATTTTTCTGGGGCACTGCCAATTGTGCTCAAACTATTTTATTTGAAATCTGAATTATTTTGACTCACTCTATCACCCAGGCTGGAGTGCATCTAAACACAATTGAAGCCATTTAATTAGATACAGATTCTTATTTGTTTGAGTATTTTATCATTTGCAATTATTTACTTGCTTAAAAAACAACAAAAATTTGCATATGCAAGCTATGTGTGTCTAATTTCTGTTACTGCATATACTCTGTATTTCCCGCCATAATTTTGTAATTTTTCTCTGCATTCTGAGGCATCATTTTAAGTAGATTCTCCACATCACTGATTCTTGCACTATCAATGTATTCTTTATTCTTAGTTGGTTCTGCAAAATCATTGTTTTATATTATTTCTAAATACTCAATTCACTGTTGTGTTCACTTACATATTTTATTATAATTGCCTCTATACAAGTTTTCTTCCTACTTCTTATATGTTTTGGCTCCGTGTCCCCACCCAAATCTCATCTTGAATTGTACTCCCATAATTCCCACATCCTGTGGGAGGGACCTGGTGGCAGATAATATAGATCATGGGGGAGGTCTCCCCATACTGTTCTCATGGTAGTGAATAAGTCTCACAAGATCTGATGGCTTTATCAGAGGTTTCCACTTTTGCAGCTTCCTCATTTTCTCTTGGCACCACCATGTAAGAAGTTTCTTTCACCTGCTGCCGTGATGCTGAGGCCTCCCCAGCCACGAGGAACTGTAAGTCCAATTAAACCTCTTTTTCTTCTCAGTCTCAGGTATGTCTTTATCAGAAGCATGAAAATGGACTAATACAGTAAATTGGTACCAGAAGAGTGGGACATTGCTGAAAAGATACCTGAAAATGTGGAAGATACTTTGGAACTGGGTAACAGGCAGAGGTTGGAACAGTTTGGAGGGCTCAGAAGAAGACAGGAAAATATGGGACAGTTTGGAATTTCCTAGAGATTTGTTGAATGGCTTTGGCAAAAATACTGATAATGATATGGACAATGAAATCCAGGCTGGGGTGGTCTCAGATGGAGATGAGGGACTTGGGAACAGGAGCAAAGGTGACTCTTGTTATGTTTTAGCACAGAGACTGGTGGCATTTTGCCCCTGCCCTAGAGATTTGTGAAACTTTGAACTTGAGAGAGAGGTTTTAGGGTATCTGGCAGAAGAAATTTCTAAGGAGCAAAGCATTCAAGAGATGACTTGGGTACTGTTAAAGGCATTCAGTTTTAGAAGGGAAGCAAAGCATACAAGTTTGGAAATTTTGCAGCCTGACAATGTGATTGAAAAGAAAAACCCCATTTTCTGAGAAGAAATTCAAGCCAGCTGCAGAAATTTGCATAAGTAATGAGGAGCTGAATGTTAATCCCCAAGACAATGGGGAAAATGTCTCCAGGGCATGTCAGAGGTCTTCAGGGAAGCCTCTTCCATCACAGGCCTGGAGGTCTAGGAGAAACAAAAATGGTTTGGTTTCCCGAGCAGCGCCCAAGTTCCCTGTGCTGTATACAGTCTAGTGATTTGGTGCCCTATGTCCCAGCACCTCCAGCCGTGGCTGAAAGGGGCCAACATAGAGCTCAGGCAATGGCTTCAGAGGGTGCAAGCCCCAAGTCTTGGCAGCTTCCACGTAGTGTTGAACCTGTGGGTGAACAGAAGTCAAGAATGGGTTTGGGAACCTCCTCCTGGATTTCAGAAGATGTATAGAAATACCTGAAGGCCCAGGCAGAAGTTTGCTGCAGGGTTGGGGCTTTTGTGGAGAACCTCTGCTAGGGCAGTGCAGAAGGGAAATGTGGGATTGGAGCCCCCACGGAGAGTCCATACTGGGGCGCCACCTAGTGGAGCTATGATAAAAGGGCCACTGTCCTCCAGACCCCAGAATGGTAGATCCACCTACAGCTTGCACCGTGTGCCTGCAAAAGCTGCAGACAATGCTAGCACATTAAAGAAGCTAGGAGGGAGTCTGTACCCTACAAAGCCATAGAGGTGGAGCTACCCAAGACCATGGGAACCCACCTCTTGCATCAGCATGACCTGGATGTGAGACCTGGGGTCAAAGCAGATCATTTGGAGCTTTAAAATTTGACTGCTCCACTGGCTTTCAGGGCTTGCAGGGACCCTGTAATCCCTTTGTTTTGGCTAATTTCTCCCATTTGGAAGAGCGGTGTTTACCCAATACCTGTACCCTCATTGTACCTAGGAAGTAACTACCTTGCTTTTGATTTTACAGGTGCATAGGCAAAAGGTACTTGCCTTGTCTCAGATGAGACTTTGAACTGTGGACCTTTGGGTTAATGCTGAAATGAGTTAAGACTTTGGGGGACTGTTGGCAAGGCATGGTTGGTTTTGAAGTGTGAGGACATGAGATTTGGAAGGGCCAGGGGTGGAATGATATGGTTTGGCTCTGCGTCTTCACCCAAATCTCATCTTGAATTGTACTCCTGTAATTCCCATGTTTTGTGGGAGGGACTTGGTGGGAGATAATTTGAATCATGAGGGTGGTTTCCCCCATACTGTTCTTGTGGTAGTGAATAAGTTCACAAGATCAGATAGCTTCATCAGGGGTTTCCACTTTTGCATCTTCCTCGTTTTCTCTTGCCACCTCCATGTAAGAAGTGTCTGTCGCCTTCTGCCATGATTTTGAGGCCCCCCCCAGCCACATGGAACTGTAAATGCAATTAAACCTCTTTTTCTTCCCAGCCTTGTGGAACTGTAAATCCAATTAAACCTCTTTTCTTCCCAGTCTCAGGTATGCCTTTATCAGCAGCATGAAAATAGACTAATACAACCTCCTACAGTTGTACAATCACAGCAATTACAAACTTTTATTTATGTTGTTTTTTTGACCAGAGATGTATTTTATTTAGTTTCCATCATGTCTCTTGTGTGGTCTAAAAAGTAAATTAGTTTCAGATATTATAAGAATGACAACCTTTAAATACACATTCAGATGCCCTAGCCCTACTTCTCTTAAATATAATCATAACTGTCAATGCTGGTACTACCTTCCCACACCGCAAGAATTAGCTAGAAGTCAGTGTGGCTTTCTCTTAAGATGGATATAAATTTTCCTGAATGTCACTATCTCCACCATTCTGCACTTATTCTTGGCCTCTTTAATCTGTGACTCCTTCAACCATTTGAGCTTTTCTCATTTTTTTTACTTTCTGAAGAAGCAAACAGTGTGGTACATATTTTATAAAGTAATGAAAAGGCAAATAATATTGGTTTGATGTGCCTTTCCTTAACTGGGTTAAATTGTTAACTAAAGGATGTTTACCTAAGCTAAGGCAAAGCCAGGTACAAAATTGTGGTGTTTTGATACGAAATTTGATGGTCTTTGCAGTTATAATATTGCTACTGCTATGATGCTGATAAAGACATATCCAAGACTGGGCAATTTACAAAAAACAAAAAAAAGAGGTTTAATGGACTTACACTTCCACATGGATGGGGAGGCCTCACAATCATGGCAGAAGGCAAGGAGGCACAAGTCATGTCTTACATGGGTGGCAGCAGGCAAAAAGAGAGAGCTTGTGAAGGTAAACTCCCATTTTAAAAACCGTCAGATCTTGTGAGACTCATTCACTATCATGAGAACAGCACAGGAAAGACTTGCCCCCATAATTCAGTCACCTCCCACCAGGTCCCTCCCACGACATGTAGAAATTGTGGGAGTTACAATTCAAAATGAGATTTGAGTAGGGACACAGCCAAACCATATCATATGGTATAGAAAATTAATTACAACCACTTTAATTGTGCATTTATTCATTCATACTATTTATTCATTTATTTTAATAAAATATTTATAAGTTATTCATAGGTAATGCTCAAAAAATAAGTACTTGTGAAGAATTCCTTCCTTAATACATTTTCAACCATTCCAAAGTGAATGCACACTTAAACTTATGGCTTACATGTTGGGAGAGTTTCTTTTTATTATCCCATTTTCTTGAATTTATTTCCTCAAAGCATTTACTCTTGCAACTTATTTTGCCCTCTGAAGCTTACTATAATTAATATTGTAATTTAAAATGTCTAGATGTACCATCCCTAGGCATACAGACACACATGTGCACACACATAAATGTGCACACAGACACACGTATCATAATGGCATTTTCAAATAGTGGTATCTATAAAATTTGAGGAGATTCAGGAGGTCTTGGGTTGAGATGATTTATGGATACCTCAATAGACTCTGAAATTCAAACCAAATCTAGTATTATTGTCTGATTTACATAAGTTCATTTATTAAGATGTGTCCCAACTCCATCTGTAGAATTAAATTGCTGCTGCCTACTTCCACCTGTAACATAGTTCTTTCTTCCCTGGCTAATTTGGGAGACCTTGGACAAATAAACTAGTTTTTTTTTTAAATAAATAAATCCCTATGGACTTCCTCAAATTAGGGCCATCAGCTATTTTAAGGAAACTGCAATGGGACTTAAATAACATCTGCCCCTTTCACATTTTTGGAATCAGAATCTAAATACACCTTTCTTATTGCAATCAAACTGATTGTCTTTCTGGCACCTCTCAACCTCTATTCAGCTAAGACTTCATAGCATATCAGGATCTATTTAAGTTTCATAATATATGCTTTGTATAATTATTTGATGACTAATCAGTAAATCTTTAAAGATTGGAAAAAATTAGAAATATTTATGATGGTAACTATGTACAATAATACAATATTGACATTAATACAATATTAATATATTAATACTAACAAAATATTTAAACTTTGGAGAATTTTTTATTGTTTAAAAAATTATAGTGGTATCTGGGGGCACTGGCTGTAGTAACATGGTAAAGTTTCTTTCTTTGGGTGAAAGATCCCCAAATTTGCACTTAAATAAATGAACTTGTACTTTATTACTACAGATGTTGATGTTGGAGAAGATGCATGGAATTGTTGTTCTATATTTGAGATAATAAAACAGACATAATGCCCATGATTACCAAGTTATTTTAATTATCATTGCCCAAGTGTATCTAACCACAATATTATGTAGCTCTTTAACAAAAAATTTGAAAAAAACCTTTTTATTCGAATATCTATATATTTTCTAGCTAAGATATTTCAAAATTTAGTAAGCAAATAGCATTATGTAAATTAAAACACTATCCAAAAAGGGGAATGATTGTATGATTAGAGCAAAGATACCAATATGATTTTGTCAGAATGAGTTAATATTAAAATTAACATAACAAAATGAATACTTACAATTAAATATTCATAGACACATACACAATGACTTATTATTTAGCAACTGACCTTTTGCTTGTTAGAGATATTTTGCTAAAATATATCATTTTTAATTAGAATTCTAAACTGACTTCCAAGAAATAAAATTGTTTATTTAGAATTTATGGCATCTAAAGTGATAAGCAAATTATTTATTCACATAATACTGAGGAAAAGCATTGTTCTCATTAAAAATTCCTTTCATTACTCAAATTGATGCATAAAAATTCATTCAATTACCTTTGCACACTTATGTAGAATTGATTTCCATAAATATTTCTTTTTCAAGAACATTAGCAGCTTTACTAAGATATGATTGATATATAATATCTTACAAATATTTAAAGTGTGCAACTTGATCATTTTTGACATTATTGAACACTATAATATAAGCCAATCAAGATACAAACATATAAATTCCACAAGTGTTTGTTGTGCTCCTTTGTAATTTATCCCTACATAGCAATCTGTACAGAAAATTCAGTTTTCAAAATAATGCATTTATATGCATATAAAATATATGAAGAGATAACACTTAAATGTAAATAAAGATGATATTGGGGTGGGAATGATATTATAGACAACTTATAATTTTCTTCATTTTTTTCTATTTACATACTCCATTTTTCAATTAAATTATTTTTAAAATTTCAGGACCAGAGGGTACAAGTGCAGGTTTGTGACATGGCTATATTACATGATGCAGAGGTTTGAGCTTCTAATTGTCCCTTCACCCAAGTAGTGAACAAAATACCCAATAGGTAGATTTTCAACCCTTATCCCTCTCCCACTCTCCTCCCTTTTGGAACTCTCAGTGTCTAATGTTCCCATCTTTTTGTCCCTGTGTATCTAATGTTTTGATCTGATTCATTTCTTGTTAAATTTATGTATCATGCAGTTTGATACGTTGTTTAAGTTACTTGAAAAAGTATAAGGCTGTAAGAAGATTTTAGGAATCTAGAAAACATTCCCAAAGATAAGTTTATCAAACTGTTTAACTGTCAGCAAACCTCTTTAATTTCCAATAATGGCAGTAGTGCATATGCTAGAACAGAATTATTAGCTAATAAGCTGATAAGTACCAGGATCTCAGACTGACTTTTAATATTTAGTGAGAAATAATATGTTATTCAAAAAACTTAATTTAATTTATTTGAACAACTTTATATATCTCAGTAATATTTCAGGATTGAAATATTCAAGATAGAGGATAGAAATTTCATGAATGAGAGTACCGTGTTGTATGTTCTTATGCATTTATTATTTGAAATAAGGTTGTCAAAGCATTACTAATATGAACTTGGAAAACAGAAAAAAAATTGTTAGTATGTTACAATTATTCCAAAAATTATAACATGAAAGGAAAATTTCACTACAATTCCTGGAAGACAAAGACATTTTTTCTAAAAACTGTAACAATAAAAGACTCTTCAAATAAGACAGTTTAAGACTACTTTTTATGACTTTTAGCAAATTCAGTTCTTTTTCTAAAGGCCATCAGTTGCTCCTTTTTTGTAAATTATCTTGCAGTTCTCTTGTTCGTTCCAGGCTGTCAAACTCTGAGCCATGTTCTGAGCCTGCATTCTTGACTGTGGCCTCAGGAACTCATTTGTATCTGTAACTCATTTGGAAGTCTCTGGGACTCATTGGAAAGTTGGATCTTCATTCCGAAGGCTCTCATGCCTACCTGTTAGTTAAATTTGTATGCCTTTTCTCCTGTTTTAAGACAAGGCAGATACATTAATGCCATTTGATGAGGAAGTATGATCATGCTCACAGGAAAAAAAAAAAAAGGCCACCATGCTATATAATTTATTTTTAGTGTGTGCTTACTGTAACTTTGGGGAAAATAAGGGAAAAAAAAGCAGCAGGAAACCAAAGGTAATGGTACAATAAAGAAACAAAAAATGAGGGAATTACAGATGTAATAATATAGCGAAATGTGTGTCCTCAGAAAAAGTATTGAAATAAAATTATTAAAACAGAGATTTGTATTAGATAATTTTATTTATTTGTCATTATAAATTTCAAAAATGGAGACAAAAGAAATACAGAGTAGCTCTCAAATTATTTCTATGTACCAGGAATATACAATTGAAAAATAAAATTTAAAAATTTCAGTGGCATACAATATGACCTACTTAGGGATAAATCCAACTAAAACACTGTGTAAAAAATGTTTTCTAAAAGTAAGAATAATTGGAAGTATTTTCTTATTATAGCTCTTACAGGGTTATTTTTATTATTGAACTTAATTTATTCACAAATTTATTTTTTATATTGGGGACAAGTTTTAATCACGAAAAATCCTGAGGTATAATTAAAGTACCCCAAGGACAATTTTCTATATTTGCTATTAAAAAATGAAGGTAATTTTCTTTACTAAAGTAAACAACTGACTACTCTAGTAGGATTTTTTTTATTTTTTAATGTTCCAAAAGCAGCTAAGTGTTACAGGGTCTAGCTTCCTAGTTAAAGGGAGGGGCTATGTTTCACTAAGCATGTCAAAGGGTGTTCAACATTAGATCTCCAAACTTATTAAGTTGTGTACATTAAATGTGTACAACTTTGTGTATGTCTGTTATTCCTCAATAGTGTTTTTTCTAAATGAAAGGGGTTCTCAAGACATACAGTAAACGCTCTTGCCTAATATTCAGTTACAAGTCTTATTTAAGTGGAAGTGCTTATGAATAGAACGTTAACATTCCTAAAGTCTCTGTTGATTTAGTTCTGTTTAAAAAGAAACATTATCAAACATTAAAAATAATAATATTCAACTGCTTTTTCTCAAATTTTGAAGCTTTTTGTTCCTTCACTGTGTGAGAAATACAAGATGCCAATTTTATTAGTTTTCGTTGATGCTAACTATACTAATAAGGCCTACATTAGTAGTTGAAATTTGATTTAAAAGGCATTGTAGAAGATACAAATGATTATTATTATAAGATTATCTAAGAATATTTAAATATTATTTATTTATTTATTTATATTTTGAGAAAGGGTTTTGCTCTGTCACCCAGGCTGGAATGCAGTGACACAATCTCGGCTCACTGTAGCCTCAAACTCCTGGGCTCCAGCAATTCTCCCACCTCCACCTCCTAAGTAGCTTGGACTACAGGTTCACATGCCACCAGGCTCAGCTTTTTTTTTTTTTTTTTTTTTTTTCATTTGTGGAGACAGGTTTTGCCATGTTGGCCGGGCTGTTCTCGAACTCCTGGCCTCAAGCAATCTGCCCATCTGGGCCTCCCAAAGTGCTGGGATTACAGGCGTGCATCCCTGTGCCCAGACTTAGTATTTCTCATTCTCTAAAGGACACATGCTAAATGTCGCACTACAGAACGTGTTCCAAGTGACATAACAAGTATAATATATGTTTAGATTATAAATTGTGTATGCAGATGAAATGTTTTTTCTTTTTAAGTTGAAGCTCAGCAATGGCTCAACATAGACTATTTTAGTAATAAAAATGTATTTTCATTAAAAACATTGATAAATTTAATTTTGAAGTATTTAATATATCTAAACAATTCTTACTAGTATTATGTATTTTACACAATAAATATATATGAAACACTGTGGAAAATTTGAAAGTTAGAGAGTAAATACTATGGTAAATAAATAATTACGTTAAAGGAAATGAAAATTAAAAACAACACACCACATTGTGTATCAACTTTTCTGAGTCTTTTGATTAGCTTTCAGCAGCATAAACATGTTCAAATATGGTTCTGGCTCCACATGTTTGCGTGATGTAAAGCAAAAATAGTGTTTTGATAAAGATCTTCATACATACGTATTTCATAAAATTGCATAGGAAAAATTAATAGATATGCAATTACTGGATTGGAGTTATAAATAATATAAGAATTATTGACACACATTGTTAATTTATTTTCCAGTTAAATAATATTAACTTATAAAGATTATAATTAACTAATTTCTATTAATTCAGATGAATCTTTCCAAAATAAGTCTTAATGAGATCAATTACATAAATGAAAACAAAATTTATTTGCATATGGTAGCATTATCCAAATTGTCTTCTTCTGCTTTCAAATCAAATAGAAAAAAAGTTACATTAAACAGATAAAAGTATTAACATTCTATTTTTAGAGCTTTACAAAATACAATTTACACTTTTTCTGGTACACTTTGAAAATTTGACATTTCTCATAGTGCCACTATAATGTTCTAATTTTATTATCTGATTCAAGTTTTAAATTAAAATTAAAATATATATTTCCCACATGATTATTATATGTAAAGGATTTATTCAATTTCATTTTTATCATAGAACCAAAAAAATAGTAATATGCCAAATATAAGTAATTTAAAAATTATAGGGACTGCTCAAAGAATACTCAAACATATTCATGTAAGTGAAAGGGCTGAACTCATAGTGTAAGTAAAAGTGATAAACTACTCTGTATTATTTGGCGTAAGTACACTGTGTTGGGATCCTACGATCCAGGGTTGTTTCAGGGTTCTACAGGATGTAGTGCTATTGTGTAAATAATTTATTACTTGTGTTTCACTAAATCCTATTCTAATTCAGTTACATTATATTGAAGTAGTGCAGTGGAAGATTTTAATAATTCAAAAAACAATTTTTAGTGCCTTTTGTCATTTAAGACATGGGTCTAAAGCAGCACAATGTTATTAGTTAGAAAAGCTGTAAATACACACATATATATTCTTTCTACCATACATTTTTCTCATTGTTCTACAATGACGATGCAAAAATTCTTACCAGTAGATACTTTTGTGACAATGAATATAAATTTTTGTTAAAATATAAATACCTTGTCATTTTAATCAAAATTGGTGTGGCAGATTAGAAAATCAATCCCTTCTAAGATAATAAAGGCAAGCAACATTGTAGAGACTATTTGAATGTAGACTATTCAAAACAATGGGAAGATATGATTTTGAGTATCTGGGACAGCCTTATTAAAATGGACTGGAGGGTTCCAGTCAGAATTTTCTATATTAGCTCTCCTTAATGATGTGTAGGCCAAATGAAGATTTATTTTTCTATGATTATTTAATTAGTGCACTAAATGTCAATCATGATGCAGGCAGGGGTTACATCTTCTTCTGTCGTTCTGCCTACCATTGTGTACACTGAGCCTTAAGTACAGTTTCTGGCACATTCCAAATACTTGTGTAATTGATTATTGCATGCAGGCACGAATGACTGGCCTATTTTTGTAAATGTAACACTTGAAGAACTGCACCACTGAACCTGAGATTTCTTTCTATTTAATAAATGATTCTCCCACAAAAGTTTCATTCTTAAATGAAATTTATGGGGAAGGATAAATTGGAATGTGAAATTTCATTATAAGCAAACTTTAAAGAACACATCTATTGCCAGAAACTCTATGCATTAGTTTCAATCCTAGAAACAATAAAAAATGTGGTACTTTTTTTTGGTTCTTATTTGAAAGGAAGAAATGTATCCAATGAATTTATTTTTTAAAAAATATCTAATCACACGCCTCTATGCAAATAAACTAGAAAATCTAGAAGAAATGGATTAATTCCTGGACACATACACCCTCCCAAGACTAAATCAGGAAGAAGTCGAATATCTGAATAGACTAATAACAAGTTCTGAAATTGAGGCAGTAATTAATAGCCTACCACCCAAAAAAAATCCCAAGACCAGATGAATTCACAGCTGAATTCTACCAGAGGTACAAAGAGGAGCTGGTACCATTCTTTCTGCAACTATTCCAAACAAAAGAAAAAGATGGCCTCCTCCCTAACTCATTTTATGAGGCCAGCATCATCCTGTTACGAAAACCTGGCAGAGACACAATAAAAAAGAAAAATTCAAGCAAATATCTGATGAACATTGATGGGAAAATCCTCAATAAAATACTGGCAAACCGAATCCAGCAGCACATCAAAAAGCTTATCCACCATGACCAAGTTGGCTTAATTCCTGGGATGCAAGACTGGTTAAACATATGCAAGTTAGTAAATGTAATTCATCACATAAACAGAACCAATGCCAAAAACACATGATTATCTCAATTGATGCCGAAAGGGCCTCCGATAAAATTCAACACCCCTTCATGCTAAAAACACTCAATAAACTAGGTATTGATGGAACGTATCTCAAAATAATAAGAGCTATTTATGACAAACCCCCAGCCAATATCGTACTGAATGGGCAGAAGCTAGGAGCACTCCTTTTGAAAACTGGCAGAAGACAAGGATGCCCTCTGTCACCACTCCTATTCAATATAGTATTCGAAATTCTGGACAGGGAAATCAGGCAAGAAAAAGAAGTAAAGCATATTCTAATAGGAAGAGAGGAAGTCAAATTATCTCTGTTTGCAGATGACATTTTTGTATATCTAGAAAACCCCATTGTCTCAGCCCAAAGTCTTTTTAAGCTGATAATCACAAGCATTCCTATACACAAATAATAGACAGAGAGCCAAACCATGAGTGAATTCCCTTTCACAACTTCTACAAATAGAATAAAATACCTAGGAATACAACTTACAAGAGATGTGAATGACCTCTTCAAGGAGAACTACAAGAAAATGAGAGAGGACACAAACAAATCGAAAAACATTCCATGCTCATGGATAGGAAGAATCAATATCGTAAAAATGGCCATACTGCCCAAAGTAATTTATAGATTCAATGCTATTCTCATCAAGCTACCACTGACTTTCTTCACAGAATTAGAAAAAAAACTACTTTAAATTTCATGTGGAACCAAAAAAGAGCCCGTATAGCCAAGACAATCCTAAACAAAAAGAACAAAGCTGGAGGTATCATGCTACCTGATCTCAAGCTATACTACAAGGCTACAGTGACCAAAACAGCATGTTACTGGTACCAAAACACATATGTAGATCAATGGAACAGAACAGAGGCTGTAGAAATGACACCACACATCTACAACCAGCTGATCTTTGACAAACCTGACAAAAAGAAGCAACAGGGAAAGGATTCCATATTTAATAAATTGCATTGGGAAAACTGGCTAGCCATATGTAGAAAACTGAAACTGAAACCCTTCCTTACACTTTAGACAAAAATTAACTCAAGATGGATTAAAGATTTAAATGTAAGACCTAAAACCATAAAAGCCCTAGAAGAAAACCTAGGCAATACCATTCAGGACATAGGCATGGGCAAGGATTTCATGACTAAAACACCAAAAGCAATGGCAACAAAAGCCAAAATTGACAAATGGGATCTAATGAAACTAAAGAGCTTCTGCACAGCAAAAGAAACTATCATCAGTGTGAACAGGCAACCTACAGAATGGGAGAAAATTTTTGCAATCCATCTATATGACAAAGGGCTAATATCCAGAATCTACAAAGAACTTAAATTTACAAGAAAAAAACAAACAACCCCATCAGAAAGTGGGCAAAGGAGGTGAACAGACTCTTCTCAAAAGAAGACATTTATGTGGCCAACAAACATGTGAAAAAAGCCCATCATCACTGGTCTTTAGAGAAATACAAATCAAAACCACAATAAGATACCATCTCACACCAGTTAGAATGGTGATCATTAAAAAGTTAGGAAACAACAGATGCTGGAGAGGATGTCAAGAAATAGGAACGCTTTTACACTGTTGTTGGGAGGGTAAATTAGTTCAACCATCGTGAAAGACAGTGTGGCAATTCCTCAAGTATCTAGAACTAGAATTACCATTTGGCCCAGCAATCCCATTACTGATTAAATACCCAAAGGATTATGATTCATTCTACTGTAAAGACACATGCACATGTATGTTCATTGCAGCACTATTCATAATAGCAAAGACTTGGAACCAACCCAAATGCTCATCAATGTTAGACTGGATAAAGAAAATTTGGCACATATACACCATGGAATACTATGCAGACATAAAAAAGGATGAGTTCATGTCCTTTGCAGGGACATGTATGCAACTGGAAACCATCATTCGCAGCAAACTGACACAGGAACAGAAAAACAAACACCACATGTTCTCACTCATAAGTGGGAGCTGAGTAATGAGAACACATGGGCACAGGGAGGGGAACATAATACACTGGGGCCTGTCGAGGTGTGGGGGATAAGGGGAGGGATAGCATTAGGAGAAATATCTAATGTAGATGACGGGTTGATGGGTGCAGCAAACCATCATGGCACATGTATACCTATGTAACAAACCTGCACGTTCCGCACATGTATCCTGAACTTAAAGTATAATAATAATTTTAAAAATCCATTCATTCACTCAATGATTCAGAAAAAAGTTTTTTTAAGCATCTTGTGCAGATCAAACACAAGACTACTTAATCCTTGTAATTCTTAGGATATATATATATACATATATATACACACACATATACAGATACACACTTTCTTTAGAACAAATAATACAAAGACAATAACAGTCTTTTGAGACATAAAATTACAATGAAATTGTTGAAAGCTAACTGACTACAATATATTTTTGCTGTTTAACATCATGAACAACACATGGCACATTTTCTAAGTAACATTGTTTAAAACATGCAATCAACACTTGTAAATCTTTGTAACACAATTAATGACTAATCAAATTTTAGATGAAGTAATATTGCCAATTTTGTTCAAAACACACACACACACACACACACACACAAACACGCAAACACAACTACCACCACCACTACCATCAAAACCTGAAGCTAAGAATATGTCTATTTAAGGCAGTCTTATTTAAGACTGATACTGAAAAGTTACATTGCAATGTTCCTAAAATATTATGACAATGTTCTTGTTGACCATACTTGGAGTTAGAATCACAACAATAATAATTAGGGAGCAATGGAAACAGCTTTTTATTTCCTTATGTCAAAAACTGTATGCGATGTTATTTACTTCATTGTAAAGTATATCTGCATGTACTGATAAAACTAGTAAATAGAAAAATTATCTTCCAAAAGAAATATAATTTGTAAAATTCAAATTAATTCCACATTTTAAAAAATTAAGATGATACAATTTTTACATTACCAAATCACTTTACATAAATTTTATAAAGAGTTTAATTCTGGCCTTGTGAAAGTCCTCATTTATATAAAAACTAATTTACATTGCATTACTAAAATGGCTGATCATTGTAATTTTTTAATAAATCCATTTTATTTGGCTGAAAAGGACAGTAATGAAATTTGTTTGATAGTTGCCCAGTAAACATGTCTTATAAAAAGCTGGAATAATAATTACATCATAATAATATCTCATTTACAAATGTAGTTTACTTTTATCTTGAAAAAAATATACTAAGCTTATGAATGTTTAGTGCTTCAGAGAGAGAAATGCTGTGACCTCACTTAGCAATTAGTTTTCTTTCTATACTCCATAAAATTGAAGAGATTTACAAAGCAAGTGGAAATACTAACTTTTATAATGATGAGCCATATGGCACTACATTTACTAAATTTATGCTTAGAAGAGAGTATAAAATTATAGTTCTTGCATTTTTTTTTTTTTTTTTTACAAAATGAGGTTACTACTTCTATCATGCTTACAAATTAGCAACATGAGAATAACAAAGAGAAAGTTCCAGGGTAAAAATATAAACTCTGCTTAAACTAACATTTTTTTTTCTGAAGAAAGTTTTGGCTAATAAATTATTTTTAAAATGTTAGGAACATGAAACGCTATATTTATAAGAAAATACCCAGGTGAAATACATGACATAATGTGTTTAGATTGAGATGCATTTTACTCTTAGTCGAAATGTGTTCTTAAATGATAGAGATAGCATTGCTTTGAACCAGTCTAGTCAATATCTCTTCAACTGAGTATGTTCAGTTTAAAAATAATTCATTTCTGCTTTGTGATAGGCTAATCTACAATTCATCATGAGTTTGTATTTGCCTATGATAATCTAAATTGTAATCTCCCAGATGGCATGGAGAGGCAGAGTTATATACTTGAAACATGGTAGATTAGCTCATAAAGGATGGAAATTACACCACACAATTTATTAGTTGTGTGGTTGCATTAAGCAGTTTAAATTTTTGAAAAATTATTCTCATGACTAATTATTAGGCAAAACTATACTTCATATTTGTCTGATAAAAACTGTGCTCTGTATTTATTTCCCTATTTTAAGGGATGAAACCATCAATCTGCCATGAAACCCATGATCAATAGTTTGGTTACCATGTTGGAGGTCACTTTTTCTCTTTCTTCCCTTCTATTTTCAATATTCTATTTTGAACTACTCTCATAACTTCCATCAAAATACTTTTTGAATATTTTTGTTGATTCCCAAATTTACTACTAATAGACTAGTTCAAAAGGTCTAAGTGGTCTTTACTGCTAGCTATGCATCAATTACCTATTGCTTCTGTATATATGGTAATTGAATTTCAAAAGTCTTCTCTATTTTATTTCCTGGCTCAACACCTGTGTGTTTCTGTATATTTTGACTTTATGTGGATTATGGTATGAGGTACAATCATTAATCTCAAACTGATGAAAATGTTCACTAACATTGTCACTGATAATTTTTATATCCCATTTATGCTATTCATTCAGACCCTAAAATATAGAACACAGCGACTACTGACACTTTGAATTTTAATGATATCTACTCATTTAGTTAACAAATCACTTAAAATGTTGAATAAAATGTGTCTCTTGTCTTCAAGGACATGATTCGTGTGTGTATCTGTATGTGTGTGCATGTGTAGTTTGAGTCCAGTGTGTTCCGTCATATATAAAGCCAAAGTTATACCAATATGAATGTAAATATCATAAATAAAATAGGAAAATAAATATAAAGTTAAAAAAATTTGCAATTTGTAAATGTATTTCTATTAAGATAAATAATTGAATATAATTTATAAATTTACAGATCAAATCTTCTCTATTTGGCCCCAGATTGATTCAGCCGCCTTCTCATGTGTTTATTCATTCATTCTTTCAGCAAATGTGCTTTTTTCACTCATTTATTCATTCATTCAATGAATACATCTGCAATATTCCAGATACTCTTCTAGATATTGGGGATGTAACAGTGCAACACAATAAAAACATACATAGTACAGTTCCAATATGCGTATAATTTAATATTACTTTTTGGCATTTCAGTCATTGAAGAATCAGTAATAATGAAGACACATGTCTTTCCTTAAGAAGCTCACAGTTTTAAAGACAATGTAACTCCACTCATCTCCAGCTACCATTCCAAACTTACATTCTCCTCTAATGTGCTATTTTCTTTTCTCCATTATACTTCTCACTTTATGAAACTGAGTTATTCATTTACTTGTCTTTGTGCTTATTGATATGTTACCAAACTAGAATTTAAGATCCCTGTAGAAAGGGGCCTAAAACAGTACTGACACATGATGACTGCTCAGTGAATATATTGTTGAATGAAATTAAGGAGTAAGTGTTCAGATATATTGTTACTTAAATGTTACTTACATTTTTTTGTCTTCTCTAGTTTCACTTTTCAAAAATAAAAATTATGCTTTGTACATATATGTTATCTTCTACAAATCTGGTGGAATTTTGTTTAATTGTTTATTCAGACAACATATGCTTAATAAGTATTCATGAATAAATTGGCTTCTTAGACGCAGTCAAACCAGCTGAAGCTAAGAGGCCAATTATTGAAAGTTGATATTATCAATTAATTTCACCAATACTGACATGTATTATCTTGAATACTATAATTACTTTTTGATATTAAGCTTTAAAAACTCACAAATACATATTAGGGTGAATTTTATTGGTAAGACACCACCACAGGTATCAGGATTCAGGTTCATGCGATGTCTCCAAAGAACTTCCCTTTTATTTTTAAATTATAAAAAAAAAATAAAGTTTAAGTAAAACATTACATGTATGCATAGCCCTATAGAAATATACTCATGATCTAATGTTTGTAGTTGTGTTTTTGTTGAACAAAGTAAGAGTGATTTTTCATTTCATGTAAACTTTCAACACAAAACTAACTGCCATTTAGCCCCCAGGCACTCTTCTAAATACTGGTAAAGGCAACAGTAAATAAAGCAGAGTCAGCACAACCATCCTGTAATACACATACAATAAGAATATAAATACAATGGATGTATCTCGTCATAAATACTCTGAAGAAATTTAAGCAAAATAACAAAGAAGAAATGATGTTGGGGATGTAACTTTAGATTAATCAGGTACAGCCTCTTTGAAGAAGCAATTCTTGGACTGAGTTCTCTTAAAATGGAAGAGGAAGTGGTTGTGAAGATCCTTAGTGATAACTTTACAGACAGAAGAAGACACCGTGATCAAGTGGGTTTTATATCGGAGATGCAAGGATAGTTCAACATACACAAATCAATACATCACATATGCAGAATTACTTACTGGGAACCATATATATTATTCCAGTGATGGATACACTAAAATCCCACACTTCGCCAGTAGGCAATATAGCCATGTAACAAAATTGCAATTGTACCTCTTAAATGTATGCAAATTTTAAAAAAGAAAACAGGAGGCGTCAGGACATTGTGTCTACAAATAGCTGAGCATGTTTGGAATAGGACACAAAGACATTGTGGGGTGTTAGTTGGGAATAAGTGGAAATGTGGTAGGGAAATAAGTGAGTCTAGGTACAGCTCGTATTCTGCCTTGAAGGCAATAGTAAAGAATATGCTTTTTTTTTTTTCTAATTATGCAAGGAAGATTTTAGAGCATTTTAAGAAAAAATCATGAGCCATTTTCCATTTTTATCTCTTATGTATCGGCCACAGAGGGGCCAGCATGAAATGATTCTCAGAGAACAATGATCAAGTATGTTGTTAATACTATACAAAAAAAAATGCACCTCATTTCACCTCAAATAGAGGGTGAAGTTGAATTAAACTTCTTGTGAATATTCACATAGTCATTAGTTGGATGAAAACTCAGGTGTCTGTATTGACTCATTCAGTTTTGTTTTATATGTAAAAATGAACACAACTGTTTTATTAACATCACTATACCCATTTTTTGAGTAGGATTGACATTTATGCATTTTTGTTAAAAGTCACAATAACTTTTACTTATGCTCTCTTGGTTATATGTTCTCAATTTGGGAAATCATCATAGTACACCCTCAAACGTAAAACATCCAGAAAACATTAAAAACTTTTTAAGTGGAGTTCTCTATCCCAAATACATAAAATATGCATACAATCATACTTTTAACAGAAATTTAGGACACATTTGTGTTATTTTGGTGTTACAGAATTAACATTTCATAATCAAAACATATAATCTAAACATTTCATAATCTAAATCCATTAAGTTACTATATGATAAATTAGCTTTTCAGTGTTTAGTTTCATCTATATTTGAATACCAGATCATTGTATTCTCATTTTACGATGAGAATCATGCTGAATTGTAGAGTTCATGGCCATTGCACTGAATTTAAGACTAAAAAATTGGTGCAAGTTTCAAAATAAATAGTATACACTTTCAGGTATTTACATTAATATAGAAGGAAGCATAACAAGGGGCACTTTCTACTACTATTTTTATTTTTCATAAGTCAGAAAGAATAGCTTTTTAAGTATACAACAATGCAGTATCATTTTGTAATGCTAACAGAAATTATTAAGTTAAAAATGTTAATGCAATCAGTTTTCTAGACATCAGAAGACTCGTCATCTATGATATAAATTATAGTCTTTCCATTGCTGCTGAAAAGTTAATAGCCTTTATTTCTAGAATACATGTTATTAGAAAATGTGAAGTTTTACAGGGCTTAATGAGAATTCAAATAAGGATATTTCTATAGGGAAGACAACAAGCCTGCTCCTGCAGCTATCTGAATTACTACATAAATGCATTCCTTTGTCAAATGTAACCTGCTTCAGTTGGCCCTACATACCTTTTAAATAAAATGTACATGGATTCTTCTAGTCTATAAATATATTAGGTCTTTATGTGTTTGTATACCTTGTACGTTCTATTTTTAAGAACCCCTCTTGTAATGTCAGAGTGACTGGACTCATCAGAGTACACCACAATTTTAAAACTCCGTCTTCAGAGTAGAGCAGACTTTTCATTGACTTTTATTCTCTTCTTCTATAAGCTCTCAACTGTCATTATTGATAGGAGTGCAATCTGCCACTCTTTGCCCTCACTGTCAGGAATCATGAACACGGTGCAGTTTAAAAGATGAGGCTTATTGATTCTCATGCTCAGTCCATGAAGATAATCTTTCTCTCTTCCTGAAATATTTAGAAATGTTAGTAAAAAATGTGATGAAGGTGATAAAATATGATTAATAAATGTTTAAACTTTGAAAATAAATTAATTTTACTCAAAGTCTGACTGCCTGGAAAAACAGAGAAGTAGGTGAGAGATTGAATCTCACATTGTTTACTCTTTATAAATGTGTTTTCATCAACTAAACACTTGTTTCTCAGCATCAGTTTATGATCTGAATGAAATGTATACAAAATAAAATATTAAAAAATGTGGTTTGGGCCAGGCAGGGTGGCTCACACCTGTGATCCCAGCACTTTGGGAGGCTGAAGTAGGAGGATCATTTGAGCCAGGGGATCCTGATGATTCCCATCTCTATCAAAAAATTAGAAAAATTGTCCAGGTGTGGTGGCATGTGCCTGTAGTCCCAGCTACTCAAGAGACTGAGGTGGGAGGATTGCTTGAGCCTGGGAGGCAGAGGTTACAGTGAACCATTCTCATACCTGAGCGATGTCGCCAGATGCTGTTTAAAAAAAAGAAAAAAGAAAGTGACTAGTGCATTGTGGTAAAAATAATTTTATCATGCTAGTAAAAATAATTTTTACATATTTAAATGAAAGATTTCAAGATAAAATCTAGCATGAAGACTGATTTGGGCTGAAAGAAACTAGCTAGTAAGGACACCTCATGATTTTGGTTATTGTTGCTTTTTGAGACAGAGTCTCACTCTGTCGCCAGGCTGGAGTGCAGTGACATGATCTCAGCTGACTGCAACTTCCGCCTCCTGGGTTGAAGCGATTCTTCTGTCTCAGCTACCTGAGCTGGGATTACAGGTGCCCACCACCATGTCCAGCTAATTTTTGTATTTTTAGTAGAGACAGTGTTTCACCATATTGGCCAGGTTGGTCTCGAACTCCTGTACCTCGTGATCCTCCCTCCTCGGCCTCCCAAAATGCTGGGATTACAGCACTTTTTTGTTGAGCTACTGCACTGGGCCAACCTCATGATATTTTAAAAGACAATGTCATGGTAGGAATAGAGAAAATATTCTCTCATACATGAAATATGTGAGCAAGAGGACATGACCCAAGCATCATAATACATTTCAGAGTTGAAGTGTCTCATGATAGATCCTGGGGTGAAATGGGATGAAGAGAAGTGTTTTTATGGACATTTTACGGTATAAATATTTTAATAAGTTAAAGAGTTATAGAGGAATGTAGTGTAAAAACCTTCCAGTAAAGAGAGAGGCAGAAGAGGAACCGTGTTTTGGCAAAGTCTATCTTTGAAGGCTGTTATGGATTAAGTTAAGTTGTTTATTTTTTCAGTACTGGCTGAAGAGTGTTTCTGTAAACTATACTTAAGTTTCTTTGTTTCCAGCTCTTTTATCTAAACTGATTCATTTTCCACTTATCTGAGGTGGAATTTTCCTTAGATTTTAATATCACTATGTAAAATTGCCCTTTATATTTTCAAAAATACTTACAATATCCTTTCGTTGAATATTAATTTCAGTTGAGTTACACTTATTATGGATAAACATGAAATGTTCATCCTTACTGTTCAGGTAATGTCTGCTATGTCTAACTCATTTTAGTTGTAATCTTTTCTCTCACTTCCAATTAATCACCAATTCCTGTTGTTACACTGTGTGTTTATGTGAGAAAGAGAAACAGATGGCAAATAGACAGAAAAAGACGTAAAGAGAGTGATACAGACAGAACAGAAATAGATAGAAACAGATACACAAAGAAAGAAAATTTCCCGTGTGTATACTTATATGCATATTTACACCACACCAAACACACACATTCCACACCTCATTCTCTTCTCTTGATCTCTATCATCACCCTGCCTAAACTTCCTTAGCAGGTTTCTAATGTCACCTGCCCCCAGGTTAGTCTTCACAATGAAGCAGTTGTAATATACATTTTTAATAGAAATATCTCATCATGTCTTTGCTGTGTAGAAGTATAACATACCTCCCAATGGTTTTAGTATAAATCCAAAATATTCACCAAAATTGCAATGTGTTATACCATTTGGCCCTTGTCTACCTCACCAGCCTAATTATTCAACATTCATTCTTCTTCCTTTCAACACGCTTGTCCAAATGTCTTTTAATTTTGTAAACGTTTTGCATTCTGTCCTGTTCATGGCCACTACATATGGTGTTCCTCTGCCTAAGACACTATTTTGGAATGTATATTTGGCTGACACCTGCTGGGCCCTTAGATCTCAGGGAGACTCAGGATCTTCCTTGATGTGACCTCACAAAATCTGGTATGTCTCCCTCGTTTCTATGGCCATCGTTCCCGTCTGGTTTTTGCACCAGCAAAGCAGATGCCTGACATTAGAAACTTGCCATTCCTGTCTTTCCTAGTGTTCCTAGACCCAGCTTAGTGATCACGAAGTTCCTACCATATGTTTGTTCCCTGAAGCAATAAATACATAATATAGAACTATGCATCATTACGCATGGCATGCCACCTGTTTAACCTTTTTCTTTGCTTTTTTATAGGCTTTTCAATCCAAAACAGAATTTAAATGTTGTTAAACTGTCAGAATATTCACACTTCCACCCATTGGCTATCACCCTTCTAACTTCTCATAAAATTGTAGACTCCTTTGATGCTTTTGTCATCTAATTGCAAAGGTGACTTTAGTATTGTCACCTATTAGACTCTTGTATAATCTGACTTATTTTTATTTTAACACATGGCTTGCAGTCTACTTCTTCATCCAGATTCTTGCAATTAGCCCAGGTATACTCATGTCCATCCACATGGACAGAATATACACAAACTCTTGCTTTTGCTCTTCTTTTTGCCCAGCTTGGACTCCGTTGTCCAGCATCATCTTTACTGGGGTAAATTTTTTAAAACCATTACTATTTTTTCTATTTGCTAAATCTCAATATTAAATAAAGCTTTTTTTACATTAAACTAGCTTAATGCTACTGAGGAATATTATATAATCCAGAATTTTTTACATACTGTTATTAATAATAGCTATACTTAATGCATGCCAGGGCAGTAAATCTTTATAATATCTCTAAAGGTATCTTTTTCACGACATTCAATAAAGTTTTCAATTTTACTTGTCCATGTTTCTACATTTCTCTTATTAAACTTATTTATTCACAATCTGATATGATTTTTGTATACTACTTCTCTCATGGATCTCCTGAATCTTATCTCTTTTGCATTACTCTCAGTGTGTGACCTTGCCTCATCTTTCACTTACCAAATTGAAGTCATTCGCTGAAACTTCCTGGCCTTCCTGACTCCACCTCACTCCAGCCTCTCTTTTTCTCTCTGTTGAAGTGGTAGAATAACCTGTACCATAATCAGGGAAAAAAATTGCCCCACATGTGTCCTGGAATCTATCTATTAATATTCATAAAACTTGCCTCCTACAGAATTATATTCAATTTGTTATTCTTTTTTCTTTGACATAATTAAGTTTTTATTTCCTAGAGGTTCTTTGAATCATTCCTCAGTGTTCACACATCACATACAGGGCATGCTGATGTAATAGCAGCGCCGACTGCTATTATCTTTAAAAAATAATAGAAAAGAAGATTCATAATACACTATGTCCTCTTACCACCTACTCCTTTTCTTTAGCAGTAAATCTTCAAAGCGGAATTGACTAGACCCATCGTTTCTATTCCTTCGTCTTCCATTTCACAGCCTCAACCCTATTATGTCATATTTCCCCCAAAGCCTTCACTTTTCACTTTATATTTCTTATCTAGATTATTTAATTTCCTTACAAGTTGTTAAAAATTGTCAGTGCTGTTATATTGACTCTAAGCTGCAAATTTTCTTCACATATTAACATTAAAAAAGTGATTCATCTGTAAATTAATTGCATGTCATATTTCTCTTGACAATGTTTATTTTTCTGTTTTCTCAGTATATAAGCAATACTAGTGCATATTACAATTTATAACATCTTCTATGTGAAGTATGCTAGCATTGGCATATGCCGCATATGCTGATTCTTCTCTCAAATTCAAACCTATATTTGTGTAAAATAGGTTACATCCAACTTCTCAGCCTTTTTACTTAGATTTGTCTCAAACATCATGAGTTTGTTATACACAAAAAGAAAGAAATACTTAGGATACGTTATCCATATCTACTTTAATTCAAATCTTTACCATTAAAACAGAACAAAACAAAAATACCTTAAATTTCAGAAACTTGGAGTCATTATCAACGTTTGCCTTAATCTATATTTATTCATTTAGTATGTTCTAGCTCCAAAATAATTATTAGTATAGTTAGCATTTGTTAAGAGATTCATATTATTTTAAGTTTTTTTATGCACTACTATAGTTTTATTAGAAATAACAACAAAACTATGAAGTGGGTCCCACTATTATCCTCAACTTATTCAAGTGAGAACTCAGATAGAATTTTCCAAGAGGACATAGCTAGTTAAGTGAGAACCCAAAATTTGAATTAAGTATTTTGAACTATGGTTCATGCTTTGTTAATTTTCTCATACCTTCGTCCAATTTACCAGAAAATCCACTCTTCACCCTCTCTATTAATTTTCTACACTGTATGCAATTGATCTTTGAAAAAGAAAATTTAATTTTTCTGTGGATTAAATGATTTAATTGTTCCCATTTGATATACAATCTAAAAATTATTATCATGATATACAGTTTTTCCTTTTAGAGTCTTTCTCCATTTTAAGTTATTATATAGAGAAATGATATGGTAGACAAAACAATAATATACTCACCCCAATGATCTCTATGTCTTAATACCCAGAACTTGTGAATGTGTTAGCATATATGGCACAGAATGAAATCAACGTTGCAGATGAAATTAAGGTTCCTATTCAATTGACCTTAAGAGATAATTCTGGATTATCCCAGGAGACCTAGTGTGATTACAAGCGTCCTTAATATGGTTTAGCTCTGTGTCCCCACCAAAATCTCATCTTGAATTGTAATCCCCACATGTTGAGGAAGATGCATGGTGGGAGATGATTGGACCATGAGGGTGGTTACCTCGATGCTGTTCTCAAGATAGTGGGTGCATTCTCACAAGAACTAATGATTTAAAATTATGTAGCAGTTCCCCACTCTTCTCTCTCTCTGTCACCATGTAAGATGTGTCTTACTTCCCCTTTGCCTTCTGCCATGGTTGTTTCATGAGGCCTCCCCAGCCATGCAGAACAATGAATCAATTAAACCTCTTTTCTTCATAAATTACCAAGTCTCAGGTAGTTCTTTATAGCAGTGTGGAAACAAACTAATACAGAAAATTGGTACAGAGAGGAATGAGGAAATGCTATAAAGATATCTGAAAATATGAAAGAAATTTTGGAACTGAGTAACAGGCAGAGGGTGGAACAGTTTGGAGGGCTCAGAGGAAGACAGGAAGATGTGGGAAAGTTTGGAACTTCCAAGACACTTGTTGAATGGTTTTGACCAAAATGCTGATAGTGATATGGACAATGAAGTCCAGGCTGAGGTGGTCTCAGATAGAGATGAGGACCTTACTGAGAACTGGAGCAAAGGTCACTCTTCCTATGCTTTAGCAAAGAGACTGGTGGCATTTTGCTCCTGCCCTAGAGATCTGTGGAACTTTGAACCTGAGAGAGATAATGTAGTGTGTCTGATGGAAGAAATTTCTAAGCAGCAAAGCATTCAAGAACTGACCTGGATTTTTCCGAAAGCATACAGCCGTATGCATTTACAAAGAGATGATCTGAAATTGTAACTTATGTTTAAAAGGGAAGCAGGGCATAAAAGTTTGGAAAATTTGCAGCCTAACCATGCAGAAAAAAAAAATCTGGGAGAAATTCAGAAATGTGCATAAGTAAAAAGGATCCCAATGTTAGAGATCTTCTCAAGGCAGCCCCTCACATCACAGGCCCAGAGCCCTAGGAGAAAAAAAAAAATGGTTTCATGGGCTGGGCCCAGGACCCCGCTGCTCTGTGCAGTCTCAGGACATATGCCCTGCATCTAAGCCACTCTAGTTCCAGCTGTGGCTAAAAGGGGCTTAGGTACAGCTCTGGCCATTGCTTCAGAGAATGTGAGTGCCAAGCCTTGGCAGCTTCCATGTGGTGTTGGACCTGAAGATATGCAGAAGCCTAGGGTTTGGGTGCCTCTGCCTAGATTTCAGAGGATGTATGGAAACACTTGGATGTCCAGGCAGAAGTCTGCTGCAGGGGTATAGCCCTCATGGAGAACCTCTACTCTAGCAGTTCAGAAAGGAAATTGGTTGGAGTCCCCAGAATACCCTCTGGGTTATTGCCTAGTGGAGCTGTGAGAAGAGGGCCACCAACCTCCAGTCCCCAGAATGGTAGGTCAAACTTACAGTTTGCACCATGTGCCTGAAAAAGCTGCAGGCACTCAACACCAGCCCATGAAAGCAGCCATGGGGGCTGTACCCTGTACAGCCATAGGATTCAAGCTACCCAAGGCCTTGGGACCCCACATTTTACATCAGCATGCCCTGTATATGAGACATAGAGTAAAAGGAGATTATTTTGGAGCTTTAAGATTTAATAGCTGCCTAGCTGGGTTTTAGACTTTCATTTGGAATAGAAGAATCTACTTAATGCTTCTTGGAATATGATTTCCTTCTGTGCCATATATGCTAACACATTCACAAGTTCTGGGTATTAAGACATAGAGATCATTGGGGTGAGGATATTATTATTTTGTCTACCATATCATTTCTCTATATAATAACTTAAAAGGGAGAAAGATTCTAGAAGGAAAAACTGTATATCATGATAATAATTTTTAGATTGTATATCAAATGGGAAAAATTAAATCATTTAATCCACAGAAAAATTAAATTTTCTTTTTCAAAGATCAATGCATCTTGGAAGTAACTTTCTGTTGAGTTTAGACTCATAACTGAAAGGAACTTGCCTTGTCTCAGATGAGACCTTAGATTTCTACTTTTGAGTTACTGCTGAAATGAGTTAAGACTTTGGGGTACTGTTGGCAAGGCATGATTGGTTTTTAAATGTGAAAAGGAAATTAGATTTGGGAGGAGCCAGGGTGGAATGATATGGTTTGGCTCTGTGTTCCCAACCAAATCTCATCTTGAGTTGTAATATACACATGTCAAGGGAGGGACCTGGTGAGAGGTGACTAAATCATGGGGCAGTTTCCCCCATTCTGTTCTCATTATAATGATTGACTTCTCACAATATCTGATGTTTAAAACTATGTAGCAGTTTCCCCCTCCCACCTTCTCTCTCCTGCCACCATGTAAGACGTGTCTTGCTTCCCCTTCACCTTCCACCATGGTTGTAGGTTTTCTGAGTCCTCCTCAGCCAGGCCTCCTCCTTATTGACTGTGATCCAATTAAACCTCCTTTCTTTAAAAATTACCCAGTCACAGATTGTTCTTTATAGTAGTGTGGAAACGGACTAATACAGTCCTTAAAATTAGAAAATAGAAACAGAAAAAAAGAATCAGAAAAATGGCATTGTGACGAAAATTAAAGTATAGGGCCATGGACCAAGGAATACAGGCAGCCTCTTGATGCTTTAAGACACTAAGTCATAAATTCTCCCATACAGCCTCTAGAAGGAACGCAGATGTGCCAACACCTTGATTTAGGCCATTGTGATCCATCTCAAACTTCTGACTTTGATGAAAGTAGATGATAAATTAGTGTTTTTAAAGGACTCATTTTTTGGAAATTTGTTACAGCCACAATAAAAATGAATACATATGGTGATAATTCTTTCAAGCATTCATTCATTCATTAAACACTTGTACTTTGTGTAGTTTCTATTACTTATTCAAAAATGTATATTCAGTAATTTAAACAGGTACTCTTATTTTCTGTGATGTACATATTTTCATGAAAACATGTAGAATGTATTTAAGATAGATCTATGATATAAAATATGTCAGCACGGTTATTACAGTAATGATTCTGGTACTTGGGTCAACACAGAACTTATGAATTGTTATAACTATCCATACCCTCTTGCCTCAATGAAAAATTTGCTCTTGTGCTGAAGAGCCCTAACAGAAAGAATGAGAAAGAGTAGCATCTTTGTTCTTTGGAAATATAGAAAAAAAATGAAGAAATGCTGAAAATATTGAAGTGCATTGAATCAATGGGGAATACAAAACTGAATGTGTCCACATGTTTAAAAGAAGTAGCAAGATATAACAATGGGTAATATTTTGAGTCCTTTAATTTAGAACAATATCTAATCTATATTTATAAAGCAACTGGTAATGAACACATATAAGACTATCTGTATTTTCTTGCATTTTAATAAACCATTTTTATAATAATCAATTGTAATCTTGAGATGAAACCTTGTTTCATTAATATAAAAACTTGCATGGATTCATTTACCTTGATAATTGAATTTAGCAATTGAAATGATGGGAGAAATAATAACAAAACTACATTCTTGCATTCCCCCATCTTTTCTATTTTCTTTTTAGAATATAATCAGTAGCTAGCAAGAAAAATAATTTAACTAAATTATTTCTTATTAAAAGAGAGCAACACGAGTATTGTGAGATGTGGAAAAATAAAGACATCACCTCTAATTTTGCTTTAGACTATAAATTGCAATATGTAAAACAATTCCATTGCTGCAAGAGATAAAATTGAATAAAAATATCATTAAAAATGAACTAAATGAAACTGAGTAATACAACAAAATTAGACAATGCTTTTATAATATCTCCAAGTAGGAATCTAGTCTATTATTTCCAAATTTACAATAAAATATTAAATTAATGACAGATTTATTTTTCTATGCCAAAATTAAAGAAATAAATCATACAATTTTTAAATTGTTAGCAAAGAACATTCCTTGTTAAATGCTAACAATTTTTGGCTTCTACAATGAATCAGCCACAATGATAATCAGTATAAATCTTGACAATTTGAATTAACTCAATGGCATCATATATTTATTAATAAGTTAAAATGATGAAATCTATACTGTACAGTGCATTGGAAACCAAATAAATTTATTATTATTAAATGTAACATTTTCTGATTTGAAAAATTGTTCTTTATTCTCTATTATTGTCATTTCATTTATACATTTGTTATTCTACAACTTACTGGTCACCTTTATGATTTGTTCAAAAATGAGATTATACTTTAATTTATGTAAGTTTAACACTTCAGTTGCTAGCATATAGTAGGAGCTCAGTAAATTGTAGTCGTAGTAGTAAGTGTTTTTAATAGAAGTACTTTGGGAACTTGTGTTACTTTTATGCTCTGCTTTATGCTGACCAGTGAGGTTACACACTGCTAGCGTATATTATAATGCTTACTATTATTCTTTCCAAATTGTTAAAGTTGTGACAAAATAATCACATGATTTAAGGAAAAGATTAAGACAAAATTTCTTAAAGTTGCAGTTTATAAAAATTAGAATTCAAATGCTACATGATAGTTTTACTTCATGTATATTTATTTTTCTAAATGCTAATTTAGCATTTTTTCAATTTCAAGCAGATTATTTGATCAGGATCACAGCAAATTCCTCAGGATTGAGCTCACAAATCAAGAGAGATAACTAAGTGGACCCTTCATTCACCTGTAGGCCCTACAGAAGATCCTAATTCATCACTAGAGAAAAATTAGGTGGCCCATATTACCTTCTTTCCCACTAGAAATTATAATCTAGCTTTTATTTTTGTTCACCCGCTACTACCTAGGTTATTTTAGCTTGATAATCACCTTTCTAATGAAAATGAAAAAAATAGGAGATACGATTGCTGCATACAGGAAGGCTCTTTTAAATACTTCATTTTATTTGATGCCATTAATATATCCATGGACTTCTACACCTGAATGCCTCAGTTTTTATTGAATAAAGAAATAGCTAAGATCCACTATTCCAAAAGAGATTCTAAGGAGTAGACATACCTCTTAGTTGAAAACTCCTTGAACACACTGACACACCTAGACCTCAGGATTATTAATATAAGACATGACACATTATTGGTTTATAAAATTGGTTTAATGGAATGCAGACCACATTTTTTAAAATTAGAATAGCATTAAGTACATAAACAACAGCATCTATCCCCTTTTAGACTATTTCTTATGAATTTATTTTAGTCACACATAGTTGATGTTTTTCTTGAGTCATGAAGTTCTGAAGGGAAAAATCAAACAACATAAATGTATATTCTTGCTTTTGGAAGATATTAATTCTCCAACTAGTTGTTTTATTACAAAACATGGCTGATAGTTCATTGGCCATAGACCCAATATACACTGTCACACATTTCTTGACTTAGATATGCACACATTTGTGCATATGTGTGGAAAATATCTATCTATGTAGATATATTTGTTTTAATACAAGTAGTGGTCTAGTGTTGTATACAATGCAGGTAAGAGTCTCCTGTATGTATAACTTAAATTTTGGCAAGGAATGGTGGCTCATGACAGTAATCCCAGCATTTTGGGAGTTCAAGACATGAGGATTGCTTGAGGCCCGGGGTTTAAGTCCAGTCTAGGCAACATAGCAAGACCCGCCATCTCTGAAAAAGGAAAAAAAAAAAGTTAAAGTTAGTTGGGTGTCAAGTGGCAAAGTGGCAAGTGCTTGTGGTCCCAGCTACTCAGAATGAGGCAGGAGGATTGCTTGAACCCAGGAGTTCAAGGTTACAGTGAGCTATGATGGCACCACTGTACTGCAGCCTGCAGAACAGAGCAAGACCTGTCTCTAAAATATTTTTAAAAATCCACTTAAACAATTCCACTCTTTATGACTACAAAATAACCAAATGTAACAAGCTTTAACCTTAAAAAAGTTTGTATTCATCTATGAGATCTTTGAGAGGAATACTGTTTGTGTGAACAAACACATCTGATGACTGGAAGTCAGAGGAACATTACACAGGAAATTGTCTTAAATGGATGGACAATGAAATTAGAATAGGCTTAAATTATTTCCATTTCATTTATCATAGGGTTCAGTGATTTCACATGATTGATAGTGCCTTTCACATCACAGAATAGTTTACAAACATTTTTATTCTTTTTCAGGTACTAGTTTTTGTGTCGTGTTTTAGCTCTATATATTATTTAAAAGAAACTAATAGTTACTGATTTTTAATCATTTCAGTTGGGACACTGTTTTATGAGAATTAGCTTATTTAATCTTCATCCAAACCTATGACATTGATTCTATTATACCCATTTGACCAATGAAGCAATGATATTGAGAAAGACTAAATCACAAGTCTAATGTCTCATATTAAGGAAGACACAGAGCCTGGATTTGAACTCCATTCTCTGTAACTGCACAGTCTAACATTTTTACCACTATTAAATACTTTTAATGAACATCTCTTGTCTGGTGACATCAGTGTACTTGATCTTAAATAGGAAAATTTTGTGAGAGATGTATTTACTTCTGAATGAAAAAAAAGTTATGTCTGACTCTAAAAATACTATTTTTATTACAAAATGTCATGAAAACACAGAATTATTTATAAAATTCTCTTGAAATAGCTCCATCTAAAGAAACCCAATATTAATATGTTAAATCTTAAAGCTCTACCACTGTGATTTAAATTACACCAAAATGGTTTTTATTTTCCTGAGATATTTGTCTTAAGGTGTTATATTTTCCAGAAGGCTTCCTATATTTTTGTTCATGCAGTCTTTTGTATATTATTGAGAAATAAATTTTCCTAGCAGTAAATATATTTCTGAGGTAGACAGTTTCTTAAAAATCCGTAAAATTGTTATTCTCCCAATTTTTATTATCAAGAATCTTTTCCTGAAGATCTATCCCTCTTCAGAAACCTACTGATCCTCTAAGTAGTTCATTACTTTTTACTAAAATGCTCTCTTGGACACTATTTAGCAGAACTTCTTCCAGATATTCAGTGTATTATATAGACGATATGCACATCTTGCTTATATTATTGATACACTGTTTTATGATTATTTGTATATTTTCTTAGTTATCTTAGTGAACATTAGTTATAGGGAATGAATATGTCAACATTTAGAACATCATCTTGCCAAAATGTTTTTGTATTAGTTAGTGCAGTTATTTTAATAACTATGAACAATGTCAAAAGGAAAGAAAGGAGATAGTATTTTAAGAAGCTCAAAGAAACCCACTTGTGCTACATATAACAAATGTATACATTTTGCATACATTTTTATGATTAGCTATTTGAGAAATGAAGTATTATAGACAGCATTGAGACTTTTGATTTTCCCAAAATACAACCATTCTAGTCCTCTCCCTCACTATACAGAAATAATATCCTGAAGACTTTGAACATCACTTCCTCACAAGTATTTATAATTTTTTCCTATTATGCAGTGACTATAACTTATATAGAGTATATTTTGAATTGTGCATAAATAGTACAATATTGTTTTAGTCTATTCAGGCTGCTTTAACAACATATCATAAACTGGGGTGGCTTATAAACAACAGAAATTTCTTTCTCACAATTCTAGAGACTGGAAGGTCCAAGATCAAAACATTAGTTCATTTGGGGTCTGGTCAATAGATCGCACCTGCCAGCTGTTTCCTTGCATGATGGAAGGAACAAGGAAGCTTGCTAAGAGTCTCTTATATGGGCCTTAATTTAATTCATGAGGGACCTGCCCTCCTAACCTAATTAACTCCCAAAAGCCCCCCTCCTAATACCATCACCTTAGGGGTTAAGATTCCAACAAATGTATTTTGGAAAGACACGAACCACAAGATTATAGCAAATAATCTGCCAAAATTTTAATTCAAAGTGTGTTATGTCTCTATGTTGGTGATTATTCTTATTATTTTATTTCATATTCTTATTTTATTTTTATTATATGTTTCAGGTCATGTATGGAGGAAACAGAATGTGAAATATAATGCCATATTGCATTTCCAACAATAGTCGAAGGCATTTTTCATTCTAAAGTTGTCTTTTTAGAATATGTATTGGGAATATATTTTGTATATTTTGCTGTACTCTTAAAATAAGGAAAAAGAAACTGCTTTTTAAAAATGAATTCACTTGGTCATAAATGAAATTTAATTGGAATTTTTTTTACTACAGAGAGCTCCTTTAGAATAAAGGCTTAATTCATCCAACATTATAGAATTGCTTGATCTCCAATATTTTTTAAAAAATATATTTGTGTCCCTTTTCTATAAGAGTAAAGCTGATTTAGTGTCTGTCATACAGAATACTCCATGTTGTGGGGGAACTTAGAAGCAAATGATGAGTTCTTCTTCACAAATTTGTAAGGAAGTCATGTCTCAGAAACATAAAAAAATTAAAAGAACTCTACTCAAAGGATAATAGATTATATTTATGTGTGTGACTCAAAGAATCTCATTCTCTTATAAATATATTTTGCAGAAAAAATACAGTGATACAGGCTTTAGCAAGCAATGATTCTCCTGTATAGTCAACTAGAGGGGTAAATTGAAAAGTGAGATGTTTCTCTGCTCTGTCTTCAGTCTCTGTTTTCAGTCATCTTCCTCTTATTAGTACTTGCCAACATATTCATTCATTCAACCATTTGTTGAATATATACCATGCAGCATTAGTTTCAGGGTAAATTGATATTGATAGACCACTTCAAAGAGCTCACAATGCAGTGAGCTATGAGATGCATTGATGTCATCTCTACATTGGTTAAAAAGGTATCTTCCTTAAAACAGCAAATGTGAGTTCTACGAATTTACATTGACTACTGAACAATGCACTGTATTTTCTTCTGGGGGCAATAGGGAGTACCAGAGCTCCTAGACTTCTAGATAAGACAACTCCATCCCCAACATTTATACCTCCATTTGTAGAAGTCAAGAGGGTGCCCCTGTAATCCTCTTGCTTCTGGAAAGTGTCCCCCTTTCCCCCTCTCTTTCCTATAAAATACAGCTACCAAGATTTGATCTCTAATAATCTCTTTACAATTTCCACCCCTCCGTTTTATGTAGGTCTCCCTAAGCAATCCAAATTCATTCCTGGAACTTCTACCTCTATTTTTCTCTTTATAAAATGTCTCTGCTACATTTGTCACATGGACAGTAGGGTATAGTTTGCATGGTGACAAGAAGTGATCTAAGTAAGTAGAGTAACCTGTGTTCTAATCTTGGATTTACAATTCATAGTGTGATACTTTGTGTCTTTTGTAGACTCTTTTTGCCATTGCAAACTGAAGACAAGAATCACTTCCTGATCACTGGGTTGTTGTAAGGTAAAAATGAGATAATGAATATGAATTTATTTTGAAAATTTTTAATCACTATTGAAAGTTATAATAATACATAGAATCTTGACAAGTATTAATATAAATTTTAATGACAGAATATATTTGGAGATTACATTCAAGTCTGTAAAGAGTATTATCCTTATATACGTGATACAAACTAAAACATTATAGAATGAGCCTTTCAAATTAAAAGTTCTCAGAGCATCAGAGATACAACACAATCATTAGTGGAGCTGTTGCAGACGTTTTAATTGGGAAATGAAATAGTCATTGCCCTAGAGTAAACTTGACACCTTGTTCATTATCTAAGACTTGATTTTGTGCTATAATTACTTTAAGATCCCATTAAAGTTTCATGCTAACCAAGTGAGTGGGCTATGCATGTGAATAAAACTGAAATGTGTGATAAATATATCCTACTGATTTGGTTTCAAGGGGATCTGTACTAATTTCAGGTCCTCTTTCATTGAACACATATGAGTCAGTCACTTGGAAAGAAGGATCAAAACGTGTTTTAAAATAAGAAAACAGACTTTCAAAGTGCTAATTTATGACTTGTAATTAGCAGCAATTCTGTTTACTCTGTGTGTTTTAGGTCCAGTAAAGTTTGAAACTCCAGTAACTCAAAATCATTAAATATTAATTCAGTGCTTGGGCTAAGTTTTGTAGGAGGAAAAAGAAAAAGTAAAAAAGAAAAGAAAAATGTGATCTCTGTTGCTAACAAGGTTTCTAGTACATATGAAGGAATAAGAAAGGAAAATCTTTAACTGAGCTCCAACAGTTTTAAAGGAAATGGAAAGATCCTATTCTATTTAATTTTTATAATTAAGTTTAGCAGAAGGATATTTTTATCCCCCTTGTTAATTCTCACACTCCAGCAATCAAGCTTAGGAGAAAGAGATTTTAATCCCTCTTTTGTGAATAAGCAAATTTAGCTGAATGGCTCATATCCAGTGACCATTGTTGGGCATTAAGAAAGCATTGTTCAGAATCGTACAATTTGTATGAGACAGAACTGATTTATACACACACACACACACACACACACACACACACACACACATTGACCCTTGAGCAACAACCCAGGGGAGAAGAGTAGTGACCCCATACACAGTAGAAAATCTGTACATACCTTTTGACTTCCCCCAGTTAACTACTAACAACTTATTGCTGACCAAAAGCCTTACCCAATAACATAAACAGTCAATTAATGCATATTCTGTATGCTGTATGTATTACATGCTCTGTTGTTACAACGAAGTAAGCTAGAGAAAAGAAATAGTTATTTAGAAAGTTATAAGGTGGAAAAAACATAGTTACTATTCATTCAGTGGAAGTGAATCATCAAAAAGGACTTTATTCTTATCATCTTCATGTTGAGATGGCTGAGAGTGGTGAGAAAGAGGAGGGGTAATCTTGCTGTCGGAAGGATAATCTTGCTGTCTCAGGGGTAGCAGAGGTAAAAAAAAATTTACATATAAGTGGACCTACACAGACCAAACCCATGCTGTTCAAAGTTCAACTGTATATATCTATATATCCACATAGATATAATATATACATACATATATATTAATACACATATATACATACATATACAATATATATTTGTACACATATATACATATATGATATATATTCGTACACATATATACATACATATACAATATATATTCATACACATATATACATACATACATGATATATATTCGTACACATATATACATACATATACAATATATATTCATACACATATATACATACATATACACACATATTAGTAATAATTTTAAAAACATTTCATTTACAAACATTTCAAAAAAATTTCAAACATTTTAAAAATATATTAATGAACCAAGGAGACAAATCCCTGCCTTCATGATATTACATTCTCAGGAAGTAGTCAGAAGTATCCGTAACTTAAATAAATACACAATATATTTTTTACCACATCTTTGATTTCTTGTAAAAAAATAAAAGTAACTTTGCATTTAGGTTCCTCCCAACATCCTTAGCCCAAATTTTATAATATAAAAACATTATGTTCAGAATCAATTTTACAGATAATAAATGCCACAGGAAAAGCAGAGCATGCATATGAGAGTGATACCTTTTGAGATTTTTAATTTGAGCAAGGTAAGACTTTATGACAGGAGATAGTCTCAACTGCCTTAGTGCCCATAAATGAAGGCAGAGCTCCACTTTAGCTGAGATCAGTTTACAGTGAACATCATGTGAGCATGGAGAGTGAGTATGTTTGTTGTTGCAAATCCAATCCAAATTTCAAATCGCATCATTTTTTCTGTCACCCTCTGAGCTTCCACTATCTGCCACAAGACAGAACACAGGTACATGTCAAGCCTAGGCTCCTATAGCTATATTAACTGTTTTCCATCTGTGTTCTCCGGATGCTGTAGCTTGCTTTGTTATCTTTATTTCTAGCTCTGATTTGATATATTTTAAAGAATGAGTTTTCTTACAGGTAAGTGATATCAGGGTTTTTATATTTCACTTAAGTCCCAATGGTTGATTTGGATTTTTTCTGTTTAAGGACAGGACTTTAATTCTGAATTCCCACAATTAATATCCTTAAAATGTTTGTGCTCAGATATGGCAATAACAAAAGTACTACTGTTCTTGGTTTCAAAGCAAATATTGCACCTAACAATGTTAAACAGGCAAGGAAGACTTTATTCAATACTATAGCAATAGGGGAGAGATAGAATTCAGGTGGAACTCAATTCTGCTGAAACAATGGGCAATAGGTATTTTAAAGACTGAGCTAGTGAAAAAGTACTGGAGGGTGCTAGCCTATCTGAGTTTGCTAATTGGCTTCATCCAAAGAAAAACTAATCTTCTTATATCTTTATAAAGGGAGATCATTTCTTAAATTGGAGCAAGGCACCTATAACCACCCACTGAAGTTAGGCTCCTACCCTCATACAGAAACTGAGAGAAAAAGGGAAGATAAGGGTGTAGAGGGAGAGGAGAGCATTATTTTCCTGAATATTTACATTTCAAAGATACGGATCCTAGGTTCTTGAGAAAGACAGGGGTTTTAAAGTTGACAATAAACTTATTAAAAGACTTATATCTCAAAGGGACAAAGACATAATTTACAATTACATGTTTTTTAAAGTAACCACTAAGAGAAGGAAAGTCAGGGGCCTAGAGTCAGAAGGAAGCTTTGACTAAAATTTAGTCAGCTTAGAAAAATGTTAGGGCCATCTTGCTCACTGGCTACATTTATGCTCCTTTAAAATCTGCCATCATAATCTTTAGAAAATAATATCTAACTGTACAATTTGTACTAGTTTCCTAGCTCTGCTGTAACAAATTACCACAAACTAAGTGGCTCAGAACAATGGAAACGTATTGTCTCCCATTTGTGGAGGCCATAAGTCTGAAATCAGGCTGTTATCAGGGTCTTGCTCTCTCAGAAGGCTCTAGAAGAATCCTTCCTTGCTTCTTCCAGCTTCTAGTGGCTTGAGGTCTTTCTTAGCTTTGAGCTGCATAACATCAGTATGTATCTTCATCCTCACATGGCTTTCTTCCCTGTGTGTGGTGTCTCCCCTCTGTTTGTCCCTTATTGGGGCATTGTCATTGGACTTAGGCCCACCTGGATAATCAAGAATCATCTTATCTTTATATTATTAATTACATCTGCAAAGACCTTTTCTCTAAATGAGTTCACATTTACGGATTCTGAGGATTATGTCACACACATCTCTTTTGGGGGCGTGGGGCGCAACATTCAGGCCACTACATTGCTTTTATATTTAATTGGCTCCTGTGGACAACAATTTTCTGCAAATTCCTTAATTCTTCTAGAGGCACTGCTCTTTCTCAATGCCCCAGTTTCTCACAACCTCTCCCTGAACAAAGGAGAGCTGTATAATTAGTCCCCCAATCTTTACCAAATAAGAATGCTTCATACATACTGTCAAGGAATGGGGGGTATGTAGGGAATTATAAGAGCAACTTCAGGATACTTTTAATAGAGATATTTGATTTGACTGTAAACACTTGATATGAATAAAATACTACAATTTTCCACACAGAATTCTAGAGGTGATTGAAGAATATCTAAGCAATATTTTTTTGGTGGGAGATAGTTAAAGAATACCTCACTACCAGAGGGAAATGGTAACTGAGTTTGAGTTTAATTAGGCAAAAGTAATATTTTGGAGAGCTGTTCAATGGTGGTAGAGAACATGGTATAAGTAAAGCCAAACAGGAAGAAAAGACTAGTGAGTTATTTTTTTGAACCACTCAAAAATTTTGATGTTGCTAATGCGTATCATATAATTTAAGCAGATAGGATACTAAAATAACAAAAGTCTTGTATTATTGAAGATTTTCTGTCATTTGTTAAATAGAAAAATATATTCAAATATTTGGTTAAATTCTTCTGGTAATTATTTGGATGATTCATTTGAGATTGACAAGATAAAAGTAATGCAGGTATTTCTCATAGATACCTATTAGAATCCTTAGTATGACTCAATACTTGTGAACTATACACAGAGAAAAAGATAATACAATTACGGGGACATAGAGAAATAAAGAAGGGAAGAATTCTCCAAATGAAGAATAGACGTTTAAAAAATTAAGCAAGTTATAGTTTCAATTACAACTGAAAATACATTTTTCCTATTTTAAAAATATTATAAATGAATTTTCATCTTGATTAATGCCAGGGATAGGAGTAATTTCTTTATAAATATTAAAGCATAATATATTGCTCAATATAAAAAGAAGATGAATTCATTTATGTTCTCTGTAAAAGAATGCTTTTGTTGAAAGGTGTTGCCTTTCCATGTCTAATGATAATTTCATTTATACAAGGCCACACTATTAATACAATCAACAAATGATATTGTTTGGATGTGTCCCCACTCAAATCTCATCTTGAGTTGTAGTTCCCATAATCCCCTCATATCATGGGAGGGACTTGGCAGGAGGTAATTGAAAAATGGGGGCAATTCCCCCTTGCTATTCTTGTGATAGTAAGTTCTCATGAGGTCTGATGGTTATATAAGGGGCTTTCCCTTTTGCTCAGTTCTCGGTCTTCTCCTTGCTGCCACCATGTGAAGAAGGAAGTATTTGTTTTCCCTTCTCCCATGATTGTAAGTTTCCAGAGGCCTCTACAGCCTTGCTGAACTGTGAGTCAATTAGACCTCTGTCCTTTATAAATAACCCAGTCTTGGGTATGTCTTTATAGCAGGGTGAAAACAGACTAATACCGTAAATTGGTACCACAGAGAGTGCTACTGCTATAAAAATACCCGAAAATGTGGAAGACACTTTGGAACTGGGTAACTGGCAGAGGCTGGAACCATTTGAAGGGCTCAGGAGAAGATAGGAAAATGTGAGAAAGTTTGGAGCTTCCTGAAGACTTGTTGAATGGCTTTGATTAAAATGCTGAGAGTGATATGGACAATAAAGTCAGTGCTGAGGTAGTCTCAGATGGAGATGAGATACTTGTTAAGAACTGCATTAGCAAAAAGACTGGCAGCAATTTGCCCTGGTCGTAGAGGTCTGTGGGTCTTTGAACTTGAGACAGATGATTTAGGGTATCTGCCAGAAGAAATTTATAGGCAGCAAAGTGTTCAAGAGGAAGCAGAGCATACAAGTCTGAAGAATTTGCAGCCTGATGATGAAATAAAAAATAAACACTCATCTTCTGGGGAGAAATTAAAGCCAGCTACAGAAATTTGCATAGTAATGAGGCACCAGATGCTGATCACCAAGACAATGGGGCAAATGTCTCCAGGGCGTGTCGGAGACCTCTACGGCAGCCTCTCCTATCACAGGCCCAGAGGTCTAGGAGGAAAAATTGTTTCCTGGGCCAAACCCAGGTGCCCCCTGCTCTCTGCAGCCTTGGGCCATGGTGTCCTGTGTCCCAGCTGCTTCAGCTTCAGCCATGGATAAGGGGCCAAGGTACAGCTCAGGCCATTGCTACAGAATGTGAAATCCCCAAGCCCTGGCAGCTTTCAAGAGGGGCTGGTCCTGCAAGTGTGCAGAAGACAAGGTTGAGGTTTAGGAACCTCTGCCTAGATTTCAGTGGGTGTATGCAAACACTGGGATATCCAGGCAGAAGTCTGCTGCAGAGGCAGAGCCCTCATGGCAAACCTCTGCTAGGACAGTGGAGATGAGAAATGTGGGAGCCCCCACACAGAGTTCCCACTGGGACATTGCCTAGTGAAGCTGTGAGAAGAAAGCCACCATCCTCCAGACCACAGAATGATAGATCCACTGCCAGCTTGCACCATGCATCTGGAAAAAGCTGCAGACACTCAACACCAGCCATGGAAGCAGCAAGGAGGGAGGCTGTACCTTGCAAAGCCACAGGAACAGAGCTGCCCAACGCTATGGGAGCCCACCTCTTGCATCAGCATGACCTGGATATAAGACATGGAGTCAAAGGAGATTATTTTGGAAATTTAAGGTTAAATGACTGCCGTATTGGATTTCAGACTTGCATGGGGACTGTGATTTCTTTGTTTTGGCCACTTTCTCCCATTTGGAGTGGGTGTATTTGCCCCATGCCTATACCCTCATTTTATCTAGAAAGTAACTAACTTGATTTTGGTTTTGCAGACTCATAATAGATAACAGATATAAGACTAATATAGATATTAGAAAATAGATAAAAGATAGATATATTAGTCTATATATATCATATTAGACAAATATAGATAATATTAGACTTTGCAGACTCATAATAGATATTGCCCAAAGAGAAAAGGGAGAGAGAGAGAGAGAGAGAGAGAGAGAGAGAGAGAGAGAGAGAGTTTATTCAAAAGGAGAATAACAGAGAAATTCCAAAACCTAGAAAAAGATATCAATATTCAAGTATAAGATGGTTATATAATACAAAGCAGACATAACCCAAAGAAGGCTACCTCAACGCATTTAATAATAAAATCCAAAATGGAAAGAATAAAGACAGTATGCTAAAAACAGCAAGAGAAAAGTGATAAATAACTTTCAATGGTGACCCATTACATAGAGCAGTAGACCTTTCAGTGGAAACTTTACAGGCCAAGGGAGAGTATCATGGCATATTTAAAGCGCTGAAGGATAAAAGAAAACTTTTACACTGAAATAAAATATCTGGCGAAAATATCCTTCAAACATTGAAAAGAAATAAAGACTGTCCTGACAAACAAAAGCTAAAGAACTTCACCAACACCACACCTGTCCTACAAGAAATGATAAAAAGCATTCTTCAATCCAAAGAAAAGGATATTAATGAGCAATAAGAAATCATCTGAAGGCACAAAACTCACTGGTCATAATTAGGCGCACAGAGAAACACAGAATATTATAATTCTGTTATCGTGGTATATAAACTACCCTTATCTTAAGCAGAAAGGTGAAAATATAAACGTATCAAAAATAACTACAACTTTTAAAGACATAAGACAGTACAAGAAAATATAAATAGAAACAACAAGTTAAAAAGCAGAAGGACTAAGTGCAGAGCTTTTATTAGTTTTCCTGTGTTAGACTGCTTGTCTGTTTAAGCCATCAGTGTTATGTTATCATCAGTTCAAAATACTGGGTCATGAAATATTATTTGCAAGCATTCCAGTAACCTCAAATCAAAGAATATACAATGGATATGCAAAAAATAAAAAGCAAGAAATTAGAGCATGCCACCAGAGAAACTATCCATTACAAAAAGGAAGAGAGGTAGGAAGGAAGGAAGGAAAGAAGGAAGGAAGGAAGAAGGGAGGGAGGGAAGTAAGGAGGGAAGGAAGGAAGGAAAAAGGAAGGAAGGAAGAGGAGGAGGAAGGAGGGAGGAAGGGAGGAAGGAAAGAAGGAAAGAAGGGAGGGAGGGAGAGAGGAAGGGAGGGAGGGAGAGAGGAAGGAAGGAAGGGAAAAAGGAAGGGAGGGAGGGACAGAAGGAGGGAGAGAGAGAGGAAGGAAGGAAGGAAAAGAGGGAAGGAAGGAAGGAGGGAAGGAAGGAAGGAAGGAAAAGAGGGAAGGAATGAGGGAAGGAAGAAAAAGAAGGAAGGATAGAGGGTAAGAAGGAAGGAAGGAAAAGAGGGAAGGAAGGAATGAAGGAAAAAAGGAAGGAAGGAAGAGGAGGAGGAAGGAGGGAGGAAGGGAGGAAGGAAAAAAGGAAGGAAGAGGAGGAGGAAGGAGGGAGGAAGGGAGGAAGGAAGGAAATAAGGAAGGAAGGAAAGAAGGAGAAAGGAGGGAAGAAGGGAGGAAGGAAGAAAAAAGGAAGGAACAGAGGAAGGAAATAAGGAAGAAAGAGGGAAGAACACAGGAAGGGAGGAGGAAAGGAAGGGAGGGAGGGAGGGAGGAAGAAAAGAAGGAAGAAGGAAGGAAGGAAGAGAGAGAGGGAGAAGGAAAGAAGGAAAAAGGAGGAAGAAGGGAGGAAGGAAGGAAGGAAAGAAGAAAGGAAGTCAACTGATCTTTGACAAAGCAGACAAAAAATACACTGTGGAAAGGACACAGTATTCAATAAATAGTGCTGGGAAACTGTATATCCTCACGTAGAATAATTAAATTTGATCCCTGTTTCTCACCGTAGACAAAAATTACCTGAAGATGGATTGAAAACATAAATCAAAAACCCAAAATGATAAAAATTCTGGAAGAAAACCTAGGACAAACTCTTCTGGACATTGGCCTAAGCAAATAATTTATGACTAAGACCCCAAAAGCAAATGTAACAGAAACAAAAATAAATAAATGTGACCTATTTAACTTAGAAAGCTTCTGCACAGCCAAAGAAGTAATCATGAGCATAAATAGACAGTGTAGAATTGAATAAATTATTTGCAAAGTAGACATTGACAAAGGAATAATATAAAAAATCCACAAGGAACTAAAATCATCAATTAAAAAAAACTAAATAACTCATTAAAAAGTGGGCAAAGGATGTGATCAGATATTTTCCAAAGAAAGGTATACAAAAGGCCAACAATCTTATGAAAAAATGTTCAACATCACTACTTATAAAGAAAATGCACATTAAAAAGACAATGAGATACCACCTTGCCCAGCCACAATGACCATTATTTAAAACGCAAAAAACAATGGATACTGGTGAAGATGTGATGAAAAGGAATGCTTATACAGCGTTAGTGAAAATGTAAATTAGTACAACATTTATGAAAAGCAGTATAAAGATTCCTGAAAAAACTGAAAGCAGATCTACCCTTTGATCCAGCAACATCACTACTAGGTATCCACCCAAAGGAAAAGAAGTCATTTTATTAAAAAAAAAAAATAGACACCTGTGTGCCTATTTATCATAGCACAATTCACAATTTCAAAGACATGGAATCAACCCCAGTGCCCATTAGCCAATGAGTGGATAAAGTACTTATTGATGTTTACTTTCTTTACTTTAAAAAATGCAGGGACATACCATGTGATATTTATTTCATAGCATGTGTGTGTGTATGTGTACACACACACACATGCACAAGTTGAATATAGATATATATTTACTTATATATGAGTAAATGTCACATTTGCTCATATATATCACATTTGCTCATGTATATGAGTAAATATGGTATTCCATGGTATGTGTGTATATGTGTGTATGTGTGTGTGTGTGTACATATATGTATACACACACACTATGGAATACTACTCAGCCACACACAAAAAAAACAATATATTTTGCAGCAACTTGGATGTAACTGGAAGCCATCATCTTAAGTGAAGTAACTCGGGAACAGAAAACCAAATACCACATGTTGTCACTTATAAGCAGGAACTAAGCTGTGGGTATGCAAAAGCATACAGAGCGGTGTAACGAACACTGGAGACTCAGAAAGTGGGTAGGTGAGAGGGGATGAGGGATGAAAGATTGCCTATTGGGTACAATGTACACTGTTTGCATGATAGGTACACACAAAGCCAAGACTTCACAATTCATTCATTCACCCATCTATGAAATTCATCCATGTAACCAAAATCCACTAGTATCATTAAAGCTATTGAAATATAAAATAAAATTTAAAAAATACATGAAGACACATACAGCTTAAAGGAAATGATGAATATAAATGTACCATACTAACCTAATAAAAAGAAAATAAGAATAGGTATCTTAATTTTAGACAAAGCAGACATCAAAGCAAGGAAAGTCAAAAGGATAAATGGCATTACACACTTATAAAGAGACTTCAACTGTGATGATAAATTTATCTATTTCTGATCTCTCTATCAGAAATCAACAGATCCACCAGGTAGAAAATCAGAAAAGACAGAATTGAACTCAGCAGCACTGTCCCTCAACTGGATGTAATTGACATTTATAAACTACTTCATCCAACAGCAGCAGAATATACATTTTCTTCTCAAGTTGGCATGGAACATTCACCAAGATAGGCAACAATTTGGCCCATAAAACACATCATAACAAAAGTAAAATAATATAAATCATATGTCTTCTCCTAGAACACAATAATATTATACTGGAAATCAGTAACAGAAAATCTCAAAATGCATAGAGGTTAAACGAAACACTTCTAAATAACATATAAGTAGAAGAAGAAATCTAAGTGTTAGTTGAACACATTATGAACTAAGTGAAAAATGAAAGCACTACTTATCAAAATTAGTAGTATGCAGAGAAAGCAGTGCTTAAAGGAAAATTGTCACAATGAATGCATATACTGTATTAGAAAAGCAAAAAGATATAAAATTAATAATTTAAAATTTCAACATAGCAAACTAGAAAATAAAGAGTAAATCCAACCCAAAGTATGCAGAAGAAAATAAATAATAAGAACTAGAAGAAAAATCAATAACACTTAAAACTGGAAATCAAGAAAAAATCAACTCAAATAAAAAGCGAGTACTTTATTTTTTTTCTTTTTTTTATTATTATACTTTAAGTTTTAGGGTACATTTGCACAATGTGCAGGTTAGTTACATATGTATACATGTGACATGCTGGTGCGCTGCACCCACTAACTCGTCATCTAGATGATGAAAAAGCGAGTACTTTAAAAAGATCAATAAAATTGATAAGCTTCTAGTCAGGCTAACTATGAAAAAATAAAAGAGGTCACAATTTACTAATATCAGAAATGCAGGAGGGAACATCTTTACACATTCCAGGGATATCAAAAGGACAAAGAAGAAGTACTAAGAATAATTCTATGCCTGCAAATTTGCAAACCGAGATGTAATAACCCAATTTCTTGAAGGACATAATCTTCCAAAATTTACATTAAAATAGACAATATGCATTGACCTGTATCTATTAAAGAAATTTAATCAATAATGAATAACATTCCAAAACAGAAGGTACCAGGGCCAGATGGGTCAGAGTAAATTCTACCAAACATTTAAGGAAAAAATTATGCCAATTTTCTATAATATTTTTCAGCAGAAAGAAGCAGAAGAAATACTTCCTAACTCATTCTGAGTCCAGAATTACCCTCGTATCAAAACCAGCCAAAGTCATTACAAGAAAACTAGTCTTGAAACACATATGTAAAAACCTAAACAAAATATTAGTAAATTGAATTCAGCAGCATATAAGAAGAAATATATACCACAACCGAGTGTGATTCATCCCAGGTATGCAAGCAGACTCAATATTTGCAAATCAAGTAACCATTTCATCAACAGGCAAAAAATGAGAAAGTACATGATCACATCAATAAATGCAGAAAAAGCATTTGACAAAACCCAACACACAATCCTAATAAAAACTGTCAGTAAACTTGGAATAGAGAAAAACTTGGTCAACTTGATAAAGAATATCTACAAAAACCTACAGGGAGCATTAAGCTTAATGGTGAGAAACTAGAGTGTTTTCCCTTAAGATTAGGAACAAGGGAAGGATGTCCACTTTTACCACTCCTTTCAACATCATACTGGAAGTCTTAGCTAATTTCCTATGACAAGAGAAGAAAACAAAAGGTATACAGATTGAGAAGAAAGAAAACTATTTTGTTTGCAGGTTATATGACTATGTAGAAAATCCAAAATAATTGACAAAAATTTTCTGAAACTTATAATTATAACAAGTTTGCAGGTTACAATATTAATATACAAATATACATTGCACTTTCCTACATACCAGCAATGAACAAATGGAATTTGCAGTTTCAAATGCATTACGGTTTGTGTTAACATCCCCAAAAACAAAATACTGAGATAGAATCTAATAAAATATGTATAAAATTTACATAAGGAAAACAAACAAAGATAAGTTTCCTATTACATAAACCAAAGAACTAATTAAATGAGGAGAAATTTCATAAGCATGGATAGATTCGATATTTTCATGATGTCAGTTTTTCCCATCTTTATGTATAGACCCAGTGCCATTGCCAACAAGTTATTTTGTGAATATTGATAAACTGATTCTGAAGTTTGTATGCAGGGGCAAAAGAGCCAAAATTGCCAACACTATTTTGAAGGAGAAGAATAAAGTTGGAGAACTGACACTATAGATTTCAAGACTTACTCTACAGCTATGGTAATCAGGACAGTATGGTGTTGACAAAAGAACAGACAAATATATCAACGGAGCAGAAAGCCCAGGAATCTAACCAAATAAATAAGTCAACTGATTTCTGACAAAGAAGCAAAGGCACTGCAATAGAGCAAAAATAGTCTTTTTCACAAATGGTGCTGAAACAACTAGACAGCTCCATGCAAAAAAAGTAAATAGAGACACAGACCTTAAACCTTTCACAAAAATTATCTCAGAATAGATTACAGACCAAAATGGAAAACAAACAAAAAGAAGCTATAAAAGTTTTAGTAGATAACGTAGGATAAACCCTAAGTGACCTTGGAAATGGCAAAGACGTTTTATATATAAAACCAAAGAAATAATTCACAAAATAATTAATTGATAAGCTGGACTTCATTAAATTAAATATTCTGCTTTGCAAAAGACAATGCCAATATCATGAGAAGACAAGGCACAGACTGGGAAAAAATATTTGAAAATACACATCTGATAAAGGACGGCATTCCAAAATATACAAAGATTTCTTAACCTCAACGATAAGAAAGCAAACACCTCGATTAAAAAATGGGACAAAGAATCTAACAAGACAAAGACCTTAACAGACTGTATTAGTTCGTTTTCACACTGCTGTAACAAACTTCCCTGAGACTGGGTACTTATAAAGGAAAGAGGTTTAATTGACTCACAGTTCCGCCTGGCTGGGAGGCCTCAGGAAACTTACAATCATGGGAGAAGGAGAAGCAGACACCTTCTTCACAAGGCAGCCAGAGAAAGAAAACACAAAAGAGGAACTTCCAAACATTTATGAAACCATCAGATCTCATGACAACTCCCTAACTATCATGAGAACAGAATGGTGGAAACTGCCCCCATGATTCAAACACCTCCCTCCCTCAACATGTGTGGATTACAATTTCAGATAAGATTTGGGTGGGGACACAGAGGCAAAGCATATCAAAGACACCTCATCAAAGAAGATATATGGATGACTAATCAATGTTTGAAAAGATGCTTACATTGTATGTCATCTGAGAATTACAAATTAAATCAAATACTAGACTGAGTGGCAAAAATTCAAAACACTGGCAACATCAAATGATAGTGAGAATATGAAACTGGGACTTTAACTCAATGCTATTAGGAATGCAAAATGGCATTTGGTGGTTTCTTATACAACTAAATAAATATTATCATAGAAATAGCATCTCTACTTCAAGATATTCTAGTGGTCAAATTGAAATTACTTAATTTGTAGGGGGAGATTACAGTGCCATAAATGTCAGGAGGGGCCATCTTAGAAGCTGTTTTGCTTAGCATAAACATCCACCTGATCTAAAATATTAGAACCATGATAGGGATCTTGTCCATCTTGTCCACCGTTAAATTCTAGGACAGCTTTTGACATGTTGTATGTTCTCAATAAATATGTGATGATTGAATAAATTATTTAAATACAAATCAATGTGTAACAGCAGAAGTTGGTAGGAAGAAAAGTTATTTGGTCAATGAAGCTATTTCTTCTTTTCTCTTCCTCCTTGTCTTCCTCTTCTTCTTTTTCAGTTAGAAGAAAGACAAAGTACAACATCAAATTTGCACATGCTTTACCATGATTCTCACCTTTGCATTGTGCGAATTTCTTATCTCATGCTACTTAAATTTGTTCACGTCATCTTGTATAAATGAGCTCAGAATTGAAAAGTTAATATTTTAAGCAGAATAGTTTATTTTCAGCAAGCTATCTTTTCCAATATACTGGCTTTCACATTACAATAAACCATGTAGAAAATATATTTTCTCAACTTCATGGATGTTTGATAACAACATCTCTTATTAACTCTAAAGGTTGAATGATGATAAAATCAAGAGCTCTTCAGAGGTTTCTTTAATAGCTTTAGCACCTCAAACACTGGAGTTGTTTATTCATTTTTATGGCAAAATGAAGTTCCAAAATATCTCTCTGATCTTACATTTAATGCAGCATGTGTTGTAAAGAATCAACTGAGGCTATTTTCTTTTCCTAAAAAGTTAAGATTCCAAAAGGGTAATATTAACAAGAATTCCTATATGCATACAAAATAGCAGAATATTATAAGCACTTGCTTCAAAAGGTGGTATCTATAAATGTGGATTCAGTTTTAAATAAATTCAAATTCTATGTTCATTTCAGTATTTTCTCATCATATGCATGTCATTACTGAGAGATAATGTATTAAAAAGGAAAGAAAGGAAACTTGACACATATTTTTGAGCTGCTGTATGTTATGTAGTATGGTAGTTTGGGTAAATGTAGTCATCATAACAAAGCTTTGAGTTAGCTACAACTTACGCATCATAGATAAGAAAACTGCAGCTCAAAAGCGTAACATTTATGAATTAATTTTAAAATAACATCATTTTTATGTGATAGCACTTGGCACAAAATGGTAAACTAGAACAAACACAACTTCTGCTGTCATAGAGCTTATCATATGGAGACAGTAATAAGACATTATTAGTCAATATACTGTTTAATTACAAGCAATGTTAAGTAGTCTAAAAGAAATGTAAACAGTACTACAAGAGCTCAACATAGTTTAGAGGTTAAGGAAGCCCTTGTGAAGATTAGAAAATTGAGTTGAGAGATGGATGTATAGAAGCTAACTATGTAGAATACAATGGTGGATATAGTCTAGGCATGGAGAGTAGCATGTGGAAAATATGTGTGATGAAATAAAAGCATGTCTTATTCGAAGTTCTCAAAGATATTGTGGTATTAGAGTCCAGATAATGATGAAGAAAGGTAAAAATTATAAGACTGTATAGGTAAACAAGAAGGAAAACATGCATGTTCCATAGACCAGTTTAAATAGCATTTTCAGTCATTTTCCTAAGAGAAGAGACATTAATTAAAGGAGCTTAAGCATTAAATAGATTTACACCGAAAATATTATCTCTGTAATTTGGAAGATATCTTGGGGGAAAACAAATTTCAAATCAAGATAGAAATTTCCAAGAAAGTCCAGGCAAAAGCTGATAATATGTTGAAATATGAAAGACACAGAGAAAACAAATACATATAAAACATATCCAAGTGGTAAAAAAATAGAGCTTGGGAATGAAAAAGGTGAAAGAATTGAGACATCATTTATGATCTATTACATTTATATGTCATTCATGAGGGATTATGGCGTGTTTGGCATCAAAGTCCTCAACGGATGAGGTGCTTAGAAGTTTGGTAGAATGAAGAAATGAGCAAAGAGAGAGGGACATAGAGTTTAATACTTTTTTTATAATTTCCATTTTATTCCAGATTAAAGGGTACATGTGGAGGTTTGTTACATGGGTATATTGCATAATGCTGAGGTTTGGAGTGCAAATGATCCTTTCACCCAAGTAGTGAGCATAGTAAACAACAGATGATTTTCAGCCTATGCCCCTCTCTCTCCACCCCCTGTCTAGCAGTCCTCAGTGTCTCTCTTTCTCATCTTCATGTGCATGTGTATTCAGTGTTTTGCTCCCACTTATAAATAAGAACATGTGATATTTGGTTGTCTCTTCTTGCATATATTCACTTAAGATCCTCCAGCTCCATCCATGTTGCTGCAAAGGACTTGATTTTGTCATTTTTATAGATGAATTGTTTTCCACTGTGTATATGAATCACATTTTCTTTATCAAATCCACTTTTGAAGGGCACTTAGATTGAGTCTTTGCTATTGTAAATGGCACTGTGATACAGATATGAGTGCATGTGTCTTTTTGATAGAATTGTTTTCCTTTGGGTTTATTCCCAATAGTAGAATTGCTGTTTCTAATAAGAGTTCTATTTTAAGTTCTTTGAGAAATCTCCAAATGTCTTTCCACAGTGGCTGAATTAGTTTGCATTCCCACGAAGACCGTATAAGCAGTCCTTTCACTCCAAGCCTCACCAGTATCTGCTATTTTTTGACTTTTTAATCAGCCCCACTCTGACTGATGTGAGATGGTATCTCATTGTGGATTTTATTTGATTTATCTTATGATTAGTGACGTTGAGCTGGTTTTTATGTTTTTTGGCCACTTGTACATCTTGTTTTGAGAACTGTCTGCTCATGTTCTTTTCCTGTTTTTATATTGGATTATCTGCTTTTTTTTCTTGTTGACATATTTATGTTCCTTGTGGATTCTGGACAGTATTAGACTTCTGTCAGATGCGTAGTTGCAAATATTTTCACCCATTCTGTAGGTGTCTGTTTAATATATTGGTAGCTTATTTTGCTATGCTGAAGCTTTTTATTTTAATTAGGTCCCACTTGTCAATTCTTGTTTTTGTTGCAATTGCTACTGAGGACTTAGCCATAAATTCTTTGCCAAAGCCAATGTCAAGAAGGGTATTCCCTAGTTTTCTTCTAGAATTTTTATAGTTTTATGTCTACATTTAAATCTTTAACCCATCTTCAGTTAATTCTTGTGTATGGTGAGAGGGGTCTAGTTTCATCTTGTGCATATGGCTAGCCAGTTATCACAACACCATGTATTAAATAGGCAGGCATTTCCCCCATTGCTTGTTTTTTTCAATTTTGTCGTATATTAGATGATTGTATGTGTGTGGCCTTATTTCTGGGTTCTCTATTCTGTCTCATTGGACTATGTGTCTGCTTTTGTACTAGCACCATGTTGCTTTGGTTATGAGTCTATTATTATGAGTCTATTATCTATATTAGATATAAATGTATCTAATATATATTTATATATATTAGTCTATATATAGACTTTTCTATAAATTCTAATATTAGTCTATTATGAGTCAGATAATTTTTTTAGATCTTGTAGGCATGATTCATTGTCTTTTATTCTTTTTCATTTCTCATCTTTCAAGTGTGTATTTTTAGATAGTCTGTCTTCAGGGTCACTAATTCTTTCCTCTGCTAGATCAGTTCTCCCATTAAGAGATTAATGCATTCTTCAGTATGCCAGTGGCATTAATCTACTCCAGAATTTCAGCTTGACTTTTAAAAATTATTTCAATTTTTGTGTTAAATTTATCTGATAGATTACTGAATTTCTTCTCTGTATTATTTTTAATTTCTTTGAGTTTCCCCCAAACAGCTGTTTTGAATTATCTGTTTGAAAATTCAAATTTCCTTCTCTCCAGAATTGGTCCCTACTGCCATATTTAGTTTGTTTGATGAATTCATATTGTCCTAGATGGTCTTGATGCTTGTGAATGTTCTTTGGTATCTGGGTGTTGTTCATTGGTGTCTGGGCATTTTCTGCAAGGGATTCAGTGATGTGAAGACACAAGTGTTGAAGATCCCTTAGTAAAAAAATGGTGTACACCCAGTATGGTGCCCACTGCTACATCTCAAGCACAGGGAGGAGTTAGAGGGACCTTGTGTGAGCAAGGTAATGTTCTCAAGAAAAGTGGATGTCCACTTTTTCCACTTCTTTCAACATCCATTGCACTCTAGCCTAGGTGACAAGAGCAAGACTCTGTCTCAAAAAAAAATAAAGGAAGGAAGGAAGGAGAGAGAGAGAGAGAAAGAAAGAAGGAAAGAAAGAGAAAGAAAGAAAAGAAAAAGACAGAAAGAAAGAAAAGAAAGAAAGGAAGAAAGAAAGAAAAGAAGAAAGGAAGGAAGACAGGAAGAGAAAAGAGTGGTAAAATGAATTTGGAAGTAATCGCTCTTCCTCTATTTTTCAGAATAGTTTGAGTAAAATTGATATTAGCCATTCTTTAAATGTTTGCTAGAATTCAGCAGAAAATCCACTGGTTCCAGGACTTTTCTTTACTGGGAGACTTTTAACTGTGGCTTTCATCTCATTAGTTGTTATTGGTCTGTTCAGGTTTTGGATTTCTTCCTGGTTCAATCTTGGTAGGTTGTATGTAACAAAGAATCTGCCAATTTCTTCTATATTTTCCAATTTGTTGGCATATAGTTGCTTATGGTAGCAACTAATAATCCTTTGAATTACTGCAATATCAGTTGGAATGTCTTCTTTTTCATATCTGATTTTATTTGGATCTTTTCTCTTTTTTTCTTAGTCTGACCAAAAGTTTGTCAATTTTGCTTAACTTTTAAAAAAAACAACTTTTAGTTCTATTTATCTTTTGTATTTTCTTTATTTCATATTTATTTATTTTGCTCTGCTCTTTATTATTTCTTTTCTCCTACTAATGTTGGATTTGGTTTCCTCTTGCTTTTCTAGTTCTTTAGGATGCACCATTAGTTTTTTATTTGAAATTTTTCCTCCTTTCTGATGTAGGCACTTACAACTATAAACTTCCATTTTAGTACTGTCTTTACTGGACCCCATAGGTTTTGGTATGTTGTGTTTTTATTATCATTTATTTCAATAAATTTTTCAATTTTCTTCTTAATTATTTCATTGACCCACTGGTCATTCAGAAGCATATTGTTTAATTTTCATGTAATTGTATAGTTTCCAAAATTCCTCTAGTTTTTAATTTTTAGTTTTATTCCATTGTGGTCAGAGAAGAAGATTGATATTATTTCCATTTTTAATCTTTTGTAGCTTGTTTCGTAAGCAAACATATAGTCTATTCTTGAGAATGATCTATGTGAGTAGGAAAAGAATGTGTATTCTGCAGCCTTTGGATACAATGTTCTGTAAATATTGATTAGTTCTATTTGGTCTACAGTGCAGATTAAATCTGAAGTTTCCTTGTTGATTTTCTGGCTGGAAGATCTGTTCAATGCTGAAAGTCAGGTGTCAAATTCTCCAGCTTTTATTGTATTGGGATCTATCTCTGTCTTTATCTCTAATAATATTTCCTTTATATATCGGGGTGTTTTTGTGTTTGGTGTACATATATATATATATAGATTTAAAACTGTTATATCCTCTTGATGAATTTATGCCTTTCTCATTATATAGTGACATTCCTTGTCTCTTCTTACAGTTTTTGTCTTGAAATCTATTTTGTCTAATATAAGAATAGAAACATCTGCTCTTTTTTGGTTTACATAGGTGTGAAACATTTTATCCATCCTTTTATCTTCATTTTACACAGGTTTTTTATAACTGAAGTGTTTTTTCTTGTAGGCAAGAGATCAATGGGTCTTGTTTTGCCATACATTCAGCCAACCTATGTCTTTTGATTGGAGAGTTTAGTCCATTTACATTTAATGTTATTACTGATAATTAAGGACTTACTTCTCCCATTTTGTTATTATTTTTCTTGTTGTTGTGTGGTCTTCTCTTTCTTCTTTCTTTCCTCTCTGTTTTCTTTTAGTGAAGGTGGTATTTTCTCTGGTGTTGTGATTTAGTTCTGTGCTTTATATTTTTTGTATATCCATTGCATGTTTTTTGCTTTGAGGTTACCATAAGGCTTGCAAATACCATTTTAATAAGCCATTATTTTAACCTGATAGGAATTTAATAGTGTTTGCATAAACAAATAGACGAAGAAAAAGGAAACTAATAAAAATTCTACATGTCAATTTTGTCTCTCCACTTTTTAATTGTTCGTTTATATTTTTGAAAAAATGTTGTAGTTCTAATTTTTGATTGGTTCATTAGTCTTTCTACTTAGTATAAGAGTAGTTTACATATGACAGTTACATTACAGGGTTATAATATTCTAGGTTTTTCTGTGTACTTATTATTTTGTACCTTTAGGTGATTACTTATGCTCATGAACATTCTTTTTTTTTCCTCTGATAGAAGTACTCCCTTTAGCATTTCTTGTAGTACAGGTCTAGTTTTGATGAAATTTCTCAGCTCTTTGTCTAGGACAATCTTTATTTCTCTTTCATGTTTGAAGGATTTTTTCACTGGATATACTATTCTAGGGTAAATGTGTGTGTGTGTATTTTTTTTTCCATCAGCACTTCAAATATGTCATGCCACTGTCTCCTGGCTGTAAGGTTTCCACTGAAAAATCTGCTCCCAGACTTCTTTGAATTCCATTTTATGTCATTTGTTTCTTTTCTTTTGCTGCTTTTAGGATTCTTTTATCCTTGATCTTTGGCAGTTTGATTATTAAATGTCTTGAGGTAGTCTTCTAAACCTTTTCTGCTTTAATGTTGATATTTCTCTCTAGGTTTGGGAAGTTCTCTCTTATTGTTGCTTTGAATAAACTATCTACTCGTATCTCTTTCTACCTCCACTTTAAGGCCAGTAACTTTTAGATTTGCCCTTTTGAGAATTTCTAGATCCTGTAGGTGTGCTTCATGGTTTTTTATAGTTTTTTTCTTTTGTCTCCTCTTACTGCATATTTTCAAGTAGACTATCTTCTAACTACTATTTTCTTCTGCTTGATCTATTCTGCTTTTAATAGGCTATCATGCATTCTTCAGTATGCCAATTGTATTTTACAGCTCCAGAATATGTTTTATTATTTTTAATTATCTCAATCTCTTTGTTAAATTCCTCTGATAGAATTCTGAATCCCTTCTCTGTGTTATCTTTAATTTCTTTGAGTTTCCTCTACACAGCTATTTTGGATTATCTGTCTTAAAGGTCACATATCTGTTTCCCCGGTACTGGCACCTGGTGCCTTCTTTAGTTCACTTGGTGAGGTTATGTTTTCCTGGATGGTATTGATCCTAGTAGTTGTTCTTCATTATTTGGGCATTAAAAAGTTTTATATTTATGTTAGTCTTCATCAGCTTGGCTCATTTGTGCCCATCCTTCTTGTAGAGGGTATCCAAATACTTGAAAGGACGTGGGTGTTGTGATCTAAGCTGTATCTGCTTTAGGTGGAAACCAAAGCCCAGTAATGTTGTGGTTCTTGAAGACTTACAGAGCTACTGCCTTGATGATTTTGGAAAAGATCTTGGAGAATTCTCTTGGTCACCAGGCAGAGACTGTTGTGTTCTTTCATCACTTACTCCCAAACAGTCTCTCTCTCTTTTCTGAGCTATGTAAAGCTGGGACTGGAGTGACACGAGCACCCACTGTGGACATCATCACTGTAACTGTGCTGGGTGAGACCTGAAGCTAGCACAGCACTGAGTCCTGCCCTGGGCCTGCTGTAACCACTCCCTAGCAAGTGCCTATGTTGGCTCAAGGCCCTGGGGCTCTTTAATCAGCAGGTGGCAAAGGTAGCCAGGCCTATGTCCTTCCCTTCAAGGCGGCAAGTTCTCCCAGTCCTGGGTGGGGCCAGAGGTGCTGTCTAGGAGTCAGTGATTAGAGCTAAAGACCTTAGATATCTACTAGTTTTCTATTGTACTGCCACTGAGATGGCACTCACACACAAGATGCAGTCCTTCCCATTCTTCCTTCCCTTTCAAAGGCACAGAAGTGTCACCCCATAGCCACTGACACCACAAGCCATGAGGAGATCTGCTGGACTACTGCCAATGTTCTCTTTAGGCCCAAGGGCTCTTAAGTCAGCTTGCGGTGTATTGTGCCTGCCTCAGACTCACCTTTCAAGACATTGGGTTCACCTCTGGCCCAGCCAAGCTCCAAAGATGCCATACAAGAGTCAAGTCTTGAATTCAGGGACAGCAAGAGCCTATTTTGTGCTCTACTTCCAAACCCCTGTAGCCATGCTGGTACCTAAGGTCCAAGTCAAAGTCCCCTTTACTTTTCCCTCTGGTTTTTTAAAGCAGAAGGAGTTTTGCCCCATAGCCACCACAGCTGGTAATGTGCTGAGTCTCACCTGAAGCCAGCAAGTCTCTGAGGCCCACCCAAGGTCCTTAATGTCATACCTGAGTATTATTGCTGGTTGTTCAGGACCCAAGGGCTCTTCAGTTAGCAGGTGATAAATGTTGCCAGGACTGGGTCCTTCCTTTCAAGGCATTGAGTTTTCTTCTGGCCTAGAGTGTGTCTAGAAATGTTTTCCAGGAGCTAGGAACTGGAACAGGGACTCCCAAGTCTGACCAGTGCCCTATCCTGCTTTGATTGAGCTGGTATGCAAGATGCAAGACGAAGTTCTCCCCAACCTTTCCTCTCCTCTCCTCAAGCAGAAGGAAGGGGTGTCTTTTGGAGATGCAAGCTGTGCAGCCAGGGGTCCGGGGAGGGGTGATGCCTGCACTCCCTTAGCCATGTCTGAGTAGGTCATGTACCTCCCCAGTCCACTGTCACTGGGCCCAGTTCAGACCTAGGACTCGCCTAACAGTTGCAGTCTTTATGACCTAGACTCCCTTTCCAGTTTACTTAGAGATCCAGAGCACTTTGGCACTTGGTGGCAAGGTTTGCACAAACTCAAGTTCCAGTCACTGGGATTAGCAATTCCCCTCTGGCCTGGTTTAAATGCTCCTCCCATTGGTGGGTGTCAGGAGAGTTTGCACCGGTTTTCTTTTCTGCTCTAACAGGACAGCACTGACGTCAATGCCTCACAATTGCTGTGTTCTCCCTCCCCCAGTGCCCATAGGAGCTTCCTGAACCAGGCTGCCATCTGGAGGTGGGGGAGGGTGGCATCTGCAATTCAGGACTGTGTTTTTTCTATCTCTTCAGTACCTCTTTCAGCAATACATGGTTAAAGCCAAGTACTATGAGGGCTCACCTAATTTTTGGTTCTTATGAAAGTGTTTTGTTCTGTGTAGTTAGTTATTAAATTGATGTCCTTGCTGGGATGATGAATGGTGGAGTCTTCTATTCCACTGTCTTGCTCTGTCTCCCTTCCATCATAAGTCTTCATTAAATATGGCTAAAATTCTTCCCAAACAGCTACATGAAAATCAAGACCTTATAATGTATTATTTTAACTCCTAGAGATCTTTGACTTATCCAGACCAGATATACCTGAATAAATACTCTTTCACAAGGGAAAGATCTTAGATTGTGTTAACAGAGCAAATTATACAGTAAAATATCAGCAATACTGCAAATACGTAACCTATAGTGTAAGATAGGTCACATTCCCTCTGGATAAGGAGACAGAGGGAAATGGGGGTGGAACTTCTCTAGAAAGAGTTTTCCTTCCAGGAACCCAGGAATATAGTGGTATTTAACTGGTTTGCTTACCAGTTTGATTGTCAACAATAAACATTTATTTAGGGCATTATCACTAATGGACACTATTTATATGTAGAGTCATTTTGAAGCCCTACCTAAACAGAACAGGACTAATGATATGGGAGCGGGGCAGGGAAGTGCTGCGGAGAGAAGGGTAGTGTCCCTGGCGAGGGCTCCACCCTCAGACCTGTGTCCACAGACTTAAGTGAGAACAGGCACTCCTGTTTTCATGCACAAATGTTGCATTTTCCAAGACCACTCTGGCCCGCTATGCTCCCCATCTTGTGCCCATACAAACCTGAGAGACCTCAGCAGGCACACACACAAGTGGCTGGGCATCTAGAGGAGCAGAAGAACACACCGACAGACACCAGCAGACACTGACAGACCATCGACGACGCGGACACCGAGGGGAATTCAGCAAGGGCCAGTCAGAAGAGAGTACTGCGGCTGGGTGGCCCGACTCCGGAAGAAGACCACCTTCCCACTTCATCACCGTTCTGCCTCCCCATCCATCTCATTGAGAGCTACTTCCACCATTCAATAAAATCTTGCACTCATTCTCCAAGCCCACGTGTAATCCGATTTTTCCAATACTCTAGGGCAAGAACCCGGGATACAGAAAGCCCTCTGTCCTTGCCATAAAGTAGAGGATCTAATTGAGGTGATTAACACAAACTGCCTGCAGATGGCACAGCTGAAAGAGCATCCTGTAACACGCTCAATGGGACTTCGGAAGCTGTAAGCACTCAATCCTACACACTGCTGTGGGGTTGGAGCCCAAAAAACGCTCCCCAAGACCTGAAAGTTGGAGCAGCGGGCACCAAAGAAGCAAGCCACAACCCTGTTGCAGGCCCTGCGAGGGGGATAAGGGAACTTCCTTCTCCTGTTTCACTGGCATATTAGGAAATAAATAAAACTCCTCCTTTTTTCATTTACCTCAATTCTTTTTCCTATGGTGTCAGGATGGGGAAATTAAGAAAAAAATGTAAGGCACTGTTCTTCCTGTGTTATTCGAAAAAAAAAAAAAGGTTGCTTCAATAGAGCACAATATAATAGAGCTTCAATAACATCACAGTTATTTTCTTTGAGTTCCAACATCAATAGTCTATAGTTTGAGCAAATCTTGAATATATGGTTTTATATTGTTTTTTACAATAGCCATTATCAGGATTAAAAACTCTCCCTTATTGTAAAATAAATTGAACTTAAGTCAACATTTATAATGAAGTATAAATTTATTTTTATAATAAAACAATGAAAAATTATTTATAGAAATCCAGGTCTCTAAATTTAGAGGACTAATTCTATGTTTTATTTTAAATTGTTAATGGATTTTTTTCCTGCTTAGTCAAAAAATGGTGCCAATGATTCCACAGTCTGTCGTAACATTCCATTCTCCTAGTTCTATTGCTTTAGTATTGACCTGGTTGGATCAAGATGAATCAAAGTGGTTTGTATTTATTAACATTCACTCATATATTTATGAGATTGTTTCTGATTTTTTTGATATATGTTGATATTGAAAATATTTTATGTCACTGTTTTTCTCAAGATATATCACAAATAATTTGAATTTAAAATTCCAACTCTAGGGTTACTCATTTCTTCCTGTATCTTGGTCCAGTGTTTGAAAGCCACAGCAGGCACTATAAAAGTTACCAACACTTAATCCCTCTACTCTAGTTTACAATATTGTAGAATCTAGACCTTTATAATAATATTTTCTGCCTAAAGATGCAAAAGTTAATTACTAACCTCAGCTTCTGCTAAAGCTGTTAAATATGCATGCTACATATTAGATTAAATATATATCCTTCTAACTAACTTTACATAATTCAAGTACACAAAAATCTGTTCTTTAAGTAGCAAAATTTCAATCTTTTGAAATGTGACAATATTTAATGTATATGTGTGTGTGTGTGTGTGTATGTATACTTTTTTACATTTACATATATACATATTCTGGGTATTCATAATTGCTCCCAAATTACTGTAAAATTTTCAGCTATTATGAAATTAAATTAGCCCCTTAAACAGTGAGAAAACTAGACAAAGTATATGAAACAATTTTTTCATCACTGAGCTCTAGCCAGCATAGGACTATGACTCATGAGAGAGGGAAAGTAATGAGGTAATTCCTGTGATACTCTGTTTCTTCTGTCTGGAAGCACATTATGGAATTCTTAGTAGAGATTGAGACCCCCAAGCAGAGCATAAAGTTTTCACTAAGTGCATGAGACTGAAATTGATTTCCAATTATAGAATTTGCAAGGCAGTTTCCCAGAGAAAAGGGAACTATGAATAATAATAACCAGCTGCAGAAATTTGCATACAGTCACAATTGAATCTTTGTAGAGTATGAAGATGTGCTTGAACACAGAATCAATAGGCTAAGCAAAACATGAGTGGGAAGCTATGAGCTAACTAATCTCAAGAATTCACAAATTGCTGGTAATTTTGCAGGTTCTGACAAGCTAGAGAGAATATCGGGGTATTTATCAGAGATCAAATAAAGGTCACACCTTAGTACAGAGGCTGAAGTGTCTCTAGAGTAAAAGCTAGCTTAGACCCTCCCTAATAAAGCTTTTTAAGATAAGATTTTAATTTATAAAACTGAAGTACAATATTTAATTGCTTCCTAGAAAAAAGACCAGTACTCTTTAAACCAAGCTCTTCCAACCTGTACTGGCTTTGAATGCAGCCCAACAAAAATTCATAAACTTTCTTAAAACATTATGAGATTTTTTAATAATTTTTTTGGCTTATCAGCTATCATTAGTTTTAGTTTGTGGCCGAAGACAATTCGTCTTCCTCCAATGTGGTCCAAGGAAGCCAGAAGATTGAACATCCCTGCTTTAAACAAACAAACAAAAAATCAAGACACTTAGCAATGTAAACTATACAATGTCCATCATCACACTAAAGAATTATTAGATATACCTAGAAGCAAAAAAAATATGATCTGTAATAAGAAAAAAAATTAGTCAATAGAAACAGACTCAGAAGTAAATTAAGTGAAAGAACATGCAGACAAAGAAATTAAAAATACCATTATTACTGTGAACAGGTTCTTAAAGAAATGCATGAACACAGTGATGAGAGAAATAGAAAATATAGAAAAGAACTAACTGAAACTTTTTGTAATAAAGACTAAAATGTCTGAAATTAAAACAAACAAAACACTGTAGATTTAGACATTGTCCTGTAAGAGATTAATAAACATGACAATAAATATAATACAAAATGAATAGAAAAAAGTATATAGAGAATGAATGTAAACACAGCCTCAGTTTAGGAAAATACAAGTAATTTCATTATATTTTTATTTTACACCTTATGGCACTAATATAAAGTCATCAAAAATTTCAAATTACGTCGTGTTATCAGATATCTTGTTTATTCCTTACTTTAATAGGAAACCTCTAGTTTTTTACTATTGAGAGAAAAAACATTATAGACTGAATTATAATTAACAATATTAGGTGGACTGATTGGTCAGGGAATATTATTTTATTAGCAGAGTGTGAAGAATTAACTCTATCAAATGACTTTTGAATATTGCTATATGATTTGATTTATTTTACACTGAGAATTTTAAAAATTCTAATTATTTAATTGCTGCCTTCTTAAGATTAGTTTTGCTTGGCTTTGGTGAATTCTCCTTTAAATTTAAATGTTAAGAATAAATTGGTGGAATATTTGCTAGTGAATTTGAGATGAGACGGATACAAGAAAATGCCTTGTGGACACATGAAATATGATGAAGCGGTTGGGTGAGGGTTATTAACTAATCAAGAAATTACTGATAAGCAATTTGTCATGATGCAAGATTAATTAGAACACATATCAAAGATGACTTTTAAGTAACTTTATGTATTCATAAAATTTAGACATTCAATTCTGTGCTTATTTTTGTGACTTCCATTTAATTCTTGTAACCCATAACTTAGCTGTGGTAAGTTTCAATTTACTGTTAGTTTTTAATAAACCAAAAGTTAAAGAACTTGTTATGTAGAAAAATAATTAAAACATTGATTTAAACGAACCAAAAGAGACTTCTCAGAGCAAAATAATGCTGTATATAATTATAAAAACTAAATTAAATAACATGTAGCCCCTGCATTTATAGTAGACACAAATTAACACAAAGGGAAACTGTGAATTTCAATTTATATCATCTTTTCAAATCTCCTAGGTGAAGTTTACAGGCTAAATAAGTAGCTAATATGATTAGATATATGAGAATGTTCAGTAATAAGGCCAAAGATCAAAACTAATCATAAGAATTATGAACAGGAAAGAACCTGGAGAGTTATGGTATCAGCTAGAAAAAATTAAAACTAAAATTATATGAACTACAGTTTCAAAGATCAGCAATGATGAGAAAAAGAAAAATATATGTAGTCTATATCTAGCCATTGAAAATTGCATAAATTCTTTCTCTACTTATTTCACTAATGTAGCTAACACTTATTGTTATTGTGCTTAGAGCTGTAAGCTTGAACCAGAACTTCAAGAAATTCAAGTGATGTGTTTTATCATTCAACACATTGTATCCTAGAACAAAGGTATAAAAAATAGGATAGGTTTCTCAGTATATCTTCCCCCAAGTTGCTGCTTTTAAGGATTCCTCTATGCTCATCTCAAGTTTGCAGGAAACTTACAAGCAAATATTACATTTTCCCTCTCATTAACCAAATAATTCTTCCACATTTGCTTCTACTTTTTCTTCTTACCAGGTGTTTCCCATAACTTCCACATCAATAGCTCATCACTAAATTGTTTCATATTAATAATTCCTATAAATTATCTGCTTCACTGTGACAGAAATGGTGGCATTTGCCTGAGTTTCCTGAATTCTACTCTGCCACAACTGAAGATAAATTCAATGTATAATAACTAAGAAAACAAGGAAGGAAAGGCAAAGTCTTTCCTACAAACCTAATTAAAGTATGATATACATCTATTTTCCACCAGATCTGAATGTACACGTGTATACGTGTGTGTGTGTGTTTGTGTGTGTGTGTGTGTGTGTGTGTGTGTGTGTGTTGGGAGGAGGTACAGAGAGGAGTTTCCAAAGATTTTAGTAAAACATGTGACTAAGAAAAGACAAAAAAAAAGGAAAGAGATCACCTTTAAGAGACTTAACCATTTCTCTCATGATTACAGCTCTTTACATTCTGTTACCAAACCTAGCACTTAAAGGTTTGTAAACTGGAATCATCTTTAAAATATATATCTTCATATCAAGGCTAGAACAATGGAGCAGGCAACTAGAAAAAAGCACTGAGTTTATCTTTAGAAATCCAAATCTGCATATTTTATTTTCTTAATTTATTTCTGGGAAAGGCAATGACCCTTAGCCTGAAAAATATTCAACCTATGTTGCCTTCAAGTCAAGTCCTGTGCCGTGTCTGAAATTCTCATTCTCAGTGTTCCAGATAAATGTGCTGTTTATGTGAAATGATTTTCAGAGAGGAAAGAGGTGACACCACCTCTAGTCTTCCCATGAATGGGTCTGAAAATCTATGAGTGTATATCTAGACCACTGTAGTACTAACTAGTTGAAATTTGGGCATTCAATAAAGGCAAATGAACCTTCATTCTTCATGTGATGTTTAACTTTATGTTTCAACTTTGGCTAGGCCATGGTATCTAGATATTTGGTAAAATATGTCTATATGTCACCTGGGAGTGTATTTTTAGATGATGTTAACATTTAAATCAGTAGGCTTTGAGTAAAGCTCATTACATTCCCATAATGTGGGTGGGACTCATCCAATAAGATGAAGGCCTTAAGAGAAAAAGACTGAGGACTGCTCAGACTGAGACTGAGAAAGAAGAAATTCTGCTTCCAACTGCCTTTGGACTCAAACTGCAACATCAACTCCCCACTGTGCCTCCAGCCAGTAGAATTCCAGACATCTCCAACAGTCATGTGAATCAATTATTTAAAATAAGTCTCTCCTCTTTATTTTGTATTCCAGTGGTAGTAATTACACAATTTTGCTGATGAACTTGTAGTGGGTTGTGAGAGAAAACAATCAAGGGAGAATAAAAAGTTTGGATCTGAGGAACTGAAAGAAAAGTATTGATTTTGCAGAGAGGGAAAAAGCTGCATAAATAGCAGGTTCATGGGATGGACAAATCTAGACTTCAGAAGTCGTAAGTGTAGATAGAAATTTGACCATTGTTAACATCAGATTTAAAATTTCTTAAAGAGACCACAGGCTTCAATATGAATCCTCAATGTGAAGTCCTTTACTATGTGCCAGTGTCAATACCAGGGCTCTAAACACCTCTCTAAATTCCAGGCATGGGTATCAATCCACTTGCATGAGGCTGGTGAGACAGAACACTCACATAACAAGTTAAGCAAAGCAACTTTTTAATTCACAGACAGGCAGCAAAGGACAACAGAAGCCTAGGGTTCATGGTAAGCCAATTCCCTAAGACTTAAGAAAGCTGTCCACTGTGGATGAAGTTTTGTCTGCACATGCCCCACTTTGCACCACAGCTGAGAGGTGGTAAAAGCATAATCTTCCCTTGGTTTTATACCAGGGGACAACCTGTACTGGGCTATAGCATTAAAGGACATCCTACTCTAGGAGAGATTAAAACAGATTTTGGGCTTTTCAAGCTAGTGTCTTTTCATCTCAGAATTTTGCATTCCAGGCATATTCTACAGTTATTCTTGAGAACTACAAGTGAGAAAGGAGGAAGAACTGAGTTGGCCAAAGCCAGCTAGAGATTTGTCTTTCATGAAGGATCTCCAAATGGTAGACTTTAGAATGATGGAAAGAAACTATCAAAAAATCTAAGATACAGTGACTACATGAGTAAAAACAAACAAACAAACAAACAAAGTAGGAATATATGGTGCCCTGGTAAACCTGTGTTTCAAAGAGGAAGGATGATCAAATGTATTAAACAATTCTCATAAGTTTAGTCTATGAATTGACCACTAAATTTGGCATGCCGAGCTCATTGCTCATCTTTGTATGAGTGGCCGTAGGAGGAGGATAAATGGAGTATTTTTGGATTAAAAAAAAGGTGAGAAATACATTGCAGACAGCTCGTATAGACACCTGTTTTAAGAACTTTTGCTAAAAATTTTGAAGAAATTGAGAAATAAATAACGTTATTCTTTCGCAAAACTTTCCTTTACCTGACAAAGCAAAACATGTTTTAACATCTTCCGAAAGACATTCCTACACTCTTTCTGCTCAATAGTTGGTTAACTCAATATGAATCCTCCAAGTATTTGGAAAAAATTAAAATAACTTTAAAAGAATAATTTGAATAAATTTTTAAAATGATTTGCTTAGGGTCTATAAATGTGTCTTTCCAAGTACAAATTTAGATGCTCAAGTTTAGCACCCACCAACTCTAAAAGACTAAGAACATCTACTCTTTTGAAAATTATAGGTCTTGCCAAGCTTTTACTACTCTATAAAGCTCTGATTTAAATAGTATTTTCCTAATCTGGATAACATTTCAATCTCATAATTATCTTACTGTATCAACTCTTTTGCAGATAATTAATTATCTCACCTACCTATTGCATATCTAAACTGAAGTGCTTAGCAGCCAAGCACTGTATCCTCTCTCTACACCCATTCTTTGCAATACAAATTGAAGGATTTTTTTTTTCTAAATAACTTAAAGCAACTTAGAGAGGAGGCTTAAGAGTGCTATTATGGGAGGGTTGATAGACATAGCATGTATCATGATATTTGAGCATATTATATTTTTGCTTTCAGGTAATGCTGTGCAAAGTAAATCTTGCAGTTTGCAAAGCCACTTTCAAGTTCACAGAGCCCTTGATAAACCCAAATTTAACAAAAGCGAAAAACAGAACAGGACATGATAACAAGATAAAAGTGCATGGGGCCCAAAGATTCATCCATTGAGATGCAAGGAGATGGACAGATTTTTTCTGGAGGAAGATATTTGTGTGTGTGTGTTGGGGAGGAACGGCATTAAAAATATTTACCAGTGTCTATTAGACTTTGAAGCTGTCTACATTAAAATCATGCAAGATGTAGAAAAATAATAATATTATTCAGAAAATGAAAATTATGAAATAAAATAGATATGATCATATTTTTGTTTCCGCTCAGGGGACAAATTTGATATAATAATATAAATATGATGATGGTATTTAATTTTATTATCAACTGGTAGACAAGCAGACAATATTTAAAATGATCATACTATTGAATAAAGTTTTTAATTAATTATGGAAAAATAAAGTTAAAATTAACAACATTTTATGAAAAAATTATTGTAGTATTGTAGAAATACAGGAAAGTGAATGAAAAGAATAAATGGGATGGAGAGTAGTAAAATAAGCTGAATGAAAAGTATCAGAAGAACACTACGCACCTATAACAAAGAATGAGTTCATGTCCTTTGAAGGGACATGGATGAAGCTGGAAACCATCATTCTCAGCAAACTAACACAGGAACAGAAAACCAAATACCACATGTTGTCCCTCATAAGTAGGAGTTGAACAGTGAGAACAAATGGACACTGGAAGGGGAACATCACATACTGGGGACTGTCAGGGGGTGGGGGTTAGGGGAGGAATAGCACTAGGAGAAATACCTAATGTAGATGACGGGTTGATGGGTGCAGCAAACCACCATGTATACCTCTGTAACAAACCTGCATGTTCTGCACATGTATCCTAGAACTTAAGGTATAATAAAAATAAAAAGTAAAAACTGTAGAAAGCCCAGAAACAGACCCCTATGTTTATGAAACTTTGCTACAAAAGATGTCCTGGAAGACCACTGAGCAAAGCAAGGACTATAGAATAACTGGAATATAAATCATGAGCCATCTATTAAAAGACATGAAAAATGTAAAATTAGATCTGTACCTAATTGCATGTGAAAAATTAACTATAGCTGTTTTATATATCAGGAGTAAACTTAATAAATTTAAGAATATACAGGTGCATTTGTTCATCAAGAAAAAAGTAACTGCTTAGACAAGACACAAAGATTGATACATTTAACTACATTAAAATTTAAAACTTTGTTTTATAAAATGACACCTTAAAACTATAAGATAATAACTAGGAGATATATTCATAACATCTGTAACCAACAAAGAAGTAATATTCATAAATCCTGTAAAACCAATTTGAAAGCATACATATCCAATGGACAAATTGGTAGAAAAAATGAACAGGAATTTCACAGGTGAAACAGTTATAACTAACAGATTTTAAAATAAAGTTTCAACTTTACTATTAAACAAGAAAATGCAAATAAAGACTATAATGCAATACTATCTTATTCATATTCAATTTGCTAAATAAGAAATATGAGAAAAACACACAAGGGAAAGCATGTAAATTAATCATATCTATTACACATTTCTGGTAGGAGTCAAAATGGACAGAACAAAATGGAAAAAAGTTACATTATATGATAAATATGTTGATACCTTCTGGCCTGCATTCTTTGAGGTAAACACTCAAGAGAATGTTTTGCACATAAAGAAGACATTAACAGGAAATTGTTATTATGGTAATAATGTTATTAATATTAAAAAGCTTGAAAACAAACAAAATGCCTACTGACAGGAAAGTAAAAACATATCTTGGTATATAATACAATGGTTGATAATATAGCAATAAAAATAGAATGAACTAAAGAGACATGCAACATTTTAGGTGAATATTGGTAACATTAATGTTGAGTAAAAAATAAGAACTTCTACAGCACTACACGTGGTATGATACCCACTACAAACAACTGGGCTGTCTGTGATTTTCTTCTGAGGACATGATCAGGAAGATGTGCTTACATAATAGATAGTGTCTGTTGCTAATCCAAAACATCTGATTTTAAAATGGAACATCTCCAGGTAATATTAGTAGAGGGGAAAGTCTGCCACCATTAGGAGTTTTAAGGTTAATATTTATTGAGGAAATATACTTCCCCATTTTTTTCACACATATAATTGCAATTAATCTCCCCAAATAACTATGCAAATTGACATAATTATGCCAATTTTCTATATGCAGAATGTGGAGTTAAGAAAGTTTGAGGAATTTGATTTATAGAAAAATGGAGCCATGACACTTGGAGGCCTACTCATACATTTTACTTTTATAGACTAAAACAACTTAAAAATATTGTTGACAAATTTGGCTCTTCTATTCACTATTTATTTACCTAATAATTATACATACAATATGAATTTATATGACAGGTTTTATTATGGTGATTGTTTTTGTTCCTGATACACTGATTACATTAAGCTTATTTTTTTTCCATATATGGCCTTTTGTTATTTTAAAAAGCAAACAAACGATTCAATTAAGAACTTACTATAGCATGATTCACATGAATAAACTGACTTTCCAACCAAACAACAATGAAATGACCTGTTTCTTATATCTATTCATGTTTTTCTCGCTAACTCTTCAATCTACCATCTCCACAGAGGTTTTCCTGTCTGAGGACACCATGATTTCTTTCCTATTTAAATTTTTATAGTTTTATTACACATATATGTATGATTTAATGATATAAGATTAGTTTTGATTGGACATTATAAAATATCATGTTACTACTTCAGGACTTTCTTTTTGGCAACTCACGATTAAGTTACTAGGATTCTTTCATATCATTGCATAATTGCACCTACTGTAATATATGCCATCGTGTGAATATACGACTTATGTATACATTTTTCCTATCAACAGACATTTTGATTGTTTTCAGATAATTAGTTTTTAAACTACCACCAACAGATCAAAGCTATAAACATTATTGTCCTTGTCCTTTGGTACAGATGTTCCCATGCGAAAAACAGTACCAATTTTGTTTTTAAAGTGTTCAGCACTTCCTATCCCTTCACAATGACCAAATAATCCTACTGATCCACATCTTCTCTAATATTTGGTGTTGTCAGACTGAATTTCTGCCAATGGACTGCATGTAAAATCTTACTTGAAAAGAAATTTTGATGTTCATGTCCCTTAAAATTAAAGAGGTTTAGCCTTTCTTCATATCATTTTTTTTTCAGCAATTGGTGTTTGCTCTTCTATGAACGTCTTTTCATGACTTTTTATTTTTCCAGTTTTCACTTGTTATTTATTTTTTGTATTATTGCTTTCTAGGAGTTTATTATTCTTGGAATTAATTACTGACTTATTCATTCTGTCACTTTGAATGCATGAAATATAATATATAAGACACAAAATAAAGTATATATGATGAGCATGTAATGTTATATGTGCGTGTGTGTGTAAGTGACAGTGGGGAAGCCAAATAGATTTTCCCTGTTGCATCACTGTGCATAGTCTTTCTATGCTACTGTTAGTATTAACCTTAAATATCTAAAATTATTTAGCTAAGTTTAGGAGTTATCCTTATAATAAATTTCCATGTGAATTTGCCCTAGGACTGAAATTCTTTACTGCTAGTAATAAAACAAAAGAAAATATTTGCTAACCACCATTGTGGTCAGGATAATGCATCAAAAATACAGAATAAAAATTATAATACAATATTATAGTAGGCTAGGACTTTCTTATATTTTATCAACATCTATTGGTAAACAATGTTGCCTTCATTTCTATCAGAGAAGAAATAGGTTTGCAGGATAATGTTATAGCGTACAAATCTCTTAAGCTTTGCATGGGTTAGCAAAGAACATTTTCCTAAACTATGGGGAAAAGTAGCTATATCATATACACATTTTTTCTTGTCTGGCTAATAGAATATGAATTGTTCACCTTTCAAAATGTTTTATGAGCCTATAAGCCTTTGACCTTTTTATTACGTTTTTATTATTACACCATCTAACACAATTATATTTCCATTGCCCTCCTGTCAATGATCTTCCTCATTCTGGTGATAAATCTTGCTCTATTGAATTCTTCCTTTTATTGCCAACCTAGCACTGGAACTGTTTCATAGATATTCATTTTATTTTAAACAGTTATCAATACCTTTCAGAATCTGAATCCTTTAATGAATGAATATTTCCTTAAAAACCTATTTCTTTCAGTGTCAAAATGATCAATTATCTGGATCAATTTTCCCTTCAATTTCTAAGCTTACAGTTTTAATATACCTATTTCTGACATTTGAATCAAAGAATACAATTATTTTATATTAGAATAATATATTCTGTATATTGAAAAAGTGTAACATTTGACTTTCTATGAGGAAGTGTTATTTCTACATTTGAGCAATTCCCTCTTTTGCTTTGGCTTGCACCCTTAGTACCTTGCCTTGCTGCAATTGCTAGTCACATTTCATTTTTCCTAATGGTGTTAACTATAAAAATGGTAGAATGCTGTTTTCCCACAATCTTATTGTTTTATTAAGGAGAAGCACATTTGTAAATATTTAATTAAATGTTTTGAGGCATAATTTACTTTTATAATATCATTTATAAAATAAATAACATTATATCTAGAAAAGAAGGAAACATTATTTTGACTACTTACAGAATTCTACAATTTTCAGTAGGCATCTTATTTCTCTCTGACTTGTGATGATATTTAAAATGGATATAAAACAATTTAATGAGTATATTTCATAATGCTTGAAATTATGGGCCCAAACCACCCTCTTAATATTATCACCCTAAACATTTCATGTACACTCTGGGAATCAGTTCACATTGTCTCAACCTGAAATAAATCATGCATTGCCTTACAATGTTAAGGGATATGTTCTGAGAAACGTATCCTTAGGTAATTTCATCACTGTGTGAACAACACAGAGTGTACTTATACAAGTTTTCATGATATATGGTACTACACACCTAGGCTATAGAGTATAGCCTATTGCTCCTAGGCTACAAACGTGTGTGGCATGTTACAGTACTGAATACCGATACCAAATGTACACAATGTTGTATTGCACGAAGATACAAACCATTACAACTATAACACAATGGTATTTGTGTATCTAAACATAGAGAAGGTACAGTAAAAATACGATATAAAAGATTTTTTTAAAACCTCTGTATAGGAAACTTACCGTGAATGGAGCTTGCAGGACTGGAAATTGCTCTGGGTGAGTCAATGAGTGAGCGGTGAGTGAATGTGAAGTCCTTGGATATAACTGGGCACTACTGTAGACTTTACGAACACTATACACTAAGGCTACTCTAAATATTTTAAAAATAAATTTTTCTTCTTTTGATAAATTAATCTTAGCTTACCGTAACGTTTTTGCTTAAAAAATTAAACATTAAAAAACATTTTTATTTGTTTTTATTTTTTTGGAGATGTAGTCTCGCTGTTGCCCAGGCTGGAGTGCAGTGGTGCGATCTAGGCTCACTGCAACCTCTGCCTCCCGGGTTCAAGCATTTCTACCTCAGCCTCCTAAGTAGCTGGGATTACAGGCGCACACCGCCATGCCCGTCTAATTTTTTGTATTTTAGTTGAGACGGGGTTTCACCATGTTGCTCAGAAGCTCTAACTTCTGAGCTCAGGAAATCCGCCCGCCTCAGCCTTCCAAAGTACTAAACATTTTTATTTTTTTTTTTAATTTTTGACTCCTGTAATAGCTCTTAGCTAAAAACACAAACACTTTTTACAGCTATACGAAATATTTCCCTTTTTATATCCTTATTCTATAAGCTTTTTTCTATTTCTAATATTTTTCATTCTTTATTTTTACTTTTTAAACTTTTTTGCAGAAACCTAAGACACAACTACATGCATTAGCCTAGGCGTACACAGGGTTAGGACATCAATATCACTGTCTTCCACCCCCACAGCTTTTCTCATTGGAAGGCCTTTAGGTCAATAACATGCATGGAGCCGCAATGTCTTCTGGAATACCACCTGAAGAATCTGCCTAGTTTTTCAGTTATCTTTTTTTTTTTTAATAAATAGAGGAGTACAGTGTAAAATAATGATAAAAAACGATAGTAAATACACAAACGATCAACATAATCATTTATTATCATTATCAAGTATTACATATTTTATATAATTGTACTTACAATATTTTGACACCCTGACAGCCCAGTAGGTTTGTGTACACCAGCATCATCACAAAACATTGAGTAATCTATTTCAGATGGACTTTATGATGGCTTTTATGTCACTAAGCAATTGGAATTTTTTAGCTCCATTATAATCTGATGGGACCACATTGTACATGCAGTCTATCACTATGTTGCACATGACTGTATAACTCCCTCCATGTTTTGACTGGCTCAGGGAATTTTGCTAACAAAGTTTAATCATACATACAGGCACCATTTCCTAAAATAAATAGTTCTTCAAGACTCTAAGAGCGTTGATCTTGCTGTGATCTGAGCTTCCACCATGACTGTTTTTTTTCCATTAAAATCTGTGATATGATCTACAGATGTTATATTGCTAATATTATACTTGTCTCTCTTCCCAGGACATTGCAAATTATGTAAATATAAATATATTAATAGTTACTGTCTTAATCATTTTTCTTTTCCTAGGATACCTGATCAATAATTAGTTCAGTACTTAATACTGAATATTTACAGGTGAAGCAAGTAAACATGCAGTTTATACTTTACAGGTTAATTCAGCACTGGGGGAAAACAGGACATTTTTAATAATCTGAACTGCCTAATTTACTATCACATACTTTAATCTGCAATTAATGCCAAACTACTTAAAATAGTATCCAGAATGCTTTACTGGTCAAAATTATTTCTGCTTTACTAGAATTACCTAAGCTGTTCTTAAGTTCAATAGGTATTTGTCATACAACTTAATTGATATATTTTTATTATTAATTCAGTAGGCCTGGTGTAACTTTTTTGCTATTGGAAGATTTCACCAATTATAACATATAGCCCCATACTCTTTTCTATTCTTTTGATGGTGTGGTTATGTCACGGGTATGAAATGCATGTATGTGTCATGCACAGATTCTAACCTAGTTTGTTTTTTACTTGATTAAAAGGGAGAAAATCTTCTAGTTCTATGGGGAGCAAATAATGTTATCCCCACTATTAATTCTTAGTAATTATAGGACTGCTAGAGTTGGCTGTTGAGTAGAAGAGGGTTGATTATTAAATATATAATATAAACTTATTCAATTGCTCACATTATAGTTTTCCTTGACATCCAAGCCAACTGGGAAACACGTTTGGCTTAATGATGGAATTTTCAAAGGAGTATAGAGAAGATTTAGCTAGGTAAAATTTAGTGAAGGTCAGATTCTGCACAACGTTCTGCAAATGTATCTCAATTTGTTTTGATGGATTGCACTTGACAATTAATTAGGACCTTATGGATAAACATTAAAAGGTAGATTTCATTAGCAAAAAACATGGTTCAGCCCTAAAAGGTCTATGCCTTTAGAATAATAACACTGAACACAATAGTTTTCAGACACTTAACTCACAAAATATTTCACAAGAGTTCAGTGTAAATGCATGCCACTTTAACTTCTCTATAGCAGTTAAGTCTTAACTGAGGAATATATATATCTTTCTCTTCAATCAGATTCTCAATTTTCACTAACCTTCTACAGTATTCTTGTGTATTTTACTTCTACCTTCCACTTTCATATCTTAAATTTTTTGTTACCAATAAATACACCATTTTTAAAGTTTTGGCTTTCATCACTCCACTACTAGACCACTACCTCCTAAGCATTTTTCTCTGTTATCCCCATGCTAATATTTTCTAAACCTTTTCAAAGCTTCAAGTCCATTAACCCTACTCCTCTTACAAAACAAACAACAGCAAAATCTTAATGACTTCTCTCATTTAAAAACCACTAAGTGCACAAATTGAAGATAAGCACTGAAAAATCAGGAGTTAAAACAGTTGGTCTATGTTTGTCTTGCTCCTTTTGGGAGGGTGGTGGAACCCCTTTGAGGGAAAAGGAAGAGAAGTAGGCACAGATCCAGGCCCTTGGCAACTGAACTTCCAGGTAAATGTTTGTTAGGAGAAAAGACCATTATCTATTGAATAAACTTACCAAGATGCTCCCTCCCCAAAGGATTTCTTATACTAAATAAACCCCAGAATCTCTGAAATGGAGCTTTCTGAATAATATCATAACCTACACAATTGTCTGAAATATAAAATGCATACATTTCATTCCCTAAAATTCTGCTTTCTGTGTGAAATGATTTGCAGACATAATTAGAGACTCAGTTTGTTATTCTGGGCCAGATAGCACATGTCTGATGTGGAGAGACAGGACCTAGGGAGTTTTCCCCACTGTCCTAGATCTCTCCTTAATTTTTTGAGCCCCTTTAATTACCAATTACTTGAAATTTTTAACATTATCTTCATCCCTGATTCAAGTAATACTGATTATCTGATACTTTGATTTAGCTCATGCACTTGACATTTTACAGGAATTCTGCTTCATTTCAATGAGTATGTTTACTTTCTTAGTTGGCTAAACAAATATTTTGTACATTCTCTTACCTCCTTCAATGTCTAACCCACCAAAGCAATTCAACAACTTCACTTTACTCTTAAGAACAGGGACATAATTAAATGTTTTTTCTGTAATCCCATAGTGCAAATATATCAGCTATGGTATTAATAAGAAATATATTTGGTCTTTGCCTCTGGTTCCTGGCCCAGAGCACCCCAAACCTTGGAAATTTCCTGAGTAATAGAAATGTCTTTTGTTATGTCTAAGAATTCCATTTTGATCATACCTGAATTTTTGTCATTGAGGTGACTTAGTGTGGGGCCCGTTGATAAAACCAAATGGGATTGGTCACCAGAAAGACCAAGTGAAGAGACGGCTGAAAGTTTTTCCCTCACCTACCAATTCTGGGAAGGAATGTGGAGAGCAGGAGATTACACTCTGCAAAAATTCTTGGACAGCAAGATTTGATGTACTTCTGAGTTAGTGAATGCATCCATGTTCTAGAAAGGTGGTGCACCTCAGTTCAAAGGGACAGAAGTTCTCGCACTGGGATCCTTCCAGACCTTCACCCTACATAATTTTCATCTGGCTGTGCATCTGTGTCTTTTATAATATCTTTTATAATAAACCAGTAAATGTAAGTAAAATGCTATTCTGATTTCTGTGAACCATTCTAGCAAATTATGGAAGCTGAGGAGGAGATTGCAAGAACCCTCATTTTATAGCTAGGCAGTCAGAAGTATAAATGACCTGGACTTGTGATTGGCCTCTGAAGTGGGGGTACTCTTTTGATACTGAGCCCTTGACTTGTTGAGTCTGATTCTAACTCCAATTATAGTGTCAGAATTCAACTATTAATAATTCATAGGGCACGTACTTGGTGTCTCAGACAATTGGTGGTTGGTGTTAGAAAACATCCTAAATGAGCCTAACAGCTGTAACTAGACTATCACTCTCTTCTTTTCCTCCTCTTCAAGTGAATAATACATTCCTGATAATCTAAGGCCAACTCCTCTCTTTGTGTCCAAGATTCAATATATTCTAATCATCTTAAATATTTTGCTCTTCCACTTACTGTCTTTCTCCTGCATCATCAAATTAACTTTCTCTATTTGATCATTTTTATTAGCTAACATGGTCTATTACTTTTACTAATATGTTTTCACATTTAATGCATAGCCTTTCTTTACTTGCCACTAAAGCAGGTCTCTGCTCCTGTTCTAGAATACCTGTTGGAAGAGTTGTCCCAAACAATATCCTCTAATTTCCTACTTCCTTGTCCTCCCTTAATCCAGAGAAATCAGACCTCTTACCACATCATTCCACTAAAATCTGTGTTGTAAACTATCTTCTATGTTCATCATCCTTGACTATTTAACTGCTTCTTGTAGGCATGATCTCTCTTATCTCTTTGAGAAAAAAAAGTTTCATTTAGCTTTTATGACAATATGATCTGTTTTCTGTCTAGATCCAACTGCCTCATCTCTATCTATTTTGCTGGATCATTTGAAAAAATTATTGTTAAAATTTAGAGTACCCCAAAGCTTGGCCCACTGCCCTCTTCTTTTCTCCACCTACACTTCTTTGTAAGAGTTCCCTCATTCAGTGCCGTCAATGAAATTAACATCATACATTCAAAGATAACTTTGCTCTTACGCATCACACGTATATTTCAATTCCCAATCCAATGTTTCCATTTAAATAATCTATTCAGATATTGCATACTTAACTACTTAACTTGTCCAAAATCAACCTATTATAGTTGATTCAATTCCCAATCATTTTCTTTCCCTTCCCAGTAGTCTTTTTTTGTTGTTGCTGTTAATTTCCTGTAGAGATGGGTCTCCCTATGTTGCCCAGATTAGTCTTGAACTCCCGGGTTGAAGCAGTCCTTCCACCTCAGCCTGCTAAAGTGCTGGGATTATAAGCCTGAGCCACTCCACCGGGCTCCCAATAATCTCTAGTATTCACTCACTCACTCAAGCTGGCATCCTTAATCCCACTATTTCTCTCACCAAGGTCTTTATTCTTATAGTTCTCATTGTCTTGAAACCTGACCCTGCACTCTCACCCCTAGATCGACTGGGAAGTCCCTCACATCATTAACTTCTCAGTTCACACGTTAACTCTGCTAACAGCTTTTTCCTGATAACTCTAATCTAAAATAACCCTTCTTTATCTATTTATTTCTTCTAAATTATCTCATTTTATTTTCTTTGAAAATTATCATTGTTAAATTTTTTTTGTATTTATTAACATATTTGTTTTTTCTCACTTCTTGCTGCAACATGAGAAGTATCAGAGAAGGGACCTTGTTATCTTTGTTCAGAGCTTTTGTGCAGCACCTATCCAACATATACAAAATTGTTTTGGCGGCCGGGCGCGGTGGCTCACGCCTGTAATCCCAGCACTTTGGGAGGCCGAGGCGGGTGGAACATGAGGTCAGGAGATCGAGACCATCCTGGCTAACAAGGTGAAACCCTGTCTCTACTAAAAATACAAAAAATTAGCCGGGCGCGGTGGCGGGCGCCTGTAGTCCCAGCTACTCGGGAGGCTGAGGCAGGAGAATGGCGTGAACCTGGGAAGCGGAGCTTGCAGTGAGCCGAGATTGCGCCACTGCAGTCCGCAGTCCGGCCTGGGCGACAGAGCGAGACTCCGTCTCAAAAAAAAAAAAAAAAAAAAATTGTTTTGGCATGAATTAATATGCTGCCAGAAAATCAAAGTCTGATTTACAGCTCTACCAGTAACTAAGTTCATGACCTTCAATAACACACTTAACTATTATGCACTTGTTTCCTCATATGTCAAAATAAGCATATTAATATATACAAATTTATAGCACACTTACAGAATCCACGATATAATGTCAAGCACTATGCTTGATGCTTACGATTAGCGTCCAAATTTTTAAATACCTTACCACTACTCTTAGGCAAAGTATGCATAATGTAAAATGTCTAGTTGACATGTGGATGTAAATAATCTAAATGTATTAGCTTTTATTTAGAGATCTTATAACATGTAAAAGTTCTGTTCCACACGTTAACACATGTATTCTTCATAATAATGCTACAATATAGATCAAATAGTATCCCTATTTTACAGATTAGAGAAAATTGACATACAAAGAAGTTAGGCTGTTATTGATGCCTACTTATGTATAAAGTGGTCTGGGATAGATTTCCTTTTGAGAAATCTGGCTTTAGAAAAACCCTCTTAGCTACCAAAATATATAGAAATAAAAGTTTTTGGGTATCTTCACAGTCATTCATGTGTGTGCATAGGTGCTTGGGTGTGAGCATATGTGTGCGTTGTGAGAAAATAAAAAGAAAGAAATACAGTAAAATTGAAAAGGAGTAAAAGATATTTGACAAATTAGATATGAACTTGCCCAATTTTTTATTTGTAAATGAATAAATTTTAAACACAGGATTTATTTTTTCTCTTTTTCTCCTCTGAATTTTCTAAGGGAATGTACCATTGTTTTATGATCACTGTTATTTGCATGGAAAAGATGACAAATGATGAAAATAATAAAATTCCAAAAGTACTTTGACTCTGGAGTCACCAGACCAGGTATTCATGGTAGATGCTGCGTTCTCATTTAAATGTTCATGTCATTGTACTACATTTCTTCATTTTATTACATGATATGAAATTAAGTAGTGCCAAAACATTTTCACAACATTTAATTATGTTGATCATTTCTTTCTTTAAAATTATATTAAACTGTTTTAGTCTGTGCTTTTTGATGGAGACTAAAAGCTTTTAGAAACACTAAATTATTTCTTCTTACTGAAGCAAAATAATATCTAAATTGCCTAAACAGTTTTATAGACATAACTGAATGTGCAAAGTGATTCCTGGGGTTGTAGCTGTGTGATTCCCATTATAGTCCATGAGGATCACTGACTTTATCAGGAATCACACAGCTAAACCCTCATGTAACACTTCACAAAACTTGAATTAGGGTCTTTTGATTTAAAAAAATCATATTGTACCTTTAAGAAGACACTGGGATTCTTTGTAAATTTTATTCTTTTATCTCCTGGATTTCCATCCTTTTTTAGATCATTTTTTGATAAATAAAAATTTTTAAAAGTGGATTTTGGTTTTTCATAAGTACATGCGTTTATAAGCAATGAAGATAATTTTGTAAAATCAAGTTCATTTAAACTGATTAGATATTTAGTTAAACTAACACAGTAACATACCATCCTTCCTGAAAGTCATCTAATACAATAAAATAGACAAAGAGTACAATAGAACTATTTAATGAAACTCGGAAACTAGCATAACTCATAACTAGCATAACACATGAGGCAATTATATATATATATATTATACATATATATAGTATCTGTATGTTTGTCTATATAATATATATGCAGATCTGTATATACACATCCACATACTGTATGTATATAGTATTGCCTCATATATATCTGTATGTTTACACAGTGTAAAATGCTCCAGAAGCATTTAATTTATCACTGTGATGGTTAACTTTGTATGTCAACTTGACTGGGCTAAGGGATGCTCAGATAGCTAGCAAACTATTTCTGGGTGTGTTTTTGAAGGTGTTTCCATAGGATATAAGCATCTGAATTGTTAGACTGAAGCATTCCAGTCTGGGCAAGAAAGCAAGAATCTGTCTATAAAATTAAGATATAAAAAATGGTTTTGAACCAAGTAGCTGCTTTCTATAGGCATAAAAACAAAACAAAACAAAACAAAACAAAAAACATGTAATAGAAAGGATATCTCACTCCTGCTTTCAAAACATATGTTGTTGGAGCACAGATTTTTGCTATGATGGAGCAAATATTTAAATACAATTATAAAAGATTGAATCTAAAATATTTTAGAAGAATTCAATGCTAAAATAGAAAAAGATATAATATCTATAAATGTTACCAGCTACAAATGAAAATTTCTCATACAACTAAAATATAACAAATCCACATAAGCTAAAAATAACTGGAGAAAATATTTGCAAGGTATATTGAGAAATACATTACCAGCACCCAAGAAGTTTCTTATTGTATGATCATCACATTTTTGTGTGTGTGTACAAATTAACTGTGATTATACCTTCTAATACCATAGATTACTCTTGCATGTTTTTGATATTTGCACGCATGGACTCACACAATATAAATTCTTTTGTACATAGCTTTTTGGTTCAACATTATGAAATTCATTTATGTTACATATAACTGTCATTTGTTTATTATCATCTGTCTAAAGGGATATTTGGTTGAATTTGCTAACAAATCTTGTGACGTTTAACTGATGAATATAACTGATGTTTTAATAAATTCAGCCATTACTAAAATCTCTGTGTTTAAATTTTTTGAAGTAGGAACATATGTGTGAAATGTTTTCTTTCTTGCAAAGTCTATTTCACTAAACAGAGGAGAAATTTTAACAAATTAATTTTCAAACATAATGTTGAGAATTCTACCTCTCTCCATGATGTAGTAAAATAGAGTATATTTATCACCTCACCTTAAATAACCAACAAACAAGACAAAACATGTGAAACAAGAGTTTCACATACTGGACAATAGATAATACAGGACATTTACTCCTGAGAGAATGGAAGTACCTGGGATGAACCACAGAATTGGCTGAGCTAACCGATTGCAGAGAGATTACAGGCAGCAGTAACACTGATGCGGATTAGAAACACTAGAAAAGGCCAGAGGTTCCCCAGAGTTGAGAACACGAAGTTCAGAGCTCAATAAGCCCAGACATCCAGAGATCGCATGCTAGAGTACCAAAGGGGAGAAAACTGTGGAGAGAACTCTGGAGATCCAAAGAGAGTTCCTCTCAAGTCTTTAGCTGAATAGTGAACAGGTCACGGATGAAAAGAAACAGAGCCAGGGAAACAACCACTAAAAAGGAGCACGTAGAGAAATCCTCAGACTCAAGAAGACCTGCAAATAATTCAGGTACTTATAAGTCAGAGTAGAAATATCTCCTACACGAGAAGCATCAAGTGAAGTTCTGAAAAGGACATTGCCTTAGTACTGGCACGGAGGTAGCCCTAGACTTTGTTGTATCTGCAAAGCTTAAAAGCAAACCTCTTAAGGATCAAGCATTTCCTACTCACATAACCAAATTCCACAACAAAGTTCTACAATATTTAAAAGGATACTGAGTATTCAGCATTCAACCATGCAGAATACATAATGTTTGGCATCTGATAAAAAAATTAGCAGACATGAGAAAACGTCAGTATATTCAACTCATGGTAAGGAAATCAATTATTGGAAACAGATTCAAAAATAATGGAGATTATAGAGGTAGTAGCCAAAACATTAAGAAAGCTATTAAATGTATATTACATCTGTTTAAGAAGGTGAAGGAAAGCATTAGTTTGAAGATGACAGAAGCAAAAGATCAAAAATTAAAATTCCCAAATTAATCTTCTGGAGCTAAAGATATATTTTAACAGAATATTAGAAACTTTAGAAGAAAAAATAGTACAGAGCAATACAAACTATTCAGCTATGTAAACTGAGGAAGTTCTAGACTTCTGCTGTAAAACGTTCTCACAGTTAGCAATAATGTCCTAAACCCCAAAAGCTTTGTTAAAAGCTATATTTTATGTTGTGTAGAACTGAGAAACCCATATTTTCATGGTGCTTTTTTCACCACAACAAAATAAATAAACTGTTGGTACACACAACATGGACAATTCTCAAAATCATTAGGCTGCGCCTTTTTTGAAAGCCAGGCTGTGTGATTCCATTTGCATTAAATATTTGAAAATGCAAACTAGTATACAGTGACATTTAGATTATGTATATATTGGAATCTGGAGCTGTAACGAAGGGAAGATGAGTTTCAAAGAAACATGAGGAAACATTTGGGATTGATGGAAATTTTCATAATTTTGATTGTGGTGGTGGTTTCACACTTACAGACATCATTGTAAGACTGTACACTTTATTGTACATCAATAGTACCTCAATACAACTAAACATATTTTAAAAGTATAGATAATGGAGCACTGAAGAATAAAAAAGCCACGTTTGTTCCTTTGCCCTTGACCTGTTGCACTGGCAGGCTCTCACAGTCACCAGGGTAGGTTTAACTCCTGACTGGTGTTCTGTGTTTATTGCCGTTCCTGGATTAACAGCCACACATAGTGATCTCAGTTGCATAAATAGCATTAGGGTTGTACTTCAGACATCTCCTAGAAAAACTATTTGAGTCATTGTAGCTAAAAATTTTAGTTTTCCATGTTGCTGTTTCCCTTGGGAAATGATAGTGTCGGCAGCAACCCTTAGATATTGGCTAGTTCTTTTGTTTTGGAGCAGAAGTTTATACTCAGGTAAAACAGTTACATAGATAGATAGATAGATAGATAGATAGATAGATAGATAGACAGAAATGTTGCTGTGCAACTTACCAAACTACTTGAAGGAAATTGTAAAATTATTCGCTTAATCTTCTCACTCCTCAGGCTCACTCCATGTTCCATGAAGAGAAGTATTCTTTTCATTTTATTCACTAGCACATATGGTAAGATACCTGGCTCCTTGAGCTCTGTCTAAAATATAATAGGGACTTGATAAACATTTGTTGAATAGGTGCATAACTAAATTACTTAGACAAGAGTGCAGTACTTTTCTGTTCCGTGCTGTGCCTCAAGTTCACCTTCCCCTCTCTTCTCAGCAGCTTAACTGCCTCACATTGCTCATTAAACGCAATGATCAGTTTGACTGATCATAGTATGTTTTCACTCACAAGTACAGCATACCTCATGCTTTTTATCAAAGTCCTATTAAACTTTTACATTGCAGACCCAACTCTAAATGATTCAGATCCAGCTGGTCTGACTTCTTGAAATTTACATATTTGGGGAACATCCGAGGAGACAAATATACTGACATCGGACATTTTGAGAAACACTGCTGTGGCACAAATCAAACGTTTACAACAAGGTCCTGAGCTGAATGTTAGAAATAGGTGAGCTACACTTGTAAGTGGGAGCTAAATGATGAGAGCACATGGACACATGGAGGGGAACAACAGACACTGGGTCCTACTTGAGGGTGGAGGATGGGAGGAGGGAGAGGATCAACAAAGAATTATTGGGTACTAGGCTTAGTACACCCAGTACTAGGCTGGGTGACAAAATAATCTGTACAATAAACCCCTGTGACACAAGTTTACCCATATAATAAAACTGCACATGTACCCCTGAACCTAAAATAAAAGTTAAAATTAAAAGAGAAATAGGTGAGCTAGAAATGGCAACAGCAGCACCACGCAGTCAGAGGTACATCCCACCGGGTTGGCATGCTGGGAGCAGCAGCAGCAGCACGCAGGATCATGCAGCAAGAGGGGTAAGAATGAAAAGAAAAGGAGGATGCCATGGGCAGGAAGCAGTTCCAATACAATGTCAGTAGGAACGACTTCTTCACCTCCTTCATGAGGTTCATGTCCAAACATGACACCGTCAGACACCCTGACCAGAAGACTGAGAAAATCCAGCTAAAGAATATTAGAAAATGTAGGCAAGATCTGTGTGGCATCATTAGCAAAATATTATTTCTAAAGATAAAAAAAAGAACCGTAAAAGAAAGTTTTTAAAAATTATCAAGGCTGTTACAAAATACTATCCAAGAAAATGATGAAATAAAGTGATACTCATGAGGACAGCCGAAGCTTTCACTACTTTAACTGATGAACAGTCCTGAAAACATAGAAAGAATTTGACGACATAGCAAGTACTTGAGCCATAAACTTTAGCAGTGCTTTGATAGTTTTGAAAGTCAATAAGAAAGACACAATTTTTAGTTTTTACTCAATGCATGTTGAAATTTATGGTTATCTATTCAGTTTTTCCATGTTCTTGGTTATATCAATGTGCTAAAGAGGAGACCAGATCCTAATGTCTATAAGACAGATTTGTGTATTATTTGTTCATCGAAATAAAAATATAAGTATATAATATTTTGCCCTTAAGTTTAGCTGAATTTGAGCCCCAATATAACAACAATCTACTTAGCATACTAAGTGATAATATTCTAATACTACAGCTGATCAGAGATGATTACCTTTCACAATGAAGCCCCTTTTAGCTACCCAGTTTGAAGAATAGAATTCTATGATTATCTCATATGGCTGGGATTAAAATCTTTAGATGTTCAACAATGTATATTAAGATAATATCATGGAGTACTTCAGTAAAAAAAATTATATAATCTCCCCAAAAAATAAAAATGAACCAAAGTTGAGAAGCAAATCTTTTGTTTCAAACTTGGCATCCTTAGAAACTTTATGAAGCTTTCCTATGAGATTACTCATGTAGCTTCAGCTCTTCAATTGACATTTTGCCAGTCACTGTTGTTGAAGAGGATGGTTGAAATGGATTGTAGTAATAAATTAGGATGTTGCAAGTATACAGAATTTATAGAAATCTAAACAATCGTATCATCACAATCTATTGACTTTGAAGATGAGAAATATGAATATGTATAACTATACTTGAGAAACTTTCTTATGTGATTGTAAACCAAAAAGTGCAAGTGGTAGAGAAAGAAGATAGTATCACAGAAGACTCCTCCATGCAGAATTGATTAAATTTTCAAGGCAGGCAATGGCAGACGTTTGAGAAAGATCAGCTTATCTGCACTGCAGAGAAATAACCAGAATAAAATAGGCAAGTTGATACTGACAAGAACAGATCAAAGAAGAGGTTGGAAATAGAATCCTAAGTATCTAAGAAAACTGCTAAATCAAAAATATATATATATAAGTGCTCATGCCATTGTTCCAGTGAAATAGGATCTACAGAATCAGGCAGATGGGGTTATTGAGAGTGAAACTGCAGTAAACAAAGATGAAGTAAAAGTGTCAGGCGATGACACTGATTTTGATAAAGAAAAAAAAAAAAAAAGAAAAAACAGCAGAAAAAGAAGAGAGGTTCCCAAAATAAAAATGATGATGGTAGTAGCAGAGATTTTGATGAAAAAGAAATCAAAGCTCGTGCAACACAGTGGCAAGAAGTACATCAAAGTATACAAGGGAAGAAGAGAGCTTTACTGAAAATCAGATCATCTTATTTATAGTCTGTACTTTCCTGAGAACTAACCAGAATGATGGTAGCTATATATTACAGTTACGAAGGAACAGATTAATATCTAGGTGATATCGCATGAATATCAAATGTATAAGGAAAAGAGAACTGGAGATTTCTTCACCAGGTAAACCTGGAAATTGTCAATATAGAAAATCAAACACAGCGGGGGGAACATAGGATCACCTAGACCAGGACAAGAATTAGCACTTTGAAGATCACTTTAAGAAGTAGGATAATGTTTTCGTGCATTTCAAAATGTTATTGTTTTAGGAATGTATAATAATCTGTAGATAGCACAGAACTGATTTGAAGGAAAGTATTCAATTTTTTAGCAGAAATATTTACCCTAAACAAATTAGGCAGTGGAGATGTCTTGGTAAAGCCTGAAAATGGCTTAAAGATTATAAAAGCTTTTAAAGTGTAGTATAGTATATTTGTTTGATTTCAAATCATGAAAAGTCATTTTTTAAATTGTGTATCTAGAAATGTGGACTGTGTGTTGTCTGATTAACTTATAGTCCCAGTTTTAAAAAAAAGTATGTGAAAAGCATTTTATAAATGAGCAACCATTTGCATTCTGTTTTCGATTTTGCAAACATTTTAACGTAAACACCTCAAGTATGTTTTCAGTAACATCTGCTTAAATTTTAATTTCTTCATAAGTGCTGTTATTTATTTTATTTATTTGTAGGATATTTATAATAAGCATATGTATAAAAGCTTCATTCACAGCTTTACTCTTTTTTAAACTACTATGGTGATCACTTAGCATTTTTTTATATTTTACATAATATAAAGAGCTACATTTTGGAATGTGCCTTTGCTTAATTATACAATTACCAAAAAATTATGAAAATGACCCAATAAAGCCAGAATGTCTCTATTTCAGCAAAACAATGCAAAATCTAATGCTTTCATAAGCCAAATGCATAAAAGATTATGAGATAATGTATTATCTGAAGTTAGTGGTTTATTTGTACATTTTATTAAATGTACAATATAAATGTATAAATATATATTAGTTTTTAATAGAGTTTCTGTCGTTAACAGAAACTCTTTCGAGGAAAAAACACAGCATGTAAAGAAAACATTTTAAAATTTTTCCCTTATCTTGAATTATAGTCAAAATCTTTGCCTTGAGTTATGTTTGTGATGGCATCTTTTTCTCTCCACCAAAATGAATATATACAGTGAAGTCACTTATATATTTTTTTCCAATTGAAATATTTATAACTTTGTATTAGTCAGGGTTCTCCAGAGAAACAGAACCAATAGAATACACACAGACACACACAGACACACACACACACACACACACACATATATATAGAGAGATTTATTATAAGCAACTGGCACACACAATTATAAAGGCTGGCAATTACCAAATCCTGCAGTGTGAATCAGTTAGCTAGAGACCTAGAGGAGCTATGGTTTAGTTCCAGTCAGAATCTAAAGGTCTGAGAACCAAGAGACCTAAATGTATAGTTCTAATCTGAAGCCTGGCGGGTTCAAGACCCAGAGCAAGCCAATGTTTCAGTTTAAGTGTGAAAGCAGTAAAAAAAAGCCAATGTCCCAGTTGAAACACCATCAACAGGAAAAATTCTCTCTCATCCAAGGGAGGGATGGCAGTTTTGTTTTATTCAGGACTTCAACTGATTGGATGAGGTCCAGCTGCATTATGGAAGGCAATCTGCTTTACTCAGTCTACTGATTTAAATATGAATCTCACCCAAAAACATCCTTTCAGAAACACCCAGAAAAAAATGTTTGACCAAATATCTGGGCACCCTGTGGCCCAGTCAAGTTGAACATGCAATCAAGCATCATAAATACTGTAGATAAGTGTACTAATGTCTCTGTATAGTATAGAAAACACTTGAGCATGAGTTTCCACTTTAAACAGTGCAGTTTGTAAGGATAATTGTTATACAAAACAGACATTTATGCAAATGAGTCAGTTATGTAAGATTAATGAATTTACTATTAAATCTTGAGTAATCACAAATTTACAATATTACAGAAATGATTACAACACATTGATCCAAAGGAATATTATTATTTTGTTTCATTAAAAGTACAAAGGCAACAGTACTGTAGTAGAACACAAATTTGTGACCTTGTTTACTCAAAAGTTGGACACTATATTCAAATTTACTAATTAATTATGTTATTAAAGTAGCTGAAAATACAATTTGGAAATGGAAAAAGGTGAAAGGATTTTTGTTAAAGCTCTTGAGAATAATACCAAAAACCCCACAAAATTGCAACTTAAAAAAAAAACTTTAAAAATCCCCAAATCACATTATTAAGATAATATATATTTTTTATTAACTAACTGCCCAGCACACATCAATAATGTATTTCTCCTACATCTTGACTGCATATTTTGATTATCTCTTTAAATAACTAAAATTTGATAATATTTGCATAGAGAAAATATTTAACTTGAATGAATAATAGATCAAATTTGTTATTTTGTTTGCATTACAAGGTATTGCCACTTTTTTAGTGTTACTATGTTTAAGAGTTCCTCTATAACTTTCTTTCAAAAACGTATATTTTAAAGTTGGGAAAAATAATGTAGTACATTTTTTAAAAGATATTTTGCCCTAAAAATAAAAACTTAGCTCTGAATTTGGATTTATTCTGAGCTAAATGTTAGAGATAAAATGGTAACCTAGAAAAGACCTTTATGCCCATAATTTTTATTAACTATTGCAAATATCATAGTTTTACTACCTCCTAGTTACATTCTTTGTGTTATCTAGGGGTGGAATATAACACAATAAAATATTTTAATATATTAGATTACTTAGGGCTTTCTAACATGAACAGCTAGAATTTAGAATAAAGCAACTAAAACCTCTTTATATTATTTGAAGGAGAGGAAAATCCATGGACTCTATATTTAAGAAATCTGAATTGGCATGGCATAAATAAGATTCATAAATCAATTTACGTTTCCAAATTAGTTTTGATTCCATTAATTGGTTCTTAGGACGGAAATATAATGGAGTGAGTAAAATATTCTGTTCCTAATAAAATAGAACACTGTTTTACATCAAAAGAGGTTGTCAGTTTCTGAAAATATGATAGACCAGATGTCTGAAGATAAGTTCTAGGATAGCAGTTATCTTATATTTTAACATGTTTCATAAGATATATCTTAACAATTATTTTCAGCTACATTGTTGAGCTGGAGAGATAGCAAGAGAAATCCAAAGAAACCAGAATCAAGAATATTGGGAGGCTGAGGTGGGAGGATCACTTGATCCTAGGAGGTCAAGGCTACAGGGAGTCATGTTTGTGACACTATAATCCAGCCTGGATGACAGAGTGAGAACCTGTCTCAAATAAATAAAATAGTAATAATAAAATTTAAAAGAATACATATAAATAAGCTTGCATCAAAGCCAGAATTGCATCAAAGCCAGAATTGCATCCAAGCTAGAACCTGTGAAATGGGTTCAATCTTTTTTTTCAATGTTGCAAACAAACTTTTTGCGTTGGCTGTGATTGTCATAATACTGAGAAGGATACACTTCTGTGTCTGCTTTTAAATCCAGGTCATGAGAAGTTTCTCCATATCTAATCTAAGTCATTCTCAAAGTTTTGTAAGCTTCTTTGCCTTCCATCAAGCAGATTCTGTTTCTTGGTTTGGTTTGGTTTTGTTTAGAGACGAAGTCTTGCTCTGTTGTCCAGGCTGGAGTGCAGTGGCTCGATCTCTGCTCACTGCAACCTCCGTCTCCCAGGTTCAAGCGATTTTCCTGCCTCAGCCTCCTGATTAGCTGAGATTACAAGCAAACACCACCATGCCTGGCTAATTTTTGTACTTTTAGTATTTACGTGGTTCACCATGTTGGTCAGGCTGGTCTCAAACTCTTGACCTAATCAAGCAGATTCTTAAACACCTTCTATGACTTTGTTATTGTTCTTCATGTTTATAGCTATGATAAAATGAGACTGATGAGCAATAACCACCCCTGATTTTCCACCTTTGTAGTCCTTAATCACTTTTAATTTTGTTTCCCAGTCAATCACTTATTAACAACACCACCTATTGACAACATTAGTCATGGATTTTGTATCCCTTGGATCATGAGGAACAAAACAACAAAAGATTAAACCAAGCACAAGAGAAAATGAAGCAATCAAGTTACACCATAAATGAGATGTATGAGGCTGCTGCCAACATAACACAGCAAACTATTGTACAGTAAACTTTTTTATAGGTAGAAAGAGTACACTTCAAAATGATGATGAAAAGTATAATATAGTAAATACATAAACCAGTAACATAGTCAATCATTATCAGTATTGATGGAAGCAGCAGCCCATCTGCAGTGGACGCTAACATGACACTGGCTGCAGTGAGGGAGGCGTGGCCAGGGCTGTGTGCTCCATGGAGCCAACAGGAGCTGGGAACAGGGGGAAGCCTTGCCTGCTTCCAAGTTGGAGGGGTGGGTGCCCTGCCCTCCTGGGTGCAGCTGCAGCTGCCCAGCCACAGCTGCAGACCTGGACATCCCTGTGCTCTCTGGGAAGGCCCCCACCCCTGCAGGCTCAGAAGGGCCTGCCCCCAGTGCCTGGACACCCCCTCCTCCTGTCCTCCACTTTGATTTTGGAGCAAAGTTGAGGCTGAGCTCAGACACTGTTGCAACCCGTCCAGGTGTGCCTGTGCGCAGGGTGGTGCTGACGTGCCAGCTCTCTGCTTCCCTGGCCCCCTCCAGACTTTGGGCCCTGACAGCACAGGAGAGAGGCTGAGGGGGTACTAAGGGCAGCTCAGCACGGACCTGCAGGCAACCCTTGGCCTGAACAGCCTGGACTCTGTGGATGGCATGCTGATGGCAGCAGTAGGCTGACAGGCTCCTGGGTGGAAAGAGGTGGTTTCCCAGTGAAGCCCCACCTTCAGGCCTGGTACAGGGTGCCAGTTCCATGGACTAGAGTGAGAACATATGGTGCTTTTTCCAGGCCCACCTAAGGCTGTCCATGGACCAATCAGCACACACTTCCTCCCCTCTGAAGCCCGTAAAACCCCGCTCTGCTGAGAGCTGAACAGAAGTTAGGATGTCCTGCCTGTGGAGAGGACCTACCCACTGTGGGTCTCCTCTCTGCCTCGTCTGCCCAGAGCTAAAGGGATGTTGGGAGGACCTGCCTGTGAAGAGGAGCTACCCACTGTGGGTCTCGCCTCTGCTGAGAGGTGGACATTCATTGAGATGACCTGCCTGCAGAGAGGAACTACCCACTGTGGGTCTCCTCTGAGCTGTTCTGTCAATAAAGCGCCTCTTTGCCTTGTTCACCCTATGCTTGTTCATGTACCTCATTCTTCCTGGAAATGGGACTCAGCAAATGGCAGGGCTGAAAGAGCTGTAACACAAACAGGCTGAAACACTCCCCTTGCTTGCCATGTTGCAGGTAATGAGAAGGAGTGAAGAGAAAAGGAGAGAAGAGCTGTGGCCATTTGAGGAGCCCAGACCTAGCAGCTCCCTGACCCGGGTTGTGACACCCTCTTTGGGACTCTGTGGTTCCTGGAATCTCTCAGCTTTCTGGTGCCACCACATTCCCCAGTGCCAGCCATGGAGGCTGCTTGTGGTATGCCTGGCCGAGCCACAGCCTCACAGGGAACTGACACCTATGCCGGTGCCTGGAGCTGCCCTCCCCACTGAAACCAACATGCCTGGCTATGCGCAGTGGCTGGACCCCACAGTTGCTCACTCACAAACCCCTCCTTGCTCCGTGCCTGTCTCACCCTTGGCAGGTGTGGCATCCAGGCCAGTAGGATGAGCTGAACACAGCCTGCCAGGCTGAATGGGTAAAATGAGACAAACAGGCCCTAGCAAAACTCAGGCAAAGGCACCACTGGCCACGGAGGTTTCTGGCTGGAAAAGCAACACCCGAATGATCTCGTGACATTATCACATACTATATACTGTATGTAATTGTACAAGCTGTACTTTTGTACAACTGGCAGTGTAGTAGGATTGTTTATACCAACATCACCTCAAATATGCATTGCACTATTATGTTTAGATGGCTATGACATCACTAGGTGACAGGAATTTTTTAGCTCTATTGTAATCTTATGGGACCACCATAGTTTATATGGTCTGTCATTGTTATACTGCTCATGACTGTATAAACACATACAAATAAGTTCAACTATCATACTGAAAAATTAAGAAGCAAATACAATTGTGTCCTACAACTATAGCCTTCAAGTCCCATTTTTTAAATACTTTTCACTAAAAGAAAATACATTGGGTGTAGGAAAAGATAGCATATGATTAAGAAATAATATCATCTTGAAAATGCAGCTATGCAAGATAGAATTTTATGGCTACTTATATATGTGGCATCGTTTGTAGAAAAACTTTTATAGTGCTCACTTCAGCAGTATATATACTAAAATTGGAACAATATAGAGAAGATTAGCACGTCCCCTGTGCAAGGATGATGCTAAATTCACGAAACATTCCATATTTTTAGGACCTCTTCAAGAAGAACTACAAACCACTGCTCAAAAAATTGGAGATGACACAAACAAATGGGAAAACATTCCATTCTCATGCATAGGAAGAACCGACATCGTGAAAATGGCAATATACAGCCCAAAGCAATTTATAGATTCCATGCTATTCTCATTAAACTACCATTGACATTCTTCGCAGAATTAGAAAAAGAAAACTATTTTAAAATTCATATGGAACCAAAAAAGAGCTTGTATAGCCACCAAGACAATCCTAAGCAAAAAAAAAAAAAAAAAAAAGCCATAGGCATCACACTTCCTGACTTCAAACTATACTATAAGGCTACAGTAACTAAAACCTAAAACAGCATGGCATGGGTACAGAAACAGGCACATAGACCAATGGAACAGAATAGAGGACCCAGAAATAAGACCACACACCTACAACCATCAGATCTTCAACAAACCTGACAAAAACAAGCAATAGGGAAAGGATTCCTTGTTTAATAAATGATGCTGGGAGAACTAACTAGTCATATGCAGAAATTAAAACCAGACCACTTACTTACACCATATACAAAAATCAACTCAAGATGGATTAAAGACTTAAATGTAAAACCCAAAACTATTAAAACCCTAGGAGAAAAATCTAGGCAATACCGTTCAGGACATAGGCACAGGCAAAAATTTCATGACAAAAATGCCAAAAGCAATTGCAACAAAAGCAAAAATGAGCAAAGTGGATCTTATTAAACCAAAGAGCTTCTGCACAGGAAAAGAAACAATCATCAGAGTGAATAGAAAACCTACCATATGGGAGAAAATTTTTGCCATCTATCCATCTGACAAAGGTCTAAGATCCAGCATCTACAAGGAACTTAAACAAATGTACAAAAAAAAAAACATTAAAACATTGGCAAAGGACATGAATAGACACTTATCAAAAGAAGACATACATGCAGCCAACAAACATGAAAAAAAGTTCAACGTCACTGATCATTAGAGAAATCCAAATCAAAACCACAATGAGCTACCATCTCACATCATTCAGAATGGCTATTATCAAAAAGTCAAAAAACAACAGATGCTGACAAGGTTGTGGAGCCAAAGCAACACTTTCATACTGTTGGTGGGAGTGTAAATTAGTTCAGCCATTGTGGAAGACACTATGGCAATTCCTCAAAGACCTAGAGGCAGAAAAAAACATTTGACCCAACAATCCCATTACTGGATATATACCCAAAGGAATAGAAATTATTCTATTATAAAGATACATTAACACGTATGTTCACTGCAGCACTATTCACAATAGCGAAGACATGGAATCAACCTAAATGCCCATCAACGATAGACCGAATAAAGAAAATGTGGTGCATATGCACCATGGAATACTCCCCTGCCATAAAAAGGAATGAGATTATGTCTTTTACAGAAACATGGATGGAGCTGGAAGCCATTATCCTCAGCAAACTAATGCAGGAACAAAAAACCAAATACTGCATGTTCTCACTTATAAGTGGGAGCGAAATGATGAGAACACATGGACACGGAGGGGAACAACACACACTGGGGCCTGTTGGAGGGTGGAAGGGTGGGAGGAGGGAGAGCATCAAGAAGAGTAACTAATGGATGCTGAGCTTAATACCTAGATGATGGGATGATTTGTGCAGCAAACCACCATGGCACGGATTTAACGCAGCACACCAACACGGCACATGTATACGTATATAACAAACCTGCACGTTGTGCACATGTACCCTAGAACTTAAAGTATAATAAAAAATTTTGGAAAGAAAATAAATAAATAAATAAATATCTTAAAAAAGAAAGAAAAACTGTAAGTGTTTTTTGTAAGGACAAATAAAACCTGGAACAATAAATACTGTTTTCAGGTGTGGGATCATGAGAAATTTGCAAATATACAGTCATTTATTTAGTAGGAAATTCAGCATAATATGTCATAACCTCTTGAGTTGTAGATGTTCTGAACCTAGCACGCACAAAAAAGTTAACCTATTAAGCTCCCTAAAACCGCATAAACATAGTTATCAAATGGGCCTTTAAGTTTCCCTAAATTTAACTAAACTTAAGACAACCTTTTTCCTACCTGTTGGCCCTGATTTCCCTTTCAATTGTCCGTTGACATTAGCAAACTTACAATTTCAAATTCTACTCTATCACTTTAAGATATACAACTCTTTCTTTCGCCTATTCATCTTTCGCTCTGAACTTCACTCTTTGTGTGTCTGTGTCCTAGTTTTCTCTGGCTGTGAGACAACGAACCTCGGGTATCACCCCAGACAACGAGACCACTTCAATAACTTGAATAAATTTTTTTTTAGCCTGTTTAACTTTGCCATGTGCAACTTTTGTTTTGACAATAGTATAATAATGTTATTTATTTTTTTCTTTCTTGTGCTCAAAGAAATAATACAGATTGAATATTCTTTATCTGAAATGCTTGGGACCATAAATATTTCCCATTTTGGATTTTTAAGATTTGGGAATATTTGCATTGTACTTTCTGGTTCAACATTCCTATCTTGAAAATCCACAATCTGAAATATTCCAACAAGCATTTTATTTGAGCATCATGTCAGCACCCAAAGTTCTAGATATTGGAATATTTCAGATTTTGGATTTTCAGATTAGGGATACTCAACTTGTACTCGAATGCTAATTGTTAGACATGTATTGGAATAAATACATGGAATCAGTGTAATGCTTCATTTTATTCTAATGTGTGGTATGCATACATGCATAAATGCATCAGTATTGAAAAATTTCACTGTCAACAGTATTTCCTCAACTCTAGTCCTATTTCTTTGACAACTCATGATTTCGATCACTCTAAAGTCTTGGTTCATGTATTTAGAGTTTAGAGACTACAAAGTAGAGTAATCTATTCAAAGAAATATGAACAATGAAGAATAAGATAAAAGTAAATAAACCAGATCTCAATTAACAAAGAAGTATCTGGGATAGTGCTCCTTCATATCACTCATATAATAGTTCCAGGATGCAAAGGATATGGATTTATTATTTTGCAACTGGAGTACCAGTCCATTAATTAAAGATTACTGTGTATAGCAGGGGTAATGCTTTTTTTCTGGTTTGTGATGTCTGAAATGTGGTAAGAATTATATAATCTCAGAATTTGCAATGGTAGAGCACATCTCAGAAGCCATAATACAGTTTAAAGCAAGCAACTTCAATAAAAAGGTCTAATGTTGTTAACAAAGTTACATTTCTAGCATAATTTTAATAGCTTCCATTTCATTGTTCTCTTTTTAATAGGACTTAGATATCTTAAATATATGCTTCTAAATTACAAAGTCATTTCTCTGCTCTTCATAAACAAGGATTTTTATGTGAGGTGATTAACTTTGGGAATGGCCCAATTATAACTATTTCAATATAAACCAAATTAGTAAAATGATGATTTAGAGAAACTCACAAAAGAGAAACTTTTAATCCCTTCAGAAATTTAAAGATAAAATATATTATTAGACGACATCACAATTTTGGATTTTTTCCAAATAACTCAATCACACATAGTGAACCTTGTTTTACTATGCAGCATTTTTTTGACTATTCTACTTTGCTTGTATAGATTTCCTCAAAAGAAGCAGGGATTTCAGACTTTATGTTTCCTTTTATTTGTATTTAGTCACGGTTACCTCTGTGGAAAGAGTGATTTACCCTTGCCTCTACTCTCCCCTTCAAACAAACAACAACAAAAAACAAAAACAAAAAATACATAGCACATTTAGTTAGCTCTGTGGGTGCCATATGTCTTGATATAATATACTCAATAATTTGGACACCAGGGCAAAAGTATTTGCCATTTCCATAGTTCAGACATATATACTTAAAAATATCCACTGAGAATTTCCAGTAAACAATAGACTATTCCAATCTGGTCTATTGTATTTGCCATTTTCTATGTCACAGAGTAAGAGACAACTAACCAGAGAGAAGAATATCTGTGGATTCCAGGTATAAGCATTAGCGTATGCAAAGTCCCTAAGGCCATTTTCTCTGAATGAAATTATCCCTGCTTAGTTTAATTCAAACAGCATTCCTTTGTTAAATCTCTAATACTTTCATCCCAGACTATCTCACTGTTAAAAATTTTATAACACTTATAAAAATGTTATTTTTGTAATACTTGCTGCAATTAAGTATGTATGTTCATATTATCATTTGTTTGTGGTCTATCTCTTCTACTAAACTATAATACATACTTCCAAGTGACAGAAAAATAAGATCTTACTATTTTCCCATTATACTTAGATGTTTTATCAATCTTAGAAGCTATTATCTTTATTACAACAATTCATATTATTCTTATGTAAACTATAAGCTACATAAGAACAGATATTGGGGCTATTTTACTTATTGATTTATTCCCAGTGCATGGGACATAGCCTGACACATAGTAGAAACTATATATTTCATAGTAGGTGTATGAAACAAATGACGAAATAAATGAAAAAACAAACAAAAAAAGAAAGTTCTTTGGCAAATAAAAACACTGAATATTTAGTATCTGAAATATATTTATATTTTTTACTACTGCTGCATTTGGCACATATTATTTCCTTAGTATGCAACAACTGTGTGCTCATCTCATTTAATGCTCTTGAATTAAGTATTATGCATATGACATGCATGAGGAACCTCAAGAGTTTAAGAAACTTGCTGAAGGTTAAATAGCCAATAAGTAAGAAAAGACATAGTGTTTGAACCCTGACTCTTCTATTACCTCCTTCTGTTATCTTTTGCCACAGTGTAAAATAAATAACCAAAAACTTGATAAGTATATAACAGTATGCATTTCTTAAGATCATGGCTTGGCTGAATGTTAGCTGATCTAGGCTAGGAATGCCTGTGGATTCTGCTGATCTTAGCCAATCTTGCTCATGCTTTAGGGGGAGAATGGGGGTGGCTAAAGGAGATGATTTCTGCAGGTGCACCTGGCCACAGAGGCTCTTCTCCACCTATTTTTTATCTTCCTTTTGAGAACAACGGACTAGTCTAGGCATGCCTTGTTGACAAAAGAGGAACAAAAGCTTCTAACAGCAAACATAACCGTGTGATGCTTCTTGAGTCTTTGGGGGAAATGTAATAAGAAACACAATGTCTTCTTAACCCAGAAAAAGTGCCCACAAAGGTAAAAAGAGGGAACATAATTTTATTATTGAATGAGCATTAAACTAGAATGTAATGTGTATCACAGAAAATCCATGAGGAAATTGCAAAGACAGAAAATCTCACCTTTTTATATTGGTAGCTAAATTAAAATCATTATATACATGTTCTCAGAATGAATAATGACTAGCCCTCAAGTTAGAGGATTTAGCAGCACCATTTGTCACACATCATCCTAAATTCACTTGTACTTAGGATGACCATCTGTGTTGACTAATTAGCTTTAACCAGAAGAAAAATAAACTTAGTTTGCTAGGGCTGCCATAACGAATATTTCAGACTGTGTGGCTCAAATAACAAAACTTATTTTTGTATAGTTTTGAAGACTAGAAGTCCAAGATCAAGATGTAGGTGAGTTTGGTTTCTTTTGAGGCCTTCTTTTTGGCTTACAGATGGCTGCCTTCTCCTTCACGTGGCCATTCCTTGGTCTCTGTTGTCAATATCCTGATCTCCTCTTATAAAGACATCAGTCACATTTATTAGTGCCTATTCATATTACCTTATTTACCTATCTGCAAATACAGTCACATTCTAGGGGTTTGGACTTTGACAAATAAATTTTGGGGACACAATTTAGCCCAAAACATGTCATTGTGCTTTCTTAAAAACACAATGTATTAGTCTGTTCTCACACTGCTGATAAACACACGCCCAAGGCTGGGTAATTTATAAAGGAAAGAGTTTTAATTGACTCACAGTTTCACATGGCTGAGGAGGTCTCTCATTACAAGTGAAGATGAATGAGGAGCAACGTCACATCTTAACATGGCAGCAGGCAAGAGGGCGTGTGCAGGGGAACTCTCCTTTATAAAACCATCATATCTTGTGAAATATATTCACTATCGTGAGAACAGCACAGGAAAGACCCACCTCCACGATTCAATTATCTCCCACTGGGTCCCTCCCACGACATGTGGGAATTATGGGAGCTACAATTCAAGATGAGTTTTGTGCCAAACCATATCACACAATTTTGAAATTTCACCTGATTTTCTACAAAGGGTTAATAAAGTTATGTTTGTGAAAGGAACTCTAGCTTGTTTATTCAAATAAAATTATTTCAAAAACACAATACAAAATTGACTTATCTACAAAGATAAGGGTGTTAGATAAAAGGAGGAAACTTGTAGATATTTGCTTATTAGCATATGTTTAAAATTATTTATGTTTGTTTTCTAAAAGATATAGATTTTAAATTAATGTATATAAAATATATGCTATAAATTAATGAAAGAAATTATAACAATTTAAGCACAGAACACTACATTTATTTTTATGTAAAATTAAGCATAATAACATTAGGCATATTTATTTCTCCTAAATTTTTCAAAATATTTTAATTAAGTGGGACAATATCATTAGGAATATTCATTTCTTTTATTTTACTTTAAACATTTCTAAGACTTTGAAATAAAAGTATGTATTATAAACTCTGGTGGTTTGTCTAGAAATATCTTTGTTTTTCTTTCATTTTTGAGCAGTTATACTCAATAACGAATTTTTGGTTGACAGGTTTTTTATGGTTGAATATTTAAATATGACGTTTTACTATTTTCTGGCTGCTATTATTTCTGAGGAGAAATCTGCTATAATTTCATTAATTGTTTTTTTATATATATATATATATCAAATGTGTGTCACTTTTCTCTTTCTGCATCCCGTATTTTCTCTTTAGTATTCCATGTAAGCAATGTTGTTATGCTGTGTCCACATGTGGTTTTATTTTATTACATATTTACTGTACTTCTTGTATCTGTAAGCCAATATTTTCCCCAAAATTGGAAAATTGATAGCCATTATTCATGCAGATACTTTTCTGCCCGGTTTTCTTTCTTTTGTCCTTAGATTGCCATTACTCAGGCATGTAAATGTTTGCTATTATCCCACAGTTCTCTGAGATTCTGTTTATTTTCCTTTAATTAATCTTTTCTTCCTCCTTTTTCTTACACTGGACAATTTCTATTAATTTATCTTGAAGTTGACTGATTTCTTCTGCTATCTCTAATATGGTCTTGGGCCCATTGGGTAATTTTTCTATTTGAGTTATTTTACGTTTTAACTTTAGATTTCCCATTTGGTTATTTTTTATAGTTTATATTTCTCTGGTGAGAGTTTCTGCTTTTTCACTCATTATTAACATATTTTTAATTAATTATTTCCAAATATTTTCTTTTTTTATTTGAACATATTTATCATAGCTTCACTGAAGTCTTGGTCAGCTAACATGCAACATCGGTGCCCACCTGGAGTCAGTTTCCAGTGACTTTTTCCCTGCATATATGTTTGATGTGGTTAGGCTCTGTGTCACCACCCAAAACTCATCTTGAATTATAATCCCCATAATACCCACTTGTCAATAGAGAGACCAGATGGTGGTAATTGGATAACATGGTTTCCCTCATGCTGTTCTCATGATATTGAGTGAGTTGTCACGTGATCTGATGGTTTTATAAGTGTTTAGTAGTTCCACCTGTGTTCATTTTCCTTCCTGTGACCTAAAGAAGAAGGTGCCTTTCTTCCCCTTTCCCTTCTGCCATGATTGTAAGTTTCCTGAAGCCTCCCCATCCATGCAGTACTATGAGTCAATTAAAACCCTTTATAAATTATCCAGTCTCAGGTAAGGTTTTGTAGCAGTGTGAAAATGGTCTAATAAACTTTATAGATTCTTGTTTCTTTCCATGTCTTGGATTTTATACCATTTAAAAATTATATACTTTGTTGTTGCAAAACGATTTTTCAGTTTTGTTTTACTGTTATGGTTTCATTATTGTTTTGCTTTTATAAGTAACAAACCTGCACGTTGTACACATGTACCCTAAAACTTAAAGTATAATAAAAAATAAAAATAAAAAAATAAGTAGACAATTACCTTTTCTTTAATCAAACAGTAAAATTTTTTTCATGGTGTTCATTCTCTGATGTCTTTGATGTTCTTTCCATGTTTTCCCCTCCCTCCCTTCCTCTCTGTATCCCTCCCTTCCTTCCTTCCTTCTTTCCTTCCTTTCTTCTTTCTTTCTCCTCTTTGTTTTCACTTTTGCCTGACTTCCTAAGCATATTCATAGCTTACTGAAAATTAATTTCTGAAAAGGTTATTTTATGCTTAATACCTCAAGCCTATAGGCCTGAGCTATGTGTAAATTGAGAAACACATACAATGGTCCAAAAACTTTTCAAAACTTCTCATTCTTTCAATTTTTTGCTGGACTCCCAGTGTTCTTTTTATGCATGTACTTTTTAGCAGCCCTTCAGTGATGTGTGAAGAGTACAGTACAGTCCTTCTAAAGCTCTCTTACTCAAAATCATACACTTTATTTTTCCAAGTAATCTGCTACTTTCTTCTAACTCAGTCTGTCACCTCCAGAGTGGAAAGCTGTGAGTTTTCACTACTTGACCTAGTAATAAATTGGAAGCAGGCAATAGCAGTAGAAAGAAAAATATAGTAAGAAAATTGAAATAGAAAGAAGGCAATACAATCTTGCCTGATATAAAAAACCATATTAATGATTAAATATGTATTTTTACTTGACTTTGCTTATTTTCTGTTGTCTTGAATTCTGTTTTCAATAATTTCATCAACATGTATACTTACTTTCTGTGAAGAGGAATTGATCAGTATCCCTATGTTTCATTACCACAAGTCCCTGCTTAGTTTTTTTTTCACACACTCCCATAAAATATTTATTTAATACATTGTCATAGTTAGACATTGTGTTAGTCCCTACTCACACTGCTGTAAAGAATTGCTCAAGACAGGGTAATATATGAGGAAAAGAGGTTTAATTACTTACAGTTCTACATGGCTGAAGAGGCATCAGGAAACTTACAATCATGGTGGAACGGGAAGCAGACATGTCTTACACGGGGGCAGATGAGAGAGCCAGAGCAAAGGGGGAAGAGCCCCTTATAAAACCATCAAATCTCATGAGAACTCACTATCACGAGAACAGCATGGAGGAAACCACTCCATGATTCAATTACCTCCACCTGGTCCCTCCCTTGACACATGGGGATTACAGTTTGAGATGAGATTTGAGTGAGGACACAGAGACAAACTATATTACATACATTACCTCACTAAATGTATATTCAAATTTCTAGCATTAACAAAATAGACAACTATGGAGCAAATAAGTACAATTCTATAATTAATAAATTTCATCTTTTATCATTTTATAATTTATTTCCATATATTTTATAGTTTGCTTGTTAATATTTGAACAAACTTAATCAATAAATATTAATGCAATAAATACTTATTGAATACTTATTATATATTAGGTGGTTAGATTCTGGGTATCCAGGAATTTATCCTCCAATAAAAATAACTTTAAAAACACATAATAATGTTATATCACAAGCACAATAACAAATACCATTTATTAAGTACTTACTGAGTACTTACTATCTACCAGACTTCATGTAAGCATGCTTTTTATATTAGTTTATTTAGTCTTCCATACAAATTGCCAGATAATTGTTATTAACCATTATATCCTTTATTTCTTAAAAAAGTATAAAACTGAAGCTCATGAAGATGAAACAACCTTACTGAGTGGTCCCAACTAATGTGAATATCTGACACAGGTCTGTTCAAAGTTGAAATCTCTACCTATCTACAGCTATGATATATTATTATAGTGAAAATATATGCTGGATGTATTCAGTGTATTATGTTGATTAAATGCTTACCACATGCCAACAACTGCACTAAGGAGTTATTAACAGTAAATGAATGAACGCGATAGACATAGGTCCTGCCCCATCCAGAGTCTGGGGACCTGTTTAGTGGACTAGTGACAACTGTGATGGAGAGCTAGAAGACAGGGGCTTCAACTTAATTAGGGAAGTAAGAAAGCCTTCATAGAGGATATAGAATTAGAAATGAATTATCAAAGTAAGAAAAATAAAAATGGGTAGTCATGAGAGGAGGATTGATGTGCAAAGGTGTATGATATAGTTTGGCTCTGTGTCCCCACCCAAATCTCAGGTTGAATTGTAATTCCCAAGGTTGGAGGAGGGATCTAGTGGGAGGTGATTAGATCATGGGTGTGGACTTTTCTCTTGCTTTTCTTGTGATACTGAGTGAGTTCTTAGGCGATCTGATGGTTTAAAACTGTGTTGCACTTCCCCCTTCTCTCTCTCTCCTTCTCCAACATGTGAAGACCTGTTTACTTCCCCTTTGCCTTCCACCATGGTTGTAAAATTATTGAGGACTCCCAGCCATGCTTCCTGTACAGCCTGCAGAACTGTGAGTCAATTAAACCTCTTTTCTTAATACATAAGCCAGTCTTAAGTAGTTTTATATAGCAGCGTTAGAATGGACTAACACAACCTGAGTTCTGTTTTCGATCTGGTGAAGGATAAAATGTGTGATTTGTTACCACTTGGTAATAAAAAGAAAAAAGTCTAGGAGGTAGACAAGGGTCAGTCGATTCTTCAAATGTATGATCTTGTAATGATCTGGTTTTATTTCAACAAGGTGTTTTAAGTACTTTCACACTTAAAACAAAATACAAGTTATTATGTTGAGTATCTTAATGCTATCTCTATAATGGTCTCAAGCATCTGTAGAAAAATGGCACGTGTAATAGCACAGCTGAAACAGAGTCTCAAAATATACAATTGCAAATTTAAAAACATATTTTACTTGGTGTAATAAATCTTATACCCAGTGTAATGAAATTATAATATTGGTAATCAACAGTCTTGGGTTCAATAAGTAGTAGTTCTGTTAGGGACCACCTCTGGGACCTCGAGAAAATAACTTAAGCTTTAATCTTACGTTCCCTTCTCTCATCTATGTATATTTAACATCTCTGTTGATCCTTATAATCTATTTAAAATGTGAAATCTGCTGAATTCGTTTTTCAAAAACAGAATTTAACACCAATTATGTAAAACCATAAATGATTTTTCTTAAGTTAGCAAATCATTTGAATCATACATCCTACTATTATAATAAACTTAAATTTAAGAAAAAACTTACATTTAAGAAAATGAGACACTGAATTCCTAAACATAGTTTTTTAATATTTTCCCTAGGATTCAAATGGTTATATAGATAAATTATTTCCATCCTCTCTGTTTTAGACATAAAAGAGACATATTCTGCCTTTAGCAAAAATAAAAGTGAGACTTCTGCTGTAGAATGACAATTATTGCCAGTAACAGTTGAAGATTTGTCATATAGTTTAAACAGCAAATTCAACTTTTTCGCTGTGGGCATAAATAAGAAAGATAACCACATACTGTTAAAAAGCAGTATTTTTTGTGTGTGTTCAAGCTGAAGAAAAGTTTATTGTTTATTGTAAAGCAGTTGAAAAAGAGAATTAAAATTTAAAATTGTATTACGGAAAAAAATCCATGATTTACAAAATAAATCACCACTGTAATTACAATTTATTTATATTGAGTATGGTGCAAATTTCCGTGCAAATATTTTCACAGTTGCTTTGGAATCTGTTACAATAAAATATAGTACATTCTCTCATTGGATTATAACATTTCCAACCAATTTACTAAGAAGAAGCTGGGTAGTTTTCTGTGTGTTTCATTTTAAGAGAGGTAAACAAATGATTAGTGAAGATTCTAATCTTCAGAAGAAAACATAATTATAGACAACATATTTTTGACGCTGTGTTGTATTTTTTTACTTAATGTCATAAAATCGATTTCATAGGTTCCATTTTTATCTCCTCATATCACAGAAACTGAGGCACTGAGATATCAAACAACATAAATAGAAAGTGTCAAGTTAGGATTTAAACTACAGTTTGATTTCACTCCATACACACTTAGCATCTTACTATATTTCTTAGGTGTTGTATAAAAATTTAAAAATTAGTGTTATTAGGAGCATGAAGATTTCCAGATAGCAACATTAACTCCAAATAATGCTAATAGTATATGATTTTTCTCATGTTTTACATTAATAACATATATATTTACCAATTACACTTAATAGCTTAACATAACTGATAATTCTTTATATTCTAAAATTGTGAAATGGAAAGAGAAAAAATAAGGAATCATAAATTCAAATCTGCTTTTACTATTGAAATATTTAAATTTATTTGTTTACAAATGTATTGATTATTGTGCTATTCACTAGCGATATAACAGGTATGAAGACAAAAAGGATTTTCTCTCCCTGGAAGTTAAATTCTAACGGCAAATTTTTAAAAAGTATCAAAAAAGAATAAAGGATATCATAGATTGCAATAAATTATTTGCAGAGATGGTTAAAGGATTATTTGACAGAATAAACATGGAGAGAATGCTAGTTTCAACATGGTAATTTAAACTTGGCACGCAAGCAGAGGAGACTCCTAAGGTAAATGCTGCAAGAAGTAAAGGGAGGCTCATGCCAGTTAGAAGAAGTAAGTGAAAGGAGCCGACATTTGAAACCATTGTTTGGTATAGTCAAGAGGCTGGGAGACAAAATACCTGTAGCGTAGTGGGATATGGTGACAATGATTCAAGGTGAAATTGCAGAGGTAGCCAGAATAAGACACAAATATGTTTGAGAGCCCACTATTTCTTTGGTGGAAATGTCTGCTTCTTTTTACACAGCGATGGCTTCTTGTCAGATCCCTGCGTTTGGACCCAGCCTTCCATTTACAATTGACTGGTTCATCTTGGACATTCACATTTACCTTTCTAGAAATGTAGAATTAATAATATGGAACACAATGTCTGGGAATTGTGGAGAGCTGAGGCATTAACAGCTGATGTCTTAACAGCATCCAATCCATGAGCTTCTTCAAATGAGAACCCTGAAACACGTAAAAGAATAATTTGGGACTTTTAAGTATTAAAGAGAAGACAGAATGAATACAGTGATAAATTATACCTTTCCCAATGCCCTTTAAGCTGAAAATGTCAAGACAGTCCTTACACGTACACACACACACACACACACACACACACACACACACATATATATATTTTTTTCTTTTTGTGAGGAGTCTCACTCTATTGCCCAGGCTGGAGTGCACTGCCACAATTTTGGCTCACTACAACCTCCGCCTCCTGGGTTCAAGCAGTCCTTCTGCCTCAGTCTCCCGAGTAGGTGGGATTAAAGGCATGCACCGCCATGCCCAGCTAATTTTTGTATTTTTAGTAGAGACGGGGTTTCATCATGTTGGCAGGCTCCTCTCTGGCCTTGAACTCCTGGCTTCAGGTGATCCACCTGTCTTGACCTCCCAAAGTGCTGGGATTACAGGTACCAGCCACCACACCCGGCCCCTAATTTATATATTTTAATGAGACCATAATAATCCATATTGTATATTTTCATTCTTAAAATCTTTGTCTTATACCTTCCCAACAAGTGACAAGAATGTTTTCTGGATATGATAGATGTATAAAAATGAATGAGAATTACCTTTATCCTTCTTACAATTTAACTACTTCACTTTTTACAGTGCCTGTGATTTGGGTATTTTATTTAGCTATTTTGCCATACAAATCTTTATCACCATGTTTCATCCATCATTACCATATACTCATCTCATTTTACTTTATTCTTGTATTTGGCACATTACATTTTTAAAACTTATTTACTAAGCCCATTTCACTTACCTCCTAGGAAGGAAAGAATATATATTTTCTACCTCAAACTGACAATTTTGTAAAGAACATTTTGGTCTTGAATATCTAGAGGCAAAGTCAAGTAGGTCTGGAGTTACAGTAGTTGGCCAACATGCACACCACCATGTTTTATACGTGTTTTGAGAAAGAATTCCAGTAAGAGTAGTTAAAAACACTTGACAGGATAAATCACTTGTCTTCAGATTTGTATGCCAGGATATATGTAATAATGTGTTCATGACTTAAATCTTAAAATCAGCAAAAAGAACAGTTCTGGATAAAGATGACTGATTTTATGTTTGGCATCCTAATTATTGTCTCCTTGCCTAGGCATTCAAATTTAACTAAAATATGCTCTTACAAAAAGATAACTGGAGCACTGTGTGTGAAATTATTTATACTAATTTTATAATAAGAATTTTCAGTACAATAAATGGGCAGAGACTTGATATGTGCAGAAAAACTACCATTAAAGTTAATGATGCCTCATAAAATAATAACTACTTTTTCAAATATAAGCAGATTACTATACATATATATAGTCATTTAAAGCTCTCTTATGTCAGTATTTTATTATCTCTGAAAATGAAATTAATTTTTTCTTTTCTAAACAAAGGCAAGTTTTATATCCTTTTATATTATAAGTACAAAGTATTTGACTACATCAGAAGTACAGAAACTATAAGATGCATAGCAGCATTTACAGTTAGAACGTCAGTCAAAATTTTTTTTTTCCTGAACCACGTATGTGATAATATAAAGGTAAATTTTAAAAAATTATTTTCTCCTCTCAATAAACTCATTATATAGTAGAAATGTACATGTATTTTTATATATATTCAAACTATATATATAGTTTGAGTTAGTTTTTTCAAATTTAAATACTATTATTTTTAATTTCAACCTTTATTTTAGATACAGGGGGCACATGTGCAGATTTTTTACAGGAGAGTATTTCAAAATGCTGAGGTTTGGAATATGGATCCTGTCACTTTGGTAGAGAGCATAGTATCCAATAGGTAGTTTTTAAATTCACACCTCCTCCCTTCATTCTCTAGTATTCCACAGTATCTATTGTTCCCATCTTTACGTGCATATGTGCTCAATGTTTAGCTACCACTTGCAAATGAGAACATGCAGTATTTTGTTTTCTGTTTCTGTGTTAATTCACTTAGGATATGACCTTCAACTGCATTCACATTGCTGCAAAGAACCTTATTGTATTCTTTTTACATGATTGTATTCTTTTTCTGTGGCTGTGTAATATTCAATGGTGAACATGTACCACGTTTTCTTTATCCAGTCTACCATTGGTGGGCACCTGGGTTAATTCCATGTCTTTGCTTTTGTGAATTGTGCAGCGATGAGCATGAAAGTGCATGTATCTTTTTTGTGGAATGATTTATTTTGAGTATATACCCAATAATGAGATTGCTAGGCCAAACAGTAGCTCTGTTTTAAGTTCTTTAAGAAATCTCTAGACTGCTTTCCGCAGTGGCTGGACTAATTTGCATTCCCACCTACGGTGTATAAGCATTCCCTTTTCTCCACAGCCTCACCAGCATGTTGTTTTTTGACTTTTTAATAAATAGCCATCTGACTGGTGTGAGATGGTATCTCACTGTAGTTTTGATTTGCATTTCTCTGATGATTGGTGATGCTGAGCATTTTTTTCTTATATTTAGTGGCCACCTGTATGTCTTCTTAGAAACACTATTTTTTAAAAAGAAATAAATATGTATGCATACACATGCACATATTATAGACAAAAATTGGTTGTCATTTTTTTCTAGTAGAATAATTTATATATATTTCCTTATAGAAAACATTACAAAAATGACAATTCTCTCTGAACTGAAAGTACAGATTAATATTAACCACAGTTAGCATATTTTGTAGAAATTATTCTAGACTTGTAGCATAATGAATGCATGCAAGATCTAAGATTATGTTGTGTTCCTTAATTAAGGCACCCCCAGTGAAATATTTGAATCTACTCTGGAATCCTTGTTATTGTCAAAAGTTAAGAAAACACAATAAAGAATAAATAATGTCATATCTTAATGATTTAGGAAAAAAAAGTTAGTGTTTTTTAAAAATGTGAATGTCTTATATCACAAGCCCAATGATTTCTTTGAACGTATGACATTATAATCACTCAGGTACCCAGGCTAATGTAGCAATCACCTCTCCATGTTATTTACGGATGACTGAGTCAGCGAGTAGGAAACATGACCAACTATTATCTGGCTATTAGACATCCTACCTGGAAATGGCATATACAGATACTGTTCAAAGCCAGTCAACTAGTCATACTTGATTTGAAGGAAGTACAGAAGTGCAATCACTCATCTGCTCAGAAGCATACCATAAAATTCTTGGCAAAAACACCGATGTATGTAATATACACACAAGAGATATAAGTATAGAAAAAAAGGAAGTAAACTGATAATTATTTACCAATAAAATAATTTAATTTCATAAGTATAAAGCACAAGCAAATAAAAACCACTAGAAAATTGAGGAATGTGCCGAATTTAACATGAATAAAATTACAGAAGTTTATTTTGAGACTTAAGAAGGAATTTGAATATATGAGGGAACTGTGTTGTTGACACAAAATTTACAGTTTTGTAAAGATTTTGTCTCATAAATTTATCTACATATTTATTGTAATCACAATACAAAATTCTATTAAAGTATTTTTCATAAATTAAGAAAATGGTTTCAAAAGATGTAATGGGTCTAGCCAGAAAAGTTTAGCTGGAGAAAAATTAAATAAAATTGGTTTGTGTGGTATGCAAAATATGTGACTGGGTATCTTCCATTCTGAGTGAACACAAGTACTAAACCATAAAACTAGAACAGGCTTTTGAATACCCCTTATTATGCCAGGGCTTAATTCTCTAATTATTGGATCACAAGAAAGTCCAAAAGTTCTGACTGAGAAAGAGTGAACACTCTAGGGATTGGGGCAGTGGGTATTTACTAACCAGTATAGACGCGTTCAGATGCAATATTTTAAAAAGTGAAACAGATGCACAAGGTAATAGCTCTCTATTATCCCTGAGTGTGTCGTTGGGGCCAGATTAAAGTCTTGAAGGAAAAATTTAATTTAAATATATATAAATCTATAATATTATTTTAAGAATTGCATGATAATATAGATTTTTATAATCAACTGGATTATGAAATTAGCAACTTTTTAACAAAACCTTTCATTACAATAATCATTATAAATCACAACCAAATGAATTCCAAAGAGATCAAAGAATTACCTTGTCCAACAGCCACCCACAGTCAGTTAGAAATCTCTCTGTTGTACTCGCAGATTACATTTTTAATCAATCACTTTCTCTTCTCCTATTCAATCAGCAAATATCCAAGCAACTATTAATTTTCATATGAAGAAAATGTAACTTTTTCCTGCTTACTTTCTGTTGTTTTCACAATCACTTCTCTACTAAGCATACAGAGTGACTATTATGAACTAAACTGTGTTCCCCGAAAATCAGTATGTTGAAGTTTTAACTCCCAAACAGATGGTGGTTAGAGGTGAGGTCTTTGGGCAACAATAAGGTTTAAATGAGTTATTGAGAGTGAGAATTAGTACCCTTCTTAAAAACAGATCAAACAACTTGCTCTCTCTATCCACCTATGAGAACACAGCAAGAAAGCACCCATCTGCTAGCTGGGAAGAGAGGCATCAATAGGAATTCAATCTGCTGGCATCATGATCCTGGATTTCCCAACCTCCAGAACCAGAGACATAAATGCCTGTTGTGTATGTCATTCAGTCTATGGTATTTTGTCATAGAAGCTCTAACTGATTAAAACAAGGACCATTTTTAAAACAAATTAAATAATAATATTTCCTTACAAAGTCTCCAGGGGATTTTTTTTTCACTTAAAAGGAAACCTAAACTGCATGCCATGGCTTATAAGAATCTGTGTGGTCTGATCCCTATTGAGCTTTTCTTTCTTATCTCATGATACGTTCTCATAGCAATCTAATCACACTGGCTTCTGAAGTCCTATTTCACATTGAGCTTTTTCCCACCTCGGAGATTTTGCATCATTTATACCTCAACCATGAAAAAAATTCCACCGCCATCTTGCAAAACAATTTCTTCTCATCTTCTATATCTGCAGCTAAATGTCACCCCCTCCAAGAGGCCTTCCTTGAAAACTACATGAAGAAGAAACATAACGCATGTATATTTCCTTTATAATACTCACCTAAATCTGTACTTCCATTATATCTTCATGATATGGTTTGGATTTGTGTCCCTTCCCAAATCTCATGTCAAATTGGAGGAGGGGCCTAGTGGGAGGTGATTGGATCAATGGGGGCAAATTTTCTCCTTGCTGTTCTCATGATAGTGAGTGAGTTCTCACAAGATCTAATAGTTTAAAAGTGTATGGCACTCCCCACTTTGCGTTCTGTCTCTCTCCTGCCACCATGTGAATAAGGTGCTTGTGTCACTTTCACCTTCTGCCAAGATTATAAGTTTCCTGAGGCCTCCTAGTCATGCTTCCTATACAGCCCACAGAACCAAGCCAATTAAACCTTTTTTCTTTGTAAATTACCCAGTCTTAAGTAGTTCTTCATAGCAGTGTGAGAATGGAGTAATAAAATTCACATATTTTTAAACTGTTTGGCTGTGTCCCAAACTGGAATATTACCTATTGAATATTGGTTGGTAACAATATAATTCAAGGTAAGTTAGCAAGACAGAATCACACTGGTCAAAGATTACTTCCAGAATAAAATGTGAACTTTTATGTGGCTTGTACATTTTATGTTTATAATTAATCTCATTGTGAATAAAAATAATATAAAACATAGCTGTAATGGTATTTATCAATAATGTATGTAGGCACAAAAAGTGTTATTAGAAAATGAAATATTTGTAATTTCATGTTACTGAGTTGTGCAGACTTTTTAAAGTGTCTTTATTTTCCAATATTTCTACAGAATTTAAAATTTCTATTATCATATTTTTAACTTTCATTTTTGGGCAAGTAAGTTTTTAATACAGTATTCTTTTATCACATGTACTTAAGAGGCTAAGAATATTAACAGTAATTTTTAATGTTTTATTATTCTAGCCTTATCTCTCTTTTCTTTAATTTGTACTTATTTTTGTTTTTTTTACTTCTGCTTTTGATTTTAGATATTTTCATAAATACTTGGTGACCCTTAGCTGTTACTTGTATTCAGTGATAGAAAATTAAGAAACTGCTCCAAAAAGACCATTTTCTATTCCCCCAACACACAAACACTCCATAAGATTACCTTTATGCATTTTCTCTTGGGTTCAATACATTTAAAGGGAAAACTTCCAGTATCCTACATTAATTTTAAACCTCCTAGTTACAAATGTTTTGTCTAGCATATGAAGAAAGTAGGTTGTGGCTTTTACATTTCAAAATTACATACTCAATGTCTGTTCTTTTGTGTGACACCTGAGTGCCCTATTTTACCTGACATCAGGAGAACTTCCCTTTTATCCTTTGCAGGGTATAACCTCCACACTTCTTTCAGGGATTTAGAGAAAATTCATATCTGTAAAACAGACCCATTGGCCTCTTTAAAAATGCTGCCACATAATCTTTTCATTTTAATTCTTCATAAAATCTCCACAGCCATATCTTCCTTAGTGTTTTGGAATTTTATGATATAAATTGATTTTCATTTTGTCTTGAATTCAAAACTTTTGGTTCAAATAAGCCAATTCTTATTTATCTTCCTTCCAGATCTCATTGTATATTGCCATTTTTTCCTCATCTTTGTTTTTGTCCTTGTGGGCAATACTTTTAAAAATCTCATTATGGTCATTTTAGTGATTTGCAGACATTGTGGATATAAATTGATGTGTTTAAGACACTTGTTTTAATCAGAGGATTTGCTTTTCTTAGGGACATTTTTATTTTCATGATAGATTGGTAAAATATTTCAACTTTGAGGAAAATGTGTATAACACGTTACAAGTATTACTACAGCTATTATATATATCCATATAAAAGGTACATATAAAAATGATTCTCAAACATGTTATAAAGTCATCAAGGTATAAGACATCTGCTAAATGGAAGGTTAAATGTAACATTTTCTTCCTTGCTACACCTTTGCTGGCATATTTTTATCACAATGTGTAATTTCTAGTAGTATTCCACCAGCAAAGATTAAGAAATAAGGACAATTTACTAAAATAGAAATTAATAAAGATGATCTGGTTTTTAACAATAGTATAGTAAAACATTTATTTTAAATGCCTTCTTGTACTTTCATCATTATTCTTCTGAGGCAATCATTACAAAGAGTGAAAGGAAGTGCTGGCAGACACATTTTCTTAATAAATAATTGCCTAGTTTTATGCTCACCATTACTGGACTTAGGCACTATATCCTGAGCTCTACAAGAGAGAACTAATGTATTATTAATAGAGCTTTATACAAATGTATTCATGACATCAGTTTGTCCTCTTTAACTATACCTCTGGGCATCCTGTGAATCATTTATGAGGAGGCCATGTGTCTCACAATTGAGAAGGTTGTAAATTTACCAAGCCAACCATGAGGAAGACACACACACACACACACACACACACTCACACACACACGTGACTTTTCATGAGAAGCAGTATGCCATTTGGTGGAATATGAATATTGAAACATCTAGCTCTATTAATTAGAAAATGCTTTTTCACATGAATAGATTTTAATCTGAGAGCTGGGAAATAATTATATTAAAATTGTATATGATGGATTATAGATTATATAAATGAGAAAATATAAATGACTAATAAACTAAAACTCAAAAAGTAAACAAAGTAAATTATCAGGCCACACTATCATATGCCATGTATATCATGAAAAAAAATCCAAAAGTATTAAGATAAGTAGGTGAACTCTTCTTATCAAATTATAAAACAACATAAAAATACATCATTGAGTACTATACTATCATACAACATGAAATATGTTACACCTTCCATAGAAATGCATCCTGTGTGGTGACAGTCACCGGTTAATTGTCATAAAAATTGTCTAAATACTGAGATGATAGCAGTAGTAGATACCCATTTCATCTATTTAAAAGGCAAATAGGTTTGAAATGCAGGGGAATAATTTGTTGTTTAGATTATGACTAAATATACATGTCATATTGTGAATATCCTATCTCTGACCATCTCTTTTTTTAAATGTGATTTATTATTTCCAATAGAAACAAATTTTGCTTATGGATATTTGCTGTTTTCAGAGACTAATCATAATATAAACTTTTTGCAGAAAAATAATTTTAATACAGACATCATAATAAAATGTTTCATAAAAATAAGAGAACATTGAACAAATAAAAAGATGATAATTCTAAAAATGAGCAAATAATGGAATATCTTTTCATTGGTTCAATGCAAAGAACACTTTTATTTCTAAATATTTTAGACTACCACCTCATATCATTCATGCTGTCAGTATTCATTGAAAGAGAATGTACTTAATTTGGTGACAAAAATATAAATTTACTTGGGAAAAAATATTAATATCAGCCACCTCTAAATATTTGAAGAATAGCAAAATACAAATCTTTAAGATTTTCTAGAACATAGGCAAAATTTTTCAAATACACATATTAAAATACATGACATTAATTCTGTGGTAACCCTGGGTGTCCATTGCCCACAAAAGATGTTTCTTTCTTAGCCAAAAAAATTTCAAGCTATATAAAAATGCTCGCTTGCCACTGAAGTTTACATGGATATTAAAATATGTAGTCAAAAAATAGTACTAGATAATTTAATGAGGTCTGTAATGTTTTTATATTTATCACAAAATATGATTAAGCAGAAAAAATTATAGCAAGTTAAAAATCATATACTTTATAGTAATACATAGCAAAAATATAAGGCCATTTTTAGGAGGAGTTTATTTTACATCAACTTTAAAAAGATGTTTGATTTGTAAATAGCACTTCTGTTCAAGTCAGTTTTAAAACTGACATACCTAAATTTTTAAAAATACGCATTTGAATTCCATTTGCAAAATTGATAAAAATATCTGAACAGATCTATGCTCTATAAATGATATTTAAGTATAAGTAATTTAACTGCAATTCCTTAAGTTCTTAGACCATCTGAATCACCTATGAAAAGAAGCTATCATTTTGTTGTCAAAATGAGTGATTATGACTTTTTATTGTCAAGAGAAAATGATTACAATTGTTTTAAACATGACTCTTATATTTTATAATTACACACACGCATTACATTTTTACAATTTTGTCTGCTAGAGGAGTCAGGATTCTGGTTATTATGAATAAAAGAATAAAAGAGTTGGGAATTTTAGCATTTAAAAATTTTATTACTCTAAAAATATAAATGTATTAATTTTTATAATGAACAGATGTGATCATTTACATATATTATTTCATTAAACCTCAGTAAAGAGGTCATTTTGATGGCATTTTATGGTGTACTTAACAATGACAAAATAATAATGATTTTAAAATCAACAGATATGTATTTATTCAATAAACCTGCCAATCTCTTCAGTTGTCGTACAGTTACTTACATATCTCTTTTCAATCCCTGTCACTTTGCAGAGTAAAAATTTTCCTGGTCTTTCCCAAGCAGATATTCAACATTAGTTAGAAAAATAATTTCTTATGTCTACATAAGATGGATAGAAAATATTCCAAACACATTAAACAGTCTAGAAATCATGATAGTAATTTCTTAAACAGTGTTTGATGTCCAAAGCTCAGCACTCTGCTTAGATCAATAGATGCGTACTGCCATCATGAACACATGAATTAATCAGTCAATTACTTAAAAGTTCTCAAAATTAGAATAATTTTCAGATTTTTATTTGAGAATAAAATAAAACTTCTATTGCCTCTTGTAGCTTTACAAACGTAAAGCAGAATTCAACTGAATAATAATTAAATATTTTAAATGCGAATTTCAGTTTATGTTACATTTTCAGTGGTTAACAGGAAAAATTAATTTTAAGCCAATTCAGAATACAAATATTTTCACAGAAATCAAGTCAAACTTTAAAACTACAGACTTTTCCACAATTCATAGTGAAAATTGAAGTGGGTTGTGGTGTTTTTTAATGGGACTATAGTCTTGTAAAAAGGAACAAAAGACTGATAGATTATCCTCCACCTATTTTACTTTTATTAAAATATAAAAAGTAAAGAGGCTGTTAAAATAGCCACAAGTTGTATACATCACCCAAAATTGATATGTATAAATACTTTTTCTGGTTCTATTTCCCAAAAGACATTTCAGAAAAAAAAATGTGTGTTGTTCCAGTGTATATTTTTACATATTGAATATATGCATATCCATAAGCATTTTATCAAAGTTTAACTGACATGTAAAAAGTTATAGTCATTTAAAGTATACAACTTGATAAGTTTGAGAATAAGTATACACACCCGTGAAACCATGACAACACACCATGGGTATAGATATATCCATCACCTCTTAAAGTTTCCTACCGCTTCTTTCTTTCTTTCTTTCTGTCTTTATTATAAGAACAAAACCTAAGATCTACTCTATTAAAAAATGTCAAGTGTGCAATACGGTACTTTTAGCTATAGGCACTATTACACTGTATAACGGACATCCAGAACTTATTTATCTTGCATAATAAACTTGGTAAGTTTGATGAATAAGTGTTTAATGCACATGAGTTATGTCCTATTATCCTGTCTCTTACCAACTTGCTATTACCATTTCTTATAATATTTTGCAAAAACATCCAGGTTGATACATGTGCATTAGGGATTTCTTTTTTTTTCTCTAAACTAGTCCATTCTTTGATCATGAGGAATTCTTTCTTTGATCATCGGTTATCTCTTTTTTTATATAAATTAATATTCATTATAGTTTGTCCATAATTTTATAGCCATTTTGATACTGATCCATTTGTCTTTTTCTTCTTTGAACATTTAGTAGGGCTTTTGTTTTATGACAATTATATTTTGAGTATGTTAAAATTGATCAGTTCTTTAAGATACTTGCTTTCTGCTTTTTTTTAACACATACTTCCATTTGTCAAGGTAAAAAGATATTTCCTTAGGTTTTTCTCTAAATACCAAATTATTTAATTTTCATGTTTGCACCATATTGAGCAATTTGATATCTAATTTCAATACAAGATTTTTGCTTCTGAGATCACCTAAATCCAGGTTATTGTCTCATGATCAGGAAAAATTAGGCACGTGGACACATTGAAGGGTGAGGAGGACAGAATTTATTAAGTGAAAGGAAAGCTCTCAACAAAGAGAGGGGTACTGCATGCAGGTTTCCACCTCACAAATTGAATACCAGGGCTACCACCTACAAGTTTAAGAGGCCAGGATCCTCCCCTGCATAAGGACCAAATTCCTGGTGGCTCCAGCCCATTCTCCTAGAGCATGTGGGCCTCCAGTCCACTGTGGGCATGCCCAGGCAAGCCTGCTGTGCAGGTTCCCTTACGTGCACAAAATATCTTGTGTAAACACCTGTGGGGCAAGTTGGAAATCCTCCAGGAACACTTCCCTACCTTCCTAGGCTTTTGGCTGTCTCTTGCCTCTATCATTTTGTTCTTTTCATATTTGTTCAATTTATTTTTTTGAAAAAAAATATTAAATAGTATTTTCCTGATTAATGCTTCTGCTATCAAATTGAAGTCTAATATATGTATATAGTTATCTTTCTGATTCTTTATGTCATCACATTAGTCTATTTTTAGAATCCTATGCAACCGATTGATTCTAATTAGTATGTTTTATCATATAGTCTTGATATGTAGTAAAAAATTTCCTCCATTGATGTATTCTTTTTTTTTCAGAGTGGCCTTGTCTTTGAAAGCCATCTAACTTACTGCTATTGGATTGTTTTTTGGTTTGTTTTCCTCAGAGGGAAATCTACTGTCTTTCAATCATGTATTTTCAATTCTTTTAATCATGTTTTCTGTAATTTTTGGTAGTTTTATTCTTAAATATTTTAGATTTTTGTAGCTCTTTTAAATGGTGTTCCTCTAGATTTTTTATTTTCTAACTAGTTATGAATGGTTTTTATGTATCTCTTCCTCCTTTCCTCCTCTTTCTATGCTATCGCTGTTCCTCACTCTCTGGTTCTTGCTCTTGCTCTCTGCCTGTCTTTCTCTCAGCTTATTGCCTCTGGCGTTCAATGCCAGTGGTGATGTCAGCCATTGAGTTGTCTTAGTAAAAATATCTCTCTTTTTCCTTCTGCTGCATCACACTTGATTCCTGACAGAGAGTATTCTAAGACCTCATGTGAGTAGATAGAATTCACCCTTACACTCCATGATACTCTCCAGATTTTAAAGTCCTTAACCTTAATCATATCTGCATCATGTTTGTCATGTGAGGTAGCATATACAGCTTTCAGCCAGTAGGGCATAGACAGCTTTGGGAGCATTTCTATCTATCATACACAGTGTAAAAGACAGAATCAGAGTCCCAGACTCAAAGTGTAAGTATCAGAAGTTTTGAAAGGTACAAAGTATTCAAATGGCCCATAAGAAATTGATGAGGTTATAATGAAATAACATTACAGCACAAAAACAGCAGTTACTGTGTGCCAATCACTATTGTGAACATCCTATATTTAATCCTCTCAGCAATCATGTGAGGTAAGTATGATTGGTGTCCCGGTTTTATACACACATAAACTGAAATGAAGATTAGTCAATACAATGCAAAAATGAAAAGAAGAGAAGAGAAAAAGATGGAAAGAGGAATAAATTAAGTTAGCTTTGATTTTCTTAAAGGGACAAAATACTACATTGTATCATAAACTGTGTGTTTCACCTCTTTGGTATTAGTGTTTCTTCTAGAAACAATATTTCTCAAATTGATATAATTTCTCTAGCTGGGTTATATTTATAGTTAATCTGCAACACTATTCATTTTCATCTATATTGGGTTACAGACAATTCCCTTTCACCAATGACAGTTATCAATGAAACAGGCAGATAGAAAAGAAATTGCTGCTTTAAATTGGAGAAAAATTGTCACAAAGGATTATTTTTCATATGCATAACTACTCAAAACAAGACTGTGCAAGATCATTCTGAGTGACAGGAGACATCCTATCAGTCTGAAATATCACAAAAGCAATGATAAAAGCTTTGGGCTACAACAGACTACTGCACTTAAATTAGGTGTACTGTGTATCAGATTTTAAAAAATATATAAATACCACATAGTTCGTTGCCAAAGTGAGTTGATTATTAAAGGAAACATTAATTACAGACAGTGAGAAATTAGCATAGACATTTCTAAAGCAATATTATTTGTGAATGTAAACCTGTTTATTATTGATTTATATTTTCTGATTTTCTATCAGTGATTCATAGCTGAATTTATTTCTCATTGTCTTATACAGAAATAAATATTTTAAAGAGAAACTTATTGGTGTATGATATGTAATTCTTCCTTTAATGTTATTTTGATTAAATAGTCATATTAACCCTCATTCACTCAGAATACCGATGTCTCTCAGTTTCTTCCCTGTGATCTCACTGCCATAAAAAACTCAATTTTTGTATTTCTTACAGATTTGTCTTCCCTGCAAAATGCCTTGGGAACAGTCTTCATGTTATCATTTGCAAAATGCTGACTCACAGGAGATATTGAATATGTGTTTGTTGACTGGCTACGAAATGGAAATGTATTGTTTTCTCTATTATGAAGAGAAAGTGAGGCAGAGCAAGCAGTTGGAGGAGAACGATATTTAACTGAGAAAGAAATATGTCCACAAGGAAGTGATCAACAATCCTACATGCTGCAAAGTGATTAAGGAGAATAAAGATCAAGAGGATGTAGAAGCCTGATTATAACTGGAAAGAAAGTTAATACATCCTGAGGACAGCAGTAGGTGTAAACAACAAATTCATACATTTTGTAGAAAATAGAGGTGAAAAACTGGTTACAGAAACTCAGTGCACAGCAAGGGCAAATAAGCTTGTTTGCAAGCTAGAAGTCTTCTGTTGATGCCAAAGAAAGAAAATAGTATATTATGTAGCAGGAATGGACAGAGAAAGAACCTGTGAAATTTATTTTTATGGAAATTCACTTAAGTGTTTTTGTACTTTTATTGTATATTCTAAGCAAAATAATATTTTCCTAATTGACTCAATAATTTTATAAAAATTGGCATCATATATGGCTAAAGAACAATTAAAATGCATTCATAAATTATTTAGTGATTGATTTGTTTGTTGTTTGTTTATTTATATTGTGCTGCATTCCACAGAGGAATTGAGATGCTTAGTGACAGCTAATATTTGCACATCCCATTCTTATTTACAAAGTATTTTACATAAACATTTAGACCCACTGAAATCCTTTTGTGAGAAAGGAAAGAAAACTGAGAAGAGGGTACTGAAAGTCAGTTAAGAGCAGAAAATATGTATGGGACATTTACCATTTGGTTGCAGACTCTATGTTAGGTAGTATCCTATAGAAGTGCCCAAGGTTTCTTATCCTAGATAAGCATACATTGTAATGAAAGAAACAAACATATAAACAGGCAAACTCCAATATAGTCATTAAAATAAATGCATATGCAACATGATATGAGAGCAAAGAAAGGAAAGGACAATTTAGGAAGAGCTTCCCAGAGGGATTGATAATTAATTGAAAGTGTGGGGAGGTGAAAACTTATAAAATAGACTTCAGGTCTGTGTACTTGGGATACGTTTTTGCCATTATTGTAAGTTGTACGTATATGAAAGCTAAGAGATTTATGATACTAGATAATTCAATTTTATTTTGAACCTTAGGAGCTTAACGTAACTGAGAGACAGACATGACACACAACATGTATGAGGACATAAAGGAGGTAGAAATGTAGGATGCGGTCAGGGAGAAAGAGAAACACCAGGCAGGAGTCATTAGGGAGTCATTAGCATAATGATGGAATTTTCAATCAGGTGTGTAAATTAAAACAATGGAAGAGAAAGTACAGAAAAAGTGGCACAATGGTGAGACGATGGATATGTTAGTTTGCTTCACTAACCTCTTTACTATCTATGTGGATCCTTTAACATGTTGAATACCCTAAATATACACAATAAAATCTGCTAAAAAGTAAAGCACAATTAACTAGTTTACAACTCTTTGTAATATAAAATGTTTCAAGGTCAAATATGGGGATAAAATCCCATAAAATGAATACAAAGGACTGGGGGAAAACCAGACAAGATAGTGTTTATAAGATAGAAGAAGAAAGAGTTTGAAAAATGAGCATCAAATGCATCAGAAAGTCTCAATAAGATGTATACTGAAGAATCCGTTCTAGAAAATCAGCAGTAATATAATGGAAGAAATAGAAACTGAGTTAATATATTTAAGTATGGGAAGTGAATAGTGAAGCTCTTACTTCCTGGATGAGTCTTATAATACTTGGCTGACAGAGGAGTCAAAAAATACAGGAAACCTAGAAGAAAAATATAAGGAGCCTATAAAGAGGCAATTTTGACAAGAAACCCAAATGACTCACATACGTAACTGATGCATTGAGTCTGTTGGCTTTAATGGGGCAAAAATAAGAAATGACTTTATTTTTATTCCACTACTATGTTCAGTCAGGCTCTGCCAAATTTCTCACATCTACCCGTCGATGATCTCTAGGAATCCCAGAGCCTTTCCTTTACTTTTATTTATATGAGTAGTCTTATTTTGGTAGTTGCTACTTACTTTCAGATATAATAAGGTTCTGTTCACTCCTGTATCAAACTTTAATCTTACGGCAAATAAAATTTTTCTCTATTATTCTGGGCTCACACAAGAACCGTAGCTTAGCTTCCTTCAGACGGGGAGGCATGGGAGCATGATATAGAAAACAAGAAGGGGGCAAAAGCATTTCATTTATGTGATGCAGGTAGTAATTTTCACTTGGATATCAATGCTCTTTGTGAACAGAAAGTACACTTTTCTATGCAACACATTTGAAGATTCATTCAGTTAAGCCTGAACGGTTCTGCAGATAATCAGTTAATAGTCTCCTATCCTTACAGGTAAGTCAGACTTCTCCAAGAGGCTGCCTTACAGACCCTTCCCAAACCTCGAGGTGACCTTCTCAGGAATTGTAGAGGATGGAATCTCAAGAGTCCAGCTCTCATGAATACGCTCTTTTCGCATCTGGGGTCTGTGAAGTGTGGCTTTTTAAGTTTTCATGTGGCTTCCAAAAATGTAAATAGAAAAGCCTGAAAACAGCAACATGTGAACACCTGCAATCGAGCTATTACTGACGTTTGAATTAACACAGTAGCAGTCATATAGGGAATTTTACTTCTTTACATGAATTCCTTATCATCTCAACCCAACTTTGGAGGAGCCACCAGTGCAGAAACAGAGAGAGGCAGTGGAAAAGAAAAGAATGAAAGAGCCAGTGCTTCTCTTCCCTGCTGCATATCCTTAGGCCCAGGTGCACCAATTGAAATGGGAGGAGTTGCCTTAACCGCCTCACAGGGCTTGTGACAAGGGTGCGGCTCACTTCTTTGGCGTCCTGCTGCTCAAACCCTTATAAGGAGCGTGCAGACTGGCAGGTCGTGGGGAGCGTTTTGGGCTGCGACCCCACAGCAGCGTGGAGAGTTGAGTGTTTACGGCTCCGGAAGCCACAGTGGGAGTTGTGTTACAGTGTGCTCTTTCAGTTTTGCCATGACAAGGCGGCTTGTGTTAGTTAGCTCTGCCTTATCGCTAGGACAGAGGGCTTTCTGTTTCCCAGGTTTTTACCCTAGTGTACCAGAAAAATCGGATCACACGTGGGCTTGGAGGATGGGCGCAAGGTTTTATTGAGTGGTGGAAGTAGCTCTCAGTAAGATGGTTGGGGAGGCCAGAAAGAGGATGGAGTAGGAAGGTGGTCTTCCCCTGGAGTCTGGTCACCCAGCAGCCGGATTCTCCTCCGACTGGCCCCAGCCGAATTGCACGTCATCCCACCCTTGATGGCCTGCTGGCATCTGCTGCCGTCTGTCAGTGTGCTCTTCTGCTCCTCTGCTCCTCTCGACGTCCAGCCCCTTGTGTCTGTGCCTGCTAGGGTCTCGGGTTTTTTTATGTGCACAGGATGCGGGGCGTGGCGGCCCCCAGTGGTCTTGGAAAAAGCAATTTTTGGGCGCGAAATCAGGAGTGCCTATTCTCTGTTAGGTCTGGTGCACAAGCTTGATGGTGGAGCCCTTGCCAGGGACCCCGCCCTTCTCTACCCAGCCCTTCCCTCCCCCTCCTGTATCGTTACCAAAGGGAATTGGGAGACTTTGAATAGGATGTGAGAATAATGTTTACGATACATCTCCATTTTATATCAGACAATTGCATAGATTACATAGAATTGCATAGATTACATAACATGTTTCAGAGATCCTATGTTCTATTTATTTACTATTGACTATCTAATACTATGTAATAGTATTTAATACCATTTACTTTTTAATACTACTTATTATTTATTCTTAGGCAGAAACAATAAGATCTTTTAAAGGTAATCTTTCTTCATCTGAACAAATATCCTTATTATTTATTTTGTATTTTAACTGCTCTATTGAGACAATCTTTGACATATGAAAGTCATACATATTTAAGATATACAACTTGATGTTTTAATATACATGAACATTATGGAATGAACATCAGAATCAACCTAATTAATATCTTCATTATCACCGTACAGTTATGTGTGTGTGTGTGTGTCTCTGGTGAAAAGATTATGATCTATTTCCTTAGCAAATTACAAGTATACAATGCAATATTATTAACTATTATCACCATGTTGAACATTAGAGCTCCAGATATTATTCATGTTTCATAACTGAAACTTTGTACTATTTGCCAACATTACCACCATTTCCGCCTCCACTTAACCACTGGCAACCACCATTCTACTCCCCGATTCTATGAATTTGACTATTTTAGCTTTGAAATATGAAAGATTAGGCAATATTTATCTTTCTGTATCTGGCTTATTTCACTTATCATAATATCCTTCAGCTCCAAACATGTTGAAACAAATGGCATGATCTCTTTTTTTAAAGGCTGAATAATATTCAATGCATAAATATATACCACATTTTCTTTCTCTATTCATGTAGGTTGTTTCCATATCTTGGCTGTTTCGAGTAATGCTTCAATGGACATGGAAATGCAGATACCTCTTTGTGATCCTGATTTCAATTCCTATGGTTATATACCCAGAAATGAGATTGCTGGACCATGTGGTAATTCTATTCTTAACTTTTTGAGGAACAACCATGCTATACTGCATAATGTGTGTACTTACCTTCCCACCAGGAGTGTATAACGGTTCTGTTTTTTTAAATAAATCTGTTGTTTTCTCTTTTCATTTTGGTAATAGTCATCTTAATGGGTATAAAGTGTACAAGGTGATATCTCACTGTGGTTTTGATATGCATGTCCCTGATGATTAGAGATGTTGATTGAGCACGTTTTTAATACATCTGTTAGCCAATAAATTTCTTATTTTGTGAACTGTCTTTTTAGGTCTTTTGCCCATTTTTAAATTGGGTTATTGGTGTTTATGTTATTGAGTTTTCTGAGTTTCTTTTATATTTTGGGTATTAATCCCCCACCAGAGGTATGGTTTGTAAATATTTTCTCTCATTCTCTAGGTTGCCTTTTCATTTTCTCAATTGTTTCGTTTGCTGTGCAGAAGGTCTTTAGTTTGATGTAATTCTACTTGTCTATTTTTGGTTTTGTTGATGTGCTTTTGGTATCATACCTGAAAAATTATTGCCAAGAGGAAAGTCAAAAATGTTTCCTCTATATTTTCTTTTTTGAGGAATTTTACTATTTCAGGTCTTACACTGAAGTCTTTAATCAATTTTGAGTTGATTTTTTTGTTTGGTGTGAGATAAGGATCCAATTTCTTTTCTTTGCATGTAGATATCCACTTTTCCTAGCACCATTTATTAAACGGATTATTCTTTCCCTATTGTGTGCTCTTGGCAGCCTTGTCAAAAATCAGTGGACTGCAAATGCATGGGATTATTTCTGGGTTTTCTAGAGTGAAGACAAGAGGGATTTTTATTTTAAATGCTAATCTGCCATGTATCTCCTGACCAACCCTGAGTTTGGGAGTGCTTCCAAAATGTCTAGTTGATGTATTATTCTTTATGGAGAAAAAGCTGTTCACTGTAAGTTACCTCCCAAATAACTCTTGATGCTGTTGCAGAAATTATAGCCCTTAACACTCATAGCCACCTACACATTCCTTCTAGAGCATGTGTATTTTCCACAAAATATAAGCCCTGTGTCTTGGGGGTTTCAGTGTGGAGATCTTGTCTTGCAGCTGCCCAAGGCCATGCTTATCTTTGTAAGTCCCGCTAATAAATGACCCAAAACCAACAAACAGGACTTTTCTGCCTTCTTTGGTTTCTCAGCTCCTTCTGTGTTTGGGGGTCACTTTCTACACACAGCCCTTTCATGGAAAATTTATTTTGTTCAATTGATTAATGTTTGTGTTTTTAATGTTAGTATCATACTTTATTAATTACTATAGCTTTATAATATAATTTGAAGTTAGAAAGTGTGAAATCTTCAGTTTTGTTCCTCTTGTTCAGTAGTTATTGGCTATGTGGATCATTGTGATTCCATAGCAATTTTAGCATTATTTTTTTCTATTTCTGTAAAAAATGTCACTGGGACTTATAGATTTGATTCTACTGGATTTGTAGATAGCTTAGGGAAGTATGAATATTTTTCACAATATTAATTCTTCCGATCCACGAATATGGAATGTCTGTTCATTTATATATTTTAAAACATTCTTAATCAAGGTTTTATAATATTTTTATACAAGTATTTCACCTCTTTGGCTCAGTTAATGCCTAATTTTTTTTTCTTTTAGTTGCCAATGTAAATGGGATTATTTATTCTTAATATCCCTCTTAAATAATTCATTGTTAGTGTGTAGAAATGCAACAGATTTTTATGTTAATTTTATTTCCTGCAAATTTACTGAATTCCTTCATTAGTTAATAGTTCTTGTGTGTGTGTGTGAGGGAGTCTTTATAGTTTCATTCATATGATTATGTAATCTGTAAACAGATAATTTTACATCTTTGTTTCAATTTTGAATGCCTTTTATTTCTTTTTTCTATTCTCAAATTATTTTATTTCTGCTCTAATATTTATTATTTCATTCCTCCTGCTAATTTGGGGTTTTGTTTGTTCTTCTTTTTCTAATTCTTTGAGTTGCAAATTCAGGTTGTTTAATCGAGATCTTTCTTTTTTAAATGTAGATGCTTAATCCTATAAACTTCCCTCTAAGTACTTTTGATACATGCCGTACATTTTGGTAAATTTTGTTTTAGTTTTCATTTGTCAAAAGGCATTTAAATTTCCTTATTTACCTAATGGTTGTTCAAGAGTGTGTTAGTTAGTTTCCACATGTTTGTAATGTTTTCTAGGGTGTGTTATTTTTCTTCTGTTATTGATTTCTAGTTTCATTCCAGTGTGGTCTTAAGAAGATACTTGCTATAAGTTTAATCTTCTTTAATATGTTTAGACTTGTTTTGAGACCTAATCATAATCAATTCTGAAGAATCCTGTGCTCTTGAAAAGAACAGGTATTCTGCTGCTGTTAGGTTGAAAGTTTTATGTGTGTCTGCTTTGTCCATTTGGTCTACAGCATTGTTCAAATCAGCTATTTCCATGTTGATATTTGGCCTGCATGATCTGTCTGTCATTGAAGGTGCGGTAGTAAAGTCTCCTGCTTCATATATTGCTGCCTATTTATCCCTGAAGATCTCTCTGTATTTATTTTATATATTTAGGTACTCTGATGTTGGTGCTCTAATTACTCTAATTGTAATAATTACAATTATTTTATTTTTCTTTTAAATTGAAATTTTTATCGTTATATAATTATCAACTTTGTCTGTGGTGAGTTTTGTACTTAAAGTCTATTTTTTTCTGGTATAAATATAGATAGCCCTGCACTCCTGCTTTCTTATGGGTAATATTTGCATAAAATATCTTTGTTCATCCCTTCACTTTCAGTCTATATGTGTGTCTTCATAACTAAAGTCTTCCGTAGACAGCATGTCATTGGGCCTGGTTTAAAAAAAAATCCGTTAAACACTATGTAACTTTTAATTGGAGAATTCAATCCATTTACATTTAAAGTTATTATTGATAGTTAAGAATTTACTGTTGCCATTTTGTTAATTATTTTGTGTTTGGAAATTCTTTTGTCCCTTTCTACTTCTCTTGCTGTCTTTTTCTTTTTAATTGATCATTTTTGTGGTGATTTTGTTTTATTCTTTTGTCTTTATCTTTTTAAAAATTCTACCATAGATTTTTCTTTTGTGGTTACCATGAGGCTTGTATGTATCTTCCCGTAAACATCTGTTTTAATTTTGTAACAATTTAAGTTCATTTGTATTTTAAAACTCTGCACTTATACCCCCTCCCAAATGCACATTTTGATTCTTAGAGTTTACTTTTTTTCATACTGTGAATCTGTTACCAAATTTTATTGGTCATATTTTTACTCATATTTTTCCATTGACATGAGAGTATAGGTGGCAAAAATATTAGTGTGGTTTATCTCTTTTATGTTTTTCCCTCCTCTCTGGAGGTATTATCCCGCTGTAAGAGAGTAGATGATATCCAGACAAGCTTCCTTAACCCCAGCTTCTCAAACAAAAGGCTCTGAAATTTCCCCATGATGTCATTAAAGGTAATAAATAAATTTTATAAAGTATGTTTAATGGAAGAACTCAATGTGATAAAAAAGAGTATCAAAAGGTGATAAAGCCTAATGTTCAAGGAAATGCCATTTAAACTGAGATTCTACTTCAAATCCAGAAGAATGACAAAAAATAAGAAACTTATACAATACCCATGTGTTAATCCATTTGTGCTACTATAACAAAATTCTATCAACTTGATAGCTTATAAACAAGAAAAGCTTATTTCTGAAGGATAGGAAGCTCAAGATCAAGGCAGATTCAGTGTTGGGAAGGGCTTATTTCAAGGTCCATAGATGGTGACTTCTCATTCTGTCTTCACAGGGCAGAATGCCAAATGAGCTCCCTTTGGCCTCTTTTATAAGGGTACTAATTTCATTCATGAGGGCATTGCCCTCATGACCTAATAGCCTTCCAATAGCTTGGGGTTAGAATTTCAATATATGAATTTGGTGGAGGGGAGGCAAACATTCAGACCATAGCATCAAGTACTGGACAAAGTATGGACAAATGGAAACCTTTATGCATTGCTATTAACATAATATGTCCTAGAAATTCCACTTTGTAATACATAGCCCAGATAACATTTTGTACTGATTCAAGAGGTGATAGGTCAGAGAATGTTCAGTGAAGGATTCTTTGTTTCAGCAGTGAGTAGGAGCCAGCCTCCATGCTCATTTCTGAACAACTGAGTAAGGAAAACACAGTAAACGTCATTATAGAATTTTATATGACAGAAGCAACAAGCTAGATGTAATTAGCAATATACCTACATTTTCACATCATTATGTTAAATGAATAACAAGGTTAGAATAGCAAAATACCATTTATGTATATTTAAATATATGTAATATACATATAAAACTACATATATTACAAGGACACATATTTTTACAAATACATAAATAGGTGTTTGACTAAATGTCAGTGGGGAGCAGAGTATATTTATGTATAAAAGCAATATAATTAACAATAATAAATATAAAAAATAAGAAGGGCATTACGTTAATAGCAGTAATGTTCTGCTCACTAATAAAAATTATTGACTCAATTATTTGTAATTGTGCCATAAAAATAAATGAAGGAAGAAGGATAGGGAGGGAAGGAAAGAGAGCTGTAGCATAGTCTATACCAAAAGGTAGATGGCAAAGCAAAAGAAGGTTTTATTTTCATGATTTATTGATATAGTTGTTGCTATTTTCCTTTCATTTCCTAAATATAGGAGATATAATTACCTGTTTAGAATGAAGAAAATGAAACAGTAGAAGAAACATTCACAATGTGGAAAAGCATGTCTCAAAGAGTTAAAGTATCTTTTTCTAAAGTAAAAAGCTATTAAGTGGACAATTTAATATGGGAATACAAAAATTCTGACTCTAAATCCAGTATTTTTTCTAACATATTATAAGTTGTTGATATGGTTTGGCTGTGTCCCTACTGAAATATCATCTTCAATTCCCACATGTTGTGGGAGGGACCCTGTGGGAGTTGATTGAATCATGGGGCCAAGTCTTTCCCATGCTCACGAGATCTGATGGTTTTATAAGAAGGAGTTTCCCTGCACAAGCTCTCTCTTTTCCTGCTGCCATCCATGTAAGATGTGACTTGCTCCTCCTTGTCCTCTGCCATGATTGTGAGGCCTCCCCAGCCATGTGGAACTGTCAGTCCTTTAAATCCTTTTACCTATATAAATTACCCAGTCTCAGGTATGTTTTTATCAGCAGCATGAAAATGGACAAATACAACTGTATACACATAAATGTAAAATAATGCAATATTGTATATGCATAAAGTCAATTCACGTTGAAATCTAATTTGTTCATTATCAGTTTTCATATTTATTTCGACTAATTGTCCAAATTGATTTCCTCAAATATGCTTGATCACAGTAACATTTTTATTGTTGTAAGAACACTGAACATGATATACATTCTCTTAACAAAATTTTAAGTGTATAATATAGTATTGTTAACTATAGGAAAAATGTTATGTGGCAGATCTTTACAATTTAATCATCTGGCATAACTGAAACTTATCCATGAAAGAGTATACAAATTGGTCCATAGAAAATAATAGGGAGCCTGGCATCATTATATCCCACCATGTTTCTGAGATTTGTGATCAATCACATATTATATCACTAATCTTATTCTTTGTTTTTTATTGTGTATAGTAGACATTTCCATATAATGATAATCAGATGGAATATACATTTATACATCTGTTTTATGTTTTATTCATTCACAGAAGTATGCCATATAAAACAATGTAAAGCATATTTAATTTTTATTAATAGCTGAAGTAAAACAAATTTTTTCTCAAGATTTAACATAATTTTTCTGTACATTAGGGTTATTTTTCCTATTTAACAACATTCAGGTAGGCAGAAAGATCAAGTAACAAATTCCTCTGAGATCAGCTTTCAGATTTTCTATGCCTTTAATGATAGTGCCTCAGTAATTCCTGCTCCCGCCCCCTTGCCTGGGAAATGTGAGACTGGCTGGTAGTTGGCTTCCATGGACAGTAGGAAGAGAGTTTTCAGTGCAGTCCGCTGAAGCCCAGGTTGAGAAAAAAGTCAAAATGAGACTGGTAGGTCAACATACATATGTCAATTGCATGTCAATTGCATTAAATAATCATTTTAAAACATGGAGAAGATGAGAAGGATTGGGAGAGATGCCCAGAATTACTCTGCAATTCTGTTCAATCATTTCAGAATACATTTAAAAAATTCCTTGATACATTAAAGTGAAATATAATAACACTGAAGTAGTTTAATTTACAAAAAAAAGTGTTTTTTTCCTCCCATGTAATTTTGGTTTTCATTCTTTTAATCAAATCCCTGAGAGTCCCTTTCCAAAGGGTAAAATAATAGGCCTCATTAATTTCCAATTGCACTTTATAACTGTGTACATAGTAAGTATATACAAAAATTTATTAGAATGAATATAATCATTTAGCAAGATACAATGTGTTATAAGTTATTGTACAGCATTTAAATATATATTCCATTAGTACAAAATAATTCAATATATGAAAATATAAAATTAATAGCATATCTAAATATCAGAAACAAACAGGCAAAATAATCCAAGATTAAAAAAACACTGCTTATAATTGCATCAAAATGTCAAATAACAATAAGAACAACTACAAATAGTGAGAAAAACTTTATAAATTCTAAAACATCACAGAATAAACTAAAGGAGACCTACATAGGCTGGGCGCGGCGGCTCATGCCTGTAGTCCCAGCGTTTTGAGAGGCTGAGGCAGCTGGATCACCTGAGGTCAGGAGTTCAAGACCAGCCTGGCCAACATGATGAAACCCTGTCTCTATTAAAATACAAAAATTAGCTGGGCGTGGTGCCAGGTGCCTGTAATCCCATTTACTCGGGAGGCCGAGTCAGGAGAATCCTTTGAGTCTGGTAGGCAGAGGTTTCAGTGAGCCAAGATTGCAGCATTGCACTCTAGCCTGGGTGACAGAGCAATACTCTTGTCCTGCCCCTTCCCCCACCCCCCAAAAAATGAGGACATACATAAATGGAAGCATGTTATGAATTTGAATATTCAATATTTTAAATGATTTTATTTGTAGCTATTTTAGTTAATGGCATTTTTGCTATCCCAGTCAAAATCTGTATAAGTGGATGTGTTTGCATTTATAAGTATCTATGTATATGTGAAACTAGACAAACTAAATCTAAAATTATGGGAAAGACTGACATAATGGAATAACTATAATGAAAAACAATTCTTATATCATATCTGTAGTAAATTACCATTAGATAATCTGACCAATGATCTTGCATAGAGAGCGCAAAATCTGGCCAGTGGAAACATGGATACTTAATTTATGGGAAAAGATGGCATTGCAGAGAAGTAAAGAAAGAACAGTGTTACCAATAAATAACTTTAGTCCAATTCACTACTATTAGAAAAAAAACGTGTACTTTTCTTATTCTCAAACTATTTTAAAAATAATTTCTCTTGAAAGAGAAAATTAAAAGTAACTTCAAAACCAATAAAACTCTAGAGGATAACATGAGTTATATTGCTTTCAAGTAAGTTTAGACTTCTAGAACCAAGCAACTGGTAAAGCTGACTATATTAAAACTAAGAATTTTATCAAACAACACAATTAAGTGAATGAAAAGTTAATACACAGTACAGGAAATTATTTGCAGCTGCTCTAACAGCATAATTATTTGTAGTACATATTTCAATATAAAATACAATTAAGAGAATAAAAAGTCAAGATACAGTATAGGAAATGATTTGCAACTGTCTCTAACAGTATGATTATTTGCGACATGTAAGTTATTTTTAAAAAGGTTCATATCCTGAACATAAAATAACTCCTATTAAGCAAAGAGAAAATAATAAAAAAATGAGAAAAATACTTAAGCTAGCACATCAGAAAACAGAATATTGAACTCATTAGAAACATATGGAAAAAATCCACAACCTTCTTAGGACACAGAAATATTCAAAAGAAAAACGTGATGTAATATTATTATAAAACCTTCATATTTATAACATTAAAAGAGTGATTACTACCAAAAGAGACGCTACTAGGGAGAACGGATGGCAATATTCATTCATTTTGGTGGCAATGTAATTTAGGTAACCATGGCAACGCATTTGGCAATATCTACTAAAGTTTAACCTATACAAATTCTAAGACGAAGCAATTCCACTGCTAGATGTATATTTAATGATAATGGGTGTAATTGTGCATTGAGACTTATACAAGAATCTATCAGTATTCAATAAGACACCACACAAATGTCCATTAACATTAGAATATATTAAAATTTTGAGAAAAAATATCCTCCAGTGTAAAAACGAACAGATGACATCCACATGTAACAACACAGCATAGTTAAATCTCACTAATGCCAAGTTGAGCAAGATAGCCAAGAAAACTAATGTCTGAACCCATTCTGTGCATTTCCAAAAATAGCCAAAACAATACTTGGTTAGAGGCTGGGATTGTGCTCACATTTTGCGGGCAAAGAGAGCATAGTGATTGGAAAATGCATGAAAGTGTCTTTGAAAATACTAAATGTTTACTAGACTTTTACTAGATTTCAGTCAGTTTATATGTGTTTATTTTTTAATAGTTCATTGTGTTGTAAAATGTCCTGTGTACTTTTTCCTATATGTTTTATAGTTCACAAGACAAATTTTAAATAATTTTAAAAAGTGTTTTTATATCTATACCAGGTTACTGCTATTACTTTACTGTGAAATGTTGTGGGTTTTTTAAAATGTCCTTTTCTCCCTCTTCACTCCTCACTGGAAAATTTTGGAAAACAATTATGTACTTTGAAGAGTTATATGAGATTTAAAGCTAGACACCTCTATTGAAATCTACATTTGTGTCACAATATTTTGAAATAATTTTATGATATACGTTGATTTGTATTCCATTATGACTCTGGTTATTTTCTGTTGTTGTTGCAGTTGATCCACTGAGTACATTAGAAACTTTAGGAACATTTTAACGGAATTACAGAGCCAGTTTTATTGCTGCGTGTGATTTAATTTATCTTCTATTAGATACTAACTTTTAAGTATCATGCTTTTTTTTATTTATTATTATACTTTAAGTTCTAGGGTACATGTGCACAACATGCAAGTTTGTTACATATGTATACATGTGCCATGTTGGTGTACTGCACCCATTAACTCATCATTCACATCAGGTATATCTCCTAATGCTATCCCCTCCCACTTCCCCACCCCAGGACAGGCCCCAGTGTGTGATGTTCGCCTTCCTGTGTCCAAGTGTTCTCATTGTTCAATTCCCACCTATGAGTGAGAACATGCGGTGTTTAGTTTTCTGTCCTTGCGATAGTTTGCTCAGAATCATGCTTTCTTAATTCAGTAAAAGTTTATTCTTAGTTACATTTTCTGTCATTACATAAAATGCCTAGTTCAATATTCCACAGTATAGGTAAAACTACCTCCAATGTTTAAACTCTCAAATATCACATTTTGCTTTTGGAAACAAGACTATCATCTGAAACATTCACAATTTTTTCACAACTACACTAAAAAATCTCTAAAATTTCAAATGCAATCTGTAGTTATTTCTACATAAATATATAACAATAGTAACAGAAAATTCAGCTACAATCTCAAATATTTATATTGATATAAATTCTCTTTTCTTATAATAAACATAAAGTGATTAATCTTCATGTAATCATAATTTAACTTTCTATATGAATAAGTAGATAAAACTATCATTGTTCCTAGAAAAAGCCTATAAATAATTTTATTGGTCGCATCCTAATGTTTTAAGAAATTCTTCTTTCCCAGGATGACGAACACGGAATAAAGTTAATGAGTTTACCACAAAGTATCAGTTCTTTCTTTTTCAATTTGTTTGGTTTTAACTACCCCCTATCATTAAAACAATGACCAGGAAATGAAGAAATTAAGGTTGATCAGAGAAAGTAATTATTTAAAGAAAAATAGCATCATGTAATGTTACTTTATCACTGACTGGTAAGGAAGTTGACTTGTACTAAAAAAAAAAAAAGAAAATGAAGGAAGCAAAAGAGGTTTGATAAATGGATACTATCAACAAAAGATAAATGACCACAGTGATAAGACTTGATCACTTACCAGCTTCTGAGAAACATTTATTCTCAATGAAGCCTACTGAGTTTTTCACTATTTTGAGTCAAATCTTCATATAGTTTTATTATTTTCTCAAACACAACTAGGAAAAGTGAACAATAATACAAAGTTACCCATTTAATAAAGTTTTCAGAAACACACACATTCATGAACACATAGTGGTAAACATTTTCCTTCCTCCTCACTTTAATTCAGGTAGGTTATCATTGTATTATTTTCTATAATTGTATTTATTACTTATTATTAATATATTTCTCCTACTTTAACAATGAGTGAACAGAATAACCAGAAACTGCAAAATGAAAAGAACTGAGTTCTATTTATTTTAGTTATCCTGATACCTTGAGCAAATTTCTTACTCAATGAAATATTCTTTTTGTTAATTAGGAGGCTGATTGAAGATGATGTTTGAAAGCAGTTTGAAGCAAAATGTTATGGGATAAAATTCTGAGAGGCCTTGTTTTGAATCTTTCTATATTGTAAGATCCATTGGTCAAGTCACCTTTTTTGCTGAGTCTGAATGTTATTGTGTATGGAGTGCAGATTATAATACTTATACTATTTCTCCTGCAAATTCAATGTTATACTTAGTATATTGCCTGACATAAAATAGGTGGTCAATAAATATAACTTTCCTCTCATCCACTTATTAAAATAAAATATAAATTTCTCATCAGTGTGCCAGTTTTAATGTTCTATATTAAAATACCTCTGAGTTTAGCAGTTATATATAAAAAATTTAATATATGTGTTTTCAGATTTCAGGATTTAACTGTATAATTAAAAATAATATTTAAGTATAAAAAAGATAAAATATCTAAAGTCATGAGCTTCATTTTTTACTCTTTCATGTATAAAATTTTAATAATTAACCAAGTCTTATTGTATTAAAAATATTGTTTAAAGTATTTTTCACTGATTTTATGTTAAACTAATATTTAGTGAGAACTTTATATATTCCAGTCTTTGTCTAAGGTCATTGGAATGGAAAGAAGAATAAGAGTAATTCCAACCATCCCAAGAGAAATAGGCTATTTGAGGATACAACATAGTAAAAAAAAAAAAAATGCAATAAATGAAGAAAAATGTTGACAGAAGTCTTCATGTACTGCTAGTAAATACTGATGAATAAATAATTAATTGCATAGTAGGAGAAAAACTTCATAGAAAAATGAATACAATGAATTATTCAAGTAAAATTGGAAGTGTCTCTGATGGTTAAGAAAAAAACACAAACAAGTGAATTACAAGCAGAAGAGAATAATATCTGTAAAATCTGGGTGGCTATTATACCATGGTGTTTCTATGAATAAACTGCAGATAGAAAGATAGAGGAAAAAAACTGTATACTTTTTTTCTTTGAAGTTAAAAATTTCAGCTTTATTCAGGAGTCTTACTTGAGAAATGTCAATTATCAGCATTGTTTTTATTAGAATCTTAATTTTGGAAGGAGTTTAGAAATATGTTTACTTCTGTTCTTGTATTCATTTAAAAAGTTATGCTTTGAATATATCAATAGCATTCTTCCGAATTATATTACTTTTCTTTTTTTCTACTTCTGCATTTGAAAGAAATAATCTGATATCCAAAGACCGTATATTTCTTCACCTGCTTTCTGTATACAATAATTATTATTCATTAATTCTAGCAGCATCCAGTAAAAATCTTCAGTGATTCAGGCCTTGTGCCAGATGCTAAACAATTTTTAAATTTTTTTTGAGACAGCCTGTTTCCCAGGCTGGAGTGCAGTGGCGTGATCATGACTCACTGCAGCCTCGACCTGTCAGGCTCAAGTGATATCCCCCAACCCCATCCCTGTAAGTAGCTGAGACCACAGGCACACATCACCACACCAGGCTGATTTTTTTTTTCTTTCTTTTTTCATAGAAACAAGGTCTTGCCATGTTGCCCAGGGTAGTCTCAAACTCCTGGGCTCAAGTGATCTTCCTGCCTCAGCCTCCCAAAGTGCTGGAATTACAGGCATGAGTCACCGCGCCTGGTCAACAAACCTTGAGAGAAAAAATATATGTTCAAAGAATCAAAAGAAAGTCACAGGCTGAGAGAAAATACTTGCAAATCACATATATCTGGTAGAGCACTTGTATCAAAAATATATTACTAAAAGATCTTTTAAGACTCAACAATAAGAAACAAAATGGGCAAAATATCTGAATAAATACCATATCAAGGAAGATATACAGATAGCAAGTAAGCATATGAAATATGCATCATATGTCATTAGGGAATTGCAAGTTAAAACAACAAGGAGGTACTACTACACACATTAGTACAGCTAAATCCAAAACACTGACAAAATCAAATGCTAGCAAGGATATTGAGAAATAGCAACTATCATCAATGCTAGTGAGAGTGCCAAAAGGCGCAGTCACTTTGAAAGACAGTTTGTCAGCCTTTTACAAAGCTAAAAATAGTCTAACCATAAGATGTAGCAATCAGGCTTATATATGTTTACCCAAGGGACTTAAGAATTCATGTCCACACATAAACTTGTACATAAATATTTACAGCAACTTCATTAAAAAAATTGTCAAAATGCAGAAGCGACCAAGATCATCTTCAAATAAATGCTGCTAAGTGACAGGTCAGCCCCGAAGGGCTACATACTGTATGATTCCAACTATATGACATTTTTGAAAAGGCGAAACTATAGACAGTACAAAGATCAGTGGTTGCTGGTGGTTTGATGGATGAGGGGAGGTTAAATAAGTGGAGCAGAAGGTATTTTTAGAGCAGTGAAACTATTTTCTATGACACTGAAATGGTAAATGCATAACAATAGCGATTTGTCAAAACCTGGAGAAATGTGCAAAGCAAAGAAGTGTGCAAAGCAAAGAAATGTACAAAGCAAAGAAGAATTCTGTACTTTATGTTCAATTTTTTGTAACTCTAAAATTGCTCAAAATATAAAATCTACCAATTAAAAGCAAATCTTTAAAAATAAAACATAGAACATAATTGAATAATTTTAAAAAACAATGAAAATGAAAATAGCATATAGAAGAACATTTATCATGCATCTAAATCAGTGTTCAGAGCAAAATTCAAAACTTTAAGCACATACTGATTTAAAAATAAGAAGTAAGCATTATTTTTCAAAAAATGAATAACAAGAAATTAAGCCAAAATACGAAAGGACTTAATTATAAAATTAATATTAAATGAATTAGATATCAAAAGCATTACAGCAGAATTAAAAAAATTATATAATCGATTTACTGGAAAAAAATATAAAAAACCAACTACTGTTTAAACCAAAGAAAAAATAAGAATATCAAATATATACAATAAAGAATGGTAAGAGGAGAAAATTGTTCATAGAATAAAAGAAAAAGAAACCTTTACAATCCATAAGAGTATTTTAAAACCTAAATTAAATGGGCAATACTGTAGGATAATAATTGTGCTAAAACTGATCTCAGAGGAAATATTAAGTTCAAGTTGACTTATTTCCACAGAAATAAAAAAATTATAAAAGCAAATAGATAAATAAATATTAAAACATTAGAAAAAATTTATAAGGGAATTATTCTAACAAACCTCTAGTTGATAATTTCATGTCAGTTAAACTACACTATGACATAAAAGATAAAAATACTCTAAATTTATTTATATATCTCAATGAAAAATTCTAGAAAAAGACTGGCAAAACTGAATTGATTTTTGCCAAATAGAGATTATTTCAGTATGTCACAGATGCATCAATACTAGAAATGTTTATATAAAACATGAAATTAATGCTCTGAAAAAATGATTGACTAGATGCAGCCAGGAAGTGCCATTCCCACTGAGAAGGCCTGGGATTTCAACTAAACTAACACAATTTGAACAAATCTTTGGAGAAAAAACAACTGTGGGTGGAGAAAATTTGCAGGTGCTGAGGCTGAAGAGGGAGGAAGCTGGGAACCCGGCATGGCGTGCCTGAATGCTTGGGCGAGCTCCTGGGGAAGGGGTGAGTGAAGGGATAGGGGGACTACCACCTCTTGCCATGGGCCTCTAGGATCCTAGGTGCAGGGGATCCCCCGCATCCCATAGATGTTTGAGCTGGCAGGGGGAACCTGTCCAGAGACTGGACAGAAACGGGATTTCAGCAGACACGGAGCTGGAAACCTTTGTGTGTGGGACAGTTCTGTAGTCTGGCCATAAGTGCCAATCCCCCAGGCCTCCCTGGATCCCACTGAAAGGCTCTGGCCCCAGCTAAATGCTGGACCTGAAGAATCAGGGACAGCTTCCCTGCGGGTCTGTGGCACTTCTGTCCTGCAGCTCCCCTGCCTGCCAGCCCATCCCAGGGCTCCTGCCTGGCTGCACGCAGGCGTGTGTACACGGTGCTGCCTCTGCTGTCCAGTCCAGGTGCTTTGCTACACCTCAGTGCATTATGCCAGCCTGGGACCCCTTCGGATCCCCTAGTACACGAGGAACCCAACCCTGAGAGTCTGAAGGAGTGAGGAGCAGGCACGCCCTGGCGCCCACCCCAGGGCTGCAGCCCATGGCTGGGGAGTACCATCACTCAAGCAGGGGAGGAGTTCACACTCACAGAAAACTGAAAGTGAGGGGTCACACAGGTTTACGGGCTGGTGTGAGACCTAGGCATGCCTCCCTCCACAGGGCTGGTCTGATAAGGGTGGGGCCTGTCTCCCTGCTGGACCTCTACAAGAGAGAGCCTAATGGCCCAAAACACTTAGATAAACAAAATTGCAGACACAGTGCTAATGATCAGAGGTGGCTCTCCCAAGGCCCATGAGCAGACCTGGTGAAAGAGTCACTTCTCTTCCTCCTGCACTGCAGAACACAGCAGCAAACATGAGTATATGCAAAAGAGCAGCGCTGCGCGGCTAAGAGCTTATTTACGGCCTATTGCTCTCCAGTGCCCTATACTGGATCGCAGACTAAACTACACCAAAAACTGCTAATTTTTCCTCCTGAGAAACCAAGGGCAATAATTCAACAACAAAGGTACTGTACAGAGCCTTTGCCTTCTAAAAACTTCCAGAAACAAAGACAACTGATTATACTCAATTACCATAACTGAAAGAACACCCACCCTTCAAGAAGATAAAGATAAACCAAGAGAACTCTGACAATTCAAGAAGGAAGTGTCCCCTCACCTCCAAAGGAACCCACTAGCTCCCTGGCAATGGTTCTTAACCAATCTGAAATAACTGAAATGGCAGACATGGAATTCAAAATGTTGACAGAAAGGAAACTCACTGAGATCTAGAAGAAAGTGGAAAAGCAATTCAAGGCAGTCAAACAATCAAATAAGACCATTCAAGTGCTGAAAGATGAAATAGCCATTTTAAGAAAGACCCAAACTGAACTTCTCATGTTAAAAAATTTGCTACAAAAATTTCATAATGCAATAGGATATATTAACAGCAGAATAGATCAAGCTGAGGAGAATCTGAGAGCTCAAAGCCTGCTTCTTTGAATCAATTCATTCAGAAAAAAATAAAGAAAAAATAATTTTTTAAATTAAAAAAACCTCAGAGAAATATGGAATTATGTAAGGTATGAAATATATTATTCATTGGTATCCCTGAGAGAGAAGGAGAGAAAATAAGCCATTTGAAAAATATATTTGATGATATAGTTTATGAAAAATTTCCTAATCTTCCTGGGGAGTTTTACATGCAAATTCAAGAAATATAGAGAAACCCAGCTAGACAGTACACAAGATGACCACTCCAAAGGCAGATCGTCATCAGATTCACCAACATTAAACAAAAGAAAAAAGACTCAAAGGCAGCTAAAAAGGTCAGATCATATACAGAGTGACTTCCATCATGCTGGCAGCAGACTTATCAGCAGAAACTTTACAAGCCAGAAGAGATTGGTGGCCTATTTTCAGCATCATTCCAGAAAATAAATTTCAACCAAAAATTTCATACTGCATTAAATTGAGCTTCATACATGAAGGAGAAAAAAAAATCTATCTCAGACAAGCAAATGCTAAGGGAATTTGTTTAAACTAGACCACCTTTACAAGAGTTCCTTAAGGGAGTGGAAAACATAGAGTCCAAAGAATGACACCTGCTACCACAAGTATTCACTTAAGCACATAGCCCACAGACACTATTAAGCAACTACACAATCAAGTCTACATAAAAACTAGCTAAAAACATGATGATAGCATCAAAATCTCACTCCAAAATAAATGGACAAAATGCCTCACTTAAAAGACAGAGTGGTACGTTAGATAAAAGATAAGACCCAACTGTCTGTGGTCTTCCTGAGACTCATCACACATGTAACAAAATCCATAGGCTTGGAGAAAGATCTACCATCCAGTGAGAAAACAAAAAAAGAGCAGGAATTGCTATTTTTATATCAGACAAAATAGACTTTAAGCCTTAAACAATTAAGGACATTATATAATGATGAAGGATCCAATCCAACAAAAAGACTTAACTGTCCTAAGTATATACACACCCAACATTGCAGCACCCAGACTCATAAAACAAGTTCATTCTTCCTTCCTTCCTTCCTTCCCTCCTTCCTTCCTTCCTTTCTCTTTTTTTTTTTTTTTTTTTTTTTTTTTGACAGTCTCACTCTGTCGCCCAGGCTGCAGTGCAGTTGCACGATCTCGGCTCACTGCAACCTCTGCCTCCTGGGTTCAAGCAATTCTCCTGCCTTGGCCTCCCAAGTAGCTGGGACTGCAGGCGCATGCCACTACACCTGGCTAATTTTTGTGCTTTTAGTAGAGACAGGGTTTCACCATGTTGGCCAGGCTGGTCTTGAACTCCTGATCTCAAATGATCCACCCACCTCGGCCTCCCAAAGTGCTGGGATTACAGGCGTGAGCCACTGCACCCGGCCAAAACAAGTTATTTCTGACCTAAGACTTAGATAACCACTCAATAGGAGTGGGAGACATCAACACCCCACTGATGGCATTGTACAGATTATCAAGGAAGAAAACTAAGAAAGAAACTCTGGACTTAACACACACTTTGAACAACCAAAGAATATACATTCTACCCATCTGTATGTGGATCGTATTCCAAGATAGACCACATGATTGGTCATAAAGCAAGTCTAAATAACATTTTTAAAAATCAAAATTATACCAAGCACTAAAACCAGAGTGCAATGAAATTTTCAAGATCTCTTAAAACTACACTAAGACATGGAAATGGAAAAACTTACTACTGAATAACTTTTTATTGAACATCACAGTTAAGTCAGAAATCAAATAATTATTGTAAATTAATAAAAATAGGATCACAACTTACTAAAATCTCTGAGACACACCTAAAGCAGTGTTAAGAGGAAAGCTTATAGCACGAAATGCCTTCATTAAGAAGTTAGAAAGATTTCAAATTAACAATCTAAGTTTGCACCTAAAGAAACTGGAAATAAAACAGAACCAACCAACATCAAAGCTAGCAGAATAAAGTAAATAACTAAAATTAGAAAAGAACAGAATTAAATTGAGACACAAAAATCCATACAAAAAACGAGAAAAAAATCCATACAAAAAATCTTGAAACCAAAAGTTGGTTTTTGAAAGAATAGGTACAACTGATAGACATCCTCTAGCTAGATTAACAAAGAAAAAGAAAGAGAATTTTCCAAATAAGCACAATCAGAAATGACAAAGGCAATATTGAAACTTATAGAATACAAAAGATTCTCAGAGACAACTATGAACAATTCTATGCACAGAAATTTTTAAATCTAGGGGAGAAGTATAAGTTTCTGGCTTACACAATCTCCCAAGTTTGAATCAGGAAGAGACTGAAACCCTGAAGAGACCATATAAACTTCTGAAATTCAATCAGTAATAAAGAACATATCTATCAAAAAAAGTCCTGGACCAGTTGGATTCACATGCAAATTCTACCAAATGCTCAAAGAAGAACTGACGCTAATCTTACTGACACTATTCCTCCAAATGGAGGAGAAGATGTTCCTTCCTAATGCATTTTATGAAGCCAGCATCAGCCCAATTGTATTTCATAAAGCAAGCATCTTTACCAAAATTTGGCAGAGACGTTATTAAAAAAAAAAAAAAGGAAGAAAAGAAACAAAAGAAAAAAGGAAACTTCAGGCTAGTATTCCTGATGAATGTAGATGCAAAAATCTTCAACAAAATATTAGTAAACTAAATCCAAGAGCACATCAAAATGTTAACACACCACAATCGTGTATGCTTTATATCAGAAACACAAAGCTTGTTCAACATACACAAATTAATTAATGTGATTTACTACATAAACAGAATTAAAACCAAAAACCATAGGATCATCTCAATAGATGCAGAAAAAGCTTTTGATAAATTCCAACATCCCTTCATGTTAAAAACCCTGAACCAATTTGGCATCGAAGGAACATACCTCAAAATAATAAGAGCCATCTAGTAAAAACTCACAGCCAACACCATACTGAATGGGTTAAAGCTCAAACCATTTCCCTCAAGAGCTAGAAAAAGACAAAGATGCCCATCCTCAATACTTCTATTTATCATAGTACTGGAAGTCCTAATCACAGCAATCAGGCAAGAGAAAGAAATAAATGGCATCAAAATAGGAAAGGAAGAAGTCAAAATATCTCTCTTAACTGACTGTATGTGTCTATACCAAGAAAATCCTAAAGACTCTGCCAAAAGATTCCTGGCACTAATAAAAACTTTAGTAAAGTTTCAGGATACAAAATCAATTTGTACAAAAATTAGTAGTATTTCTATACGTCAATAATGTCCAGGCTGATAGTGAGATCAAGAACACAATCCCACTTACGATTGCCACAAAGAAAATGAAATATCTGAGAATACAGCTAACCAAGGAGATGAAAGATAACTACAAAGAAAACTATAGAAAATTGCTGACAGAAATTAGAAATGACACAAATAAATGGAAAAACACTTTATGGTCATAGATTGGAAGAATCAATGTGGTAAAAATAGCCATACTGCCCAAAGCAATCTACAGAGCCCACACTATTGTATCAATCTACCAATATCATTTTTCACATAATTAAAAAAAGGATTCTAAGATTCATATGCAACCAACAAAGAGCCTGAATATCCAAAGCAATCTTAAGCAAAAAGAACAAAGCTCGTGGCATCACACTATCTGACTTCAAACTATACTACAAATCTACACTAACCAAAATAATGTGGTACTGGCACAAAAGCAGACACATATGTCCATAGAACAGCCTGGAAATCTCAGAAATAAAGCCACACATTTACAACAATCTGATCTTCTACAAGGCCACCAAAAAACAAGCAATGGGGAAAAGACTCCCTATTCAACAAATGATGCTGGGATAACTGGCTAGCCGTATGCAGAAGATTGAAGCTGGACCCCTACCTTTCACCATGTACAAAAATTAACTCAAAATGGATCAAAGGTTTATATGTAAGACTTCAAACTATACAAATTATAGGAGTACCAGGCATAGTGGCTTACTCCCGTAATCCTAGCCCTTTGGTAGACCAAGGTGGGTGCTTCGCTTGAAGTCAGGAGTTCGAGACCAGCCTGGCGAACATGTCAAAACCCCATCTCTACTAAAAATACAAATATTAGCCAGGCATGGGGGCATGTGCCTGTAATCCCAGCTACTTAGGAGGCTAAAACAATCTTGTACCCGGGAGACGGAGGTTTCAGTGAGCCAAGATCACGCCACTGCACTCTAACCTGGTTGACAGAGTGAGACACCATCTCAATGAAATAAAATAAAATAAAGTAAGTAAATAAATAAATATGTCCTAGAAGAAAACCTAGGAAATACTCTTGTTGACATAGCCTTGGCAAGTAATTTTTGCTAAGTCCCCAAAAGCAATTACAACAAAATCAAAAATAGATAATTGTTACCTAATTAAACGAAAGAGCTTCTGCACAGCAAAAGAAACTATCAGCAGAATAAACTGACAACCTACAGAATAGGAGAAGATACTCGCAAACTATTCATCTGACAAAGGCCTAATATCCAGAATATACAGGTAATTTAAACAAATCAACAAGCAAAAAACATATAACCCCATTTTAAAATGGGCAAAGGACATGAATAGACACTTCTCAAAAGAAGACATAGCAATAGCCTAGAAACCTATGAAAAAATGCTCATCATCACGAATCGTCAGATAAATCCAAATCAAAACAACAATGAGACACCATCACACACTATTCAGAATGAGGATTATTAAAAAGTCATAAAACAACACATACTGGTGAGACTGTGGAGAAAAAGGAACACTTATACATGGTGGTGATAATGCAAGTTAGTCCAGCCATTGTGGAAAGCAGTCTGGAGATTTCTCAAAGAACTTAAAATATAGCTACCTTTCTATTCATCAATTTCATTACCAGGTATATATCCAAAGAAAAATAAATCATTCTAACAAAAAAGACACATGCACCTGTATGTATGTTCATCGCAGAACTATTCACAATAGGAAAGACATGGAATCAATCTTACAAATCAACAGTGGATTGGAAAAAGACAATGTGGTACATAAATATGGAATACTATGCACCTATAAAAAAGAATTAAGGAGAATGAAATCATGTCCTTTGCAGAAACATGGATGCAAAGGGCATCCATGGTAGTTGGAGGCCATAAACCTAAGTGAATTAACACAGGAGCTGAAAACCAAATACTGCCTGTTCTCACTTATAAGTGTAAACTAAACAGGGAGTACAAACGAATATAAAGATCAAAAGATAGGCACTGCAGACTACTAGGGTAGGGAGAGAGGGAGTGGGATGCAGGTTGAAAATCAAGTAGCATACTCATTCCCTGGGTGATGGGATCTCTACCCCAAAACTCAGTATCATGCCCTATTGTCAGGTAACAAACTTGTACACCTACCCTCTGAATCCAAAATACACAAATAAAATAATACATTCATAGATTTAAGGAGAAAAATTAAATGATCATCACACAAATGCTGAAAAGGTAGCTAGCCAAAATCAACAACTATTCTGGATTAACACACACAATAATAAAGTAGTTGCGGATATTTAATTAGTTAAGATTTTTTAAAATTAAAAGCAGAAAACCATAGTATAATTGCTTGCACCATAGCTTTCTCTCCTTCAGCCCGCAAGCATCCGGATTTGCCATAGAAAAAGACAACCTCTACTTTTTTCTTTTTGTATTTTCATAAACACTGAAGAAGCTGGAGCTGTTAAATTTATCTTGGAGAAACCTCTATTTGGTGTCGTGGAATCTCTTACTGCTTTCAATACACAATTAGTAATCAACTATGTTGTATACTTGTTTTCAGTTTTCATTTTGACAAACAAGCATTGTAATTATAGCTATTAGAATAAAATCTCTTAACTATTAAAAAAATAAAATTTTCCGGATAATGATATCTATTTAATCCTTTTCCTGTTTTTTTTTGTTTGTTTGTGTCTGTTTTTGTTTTTTTTTTTAACTACAGCTCACTGACAGCGTTCATTTAATTTTACATTAAAATGCTCTTTGAGGCTGGAGCAAATCTGACTGATTTTCAATGTGAAAATAAAATATAAAAATTATCATTGGAGTTATTTCTAAACAGAACTAACATCAGAATCATCTGAATCATCAGAATTGTCTGTTTCAGAAAAATCAGATTCATCAAATGAATCTTTGGCCAACAACTCTTAATAACAATGTTAACATCACGTGTAGGAATGCTATGTTTTCTAGAATTTGACATTTATGGGACTAATTACTACATTTTTTAAAATGGAAATGCCACCATTAAAAACAGAACGCTACAAGTGGAATGATCTCTTTTGTTTCCAAAGTTGATATACTAGTTTTTAACAAGGAGACCTGATCCTTCGTGTGTTTTTGTGTTTTGAGGCTTACCCAAGGAACTTATGCTTGCACTGAAATTTAATGGATAAGTATGAGATAAAACTGGGGTCTGGGGATGTCCAAGCACATCAAACAGCATAGACATTAACTCTGAATACAGAGGGATCAGAGCAAAAGGGGAACTGAAAGAAATTGTGTCTGAAGAGCAGAAAATGTAGAAAATGCTCAGCCAGAGAAGTGGGTAGAAGTAAAAGGGAGACAGTATCATGGAGTTTTATAGGGAAGTCAGAAAATGGGCTTTTTTTTGGGGGGGTGGGGGGCAGGGTCTCACTCTTTCACCCAGGCAGGGGCGCAACCATGGTTCACCGCAGCCTCAACTTCCCAGGCTCAAGCAATCCTACCACTTCAGGCTGTGGGGCAACAGGGACTAAAGGCAAACACCACCACTCTTGGCTCATTTTTAAAATTTGTTTAATTTTAATATTAGGTATGAATGAGTTTTAATGTAGTGCTATCACTTAAAGTATATTTTCTAAGTTTCCAGCAAAAAGGCATTGGCTTATTTTTTCATCTGTGTGCCATATAAGTAATTTGATAGATTTTCCTGATCTATACAAATTGTATTTGTTAAAGATATACAAGATACACCTCATAATAATAGTTGGCAGTATAGTTAAAACATATTAGCACTGCCACCACTAATAATATATATTTCTGTAGATACAGTTTCACTGGCTTATTATTTCTTTCTGGTATTCATATCGTGGCCATGAGAATATATGTGGAATTCAAGAAACCATACTCATCGCATTGATGCACATAATTTGAGGAACCACCTATCCTTGGAAATGCTCATTGCTAACACTTGGTCCTCCATTTCAATGCTTTTATTTGTAGAAATGAGGCTAGAAAACAAACAAGTAGTTGATTTTTTTCTAATTTTACACTTTGTCATAAGTAAAGTATTAGACCCTATCTCAGTCTCTTTGTGCAGCTACAAAGAATACCCTAATCTGGGTAATTGATAGGTGGTGTAAATTTAATTTCTCACAATTCTGGAGGCTGAGGAGTCCAAGATCAAAGTAGTAGTATCTGGTGAGAGCCTCTTGCTTCACCCTCACAAGGTGGAAGGCAGAATAGCAAGAAAAGTGAACCCATTCTCAAACCCCTTTTTACAGTGGCATTAATCCATAAATCCTCCACCCTCATGACCTAAACACTTCCCTAAAGGCCTCACTTCATAACTTTGTCACATTGGGGAATAAGTTTACAACACACACATTTTGGGGACACATTCAGACCATAACAACCATCCAATTTATAACCTCTGGATTTGGGATACCTAGAATATCTTTATGATGCCCTTATGGAAGTTCACAACTGGAAATAGCACGTATATCAGAAAACATGCATTCAGAAGAATTCATTCTCTTCCTTTGCCTCACCAGAAAATCAAATCTATTCAGAAGATTATAAGCTCAAGAAACAATGGTCCTCTTTGTAATAATCAACGTAGGCAGAGACATAGTGTCATTCTGCAGAAAATAAGCATCATTGCATGATTTGCTTAATACTCTTATGTTGTCCAAATTGTAAACGATCACTCTGCATGTTTTATCAGTTCTCTTTTGGTAGTAAATGCTGTGCAGTGGATTACTAGATTGAATTATTTATGATAACATCATCTTATATCCTGATTAAAATGTATTGTATGCAATGTATTAAAGTAAGAGAACTAAAGTTTACCTCTGGGGATTTTGTCTTCAAATATAAATGTAGCTTTAAGTTTTCTATAGTGACACCATTTCTTTCAGAATATTTTCTGCATTTATTTTCCTGCAGTAGCTACACGCAGATGTATACTTGGGAGACTCTTCAGAATTAGATTAATTGGAGGTGGCAAATTTAAAGCCTCCTAGGATCAAGCAGGTAATAAAAAAATAAATGAAGAGAGCCTAGTAGTCAAACACTAATAACTAGTGGTTTGATTGGGAGGTGTGAAAAATAATAAGAAAAAGCACACAGACATCCTGACCAAAATGAGCAGCTGCTCCTCAGCCCCAGCCAGCTGCTACACCAAAGAAGTCAACTTTTAGGTGTCAGTTGTTTTCAATTTCTTAAATATTGGGGAAAAATTATTTCTGGTATAAATAAACCTATTTTAGAACTAGATATGCACTTTTATTTGTAAACTTTGCGATTTTAAGTTCTCCCTTTTGAATTCCTACTTATTAAGTAAATGAAATTGAACTTTTTTTCAAATTTATATTTTAATAATTTATTTTTAATTTTACTAAAATAGTTATCATTAATGGGATTCTGACAGGGTCCCATTTACCATGCTAAACATTATAGAAATTACCTCATTCCAGCCACAATTAAATTATATGTAGGTAACATAGTCACCTTCCTTGACGTACGAGAAAACTGAGGTATGGTGAGTTTAATGTTCTTTTTCAACACCATCCTCAATGTTGTATGTGAAAATCAAGCCAGAAGCTTGTCCTCAGAAGCAGAGCACCTACACTCTTTGGTACAGATAGTCTTAAATAGTCTATACAGTAGATAAATGTAGCTGTGGGTACAAGTGCAAATGTAGCTCTATCTCCTGTCTGGCTATCTGTCTGTCTGTCTATCTATCTATCTATCTATCTATCTATCTATCTATCTATCTGTCTATCTGTCTGTCTCTCTAGCATCTATATACCTATTTATTATCTATATGTCTATCTATTTGTCATCTAATAGAATCATGGGTTATGTACATTAACTTTTAACCAGGTTTTCTTTGTTATACTGCAGATTGATAGTGCTGTTTAAAATTACTAAAACCGTTAATTCTATTTCATCTACATTTGTTTACCTACCATTTCCCTTATAATCTTTTCTTCCTAACTTTGTGGAAGATTTTTCTTCCCATGTACTGACTATGTTATTCAACCTTCTAAGAAACCCCAGTTAAATCTATCCCACTATGATTATACCTTTATTTTCTTCATGTTTAGAAGTTATGACATATATCCTAATTTATCACTTAAAATCATAGAATTTTAATGTACTAATACCAGTCAAATATGCTTATGAATTTTTCTTTTAAATACAGGTTTTAAGATTTTTGAAATAAAGAATCAACATTTCTGTTTTTTCTATTCATTTCTTTTCCCCTCCTCTAGCGCTTAGCCTATACCAGGAACACATCAAGTTCATTCAATATTTGCTTATAGAATGAAGGAAAGAATGAATATTTGAGGATTTTCTAGAAAACCATGAGAGGACCCTTTTGATCTAAAAACATCACACTAGCATTGATATGGTTTGGCTGTGTCCCCATCCAAATCTCATCTTGAATTGTAGCTCCCATGATCTCCACATGTCATGGGAGGAATTCAGTGGGAGTTAATTAAATCATGAGGGTGGGGTTTTCCCATGCTGTGCTCCTGATAGGGAGGATGACTGGAGGTCACTGTCATTGCCATCTGCTGATTTCAGCAGGTTTCTCCACTACATCTTATTTTGATCAGTCAAGTCATGGCATAGGCTCACAAAAGAAGTTCTCCTGATCTCCTACCTCATACTGACAAGAGAGAAAATTAAAGTGTTATTGCCTGGAATTGTCAAAAATATCTGAATTACTTTTATACTTGAAGAAAGATGATTTTAGTTATAAAAGTAGATAGCATAATAAATTCATTTGCTCTATGCCTAAGCCATACATAGGTATCCTAGTTTTGCTAGGGAAAAAGATATTTATTCCTTAGGAAGCCATGAAAGTGTCTATAAACCCTAATTTCTTCTTCTGATAAATCTGGTATTTTTTTCTACAATATTGTACACTTTGGTGCAAATTTCTTTTCTGAAAAACTCATTTACTTTCTGCATTTTTGTTTGCTTTTGTACATATACTTTCCCAAAATATGAAAAATGAAAGACTTGACAAACGTAATTCTTCCTTTATATCTTTATGTTAATAAGGGTCCAGTCAGGACACACACAAAAATGCACCAGTAACGTAAACATGGAATCTTTGTCATTAAAAAAAAATCATTAACATACAAATTAGTTAACTACTAAAAAAGTTAAAGGGGACTCTAATAAGGCCAGAATTAGCAAGTGCAAATAAATGCATATATACAACCAACAGGCTGAGAGATACGGGATAATGGAGGAAGTGGAGGGCGTAGAAGAGAGTCCTCTACCCCAGGCTGAGGTTTCAGACTTTTTGAAGAAGGCATGGCTACCTAGGAACAGTCTGTCAGTGGTAAGGATTTCCAGAGGATCTAGACCAGGGCCGACCAACAGAATGGGATCGCTGCCAAAGGATGTAAGCAGATGTGCGCTTGTCTCTAGAAGCATACTGCTCATAGGTTACACAGTGGCCTGAGATCACAGCTGGACCCTCTGTAGAAACAACCGCCTAATGGGGGTCAGCTGCCTGAGGATCTGACCATGACTGGCATCATCCATGAAAACAGCCAGCCAGATAGGGAGAGTATGGCTTCATATGAAGGGCACAGCTATTGTGAAGGAGAGCTTGAGGCTACAACTAGTCTGTGAGGGCTGATAAGGTGAGAGCTACCAAGCCTCAACCCCAGGACTAAATAAAATATGGAAGCAACACTGACCCAGAAGGGAAATGCTTTCTTGCATGACCACCTCACAATGTCACTCAAGAAAAGTTACTGAAAAAAATTCTAATAATGTACCAGCTAGCAAAGCAGATGTGTACAGCGTTAATAAAACTTGGTTTAGGCTAGTTTTAGAGGTGAGAGACTATAAATTCACATCTGCCCCAATCTCTTATCACTGAAGATCTTTCCTACAAATATCTAGCTTATTATCTTTAGGGCTTACCAGGGAAAGAATTTGAATCAGTGCCTTATTCCACCATTTAGTATTATATTCCAAATTTAAACAGTTTAGAATCATGTTTGCATCATTTTATTACCAAAGAATATGATCAAATTGTCTATTCAGATGCAAATAAGAAATCTGCACTTAATTGATTTAACCAAATAGTTTAATAACATGATTATTTAAGCAGATTCAAATAACTTATTAACCAATACAATGTGTGTGCATATGCCTTTTTTATGTATTCCCAGTATATATGTTTATATAGTAGGGACAGAGAGTCAGAGATAAAAAAAATATAAATGTGCAATTAAAAAATCACTTTCAAGTACGATTTTAGCCTATAGTTTGGTCTAGTTCTCAAGAGGTTAAAATTACAGATATTATTTCTAACAGGATTTCAACTATTGTTTATTGCAATCTGCTCAGTTAAAAAAGATTCATCTGATACTCAGAGATATTGGTTCACTTGTCCAAGATTTTATAACTAGATAGTAGCAGATTGCTCTATAGCCCAAGTTTCATGGTTTGAACTCTAATTCTCTTCCCATATCGTCTGCCTTGAAAAGAGCTAGCAATGAATACTCTGTTTATCACATACTACAAAGTCATCACTTGAACACATTGTTAAGTTTTGCTGGCTGTTTCTTTTAACAAGAAATGTAATTTCTTGTGGAATTACTTTTTGAGGTAAATAATACTATCTCTCAGTAACATGGACTGGGTGACATATGCAAAAAAAATTACTGAGAGCTCTATGTAATGTGCATTTCACTTCATATAAAGTCGTTCATTTTGATTTAAAGATACATAAAAGTTCTATCTTAGCATTCTTTATAAATTAACAAAAAGTGTAACTAATGAGGAAACATTTAACATATTTAAAAAAACCGTTAAAGAGGACTCATAATATTCCAGTTCTATCTTTAAAATTAAAAGCCATCACATTTTTACTCATTTTTAACTTTCTTGGCTAAATATAAGTTATTTGATCTTATTTTTAACTTCTCTTGTAGATCCTAAGGGAGTAATTTCTCCCCTTCTTTAGTCGATGCAGAAATGGCAGGGCAAAATTAAGACTGATAGCACAATACATCAGAGGCTCAAGAAATTACCTGAGATGTCTTTGCAGGACCATGTGACAAATGCCACCAACCTCTCTTACCTCCTTTGAAATGTTTCTTTGTTTGATATAAATGATATAGCGGTGACTATCTAAGGACAGACTATGACCAGGGGTCAACTGTATTAATGTAACAGACACTTTATTCCTAGGATATATAATTTACTTCTTTAAAAAAATCGCCATATTTTTCAGTGTACTTTAATCTGTCAGATTTCAGGGTCAGACAGCTTTCTTAAAGTGGATAGTAACAATTTATTCAGAGTAAGCCAGTGTATTGGACTTTAAGATATAGCTACTCTTTTATATCTTACAAAGTTTTAAAGTTATTTTCAGGTTGAAAACTGAAGGCCAGTGGAGAGTATAAGAAAGACATTTTAGGTACGGAATGTCAGACAAAATTTTTTTCCAGAGAATATTTTGTACTTTCTTTTAAGGATAAGTATATTTAAATAACATTCAAATATATAAACCAACTTCAGAGAAACATTATAAGATCATTACCCATTCCTCACCAGAGTAACACTTCAGTCAGGTTAAGGGAGTAATGATCCCTTAAGGCATCAATTATCACTCTCTTTTGCTAATATGAATTGGAGACATTGAAGCCAAGGGATATAAAACATTTGATTTATTCGATATATTTGAGCCTAACATGCCCCAAATTTAGGAAAATAATACAGCCAAAGCTCTTATTTGTTGATATTTTCTTTATATGTCCTATGCATATTCCTCCACTCAACAACATGCATTGTACATGCGCAATATTCCAGGAATTATGCAAATACCACAAACATTTATATAGAGCTGTGTTCTTGCATTTATATAATTACAAATGAAAACAACTACAAAAATGCTAATTATAGGTAAAATATTATTTCCCCCCTTCTAGTCAAACTTAGATATTGAAACTCCATAGTTGAAGCATAGACATTCATCTAGAGGCAGGCTGCTATGGTCTGAATATTTGTGTCCCCCATCCCCCCAAGATTTATATGTTGAAATCCTGAGCCCCCAATAGGTAGTATTAGGAGATTGGCCCTTTGGAAACTTCACTCTCATGAATGGGGTTAGCGCCCTTATAAAAGATGTATAAGGGAGCTCAGTTGCTCCTTCCATCATGTAAAGATACAGGTAGAAGTCACCATCTATGAACCAGAAACTTGGCTCCCACAAGACACCAAATCTACTGATACCATGATCTTGAATTTCCTAGGATCGAGAACTATAAGAAATAAATTTATATTTTTTATAAGCTACCCACTTTATAGATAGTATTTTGTTACAGCGTCTTGAACAGACTAAGACACAGCTTATCAGAGAAATCATTGTTAAATATGTCAAGAGTTTTGACATAATATCATTTTTGAGAGGCATATTTTGATCACTTATAGTAAAACACTAAACACTTCAAAAGAAATTAACAGAAATAAAGCCAACAGGTTTTATTCATTTATTGAGGAATGCTTTTAGTCAAGCATTGTGATTATAAATGAATTGTATTCATTACCTACTTTTTTAAGTGGATGAAAAATTATACTGCTTTCACCCAATGTGTGCCAAACAAAAGGTGGAATAAAAGGTAGCATTGAAATATCTGAGCAGTCTGACTACAGTATTAGTCACATCCTACACACTGACCTTTCTAGTGGCAGGGACATTCAGTTAGCTCTTCCAAGGAGTTGGCATTTTCACAAGTAATAAACCTCTTTAATGTCAGTCATTTGCTTAGCAGGATTACCGTCTCTTGACTGATGAGTTTCTAGTGATGTATAAAACCACCCAAGTGCTTTACTGATTTTGCCTCTATTCAGAAGATACAATGGCTTATTTCAAAGAATGAATGCTATCATTAGCATCCCCTAGAAATTTAATTATCTATAGGAAGACAATGGAAAGAAGTTATGATTGACTTAGTTATGCTTTTTAGAAACATGTGCCAATGAAAGATAGCTATTATACAGGTCAAGGGTTTATGAATAAAACTCTTCTATTCTCAGGAGCTCCAAAAGGTGAGTGGCTAGCATGTTTAAGGTAGATTATTTCTAGTTCAATGTGAGCTCCTAATCCTATTTTTGACTAAAAACAGTATGGCTGTTTTTATCTTTATTCTGACTTACCTTCAAATGCTCAAATTCTTGAATTGAATACAACGCATTGATTGTCCACAAGTGGGTTCTTCATTCCTCCTCTGGCTTGGCTGAGCAATTACTCTAATTCTCATGAAAAAATTTTTGATTTGGAAATCAGGATTAATCTCCATATTATATTATCTAACATACTTCCATACCACTTCCACTTCCACAGTAGAGTTTGTTATTTATTAATTGCCACCCATCCCTTGTATTAGTGCTTTAGCATAGTATGGACTTACTGAGACTAGAGTGTGGCATTATCATTTCTCTCACCATAATAAGTTGCTCTAGCTCATGTTCACCACATGAAAGATCTTAGAGGGATTTTATTTTAAAAATATCCTTATAGTCACTCCTGGAAACCCAAAGATTAGGCATGAATGGACATGCATTCATACATGTTCATTGTAGCTCAGAAGTAAAATTTAAAAGAGAAATACCACAGGTTTGTTATATACAAGTATTGTTGCCATAACAGAACATGGTTTTTAATCTATTATAAATTCATCACTACACATAATATTCAAGCTTTGTTGACTTTTCCCAGCAGTAAAGAAATATATATTTCTTTAGATGGGATGCTGATAAGGATAATAAAAATGTAAAACATTTTTTGATTATGAAAACAATCTCTGGATATTTATATGCATCATAATAACTTCATGTCATTTTAAATAATTCATGAAGATAGGAAATATGAAAGGAGTTTTAGAGTTGGAAAGATAAATTATATTTTTCAAATGTGGCATTTGAAAAGTTTGTGCAAAGTTGGAGTAAAAGAATTTTGACATCAGGTGATATCTGAGCCAGATACATAGCTAATGGAGCTCAAAAATGTTAAAGAGAGGTTAACTGAAAGGACTTTGGGAGTAGAAAGTGAAGATCATAAAAGAGGTCAAGAGAAATAGCAAGATATTCAAGTGAGAAAAAAACCCACACAAATAAATTCCTGAATAATAGGTATGATAGAGTAAATGTTATTTTCAACATGAAGAAAAATAGGTAGAAAAAAGAAAGGTAATTCACACTATGTAAACAGTCAGCTAGTTAAAAAGGTAAATATCGCAGGACTTTTGAGAGATAATTTTGATATATTTTTGTATTAACAGCATTGATTATATAATTAGATGAAAGAAAAATTGTATTCCTAATATAATATGATCAAAAATATATTCAAATATTAGAATTGTTCTGACATTTGGATGCTGACTTTGCATTTGATTCTGAAAATTTATATTAAGTTCAAAAGATGATTTTTATTTAGTTAACATTATAAGACAAATCAAGACCAATTAGGTTTAAAGTAGACAGATTTTTTTTTTTGGTTTGTTACACCTTAAATATATTGCAAATAGGATCTTAGTAAATTTAGTACCTTAATAATTTCTACCGTGATGGACAAATTCTCCATTTTCAATACCACTTTGTTACCTCCTCTATAAAATGAGCATAAAATAAAATAGCAAGTTTTATGAGAGGTCACAACATATTGCCATAAGATCTAAACTTTTAAGTACACTATTAAAGTGACTAAAAGTAGTAAGAAAATACATTAAAATAAAAGGCAGTACACAGTAGATGATGAAAGAACTAAATTGGAATCCTTAAGAGGCCTATAAAAAATTAAATATTGAACAATAATTTTAATTGGGGTTTAGCTTCATTTGATTGTGAAATATTATTTCAAGTTTATTCCTCTTTTTTCAAATGAAGACACAATTGATTGCTACCTTTGAACAGAACGTCTTTTCACGTATATCTCTATCTCAAGTTATTTTCAATATTTTTTGATGTATCATCCCACTAATCACATGCTGACTCACTCCTGCCATCAAAAGCTCAGAACTGCCAGTTAAGCTAAGGTAACATTTTTAGAACTCATTTATGAAGTATTTCTCTTTCAGGACAATAAATATCTTGTATACAGACAATATGCAAAGCACTTCCAAGTTTTAATTGTAAAAAATGATAAAAATGTGTTTTTCATTAATTTTGAACAAAAGAATTAATGTCTACTAAGCCATTAGCAAATTTTCTTTTTAGAAAATATGGAGCCAATAATTTGCATCTCCTTTTTTATGGCAATATTCAACAACCGAATGCAAGATTAACTAAATAACTTATTAAACTAGAACTTAAATCTAATAACAACACATGAAATCAAAACTAGACAAAAATGAAAATGTTTTTGCTCACATAAAAGACATGTCATTCCAGTAGTTGCTTTAGGGGAAAATACAAATTTTAGCCAAATTATAAGCATCAAAAGTATGTACATCCTAAATGAGATAGTGGCAGGAGACAAATTCCTAGGCAGACAGGAGCAAGTACTTGGTGAAACCCGACCAAAGACAATTTAAAGCCTGAAAACCGAGTTGCTGGTTCTTCATAGAGTCCATGACCAGAGGGAACTTCTATTCATTGCCCACTCTTTCCTGATTGGTTCTTTCTAAATAATGTTTTTCCAGGGCTACCCACAGCCTGCACCTCCTCACTCCAAACTTATAAAAACCCTGGACTCAGGCACTCAGGCGACTACCTGCTTTCAGGCCCTCTCTCACACAGAGGGCTACCCACTTTGGGTCCCCTCTCATTGTCTAGAGCTTTTCTATAGCTCAATAAAATTCTTCTCTGCCTTGCTTACTCTCTGTTGTCATTGTGCCTCATTCTTCTTGGACGTGGGACAATACCCCAGAACCTGCTGAAAGGCGGGAGCGGAAAAGGGCGGTAACACTCTCTGGCTGGGTCACCTTGCTGCAGGCAGCATGAATGAAAAGAGCTGTGACATGCTCCCGGTAGCCTAACTACAGGAGTGAAGAGCCTTCTAGGGGCCCAGACCTCTAGACTCCCAGACCGAGAGCTGTAACATGCCCCTGTTTGCAAATCCGTGGGTGGTGGGAACGAACAGGCTATAACAAGCCCCCGTTTGCCAAGCTGTGAGCAGTGGGAATGAGAGAACTGTGACATTCCCTGGTGGCTCAGACTTCAGGCCTCCTGAAGCAGAAGCTGTGACACCCCTTGCGGCTTCTTGGTTGCTGGTGTTTCCAAGTTTTCTGGCGGCTGCCATGTCCTCCTTGTCCAGACAGTGACTCAAGGCAGAATCCGGTCCCTGCATGCTTGGACCAGCCGCAGGCTAAGCGCAGAGCCACAGTGGGTGCGGGATCTGGGCCCATAGCACCAGCCGATAGCAGCCTGCCAGGTTGAGTGGGAGGAGCGAGACCAGCAGGCTCCAGCAAAGTCTGTGCAGAGGTGCTGCTGGCCATGGAAATCTCCACCTGGTGAAGCGACACCAAAAGAATCCTCTGCAAATGCTTCTGAATCTGGTACTTTCAATCTGGGAAGGAATCATATTGTGTACAAATGGCAAAAGGTTTCTTTCTGTACTTCTTTTGGTTTTCCCTTTAACATAGAAGGCTACATAGTACTAGAATATTTGACATACTTAACAAAGAAGGTACATAGTACTAGAATATTTGAAATATACTAGCTAAAAGTGTATATTCTAAAAAATTTAGCTTAGTTATTCAAAATACAAAATATCCTTAGGCCGGGTGTGGTGGCTCATGCCTATAATCCCAATATTTTGGGAGGCTGAGATGGGTGGATCATCTGAGGTCAGGAGTTTGAGACCAGCCTGACCAACATGTGAACCCCCATTTCTACTAAAAATACAAAAATTAGCCAGGTGTCGTGGCAGGCACCTGGAATCCCAGCTACTCAGGAGTCTGATTCAGGAGAATCGCTAGAACCCAGGAGGCTGAGTTTGCAGTGAGCCAAGGTTGTGCCTCTGCACTCCAGCTTGGGCAACAGAGAGAAACTCTGTCTCAAAAAAAAAAAAAATCCTTAATACAGGTCATTAGATTTATATCAATATATGAAACCAAAAGAAGATGCTTTGGCCCCATGTATCATAGTGGGTCTTTCTAAGTAAAATATATAGGCCAATCAGAATATGTCTGTCATTGCAATGCCACTGTTTCCACATACACTCCAAACCAGCTTATTTCAGCAATAGTGTTTAATAGCTAAAAATAATCCAAATTTTTGTAGTTAGGGAAAAGCCTAGATTGTATAATAAGTCCAAATTAAATGGCTCATTTTGTGTGGTTTATTTTGTGATCAATCATGCTCAGAGTGAATACTTTAGGTTGGCAGTAGGCTCTGTTTCACCAAAGTACTCTGATATCCAGACTGAAATCAGCACTGTCATCTTTCCATCTTGGGATCATGGTTCCCAAGATCTCTGATCTCCATTAAAATAAAGGTATGTTTTTAATCTATTCATCCAGCGATGGGCATTTAGGTTATTTCCATATCTTGGCTACTATACATAATGCCGCAGTGAGCATGGGATTACAGGTGTCTCTAATCGTCAGGGAAATACAAATTAAAACCACAAGGAGATATCACTTCATACCTGTTAGAATGGCTATTTTCTTTTTATTTTATTTTATTATTATTATACTTTAAGCTTTAGGGTACATGTGCACAATGTGCAGGTTAGTTACATATGTATACATGTGCCATGCTGGTGTGCTGCACCCATTAACTCGTCATTTCACTTTAGGTATATCTCCTAAAGCTATCCCTCTCCCCTCCCCCAACCCCACAACAGTCCCCAGAGGGTGATGTTCCCCTTCATGTGTCCATGTGTTCTCATTGTTCAATTCCCACCTATGAGTGAGAACATGCGGTGTTTGGTTTTTTGTTCTTGCGATAGTTTACTGAGAATGATGATTTCCAATTTCATCCATGTCCCTACAAAGGACATGAACTCAACATTTTTTATGGCTGCATAGTATTCCATGGTGTATATGTGCCACATTTTCTTAATCCAGTCTATCATTGTTGGACATTTGGGTTGGTTCCAAGTCTTTGCTACTGTGAATAGAGCCGCAATAAACATACGTGTGCATGTGTCTTTATAGCAGCATGATTTATAGTCCTTTGGGTATATACCCAGTAATGGGATGGCTGGGTCAAATGGTATTTCTAGTTCTAGATCCCTGAGGAATCACCACACTGACTTCCACAATGGTTGAACTAGTTTACAGTCCCACCAACAGTGTAAAATGTTCCTATTTCTCCACATCCTCTCCAGCACGTGTTGTTTCCTGACTTTTTAATGATTGCCATAGAATGGCTATTTTCAAAAAGGTGAAAGATAAGTGCCTTAGGTGAGGATGTGGAAAAAAGGGAAACCTTGCATATCGTTTTTGGGAATACAAATTAGAACAGTCATTTTGAAAAACAGTGTGGAATTTCCTTAAGAAACTAAAAATAGAACTATCATAATCCAGCCATTGCGCCTCTGAGTATTTATTCAAAGGAATTGAAATCAGTATGATGAAAAGACTTCTGCACTTCTCTTGTTCATTTCAGCATTATTCACAATAGCCAACGTATGAAAACAACCTAAGTGCATTATGTATAGAATGGAATACTATTCCTCCTTAAAAAAAGAAAGAAATTCTGTCATTTGCAACAACATGGATGAATCGATAGGACATTATGCTTTGGTAAGTGAAATAAGCCAGGGTGAGAAAGACAAATACTATGTGATCTCAATTTTATGTGGAATCTAAAAACGTAGGAATCACAGAAGTTGAGAGTAGAATGCTGGTTACCAAAGGCTGGGGGAGGGAAGAGGGGTGAATGGAGAAAGGGGATATGTTAGCCAAAGGGCACAAGGTTTGAGTTAGACAGGAGAAACATTGATCTATGGCACACTGTGTTGATTATAGTTGACAAAAATATATGGTATCATATATTTCAAAACTGCTAAATAGCGAATTTTAAATACTCTCACCACAAAGAAATTGTCAGTATATGAGGTAATAAATATGTTAATGTGAGACAAAGTAGGAAACATACAATCTATGTTTGCTCATTTCTGCTTATCAGTATAATTTCACATAGCTTCTAACTCTGTGAGAACATGCAGGTCTCTGGAGGGGCTCTTTGAAGATAAAACGGGCTGCAACACATGACCCTCTTGCCTGAGTCATTACATTCTTTAAAATATAAATGACCCTAGAGTCCTTGCTGTTTACTGCACATAAAATAACATCTGACAGGGTTAATAATTATGTCTCATTAATCTATAATCATATGTTATCATTGCGCCCAAATTTTGATGTGATTTTACACATACTGAACCCTCCACTACCTTTAGATAAACTGTGAGCTAAATCATCTTTTTGGAACAGTCTGACAGAAAATCTCTGAAAGATTTCTCCCAGGCTTGGGCTGTCGTCCTCAAGATATAATCCTCAGTAAAACTTGTGACTGAAACTAATTTTAGTTCTTTAAAAGCTTGACTTTTTCAGCTGACATTAATTAGACTGATTTAATGATTCCACAGTGTATAAATGTATCAAAACATCACACTATACTCCATAAATATATACAATCATTTTATGGCAATTAAAAATAAAATAAAATTGAAAAAAATACAAAAATAAGAAAAATATCTTCTAATAAAAGATAAACAATTTTTTTCTACCGCACATGGAATATTAACTTATTCATAAGGCAAGATTTATTTATAGATGCTTTTATAATTAAGTAGGATTAGCAAAACAAAAACAAACAAAAAGCAATGTGTATAAATTTCTTTTTCTTTTTGTAATTTAGACAAAATTTCTAAATCCTTCATATTAGGTCAGATAGATGTAGCCCATAAATAAAATATATCCCTGGAAAAGCAGCTTTGTGTTTCTTAAGCAGTAGGAAACATATTTAATGCAATCATATTAAATGTATATCTACATAATTATTTTTCTATAGATGCCTAAAAAGCATTCTGATATTCGCCTTCTCTAATATTGCTTTAACGTTTTATAGCAATTGCTTGTGTTTAACAGAATTCTTTTGTCATTTCTTTCCTCTTACGCTACAAAAGGATAGATGATGATCTAATCTTCCAATTAAATAAAAAACCATTTGTACACAAAAAAGAACATGACACAAATAATTCATGAGATTGAAGATGGATAAAAGCACATATAAAGAAAAGAAGATAATATTACAGTTTAAAGAATATTGTATTTATTTAGTTGAGAGAAGACTGCTCTCTATTGAAATAGTTTATTGAAAAATGAGAGAAGAAACCCAAAAAATATATATAGAGAGAAAAGTCTTTATATAATATAAAATAGGAAATGCATGGTACAGTGCACATATCAGGAATAAACTATTATTATTTAAGTATTTACAGGAATCATATGTCTGTTCTGTTATTGGATGCTCTTAATTCCACTACCACCAATTTAGCTGGTAAATTTAAAACCAACTAGCTAATGTAATAACTTGCATAAAATGTATATGATTATATTATACTATCTTGTACTTTTATAATGGAGTCTATTTGTTATTTGACATCCCCACTTAATCACTACATACTATATGTGCCAAACAATTTACTAAGCAACTGGATCTACAAAAGAATTAAATAGGGGAGTTCAAGATGCTTATTTTGAGTAAGGAAGATAAAAATAAATATCTGTACATTCACATGATAAGTACAAAACTAAATCTTTAGATTATTATTAACATTTAAGCTATGGGAAAGTGCACTAAAATACATTAAATGGCTCTGAATTCACACAATTGTGTATCAGTTTAGACATACATAAAGACTAATGCAGACTTATGTTTAATGAAATAACATGTCATAATCACAATGAGTTTTTAATATAATGAGTCTTCTTTGTCTGGGTACTAGGAAACTCCGGGTCAGAGTTTACTGGGGCCTGTTTGTGCTTATGTTTGTGTTTGGTTGTGGTATTTTTTCTTTTCTGCTCATGTGTCCTAAGCCCATGCACTGCAATATCGATCTCTGGATATCCATTGGTGTCCAAAAGTCTTGAATCACAGCAGATATAATTCTAACTCTGGGTTGACAGTTGCTTAAGTTGAAACTAATACCTATTTGTTCATAAATAAAAAATAATAAGGACATTTATTTCCAGAATGTTGTCTGCACATGATTTAATAATTTGAAACATTGTACTTACTCCCAAATAATTGTGCTTTATATTTTAATCATCACATCGATATTAAAAACTTTTAGCAAATCAATGAGAAATATTCCTTTTTGGGGGAAGAAAAAACTATCCTTTAATATGTTCCATTAAATTTTGGGACATGCACTTTCAAGTATCTGAACAGTATAATAGCAGTTCAGATATACACCTCAGCATAGTAAACTTCCTAGCAAAACCAAGCACAACTATTTCTAAAGAGCAGTTATAACCAGTACTCATAAACATGTACTCCCAAAATAATTTTTACACAGAATAAAGAAAATAAATTGTATTTTTGAAGGGAGCACTTAGAAAATTGTTTCTGGTCAAATTTGAACATACAATTTAATAATGCACTAATTAGGTACGGTTGCCTGGTGTAATGTTTAAACTGCTCCCTCAAATGGTTCTGCTACATTTTAAATTTTGATCACACACTGAGTTAAAAGTTCTAGCGTAGGCATCTCTACTTCCAGCTTCAATAGTTCTGTAAAATAATTTAGCTTTCTTGTTAATATGGTTATTAAATCAGGGTCGGACTAACTGCTGATCTAGCTCCAGTAAAATCTCATGAATTATACAAATCAAAGTTGTATAATTTATAAGTCTGCTCATGGAAATTTTAACTGATGCAAAAACAAAATCTAGGCTCAGGTATTAGTTTCAATGTCTTTTATTTTTCTTTCTTTGAGACAGAGTCCTATTCTATCACCTATGCTGGAGTGTAGCGGGGCAGCCGTAGCTCACTGAAACCTCGACCTGCAGGGCTCAAAGGATCCTCCCTCCTGAGCTTCCCAAAGTCCTGAGATTACAGGTGTGAGCCACTGCACCTTGTGCCAGTTTCAACATTATTTAATATATTAACATATTACATGGTCAATAGCTTTTTGATTGTCATTTGAAGATATGCACAATTTGACATAAAATATTACATTAAGTACCAAGTAACAAATGATATAAGATAAATTTTTTATAATCATTGCTTATAGTCTATGTTTCTTAAAACATTTTATACTCTCTGAAAAGCTGTTACAATCAAAAGTATGTGCTAACCATGACACATTGCATATATTAATTCTTTACATTTATCTATGTCTGAAAGTTAATAAAATGAAACTCTAGAGAAATAATAAGAGTGATTTCATTAAAAGTAGAGACTTCCAGCCATTTCCACTGAAGCCAATAATTTGTCAAACTGCAAACAAGAGGAGCACAATGAGCAGCAGATTAGTCCTTGTGTCCTTCTGTGTCCCAGGGTGCTCTATTCAACGTCAAAAAGAAAAATCACCAAAATACCACTTCTCCCAGACAGGGGCTTCATATCCATTTCTATAGGACGTGCCATTTGAGAAAAACATTCCTGACCTTTCCCACTCTCAGTTCTGCCTTTCCGTTTCTGGAACCTACTTTGCCCAGGGTATATATCATATATAAATTATAAATACCGTTATTCACTAATGCCTTTTATTTTTTTTCCAATTTTGTCAGGGCCTGGAATCCATAAGAAAACTTAACTGTTTGACAACTAAAGTTTAACCACTTAGGTGATATTTCTTAAATTTAAACAGTTTCAAGGAGAACATTTTAAATAGTATCCTTCTCTGACTTCTGAAACAAATTTTGTGGAACTGAATTTAGTGGTTTTTTTTTTTTTTTACTTCACAATTTTGCTAGGATATTGCTGTGGATATGTTGAAGCTCTTGTGAGATTCATGGTTAGCAAGGACATACTATGAATCTTGGGCAAAATTCTCCAATGACAACTTGTTTATCTGTCTATTTCTGATTCACAAAACTGAATGTAACTTCCTGGTCAGTAGAATATAGAAAAACTTCTGCCAGATCCATTGTTAACATATGGCATATCAATTTCTTACCCTCTGACTTTTTCACTGTTTCTTTACTTTTTAAAGTTGAGTGTAGCATTGAAAAACTTTATGGATTGTTCATCAAGAATTCAATAAAGTATAAACACCACTTTTACCTACTGTAGCTACAAATATTCCAAGTTTATGGATAACTTTTATTTTAATTTTTTGTTATTGAGTGTAAATTTAATGAAGAACAACTCAATATGAATGTGCAGAGGTGATGTCATGTCATCGAAGACCCAAGCTGATATCTCAATATACTAATAACTCTAATATTTCTATTTTTTATCTCTATTATCTTTATCAAAAGAGGTGAGGTTTGATATAATATGCCCCAGAATCCAACTCAGTTACTGCGAAATATAAGAAGTCAATGTAGCCATCTTATATTTCACTATATAATGGCTGACAATGAAATAAGCTGAAGTAAAGTCAATTATTGAGAAATTTTTTTTAAGAAGAAAAAAAGGTGAAAAAACAGTAAGTGGACTCAAATCAAAGTGTTTGTAATCAGGCCAAACATTACATTGATCTCAGAAATTTCCTTTATACTTGATAGAAGGCCGAGTTTCAATTGACAAATTTATACAGTTCTAGTGGATTAGAGAGCAAATTATTCTGAATAGTACTTGAAAGCAGGAAATCAGTTAGATGGTTGCTTTCCCATTGTTTTTTGGGGTACTTATTTAAGTGAAATCATTACCGTCTTTGCTTTTCTGAATTGATTAATGTGTGGGATACAGATGTCTATTTGGATAGTGATAATAAACAGAAGCCAAAATTGTCTAAAATTCTAAGAATCTGGACCAAGCAAGTGATCATTTACTTAACTGTGAAAAAGGAAAGAAACAAACAATAAAACACCTTTCCAAACCTTTCAAAGAGGAAAATAATATCCCATTTAGAATAAGAATAGTTTTGTTGTAGATACACTTGAGTTTTATAGAAGTCTCTGGAAATAGTCTTCACTTTCATAGTCTCGATAAGAGAATACTTCTGTCATGTGCACACTGGAAAAATCACTTTCATTTAGGATATTACATAACAGAGTCATATATCCCAAATCCCTTAGAAATGATAAAATTATAAAACAACCAAAGATGCAATTTTACACTTGGGCAAAATGTCTTGGTAAACCTTAAACTATGTGGCATACAAATAATATGTTTAATAGATATTATTTCTTTTTATATCGCTGCATCATTAAATTCCCTAAACACCCACATATTCCGTACACAAATGTTCACTTGAACATGGTCATCTCAACAAGACACTACCCTCTCATCTTCCATACGATATTCTACCATGGGACATGCAGCAATAACCTATAAGGTGATTGAATATCAAATAGTTTTTGTTTCCATCTAACCCGAAAGAACAAAGAATTAGCCTGTCTCCAATTCTTTCACCACTATTACTTTCTTAGTTAGCCATGTATCTGCTCCTCCACTCATTTTAGCCATCTCCCTGCACCCTGCCACATAACTTGACTATTCTAATCTAACCTTCTTTGTCTTACAGCTGCCCTCGCATTTGCCATGCTTTTGGTATTTTCACCTTTTCTTTTAGTACCCCAACTCTCTTTATTCATATTGTTTTCTTTCCCTGTGCATTCCTAACCTTCCATAAAAATAAGGTTGACTTTTGTAATAAATTTCAAACAATTGCTATTTACTAGTAACTTGTATTAGCTAAGGATTATAAGGGCTATCTAGAGATCATTATTGCTTGTTCTAAGTTATTTTTAATTTGTAATATGCAAATTTTAGAATTTATTTGTCACATATAACTTCAGAAATGAATAGAAGACATCACACACATTTATTATGCCATAATATATGATATATATTATACTACATAGGACTAATAGTCAGGTTCTATTAATTACATTATTAAAACCACTATATATTTGTATTTAATTTTTGTTTAACAGAGAGGTATTGGATATTACTTTCCCATTGTATTTAAAATTTTCTTTTAAAAACTGTGAGCTAGAAAATACTTTATTATGGAATATTATTTTCTTCAAATGATTTACATGAAAGTGCAAGATCTAAAACTCTAAATTTATGTATTGATCCGAAATGCATAAAAATGCATACAGAGGCAATTGAAAACTTATTCTGGTTCTTATGTAAATGCCATAATTCAATGTATAACAGATGCAAGAATTTAGGTGTATTTTTTCAATCCCTACTTCAAGAGCTGCAAGCCTCTAAATTAAAACACCTATATTGTTCTGCTTAAATCCAAAACTACAGAATAATCATATCTATTCAAAATAATTATTTAAATAATATTGTTTTTTAAATATACATAAAAGACAGAGATTTACTAAATAGTAGGCTAGACTTGATTTTATTTTTTTGAAAATATAAGTATTTGTATGTCCATATTGGCATATGCATGAAAAATGATAATTGATGTGTTAACTGTGTGTTGGAGAGATGTTAATTAAAACGGTCACATTCTCCTTCAAAACTTTCCGTTAAAAGTTTTAAATATGAAAATCAATTGTTTTTGGGTCAGAAAACCAAAGTTATTTTCATTTTTTGAAATGAAGTTCAAGAAATATTTTTCTAATAGGGAAAGAAGGGATGCCAAAAAATTCAAAAAATTAAAAGATATAAAAGCCAATTATAATAAGGTTTTAATAAATATGGACATCCTCTTAGTGGATCCATTATTTCAAAAATATTGTTTATTTTTGCTTTTGAGATCAAATTAGAACCATAAAAAAGCTGTTTCAGAAATACAGAAGTCCTGAGATAAAAAGCCTAGGTACATATTTGACATATTAGAGAAGTAATAAAGTGTTTTGGACTTTTTTAATGGGTGGCAGTGGTGGTGGTAATAGTTCCTTTCCATTACTTTATTTTTCCTTCCTCTTTTTGAAAAAACTGCTCAAATTTCCCTCTGTTTAGCTACATTACAGTAGCCAAAAGTACATTAATAGCTTCTTCCTCAACTACCTTGTGAGATTGATTCCAACATGCACATCTTCTCACTTGAACAGTTCTAAAATCATTATGGGTCTTAGGATAGAACACATTTTGCAATCAGTGGCATCAGTAGCAATGTAGCAATTATCAGTGGACTTACATGAATGTTTGTGACGGTGATGAGAATATACCCACCATATCTTCAAGATCTTCAAGAACAGGGAGCTTAATTGGCCAAGGGCTCCAGTGGTTATATTTTAAAGTCTATCACTGCATTTTCACTGAAACCATGCTCACCACAGGACATGTGGTACTTCCCTTTGACTGCACTGAAAAGTGGGATGGAGACTCTTAAATTTCCTTCCTTGTCTTCTTCAATTGAGTAAGACTTGTATTGCAGTTTGAATGCTCTCTCAGTTTCTCCCAACTCCCTCCCTACTTACAGACATTCCCCCTAAAAAGATAACTGCACCATCCTCCTAATTCTTATGGTCTATTTCCTGGAAGATCTTGACAAACAAAATGTGGTATTAGCCTTTCATCTTTTCAATATCAATTAAGTTACGTACATTGGTATTATAAAGTGTTTTGAGTTTAATTGCCTTTGTAATATCTTCAGAGAGCTTGTACTCTATAGGACATTAAAATTTAGAATTACTGTGTAAATAGTAACAGAGCAATAAGGTGTAAGTTAACATTAGTAAGGCAAACAACTTACCTTTGCCTTTGTTGTTTCCTTTGCACACAACAATTGAGTGCTTTATGGTATCTAAGAGGATGCCCACAATGAGAAACTCTGTATGCTCTGTTTTGCTATTGAACTTCATGCAAGAATTTTCTATCTCAACAAAATTAACAAATCTAAAGGTAGAGGAAAGTGGCAAACTCCTTGGAGGGGGAAAATATCAAAGCAATGAGAATAAGATTCTCATTGAATGTGACCAATTCATCATAATATCTTTAAGGCATGTTGTCCTAGTTTACTTAACACTTTTTCTTACGGATGAGTAAACTTTTAGAGTTAATTAAATATGGTATTTTCTCCACCTCTACTTTCATGTTTTCTCTTTCTATGGCCTCAAAGCCTTTAGTTTTCTTGTTCATTTTTTCTTAAATCCCACCATGTTTACCTGTGTTCACTTTGAGCTGCACCCTGACTTATTTTCATGGAATCATAAATCTCTAAGTTTGAAAGAGAATCTGCATGTTATATAAAAAACATGTTTTTCTTCTACAGAAATTCCCCTACAACATCATGGCACGTGATGACTCAGCTGTACTGGAACACATTAAGCAAAGTGTTAAGTTGCTATTGGACCTTATCTCCTCACTGATAACTTAAGAGTGTTGAACAAATTAACCCCTAAAGTTTCTTATAGCTTACAATTTCTGAATTTCTTGCTAGCATACTATTTCAAACAGAATTATAAGGACCAAAATGACCAAAAGGGATAGCAGAAATAGAGGCTGGCAAGGAGGCAATGGGAGGTAGGTTGTGTGGGGTTTTGGACACGGTAAGAAGTTGCCATCTTATGAATATATTTTGAAGTTATGACAAACACAATTTAACACAATAAACAAACAATAGAAATGCACAAGATGCAAAATATTGAGGGAACTATGGAGAAGAGAGTTGGAACAAGCCAAAGAAAGCATGAGTTCTTTTCTATATAAATATTTTATTTACATTTAATATAACCTCATGCAGAGTAAATTGTCCTTCGATATACTCTGCAACATTTCTAATACCATTAAGTTATATTGCATTGAGATGACTAAGTCAAAACTTATTTTTATTTTAAACAAATATCAAGAAGAACATTGCAGAATAGGGATTTTGTCTGCTGTATCTTATCCTTTCTGTCTAGAATAGTAACTGATGTGTTGCAGTATTCTATAAATATTTGCAAAATAAATTTGTTGAAAAATATTTAGGTCATATCACACTTCAAAAATTAAACAGAACTTTCGTTGAAGTCATTATTTCTATGAACGTTTTGAACTTTTTTACGTAAGAAATTTTTTTAATTTTAATTACTACATAAGATCATATCTAGCATGAAGAAGGAGAACAAAAGTCAGCAGATATTTGAAGTCTAAATATTATTCCCAGTGCTATTATCAATATGGTTTATAATCTATTTTATCATTATGTATTTGGGGGCTTTTATACAATGAATTATTTATTCTTTTTCTTAAAAGAATCTGCTCACTTTCAGATATCCACACACCTTCCAGAGAACACTGAAAGTTTTTCAGCGAATTATTACCTACCATTGATTAAACAGGTCATAAATATGTAAAGCTCTTCCTAAAATGAGTAACTCCCCTAAATAGCAAAAATATGAAAGTTGGTCTATCATATTTGCACTTTAATGACTATCTCTGATATTAATTCTTATTTACAAGCTTAATTAGTGATTACCTAAAGTTCAATTTTTTTGGTAATTTCGCTGCTAGATATACATCATGTATATTCATATGTAATCCTTAATCAAACTTTACTTCAAAAAGTGTATTCACTTTTATGCATATAAAATGTTTTATCTAATATTTTATTTCCAAAATATTTTACATTCAAATAAAATTAAAATTCAGTATTATTCTTTTGTACCAATGGACAACTTCATTTTTTCAGACATTGCTATTGAAATAAAACAACAACAAAAAAAACCTTCCAAACCTAATGTTATAAAATACTTACATGCTGACTGAGCTTGTACTTGTGAGTGCCTTGAACAAATGATCATCAAAACAAAGTAGTATCTCCATGTAAACTGATAGAATGTGAGTTCAGACATTTTCTATGAAGTAGGTTTTCCAAAGTTTAGGGCTCCAAATTCTAACTCTGTTGACTAGGATGAACCATAACTGAAAATCATAAAGAAGACTAGTAAAGAATCAGTTATTCTCTTAAGACTATTACTTACTAGGATATATTTTTTGTAACTGCTGTTAAATGAACTTTTAGGAAGGTAAAATAATGAAGAATCCTTACAACTCACATCTAGCATAACAGAAGAATAATTGATTTCAAGGCAAAAATGCTCTGAGTAATCATTCATTCTAAATTATCAAAACCATGCATAAATTCAATAATCAGTACAGTTTTCTCTAAACAGACTAGTTTTTATGTACTTTTAATAAATATTTGTGTGCAAGGAAATATGCTAGTTAAAGAAACTTAAAATAGAAAACACCTAAATTAAGATGTTTGTGATGATAAATAGGGATAACATTTAATATCATTTAATGAGCTTATATGAAGTACCAGATGTCTTACTAAAAATTTATTTGATTTGACTCATGTAATCCTTAAAGTGCCTATAGGAATTTATACTGTTACAATCTCTATTTCACAAATGCCTTTGCTAAGACTAGATAGCTTGCCTAAGATTAAAGATCTTGTCATAGGTCAAATCAGGTTTCTGGGCCAGGCGCGGTGGCTCATCCCTGTAATCCCAGCACTTTGGGAGGCTGAGGCAGGAGGATCACCTGAGGTCAGGAGTTTGAGACCAGCCTGGCCAACATGGTGAAACCTTGTCTCTACTAAGACATACAAAAATTAGCTGGGCATGGTGGCGGGAGCTTGGAATCCCAGATACTCGGGAGGCTGAGGCAGGGAGAATCGCTTGAACCCAGGAGGCGGAGGTTGCAGTGAGCAGAGATCGGGCCATTGCACTCCAGCCTGGGCAACAGAGCAAGATAAAGTCTAAAAAAAAAAAAAAAAAAAATTAGGTTTGCACCAAGAACTACCTACTGCAAAGACCAAGCTTTAGTTGGGAATATGCAAGATAAGTTTTGCAATGTTTTACAAGCTTTTTTTGTTTGTTCATTTACATTTTTTTCTTTTTTTAATTTTTAAGTTTGGGGTACAAGTGCAGGTTTGTTATATAGGTAAACATGCCATGGGAGTTGGTTGTACAGATTATTTCATCACTCAGGTATTAAGCCAAGTACCCATTAGTTATTTTTTCCTGATCTTCTCCCTCCTCCCACCCTCCAACCTACAAAAAGGCCTGGTGTGTGTTGTTCCCCTCTATGTGTCCATGTGTTCTCATCATTTAGCTCCTACTTGTAAGTGAGAACATGTAGTATTTGGTTTTCTATTCCTGTGTTCGTTTGCTAAGGATAATGGCCTCCAGTTCCATCCATGCATCCATGTCTCTGCAAAGGACATGATCTTGTTCTTCTTGATGACTGCATGGTAATCCATGATTTATATGTACCATGTTCTCTTTATTCCATCTATCAGCATCACTGATCATTAGAGAAATGCAAATCAAAACCACAATGAGATACCATTTAACACCAGTCAGAATGGTTGCTATTAAAAGTCAAAAAATAACAGATGCTGGTGAGGTCGTGGAGAAAAAGAAATGCTTTTACACTTTTGGAGGGAGTGAAAATTAGTTCAGTCAGTGTGGAAGACAGTGTGGTGATTCCTCAAAGACCTAAAGACAGAAACACCATTCAACCCAGCAATCCCATTATTGGGTGTATACCCAAAGGAAGATAAATCATTCTATTAAAAACACACATGCATGTGTATGTTCATTGTAGCGCTATTCACAATAGTTTTACAAGCTTTCAAAGGGCATTTGGTTATGAACAAATGTTATGAGATACATATGATAGCCATTATTATGTCCACATTTAAAAATTAGAGAAGAGTAGAAAAATAAAGTGATGCTGATTGGTTTACTTACTTATTCAAAGTGAAACAGCTATTATTTTGAAAGAACCACATTTATCACCTAAATTTTACGACACTAAACCTAAAATTATCTGTACTAAACTACACTGTATCTATACATAGCAAAAATTTCTCTTCCTGTGGCAGTATGGTATATCATTTTCCTTTTCTAGTCCCTTAAATCAACTTTTTCGAGGGTCATAGTTAACCAGTCAATGTGTTGTTACTTTATCATCAAGGCATCAAAGACCAGTCAAAATCCTTCATTTGTATTCTCAAGGCAAGGTGAACCTGTTTTTAATATGACTGTTTATACCCTCTACATAGTATTATCTACTACATTGATACAGGTATCATTACATGATAGATATTATGATAGATATCATTACAGTAGAGATAGTAAATAAACATTTATAAAAGAATTAATGAATGATGTATTTAATTCAAATACCTGTAACAGAAGCTCAGCATTGTAGAAATCAATAAGAAAAAATGAGTTTCATTTTTTATTACTCCTTTGCATTCTAATCATGTTTGTGAAAAAATTATCTATCATTACAAAAAGTTCAAATAATTAGGATGTACAAATTGTTTATTCTTTTCGTTTAGAAAAATGTAAACCTCTTTTTCACAAATTTACTTCTATATCTATAATAATTGTGATGACATACCTGTTGTTTTTCTAAAGCTAAATAATTGACAAAAGTATCTTTAACTTCAACTAGGATAATTAACTACACTAGATTAATTTGTATTCATTAAAGTAGTACTGTCTTTAATATGTAATATAGCTGTAGTGGATAATGACTTGGCTCTGATTCTAGGCAAACTGTATTGCAGGTTAGTTTTATTGAGGTATAATTTTCATAGAATAAAATACACCCATGTTAAGTGTACATTTGATTTCATTCTGACCCATATAATACATTAATTTGAGTGAAGATATAGAATGTTTCTATAATCCTAAAATATTCCTTGTGCCACATTTAAAATCTGTTTTTCTCAACCACTGTGCCTGGGTAACCACCAATGTGCTTTCTTTTACTATTGACTAGATTTACCTTTAAAAAATTGATAATATAAACAATGTTACTATGAACATTTATGTACAAGACTTTGTGTTGACATGGGTTTTTAACTATCTTGGTAGATTACACAGGAATGAAATTATGGAGTAATTTTCTTGGATAATTGCCTAGAAATAAGAAACTGTCTAACTATTCCAAAGAATTTGTACTATTTTATGTTCCCACTAGCAAGGTATGGAGAACTATTTGTTCCATACCACTGTTAACACTAGTCAGCTTTTTAACTTTAGCTATAAAAAAGAGTGTAAAATTATATGTCATTGTGGTTTTAAGTTATATTTCCTTAAAGACTTATAATGTTGAGTTCATTTTAATGCGCTTTTTCTTGATATCCATATATCTTTTCCAGTGAAGTGTCTATTTAAAAGTTTTGCCTTTTCTTGAGTTGCATTGTTGTCTTCTAATTAACTACACATTCAATATACAGTTTTTTGTGAGATATATTTTGCAAATATTTTTCCCAGCTTGTGGTGTGATACTTTATTTTTTAAACTATGTTTTCATAGTTGGTAGTATATACTTCGTGAAATGTCTTGACTATTCAAATCTTCTACCTCGATTTATTGGGTCATTTCTCATTCTACTACGAATATGTAAAAGTTTTTGTTATATTTTCTGGATACCAATCATTGGTCAGATATATTGTAAATATATTATCCCAATTTGTAACCTTTTCATTTTCTTAACAGTGTCTTTCAAATAGCAAAATTTCATGAATTTAATATATTCCAATATATTATGTTTCCTTTAATATTTCCTCCTCTAGGTTTATGAAGACTTTCTCCCATGTTATTTTCTATAAGTTTAGGCTTTTAATTTTTAAATTTATATCAGTCACCCATGTTGAGAGAATTATTATATGTGGTATGAGATTAGAGTTGAAATTAATTTCTTTCTATAAAGATGTTCAACTATTTCCAAACAGTTTGGGGACAAGACTTTTCTCTCCAAGTGGAACTGACTTGGCACATTTGTTTGATATTAGATTGTCTATTTCTGTATTTTTTATTGATTTTTCATCCAAGAATATGTCTAAACTTTTACCAGATACAAGATAGTATTGTCTTGAACAATACAGCATTACAGCAAGTTTTACAATCTGGTCACATAAATCCTTCAATTTCTTCTTTTTAAGCAATCACATTGGCTACACTAGGTCATTTGCATTTTATATAAGTTTTGAAATCAACTTTTATATTTATACAAAATGTCTCCTGGAAATCTGAACATGATTTCATCAAATATCTTAGTAAATTTGGTGAGAATAGCAGTCTTAACAATATTGAATTGTCCTCAGTTCATGAATGTGGTGAAACTCTTCATTTATTTTGTTTTTTTATTCATTTCAGTTTTTTATTTCCTCTTGGAAAATATTGCCAAGAGATGATCTCTTGGCATTATGATAATCTTGGTATTAAGATAATCTCTTGGTATTATGTTGTTACTGCACACACCTTGCACACATTTTGTTAAATGCATCCAAACTTTTAATTTATAATTGTTCATTGTGGATACACAGAAATACAATATTTGATTTTGACTGTGCCTCCTAAATTCACTTGTTTTTACTGGCTTTTAAAATAATTTTTTAGGATATTTTAGGAATATATTAGTAGACATACTTTTTCCTTTTTAAATTTTAGTACATTCAATACTTTAATACTTTTAATTATATATTTAATTACTATAATTAAATACTTTTAATTATACATTTAATAATTTTCTTGCTTTGTTTTATAGACTGGAGCCTCCAATACATTGTAGAAGTAGAGAACAGAAGTAGAGAGAGTGGACTTTCTAGCCTTGTTGTTCTATCTTAATTTTATTATAAAAATAATTAGGGAAAAGCATTTAGTCTTCTACTACTAAAATATAATACTAGCTTTAGGCTTTTTGTAGATACTCTTTATCAAATTAAGAAAATTTCCATCTCTTATTTTCCTGAGAGTTTTTTTTTTAACAGCTAGAAATGTCAAAATGTGGGAAACAATATTTCTGTATATATTGAGATGATTATATGATTTCCTAGTCAATCTGTTAAGAGGGGAACATGCATTATTTGATTTTAACATGTTAACTAACTTTGATTTCCTGGAATAAACCCAAGTTAGTGATGATATATTATCCTTTTACATATTAGCTAGATTTCATTTACTAGCATTTTGTTAAGGATATTCTTGCATCTAGATTCATGAGGGAATATTGGCTAGTGGTTTTCTTTTGCTACTTTTTTTGGTGTGTTTAAGATAACAGGAAATACTGGCATTTTTAATTTTCTGAAAGAATTTGCATAATATAGATGTTTCTCCTTAACGGTCTGACTGAATTCACCAGTTAAGCTATATGGCCTGGGGTTTTCATTATGAGTAAAGAGTTGGAATTGTTGTAGTGTGATATTGCTAAACAAGTATTTTACTATTCTTAAGTCACTTTGGCTAATCCACTTCTTTCAAGGAAGCTGTCGATTTGTAATAAAGAGTCTGACATCATTTTTGCTGATAGCTTTCAATACTCAAAATTTTGCCTTCTGCCCCATATCTGTACAAACTGATAAGCAAGCCCAGGTGCTTTCTCCTTCCACACTGGCAGGAAGTTCAAACCATACAGATCTCTGCCTATGCAGAGAAATCCTCAACCCAGGTGCAGTACCTAACCACCACTAAAAACTCCAGGTCTGGATTAAGAAAATGTTGCACATATACACCATGGAATACTATGCAGCCATAAAAAATGATGAGTTCATGTCCTTTGTAGGGACATGGATGAAGCTGGAAACCATCATTCTCAGCAAACTATCGCAAGGACAAAAAACCAAACACCGCATGTTCACACTCACAGGTGGGAATTGAACAATGAGAACACATGGACACAGGAAGGGGAACATCACACACAGGGACCTGTTGTGGGGTGGGGGGAGGGGGGAGGGATAGCATTAGGAGATATACCTAATGTTAAATGACAAGTTGATGGGTCCAGCACACCAACATGGCACATGTATACATATGTAACAAACCTGCACATTGTGCACATGTACCCTAAAACTTAAAGTATAATTAAAAAGAAAAAAAAACAAACTCCAGGTCATTCTCCCTTCTCTATGCTCTGAAATCAGTTTTGCAGCCTGCTTGAGAGCTGCCTTGCTCTCCTCAGAAAGACTTATTCTGTAAGTAGTGAGGTTTTTTTTTTTTTTTTTTTTTTTTGAGAGGGAGTCTCCCTCTGCCGCCCAGGCTAGAGTGCAGTGGCGCGATTTCGGCTCACTGCAAGCTCCGCCTCCCGAGTTCACGCCGCCATTCTTCTGCCTCAGCCTCCCAAGTAGCTGGGACTATAGGCGCCCGCCACCACGCCTGGCAATTTTTTTTTTCTTTTTTTTTTTTTTCTTTGTATTTTTAGTAGAGATGGAGTTTCACCGTGTTAGCCAGGATGGTCTCTATCGCCTGACCTCGTGATCCGCCCGTCTGGGCCTCCCAAAGTGCTGGGATTACAGGTGTGAGCCACTGCGCCTGGCCAAATAGTGAGTCTTTCCACATCCTCTTTGTGTGTGTCTTTGTGTGTGGCATTATTAACCTCTATATGTGAAGCAAATTTGAAGGGTGGTTCATTTTGCTTCTGCTGAAAGAATACAATGCTACTTCCTACGTTTCATTATTGACAATGCTTTCTTACTATACTTATAATATTTTATAATGTTGTAAGGTTAGTACTCAGTCTTCCTTTTCTAATACTGGTAATATGTGTTTCTCTCTTTCCTTTCAAATACTCAGTTTACTTAAAATATGTGTCAATTTTATAGACTTTTTTTCAAAAAACAGCTTGGACCTTGTTTTCTGTTTCATTGATTCCACTATATCAGTATTATTTCTTTTTTAAATGTAAGGTTTAAATTGCACTTTCTTTATGACTTATTAAGGTGAGCACTTATGTCATGGACATAATACATTTATTTTTTTAATTCGAAAGCATTTGAATAACAGTAATTTATGGAATTTAAAGCTACAAATTTATCCTAAAAATGATTCAGCAATATTCCCCAAATTTGAATAGGCTATGTTTGCATTTTCATTCAGTTCCAAAATATTTTCTAATTTTCCTTTTATTTTGTATTTCAAAATTACTGTGATGGTGGTGGTGGTGATGGTTTAATTATGTATTTCCAAATGTTTAGAATTTTTCCAGCGATTTTTAAATTAAGTGCTATTAAACAGCTACATCCTCTATATGATTTTTTAAAAATGATTTAAATTTTTTGATACATATTTTATGGCTCATCCTATGGTCTAATTTGTTGAATGTTCTTGAGTGCCTCATTAATACTTGGAAAAATGTTAGCTTTTGTCCAGTGGAGTATTATATAAATGTCAATTAAGTTATGTGGGTTAATAATTTTTAAATTTTTTTTACATTTATTTACTTATTCAACATGTCCACTCTTAATTCTTTTCTATATATCTCCATCTTTTACCTGCTATCATTTTCCTTTTGCCGGAATACTTAATTTTTAAACATTTATTGTATTTTATCTTTAACTTTTCTTTAACATTTATCTTATTGCGGATCTGTTGGTGACAACTTCTTGGCTTTTATTTATTGAAAAACATTTAGTTTCCTTTTGTTTTAATGTATATTTTAACTGAATATAATATTCTAAGTTGATAGATTTTTTGTTTTTGTTGGTTTGTTTGCTTCCTCATTCTAAGTTTCTAAGTTATTTTATTGTATTCAGTCTTGCACAATCTGGAGTAACCCCTATAATTGTCCCTCTGAACAAACTATATACACATATCCATTTAATCACTTCAAGTACAGGTACAAGGATTTACTAACGTAGTTAAAGATCAGTCTTTACTCCAGGTACAATTAACCCTTATTGCTAAATTAGGGCACCTGTGGATTCACTAGTGAATACACCTGGGAATCATTGTGGCCTCTGTACCCTCATCAGCACATCTAACTTCCTTGTGTGAGATCTGGGAATTGTTCAGCTCATAACATCCTGATGGGTTGGGCTTTGTCTTATGGAGTTTCATTCTATTTATTCAAGACTTTATACTTAGTAGAAACTCATGGAAATTCCCAGGAAGACTTTTGGAGCTATTTTCTGCACAGCTCCTCCATTTCAGAACTCTGGGTTCTAATATAATACCACCAGAGTTTCCCCTAAGTTTTTAACTGTGTAAGTGAAGAGGTGAAGAACTACATTGGCCATAAAATAACCTAAGTATTCTTGTTTCTAGCAGTTTTCACAAGCTATGGGGAGTTATTATTGAGGAACAAATCACTTGTGGAGAATAATAGAAATGATAATAACATTATATTGACACAGTTTTATTAAATATGTATGAATTGTTAGGTAAGATAAACATAAATCATTTTAACTTTTACATTAAGTTCTATTAACAAAAAGATAAGAATAAAAGCAAACAAAAATCATCGTATCAAAACTTTCTTCACAGTAAAGTTTTTCTACTAAGAAAGCAAGTTGTACCATTTTCTAGTGATTTGCTATGACAAGATTAATCAAATTGCAAAACACTGAAGCTTCTGTTCTCAGTGAAGAGTAGATTAGGGGCAGCCATTCATTTAAAATTCAGGTAATTATTGTCTGCTGTAAAGCTCCAGTTCACTAACAAGCTGGGGGACATCATTGCCTAACATTTGTCAGAACCACCATTCCAACCTCTAGGCCAAGAAACTATGATTATCTCCTAGAAAAAAAATTTAAAGGCAAAACAACAACAATCATGAAGACTTAGAGTTTTCACATAACACATTAGAAATCTGAGCTTTATGCAGGATATACCTTCTCAGGGAGTGTCATGAAGAGGAGTATTCCTGATTTTGAGCATACAACAGTAAGACTTTATTCTTTACTGAAATGATTGGGGTTCCAGATGTGAAGTACAGACCTGGTCCAAACTTTGGTGAACCAAGTTGGAGATATGGATTTAGTTCTGAATATCACTTATCAGAAGATATTAGCAAATGGGGGAACATGAAATTAAGAATTCCTTGCATTATGTAATCTCATACTTTTATTGCTCTTATTCTGCATATCATTTGCGGATATGATTTGACAAAAAAATTACCTATTTTTTCTGGAGTCCTTAATCTACTAAGTATACAGCATCATATCTTCCCTAAACCCCTACGCTTTGCCATATTAGAGGAAAAAAATCTCATTCTCTTCCTGGTTTTGATGAAATTATAACTATTGTTTAAAGCCAAAAGAAGGCATGGGGCATGTTATTTTTCTTAAAAGACTTGCTTTGATTGGAGAGAAGGCAAGCAAAGAGGTGGGAGAAAGGACGTTAAGATGTGTACCAAGGTGGGTAAATATCGCTCATCTCATTGCATCTATACAGTAGTCTTTTTATAGACTTAAGTTTCATGTAAATTTGGAGTTTTGATTATCTATTGAGATGAGGGAAAAAAAGTGGTAGAGGTTTAGTAGATAAAGTGTGAGAAAGATGCTGTGAAAAACAGGAATTAAAGTAAATGGAAAATATAGTAAGACTGTCCAACATTTCTGAGAGTCTATTGAAGTTGATAATCATTAATTTAGAGTAGAATGAATCTGCCTCGTGTATTACTTTCCCTAGGCACTTTCTCATCTTGTCTGGCAAATTGCTCAAGGTAACATAGCAAATGCATATTAAATACAGAGTCAAATTGATTTCTTTTAATTCTTTTCTCATGTGTTTAATCATGCTGCACTAGAATATTTGTGTGTAAATGTACTTAGAAGCTACAGTCCAAAGACATATACTTATAGTGAATAGTATTATAAAAGTAAATGAGTACATGTATGTGTTATATTAATTGATTTTTAAAAATTAGACGTGTTTAAAAACAATTATTGCTCATCAATTTTCCTTCAGTATACTTTTTAAATATACATACATACTAAAAATGGTTAATATAAAAACAAATATTTTCTATTTCTTGTTACCTTTAAAGTTTAATTTTTGGTATTTAAAATATGGAAGAATTATGAGGACACTTGAAGTTTTGCACTAAAAACAAAACTCACAAATGCTTATTATTGAAAAGGAGGTAGCAGTTTCCAAAAAAAATGCAACTAAAGATCAATCAGCATCACCTTCTTAGAGGTTTGTTAGAGATAGGGTTTGAGAATTACCTACCCTTTCTTTTAACTTTTACCCTTGTGTAGCAAGTAAAAGGAATCTATCTCCCAGATGCCATTATAAATGGCCACTAATCCAAAATTGAACTAAGATCAGCCATAAATTACTGAAAATATTAAGAAATTGTGAATTATAAATAATGCAAAAAATAAATGTAAAGATGTAATTAAATATCTATTCCTTTAAATATAAAATGTTTTATTAAAAAGACTACTAAGCAAATTTTCATAACTGACTCTTAGACTGGAGAATAGGTTGATAAAAAGGAAAAGACCAGTGATAATTTCCAAAAGTAAGGAGGGGCTTTAGTTAACAAAAAAACAAAACATATCTATCAATTATAACTCTATAATAAAAAAGTAAATAGCTTTGTGGAATACACGATTCCATTTCACTGTAAATATTCACGCAGAAGCCAGGGAAATTGACTAGAACCTTAAAGTAAAAACCCACCTTAGGTGGGAAATGAGAATGAAAAATTAGCACTAAGACTTCATGCCTTTGTTCATCAGTTTTTTCAGTGATGAGCAGTGAATCTGGGGCACTTCTATCTGTGTTGGGTCTAGAAAAAACTTTAAAGGGAAAAGACTCATAGTAGGAAAGCTAATAAAAATGTTAATTGTTACTAAAGTTAATTATTAAGTTATTAAAAATAATCATTTCCCCTGATTTTAAAATCTGAATTATGATTGCAGCTTTTTGAAAATCAGTCATATTATTGATGGTTTGAACTTCCAATTATAATAGGCTCAGAAGACAGCTAATGGCTCACAGCAGATGAATTTGTAGAGAAAATTAAATATAATACTTAATGAAGCATAGAGGCTATTAGTGTTATTACCTATAAACACTTGCAGAATATAAAAAGGAGGATTAGTATGTGTTGCCCCAAGCTCTCAAGTGGCATATAGCAAGGTCAAATGGAAAGGATGAAGAAATGTTAGAAAGTTGTGAAGAGATGGCAACAGGCTTGAATTTTAAGTGGAAGCAACCCTTCCAAAGAAGGAAATATAATTCTATGTCAGGTTAGGAGATTAAAAGAAAGAATATATCCAAAGATTACGATAAATACTTTAATTATTCAGACAATAAGAAAGAAAAAATAGTGTTACGGCTTTAATTTTATCTTTGGAAATTTTAAACTTTCTAATAATTAAAGATGGTAAAATGGGTAGTATATATCAGAACATAAACTTTTAATTCAGATTAATCTAAATTGAATGCTTGTCCTAGTACTTATTTTATCTACATAACGCTGGACAATTGAAGACACCTCTATAGGCTACTTTTATACACTGATGATAACTTTTATAAAGTAAAGATAATGTGTTTGAATAAGAGACCATAAAGAAATTTTGAAAGTCATCTCATCCATAAATGACAAATTTCAGTCCTTATTGGAAACTCTAAATAATTGATAATGATGGACTAAAGTATTGTATGGAAATTCCAAATCACTATTATGATTTAGCAGTGAAAAGTACTAATATCAATTAACAATATCTGCCCTGAACACAAGATGGGCAGATTCAGGTGCCATGCATTAACCAATCTCAATTAATAAGAACCTGTCTCTTAAAACTTATCTCCCATCTTACAAAAGAAAAAACAAAAGGAAGCTTAGTTCATATCTCTGATAAGAAGGCATATGGAACTGGCTGCCAGTTTTTCCATTATCATCATAGTTTATTTCATTTTGTTGCTACGTGGGTTAAAATAATATTTTTGTATATATTTTATAGAATCACCTAAACTGATCAATATATTATTGATTTGAATTGAGAGAGAATATTTTACTTTTTTATTATGCTAAGGTAAAAAGAGAAATAAATATAGCTGCTGGGGGTTGAATGTTTAAGGTTAGTACTGTTATATTTAGTAATAATGGCAACAAGGCACTGTGATTACAGAGAACACTTAAAAATCAAATAGAGGGCCGGGTGCGGTGGCTCACGCCTATAATCCCAGCACTTTGGGAGGCCGAGGCGGGTGGATCATGAGGTCAGGAGATCGAGACCATCCTGGCTAACACGGCGAAACCCCGTCTCTACTAAATATACAAAAAATTAGCCGGGCGTCGTGGCGGGCGCCTGTAGTCCCAGCTACTCGGGAGGCTGAGGCCGGAGAATGGCTTGAACCCAGGGGGTGGAGCTTGCAGTGAGCCGAGATCGAGCCACTGCACTCCAGCCTGGGTGACGGAGCAAGACTCTGTCTCAAAAAAAAAAAAAAAAAAAAAAAAAATCAAATAGAGATAGGACATATTTAAGCGACTTGAACTTGGTCTGTTTCATCGTTTATTAAATCTCTGCTGTTTGCCATGAGGTAATGAGAAATAACTTCAAGGTTGGCGAAGTCATATTACTTCAGCCCACTAGAACATATAATTTGTGTGACTCCTTTGAGTTTACCTTGTATTCCAACAAATGTAAATTCATATATTGTGTTTGGCAGAAATAGCGTAAGTAAAAGGACCTTGGTTATTTCACCAATTCCTAGAATTGGTCTGTGATGAAAGCCTCCTCCTCTTGCTTTATTGACTGGCACACTACCGTCTTAAAATCTAGTAGACACCACACCTCCTCATGGACGAAGTGGCTAATATTTAAAGAGCTAAGTGTCAAGGTCTTCCAGCATGCCCTAAATGGCAACCCTTTTTTCCCTTCTCTTGTTCCACAACATTTCCTCTGTTTTTAAACAAACCTGTATTTTTTGTTGTTGTTATCCCAACATTTTCTCTGGATCTCCTACTGTGTATATTCATGCATGCGTAAGAAACTCTTATGCTGAACAAACTATTAAAGTGATGATATATGGGAGCAAGTTTGAAAAATAATATTATTTTCTGAAATTTGTACTTAATTGTATACAAGTTGATTAATATTTATGTATAATAAAATTTTATTATAAAATAGTATCTTTACTTTGAAAACACCGAATTTTTTTGTAAGGTTTCTCTTTGTACTTTAAATTTCTCCATAATTTTACCTAGTCATTTAGAGAATTATTAATGAAACATCATCACGATGAATGGTATTTAAGATAATATTAATGAGTCTAAGCATAAATATTATAAAATAATTACTTATTTGAGCCTAAGAACATATTTAAGTATTTATATTCTGACTTCAGTCTAATTGTGGTATTTCATTTTTATTTCTATATTGGCTTCTTAGTTTTACATTTAGGCAATCACTTTTAGATTTTGCTGTTAGGATCGTAATAGGCATCTTTAATTTATTATGATACATTTAATGTTAACACTTAATATGGTTTGGCTGTGTCCCCACCCAAATCTCATCTTAAATTGCAACTCCCACAATTCCCACGTTTCCTGGGAGGAACCCAGTGGGAGGTGATTGAATTATGGGGCAGGTCTTTCCTGCACTGTTCTCGTGATAGTGAATGAGTCTCATGAGATCTGATGGTTTTAAAAACAGGAGTTTCCCCACACAAGCTCTCTCTTTGCCTGCTGCCATCCATGTAAGATGTGAATTCTTGCCTTCCACCATGATTGTGAGACCTCCCCAGCCATGTGGAACTGTAAATCCGTTAAACCTCTTTTACTTCCCAGTCTCGGGTATGTCTTTAACAGTAGTGTAAAATGGACTAATACAATACTGTACTATTTATTGTAAAATGTTAGAAATTTGCAAAAGCATAGTTTTAATATGCCCTGTTAATAGTGCAATTGCTGTCAAACACATTACATCCACGTATATTACAAACTGCCTAATGTAATACAGCTAGTATAATTGTTTCCTAAAGCTGTACTATATTTTAAAAATATACAGGAAAAAATTCTATGCTGTACGTATCTCTTTATATTTACCATTTCTAATGTGTTTTTATTTCTTTTTCTAAATCTGTTTTTATCTAGTCATTTCCTTTTAGTCCGAATTACTTCATTTAGCATTTCTTGTGTAAAGATTTGATGGCAAAGAGTTATCTAAGTTTTTCTTTATGGGAAAGGACTTCATTTTGCCTTAGTCTCCAAAAGAAATTTTTGCAGAGTATAGAATTTTTTCAATGACAGAATTTTCTCCCTTTGAATATGTGAAAGTTGTTATTCTACTGTTTTCCATTACCTGTGTTTTCTTATGAGAAATTGGCCCATATCCTTATGTCCTTTATGTAATGTGTCTTTTTTCTTTAGTGCCTTTTAAATTTTCATTTTTAATCTTTAGTTTTCTGCAACTTGACTTTGATGTGCCCAGGTGTGATTTTCTTAGTTTGCATGTTTGTATTTTTTTTTTTTTTTTGAGACAGAGTTTCGCTCTTGTTGCCCAGGCTGGAATTCAATGGTGCGATCTCAAGCTTACCACAACCTCTACCTCCCGGGTTCAAGTGATTCTCCTGCCTCAGCCTCCAGAGTAGCTGGGATTACAGGCATGTGCCAGCACGCCCACCTAATTTTGTATTTTTAGCAGAGATGGGGTTTCTCCATGTTGGGCAGGCTGGTCTCAAACTCCTGATTTCAGGTGATCCACCTGCCTCAGCCTCCCAAAGAGCTGGGATTACAGGCAAGAGCCATCGCGCCCAGCCTGTTTGTATTCTTACAATTGTTTGCTGAAAATCTTGTAATATGTTGTAGTCATTGAATAATTTATATGTGGCAAGCTTTTTTTTTTTTAGGTTTAGCGCTTTCTTGTTTCCTGAATATGAAAGAAAAAATAATAATCTTACTTTACTCCCTGCCATTCATCCCCTTCCCTCTGAGGTATTCAGCATTATTTACCTGGTGAATATATTTTCTAACCTTTATTTATGCTCATACATGCACACAAACACAAAAGTATGTTGGTTTTATAAAAATTACTATTATATTGTACTTATTGCTCTGCACTTGGCTCTCTTCGTTTAATAAAACATTATGACTATTCCTTCAGATAAATTGTTAAAATCTAGAAAATGTCAACGTCTCTTTATTTAATAGTGTCATGCTATTCTATCCTAAGTATATAGTACAATTACTTCAACAACTCCTTCATGAGAATTCAGGTGGTTTCCAGCTTGTTACCACTTTGCTTAATTATAATTGAAGATATGATAATAGTTGTAATTTACAGAGCCACTCTATCCCATATCCAGAAGATGGGGAAACTAATACTTTATATGTAGGAAAATTCAGCTACGTATAAATTATTTACACAGTGGAGTTAAAGATTTCGAAAAATCACTTGGAAGGAAATAATATCTAGATTAAGACTTTATGGATGAGTAGGAATTACCTGGAACAACAACAACAAAAAGGGATGAAAAAGCTTCTAGATAGGCACTGTGTATGCCAAAGGTGGGACACAGATACAGATGTGCATGGTAAAGTGCAAGTGGATCATTATTGATAATTTGAAATGAAAGAAAGGAATGGCAGAAGATGGCACCAGACTGATGCTCATGGCCAGACCCTAAGCAGTCCTATCTGCAAACTTGTGCTATGGACATTTTTAGCTAATTTTCTCTACTTCAAATATATCAAAATAATACTTTTATTTAAACTTGTATATTTTAATTCTGTTATTTAAAACATGTAGTAATACTGTTATTTAAACTTGTGTATTTTGATTCTTTTCTTTTGTATGTGAAAGAAGAAGCGTAATTAACTATTTTATTTTCCCTCAGATTCCTAAGAATAGTCTCATTTATAAAGCACAAAAGAAAATGAATGTGGGTTAAATAATAACCATTTAATGTAAAATACAACTATCAATTACAGAAATTCATTAATTGAGTTAAATATTTGCCAACAGTTCTACCCACTTATTTTATTTTTAAGATATTTCCATCAAAACAGTCTCATTAAATTTTGTATGTTAATCAGAATGTTTACCATTTAATTTTGCCTAACATTGCTCTGCATTTAGGTTTTGGAATCTTTTTTCATTATAATTTTGAAGCAATTAACTCACAAGGAAAAAAAGTAATTTGCAGGTTTGTATAATTGCACAGATGTTAGTTGGCTACAGTAGAAAGAATGGCAGGATTCTGAGAGTTTCCTTCAAAAGGAAAATAGAGACAAGAATATGTACACATTAAATTCTTCTTTGGTTGATAATTCTTATAACTCTGTTTTTTAAATTGTATACAGTAAATTCGGCTTAATAAAAGTGTGGTATGGAAAATTGTTTCTGAGCTTCTGAAATTAGCCTAAGCAAGTTAGAAAACTAATTAGTAGATGGGAAAAAATGTAATTATGAAAGACATAATATACCATTGCAGATGATTTTTATCCCTCTTTTTATCCCTTACTCTTACATAAAGAAAGAAAACCAAAGTAAATTATTTTCCATTCAGCTTTACCAAGTTCTAAGAACTTAAATATGAGACATCTTTTCTTTGTTGAAATGGTTTTAAATAAGTTCAACTGTGAACACCATTAGAAAGTTAACTATAAACCTCAATCTTGTATAAATATTTAATTATTTCTAACTTAACCGTACTGCAAGTTTGTCTTAGTACAGAGGACATACATTACATATATGTGTTTATATTAGAGAGAGGCTTAATTAAATGGATTTAATATTAATTGAAATTTTCTGCACATATAAAATTAAACCATTCTTTATTGTAGCTGTCAGTTTATTTATTCTACATATAGTATCTACTCTTCCAAGTCATGATCTATTGACTTTATTAGTCTGTAAACATAAAAACATGCATTCTGTTGACAAAATTACATTTATTCAATGTCATTATTGTTTTATCTAATATTGTTTTAAATGTACTAGCTGAATTGCACAACCTTATATTACCTAGTTATTAAGATCTTCTCACTGCTTTCCATCATTGACTTCTTAAGGAATTTTCCTCATGGCCTAACCTTATCTGATATTTTTAATAAAGTGGCTGCTGTGTGACCTTATTCATCCTTGAATGTGTGGTACAATGGCAAACCAGGATTGCCACTGGGAGGCTATGACTGGCATCTTCAAAAGTAGGGTAGGATTACCAATACGGAAATTTAGAAGTTTCAGAATTCAGGTTCACCCTGGATAAGCTTTGATGCTTATCTGAAGCTTATTCAAACCTTCTGAATCGGTAAAATTGAGCTGTAAATGTCAAAAAGCAGAATTTCTCATGAGATTTACTATACTTTAACTTCTGTTCCAAACCAGAAATACCAAGAGGACAGTTTCTTTTGCAATGTCATTGTGACTCTTTTTCAAGTGTTAAAAGGTGAAAATAAAAAGGCAAGTTGGCGGGGGCAAAATATATAATCTACATTCATTTAAATACTTGTTTAGTTTAAATGATGGAGATAACATAAATTGAAAAAACTTATATTCTTATTGAATTTGTTAAAACTAAAATGTATCTGTGTTCTGTTTTCTCATTCAGTGAGCAAATGAAATTAATAAAGTTTATGTCATTCATGTGTTTTCAATATGAACAAAATACTCAGTCTATGAAACTGCGTATCTCCCCAGGAAAACATTTTGCTAAGGTGGATATTGGGCAAGCCTAGAGGGCATTTAATACCTTAGCACCTTCAAGCCTCATGCTGAGAAGCAATGAGCAATGTTATATTTCTGTAATGTTGGTCATAAATCTACATAAGCTAAGGTTACATTTTTACATATATTTATTTCAAATATTGTTAATTAAGGGGAATGGGGCTTGATAGTAATACATAAAACAGTTAAATACATAAGTTTGTCTACACCTCCTGTATTGAAATCTCAAGTTTTCTTCTTGTTTCCTGCCTGATTTTGGCACACAACATAGGAAGGCCTCTGGTTCCTAATATGCAAATATGGATGATAACAAGTTAATTAGTGTTAATGTTCAGATGTTAATTTCTTTGCAGTGTCAAATATAAAATTGGTATTAATAACATCATTATTATGACTTTTCTCATACCCTATGTTTCATGAAGTATAGTGGTGAGGTGGGTAATTTTTTTAACTTCTTGTTTTCAGAATATTATATTTCCACACTCTGCAAAATTTCTGTATCTGGGAGTCTTGTCATCTGTCTAACTATCCTGTACTTTAACACATTTTTGTTATCTACCAACTTTGCCAACTATTCCCTATTCATTCATCAAGGACATTCACATAAGTTCCATTTTATACACACCTTCCTATAAATATTCAGGAGATGTACCAACAACAGGAAGTCTCCTAATTTTGAAATCACTGATTTCTAAATCCAATGCTCACTCTGTCTCTCTAGCTCTCTTATTCCATCATTTTGACAACCTACAATCTTTATTTTATTTTATTTTATGTTATGTTATGTTATTTTATTTTTGGTTGTGGGGCTGACTTTATTGTAGGTCTAGGGAAAAGATGGGTTAAAATTACAGCAAAACAAACCTCTTTCATTTGAGTTTAGACTCCCCAATTCTAAAAATACCCACCTGCCTTTTCTTCTAACTTGGGCTTGAGCCATGTTGCTCTACCTCCTTTCTTCTCTTCACTTCCTCTTTCTTTCTTCTCTGCAATTTCTCTTAGCCCTAGTATTTCTGCTGCAGAATAGTTTAGCTATCTGTTCAATTCCACTGCCCCCTCCCACCATCCCCAATGAGCCTATCAAAACATTTCCTTTAGCAAAGATATACAATGTAGGAATTTTCAGAAAATGATTTTAAGGCATGTAAAATTTAATTTTAGATCATTCAATCTGATTGACAATCTGCAGCAGTTCACCATTACTTGGAATATTCACTGCTTATGGAAATAACACCCAGGCATCTGAAATAGTCTACAACCCTCTATGCTCTTAATAATATCTATGAGCTCCATCAGCCTTTCTTTCACAAAGATAACTTCAAACTTGAATTTCTTTATTAATTCAGTAAACACTTGTTGCCTATTTACTCTGGAGCAAATACTGTCCTACCAATGAGGGATGCAGTATTTAGCATATGTTACACGGTGCCTTCTCTCTTAGATCTGATTTCCTGTTGTGGGAGGCCTGATATTAACAATCACACAGTTAATGTACTTACACACTGCATGAGTGTTATGCATTAAAGTCAATCAAAGTAAGAATAAAATTAAAACGTCTATTTTAAAAGGTATAGTAGGGATCTTTGGAGATTTGACACTTAAACAGTCTTTAAGGATGAGAAGAATGAATAAGATATATGAAAATCAACAATAACACTCATCCATAAAAAGAATGAAATCATGTCCTTTGCAGCAACATGGATGGAAATGAGGGCCATTATCCAAAGTGAAATAGCTCAGAAACAGAAAGTCAAATACCGTATTTTCTATCTTATAAGTAGGAGCTAAACAATGGGTACATGTGGACATGGAATAAGCATTGGAGACTCAAAAAGGTGGGAGGGGTGAGGGAGGTGAGGGATGAGAAGTTACTTATTGGGTTTAATAGACACTATTCATGTGGTGGCTACATTAGATGCCCAAACTTTACCACTACACAATATATCCATGTAAGAGATCTGCACCTGTACTCCCTAAGTCTACAAAAATTTATCTATGTATATATACACACACACACAGAGAATGAGACATATCAGAGACATTCCGGTGGCAGAAGCAGCATGCAGCAAGACCCTAACATGGAAAGGAGTTTGTGATAAAGGAAGGGGTTGGCTCCAAGGAAGACCAGGGCCATATCATGTAAGCCATTTTTGAGCACTGCAGGCATAATCCCACCAGGATTAGAATAAGAGCTGGGAAGGAAAACCCATTGAGTGACAGAATCAAAATATTTCTTAAAAAGATTATAGACTGCTTTGCAGGTGGATAGAGGCTGGGATAAAATCAAGAAAAGAAGTCAGAAAGCTATGTCTGTATTTCAGGTGACAGAAAAAATAAAATATTTGCAGAGTTAGAGATATAATTTGCAGACACATCTGAACTGGATGTGAGGTTGAGGGAGTGGGCGGAATCAAGGATGAAGTCCAGGTTTGTTGCATGAGCAACTTGATGAGTACGGTTGGCATTTACTAAGATGAAAAAGACTGGAGGAGAAGCACATTGTGACTGGGGAATATCATGAATTCGTCGACTGTTACCTCGGTTTCTGCCTCCTTCCTTAGCATCTTCAATCCTATGACTTAGACAATGTTTGAGAATTCACATATCTGTACTTGCATTTCAGGTAGCTATTTACTACCTCGTTTTGGTTGTTATCTCAATGGTTAAACGTGATGCACATATCCAGACTCATCCATTATAGACTTATTTTACACACACAAGCACAAATATAAAACACACTTAAATATCTATAACTATACATATACATAGCCACTGTGCGTGTATACACACACAAGCACACACACACACACATATATACAGTCACACACATATACAATTGACCCTTGAACAACACAATTTGAACTGTGCTGGTCCACTTACATGTGAATTATTTTTAAACAAAAGTGGATTGAAAATACAGTATTTGTGGGATGGTGAATCTGGAGAACCAACTTTGCAAGTACGGCCGGACGCTGTCACGGAGGTCCTGGAACCAATTTCCTGCGTATACTGAGAACGACTGCATACAGAACATATAAAATAGCAAATAGTGAAATTTATTCCATAAACCACAATGCACTACATGGATACTATTTTACACTTGAATAATGTAATATATTTTTCATGGTATTTTTGGATTCACTGTCATATAAATGATTCATTTATTCAAGATTCCAAAGCTATATAAAGTCAGATTTGGTATCAAAGTCTTGTCCTGACTACAAATTTAGCAAAAATAAACAATCTATGTTTGCAATAAAAGTTCTTGTGTTACCGTTCTAACCCCATTCTGGCCGTTAATTAATTAATGTATTATTCAAGAAATATAGCTTATGGTTATATACAGCATGTACTACAAAAGATACCAGAGATTTATAACTTGAAAAACACAGTCTGTGAGGCCAAAGAGCTTGTTATCTTTATTTCATGAGCCATGAGAAGCCATTTAACATTTCCAAGTCATAGTGCCTTAAACTACAAAATGGAGACAGTAAATAAGATCTGCTTTATATAAATTGAGTGTATTTATGTGTGCGTTTATGTGTGTGTTGGGGGGAGAGGAGAGAAAGAGAGAAAGTGTTTTGTTATGCTGGTGGGATATTTTGGCCATGATTTCCACATTTAGAATGCCTGTGTTCTTATTTCAGCTCCAACACTAAGTCTGTAATGTTAGACAGCAAACATCATAATAACATACACTTCTATTGTGCTTACTGTCCTGTATTAAATATTTATATTAACTCAGTAGCCCCACAACATCCCTGTGTGTTAGGTATTATTGTACTTCCATTTTATGGCTAATGAAAATTAAACACAGATGATTTCAGGGACTTGCCCAAATTTAAGAAGCTGGTACAAAAAAGAGCCAATTTTCAAACTCAAGCAGTTTGACTTTAGATGATTCTGTACTCTTTAACTATTGCAGTATGCACTACTTCTTATAATTTCTGTATCTTTTTTCCCTTACCTGTAAAATATAAAATATTATAGTGTTTATTTCATAACATTGTTGTTAAGACTTAGAAAATGTTTGACTTAAGGTCAAACAAATATCAGAATAAATTATCAAAAAATATTAATTATATATTTTATACATTTTAAAATGGCTATGTAGTCACTTTCAGTAAAATTTTAATTTCTTTATTAATTTTTGGCAACTATAATTCTGAATCTCACTACACTTTTATTTCCCTTATTCATTTTTATTTTTGTTGTGCTTCCACAATTGTACCCATACCATCTAAATCTGACAGTCTCTCTTCTAATGGGCATTGCCAAGGGGAAATAAGCACAAGAAAAATGTACTGTGACAGAGTAACATAGAAAAGAAGAACTGGGATAAGGTTTGGACACAGTATTAGTCCATTTTCACGCTGCTAATGAAGACATACCTGAAACTGGGCAATTTACAAAAGAAAGAGGTTTAACTGGAGGACTCACAGTTCCATGTGGCTGGGGAGGCCTTACAATCATGGTGGGAGGCAAAGAGGAGCAAGTCACCTCTTACGTGGATGGTGGCAGGCAAAGAGAGAGCTTGTGCAGAAAAACTCCTGTTTTAAAAACCATCAGATGTGATATTTATTCCCTATGATGAGAACCACACAAGAAAGGCTTGCCCCATGATTCAGTTACCTCCCACTGAGTCCCTCCCACAACACGTGGGAATTGAAGATGAGATTCGGATGGGGCCACAGCCAAACCATATCACACAGTAAAGTATGAGGAAAAACTTCAGAAAATGTCTCCTTTTTAGGGATGATGTAGATGGAGACATTATTTAAAATAAATATCTAAGTAGGAAAAGACTTGATCAACAAATTAAAATTGCAAGTAAATCACTAACTGTAGGCTCATTATTGTGGTAAATAGGGGCTTGCAGATAAGCTCTAGTTTTACCTATCAATTTTGTATCCCTTTTGGTACCCAACTTCAGGATGTCTCTTCTCATCTAGAAGACCTCTTTCTATGCCCCGTCATGTAGGGTTATATTGAGAAACTGTCTGAGTTCCCTAAAAAAAATGAGATGGTTGTTACCTCAATCTCCTTCAGGTCTTAACTCTCTAGTTCTTAAAACCAATGTGACTGATATTTTTATCAATATGTAACACCAAGTGTAATGCCTAGATCAAACTTTTCCAACCTGCGGCTCATGGGCTGCGTGAGGCCCAGGATGACTTTGAATGTGACCCAACACAAATTCATAAGCTTTCTTAAAACACTATGAAATCTTTTTGCAACTTTTTTTAGCTCTTCAGTTATCATTCGTGTTAGTGTATTTTATGTGTGGCCCAATAAAATATTCTTCCAATGTGGCTCAGGGAAGCCAATAATTGAATACCCCTGGTGTAGTAATAGCTATAATTTAAAAAAATGGGATTTTCATAAAGTTGTCAGACTTATACACCATGTATTAGAATCTTTCTTAAAATTTTGATGACTTCTACTGAGATTTGTCCCTTCCCATTATCCTCAAAACATCAATCTGACATTTTTATTTGTATTTCACCTATTAGCCATAAACAAGGATATTAGGAGAAAACATTCATAAAGCAATAGTTCAAGGTGTATGATACATTGATGAAATGTCAATAGGCAGCTTACACCTTTGGCGTCAATGGGATAGAGTTAGTGTAAGGAAACACAATCAGAAAAAGAGAAAATCATAGGGAATCAAAAATGAGTAAATTGAATTAGAAATGCACCGAAATGATTCTGCTTGTCTTTTCTCTAAGGAATATCATGGCATTTAATCAAAGTTATAAATTCAAATGTAAACAGGGCAGGATTTATCCATCAACATATTTATAATCTCAATCAACATCAGATATGTCAAATGCTTATCCTTCACTTATGAAAAAATAAAATATTGTAGTCCATTTTCATACTTCTATAAAGAACTGCCCAAGACTGGGTAATTTGTTAAGGAAAGAGGTTTAATTGATTCACAGTTCAGCATGTTTGGGGAGGCCTCAGGAAACTTGCAATCATGGCAGAAGGCAAAGGGAAAGCAAGGCACCTTCTTCACAAGGCAGCAGGAAGAAGTGCTGAGTGAAGTGGAAGGAGCCTCTTATAAAATTATCAGATCTCGTGAGAACTCACTTACTGTCACAAGAACAGCATGGGGGAAACTACCCCTATGATTCAATTACTTCTGTCTGATCTCTCCCTTGAGGCTTGGGGATTATGGGGATTATGAGGGTTATAATTCAAGATGAGATTTGGTTGGGGACACAAAGCCTAGCCATACCATAGCTTCTTCCACTGTTCTCTTCTTTAACATTGGGTCATATGAAGATTTATAAGTATGTAAATAATTATTATGTTATATTTGTACTTTATAAATAGTTTTAGTTAATTGAAAAAAGAAACGTCCCCTGAAGCTTAAGTTATAGACACTATAATTGTATATGTGTAGAATACATTTTAAAAATGCTTTTATAATTATATATAAATATATGTTTATTATAAACAGATAAATTATGAACAGGTGAAAGATATCCTAAAATACATAATATTTAGAAAACAAGGAACTTATTTAGCCAGATGAAACTCCAAAATTTATGTGTCCTGGTATTTTGAAAGTAAAGTGTACACTATAGAAGACATGAGATTTTGAATATCATTCAAGTCATATGACTTCAGTCACGATCAACCAAAAAATATGCTTTTAGACTGATACATATGAATATATTTCAAAATGTAAATGTGTCAAGAAACAGAAGGTTTCAAAATTATACCATATACGTCCTTTAATTTTTCTTTTACATCTGATTTCATTTAACAATAGAGTAAATTGGAGTTTAGTATGCAAGGTGTTTCTTTATATACTAGTAGTGTCAAATGTTATTCACCATTCCCTTTCTAGAGCAGTAAAATATTCAATGGAAAATACATACAGGTTCCACATCAAAAGCTACAGTGAAGCAAGAGTACAATGTAAGAACATTGTATTGCCTTTTCCAAGAAAACTTCTCTTCTAGGAATTCAACATGAGCAAGAGGAAAAAAAAGGTTAGAAACATTGTCTGTGTTAATAAAGCACTAAATTAATTAGTATCCATCAATAGAAACTTTTGAAAAATTAGAGTAACAAATCATATGTAATATTAAGGAGTCACTGAGAATATATACATTTGTAAATATTTTTCTTAAATTTAAAAAATGAATTTAAAAATCATATTGCAAGACAATGTAGAATAAGACTAGTTGATAGATAGATAACAGATACGAAAATAGTTAGAAGTTACGTTATAAAATGATTATTATGGATTACAACCTAGAGGACTATTGACTATTACTTTCAGTGTTTATATATCTATATTTTTAGTTTATACAGATTATATTACTTTTGTAGTAAAATTAAATACATTTTCATTAAAACTACACGTTTTCCTTGCTTCACATTACTTATGGTAAACAATAACCAAGCTAACTATACTTTTTTGAAAAATGTGTTAACTTTATAAAATTCTTCAAATAATTATGAAAAGATTATTTAAGAGTCAGTGACATTAGAGGAGCTTATTTATTTCTTTGTAAAAAAGAAAAAGGTAAACCTCATTTATTTTTTAAAAATCAGGAAATTTGATATTATTTTGAGGAGTTATACTGTTAAATCTTACTGTTGTGTTTGGAAGTTTTGTAAGTAATCTAAAAATACCTGTAGGTAAAATACCATATTCTGTAGAGAAATGGTATATAATGGATACAAGCATGACCAGAATTCTCCCACCTAAAACTTAGACATCTATAATATGAGAAATAATTACCTTTTAATGATATAAGGCATTTATTTATATGACACAAGGGCATATTACTTTTAATATTTTTGAATACTTCTTGACTCACAACAATTCAATTCTGTGTACTAGGGTACAATAATTTACTCTTGCAGTAATCACTAGGATGAGTAAAAAAGAATTGGATTCAAAAGGCCAGGAAGAATAAGAAGGCCTTTTCATTAAAGAGTTTATTTCAGTACTATTTACTTCCTGCTGATCTCTTACAAATCTTGCTAGTCTTATAAATCCTCTTAGTCTCCTCTCAATCCTCTTTTTATATGTGAGCACCTTTTAAGAAGAAAAGGATGCCAGTTTCCATCTTGCATTATTGTTTTAAAGAACAACAAAAAAAGAACACTTAATCTTTAGGAAATAAAGAGCATTCAATGAATTTAATAAGTTAAACTTAAACTATGTACATACAAACCAGATTTTTCCATATTCCTATAAACATGTTTAGTTAATAAATTGTGAATCTCAAATACTTTTTTCATGTAGTTGTGTTTTTTAAATGTAAAATATATAAGATATACATATATATAATATTCAAAATACTTTAAAACAAAATTTGTTATTAATTGAATAAATATAACCAGATGCACAACTTCCAGTTTTAGAAGTTGAGTTTATTTTTTTTTATTTTGTTTTTATTTTTTGGCTAATTTAAGGTTATCTGATGTCAACTGGGGAAAAAAAAGAGATAAAGAATCGAGAATAGCATACTCAATTCTCAGCGCCTTGATAATCCTCACTATGTGGGCCTCAATGTCCCTTCATTACTTCATCCTAGTCTCTAACTGTGGATTCTAAAATTCAAAGAATTATTGATTACTAAACAAGTTTATTCCTCCAAATCTCAAGTGTTACTGTCACTCAACCTCTTCTTTCCCATCATGCATTCTTCCAATGCCTTCCTGTCTGTTCTCCCCAGATCTCACTTCCACAGCCGTGGCTACTATTCTCAACTTATTCTTAATAAATTATCTTACTTCCTCATCAACTCAATTATCTCTTACTCATTACTTCAATTTAGGCTTCTTGTTCATCCACACTATTATGTGACCTATTTTGTCAGAATATAGTCAATTCTCATTCTTCTTTCTTTATAAACCTAGTTCATTTGTTTTCTATGCTTGCTATAACAAATCACTGCAAATTTAGTAGCTTAAAACAGTACAAGCCTCTTAAAAAGACCACATTTCCCTTAGGCTCATCTGAAATCAGTTACCCTGGGCCTAAAAAATCTCTGCAACATGTGCTTCATATTCTGCTCTAATTATTAGATTAAGATCATTTAATAAGGATTATTTAGGATTATTTAATCAATTTTACAAGCAGAATTTAGGACCTACCCAATCTCTTTGTTTTCCCTCCTGTCACTCTTCTATGAAGTATCAATATTCCATATTTCAGAAAAAATGTCAGTTTCTGAAACATATGTATGCTGTACCATATTTCTACATGTGGTTCCTTCTCTCAGAAACTTCTATTTGCTTCTCATTTTAAAAATGTATTACTATCTTCATGTTTACTTAGGTAGCTCCAGGTAACAATACTTCTATTTCCTTTATTCTTTGGATGTCTATTAAACAAATTATAAAGTAAAAATTAACATAGAATAATCCTCATTAGCACGTGACATCCCAACTCTTATTTTGATAGCAAAATTACCCACACTATTAAATAAATTAGGTTCTTCAGCATGTTTAAGCAGAGTACTCAAAATTTAATTTCCACTTCTATAAAACCTCTGTGCTGACAGTCATATATCTCAATAGGAATATTCTTCAGCCATATTTTAAAAGATGTAATGTGTTGAATTAATTAAAAAGAGTAAGAATAAATTTATAGTTTGGAAAAATGGCTAAAATAATCCATGCTTGGGAGAAAGCAAAGATTTGCTTTACTAGAAAATCAAAGTCTATATTTAAGAAGAGTGAGACATAATTTTAAGAAGACCTCTGAGTAGAGATCCTTAACAGTAAATTATAAGAATTTGCAGCAGAAGACAGTAAGAGTTGACCTTGAGCGTAGAAAAAATTGCATGTTCATTGATTAGCAGGAAAATCTATTGAATATAAATAGAGAAATATATGAATTTAAATACTATGTATAAAAGTATTTTTATGTTTTTTTAAAACTATGATGTCTATGAAATGTTTTGAAAACAAAAGCAAAGGAACAAAGGACTCTATGAAAGGAAATTTACTGGCCGGGGATATGATAATGAAGAAGTGGACTGGGGATATTTGTCTGGGATTAGAAATAATAGAATAACTTGACAGTCAAACACATATAAAATTCAGTTCAAATTTCAAGTTCTTGCATGAGATTTACCAAGAAAGCTTCATGTAAATTCACATGGCAAAGAACCTCACTTCAGTGTTTGGCTTCAGGACGAATATAGGTAGATCTAAAGGATCTGTTTTTATTTTTGTTATTTTTGTTTACCTTGTCTCTTTTTTACAGGAAAAAAAAGTTTTTAAGATTATTCTGATGCACAGCCAAGTTTGGAAGACACGTAAAATTCTAACTTTATTTAGGATTTAAAGGGAAAACAGGGAGCTAGAGAGAAATTTCATTTTAGACAGTAATATAAGGAGTAACCACTTACCGGGCACATCTTTTTTGAATGTGCGCCCTAAAATCTTTATGTATAGCATCCCATTTACATAAAACAATACGATGGAGTATTCTATATTATACATCAATTTTATTGATATATAAACAGAGACTCAAAGAGATGAAACATATTTTCCTGAGTGACAAGGCTAAATCAGCATTCCAACCTGGACATCAACACCAGAGCCATCACTCTTAAATGTGGAGCAATGTTTTGCTGTTGATCCTGGATAACCAGCTCCAAAGAACATTTTAGAAGGGCATCATGCATGAGGAATGTGGAGGAATCACACCTGTACATTCTTTTCAAGAGCACCTATTTCTAACTTGATTACATATGTGCCATATAGGATGGTAATAAGTGAGCCTGATATTTTTCATTTATATACCATTTTTCAGGGAAATTAATGAATATTTTTGATACAGATTTATACTTATTCCGAGTCCAAGTTTGCTGAAACATTCACTGGAATAAGGTAGTTTTTCTTCCGAGAGGAAGAAATAACTGTAAAAAAAATCCACAAGTACCCATCCCATGTACACCCATACCCACATGTTGATAGCCTGCCACCAAAGGTAAAGACCAAAAAAGTACACAAATAATTATACTTAAATATGATCTTAAGGTCAAAATGTATTTTATCAATCTGTCCAATTTGTAATCCTAGTCAACAGCTTCAGAACAAATGTCATCTAGAAATAAAATTGTATGGTATTAATACTTCAGATTTAACAGCTGAGATTACTGATAGATTGAAGAAAACTAACTTTACAGTCTCAGTCTCATTTATACACACGTGCACACACACACACACACACACACGTCAGTGTCTCATAAGCATTGAAATCTAGAGATCGAAAATATGGTAAAAGTTCGCAGAATCCAGTGGGATTCCACACATGAAAGCATTCATTTTGGAAACCCTGTGGCTATTCATTGGCCTTTATACATGTTTTTGAAGCTTTAAGAAATTATGAGGAGGTAAGATTTTACCAGAGATATCTTAGTTCTTAAGCTTCAAAAGTCATGATAAAAATATTCTCCTAGCTGCCAAGTTCAGTTGGCACTACTGAACAATATTTTCAGTCTCAAAATTCCATTTTCACTGTTAAGAAAAATGGAAGACATAATTTTTTTATATTAGAATAAAGCCAAAGAGTGCCTAAAACAATTTTTCCTGAACTGTATGCCAGATAACATTTCTATATAGGATTTTAATACCAGAAAATAGAAACTTTGGTCAAATACATTTAGTACATTCTAGGTAAATAAATTAAATCACTAGTCTTTCTGTATTACTTGGCAGAACCACATGAATGCCTTTGTTAATCTCTGAAGAAGGGAGTGAATAGAATACAAATTCTTTTCTAAACATATTCTTACACAGAATTCTTATTATGCTAAAACACCTAACAAAAGTATTTTTTCAGAAGCCACATTTTAAGTGTTGGCTCGTCTTATGGAAATCCATTGAAGACATTTTCCTGTCATTTCAATTGTTACACAATATCAGACAGAATATTTGTTTTATTGCATTTGATTTACAGATTTTTAAAACTATCACAGGGATTTTTTTTCTAAATTTTGAACAAAAGATAACTATATTTACAGATATATATCCATAATCTTTATTATATATTGCAACAGTCATTTACTGTTCCTATCTGCCCTTTTGCTTACGCCATTTTTCTCAACTCTTGGAAAACACTGCTTATTTCCTACTAAAATTATATGTAATTTGGGGGACATTTAAGCACAATTCTTTGTTTAGTGCCAGTGAGTGGATATATAACCCACTAATGACCAATCACAGTACTGTATCAGTCATTCACAGTGACAGTTGCATATGAATTGGGCAGTCAAGATATAACACGTATTTTCATATGCTGCTTTACTCAGCATAGTATTCAGCTCATCACCATCACTTTGTTGGGGAGAATTATTTATTTGCATCAAAATATGTGATACAGTTAATGTTGATCCAGCCCTACCAATCTGGAGTTCAAGACCTCATTATATAATCAAAGCAGATTCAGAGTACAGAAAGAGACAGAAAGAGAGAGAGAGAGAGAGAGAGAGAGAGAGAGACTGCATCATGATTCAAAAGCTATCAATATTATTTAGCATGGAATTTCAATGGTGAACAAAGGTAATTAACTGGGCACTTTGCTGTCAGTGCCAAGAACTGGTTAACAATCTAGTCACCAGTAATTTCTTCCACCTCTGTATTAAGGTATCTGGTAAAACAAACATGTGATAGTCATTTCATTGTACAGTTGATGATAACGAAATTATGCATCCTCTACCTGTGCTATTTACTAAAAAATTTTTCCAGTAGTGCTTTGTATTTCTCACTTCACACACATTTGTCATGGCTGGTTAAATAAACTTTCCAAAAAAATGTGATGTATCTCCTTTCCATATCGACCTTATATGATGATACCATGCTTTTGACGTCCTTTCCACATTTACAACAAAATCAATCAGCTTCATATTGGAAAACAATGTTATGTGTATTCTGGAAGAACTTATTTAACTTCTTAGAAAGGGCACTCTATGCTTTGTGTAAAAAAAAAAGGCAGCAATTTGGTGGTCATTACAGAAAATGTTATAGCATAAGAGATGGTAGAATGTATCATATTTCTTGAAAATATTTGTTTTATATTACTGACATTTTTATTCTTTATATCATTCACTTTTATAGTTGTCTATTTCTTTTTAATAGCATTTCCAAACTCATATTCTATAATTAGAGGCTAATATTCAGGGTTGGTTCATTTTACTCATTTTCTTTTTGCTTGTTAAAACTTCATTTCAGCATGACTGTGTTTAGAGAAATACACTCATTGGTTAACAGAATGCAATTTAAGTTTAACTTATTCTATGCAATTTGGACCAAAAAGTTGGTATGTGACTTGAGATTTTTAAAAAGTATTTGCAATCTGGTTTATTTTTATTTATTTCAAATGTACAAATTCTCCTTCATCAAATGCTGTTAAAGAAGGCAGAAAGACTACAGGTGCGTGCCATCATACCCAGCTAATTTTTGTATTTTTAGTAAAGATGGGGTTTCACCATATTGGTCACGCTGGTCTTGAACTCCTGACCTCATGATCTGCCGCCTCAGTCCCCCAAAGTGCTGGGATTACAGGCGTGAGCTACTTGGGAGGCTGAGGCAAAAGAATCATTTGAACCTGGGAGGCAGAGGTTGCAGTGAGTCGAAATTGCACCACTGCACTCCAGTCTGGGCAACAAAGCGAGACTTTGCCTAAAAAAAAAAAAAAAAAAAAAAAAAAAGAAGGCAGAAAGAACCTTGAAAAATTTACCTTTGGTTTGCCAAAAATAAAAGAAAAGTAATAATCACACTGTATAAGTTTATAAAATTAGTGTTAGAAAACTTTGTTGTAATGTTTCAATGCCAATTTACAAAGTTCAACAACTAATGGATATGGAAAGGGGTCTATGTGCACATGTGGAACTGGAAAAACTATCTGACTTAGTAAATATCTTATGTAGATTGTAAATCTACACAAAATCTTCAAGATTCAGGTAATTTCTTCAATCTGAATTAATACTATCTGCTAACCTCATCTGCTGAGATTAACAGGGAAACTGGGCGCACTAGCAGTGAGTTTTTTCTGACTTACACAAAAAAGAAAATTAAGTTTCTTCCCCGGCTTTTCAGCCCAGAAGTGACAGTATACTACAGGCAAGGTGCAAGGTGTTTCTTCCATTGTCAACATTTATAGGGTGATATGCAGTGAGGTCTAGTTGGGTTTTGATTTGTATCACCACTCATATGCAAACTAGTCTCCAAAATTAATAACCACATAACTTTAGAAGTGATTCTAAAAAGTAAAATCGCCCTTCTAAGAAGGCTAGAGCAAAACATCCAGCCATATTTATAAGAAGCCTTGTCAAAGAAATGCAACCCTTTTAAAATGGTACCTAAATAAGAATAAAAATAAAAACAACCCATTACCCCAAAATAAGAAGCAGATCTGAGGAAATGAGAAAAATATATATCTTAAAATAGGTTGAAAAACCAATGTGAATCTAGGTTCAAAAGATAGTAAAAGACATTCAATTTTGTAAGACTACCTAGGATTAAGGCTTATAATGTATTATAGTTTTTCAGGTTTATCATTAGTTACTAAACACCAATTTACAAATAGCATGTTCATTTTTTTTACCAAAAGAGAAAATTCTGGTTTCATTTTCAACCCTAACGGCAGAGTCACCATAGCTATATTTGCTCTATGTAACATATGTAACTTTAGAAGTTATTACTTTCCTCCTACTTTGTCTTAGCCCTTTTCTTTTTTTATTTGCTGTGTAATAAACTTTTTCATTTACTGCCAATATATTAAGCAAAATTCTGATATTACTTATTTACTCCTCAAATGAAGAAGTTTATGTCAATTTAATACTTTTCCTAGGATAAATTTTACCATTGAATATACTTATTATTTAATGAGTGGACAAATGTTTACCATGTGAACACAATTCTTTTAGACATACAGTCTGTTCTGGGACCGTTTCTTCTATGAGCTATGCTTGAATCAGTCACCAAGAGGAAAAAATGTTTTTTTTTTTCAACTCTGTTAAAAAAAATAAAAGTAAAGGAGAAAATATAAATATTTTACTATAAATTTACGGTTTGAGAAGGATGCTGGCTAAAATATGTGCAATTTCACTTTGATTCAGTTTAATATAATAATATGTGTGAGTCACTGATGTAAATCTTGTTTTGTTCAATAAATAAACATCCCCTCTATTAGCTGAAAGTATACTTAATTTTACTTTTATTTTTTATTTTTTAATTTTTTTTTATTATACTTTAAGTTTTAAGGTACATGTGCACATTGTGCAGGTTAGTTACATATGTATACATGTGCCATGCTGGTGCGCTGTACCCACTAACTCGTCATCTAGCATTAGGTATATCTCCCAATGCTATCCCTCCACCCTCCTCCCACCCCACCACAGTCCCCAGAGTGTGATATTCCCCTTCCTGTGTCCATGTGATCTCATTGTTCAATTCCCACCTATGAGTGAGAACATGCGGTGTTTGGTTTTTTGTTCTTGCGATAGTTTACTGAGAATGATGATTTCCAGTTTCATCCATGTCACTACAAAGGACATGAGCTCATCATTTTTTATGGCTGCATAGTATTTCATGGTGTATATGTGCCACATTTTCTCAATCCAATCTATCATTGTTGGACATTTGGGTTGGTTCCAAGTCTTTGCTATTGTGAATAATGCTGCAATAAACATACGTGTGCATGTGTCTTTATAGCAGCATGATTTATAGTCCTTTGGGTATATGCCCAGTAATGGGATGGCTGGGTCAAATGGTATTTCTAGTTCTAGATCCCTGAGGAGTCGCCACACTGACTTCCACAATGGTTGAACTAGTTTACAGTCCCACCAACAGTGTAAAAGTGTTCCTATTTCTCCACATCCTCTCCAGCACGTGTTGTTTCCTGACTTTTTAATGATCACCATTCTAACTGGTGTGAGATGGTATCTCATTGTGGTTTTTGATTTGCATTTCTCTGATGGCCAGTGATGATGAGCATTTTTTCATGTGTTTTTTGGCTGCATAAATGTCTTCTTTTGAGAAGTGTCTGTTCATGTCCTTCGCCCACTTTTTGATGGGGTTGTTTGTTTTTTTCTTGTAAATTTGTTTGAGTTCATTGTAGATTCTGGATATTAGCCCTTTGTCAGATGAGTAGGTTGCGAAAATTTTCTCCCATTTTGTAGGTTGCCTGTTCACTCTGATGGTAGTTTCTTTTGCTGTGCAGAAGCTCTTTAGTTTAATTAGATCCCATTTGTCAATTTTGTCTTTTGTTGCCATTGCTTTTGGTGTTTTAGACATGAAGTCCTTGCCCATGCCTATGTCCTGAATGGTAATGCCTAGGTTTTCTTCTAGGGTTTTTATGGTTTTAGGTCTAACGTTTAAGTCTTTAATCCATCTTGAATTGATTTTTGTGTAAGGTGTAAGGAAGGGATCCAGTTTCAGCTTTCTACATATGGCTAGCCAGTTTTCCCAGTACCATTTATTTAATAGGGAATCCTTTCCCCATTGCTTGTTTTTCTCAGGTTTGTCAAAGATCAGATAGTTGTAGATATGCGGCGTTATTTCTGAGGGCTCTGTTCTGTTCCATTGATCTATATCTCTGTTTTGGTACCAGTACCATGCTGTTTTGGTTACTGTAGCCTGATTACTTTTATTTTTAAAACACTTAATGACTTATTAATTCCTTTATTTTTAAATAAGATATAGGTTTATATTGCCTTCTATCACATTCACTTGTTTCCACTGTTAAATTGTATTTTTTTCTACAAAACTCTGGTCTTTTCACAATTGTCTTTGAACCAAGGGATTCATCTCTTATAGTCTCTTTGTTAATTTATTATCTTTGTCTTAGCCAAGTAAGGCATCAGAAATTGTTTTTATTTAATGAGGGAAGGATCACAAGGATGTATGTAAGGCAAGAGAAATGAGAAGATAAACTCGTTTTTCGGTCTTAAAGATTACCCCTTTATATTAGAAGAACAAACACTTCCCATAAATAAAATATTGTCTGCTATTAGATTGACCAGCTTAGTCTTATTGTAGTAGAGCAATGACTAGCATAGCCAAGTAAATGAGTGCTTTGGGATGAGAGATTAAATGTGAAAGAAAAGTGGGAATGGGTAGTCTGGGAGGTATTAGGACGCCTGTGCTTTTCTGGCAGTTTTCAGTGCAAAGTTGCTTATAATCCAGCATCTTCCACAGTTCCCTGGCAAATGTCATGTGCTCCATGAATATCCTTCCCTGATAAACCCTTGTGGGAATTTTCCACTAAGTAGAATAATCCCTGAGGTTACCATTATTTGCAAACACTTTCATTTACCCATAATGCATAAGAAAGTGTTATCAGTATTACACAGCAAATAATTAAGAATTTTATAACTGTAATTAGCCATTTTTAAATTAGGGTTTATTATAATCCTTTATAAATTTTCATGCAAATACTCCAAAAAATTACAGTGAATTTGCCTACTAATGTAGAGAAGTCATTAATTTAATGTTTCTTCCATTATCTTAGAACTTTTAAGAATGAATATTCTCCATTATCTCTCTGTTTTCAGCAATTGCATTTGTTTCAGAAATTCAAATAATAAATATTTAGTGATTACTTACTGTATGAAATATATGACCTAGGAAGAATTATAGCTAAAATAATAAGAGTAAGAATAAAGCATAGCTCCTAACTTCAGAGAAGTTACACATTAGTATAGAATGCACACAAGAATACGCATACAAATATGCACAAATACACAAATAAGTTCTATGTAATAAGGGATAAGTACTAAAACACACTATGTGAACATTTTACAAAGAAGGAATCATTTTGTTGTAGGATTAGTAGGAGTTTTTGTTATTGAGAGTTCTCAAAAGAGAAATATACTTTCAATTGATAAAGTGAAAGCAGATCTAGAATGCACAAATGAACAACAATCTTATGTGGAAAAAATATTATAATAATGTTTATACTGCTTTTGAAAGTAATTTAAGTTCTCTGAATTTCAATTTACCTGTATCTTCATCAATTCAATCTGGTACAAATTATGCTTATATGACTTCTGAATCTAGTTCAAGAAAGAAGATGCTATCTCTGCCTGGTCTTCTTCACATATTAGCTCTAGAGGAATCCAGATGTCATTTAAAAACTCTGACTAATATCATAATGGTGAAGAGCTGAAAGCTTTTTTCTAAGATCAGGAACAAGATAAGGCTACTCATTCTTACCACTTCTATTTAACACAGCAGTAGATGTCTTAGCCAGAACATTTAGGTAATAAAAGGAAATAAAAAGCATCTAAATTAGAAAAGAAAAAGTAAAATTGTCACTGCAGATAACATTACTTTACATCTAAAAGCCTAAAGATTCCATCCAGACAACATTAGAAAAAGTAAACAAATTCAGTAAAGTTGCAGGATAAAAAAAAAATCAACCTACAGAAATTGGTAGTATTTTCATACACTAACAAAACTCATCTGAAAAACATCAAGAAAACAATCCATTTATAATAACATTTAAAAAGAATAAAATACTTAGAAATAAATTTAACTAAGAAGGTGAAAGATCTGTACAACAAAAACTACAACATACTGATGAAAGAAATTGAAGAAAACACAAGTAAATAGAAAAATATCCCATATTCATGGACTGGAATAATTAATAGTTAAAATGTTCATACTACTCAAAGCAATCTACATATTCAATGTGTATACATCTACTATGTATCCACAAAAATTAAAAATTAAAAAATCAATGTAATCCCTATCAAAATTCCAACAACATTTTTCACAGAAATAGAAAATAAAATTCAAATTTTTTTTGGAATTACAAAGATCCTAAACAGCCAAAGCAATGATGAGCAAAAAGGACAAAGCTCAAGCCATCATATGACTCAATTTCAAATTTACTGTAAACCTACAGTAATCAAAACAGCATAATAGTAGCATAAAAATGGGCATATAGACCAATGGAACAGAATACAGAGCTAGAAATAGACCCATGCATTTACAGTCAATTCATCTTCACAAAGATGCCACAAACAAACAATAAGGAAAGGACATTATCTTCAATAAATGATGTTGAGGAAAGTGGATATGCATGTGTGCAAGAATGAGATTGGACCCTTATGTCACACCATATATAAAAAATCAAATCTAAATAGACAAAAGACACATGTAAGACATGAAGCTGTAAAGCTACAACAAGAAAGTATAGTTAAAAGCTTAATTACATTTGTTTGGGCAAGATGTTTTGGGATATGACTCCAAAAGCACAGGCTACAAAAGCAAAAAGAGACAAACGGGAGTTCATCCAACTAAAAAGTTTCTGCACAACAAGAAAGGGAAAAAAATGAATGAGGATTCAACATAGAATGGAAAAATACTTTTGCAAACAATACATCTGATAATGGGTTAATGACTAGAATACATAAGGAACTCACACAATTCAATAGGAAGAAAACAGTAAACCAATTTAAAAATGAGTAAAGGATCTGAATAGAAATTTCTCAAAAGACATACAAATGGCTATGTACGTGAAAAAATGCTCAACATCGCTGATAATAAGAAAAATGCAAATCAAAACCATGAGATCACCTCACATCTGCTAGAATGACTATTACTAAAAAGACGAAAGATGACAACTGTTAGTAAGAATGAAGATTAAAGGGAATCACTGTAAACCTTAGAGGGAATGTAAATTAGTACAGCCATTATGAAATACAGTATTGAGAATTCTCAAAAAATTAAAAATAGAACTAACATATGATCCAGTAATCCCACTTCTGGATATATATCCAAAGAAAATGAATCGGAATGTTGCAGAGGTATCTACCCCTGCACTCTCAGAATCATTGCAACATTACTCACAGTAGACAAGACATGGAATCAAACTAAGTTTCCATCAAAAGATGAATGGACACACACACACACACATACACAGAAAGAGAGAGAGAGAGAATACTATTCAGCAAAAATGAAATCTTCCCATTTTCAATAACGTGGACAAACCTGTAGGATGTTCTGCTAAGTAAAATAAGCCAGGCACAGAAAGACAAATCCTGCATGATCTCAATTATAAGTGGTTTCGATAAAAGTTGAACTCTTAGAAGCCAAGAGTAGTACCCATGTGAATGGTCTGTATAAGATAACCAGCCCAGGCAAACTTTCACAGAGACTCTACTACAGGGCTGTAAGTTGATTTTGTCCCAATATCCTGACCCAAAAATTTTTGAGAAAAATAAAACGGTTATTTTAAGCTGCTATGTTTTGTGGGTAATTTTTATACAGCAATATTAACCATTATAAAAGCAAAAGGTTTATATATCCCATATCTGAAAGAGGCACAGTCAACTTCCATTAACATATCATAGTCTAAAATTTGAAAATGTAGCCCCATAGAACTTCAAGGGGAGATTGGAAATGAAAATCCATGTAACTGCCAAAGAATATTAAGGGGAATCTAAATTTGGCCAGCACCTCCTATTTTTCACGTGATATAATGTTTGCGTTGGGAGTGAGAAGAAGAAATAAGCAAGAGAGATTATATACTACCCATTATTTATTGGTTTTGATTCTTTCCCCTTAATTCTCTGAGAGAGGGGATAGGCATAAAACTTCTAGTAAAAGTCAAGAAGTGTTTTCTGTAGCATAATTTTATAACCATCTTCGATAACTTTCTTTGGCCTAGTTTAATAACCTGAGAATTTAGCTTTACATTTTAAAAGACTATCTGTAGATTTCTGCTCCTGGAAGAAATTTCAGACTGCTATAACCAGTCTACATACTTTGTTTCCTTTGACCTTACTTTTCTAATAATTTAATTTCTAATGTTGGAGCAAAAGGAATTTCTCCTTTTCTCTCTGAAGATTTCTGAAAAATTAACTCACAAAAGAAACATTAATCAGATTAAAGGCATTCTAATTTATTTGATCATACATGACAGGAGAGCCTTCTGAATGAAGACCCACCCCCCACCCCCAGTGGAGAGCAAAAACTTCGATACCATTTTGAGACTACAGAAAAGATAGGGACTTGGATTCTGGCAAAAGAGGTGATCGTCTGATGAGATGAGCAATTCTGTTGAAGAACAATAAATGATTACTATGGAGAATTCAATGGACTCAGAGAACATACAGTAGTCCAGGACAAAGTCTGTTGGGTACATAGAACAGTGGGTTGTCACAACTGTCTGTCCAGACTTTTTGTCTTGTTGACAGTCTTGTTGACAGACTTTAGTTGACAGATTTTAGTCTTCTTTCCTGTGATATGAATTCAGTTAATGAATCTCAGGGATTCAATTACCCAGAGGTAATCGTTTTCTTCTTTGGTGGGTCTGGACTTCAAGCAGATAAGAGAACTTCAGAGAAGGCTATGCTAGGAGAGACGGTGGAGAACCCAGGAGGTCAGAAAGACCTTGATGTTCTTTTTTTAGACCAGCATATACAAAGCACCATATTTTGGGTTATTGGTTCCTGAGCCCCAACACTATCTGTCAAATTGTTTAATAGTCTTTGGGGTGCTTTCTGAGTCTTACATGATACAACATATGCAGCAGTTATTCAATAAGCTGTTGCTAAATGACACGTGAAAAAGAGGAGACGAAAGTAATAGTTATTAAGCAGTTACTAAATGTTACACATACTGTTAGTTACTTTACTTGACTGTTTTTGTGTTAAACACAAACCATCCTTCAAAAAATCTATTATTATACTTCATTCCACAGATGAAGAAACTGACTCGTTGAGTTTCATTAAGCAACTTTACCATTATAATCTATCCCTGTCATGTATTTTTGAATTTGTATAAATAATATAATGGAGATCAATATTAGTGATCTAATTTATGAGTTTCAATTCTTACTTATACAAGAATAGCTTTAGGGGAATAGCCGAAGACATATTTCAAACCCATTTTACATTTGCAAAAGTGAATATATCTCAAAATACTTTTTACATTACAACTTGTTATGTATACCATGCCAAAGCTAATGCTCAAGTTCTTATACTTCTAGGCTAAAAATCCATTTTTGATTCATCAAAAATAGATAAAGAAGACACTGAACATAAAAAATATGGGAGGAAATGAAATATGTCTGGAATCAAACATTATTCAGATTAAAACTATATGTTTTAAATGCCATTCTTGTCAACTGTTATAAATTCTACAATGACAGAGACCCTCTACTCTCATTCCTTGTTATATATCTCAAATGCTTAGTACATTGACTAGTCCATTCTAGTTGCTCAATGAATAAACCAAACAAAATGTAAGGCAGGATCAAACATCAAATTCAGCGTTCCTAACCAGCACAGAGTAGACTTTACCTGATCAAGTTAGTTTGTGGGCAGAAAGCCTAATTCCAGACATTTCTGAGCTTCCCATATGTTTAAGCAACTTAAGTACCTTGAACGTATAGCAAGTGGTGGGACTGTGAATGAAACTCTATTATGTTCAACATCAGATTCAATTTCCTTTATACTATATCTCTCTGCCACAACCATGTGTCTTTATTTGAAAATTTACTCTATACATGAATCATATATTTTGATTTATTCACTGAACTCTATTCAAAATAATTTTGTGTAGTTTTATTTGGTATATTAAATAAGGGAAATTTGTGATCCCAGCTATCAATGCTACAATTTAATAATTAATTAAAGTTAAATTAATTTAATTATATTTTCATCTACATATAAACGATGATGAAAAGATTATCTTTTTAATTTCCTATAATCTTCTAAAATTTAAAATGTCAGCTATTAACATGTTTTATTGATTCTAGAGGAAAATAAAGTATAAAAGAAATCTATTTTAATTAGTTCATTGAATCTTCTTTATGGCTTAAATAACTAGTATTGAAATAAGTGGAAACACTCATTTTTCTATACAGATTGCACTAGCCAACAATTTTGAGAAGACAGCAGGTTTAACACAACCCTGTTGCTATCCGCTCTGTTTCTTATAAAATAATAACTATTTCTTCTGAAGAAGCCAGACATGGGGGTTTGAAGGTTTTAAGTAAAGCCTGGAACCAAAATGAACAGGCTGTTTTCCTCTCTGAGACCTTGAATAGCAGTGTTAGATAATATCAAGCAGAATGAGTTCAGAGAAGAGTTTGGCCTGGGGATAAACATGAACAATCCAAGACAAATTACTCAATAAAGAAGAACTGACAATCTCCTTAAAGGGAAAGTCCACAAATCAAAGAATCTCAAGTGTAGATTGTTCTTCAATAATTCATTTTCCTCATAGATACACAGATTAAAAAGTAAATCACATCACTTAAGTCAGTTCTCGATTTCTGAGGATTTTTAGAGAATGGGATATACATGGACAATTTAAAGCGAAGACACAATTCTCAGACTCTACTATAAGTTTTTATTGAAGAAAACAATGAGTATAATAGTAAGTTTTGGAGAAACAGGTAATAAAGAAAGTTAAACAATGTCATGTGGATGATTCAGATTCTCTGTTTTGTATGATGACCTGTAATAATCCATTTTTTTTCATGCAGGTTAAAAAAGATTTAGCATCTAACTAGAACTACGTTTAGCCTCTCTAGTGAAAGTTTCATTGGATATTTTGTTCAACACTTTCAATAGAGTTAAAATCATGGAAAGTCTGTGAATTAAAATTTTTCATGACCCATAGATAATAAACAGTTGATTTAAGTTGACTATAGAAAATATTTATAGTAATGAAATTTAAATGGACTGCTTTGGGTAAAATGACATGTTATATTTTATTATGTTCTGCATATACATTTCCTCCTTATTTGAAGAAAAAAACCTGAAAATCATCATATTTAAATGTCACTATCAAAAACTTAAGGTACTTAGGAGAAAATATAGAGGCTGTCTTTTTTGGAATTAAGTTAAAATCTATCTCTCTTGATCTACAAACGTTATTGCCATTTGTACTTTATAAGTTCTATTTATACAGAGTCCTTTGGGTATTAAACTGCTTTTTCTGCAAGTCTAGTTGCTTATTATAAAAGCATTTTCTCCAGGTTCATTGACAGCTCATCAACCAACAAATCTCAGTAGTGACAAACTTCAGTGATTGAAGCACGTATCTTGATTTCTCTGAGAATCTCAATATATTTCTGATTCAATACTGACTTTACTGTTATTAGCTCATCTCCTTTTTCACTGCCTCCTTTCATCCATCAAGAAAAAACTACATGTCAGCACTCTAATCACTTGAACTGAGAGAAGGAAAAAAAATAACATTAGTTCACTTTATCCATACTACCATTTAATTCAACTTGCTGTAAAAAAAGTTTCTTAATGATCATACCCAATAATAAATTATACTACTCTAAATTGCTAGTAAATTCCTGAGAATTGAAATTATTTCTCATTCAATACCAACCAAAGATTTGTTCAGTTTTTCTTTGGTATGCTTCAAACTACCAAGATTTGAAGCAATATCTGTAATTAAATGTCATATTATAAATATCATCTAGTGATGATATCCATTCAGCAAATCAAGCTAAGCTTGTATTTTGAATTATTATAGTGCTGCAATTAATAATACATACATAATTCACAGTACATACTGTGCATTATGAGTAACATTAGTTAAGAAAAATTCAAATTTCATTTTAAAATTGTTCCCTTAATTCTTTGTCTAACATTTTTTTTTTTGTCTAGCATTCCAGAACAACAATTTATATTGTACAAATAATTCCAGTGAGTCATTTAGGCTTTAGAACTATATAACATTGATATAAATTTAAAATAATAAAACAACGTTATAAAACATTATGTAGAGTATGATAAAATTATTTTACAGGTATATCAGTAGATTTGTGTATACACATATATGTAGGATAAAACTATCTATTTAAAAAGTAAGCGATATATTCAAACAAAAAAAAGCTAAGACAATTTCACAGATGAAATTTTATTAGGCTATAAAATGAACCTAGAAAAAAGTAATTGTGGTATAAATATTTTCCATTTTATACATGATCATGTGTGTGTTTGTAATAGGTAGAATAATGACTCCTATTAAAGAGAGATAAAAGTTGCTGATGAAATTAAGTCACTAATTAGTTGACCTTAAAGAAATTATACTGGGTTTTTCAATTGGATGCAATGTAACCACAAGGGTCCTTAAAATTGAAAGAGGCAGTCAGAAGATTTAGTGTGAGAGCGATACAATGGGAGAACTCAACCTGCTTTCATTGGTAGATGGAAGAAGATGACCACGAGCCAAGAAATATGGGTGGCCTATACAAGCTAAAAAAGGCAAAAAAGCAAATTATTTCCTAGAGCCTTCAGAAAGGAATGCAGCTTGCTGACAGCTTGATTTTTATACCACCGAGATCTATGTTGGACTTCCAATCTAAAAATAACAAATTTGTGTTTTTTTCAAACCACTAAGTGTGGTATTTTGTTATGGCAGCAATAGAAAGCTAAACAAATACAGTATGCAATAGAAAATGAGCGAAAATAGCATGCTTACATTTTAAACATTTTTTTAATCATATTAATAATTGATACAATTTTCATATCTAATTCAAGAAAGACTTCTTTTTTTGTTGTTACTTGAAGAGTAAGCCTTTTTGCCTATTTACAGTGAGTAATTTATCAGACGTCATTTACTTAAAGGGTTGAAACCACTTACAGTCAAAACAATACTTGTAAAACAGAATAATTTTTCCATAATTATAAAAACGCGTGGTGTCCATTTATGTGTCCAAAAAGTAAAATTGTGTGTTTGCTAAAGGATGAATCATTCTGTTGTTAAAAATAACTAATTTAATTAATTTAATTTACATGTATGCACACACACACAGCACCATCAGACACACAGACATGACCTGCATTTTACTTTATTTTTACTGATTTACAATTATCTACAGTGGCATACACAGATCTCAAGTTGTGTGGTTAAGAGTATTGAAAGAGTATAAACCTAAGTAACCAATACACCAATGAAGATGTAGAACATTTCCATCCTTCAGGAAAAGTTTCCTTGTGACATCCAGTAAATCAATGTCAACTGTTAACCACTCCCTCCCTACACACTATTTGTTATTCAGTTCATCTGTAGATGGACATTTGAAGTGTTTCTAGTCTGAGACTACTATAATAAAGCTGCTATACACATGTGAGTGCCAAATCATTTTGAGGATATTTTAGTTATCTAACCAAGTGCACATAAGTGTGTATTTGGTTAAATAACTAAAAGAAATATTGCTGGATCATAAGGAAATTGTATGTGTATAATTTTATAGGAACCTGGAAAATGAGTGCCCAAAGTGGCTATATGATTTTGTACTCCACTAGCAATTTATGAGGGTTTATAATTAATCTTTTGTTACATAGAGAAATTTGTAAAACTTTCTTTTTTAACATTTCAAGATAGTTTTGGCTATTCTAGGTCCTTATCTTTTCCATTAAAGTAATAAAACACCTTGTCAGTTTCTTAAGAAAAATCAATCTGGTCATCATGATTGGGATTAACTTGTATCTATAGATTGAATTAGAGAAAGTTAGCATTTTATCTATTTTATATATACATATGAACACAAATATATAGAGAACACTATACATTTATTATACATATGTTATATATGCAGGTTTATTACATGGGTATATTGCATGACACTTAGGTTTGTGGTATAAATGACACTGTAAACCAGTAGTGAGCATAGTACCCATGAGTTAGTTTTTCAGCCCTTGCTCCTCTCCCTCTCTCCCCGCCAGTAGTGCCCCGTGTATTTTGTTCTTATATTTACATCTATATGTACCCAAGGCTCAGCTCCCACTTGTAAGTGAGAACATGCAGTATTTGATTTTTTGTTCCTGTGTTAATTCACTTAGGATTATGTTGCTGCAAAGGACACGATTTTGCTCCTTTTTTATGGCTGTGTAGTAAGTATCCCATAGTGTATATGTACCACATTTTCTTTATCCAACCCACCATTGATGGGCACCTAGGTGGGTTCCGTATCATTGCTACTGTGAATAATGCAGTGATGAACATACATGTGCATGTATCTTTTTGGTAGACTGATTTATTTTTCTTTAGTTATATACCCAGGAATGATAATGCTAGGTTGAATGGCAGTTCTAAGTTCTTTGAGAAATCTCCAAACTGCTTTCTGCAGTGGTCGAACTAATTTGGATTCTCACCGAGAGTGTATAAGCATTCCCGTTTCTCTGCAGCCTTGCCAGTATATATTACTTTTTGACTATGCAATAACACATACATAGACCAATAAGAGAGAGGAGAGAACCCAGAAATAATGCCACACATCTACAATGATGTGATCTTTGACAAAGTCAACGAAAATAAGCAATGGGCAAATTACTCCCTATTCAATAAATGGTTCTGGGATAACTAGCTAGCCATATGCAGAAGAATGAAACTGGACTCCTACTTTTTCCATATACAAAAATTAAGGCAAAATCGATTACAGATTTAAATGTAAGGTGTAAAACTATAAAAATCCTAGAAAAAAACTAGGCAATACCATTCTGGACATAGACCTTGGAAAGAATTTATGGCAAACTCCTCAAAAGCAATTGCAACAAAAACAAAAAGTGCCAAGTGGGATCTAATTAAATTAAAGAGCTTCTGCACAACAAAAGAAACTATCACCAGGTAAATGGACAACCTAGGGAATGAGAGAAAATATTCACAAACTATACATCCATGGAGGTCTAATATCAAGAATATATAAACAACCTAGACAATTCAACAAGCGAAAAACTAATGGCTTCATTAAAAAGTGAGCAAAGGATATGAGCATACCCTTCTTAAAAGTAGACATATATGCAGTCAACAAATGTATGAAAAAATGCTCAACATCACTAATCTTCAGGGAATTGCAAATCAAAATCACAGTGAGACACCATTTCACACCAGTGAGAATGGCCATTATTAAAAAGTAAAAAGAGAACTTATTTGTTTATTGTTGCTGTATCTTGTAAGTATACTAAGTTTAATTAATATGTCTTTTTATTTTAACAGGCTGCTTAGGATTTTCTATGGTATACATTATATTATTTATGGATACAAACAGTTTCACGTCTTTACATTTATACATTTTATTTTTGTTTATTATTGAAATGGTTATGATCTCTAGTGAAATGTCAAATAGAATTGCTGGGAAAGAACTTCCTTGCTGATTACCTGATATTGTGGAGAAAGTATTTAATATGTCACCATTATATATGATGTTGATGGTTGGTTTAATATAGATATGTTTTATCAAATCAAGGAAATTTTCTTTAATCTCTGGTTGGTGCTGAATTTTATTCAAAGTTTTTCTGTATCTATGGAAATAATCATATGATTTGTACAGATAATGTGATGAATTAGTTTTCATATGTTAAGCTAACCATACATTCCTGTAATCGATGCCAACTGTTAATGTAGAATAAACCATGTGGTTTTATTCCAGCCCCCTAAATAAGATGGGAGTAAAGGAAGCCAGAATATTTCAGCACAAAATATGCCTCTTTGACATAAAAATAACGTTTTAACTGAAGGCAGTTAAGAAGCAGCAAATGGAGAAAAAGCTCTGTATATTCTCCTCCCTTTCTGCCTATAGTCAGGATATACATTTTCCTTGACTAGAGACAACTCTAGACTCTTAACAGCCCAGAGAAGGTACAAGAGGAATCTACAGACAAACCTTACTCCATCAGTTTCCTTCCATATGGTTACATCCCACAGTGTTCTGTCCTGTGGAAGCCTAAAGCCCTTTGTTCTATCATTTCTTCACAAGTTTATTGTTTTCTATTGAAAACGCCAGAGTTCTAAGCCACTACTTTGAGTTGCTTTTTATTAAGTCTTCTCCCAGATGATGTGAGTTATATGCATTAATAAATTTATTTTTTCTCTTGCTAATCTGTGTTTTGTTACCAGCGTTCATCCTAACTAAAAACTCATGAAGGTTGAGGAAAAAATATGTTTTCTCCCATGTGGAGGTATTCATACCTTTTCTTTTATGCGAGAGTGTTTATTATTTTTGAGGAAGAACCTTTAATGCAACACAAAGTATACTTAACCGACACAAACTTTTAAAATTTAGATATATATGTATCTTCTTCTAGTCCCTCCCAAAGAGACATATGGTCCTCCAGAAAATGAATTATATGCTGGGGAAATGAGAATCCTGTGGTCTTTGGGATGCTAAGCAACAATTACCAAGTGACTGATCATTCAAATCTTCCATCATAAGTTCAGTTTTGGCAGAGCCACTAAGTCAATGAGTTAGGCAGACCCCATGGATTGTAACACAGGAAATGATATATTCAGAAATATCCCCCAGGAAGACCAGAGGACATGAGTAAACTGCATAAATACGTGGTCTCAACTCCCATTTTACCTATCACTATGTCACCCATGCCTCTCACTCAACTCATAACCATGACCTCATGGATAGTTCCCTATGAACAACTATAAGAGGAGGAAACAGTCCAGGCATGGTGGCTCACACCTATAATCCTGGCACTTTGGGAAGCCAAGGTGGGCGGATCACCTGAGGTCGGGAGTTTGAGACAAACCTGGCCAACATGGTGAAACCCTGTCTCTATTAAAAATACAAAAATTAGCTGGGTGTGGTGGTGCATGCTTGTAATCCCAGCTACTGGGGAGGCTGAGGCAGGAGAATGGCTTGAACCCAGGAGGCAGAGGTTGCAGTGAGCCAAGATCATGTCACAATACTCCAGCCTGGGCAACAGAGCAAAACTCCATCTAAAACAAACAAACAAACAAACAAAAAACAGAGAAGAAAAGAGTACTGGGCCTTTTTCACAAAGGAGTTGGCTCAGAAAGTTGGGGTAAATCAAAGATAAAATTATGGTACAGTGAAGACCCACTCAAGGGTAACTCTGACAGACAAAAACATGGGGAAATTGGACCAGTAGGCAGAACTTCAAGCAGTGGGTCTGACCATTTTGTGAATAGAGAAAAGCAACCTGATGTAAGGATAAGACTGGGCCCCTGGGCATCAGTGAATGGGTTGAGTTTTGTCTAAGTTTGGAAGAAACAAGATTATACAATTGAAAAAAATGGGTTTAGGTCAAAGGAATGTTGACAGAACTGCGGGAATTAATCTGCGGGCAAGTTAAGCATCATTCTTAACACTTACACATGTAAGCACTGATACATTAATGTTCACCAGGGAGCAATGGCTGCTGTCATGTGTATGATTTGTATAAGAATTTATAAAGAATGATGTTTAACTTGCCCCCAGATTAAACTTGATTTGATAGAATTTTACCCCTAACTTGTCAAATTGTAAAAATCTTGTCATTAACAACTTTCATAAACTTATTCATGTAAAACTTGTTTTGAAACTGCTATTGTTGAGAATGCATTTTCTTAAAACTTTTACCTAAAAAAAAGTAATGTAAGTCTGTTGTTTGTGCTTCAGAGAGGGCCTGAAGAAGTACTGATAGAGATCTCTGCTAATACATCAAGGTGCTGGAAACTTAAATCTCCCTGTAAAAGAAACCGATAGAAAAGCTCAATCAGCCATACCATGAATAAACATTGAGCACCTAGGCATAAATCTCTCTGTGATCATCATGGATTGTGCTGAATTAGGTTTTCTGTGGACTAGAACACTGTAAATGAACTCCAACTTCCTTATTCAGATGATAAGAAAATAATTTTGCTAGTAAAGGTAATTACATGCTAGCAGGAGGAGTCAGAGTGCCTTATGCATTGACAGACTAACCATTTTTAATGAATAAGTACCCCTATTGCCCTTTCTACTCTAATTAGCTCACTGGCTGCTTAGCTTGTGGAAGAAAATGAATGTATGTGTTTCACTAACCAAGTGTATGTGTTATCAGTAATTCCTTTGAATATTGTCTACCCTTTGACATCTTGAACTGAATAATTTTGCCCTTAACCTTCAGCTAATGCCCACAATAAAATAACTGCAAAAGAAGTAACAAACAACCAAATGGAAATGTTGACTGAGTCAGAAGATATGAACTGGTGTCTGGTCTTGACTCTCATGTAATTGCACAAGCTCATGAAAGGTGGGGTCATTGAAGCTTCGTATGGGCCCAACAGCACATGTTCTCTCTTGCCAAGACTGATCTAGTTACTGACCCTTGGGAATGTCTGAATAGTCAGGAGATTAGGAAAACACTGAGCTCACAATGTGGTACAATGCCTCAAGAATAACGTATCATTCTATTGCTGCATAACAAATCACAAATTTGGTGTTTTTTTTAAAAAATACATTTATTAACTCACAGTTATATAGGTGAGAATTCTGGGTGGGCTTAGCTAGGTTCTCTTTGTAGAGTCTCACAAGGTGAAAATTAAAGTATCAGCCAGGCTTACGTCTTATCTAGACATGTGGGAGAAGAATCCACATCTAGATTTATATAAGTTTTTGAAGAACTCCGTTTCACGTGATTGTAGGACTGTAGGCTCTTCTTGACTGGCTGATGGTCAGGGGTGTTCTGGCCTCGCATACAGCCCCTTGCATCTCCAAAGCCAGGTGGTGTGTTGAATCCTTCTTGTCCTTCACGTGTCTCTGACTCTCATTCTGTAATATGTAGGAGAAAACTGTCTGCTTTTAAAGGGATTATATGATTCAGTTAGGCCTAACTGGATACTCTTCCTTATGATTGACTTAAAGTTTACTGATATCCATGCACATTAACTACATAAAGGCGGTTAAGATGTAGTAACTTAATTACCTTTTCAAAATTATTTTCTTCATGTAATGTAACAAAATCACAGGCGTGATATCTCGTCATATTCACAGTAATGGGGACTAGGGTCTAGGGTAAGACATCTTTAGGAGCTATCTGAAAATTCTTGCTACTGTGCATAATTACTAGCCACTTGTGAAAAATAGTTTATATTATACTTCCTCCACTCTGGAACGAACAGAAATTATTTCTAAATATGACTCTCAGGTATTCTGGGTATAGTTTCCTTTTCCTGCCTACAACACTTTAGCTAATATCGTTATTCAAGGGATCATAAAATGTGTGATTTATTAGCATGGGATTCCAAATAATCACCTTGGATTAAGGGACCAATTTCAAGGCTAAGAAAGTATGACAACTGACAATAAGATCATGGATCCACTCTTCTTACCATATACCACATGATATGTACTAAATATTTATGCCCACCACCCAAAAAATACATACAAAGAAGCTCTAATCCTCAGTGAGATGATATTTCCAAATTGACCATTGGGAAGTAATTAGGTAATGAGGGTAGAGCCCTCACGCTGAGATTAGTGCCCTCAAAAGAAGAGACACAAGAAAGACAACCTTTCTCTTTTCCCAATGTGAAGATACAATGAGAAGCCTGCAAGCCAAGAAGAAAGCCCTCACCTAGGAACTGAATCAGCTGGTTTACTTGTCCCATCCTCCAGAACTCTGAGAAATAAATTTCTGCTAAGTCACCCAGTCTATGGTATTCTGCTATAGCAGCCAAAACTAAGACACTGCATCTCTCTGAAGATGACAGCCTGATAAAACATTGAAATAGCCTCTTGAGAGTGCAGGAAATACGCCAGTGGAGATGACATTTTATGAGGTTAAGAAGCTGTCAGGATTTGGTATACAGCTTAACCATCTGGTATTACATGGTGCTATGTCACCAATAATTAGACTACATGGATCTAAATTGAAAGTGATAGTGTCTCTGTTCCCCATTATTTCCAGTGACCCACTTGAATAATTTGTACTTCTGTCCCCACAATACTGTACCTTCCGGGTCAAATCCTGCTTCCCAGAGGAGGAAAACTTTCACCAGGAGACACATTAAAATTCCCACTAAACCTGGTCAGCCACTTGATCACTTCAGATTTCTCATGAAGAGTAATTAGCAGGTTAAAAAAAGGAGTTATTACATTTGCAGAGGTATCTCTTTAGTTTATATGTATATAAATATGTACACACATATGCATATACATATATGTGTATATGTATAATTGTGTATAACAATAAATAACTATATATATACATATATGTACACATTTAACTTTTCAAAACAAGCACTTCTTCTAAAAAGAGGTCCAAATTTATTTTCAGCATTATTTTACCAACATAAATATAAATGATTATTATACCTAAGTTAAGAACTCCAATGAGTCCATTTGGTTCATGGAACACTCATAACAATCTTGGAATATAATCAATCATTTGTTCCATCCAGTAATCTGGAAAAGTTATTCAGAACTGCCTAGATATATTAGAGTCAATATGTAATACTGACTAATTCTTCAAGAAACACATTTATCAACGAATTCATCAGTAATGGAAGTATTATTCCCTGAGAAATCACCGTGTACCATGCACTGAACTAAGTATTTCTCATATAGAAAGTCAACTCACCACCCTGTGAGGTGGATAATATTATTATAATATTTTTATATTATATTGAATATGATGACATATGTAAAATATAATGATAAAGCTACTAAATGGTTAAAATAATAATAATAGAAATTAATTAATGCTCAATATACATGAGATATAGAAATAAGTAAATCATCAGCATGTAGTAGTAACTCATACATTTGCTACACAAAATTTTGCTAATGAATTTTGGGTAAAAACAATTTGGTGGAAAACAAGGTGTTCTTCGTGATAGCTCTTTTTTTTAAACAAATACTTATTTGAAAATTAACACGCTCCATTTTTCTGTGTCTTATATATTGGTTATTTTGATGAATTATGGAACAGAATTTTGGGCTTTCAAACATTTTAAACAAGTTTTTTGTTGTTTTTACAATTTTGTTTTGTAATTAAGTTTCTCCTTTTGTGAGTTCATTACATCCTACTGCAATAAAAAATATAAATTGTGTGCAGAAATGCAGTGATAATCAGGCATATCAAATGTTAATTAAAGTAACATCAGCCAACAATGTTATTATTTTCCTTGATTTGCCTAAAAATATTTAACTTTTATTTTGTGACACCATTTTCAATTTCCCTGTATTTGGCACACTTGTAAGACACAGTTTTCGTATTATTTGTATTCTGTGCCCTGGCAAATAAGATTGACAATCTTGTTAGAACAATAAAAAAATAGACTTTGAATGAACATTTACAAAAAGTGAAAATATTTTCATTCATTGCATCTAATTTTCCCTTAGAAATCCATCCTTATGTTCTGTTTCCAGTGTGCATTGATCAGACATATTTTTTCAGAAGTGTGACATGGACAAACTAAAGGGCAAAACTGAAGAAAAAAGACCTTTGGCATCAGGATGACTAGAGCTCAGATCTCTACTCAAACATCAATTTGCTGAAACAAGCTGTTCAAATATTTCAGATCTTCATTGCCTTATCTATAAAATATGAAAAATAATAATTCTACTTTCTAAAGGTGTTTAGACAAGTGCCTGTCACATAGTAAGTATTCCACAGATGTTCCTTTTCATTGTCCTTATTGCTGTTATGAAATGAAAAGTTAATGAAGTATAAATAAGATCAATTGAAGAAACATCAAAAGATGATGTTTCTTAACTACCAATTTCTTGGGCCATTGATTTTTAAAATAAAGATTAAATCAACCATACTCAACCCTAAACAAGAGCCATGTCTTTCTACCACTGGTACAAATTCCAATACTTGAATTCTACTTCATGACACCTGATGGTTTTCAAAAGCAGTACGTGTCTCATGATACTCTGAACAGTAGAATTCTTAATATGTTTCTCTTTTATTGTACTATCCATTATTTAGTTTTGGACCTCACAGAATGATTTCAAATACAAAGGTTCGACTATGTATCCTCTAAGAATTCAAATAAAATTAATATCTGCAAGCATTCATCAATTAATTAATTTAAAAAATTCCCTGTTTGCTTTAATAGTAACACTAAGTTTTGGTTCAATTTCTAATTCTCAACATACGTATATTTGGGAAGAAAATTGATTCATGTACATACACTAACTTTATTTTATTGTACTGTGATATCCACTAAAAAAAGGCATTTCGTTTTTTTTGTTGTTTTTTTTTTTTTTACTAAAATCAAATGCAAACAAAGTTTGGCTTCTTTGGATATATTTTCCCTAGAAGTTCATACAATGTTTATAGAAAGCCATTAACAAGATAACAAGTGGTAAAGACAATACAGTAGTTGCTATTGTTAACACTGTGTTCCAAGAAATAAATGTCCTCCACACTGTTCAGATTACTTATTTCTATGAATATTTATAGATGCGTATTTCTAACAGTGTTTATTAAAGCAGCCAAAAATCTCCAACTTAAAAATCTCCAACTTAAAAAACAGTGGAAATGTATCTCAGTGAGATAAATAAGATAAAATGTGTGTGTGTGTGTGTGTGTGTGAGTGTGTTTGTAACCAATCTTGGTGGATACCAAGGAAAATTTTAGATTTCTATTAAGTTAAACATTTTTCTTCACCTACAAATTACCAAGCATTTTGCTGGGCTCTAGGAATATAAAAGTGAAATACTATCTATACTTATTAGGCCAGGCGCGGTGGCTCACTTCTGTATTTCCAGCACTTTGGGAGGCTAAGGTGGGCGGATTGCTTGAGGTCAGGAGTTCAAGACCAGACTGGACAACATGATGAAACCCTATCTCTACTAAAAATACAAAAATCAGCCTGGCCAGGTGGTACCCAACTGTAGTCTCAGCTACTCGGGAGGCTGAGGCAGGAGAATAGGTTGAACCAAGAGGGCAGAGGTTGCAGTAAGCTGAGATTATTATGCCACTGCATTCCAGCCTGGGTGACAGAGCAAGACTCCGTCTCAAAGAAAAAAAAAGTTATACTTACTAGCTGTCTATTATATACAGTAGCAGAATATTTATCTCATTGAGACAAATTTCCGCTGTACTTTAGGTTGAAGATGCCATGCTTTCAGGTGAGTCCAGCAGAGTTATAACATCAGCAGACCAAGAAAGTAATGTTTTCCAGGAGTTAACAAAGAAAATAAAAGCCCTCTTCAAAAACTAATAAATAAAACTTACTGTTTCCTTCACTAAAATTAATATTTGTGACAGGCATTGTTGGGGGCAAATACGTACCTGAATAAAACAAATTTGCATTTTGTCCTGCTAGTCATACTCTAGTATATTCAGACACGTTGTTCTAAGGAACCACTAAAAACAGTTGAAATATAAAACTTTAGACAAAAAATATAAGTGGTTTGCTTCAAGCATAGAATGAAGTACAAAAGATTCTCAAAAAGACCATTCAGCATATAACCATTCTTCAAAAGGAAAAACACATTCAGAAAGCCTGAATTATTTCTCAAAACTGGGCCAATAAGATGTCATATTTCACAGTAAAATAATTTAAGAAAATGCTCCAACCATTTCTATTTCTTATCAAGTAAAAACAAATATTAGTAGGTTAGTCTCTGAAATTTGGTGCACTGAAAAAGCTACTGCATTTGATTAAATCCTGTATTTCTCAAATTTGAATTTCCTATAAAGACTGTTTTTCACTGATCATCTGTCCTCTAGAATTACCATAGCATAGGGCTATGTTTTAGACATGTTGTTCTACTTTATATATACACATGGATTCTCATAAACAATAAAATCAGGACATCTCTGTAAAAGTTAAGATATGCGAATTATAGGATAAAATGGGTGGAAAAGTTATTTTTCTCCATTATAATCTATATTCATCTGTTTCTCCTTGATCAATGATTATCTTCCCCAGCATCAAGAATGAGATATGGTCATCAAAACTGTGAATCACAAAGAAATCAAAGATAAGTTAAATTGCATTGTAATTTTTTTACAAATAAATGTTACTTAAAATGTCATTAAAATTCTCTTTTTCATATGGAATTTCTTCTCGGTTTTATGTTAGGAATAAAAATAAGAGCATATCTTTGTTCTTAAGTAAGTCTATCCCCTATGATATTAACACTGAGACAAAAATACTGTAAGAGTTTCTATAAACCTAACTGTATCAACTAAAAACATCTTTGTGAAATACTTTGCTGTCTTTATTTCTAAAACTCAGAGCTTATTTCCAGTACTGGGAGATTCTACAGTTCTGTAGAAACATAAAGTCTATTTTGGAGGTTACTACCAAACTATATAGAAATCCAGGTCTAGTTATTTAATTCATCGAAGTTTATTTATGATGAATAAAAACTGAATTTTCAAAAAGGATCAAAGGTCTTCAGACACTTTATGAAGGTGTTGCTGTCACTGGTAACTATCACATTAGACTTTTCATAGATTATAAAGGGTTTTAATAGTCAGGGAAAGTAAGTAACTGCATAAGGTCTATTTAGAATGACCTTCACCATTTTATTCTCCAGGTCACTAGAATAACTAACAGAAAATCAAGTGATTAAAGCAGAATTAGGTTTGATTAAGTGTAATGTTTCCTCTTAACTGTTTTTCTTAACTTCAGAGAAGATACTAATTGATAGCAGTTGACTAGGGGGTTCTTTAATAAGGTCATTCATATTCAAAAATTAATTCATTTTTAACCTGTTTCAGGCACCAGACACCTTAAAGATAACAAACTACTTTTTATACTAGCAGGATTTTACCATGAATGAAAGAGAAGCAGAGCAGGATATGCAATATGGACAATAGGTACAACTCATCTTTTAAGAAGTAGTAAAATATAAGTTGAATAATGCAAAAAGAAGTGGAGAAAATTGTCCCACTCAGTACAACCCTGTACATAATGACAGAATGAAATCATAAAATGTATATTCTTCTCTAGATTCTATCTCAAAATTTGACAGTACATTGTTAGATGTTAATTATAATATATAAATTTCAAAAGAGAGCTATAAAGAAATAAAAGGTTGAATTAAGGTAAATTTGATGAAGAAATGATGTTCTATTTTATTTATATTTATGTAATTGAGAAATAATCCTCTGGATAAACATCTGCAGACATTTTAGGTGGGATATAAGAATAAACATAGCATTCATATTTCTCACGTCTCATTACCCATTGGAGTAAATGATCAGAAAAAAATAGATTTAAACCTTCATCAAAGTTGAAAATTTAGGAAAGTGTCATTGATGTGTGGTAGATACACTTCAATAAGAAGGGCTTGACGGGCTTGGTAGCTGCATTGTGAGGCTGTCTCACCTCTCTTTCACTCCATCTGACCCCTTCCTCCTTTCCCATCCAAAAAGTTAAGGCTCTCTACTTGGCCTTTTTACTTTTGTGTTCTCATGGATTGGGGCTACATTTTTGTTTTTCCTGTGGTGTTTGACTGGAACAGAGTGATTATTGTCTGTAAGTTTTTGTCTAATTAGGCTGCTCTGTTCCTAGTTCTTTAGCTTTAGAGGGCTGGCTTTTTGGTGGGGCCATTCTTATCTATGCCCATTGACATGACTCATTATACACAGTATTCACTCTTCTATCAATTAAAGCTTTACAATATTTAAAAATACAAACTTAGTTTGACATGTTAAATGGATATTATCATCATATGATATGTATAATATGATTTCCATCCTGATGAAGCTATAAAAAGGCAGCCAATACCCTTCCCACCTCTCACTAGGGTGGCATCAGAGAAGGCTAAGCAAGGAGCCAGGACTTTCATCCCCATAGGTAGTAACAAGCAATCTCTCTTGTGAAGTTACTGGAGACCATGAGGCTACCTGGACTTCCATACCCATTCAGCAGTAGTGAGGTACCCCTTCCACTTTTCACTGGAGTGATGTCAGAGTGGTCCTAGTGAAGACTCAGAACTTTTATCATGACCCAGCATTAATGAGGCCTCTGTCTCTACATGATGGGGGAGGAGGCCACATGGCAAGCAATAAGGAGGCATTCATACCCTTCCCAACCATGGAGGTACAGTGAAGGACTAACAGAGAGCCAGAACTACCACTTGAACCCAGCAGTAATGAGGGGCCCTCACCCACGTGTGCTAACAATAGCCAAGTGGAGCACTTGGACTTCTACCTCCGTCTGATAATAAAGAGAAAAAAACCCCATTCCTCTGCCAAAGTGTTGTCAGAGGATACCAGCTAAAACAGAAGGTTTAAATAAGATTCAAAGTGTTATAACATAACACTCAAAATATCCAGGTACAATTTAAAGTTACATGTCATACACACAAAGAACGAGGAAAATCTCAAAATAAATGAAAAAAGACAATCAAGATACTAACACTGAGATGACAGAGATGTTATAATTATCTGATAGAAATTTTAAAGCAACCATTACAAAAATGCTTCAACAAGCAACTACAAACATGCTTGAAACAAATGAGAAAAATAGTCCCAGCAAAATATAGAAACTTTATAAATGAATAGATAACATAAAGCAGAAACCTAACGGAAGTTTTACAACTGAAAATTACACAGATTCTGGGAATTAGAATGCCTACCACAACGATGTTTATGAATACGAAGATTCAACATAAAAAAACACATGCCTATTCTCCCAAATGAATTCATAGGTTTAATAGCATTCCTGTGAAAACGTTGGCACAATATTTTGGTAGATAGAGAAAAAATTATTCTGAAATGTAATACGGAAAGGCAAATAAACAAGAATACTAAAATAATTCTCTAAAAATATTAAAATGGGAAGAATCAGTTTATTTGATTTCAAGACTTATATAGCTACAATAATTATGACAATATGGGATTGGTAGAGGTGTATAAAGAGATCGATTAATAGAAGAGAGTAGAGAACCTAGCTAGAAACAGACCAACAAAAATGTGACCAAAGGGAATATAAAAATGGCAAATAAGCACAAGAAAAGATGTCAACATCATCACCCATTAAAGGATTATAAATTAAAAGTACAATGAGTTATCACTAAATGCCTATCAGAATAAGTGGAATAAAATACAGCAGCAATACCAAATGCCAGTAAGGATGCAGAGAAACTGGATTACACGCATATTATCTTGGAGAATATAAAAATCATATAGCCATGCTGGAAAATAATTTAACATTTTCTTCAAAACTAAGCATACTACTTCTATACCACTCAGTAATTGCACTTCTGGGCATTTGTTTCTTAGAAAAGAAAACTTATGTTCATGCAAAAACTGTACATGGGTATTTATAACAGTTTAATTCATAATAGACAAACTTGCAAACAACCCAGGTAGCTTTCAACAGGTTAATACTTAAACTGTGGTATATCCACACCATGGAAGACTACTTAGCAATAAAAATAAATTAACTATTGATGCACACAACAAGCTGAATAAATCTCCAGAGCATTATTCTGAATGAAAATGTCAATTACAAAATGTTAAATGTTACATTACTTCATTTATATAGCATTCTTGAAATGACAAAATAATAGGAATGAAGAATAGATAAATGGTTGCCAGGAGTTAAGGGAGGGTGAAAGTGGGAGGAAAGTAGGTGTGTCTATAAAATGGTAAAAAAAAAGCAATTCTGGTAGTGATAGAAATCTGTATCATATCAATAGCCTGGACGTGATATTGTATTGTAAGTTTGCAAGATGTTATTGCAAGCAGAAAGTGAAACCAAGTACATTGGATCTCTTCATATGACTTCGTATAAGTGCATGGAAATCTTCAATTATTTTAAAATAAAAGTTCAATTAAAACTTAAACAATAATCCAATGGCAGAAATGCCAAAATAAAAGATTAAAATAGTTAATAAATAGAAATATAAACCATTATACACAAAATATACCAAAAATTAAATAAACTATGAATTGTGAAAACTGATGGAACTTGGTAATAAAACTGATAACAAAAATATAAATTAAAGAGGAAAAATTACAGAAAAAAATTATAATTTTAATGAACCTAAAAAAATCAACTGCAATGATAATTATTAATGCTTTTTGACAGAATGCTTTCCTACTCCCAAATTAACACTTATTTTAAAGGTACTCTTCAGTGAAGGAGAGAGTATCGTAAATTTTTTTTTTTCTTGAAATCGAGTCTTGCTCTGTTGCCCAGGCTGAAGTGCAGTGGCAGGATCTCAGCTCACTGCAACCTCCACCTGCCAGTTTCAAGCAATTATTGTGCCTCAGCCTCCCAGGTAGCTGGGGTTACAGGCATGTGATGCCACACCTGGCTAATTTTTGTATTTTTAGTAGACATGGGGTTTCACCATGTTGGCCAGGCTTGTCTCGGACTCCTGACCTCAGGTTATCCACCTGCCTCAGCCTCCCAAAGTTCTGGAATTACAGACGTGAGCCACCAGGCCTGACCTGGTAAAATCTTAAACAGCAGATGTATACATTTATAGATGCTCTTTTTGGAAGCAAGTTATCAATATGTACCAAGAATTTTTAAAAGAATTGTAACCATTCCTCCAGTAATACTGTACATAAGAATTTATTCCTGGAATAGATTATTATCCCAAGGATGACAAATGGCAGTCTCTGAAAAGTTTGGTACTTAAAATGTTAGTGATAGAGTCATCATAAGACAGAAATTTCTCTGGACACATGAATTCACACATCTGCATAAAAACATATACACAAGTATTCTAACAGCACTAACATCGAAAAAGTGGGTGGAAAAAAGTGTTCACTAACTGATAGATAAGCAAAGGAAATATGACATAGCTATATGATGAAATATTAGTTTTCAATAAACATAAATGAAGTAGTGAAACATGCTGCAATATGAATGTACCTTGAAAATGTTATTCTAAGTGAAAGAAGCAAGTCACAAATGTTCAGAATAGGCAAATATAGAGAGACCTAAAGATTAATTGTCTGAGGCTGAAATGATTGCAAATAGGCATTGGTTTCTTTTTGGGCTCCTTTTGGAGGTTTAACAAATGTTCTAAAATTATGTTGTAGTAATGTGTGAACAAGTCTCTGGAAGAAAACATTAAATTATATGTTTTAAATGGGTGAATTGTATGATGTAAATTATGTCAATATAGCTATTAAAGAAAGATTTTAATGACATAACCTGAAGTGTGAACAATGATATGTATACAGAAAATTATATTGAAAGTTTATGCCATGTGACAGAAAACAACCTAATGCCTAAGCATAGGGAAAATGTTAAGCCACTTTCACTTACTTTGTAGAATGAAATATTATACAGAATATAAAATATATTGATGGCAAATTTCTAATAATATGTAAGAATTTTTATTATGTGTTAAAATATACAAAATGGTCTAAAATTCTCTTTTTTGGTTGTGTCTCTGCCAGGCTTTGGTATCAGGATGATGCTGGCCTCATAAAATGAGTTAGGGAGGATTCCTTCTTTTTCTATTGATTGGAATAGTTTCAGAAGGAATGGTACCAGCTCCTCTTTGTACCTCTGGTAGAATTCGGCTGTGAATCCATCTGGTCCTGGACTTTTTTTGGTTGGTAAGCTATTGATTATTGCCTAAATTTCAGATCCTGTTATTAGTCTATTCAGATTCAACTTCTTCCTAGTTTAGCTTTGGGAGGATGTATGTGTCTAGGAATTTATCCATTTCTTCTAGATTTTCTAGTTTATTTGCGTAGAGGTGTCTAAAGTATTCTCTGATGGTAGTTTGTATTTCTGTGGGATCGGTGGTGATATCCCCTTTATCATTTTTTATTGCGTCTATTTGATTCTTCTCTCATCGATGCAAAAATTCTCAATAAAATACTCGCAAACCGAATCCAGCAGCACATCAAAAAGCTTATCCACCATGATCAAGTGGGCTTCATCCCTGGGATGCAAGGCTGAATAAACATACGCAAATCAATAAATATAATCCAGCATATAAACAGAACCGAAGACAAAAACCACATGATTATCTCAATAGATGCAGAAAAGGCCTTTGACAACATTCAACAACCCTTCATCCTAAAAACTCTCAATAAATTAGGTATTGATGGGACATATCTCAAAATATTAAGAGCTATCTATGACAAACCCACAGCTAGTATCATCCTGAATGGGCAAAAACTGGAAGCATTCCCTTTGAAAACAGGCACAAGACAGGGATGCCCTCTTTCACTACTCCTATTCAACATAGTGTTGGAAGTTCTGGCCAGGGCAATTAGGCAGGAGAAGGAAATAAAGGGTATTCAATTAGGAAAAGAGGAAGTCAAATTGTCCCTGTTTGCAGATGACATGATTGTATATCTAGAAAACCCCATCATCTCAGCCCAAAATCTCCTCAAGCTGATAAGCAACTTCAGCAAAGTCTCAGGATACAAAAATCAATGTACAAAAATCACAAGCATTCTTATACACTAATCACAGACAAACAGAGAGCCAAATCATGAGTGAAGTCCCATTCACAATTGCTTCAAAGAGAATCAAATACCTAGGAATCCAACTTACAAGGGATGTGAAGGACCTCTTCAAGGAGAACTACAAACCACTGCTCAACGAAATAAAAGAGGATACAAACAAATGGAAGAACATTCCATGCTCATGGGTAGGAAGAATCAATATTGTGAAAATGGCCATACTGCCCAAGGTAATTTATAGATTCAATGCCATCCCCATCAAGCTACCAATGACTTTCTTCACAGAATTGGAAAAAACTACTTTAAAGTTCATATGGAACCAAAAAAGAGCCCACATCGCCAAGTCAATCCTAAGCCAAAAGAACAAAGCTGGAGGCATCACACTACCTGACTTCAAACTATACCTCAAGGCTACAGTAACCAAAACAGCATGGTACTGGTACCAAAACAGAGATATAGACCAATAGAACAGAACAGAGCCCTCAGAAATAATGCCGTATAACTACAAATATCTGATCTTTGACAAACCTGAGAAAAACAAGCAATGGGGAAAGGATTCCCTGGTGCTGGTAAAACTGGCTAGACATATGTAGAAAGCTGAAACTGGATCCCTTCCTTACACCTTATACAAAAACTAATTCAAGATGGATTAAAGACTTACATGTTAGACCTAAAACCATGAAAACCCTAGAAGAAAACCTAGGCAATACCATTCAGGACATAGGCATGGGCAAGGACTTCATGTCTAAAACACCAAAAGCAATGGCAACAAAAGCCAAAATTGACAAATGGGATCTGATTAAACTAAAGAGCTTCTGCACAGCAAAAGAAACTACCATCAGAGTGAACAGGCAACCTACAGAATGGGAGAAAATTTTTGCAACCTACTCATCTGACAAAGGGCTAATATCCAGAATCTACAATGAACTCAAACAAATTTACAAGAAAAAAACAACCCCATCAAAAAGTGGGCAAAGGATATGAACAGACACTTCTCAAAAGAAGACATTTATGCAGCCAAAAGACACATGAAAAAATGCTCACCATCACTGGCCATCAAAGAAATGCAAATCAAAACCACAATGAGATACCATCTCACACCATTTAGAATGGTGATCATTAAAAAGTCAGGAAACAACAGGTGCTGGAGAGGATGTGGAGAAATAGGAACACTTTTACACTGTTGGTGGGACTGTAAACTAGTTCAACCATTGTGGAAATCACTGGCGATTCCTCAGGGATCTAGAACTAGAAATACCACTTGACCCAGCCATCCCATTACTGGGTATATACCCAAAGGATTATAAATCATGCTGCTATAAAGACACATGCACACGTATGTTTATAGTGGCACTATTCACAATAGCAAAGACTTGGAACCAACCTAAATGTCCAACAACGATAGACTGGATCAAGAAAATGTGGCACATATATACCATGGAATACTATGCAGCCATAAAAAATGATGAGTTCATGTCCTTTGTAGGGACATGGATGAATCTGGAAACCATCGTTCTCAGCAAACTATCGCAACGACAAAAAACCAAACACCGCATGTTCTCACTCATAGGTGGGAATTGAACAATGAGAACGCATGGACACAGGAAGGGGAACATCACACACCAGGGACTGTTGTGGGGTTGGGGGAGGGGGAGGGATAGCATTTGGAGATAAACCTAATGCTAAATGACGAGTTAATAGGTGCAGCACACCAACATGGCACATGTATAGATATGTAACAAACCTGCACATTGTGCACATGTACCCCTAAAACTTAAAGTATAATAATAATAAAATAAAATAAATAAAAAAATACAAAATGACATACAGTATATAGATACTTCTATGTATGTTAGAGTCCATACACATATTGATTTAAGTAGCCTGGAGAGAGATATTTATATATAGTACATATATATATAATATATATATATAATTTGAGTGGTATTTTTATCTTAGTAATCATTTGCTCATTTTTTTGTTTATTGAGCTCTTTGTTTTAGTTCCCTCTTTATCTTATAAATTTCTACAATTTACATATTATAGTTTTTTGTTTAAAAATGCTTATTTAAAAAAATTAAATTGTGAAGAACTTTATTGCTAAAGTATGAAATAATTAATATTATCTTATTGGGAACTTTCACTGAATGCCTTGATTTAGTTTTCTAATCCAGAAAATATAAATTATAATGATACATCACGGTATTTACAAGGAAAAATATAAAATAAATACTGGAAAATCTCTTGAATATACTTTGAATACAATATGACAAGGAGACAGAAGTCACATAAAGGTTGCAAGGCCTACCAATTTGAGAGAAATAGGCAAGAAGAATGTTCCGGCGAAACGGCATTATCTGTCATCCATCACTAGAGTATAATAAAGAGGGATACAAAAAGGAATGGTCATGCTTAGAGTAGGTCTTACACTAAATATTTTCTTTTACAATAAATGACCATAAACCCTGCAATAATTCTAGCTCAAAGTACAAAAATATTTTTTTTGAGGTTTTGCTGAGTGGACCTCTTCTAAATAGAGGACTAGGAGAAAACCGTCACCAATTATAAGCAATATCGCATCCATAAAAAGAATTAAAGCCATCTGTAGGAATAAGCTATACAGTAGTTGCAAATGGTGTCTGTTTATCCCGAATCCTGTATAGGGAGTGTGGCTCAAACTGAAAGTATCAGAGAAATAAAATGAACACATTATACTTGCATAACACTCTCTGCATTTAGAATTGCTCCTTATGAATTATCTGTATTTCTTAGTGAATTTTATAAGCTTCTATAATGCAGGTGCAAGTCTACATCTCTATTTTGTTAATATGAAAAGAAAGACTCATATAAATTGCTTGCTTTGATGTTAATCACATAGTCACTAAGAGATGTAACTGCAATTTCAAGCTGAGGCTTCTATCTCAAAAAAGGTTTTTTGTTTTTTGTTTTTAGACATATAGACCAATGGAACAGAATAGAGAAGCCAGAAATAAGGCTGCGCACCTACAAGCATCTGATCTTTGACAAATCTGACAAAAACAGGCAATGGGAAACGGACTCCCTATTCATTAAATGGTTCTGGGTTAACTCACTAGGCATATGCAAAAGCTTGAAACTGGACTCCTTCCTTACAGCACATACAAAAACCAACTCAAGATGGATTAGATACTTTAATGTAAAATCCAAAACTATGAACACCCTGGAAGATATCCTAGATAATACCTGGACATGGGAATGGGCAAAGATTTCATGGCACAGACACCAAAAGCAATCACAACAAAAGCAAAAATTGACAAATGGGATCTAATTAAACTTACGAGCTTCTGAATAGCAAAAGAAAATGTAAACAGAGTAAACAGACAACCTATAGAATGGGATAAAATATTTGCAAACTATGCATCTGACAAAGGTCTACTATCCAGCATCTATAAGAACTTAAACAAATTTACAGTAAAAAAACAATCAACCCCATTTAAAAGGACATGAACAGACACTTAACAAAAGAAGACATATCTGAGGCCAATAAGCATGTGAAAAAATGCTCAACCTCACTGATTATCAGAAAAACCTAAATTAAAACCATGATGAGATACCATCTACACCAGTCAGAATGACTATTACTAAAGAGTAAAAAAAATGAATGCTTGTGAGGTTGTGGAGAAAAGGAAACACTAATACAATGCTGGGAGTGTAAATTGGTTCAATCATTGTGGAAAGCAGTGTGGTGACTCCTCAAAGGTCTAAAGACAGGAATACCATTTGACTCAGCAATCCTGTTACTGGGTACACACCCAGAGAAATATATTCTACCATAAAGACACTGCACACATATATTCATCACAGCACTATTCACAATAGCAAAGACATAGAATCAACCTAAATGCCATCAATGACAGATTGGATCAAGAAAATGTAGTAATATACACCATGGAATACTATGCAGCCATAAAAAAGAACAAGATCATGTCCTTTGAAGGAACACAGATGGAGCTGGAGGCCATAATTTTTAACAAACTAAGGCAGGAACAGAAAACCAAATAGTGCATACTCTCACATATAGTGGGAGCTGTATAATGAGAACACATGGACACAAAAACGGGAACAACAAAACCCTGGAGCCTACCTGAGAGTGGAGTGTGGGAGGAGGGAGAAGATGAGAAAAAAAAAAAAAAAACTATTGGCTACCAGGCTTAGTACCTGGGTGATTAAATAATTTGTACAACAATCCCTGTGACATGAACTTATCTACATAAAGAACCTGCACATATACCCCTGAATCTAAACTAAAAGTTGTTTTGAAAAAGATTTTTTCTACTACCTCCCCTTGGATTTATGAAAACATGCTGAGGTTTTCTTTTTTTTCCCTGAAATCTTTTAGAAGCATTAAAATTGAGAAGGAAATGAATTTTAGAAAGAAATCTTGCAGCAGAGGGGAAGCCATGGCATTATTTCAGATTAAAAAAAATGGTTTTAAAATGAGATAGTGTGGTAGATAGAGGAGGTCCACAAATTCTCTCTTAAATAGGCAGAAACTGTTTTCCCAGGCCTTCAATATGAACTGCCTTTATGACTTGATATGACCACAGAGTGTGTCTGAAGACATATGACGTCTCAACCCAAGAGCTAAGAAGTCTGGTAGCTTCTACTCTTGTCCTATCAGACCATTGCTAAAGAGAGACTCATTCAGGAGAAGGGATTAAAAGAAACTATGTGAAGAAAAGCTCAGCTGCCACAGACTTGCCAGCCATTGGAGCTAAGGCCCCACACGTGTGATTGAGGCCTCTGGGCCTATAGTCTTCACCATTCTCCCTTAGCTCCATTTTGCTTTCCTCCTTTTGCTTCTTACCAATGCTTTCTTCTCCCTCTGTATAGTTCTAGGTGAACTTTAGAGTTCAGAAAAGACCCACAAAGATAGTACATTGTTTACCCATTGTTTTTTAATTGATCTTTGTGTTATATAAATTGCATTTGATTCTTATTTTTTCTACACTCATTGATATTCCTATTCATATTTTTACTTACATTATTATTTCTCATTATACTATTTCATAATTTTTCTTATAATAATTTCTGTAAATTAATAAATGACTGATTAATTGAAAACAGAGACATAGAAATTTAATCAATTTGATTATCCAGGGTTGTGCTGACTCCGTATATGTTTTAGGATTACACATTTGTTTTCTAACCCTGAACTCTTCATGTATAGAAAAGTCATAATATTAGAGCCAGTATTTTATTTTTTAGTATTTGGTTTCATTTTTTTATTTTTTAGTATTTGGTTCAGTTTTAATTTCATTATGTGGACATACCTTGGGATAATATGAAAGCTGTAATTATTTATCCAGCTGACACACCTAGTGACCCCAAATGTTGAGTGAAGCCAGCTGATGTTGTGCAGAACAGACACCAGATGCCCCAGCTGAGTGGTACCCACAGTGCCAACCCACAAAGTCATTAAAAAGTAAATTTTTATTCTTTTAAGCCACTGAGTTTTGGAGTGGCTTGTTTGTCAGTGACAGGCAACCATAGTTGAGCATCATCATTACAGGCTTTATGTTGAAATAATTTATATGAAAAGCAAAAATAAAATCTGCTATTAAAAGACAATTTGATGATTTATTAATGATGTTTCCTATTTCCTTAGTAAATTTAAATTGTGACAGAAATTCAGCTGTGCAATGAATTATACATGATGCTAACAAACTGCATTTACATATATACTATTTTATAGCCATTAAATAATACTCATAAAAAGAATTTGTAGTGATCATGAATTATTCCATTATCTAAGTAGAGAATGTAAAAAGGAATTGCATTTTTACAAATGGCATATACTGAATAAAAAGTTATAATTAGCACTTAGATTTTTCTCCAAAAATATGTATCTCATCAAATAACCTTAAAATAAATAAATATTTGTATAAATTAATATATCAGAAGCCTTCAGTCACAATTGCCTCTTATACTATCTAGCTACTTGTTTCTCAAAATAAAAATCACATTTTCATTGAAAACAATATAATCTGGAAGCTTTTTATAAACAATTATAGATTTTAAACTATCCCAAGTTATATCCACACAATGAAATTAAAATAGAACCAGATACTCAAAAATAAAATACTGGCTCTAATATTATGGATTTTCTATACATGAATGGTTCATGGATAGAAATCAAAAGTGCAATCCTAAAACAAATACAGGGTCAACATAATCCTGAAGAATCAAATTGATTACATTTCTTTATCTCTGTTTCCAATTAATCAGCCATTTATTAATTGACAGAAAAAATTATTAGAAGAAGCATGAAATATCATAAGGAAAAATAATAATATAAGTAAAAATATAAAGAGAAGTATCAACAAATCTAGATAAAACAATAAAATACAATTTATATAACATAAAGATCAATTAAAAAATAATGGGTAGACAATGTACTATTTGTGGGTCTATTTTGGATGCTAAATTGCACCTGGAACTATACAAACTATACAAATGGGAGAAGGGAGCATTGGTAAGAGGGAAAAGGAGGAAAGAAAAAAAGGAGTGAAGAGAGAATGGTGAAGAATATAACCAGGAAAGAAATTCTCTGATTGCTGCTGATCACCAATGTAAGAAATTAATTGTTTCCCCTGGGACATTGATTCTGACCCAGAAATGGGGCATGTGAATAGGAGAGAAAAAAAAAAAAAAAGACTGACAAAGATTTTTAAAGCATAGGAAACCACGAGAGGTGCTTCCCAGTAAGCTGGAAAATTCTCAGAGATCACAGAGTGCTAAAGACCAATTAAGTTCCCACTCATTAAAGAGAGACTCTGCTTAACACGTAGGGCCTTCAGTGGCAAAACCAGAAAATTTTAACTAAAAATTGGGGACAAATTAGCCCTAGAGTACAGATTTCTCTAGGCCCGACTTAAAATAGTTTAAATACAAGTCATGAAAAGGTCAACCTGATCTACAAGTTATTTAACATCCAACCAGAAGAAAAAGTCCAATACTCTTTACATTACTACAACATAAACTAACACATAACAATGCAAAATTTACAATATAGAATCCGTCAGAAATTACTAGACATAAGAATAAGCAGGAAAATGTAACTTATAGCCTAAAAGTTGCAGGTGATACAGAACAAGAAATAATAAAAGTTAAATAATTAGTAACAATGACATTAAATTAGTTAATGTAATGCCTAATATGTTCAAGGATATAAAGGCAAAAGTGAGCATAATTAAATAACTATGATATATAAAGAAGAAAAAATCAGAAATTAAAAATTTACAGATTTGACACTGCAAAAGCAAAACTCATTGAATCTTAAGAGCTAACAACTGAAACTTTTCCATGTGAAGAACAAAGAGGAATAAAATAAGGAAAAATAAAGCACCACGGTGTCACAGGGCTCAAATTCAGGCTGATTAACCAATAAGCAATCAGAGTTTTAAATGGAGAGAAAAGAGAGGGAGGACAGAAGATAGTCTTGAAGATATCATGACATTAAATTTTCTAATTTCTGAGAGTTATAAATGCAATGCTCAAAGTTCAGTAAACACAAATTTGAACAAACACAAAGAAAATACATCAAAATACAGCACAATAAAATTCCTAGACTCAAGTTATAAAGAGAACACCTTAATAATAACAAGAAGGGGAAAAATTATACAGAATGCTACAGATAAGAATGACTACAGCATTCACCTAAAAAATTAAGCAAGCCCAAGCCGGCGCAGTGGCTCACACCTGTAATCCCAGCACTTTGGGAGGCCAAGGTGGGAAGATCACCTGAGGTCAGGAGTTTGAGATCAGTCTGGTCAACATGGTGAAACTCTGTCTCTACTAAAAATACAAAAAATTAGCTGTTTGTGGTGGTGCACACCTGTAATCCCAGCTACTTGGGAGGCTGAGGCAGGAGATTTGCTTGAACCCTGGAGGCGGAGGTTGCAGTGAGCAGAGATTGTGCCATTGCACTCCAGCTTGGGCAACAAGAGTGAAACTCTGTCACCAAAAAAAAAAAAAAAAAAAAACTTAAGCAAGCCCAGTGAAATTAAATTCATCTTTAAAGTGATGAGAAAAAAGTATTTTACATATTTTGGTTACCTAGAACTTTATACTCAAAAAATATTTTTAAAATTCAGGGAAAATAAGAAATTTTCAGAGAAATAAAAGCTAAGATATCTGGTGACCAATGTTATCAACAATAGTCAATCAATTTGAATCAATTTGATTCAAATGGCATTAAGAGTACACTCTACCCAACAGCAAAACACTGATAGACAGTATGTTAGAACAAGAAATCAATCTCAATGAATTTAGATGAAATGAAATTACAAAGTTTGATCTCTGACCACAACATATTGAGTCAGAAATAAAAATAAGATTGGGAATACTTTCAAATATGTAAAAATTAGAGAGATTTCTAAATAATTATATAATCTATAAAATAAAGGAAGTTATAAAAATGTGAGCAGAAATCAATGGCAAAGATAGAAAAGTATTTCAGTGGGAAAGATTTTATTTTATTTTATTTTTTTATAAAACAGTGCTGAAACAATTAGGTACACATATATAATAATAATAATAATAAAATACTCAATGCTTATCTCACTATGTACACAAAAATGAACTTGAATAGGTCATAGATCTAAAAAAATTCTTCAATTGTAAAGTTGTTAAAGAAAACATAACAGACTTTATAACCTTGGAGTAGGCAAATATTAAGATACACTCAGACAAAGAATATCCATCCATTCAATAATTTATAAAATGGAAAATTTCAAAATTAAAGAATTCTATTTATGATGTACCATTAATAATAAAAAGGAAAAACACAGAACCAGGATAAATATACCTCATATTATGGTTTTTCAACTGTTTTTCACCTGCTGATTTTTTATCTTTCAATGAGAAAACAGTTAATCCATGTATGTCCAACATTGTATTCGGACCTCTTAATGAACCATCAACATGACATGACATGTATATGGCAAATTATCTTATCTAGAATAACAAACTTTAATTTAGTAGTAACATAAAAAAATTTGAACAGACACTTCAAAGAAAAGATAATATACAAATGCCCACGAAGCTTATGAAACGATGCTCTACTGAGTGGTCCCTGTTACTGGTTGAAAGTGTCTAGGTTCTTGGCGTATTTAACAAATAATTGGACAAAATGCACAAATAAAGCAAGGAATGAATGAAGCAAAAAAGGCAGAGATTTATTGAAAACAATAGTACACTCCACAGTGTCGGAGCAGGCCCGAGCATAGGGGCTCAGGAGTCCTGATACAGAATTTTCTGGGGTTTAAATGTGCTCTAGAGGTTTCCATTGGTTACCTGGTGCATGCCCCATGCAAATGAAGAGGATGAAGTAAAGTTACAAAGTCATTTACTGAGTGTGCATCCTACCTAAATGAATAGGATACTTTCTGTCATAGCTGAAGGGTTTTCATTTGATTTAGTTCTAGGAAGTCCTTAGGTTCCCTGCCTCCAGGCCCTATTCTCCTGCCTCAGTCCTCAACCTTTTGGCACCAGGGACCCATTTTGTGGAAGACAATTTTTCCACAGATCAGAGCATGTAGGGGGGTTAGTTTCAAGATGAAACTGTTCCACCTCAGATCATCCGGCATTAGATTCTCATGAGTGTGCAACCTAGATCCCTCACATGTGGGCAATCACAATAAAGTTCGCACTCCTATGTGAATCTAATGGCACAGCTCGCTGGCCCCCCTGCTCACCTCTTGCTGTGCAGCACAGTTTCTAAGGGGCTGCAGCCTGTAACCAGTCCATGGCCTACAGTTGGGGACCCCTGCACTACATCATTAGTCATCAGAAAAATGCAAATTAATGCCAACATAGACAAAGCACTAAGCATCCATTAGAATGGCTAAAATAAGAAGACTGATGATAAACATTGTTGAAAATGTGGAGCAAGTAGGATATCCACATAATTATCTTCTAGTCTTCTTTGTCTACACATGGACTTATTTGCCCCAGTTTTTACCTTAAAAACTTTATAAATTTAAGCATTTGGCAAAGACTAATTTGAATGATGTGGCTAGAAGACAAAAGCTTATGAAATAAACTGATCTGTCTAAAGCAGACAACTGGTCCAAGTCTAGTCTAATTCACGGTGGCTAATAATGACAAGGGCACATAATCCAGGGCACTCACTATAGGACAGAAAAGCAGATTGTCATTAAAGTGTAGGCTTAGTAGGCAGCTTGACATGCATTTTACTTAAAATAATAAAGATTACAGAGTTCCTGTAAGAATTAAATGAGATAACTATGCAAACTCATCCAGAAGAATTTTGGAACAGATATTCAATAAATGTTAGTTTACAGATTTTTTCTTCTCATTATTTCATTCCTTTTCTTTCTAGCACTCTTCATACTCCTCTTTATCACTACTTCCTTATTTCATTCTTTACTCATTTCCTTTTTTAATCATTTCCCAATTTCCTCTTTTCATTTTCATTTCTTCCTTTCTGTCTCCTTTCTTGATTGAGTGCATTTCCAAGGAGGTTGTTATAGACAAGGAAGAATCAAACCACAGAGACTTAATTCAAAGAGCTGAACTTTTAACCATATATTCAGAAGTTTAAATTCAATGGAGCTAATAGCCCAGTGAGATTATCATTCTATACACATCATTTTAAAGATGGGCAAAGCATTGAATTCAAGTTCCAGCAGAACCCCCAAGATGATTGAATTTACCCTTTCAACTCTCTTTTTCACCATCTGATTTCTTATCCTTCAGTGAGAAAACAGTTAATCCACATATGTCCAAGATTTCTTAGTAAACAATCACCATAACCCTTGATCACAATTTATACAGAATATCTATTAACTACAAATACATATTGGAGAGAAGAACAGGGTGGGATGACAAATTTTATGCTTTAAGAGATTTCTAATCTATTGCTATTTGAATCAAATCCTCTAATACTTTTACACTTCTGTTTTCTCTCCCTTGGCTTGTGGGGTTCTGTGTAGTGAGTGTTGCTGGCTCCACCTTCAGCTATTCATTCCAAACACTATATTCTCCCCTTTTTATTTTTACAGCTAAGATTTTTGCACACTAGATAATGATAATTTTAAAAGTTCCTAAATTTCAATACACATCTGAACAATACCACACCATTATACTTTTTCTGCATCATTCTACCTTATATTGCAATATATGTGGTGTATTCTAAAGCAAAAAATATCTCAAGAGCACATGCAGCCCAAATATATTACCAAACAAATTAACATACACAATACATAGCCAGCAACAGAAAAAGTTCATACTTGATAAAATATTACCTATAAAAGAGTGCTACAGAATGAACCATCCTAAGCATATTTTCTGTATTCTGTTGCTTTCCTATGAAAATCAAGGAAAACATTATTTCCAGTAAAAATTCAGAGCTGGGAAACATGCCAGTAGGATTAGAGTATCTGAAGAAGGCATGACAAAACCTTGGTAAATATCTCTGCTCTTGCTCATGAAACTGATTTATAAGCAGAGACAGTTAAAGTAAAGTTTAAATATAAATTTATTTGGTATATAAAAGTGTTTTAAAATATTATTTATACTTTCTATGAAACTGGGACTTCCATATATCCTATGTCATTTTCAGGACATTTTCAAATCTTCTGTGCTTAATGACTTTCAAAAAAGGATATATGTGGGCATAATGGAATATATTCTGTTTTTTTTTTAATTCTTATATATTACATTATTTAAATCTAAGGCAGCAAAAAAATTAAATTTAAAAAATGGTATAGTGATATTCGGAGTTACAGAATTTTCTCTTATCCCCTGTGTCCCCTCTGCACTTGGATGTGATTCTCCACAACCATGAGAAAGAGAAGGAATAATGGAGCAAGTATTGAAAGAACCCATATGATTTTGCTCTTCTGTCAATGCAATGCTTTTCAACTATATAATGAAAACTTTTCCCCCGCCCAGTTCTCCCCCAACAGATCTTTCTCCCTGCTGTTGCCCAGATTCCTCAGTTTGATGTTTCAGAAAAATATTTTTTTTTCTGATTGCAGGAAAAAAAAAAAAGACTTAAATAATTGTCCCAGATTTCCTACTTAGAAGCTCTGTACCTCTGAGCCTTGGTTTCCTGACCTACAAAATGGTGATAACATCACAATCAGTTATCATAAAGAATAAAGTATCATGCCAAAGTTCTTTATAAAATGTATGTGAACAAATGTAAGGTACTAACTTTTCATACCCTATTTGTGTATCTTTTATCTTCACTACTCTATCAACTTATCAATGTTCTGTTACTCTTCCTTTATTAACTTCTTTATTTCTGTTTTTTTCTTATTCACCAAGCTTTCTTTTGACTCATACCAGCAAATAAAATAACGGTGTGGAATCATTAAGAATTTTAAATGTTTAACCGTAAATCACTAAATAAATATAAAGTATGCATGATCGATATTCACTATTCATTTTCCTTTCAACTTATAGTATTAATAAAGTACAAAAGGACATAAACTCTTTTTATTGTAAATTATCTTTAATAGAATATTTGAAATAATAAACTAAGTTTTTGTGTGTATATGCCTTAGTTCATTGTTTGACCACAAACATTTCTCATTATTAATGGTCACAGATGCCATCTGAATGAGATTAAGACACAGAAAGTCCTAATTATAGAGAATGTCCTACTTACCATGATTTTTCATTGCAGTATAATCTATAATTGAGAAATGTATAAGCAAAGTAAAATATTTAAACCGAAGAGGATAGTTTTAAAAAAACATGGTTTTCAAAGAGAGAATCTTCAAATTTTATCCCAATTTTTTAATTTAAATTTTATTTTGCAAAAGCTAAGTAATAGAGAAAGTGTTTATATTCTATAAGTAGAAGATCAAGACACAGTATTGTATATTGTAATTACAGCACGGATTAGTCAGGGTTCTCTAAAGGGACAGGACTAACAGGATAGATGAATATATGAAGGGGAGTTTATTAAGATAATTGACTCACAGGATCACAAGATGAAGTCCCACAATAGGTTGTCTGCAAGCTGAGGAGCCAGAAAGCCAGTTTGAGTGCCAAAATCTCAAAAGTAGGGAAGCCAACAGTGCAGCCTTCAGCCTGTGGCCAGAGGCCTGAGAGCCCCTGGCAAAGCACTGGTGTAAGTCCAGGAGTCCAAAAGCTGAAGAACTTGGAGTCCAATGTTCAAAGGCAGGAAGCGTCCATCACAGGAGAAAGATGAAAGCTGGAAGAGTCAGCCAGCTTTCTGGTTTTCTAGTCTTTCCACATTCTTCTGCCTGCTTTTTAACCTAGCCACGCTGGCAGCTAAGTATATGGTGCCCACTCAGATTGAGGGTGGGTCTGCCCCTTACAGTCCACTGACTCAAATGTTAATCTCCTTGGCAAACACCCTCACAGAAACACCCAGGAACAATAATTTGTATTCTTCAATCCAATGAAGTTGACACTCAATATTAATCATCACACAGCAATATAAAAAATTTTAAAAATACTACCTCCTCCCATTTCCTAAAGTTTCTCGATGAAAAATTTCTTACATTTTCTGAGTTATGCATCTGATCATCCACAATTATGAAAACATGTTCACATAAAAATCAGTTTATGTTCTGTGACTGTACTAGATACACATACTGTTATTAATTTGGATTTTTTTTATTTGGGTTTAAGTATTCATTCAATAACACTGGCAGGAAGTGTCATCTACAGTATACCTATCTGGCACTCCCTGCCTTAAAGGATAACTTTAAAAAAGAATATGAAGCAGGAAGGAGGACAATCATTCACAGTGTTTTAGTGGTAACAACAGAATACAATATATTGCCCCAGGACACTTCTATGTAGTACTACAACCCATCTTTTATTCTGTATTGTACAACAATTGGCATGACCCCCTTCCCATAGATCTTATTCTCTGTGGATGATATTACTACTTTCTCTACAAATATTACTTCTTTAGTAAAGTTGTATATATTTTAGAAATTATTTTATTAGATCTCAAGATAGCCACAAGTTAATACACTCAAATTAATTCCTCTCAAAAAATGGCATTCCAGTATATCTTTACTGACAAAGAAAAAAGATATTCTTCGTTGAAAAAAAAAAAAACAGTTCAGTCAAGTTTAACTTACTTTCTTGATTGAAAACAAGAACTCACTTATTGGGAAGAATTGAGAGATCAGCATCAAAGCACTTCACATTTAAAAGAAACCATATTCCCTATATATAGCTTTTCTTTTAATCTCTTTACAAACTGAATGTAATTTGAAAGAATGCTAAATTCTCCCATATGGTTTCAAAGAGAGTAAAGAGACCGGGTAAACACAAATGTCTCTTTCCAATTTATTCTGACCCTGCTCTGCTTACATCTCTGTTACCACAAAGATATATATGGAACAATATACATATCTAACAAGTATGTGATATACATTTTGACATTAAAAATGGAGCTGGCCGAGCACAGTGGTTCATGCCTGTAATCCCAGCACTTGGGGAGGCCAAGGCAAGAAGATAGCTTGAGACCAGGAGTTCAAGATCATTCTGGGAAACATGGGGAGACCCTGTCTCTACAAAAAATAAAAATAATATAAAACAAATTATCTGGGTGTGGTGGCACACACCTGTAGTCCTGGTTACTCGGGAGATTGAGGTGGGAGTTTCTCTTGTACCTTGGAGTTTGAAGCCACAGTGAGCCATGACCATGCCACTGCACTTCAGCCTCGGTGAAAAGCAAGACTCTGATTCTTTAAATAATCTTTAAAAAAGCTTTATAAATCATTAATTAGAATCAACAAAACATCAAACAAAATATATTCTGTCTTCACTCTGGCTTTCATGTTGCACTTTCTTCTTTCTTTTTTAGTGGTTCTTTTTAGATATATCTGTATAGGTAAGGCACAAATAATTACAAATAAATAATAACCCTTATCTTTTATATTTCTATATAACCAACAGTTTGAAAAAGACACATCGCATCACAATGATATTCTTATAAACTAAAGTATCCAGAAAGTGTTAACTTTTAAAAAAAATTATACCATTGCTCTTATAAAATTTTAAGGAAACTTCAGTAGTTTTAAAATATTCATTTTAAATATAAAATGTTCATTTTTTTGGCGAGACAACTAAGATGTTATTGGTTTTATATCACTTAGAGCTCAGATTTTTCCTTTCTATTCTAATAATCTGATGTCAAGATATGTAAAAACAACATAGTCGCTAATGCTAACAAGTAGTTTTCTAGAATTGCTGACAAAGAATAGAGGAAAGAAAGATTGCAATTTGTATTCAGGTACCATTTTAATAAAAATTAGAATTTTTATAGAGCAACTTCAGAGAAGAGCTTGATGTACTTATTAGGTTTTAAATTTTCAGAAAAGAAAATAACCAACTCACTCCCTGTGATGGTTAATATTGAGTGTGAACTTGATTAGATTGAAGCATGCAAAGTATTGTTCCTCGGTGTGTCTGTGAGGGAATTGCCAAAGAAAATTAACATTTTAGTCAGTGGACAGGGAGAGGTAGACCCACCTTCCATCTGGGTGGGCACCATCTAATCAGCTGCCAGTGCAGCCAGAATAAAGCAGGCAGAAAAAGGTGGAATGAGCAGACTTGCTGAGTCTTCCCGCTTTCATCTTTCTCCATTGCTGGATGCCTCCTGCCGTCGAACATTGGACTCCAAGTTCTTCAACTTTTGGACTTCTGGACTTACACCAGTGGTTTGCCAGGGGCTCTTGGGCCTTTGGCCACAGGCTGAAGGCTGCACTGTTGGCTTCCCTACTTTTGAGGTTTTGGGATTTCCACTGGCTTCCTTGTTCCTCAGCTTGCACATGGCCTACTGTGGAACTTTACCTTGTGATTGTGTGAGTCAATGCTCCTTAATAAACTCCCCTTTATATATACAGTTATTCTATTAATTCTGTCCCTCTAGGGAACCCTAACTAATACACTCCCCATCTCTTTAAGTACAAATAGTTGTCATAAAATGATGCTTTTCAAGATGCAACATACAATTGTGTTCTTTTAAGAAAAAAGTATCATTTTCTGACTCAGAGGGTGGACTCCTAAAAAGTACCATTTCTTTATTGTTCAGAAACTTTATAGCTATTTTCTTAATTTTATTAATTATAGTAACTGCATTATTAGACTTGAGAGCAGATAAAAGTCTCTATGTATTCCTTTTTTCTATATATAGTCATCCATAATAGCCTATTCTTTATTTCAGAAATATTAATGATTTTGAAAGAACATAAGAGCATAGAAATTGAACACTTTACTAGAATAAATGAGAAAAGCTGGTAAATTTTGGGACTGCACCTTTTTATGCCTACATTTCATGAAGTTACTATATACTTTCAAGCGTTTTTTCTCCTATATTTCATGACTGCAGCTTAAATAAGGATATGTATATGTTGCTGTCACTTGTTTATTTTAAAAGATGATAAAACTTGTCATGAGCTTCAATACTGTATATTATAACTTACAATGTATTTCAGTGGCAAGAAAACACCCCACTCTCTTCCTGTCACCAAGTTGAGAGTCACTACATTCAGAAAACTTCTGATTGTGCAAGAGAATGAAACTCTGTAACCCTTGTGTAATAGTAAGCATATGCTACTCATTATTAGGGCAGAAGTGCATTGTTTTATTTGGTGCTCAGCTCCATCCCTTGAGAACTGGTTATATCCCTCTTTGAAACAGAAAGACATTGAAAGTCCTTAAGAGCACTTAGGGGCTTTGTGCAAGTTATTTAGAAAGCAGGGGGAGATGCCTCCAGCTTTGTTCTTTTGGCTTAGGACTGAGTTGGCAATGCGGGCTCTTTTTTGGTTCCATATGAACTTTAAAGTAGTTTTTTCCAATTCTGTGAAGAAAGTCATTGGTAGCTTGATGGGGATGGCATTGAATCTATAAATTACCTTGGGCAGTATGGCCATTTTCACAATATTGATTCTTCCTACCCATGAGCATGGAATGTTCTTCCGTTTGTTTGTATCCTGTTTTATTTCATTGAGCAGTGGTTTGTAGTTCTCCTTGAAGAGGTCCTTCACATCCCTTGTAAGTTGGATTCCTAGGTCTTTTATTCTCTTTGAAGCAATTGTGAATGGGAGTTCACTCATGATTTGGCTCTCTGTTTGTCTGTTATTGGTGTATAAGAATGCTTGTGATTTTTGCACATTGATTTTGTATCCTGAGACTTTGCTGAAGTTGCTTATCAGCTTGAGGAGATTTTGGGCTGAGACGGTGGAGTTTTCTAGATATACAATCATGTCATGTGCAAACAGGGACAATTTGACTTCCTCTTTGGATTAAGAAAATGGGGCACATATACACCATGGAATACTATGCAGCCATAAAAAAGGATGAGTTCATGTCCTTTGTAGGGACATGGATGAAGCTGGAAACTATCATTCTCAGCAAACTATCGCAAGGACAAAAAACCAAACACCACATGTTCTCACTCATAGTTGGGAATTGAACAATGAGAACACTTGGACACAGGAAGGGGAACATCACACACTGGGGCCTGTTGTGGGGCAGGGGAAGGGGGGAGGGATAACATTAGGAGATATACCTAATGTAAATGATGAGTTAATGGGTGCAGCATATCAACATGGCACATGTATACATATGTAACCAACCTGCACATTGTGCACATGTACACTAAAACTTAAAGTATAATAATAAAAAAAAGGAAAGCAGGGGGAGAATAAAAATTCAAACCCAAACATGATATTGTGTATTTGATTAAATAGTAATTATTTTATTTCTAGTCAGATAACCATCCTTTTGTGCTTTCCTCTCCAACATCCATTCTATAAAGAAATTTTGCCTTGCCTGGTGCTTTTACAATTAAAACTGATGGATTTAGTACAGATTGTCCAAGTCATTTTATCTTTACTTACAATGAAAACCTACTGGGTGATGGAATGATGCTTTATAACACTAACAGTGCACTTCATTTGTAGTTATTAAACACACAGCAGGCTCCTCACCACACTGACATTTGTTCCTCAGTCAAAGCTCCTGCATGACATGGCCCCACTGTGTAAGGTGCCATTTACTGAAAATGAGAATTTGGCTTGGGATAATTAATAAATGCCACGGTGTTCTCAAACAAATGCATAATTTGACATGTGAGAAATAAAATGCAAAAGGCAAGGACAAACAACACAAGCTCTCTTGCTTAGCATCTTAAAGTTTTGAAAGACTGAAGTGGACATCTGGCCCTGTCTTTTTTCTCAAAAGAAAAAGCCACATGAGAAACCACTGTGAAAAACCCCAATAGATGATGAGATGGTATTAGTGTGGATGGTATTATCCCAAGAGACATAAGCTCCCCCATTACTAGACGGCAAATTCCACAGTGATAAAAGGCTCTATTACCTCTCACTTGCTGTGCAGCTTGACCTCTGTAAACCTCTCTCCTTACATCTGTGAAATGCATATAAAAAATTAATCTAGACTTTCCAAAGAGTAGCTGGCCGGACTAATGATGGGTGAGAGATTATTTTAAGAAATAATACCTGATGAACTTTTTAAAAATTCCATAATTTTTTTATTTTAATGTAAATTAGGAAGAAAAGAAAATTAGTCATACCATACCACTTATTTCAAAAATAACATTTTTAAAGAGGAGATTGAAGTGGAAATATTAGGTATGCATGAATTTAAAGGAAGTGATATAATAATAATACAGATTATCTACAGTTATGAAAAAAACACTATATTTGTACTTTCTGGCATTTTGAACACTTTCCGGCATAATAAAAGTTTTTTGTTTGATTGTTTGTTTTTGAGACAGGGTCTTGCTCTGTCATCCAGGCTGGAGTGCAGTGGCACAGTCTCGGCTCACTGCAACCTCTGGCTCTTGGGTTCAAGCAATTTTCCTGCCTCAGTCTCCTGAATAGCTATGACTACTCGAACTCCTGACCTCAAGTGATCTGCTGGCCTCAGCCTCCCCATGTACTGGGATTACAGGGGTGAGCCACTGTGCTCGGCCAGATAAAAGGTGTTGTTGTTGCTGTTATTATTGGTAGTGCTGGAGGTAGCAGTACCAATAGTAGTATGTGTAATAGTAGCAGTAAAAATAGTAGTTATAGGGTTTCTTTTCTTTCTTTTTCTTTTTCTTTTTTTTAGAAACAGGGTCTCTCATTCTCTATTGCGGTGGCATGATCATAGCTCACTGCATTCTGGAATTCCTGGCCTCAAGCAATTCTCCTCCCTCAGCCTCCTCAATGGCTTGGGACCACAGGTGTGCACAATCATGCCCAGCTATTTTGTGTGTTTTTCTTTTTTCTTTTCTTTCTTTTTTTTTTTTTTTTTCTTTTTGTAGAGATGGGGGTCTCACAATATTGCTAGGCTGGTCTCAAACTCCTAGCCTGAAGTAATTCCCCTGCCTGGTGCTAGAATTACTTAAAGGCATGAGTCACTTGCACCTGGCTTTTTGTTTTGTTTTGTTTTCAGTTCTTTCTACCCACTTCTTCCTTGAAAAACAAAAATAATCCTATCTCTTAAGAAAAAAATTTAAAGACAATATTTACACACTAAATACCTTCACATGTTTGATGACTCTCATTGCCGCCTTTATCTGCAACTCTAATTTGCTGACCCCACAGAGCTGCCACGCTATGCTACCATGGAGTTCAAATGAATGGTTAATTCACAGAGCTAATGTAACTCAATAGAAGGATTAAAATGCTAAATAACATGATTCATAGACATAAACTTTTTAGTCCCAAAGTTTTTTGTCATCATTTCATTTGATGTTTATAATGAAAATGTAAAAAGATAATAATAATAATAATATGCCCATTTAACAAATGTGAAAGAAGAGACCGGTTACCATTAAATGCATGACCAAAAATCACACAACTTGCTCTGGACAAAGAATTTTGTCTCAATTTAAGAGAAAAATACTAGAATTTATTTTGAATAAAAATATACATTTTTGAAGAATGGAAAGATTTTATATTTTAATAGCAATTTTCCCTTTGAATTCAGTTTCTTTGACGCACAATAACATTTTATTTTGAAAATAAATGTCATACAACAGTGTGTGGTGTAAATACAGTTAGAGTGTGAAAATAATTTTCTTCTTTCAAGAGAAATGAAAATAAGCAATTAGAATACTTACATTTTATACTTCACAAGATTACTGGAGAACACATAAGCACACACTTGAAATTAAACTCACATTAAAAATACTACCAATGACTTAATTTTTCTGTAATGAATTAAATTGCATAATGTTTTGCATCAGTGAGGAAATGACTGCTGTTTGAGACTTTTCTCCTTTGCTATACTATTGCTACATAACCTTTACTCATATTAACTAATACTGCCATTATTTTATCTTAAACTTGCCCCAACTAAGATGCAGGGATAATTTACTTGGTTTAGTTGAGAGTACAAAAGATTCATTCATGTACCTAAATTTCATTCTCCAGGAATAAGTTATGACTAGCATTTTTCTATGGTTTTAATCTGAGTGATAGTCCCTTGCTTAATCTGATTAATTCCTCCAGGACCACTCTTAAACTTACTGTTTGAGACACATTCAAGGGAGGGTCCCAAACCTTTCTATATTTGAAGATTATCTAGTTTTATATATTTCGTTATAGATAGATAGATAGATAGATAGATGATAGATAGATCACAAACAGACAAATAGATTTTAAAAGTACTTAAGAATTTCATTACTTCATTTACACTGCAAACCATTTGTGTTTTCTGATGATATCTTTAGGCGACTTACTTCAGCACATAAAGCCAGAAAGATATACCTTTTGAGAATAGAATCTTGAAATTGAAGTCACCTTTTCCATTTTCAAAGTTTGAATATCATTAAGCATTCACAGAACCTTAAGCAGATGTCATCAATTCATCCTCCTTTAAAGAAGAGTGGAACTAAATTATTGAACATAAAATATTAGCTTCTAAAGGACACACTTATAATCATAAAAACTACATTTTACTGTGTGACAACAATGCACTATACACAGTTCCAAGAATTTTACATGCAATAACTCCGTACAACAAATTAATGAAATAGGTATTCAACATTTTGCAGATCTACATTTTACAAATATGATAAGTAGTACAATGTGGTTAAATAATTTACTTAATATTGCAAAATTAGGAAAGTCTCGTTGGCAGAATAATTATAACCCAAAGATGTGCACCTGCAGGTCCCTGAAGCCTGTGAATGTATGTTACATATATGACAGAAGGGAATCAGGTTGCATGTGAAAATGAGGTGGCTAATCTGTTGTCTTTAAAATAGAGAGATTACCCTGGATTATCCAGGTGGACCCAATATAATTACAAGGATCTTTAAATAAAGAAGCAGGTGGCAGAAGGAGTCAGTGTCAACAGTGATGCTATGTGAGAAAGACCTAACCAGCCATTGCTAGCTTTGAAGGTGAAAAGTGGCCATGGGCGTTGGAACGAAGGCGACTCTAGAAGCTGGAAAAGGCACTGAAATGGATTCTCCTGTATAACCTCCAGGGGCTGTGCAGCCTGGCTAGTACCTTGTTTTTAACCCAGTGGGACCTATGTCAGATATTTGACCTTCAAGACTGAATGATAATAAATTCATGTGTTTTCAGCTACTAAGATTGTGCTAATTTGGCCGGGCGCGGTGGCTCACGCCTGTAATCCCAGCACTTTGGGAGGCCGAGGCGGGCGGATCACGAGGTCAGGAGATCGAGACTATCCTGGCTAACACGGTGAAACCCCGTCTCTACTAAAAGTACAAAAAATTAGCTGGGCGAGGTGGCGGGCGCCTGTAGTCCCATCTACGCGGGAGACTGAGGCAGGAGAATGGTGTGAACCTGGGGGGCGGACCCTGCAGTGAGCCGAGATCGCGCCACTGCACTCCAGCCTTGGCGATAGCGAGACTCCGTCTCAAACAAACAAAAAAGATTGTGCTAATTTGATACAGCAGGAATAGAAAACTAATATACAAATAGGGACTTAATTAATTAATGCATATAATCTTTGTTGGCCAGATACAGTGACTTATGCCTGTAATCACAGCACATTGGGAGACTGAGACAGGCGGATCTCTTGAGTTTAGGAGTTTGAAACCAGCCTGGGCAATGTGGTGAAACACCATCTCTACAAAACAAACAGAAATTAGCGTGTTGTGGTGGTTTTTGCCTATGTTCTAGCTATTCGGGAGGCTGAGGTAAGAGGATCTTCTGAGCACAAGAGGTTGAGGCTGCAGTGAGCCATGATCATAACACTGCACTCCAGCCCGGGTGACAGAGCAAGGCCGTATCTCAAAAATAATAATTATAATTTTTTAAAATGTCTGTTAAATTCTTGTTTTGTGCTAGGCACTATTCAAGGCCTTTGGGAAACATCAGTGAACAAAAAAATTAAAAATTTATTCTCATGAAATTTATATTTTTTTGGTTGGGGAACATGGGAATTTGAAGCCAGGTAGTCAAGTTTCAGAGGCCTCCTATGGTTATCCTATCTCTGAATAAATGTAATAAGTGTCGCCTTAATTTAAAGCTTACAAGTTGCATTTAAAAAGAAAGGTATTTTAAGCAGTAGAAATTTATATCTTATTAAAACACATTTACGATCCCCTATCAGTAAACAATCATAACCATATATTTAAACCCTGCTTTAATCTACTAATTTTTGTTTTGCTTTGCTTCTACAGAAGCAAGTACCAAGAGTAAAAGAAAGTAATTAAAAAAAATTATCTCTGGAACATATTTTAATATACATTTCTAATAAATGTACTTTATTCAAATATACTATGTCATGGCATCTAAACCACTGATTTTCTGAAGACATAACATCCCATATTTTGAAAATAGGGAACAAGTGCATCGACCTTCTGATGAAACAAGAAAAGAATGCTGAGTTCAGTGCTCAGATATCATGAAAACACTGAAACACATCTTGCTGATAAATTGTATGAGATTACTATATTTTTAAGTATTAAAAAAGTGACAAAATTGTATCCTGCAGCAGTTACCTTATAGATCTTCCTCCTAGATATCCTGCAGACTTCATACATCATGGGAATTCAGCTTTAACTACAACTAATTTTCTACGGATTTATCATTTTATTTTCATACAATGCTATCAAAATTGCTGTGTGTTGAAAAACTTACACTATTGAATAAATGGAAATTTATTTTATGGAAGGAGAAGAAACTTTGATGGAAGATATATTCACGAAAAATATGGGAATAACACAAGTTATAAACAATTATAACTGAAGCTTTTCTCTCAGCGCACACAAGCTTACAGTCACTTGAAAATAATGCAATTCATTGTATTCAGTCATTAATCTTCAATTCAAAGTTTTTAGCTGAAACAGAAAAATGAAAAGAAAGAAAAAAGCAACCATAGATTTTCTTTTGACTGTTTTTCTCTGTAGAGGTCAGTAGTTTAAAAATGAGAAAAAGGAAACATATTTCCACAATAGTAGTAATCAAAATTTAACAGATGAGGTGACAAACATAATTTGTAAATGACTTTTTAAGTATATCTGACTTTTTATATAAACTTTTATAATGAATCTTTTAATTCCAAGGGAAGTTTATCCTTTTTCTTTTCTTTTTTTTTTTTTGGCAATATTTCTTAATGAGCCCTTATTATTGATCAAACACTATGGAGGATACTAGAGAAAAAAAAAAGGTAGGGAAATATTTGCAGTGTATATTTTGAGAGCTTAGTCTAGTACAGTGATTGTAAACAGTGTGTATGGCAGGCATTTTGCAGTATCTGGAGAATTTGGCAGTATCTGGAGACATTTCTGCTTGTCACAGTTTGGGGAAAGGGAAGTTGCCATGAGCATGTACAAGTGGAAGCTAGGGATTGCAATTCAAGGTGAGGTTTGGGTGGGGACACAGAGACAGTCAAAACATACTGCTTTCAAGAGTACATATACATATGTTTAGATAAAATTTTAATTAAGAATAAATATTTTACTTTAAAACTTTTCAAGAAATAGGTATCAAGAACCAGAAAAGGATCTGAGAACTTACCCTACTTCTTCTTTTTTTAACTTTTATTTTAAGTTCAGGGTTATACATGCATTTGTGTTACATAGGTAAACTTTTGTCACGAGAGTTTCTTGTACAGATTATTTCATCACCCGGGAGGTATGAAGCCTAGTACCCGTTAGTCATTTTTCTCGATCCTCTTCTTCCTCCCACCCTCCACCCTTTGTTGGTTCCCAGTGTGTGTTGTTCCCGTCTATGTGTCCATGTATTCTCATCATTTAGCTCCCACTTATAAGTGAGAACATGCAGTATTTGGTTTTTTTGTTCCTGTGTTAGTTTGCTAAGGTTGGTCCCCGGCTCCATCCATGTCCCTGCAAAGGACATGAAAATAATGAAACATTATCTAATTCTTTTTATGGCTGCATAGTATTCCATGGTGTATATGTAGCACATTTTCTTTATACAGTCTATCATTGGTGGACATTTAGGTTGATTCCGTGTCTTTGATATTATGAATAGTGCTACAAGCTAACAAATGTGGCTGTCACTGTTCCATGGATGATGGTAGAAAACATGAGACTCCTGGGTAAGAGATAAAGGACAGTTTATTACCCACAAAAATAGTAGTAGACAGAGTATTAGCATTTTCTTCACTCATTCTCAGAGGCTCAGTTCCCATAGGATGAGACAAAGAGGGTCAGATAGTCTGCTTAAAGGTGGGTTGTGTTCCCTGAATTTAGAGAACCCAAATCTTTTATAATGAACAGTGAGCATGCTTGTTCTTTGTGCCAGAAACGACTATATCTATCTTGAAAGACTGCTAGCAAATCTGCCCTTTGCTCCATACACGTGCACTCTCTCTCTCTCCCAAGGCTGTTCACTATATGAACATCTTGAAACTTTAGTCTAGGACAAAGTACAGTCATTACTTTAGGCTCACAAGATGTACAGAAACACGAGAAACTTATAAAAAATTGTCTCTCATAGAAGCAAGTCAACACATCATTAATCCATTCTGTTTCATAGAAATACATAGAAATACAGGTGAATTTACTTTGCTAAATATTTAATTTTATATCAGGGATTATTTGAGGTATTTGGAAAAATTCTAGCTAATAATTCATTAAATACCTAATATCAATAATATTCTATGAAAAAATGTTGGAAATTTTGTTATTGATACAATCAATACATTTGGCAATGAATATCAAAACCTACATTTTGTTAGCTAAAACTCTTTTAAGAGATAAGCATAAATAAAATAGCTTAAGGTTAAGAAGTAAGCAGTGATCTATAAGAAGAAAGAGTAAACAGTTGTCTCACCGAAACCCACAGCAAAGCCTGAAATATTGGAATAAAACAAGGAAATAAAAAACACTCTTCACACTTTCTTTATTTCTCAATTGTGTTCTCTTTGGATATTAGTTTCATGGCATCATTCTTTTCTCATTTATATGACACAGTATCTCTGCTTTTCCATTGTATTGATCAGGTGCAAGGTGAACACCTCACAATGTCCAGCTACAACAACCCAAAGACAGATCTAAACTCTCCATCCATACAAAAAAACCCAGATACCCATAGAAAATAATGATTTAGCCCCTTGTTGGCTAATTGACTCTGCAGTGCTTAGAGATGTGGAATATGATGAGATGTAGTTTACACACTTCAAAATGAAATCCAAGGTGCCTACTCTGCAATTTTGTTGGTAGAGAAGAAGGGAACAAAAAGAGGCAGTCTTCAGAATCACAGAGTAGGCCAGACCTAACAATTGCCGTCTTCATATTTCCATTATCCCTGTTAGTATGTAATAATTTTTTTATAATTTTAAACCTAGGAAGTAAAAATTGCCCTAACCTTACTACTATTAAAGAGGAAAAAAAGTTAGTGATTTGCATCTTTTCTAGCCTAAGCGACATTCCCTGCCACAAAAAATTCTGTTGTCATTCTTTTATAATTATTTTTATTATTATTATACTTTAAGTTCTAGGGTACATGTGCACAACCTGTAGATTTGTTACATATGTATACATGCGCCATGTTGGTGTGCTGCACCCATTAACTCGTCATTTACATTAGGTATATCTCCTAATGCTATCCCTCCCCCCTCCCCCGACCACCTGGCAGGCCCCGGTGTGTCATTTTAAGTAACATAATATTATGTGACTTAGATACTCTCTCAGTCACAGAGTATAAATTAGTAACGATACCATCTAAAGTATAAAAAGTATTTTTCAATTTATAAAAATTTATTTTCATAATTGAAATAGTTTTGGTTTGTTTATTTGTTTTGGTCAGCCTGGGTGCTCAGTGATCAATTTGAGAATCTGAAAAAAAAATCACTATACACATAAAAATGTATCATATCATGCAATTTATAGAAGTACTAAAGCCTATTTATAGACTCCTTAGAATGCCATCAAATCTAAGATGAGAAATCTCACGTTATATTGGTATTTAAGCCCTATGAAAATAACATTGTCTGTCTCATTCATTGCTGTAAGCCTAGACAGTAGCCATAATAATTATTATAGCTCATTTAATGGTTACTACATTCATGTTATAAAAGATTATGATTATTCACATTTTATATCTGAGAAAGCTAAGGCTGAAATATATAAAGAAGATTAAATTGATTTTTTAACAAATTATTTAGATGTATAACTAGGCATATGCCATTTCAGGTAAAAATTAAGATCACATGTTACATTGATAGTCTATTATTATGTTTGTAGATACATTTTTAGGTTATGAAATCAATATGTCCTTTATAATTCTCCAGTATGGTAAGATCATGCCTGATCAATTCACTTGTATGTTTCTTGGCAGTATATTAAGAATAAAATGGTCCACAATGAAACTGTAATATGGTAATAATCTATCTATACATATATATATGTAGTTGTTACCATGTCACCAGCCATTTACTCAATTAGTAAGCACATATTTAAAACAGTAGAAAAGTACTGCTAGGCTCAGTACTCTTGATATCAAATATCCTCATCAAAATTCCCTTTTGTACAAAATATTAACTTACTTTTTAGTCCACTTCTGCTACTAAACAAAATTACTTACATGTTACAAATACTATAATTCTAAAACAACAATTTCAAAATACATGATTCCAATTGTTACCATTCTCCAAACTTAAAAGCTACAGAATTTGCTTAACAAATGCACTTTATAATATCATAGATGCTTACAAGATAAATGTTGGGCCATATTATACTCTGTTGAATTTAAATATGCATATAATATATTTGGGTACTTAATAGTCCCTTGTATACATAACTGTCTCATTATTTGGCTTTTTGGGAATAGCAATATAACACAATACCATTGAAAGCCCTTACTTTGGTACTGTGTGTGTGTGTGTGTGTGTGTGTGTGTGTGTGTGTGTGTGTGTATACATATATATACATTCAATTATAATTTCTGCTTTCTTATTGTTGCTTGTACTTAAATTCATTCCTTTATTTTAACCCCTCAAGCATAAATGGGAAATGTTGTCTCTCTTAAGTTTACTAACCTACTCTGCAAAATATAGCTGTCACATAAATTGTTCAGCTAGAGGAATAAAAGATGAAGTGAGTTTGGAGAAGTAGTGGACCTTAAAACGTACTTTTAATTTTAAATGACCTTAAAGCATACTTTTAATTTTGTGTCTCTGCTTTGCTTTTTAATTTCCTCTCATGTGATCATTGGTCCATTCAAAATTCCTGATGATGTTTTGATTACATTTGCTTAAGGATTAAGAACCTGTCTCACAGTTTAGTGGTTTGTCTTGCAATTTGATTGGAAAAACACAGAAACAAATAAACAAAACTAATAGCCTAACACACACACATTCCAGAGTTTGTTCAATTCTAGTAAGTAGATCCACCTGTCTACAGAAATATGTTTTCTTTATTTAGATATACATCATACCACCCAAATAAAATATTCTATTAAGGAATGACTTATCTGACATTTACACATAAATTGATTATAAAAATCAAATATAGTTTTTACTAATGCAAAATTTAGGATAATTTTCTGGGAGATAAAAATGGAACTCACTATGTGATAGGTTGATTTCTACATGCTTTTATCCAGGTGAAGGGTTCATTTGGCAGTTAGATACATGGGAGAAAAAGGTCTGGGAAATTACAAAGAGTCAGTAACTAAGGAGAGAAAGACATTTAAATTGAAAATAGAGAATGGATGAATATAAGCCCCTGCAGAAGAAATCGTATTTAAGAATCAGTGAGATTCTAAAATGTATTTTAAAATAGCAGCATAGTTGAATAAGAAAGCACACATTTCTGGGAGTGAAGAAAAGCCATCGAAAGAAACTTTCAAGATTTGGCACAGACTTCAAATAGAATGCATAGTGAATAGGGATTGGCAGTTAGAGGATAATACAGCCTTAGCAAGAGTCTTTTCAGAGTTTGGAAGACTACATTTAACGTTTCTTAGAAAGGTAAAAAGTCACTAACGAACCATTTGCTACCACATTTACCTTTTCACAGAAAGGTAAAATGTCACTAACGAACCATTCGCTAAGACACAGATGAGAATTCAAATCCTTCATGATGCCATCCTTGATTCTTCCAGGATTCATTAATTCAAGAGAAGCGAGTGGCAGGAATGGGCTAGAAAATATAAAGTGCACAAGGGATAAAAGCCAAATAATTAAAGAAGATTATTTTTACCCAAATTATCTTATTTCTCCAACACTATCAATTATCTGTATCAAATAATATAATTATACAGTTTATATATTGTTCAATAATATTTTGCACATCAGCCTTCTCTTCACAAATAGATGGAGCTTTTTAAAGAAGAATTTATTTTTTCATTTATTATTAGGTACCCCCAAATCAATTGAAAATCTATCATAGGATGGGTGCCAGTAGGATTTCTCCAAATTTGGACTAACGCTGTGAATATGAGACAGAAGAATACGGGACAAATGAAGCTGACATTATATAAACGATAATATATAAATGAAGTTGAATTATAACTGAAATATAATTTAGAATTATGCAACCCAAACTGGAAAGTGAAAGACTCTTACATGCTAAACACTGTTTCGACAAAAAAAAATAATAATGATAAATGGTGATATGGCTTGGTTGTGTCTCCACCCAAATCTCATCTTGAATTGTAGCTCCCATAATCCCTACATCTTGTGGGAAGGACCTGGTGGGAAGTAATTGAATCATGGGAGTGGGTTATTCACTATCTCATGATAGTGAATAAGTCTCACAAGATCTGATGATTTTATAAAGGGCAGTACCCCTGCACACACTCTGGCCTGCTGCCACGTAAGACGTGCCTTTACTTCTCCTTCACCTTCCACAATGATTATGAGCCATGTGGAACTGTGAGTCCATTAAACCTCTTTTTCTTTATAAACCACCCAGTCTCTGGTATTTCTTCATAGCAATATGAAAATGGACTAATATAAATGACAAACAGTAGCAAACATAACCCCTGTCCCACCAAAATTATAGTGATACAGAAATTTAGATAAGTAAATAAACAATTCTGATAAAATGTTGTGATAATTATAATGAGGGAAGACAAGATACTGAGAAAGCACACAGGAGACATATCTACCATGGATTTAGAAGTGGGGGGCTGGCTCAGGATTGGTCTGAGAAGACCATCTATTGGGAGTGGTAGCTAAAATAAGACCATAATGGTAAATAGGATCTAGGCAGACAAGTGAATGGAGTGTGTGTGTGTATGTGTGTATTTCTGTGCATATATACAGTATGTGTAGAAAAGTGGGGTTTGCACAGAGAATGTGCTAGGCAAAGGGGAGATTCTTGATGAAAGCATGTTAAGTGAGAGAGAATAAAGCATACTGATATATTAGTTCAGTATACCTGAGGTGAATAATGTGAGGAGAAGAAGAATAAGAGATGATGCAAAATAGACTTCAGGAAAGACCCTGCAAAGTTTATTAGATAATTTTAAATTTCACTTTAAGGGTAATGGAGTGTGATCAAATAGTTTATATATATAGTTATATAGTTATATTCTGGAATACATATGCAGAACTTGCAGGTTTGTTACATAGGTATACATGTGCCATTGTGGTTTGCTGCACTCATCAACCCATTATCTACATTAGGTATTTCTTTTGCTGTGCAGAAGCTTTTTAGTTTAATTAGACCCCATTTGTCAATGCTGGCTCTCATTGCTATTGCTTTTGGTGTTTCAGTCATGAAGTCTTTGCCCATGCCTATGTCCTGAATGGTATTGCCTAGGTTTTCTTCTAGGGTTTTTATGATTTTAGGTCTTACATTTAACTCTTTAATCCACCTTGAGTTAATTTTTGTGTAAGGTGTAAGGAAAGGGTCCAGTTTCAGTTTTCTGCGTATGGCTAGCCAGTTTTCCCAGCACCATTTATTAAATAGGGAATCCTTTCCCCATTGCTTGTTTCTGTCAGGTTTGTCAAAGATCAGATGGTTGTAAATGTGTGGTGTTATTTCTGAGGCCTCTGCTCTGTTCCATTGGTCTATATATCTGCTTTGATACCAGTACCATGCTGTTTTGGTTACTGTAGCCTTGTAGTATAGTTTGAAGTCAGGTAGTGTGATGCCTCCAGCTTTGTTCTTTTTGCTTAGGATTATCTTGGCTATACAGGCTCTTTTTGGTTATATATGAAATTTAAAGTAGCTTTTTTTTCTAATTCTGTGAAGAAAGTCAATGGTAGCTTGATGAGGATAGCATTGAATCTATAAATTACTTTGGGCAGTATGGCCATTTTCATAATATTGATTCTTCCTATCCATGAGCATGAAATATTTTTCCATTTGTTTGTGTCTTCTCTTATCCCCTTGAGCGGAGGTTTGTAGTTGTCCTTGAAGAGGTCCTTCACATCCCTTGTAAGTTGTATTTGTAGGTATTTTATTATCTTTAGAGCAATTGTGAATGGGAGTTCACTCATGATTTGGCTCTCTGTCTATTATTGATGTATAGGAATGCTTGCAATCAGGCAAGGGAAAGAGATAAAGGGTAATCAAATAGGAAAAGAGGAAGTCAAGTTGTCTCTGTTTGCAGATGACATTATTGTGCATTTAGAAAATCCCATCTTCTCAGCCCCAAATCTCCTTAAGTTGACAAGCAACTTCAGCAATGTCTCAGGATACAAAAAGAAGGCAAAAGAAAAAACATAGTTGAAAATATTGGAACCAGTAATTAAATAACGACACAGTATAAAGCTTTTCATATTACAAAGTGTATTTAAAGCACCTAATGTCTTAAATAATATTTACTTTACGGAGTTGTTTGATAATTAAATGATATAAACTAGTTTCTCACCAGTGTACTACTGAAAAGATACAAGCATTCACAAGTATTCAGAGTAAGATTTTCTTTCTTTCATTAACAATATGTAGAAAATCTTCAGAGAATGATTGCACATCTGTGTCCTTGAAATTATGATAGGAAGTTGAAAAAAAATAATTACCTTCAGAATGAATTTTGAACATAACTGTTACTCTAAAATCGCATCACACAATAGCCCTTTACACGCATTACATAATATGAACAGTCAGCATAGAGGGAGAGAGCTTCTTCCACTGAGCTAAATAAAAGCATGAGAAGTAAATAGTTGTACATAATGAGACCTAAACATTTCCTCATCATTTTATAATGAAAAATTGCTTGGATTTTGTAACAATGCTTTGAAAAATAATATATGATTAATTTCTCTTAAGGCTTTCAGTAAAATGAATTTTTCTGTGCTCAGATGCAAATACGAAGTTTCTGGGCCGGGTGCGGTGGCTCACGCCTGTAATCCTAGCACTTTGGGAGGCCAAGGTGGGTGGGTCACGAGGTCAGGAGATCGAGACCATCCTGGCTAACATAGTGAAACCCCGTGTCTACTAAAAATACAAAAAAAATTAGCCGGGCGTGGTGGCGGGAGCCTGTAGTCCCATGTACTCCGGAGGCTGAGTCAGGAGAATGGCATGAACCCGGGAGGTGGAGTTTGCAGTGACCCGACATCGCGCCACTGCACTTCGGCCTGGGCAACAGAGCGAGACTGTCTCAAAACAAAAAGAAAAGAAAAGAAAAGAAAATTCTACTAACAGGAAAGAGGGAAAATAAACATCTGGGGATGAATTTTTCCCAGTGGAAATACAAAAAAAAATTTGACTCCATAATGGAATAAAATTTCAACAGCATATACCTTTAGTTACTCTACTGGAAGCATGCATTTATAAATTTTACATAACTAAGATGCTGTTTTAATATGCTTGAGCTGTTGTCTTATGCTAATTTTACTGTCAATATTTTCCAGTTATCTTTACAGCATTACCTTATATTAAGCCACCTTTTTCATTATATACATGGCATATGTTTCCCAGTATTTTGAAAGCCTCTCAGCCTCTGAAGAGACTGAAAAATTATTTGATCTTTTTTAGTCCATGGAGATGTTTGATACCTTTCTGATATATAACCAGAATAAACTGCCAACTTTGCCAACCCTTCAATATGTAATACTATAATAACTGTATTATAATGTATTATTATATAACTATGATTATCACTATCATAATTCCATAATGAGAAGATAGATATTCTTTTACTCAATTTAGAAGAGTCAAGTTGGATTCAAGATACTAGTGTCAACAGTGTTGTGAATATAGTAAATAAAAATGTGTTGTACATTTCAAAATTACCAAAAGAAATAAGTATTTGAAGTAATATATTTGTTAATTACCTTGATTTCATTATTCCATGCTGTATTTGTAAATCATAACATCACTTTGTGTGCCATAAATACATATAACTCTAATTTGTCAATCTATAATTTTAAAAATTTATAAAACGATGCTACTATCAAAAGTTTAGAAGTCTATTCTGCTCAAAAAACAAACCTAGATCTTATTTCTAAAATACAACCAAAAGTATAATTAAAGTGTATAACTATTCTTTGTATGCCATTCACTAACAGTATTTCATTCAAATTATTTTCTCAGTCTATCTTCTAATTCTGCAATCTTTTAGTCTATCTACTGTAGCTGTTATGAGGCAAGCAAACACCAGATGGACATAGTTTACTTAACCTAATAAGGTTTTTCAGACACAATCCTTGGCTCAGATTATGTAGATTGCTGGAATAAGGATAACAATGTATATTCCCTTACATTATATATATATATATACAGAAATTTTAGATCTTATTTACTGACAATTTTAATTACACAATAGTGGGAAATGAGCATTAACAATTCTAGAGTGCATGTGTCCATGTGTTCAGTGCAAGGACTTTACTTGGATGTTACATAATTATCCCAGTCTTAGTGACATTATTTATGGTAATTCATTTAATAAGTTTACTGTGGGTTAAGACTTTTTCTATTGTTTATTTGTTTGCTTGTTTTTAACCACAGAAAACAATCTTATTTACTAAGGTTTTTTTCCTAAAATGTTGAAAAATAGGTAAAAGAGGCCATATCTTGGGCTATATTCCCCCCTTGGATTATTTTTAAATCTTCCTTATTATTGAATCCAGGCTTTCTACTGGAAAAAAATACATCCCACACACCGCAGCCAGAGGGAAATAAACAACTTGTCTAGTCATACCATTTGTATTAGCTCTTCTCACACTGCGCTAAAGAACAATCTGAGACTGGGTAAGTTATGAAGAAAAGAGGTTTAATTGACACATAGTTCTGCAGGCTATACAGGAAGCTTGGTTTGGGAGGCCTCAGGAAACTTACAATCATGGCAGAAGGGGAAGGGGAAGTGAGCACATCTTCAGACGTAGAGCAGGAGGAAGAGAGAAGGCAAAGAGGGAAGTGCTACACAATTTCAAAGATCTCATGAGAACTCGCTCATTATCATGAGAACAGCAAGGGAGAAATCTGCCCCCAGGATCCAATAACCTCCCACCAGGTCCCTCCCCCAACACTGAGGATTACAACTCAACATGAGTTTTAGGTGGGGACCCACAGCCAAACCATATTACCATTCATCTATTGAAAATGCTTTAAAGAAATATTAGCCATATGATTGTGACTGTAGTCATAAAACAAGTCTCTGTTATTTGCTAAAAAGTTTTTTGCTTGTATCATTAGGATGCTTTTAGTGTCTATAAGAAGTCTACATTTTAAGAACCCCCAAATATCACTCTCTAAATCTGATTAAAATGTGTCTAACTACATTGTGATTCTATCAAAGGGATAATATATGAGGCTCATTGCCTCTCAGTATTTTGAAAGTATTGCATGTTGTAAATTCTTAGTGTATAGAATAAAACAATTATAACCATGTTATCTCAATGTCACAATTTATTTAATAGATTTTATTACAATAAGGGAATTCAAAACTCACAAGTAGCTATGTCTAAATATGGAAAAAGGTATGCCAAATCAGAAATAAAATTTTCCTAGTCTATCCGCTGAGATTCACCATTCATTTAGGCATTTAATTCTCAAGAAAAAAGCTTGTCAATTTTATAGCTAGAAAGATTAATTGCAGATCATTCTCTACTGACCAAAAATTCCAATTATACAAGTTCTTTTGGATCTATAAAAAACTATCTCTGGAATCTTACTTCTCTCTGGCTCCATTTTTATCCTTTTATCTAGGCAGATGACAGGTAATTGCTAAAATAGATAACTTCTATAAAGATCACAATATGCTTTTCAATTTTCACTGCAGTTAGAAATTTTCTCTTTCATCCTGAAGTCCTAGAGGGGATTCAAATCATTTACTTAGGCATTTATTTACTAGCTACTTAGAAAACATAATTACATACTAAGAATATTAAACCTTATGTGTACCATACAAGGCATCCAAGGTCTTAATTTTAAAATCTACAGTTGCTACACCATAAGTGTCATATAAACCAAAGACTCAGTCTCTATTTACCTGTAAATAACAAAAAGGGGACTATCTTAAAACATGATTTTTATATCTACAGTTGGTTCACCAAATAGTATATATCTTTTTACTTAACCTGAAACTTGTATTCAACTGTAAGAAACAATTGTCTTTATTCTACAACTCATATGCTATAGAAATAATTTCATTGCTAGACTTTTACTTTCTTCATAAAGTTGAAAAATAAATGATACAATAGCTTATTTAGTTGAATCTAATATATATATGTGAACATATATATATGTGTGTGTATATATATATATATTGAAACTTCCCCAAATCAACACTTACCTTACAGTCAGTGTAAAAAGGGAATTTTTACCAGCCATTTAGGTATTAAATTGCTTCATTCCTTGAAAATATCTACAGTCTACACTTAACTCACCTTTGAAGTGCAAAGACTTTTTATTTTTGAGAGAGAGAGAGAGGGGGTCTTGCTCTGTTGCCCAGGCTGGAGTGCAGTGGCGTGATCTTGGATCACTGCAACCTCTGCCTCCCAGGTTCAAGCGATTCTCCTGCCTTAGCCTCCTGAGTTGCTGGGATTACAGGCGCCTGCCACCATGCCTGGCTAATTTTTATATTTTTAAGTAGAGACCGGATTTCACCATGTTGGCCAGGGTGGTCTTGAACTCCTGACCTCAAGTGATCTGCCCACCTCAGCCTCCCAAAGTGCTGGGATTACAGGCGTGAGCCACCATGCCTAGCCATAATATTTCTATTCAACAAAACTTTTCACATAGTCAATACTGCCTTCTCAAAGCAGAATTTCTTCTTCTGCTTGATTCCCCATGTGTTGCTTGCAGCTGGAGTGGAAGCATGTAATCTGGGATCCCTCAATCAGGGAAGTCTATGCTTTATATTTTTGGACTTGAGAAACATAAAGAAACAAGATATATGAGGAAGAAAGTATACACAGTTTTGATCATTTCTGTATATGGGGTTTAAAATAGCATCTCTGCAGCCAGTAACAGTAACAGAGTTTGTGTCCAGTCTCCAGTATCAGTACTACATGTGTCATCTCCCCTAATTCACTGGGGTGCAGCCTAGGGGATTTCACTGGATCCATTCAATTTCTGTAGCTCTCATGAGTATGTAGCATGCAAACATGTTTTTCATGATCTCCTATAGAGCCTGTTTGTTACCTAGTATTTTGTGATTAATTCTCCTTCTGCTTAAAAAAGGCAAACCTGGAAACAATTTCTCACCAGATTGTCATCTTATTTATATTAGATGAAGCACATGTAAATGAACTTGGATCCCTGATTATGACTTAAAAATGATTATACTATGTAATGTTACAGGACACTCAGAATATGGCATGTCATATGGCATACAATGTAATAATTGGCAAAGTAATTGTCAAATAGTTCAGAAAACTTAAAGAATTTCTAAGAATTCATAAGGCCCAAAGGGGGTTTTGTGAACAGTTTATGAATTGAGACTATCATTCAAATTCTGAATATCTATGTGTCATAGCTGCTGGCTGCTTTGCAAAAGAAGTTGTTAAACATCTAGTAACATCTAATTCAACTGGCAAAAACATTTTAAAGTAAGTCTAATCAAATCAGAATTAAAAATTATAGTCCAATATTCTTCAATATGCCTTGAATTTTCTTAGTTACATCCATAAAATTCAATATGGGAAGGAAATCAGGATTTTTTGAGCCTTAAATATATGCAATATATAAAAAGAATTTTTTTCCCAATTTTATGGTTTGAAAATGAAAGAGCTGAAAGACACAGACTGTCACTGAAGAGAAATATATTTGAAAGAGCAAAGTCAAAACGGAGACAAAAACAAGGTCACAAAAGTAATTTGGAACCTCTTGATTCTATATGCAGGGCAAACATTAAATACAGTCTGGCTTCTAGTCAGGTTAACATAAAACTTCGCACTAAGACTCTATTTACTTTAGTTCATGTTACCTGATACAATATGTTTAGATTTCAACAAAAACTTATAAGGCATGTCATAAGGCAAGCTAAAATATGGTGTGAAGAGAAGAAACAAGAATCACAACCAGACTCAGCTATAATACAGAAACTGGAATTTTTAGACAGGACGTTTAAAATATCTATAAATAATATCGTAAGAGTTCTAATTTAAAAAGTAGACAACATGCAAAAAGAATAGATGGGTGATGAAAGTATAGAGCTGGAAACCCTAAGAAGAAATCCACATGAAATATGAGAATTGTAACAGAAATGAAGAATGCCTCTGATGGGCATTCTTAGGAAAAATAAACAGAAAATACATAAATTGTCAAATCAGAACTGAAATTAAATGAAATGAAAGAGAAGTCATCACTACTGATACCATGGCTGTGAAAGTATAATAAATAATATTATGATCATCTCCATGTCCACAAATTTGAGAATTTAGGAGAAGTAAACCAATTCCTTAAAAGACACAAACTACCAAAACTCACACAAGGAGAAATAGATAATCTGAATACATCTATACCTATTAGAAAAATTGAATTGATAATTAATAACTTCCCAAATAATTTTCTTTGCTAAAATGAAACCCAGATATCATGAAGTTTGTCTAGACAAATTCAGACAACCCTAAAGATATTGTGAGGGAAGAAAAGATAATTAGGTTTTTCTATGCAAAGACCTGGCAGCACATAAATATATATTTTAGATTTTCTGAGTGTGATTGTTTTTCGAATTATTGTTGAAAATATAATATTAGCTAATAACTTTTAAAGAACAATTTTTTAGTTTGACCATTTGATTGCTAATCAGAGGGTGGTTTGAGTCACTAATTATATGCTAAAATTTTCCTAAGGAAAAATAATGAGAGTTTATAAGGAATCAAAAGATTTTGAGAGTGGATATTTGTGAGTTCTGAGTGTTGTTAGCTTCCTATTACTGTGAAAACAAAATAAATTACCACAACTTATGGAAAACTCTATTAGTGGCTTAAACAGCACAAATTTATTATCTTACAGTTGTGGAGGTCAGAAGTCCAACATCGTCTCCCTGGGCTAAAATCAAGATGCCAGCACACTGATTTTTCTTTCTGGAGACTATAGGGGAACATTCATTTCCATGTTCGCTCAGGCGTTGGCAGAATTCAGTTCCATCCAATTGTCCTGAGGTCTCCTCCGTGCTGCCATCTCTCTTGCCCCTTCTTTCATGGCTACTTTTCTCTAACCCACATTTTGGCCTTCCTTCTTCACTTGTAAGGACCCATGTGACTACTTTGGACCCATCTGGATAATCCAGGATACTCTCTCTACTTTAAGGTCAATTTACTAGCAATTGATTCTATCTACAAGCATAATTTCCTGTTATGTAATGTTGACATATTCACAGGCTTAACACCAGGAATTGGAATGTGAACATCTTTGGGGATATAAAAAGCTACCATGTCAAGCTTTTCAATAAAAGATTAGGGGCTCTTATTTCACCTTTCACAGAGACTTTTTTTTTTTATTTAGAAACTTAAACTTAAGATAATGAACACAACATAGAATAAACCCATGCTGGGAAACAGACTCACTCTTACTGGCTTTTGGAACTGACGGTGCATAGCCTCATGAAAGATTTCTACTGTCTTCTCATAACTTATTACCCTTTTTACTGGTTTATGGAAGGATCTGGCTTGATGGGATGCAAAACAGGAACAATTTAATCTTTTCCTACCCCAGGTTTTAGATGACTCATGTTAAAACTCTTCTTCCTATGTCTGGATGATAAATCCAGCAGAACCATAGCCTTTAAAATGATATCCAAGCATTAACAATTTTATTTTAAGTGTTATAATACCTATCCCAAGTACATTTCAAATTTGCAATGTTGTTGTCAGCATTTGTCAATGGATAAAGATAAATATTTTTATATAGAGAGAGATTTATTTTTCACATATTATTCCAAGCTTTGAGGTTCAATGTTTAATCACTAACAATATAATACGTAAGTTATATTTCATAATTGGTTATTACACATAGAATTTATATAGGATATACCTGATATGTATAGCAAGCTAAATGCTGAAAGTCTATTTAGTGTCACTCACTTAGCATATATTATAACATGACAAACAAGTGTAATGATTATAAGGGCGCGGGATTCACAATCTGGGTTATTAACTGGCTCTGTGTCTTCCTAGTTTAGTGTCCTTAAGCAGCTCTTAAATATTTCTATGACTCGATTTTCTTAATTGTAAAAGAAGGTAATGATATAACCAAGCTATAGGGTGGTAGAATGCACTGTTGAAGTACTACATAGAAAGGCTCAGAAGAATATCTGGAATATAATATACACTAACTGATAATAAGATCTTTGATTTTTATTGTGTTTACTTTTTTAAAAAATATATATTCACTTCAGTTTTTAACATGCTCAAGTAGAAGTATAGAGAATTGGCATTCATATATTGACTGGACTAATGCTGAATATGTACATATATATATATTCTGCAAATGTCATGTGTATATATCCATTTATACATATACATATATATATATAATAGCAGAGCTACACTCTTTCATGTATCAGTAAAACTTAAAAGAATGGGAAATAGACACATGCATAAGAAATATTTTGTTTTGAGTACTGGAAAAAAGAGGAATTCTTTCAATAAATGGTAACTTATTCATTGTCTATAACAGTTAAAATTGTGTATAACATGGTTATACTAGTCATGCTTGTTTTCATTTCAGCCTTTAAAATAATTAAAGCACGCTAAGATAGATTATGAAATGTTAATGGAACTTAAAAAATAGCTGCTTTCTACTCTTTCCCTTTAATGTTATTTTAAATAATGTTTGTCTCAAATAAGAGAATTATAATAAAATCACTGAGCTCAAAAAAGGAAGTAATAATGTAATATATTTATCATTTGTTTCATGCGTCAGCTTATTGCTCACGGTATGAAGCAGTACTGAAAAAAATATTTGACATAGAAACTGCAGGAAACATATGAAATAGTTTTATATACATATTATGGACACTTTATTTCTTTAATTTAAGCCTTAATTAAACCTTTTTTGTTTTTAATGGGAAGCTTGAGTCTGAATAAGTAATAATATCATAAGTCCACTGGGTAGAGAGCCTGGGACAGGACAATAAGTGCAGACTAAGCAATTTAATTTAAATTTGCAAGTAGAGAGGTATAAAATCCAAGACCATGATAAATCAAAAACAAATGAGAGAATTGGTATGAACTTAAAGAATTAGACCTTGGCTAAATCTCTCTAGAACTTTCATAGTTTCATTTATTAATTCGATAAATCTAGGGAAATAAAACTTGAATTAACTCAGATATTATAGAAACTCTTAAAAGCTTTCAAAAGCACTAATTATAAGCATACTATTAAAATTGCACAACTATCTATGCACTTCTAGTGCCTCTTATTTGTATTAAGATAACCTTATAAGTAGACAGATTAAGAAATTGTCAGGTGTATCATGAATCTAGTAGTTTCATGTATGACAATGAAAATAATAGCTAGCATTTATTGTGTGCTTTATATTATATGTATGTCAGATATTGTGCACATTACAAGCAATTCAAAAAATTTTTATTTTAATTTTTCACACGAAGGCTTAGAAAGATAATATAGCTTATCCAAAGTTATAATGATTGAATTGGGATTCACCTCCTGCTGACACCATAGTCTGAACTTTTTAATGAGTAATTAAGAAACGATCCTCATCCAGCTCTATCTTCTATTCCTCTCTGATGAGGTCACAAAAAACTTACGATGTTGTCAACTAAGATCTAAGTGGATAATAATTGATGCTCTATAAAAGAAGATACATATGATATAAATAAGACAAAGAGAACCGGCAACAGGCAAAAATGAGAGAAAAGGGGCATTAAGTGGCATCTTGGAGAAGAGAGAAGGGAGAATACTGAGACGGGAAAACCAAGAAAGACAACAAAGTTTTAATGGGATTCTAATATTAACCTGGCACAATGCTATGCTAGGGATTTAATGCAAATTAGCTGGCTTATTTCTAAAAGAATTTTAGAGATACCTCATGGTCTCCTTATTAACAACAAGCAAACTGATCTTCATTCAAAAGTGAGAGGCAAAGAGGTCATCACAAAAATTCTTGCTACCAAGAAGCAATGATGAAATTCAAGCCCAGCTTTATCTGAATCAAAAAAATCTTTTCTTCATCTTTAAAAAATTCCTACCTTACAAAATGATTATTTTATTCTTATTCATATTTTAAAAATTATAAACTCAATAGGATTAAATGCTACTAATTACGTATATTTCAAAGATTGATTTCCCCTAACTTACACATTGCTACATTTTACCTTCTAAACCAAGATTCTGGAAAGACTTCTGCCCTCCCAGGCTTAAGAGGAATAAAAGTGGTATGTATTTTAAACTCCTATCACAATTTTAAAACTAGGGTTACAACTAAATGTGGGACTTCATATGGGGTGAACTATGGATAGCTATCTTACTACCTGTGTAAGATCATTAAAAATTCCCTTGGAGTAGAGGATCTCTGCTGAGAGACTGTTCAATTATTTATACCCTAATTTTATGTGGTCTATTCAATAGTGGAAAAAACAAGACATATTTTCCATTCTTTTCACTTTGGGGAGTTATTTTTTATTCTTTTTTCTAGAAAATCTAAATCTATTTGGAACTTTCACAAAGATAAGGTGATTTAGAATTAGCTTGGTGAGAATTGAGGCATATGGAAACAAAATCAGATAATACAGTGATGTTTAGATTCTATAGCTGAAATTTAAGTTCTGAGTGTGTATGTTATTGCCTAAGGAAAGTCTATAGCAGAAAAAGCTTCTAGGATCATTCCTAGAGGGACTCAGACTTTGGATATAGAAGAGATGGAACACACAAAGCCATTAGAAATAGTAGCCAGCAAGATGTAAGGTGAAAGAAGAGAGTGTCATCTTATGAAATTCAGAAGTCCAGAAGGTTTCATTAAAAAGTGAAAGATAAACAATAAAAAGCATTAAAAATGTATTTTGAATAAGAAAAATGAAGGTTATTCTTGAATAAGTAAGGATGGCTTCAATGAAGTGATGAAAGCAAATTCACATTTCGATGAATTGAATAGTGATGAGAACTTTAATGAGAAGTTAGTCAAAAAGACAGAAAAGAGATAATACGTTTTCTGTAGTTAGGTGTGCGTTCTAATGAAGAATTATATCTTTAATATTTTAGGCAGAGAAGCCAGGTGCAGTGGCTTCTGCCTACATTTCAAGTATTTTAGAAGTCCAAGGTGGAAGTATCATTTGAGCCCAGGAGTTTGAGACCTGCCTGGGAATAAAATTTTTAAAAATTAGCTTGGCATGCTCATGCATTCCTGTAGTCCCAGCTCTTCAGGAGGCTGAGGTGGGAGGATGGCTTGAGACCAGGAGTAGGAAGGTATAGAGAGCCATGATTATGACACTGCACTCCAGCCTGAGTAACAGAGTGAGATGCTGTCTCTAAAACAAATAAATAAATAAACAAATAAACAAATATTTAAAACAATATATTTCAAGCACACAGAATAGCCCATGTAATAATATTGATTGGAATAGTGCAGTTGTAAAAGATATGTTAATTATGCAAAAAAGTATTCAGGATAATTAATTAGCATAAAATTCTAGATACGTTTGGAGATCATGGGATTCAAAATACAATTTAGGAGATATCCTGGACTGGTAAAAGACCACTTCCTCTAATAAAAAAAATATTTATAGCAGGGGGCCTGGAAGTCATGGGCATTGTAGTAGAGATTTGTGGAATTTCCATATAGTCATTTCTAATTTCTTTAGGAAAAAAGAGACATGATCATCTACAGAAAAGGTTGTGAATGAGAATGTGTGAGAAATAGATATAAAAGAAGTGAAATAGTCATTCTTTGCAATAATTAGCATTCATATTTCTGTTTCTAAATTAGTTTATGGATTATTGTAAATAACCAATCAGCTTACACTATAACAAAAAAATTCGTGCCTTTTTTTACTATCTTGCAAAATCTATTTCAGTAAGTGAAGCCAAATGTAAATAAATCTTATACATGCAAATGCCCCCCAAAATGGCTTGTTTTCAAAACAAAAATTTTATCTGCTAATGAAATTTCTGATGCAGGAGGCTGAGTCAAATATCATGTCTAAATTTTGAAAAGGAGCATATAATTTTATGACCAATTTTACTGCTAGTAGCCATCTAAATAAAATAAAGGTAATTAGTATTCATGCTTCAGGATATAAAGGGAGAGCCAACATTTCTCTACTAAAATTGAATTCCTTAGTTAAATGCTCTAATACTCAAATATCACATAAAATTATCAAGAATATCAAATATAAGCAATCTTCAGGACAAAAAGTAAGACATTTTGAGAAATTTTCAGTATGTTATCTGTAACGACTTGAAGTGTTTGTAAGCAAAATGATTTTGTGCTGATTTTTACTCTCCAAACTAGAAAAAGAGGCAGTCCATAAAATAATTCTTAACAGCATATGAAACATTATTATTTTTTCTCCTAAAACTATATACTGAGGTTGACAGAAATGGCAGCATTATTTCAGAAGAGCAGCTCTTAAAGCTTTAGAAGAGCAGCTGAAGAAGTGTGAGCAGTGGCTAACTCTATTTTCTTTTTCTTTTTCTTTTATTATTATTATACTTTAAGTTTTAGGGTACATGTGCACAATGTGCAGGTTAGTTACATATGTATACATGTGCCATGCTGGTGTGCTGCACCCATTAACTCATCATTTAGCATTAGGTATATCTCCTAATGCTAACCCTCCCAACTCCACCCACCCCACAACAGTCCCCAGAGTGTGATATTCCCCTTCCTGTGTCCATGTGTTCTCATTCTTCAATTAACACCTGTGAATGAGAACATGCAGTGTTTGGTTTTTTGTCCTTGCGATAGTTTTCTGAGAAAGATGATTTCCAATTTCATCCATATCCCTACAAAGGACATGAACTCATCATTTTTTATGGCTGCATAGCATTCCATGGTATATATGTGCCACATATTCTTAATCCAGTCTATCATTGTTGGACATTTGGGTTGTTTCCAAGTCTTTGCTATTGTGAATAGTGCCGCAATAAACATATGTGTGCATGTGTCTTTATAGCAGCATGATTTATAGTCTTTTGGGTATATACCCAGTAATGGGATGGCTGGGTCAAATGGTATTTCTAGTTCTAGATCCCTGAGGAGTCGCCACACTGACTTCCACAATGGTTGAACTAGTTTACAGTCCCACCAACAGTGTAAAAGTGTTCCTATTTCTCCACATCCTCTCCAGCACCTGTTGTTTCCTTTTTAATGATTACCATTCTAACTGGTATGAGATGGTATCTTATTGTGGTTTTGATTTGCATTTCTCTGATGGTCAGTGATGGTGAGCATTTTTTCATGTGTTTTTTGGCTGCATAAATGTCTTCTTTTGAGAAGTGTCTGTTCATGTCCTCCACCCACTTTTTGATAGGTTGTTTGTTTTTTTCTTGTAAATTTGTTGGAGTTCATTGTAGATTCTGGATATTAACCCTTTGTCAGATGAGTAGGTTGTGAAAATTTTCCCCAATTTTGTAGGTTGCCTGTTCACTCTGTTGGTAGTTTCTTTTGCTGTACAGAAGCTCTTTAGTTTAATCAGATCCCATTTGTCAATTTTGGCTTTTGTTGCCATTGCTTTTGGTGTTTTAGACACGAAGTCCTTGCCCATGCCTATGTCCTGAATGGTAATGCCTAAGTTTCCTTCTAGGGTTTTTATGGTTTTAAGTCTAACGTTTAAGTCTTTAATCCATCTTGAATTAATTTTTGTATAAGGTGTAAGGAAAGGATCCAGTTTCAGCTTTCTACATATGGCTAGCCAGTTTTCCCAGCACCATTTATTAAATAGGGAATCCTTTCCCCATTGCTTGTTTGTCTCAGGTTTGTCAAAGATCAGATAGTTGTAGATAGGCGGCATTACTTCTGAGGGCTCTGTTCTGTTCCATTGATCTATATCTCTGTTTTGGTACCAGTACCATGCTGTTTTGGTTACTGTTTCCTTGTAGTATAGTTTGAAGTCAGGTAGTGTGATGCCTCCAGCTTTATTCTTTTGGCTTAGGATTGACTTGGCGATGCGGGCTCTTTTTTGGTGCCATATGAACTTTAAAGTAGTTTTTTCCAATTCTGTGAAGAAAGTCATTGGTAGCTTGATGGGGATGGCATTGAATCTATAAATTACTTTGGGCAGTATGGCCATTTTCACAATATTGATTCTTCCTACCCATAAGCATGGAATGTTCTTCCATTTGTTTGTATCCTCTTTTATTTCCTTGAGCAGTGGTTTGTAGTTCTCCTTGAAGAGGTCCTTCACGTCCCTTGTAAGTTGGATTCCTAGGTATTTGATTCTCTTTGAAGCAATTGTGAATGGGAGTTCACTCATGATTTGTCTCTCTGTTTCTCTGTGATTGGTGTATAAGAATGCTTGTGATTTTTGTACATTGATTTTGTATCCTGAGACTTTGCTGAAGTTGCTTATCAGCTTAAGAAGATTTTGGGCTGAGACAATGGGCTTTTCTAGATATACAATCATGTCATGTGCAAACAGGGACAATTTGACTTCCTCTTTTCCTAATTGAATACCCTTTATTTCCTTCTTCTGCCTAATTGCCCTGGCCAGAACTTCCAACACTATGTTGAATAGGAGTGGTGAGAGAGGGCATCCCTGTCTTGTGCCTGTTTTCAAAGGGAATGCTTCCAGTTTTTGCCCATTCAGTATGATACTGGCTGTGGGTTTGTCATAGATAGCTCATATTATTTTGAGATACATCCCATCAATACCTAATTTATTGAGAGTTTTTAGCATGAAGGGTTGTTGAATTTTTTCAAAGGCCTTCTCTGCATCTATTGAGATAATCATGTGGTTTTTGTCTTTGGTTCTGTTTATATACTGGATTACATTGATTGATTTGCATATATTGAGCCAGCCTTGCATCCCAGGGATGAAGCCCACTTGATCATGGTGGATAAGCTTTTTGATGTGCTGCTGGATTCGGTTTGCCAGTATTTTATTGAGGAATTTTGCATCAATGTTCATCAAGGATATTGGTCTAAAATTCTCTTTTTTTGTTGTGTCTCTGCCCGGCTTTGGTATCAGGATGATGCTGGCCTCATAAAATGAGTTAGGGAGGATTCCCTCTTTTTCTATTGATTGGAATAGTTTCAGAAGGAATGGTACCAGTTCCTCCTTGTACCTCTGGTAGAATTCGGCTGTGAATCCATCTGGTCCTGGACTCTTTTTGGTTGGTAAGCTATTTATTATTGCCACAATTTCAGAGCCTGTTATTGGTCTATTCAGGGATTCAACTTCTTCCTTGTTTAGTCTTGGGAGGGTGTATGTGTCGAGGAATTCATCCATTTCTTCTAGATTTTCTAGTTTCTTTGCGTAGAGGTGTTTGTGGTATTCTCTGATGGTAGTTTGTATTTCCGTGGGATCGGTGGTGATATCCCCTTTATCATTTTTTATTGCGTCTATTTGATTCTTCTCTCTTTTCTTCTTTATTAGTCTTGCTAACGGTCTATCAATTTTGTTGATCCTTTCAAAAAACCAGCTCCTGGATTCATTAATTTTTTGCAGGGTTTTTTGTGTCTCTATTTCCTTCAGTTCTGCTCTGATTTTAGTTATTTCTTGCCTTCTGTTAGCTTTTGAATGTGTTTGCTCTTGCTTTTCTAGTTCTTTTAATTGTCATGTTAGGGTGTCAATTTTGGATCTTTACTGCGTTCTCTTGTGGGCATTTAGTGCTATAAATTTCCTTCTACACACTGCTTTGAATGTGTCCCAGAGATTCTGGTATGTTGTGTCTTCGTTCTCATCAGTTTCAAAGAACATCTTTATTTCTGCCTTCATTTCGTTATGTACCCAGTAGTCATTCAGGAGCAGGTGTTCAGTTTCCATGTAATTGAGCGGTTTTGAGGGAGTTTCTTAATCCTGAGTTCTAATTTGATTGCACTGTGGTCTGAGAGACAGTTTGTTATAATTTCTGTTGTTTTACATTTGCTGAGGAGAGCTTTACTTCCAAGCATGTGGTCAATTTTGGAATAGGTGTGGTGTGGTGCTGGAAAAAATGTACATTCTGTTGATTTGGGGTGGGGAGTTCTGTAGATGTCTATTAGGTCCGCTTGGTGCAGAGCTGAGTTCAATTCCTGGGTATCCTTGTTAACTTTCTGTCTCGTTGATCTGTCTAATGCTGACAGTGGGGTGTTAAAGTCTCCCATTACTATTGTGTGGGAGTCTAAGTCTATTTGTAGGTCACTCAGGACGTGCTTTATGAATCTGGGTGCTCCTGTATTGGGTGCATATATATTTAGGATAGTTAGCTCTTCTTGTTGAATTGATCCCTTTACCATTATGTAATGGCTTTCTTTGTCTCTTTTGATCTTTGTTGGTTTAAAGTCTGTTTTATCAGAGACTAGGATTGCAACCCCTGCCTTTTTTTGTTTTCCATTTGCTTGGTAGCTCTTCCTCCATCCTTTTATTTTGAGCCTATGTGTGTCTCTGCACGTGAGATGTGTTTCCTGATTACAGCACACTGATGGGTCTTGAGTTTTTATCCAATTTGCCAGTCTGTGTCTTTTAATTGGGGCATTTAGTCCATTTACATTGAAAGTTAATATTGTTATGTGTGAATTTGATCCTGTCATTATGATGTTAGCTGCCATTATGCTCGTTAGTTGATGCAGTTTCTTCCTAGCCTCGATGGTCTTTACAATTTGGCATGATTTTGCAGCGGCTGGTACCGGTTGTTCCTTTCCATGTTTAGTGCTTCCTTCTGGAGCTCTTTTAGGGCAGGCCTGGTGGTGACAAAATCTCTCAGCATTTGCTTGTCTGTAAAGTATTTTATTTCTCCTTCACTTATGAAGCTTAGTTTGGCTCGATATGAAATTCTGGGTTGAAAATTCTTTTCTTTAAGAATGTTGAGGCCGGGCGCGGTGGCTCACGCCTGTAATCCCAGCACTTTGGGAGGCCGAGGCGGGCGGATCACGAGGTCAGGAGATCGAGACCATCCTGGCTAACACGGTGAGACCCCGTCTCTACTAAAAATACAAAAAATTAGCCGGGCGTGGTAGCGGGCGCCTGTAGTCCCAGCTACTTGGGAGGCTGAGGCAGGAGAATGGCGTGAACCCGGGAGGCGGAGCTTGCAGTGAGCCGAGATCGCGCCACTGCACTCCAGCCTGGGCGACAGAGCGAGACTCCGTCTCAAAAAAAAACAAAAAAAAAAACAAAAAAAAAAAGAATGTTGAATATTGGCCCCCACTCTCTTCTGGCTTGTAGAGTTTCTGCCGAGAGATCCGCTGTTAGTCTGATGGGCTTCCCTTTGTGGGTAACCCAACCTTTCTCTCTGGCTGCCCTTAACATTTTTTCATTTCAACTTTGGTGAATCTGACAATTATGTGTCTTGGAGTTGCTCTTCTCGAGGAGTATCTTTGTGGCGTTCTCTGTATTTCCTGAATCTGACTGTTGGCCTGCCTTGCTAGATTGGGGAAGTTCTCCTTGATAATATTCTGCAGAGTGTTTTCCAACTTGGTTCCATTCTCCCCGTCACCTTCAGGTACACCAATCAGACGTCGATTTGGTCTTTTCACATAGTCCCATATTTCTTGGAGGCTTTGTTCGTTTCTTTTTATTCTTTTTTCTCTAAACTTCCCTTCTCGCTTCATTTCATTCATTTCATCTTCCATCACTGATACCCTTTCTTCCAGTTGATCGCGTCGGCTCCTGAGGCTTCTGCATTCTTCACGTAGTCCTCGAGCCTTGGCTTTCAGCTCCATCAGCTCCTTTAAGCACTTCTCTGTATTGGTTATTCTAGTTATACATTCGTCTAAAGTTTTTTCCAAAGTTTTTAACTTCTTTGCCTTTGGTTTGAATTTCCTCCTGTAGCTCGGAGTAGTTTGATCGTCTGAAGCCTTCTTCTCTCAACTTGTCAAAGTCATTCTCCGTCCAGCTTTGTTCCCTTGCTGGTGAGGAACTGTGTTCTTTTGGAGGAGGAGAAGCACTCTGCTTTTTAGAGTTTCCAGTCTTTCTGCTCTGTTTTTCCCCATCTTTGTGGTTTTATCTACTTTTGGTCTTTGATGATGGTGATGTACAGATGGGTTTTTGGTGTGGATGTCCTTTCTGTTTGTTAGTTTTCCTTCTAACAGACAGGATCCTCAGCTGCAGGTCTGTTGGAGTTTGCTAGAGGTCCACTCCAGACCTGTTTGCCTGGGTATCAGCAGCGGTGGCTGCAGAACAGCAGATTTTCGTGAACCGCGAATGCTGCTGTCTGATTGTTCCTCTGGAAGTTTTGTCTCAGAGGAGTACCCGGCTGTGTGAGGTGTCAGTATGCCCCTACTGGGGGCTGCCTCCCAGTTAGGCTGCTCGGGGATCAGGGGCCAGGGACCCACTTGAGGAGGCAGTCTTCCCATTCTCAGATCTCCAGCTGCATGCTGGGAGAACCACTGCTCTCTTCAAAGCTGTCAGACAGGGACATTTAAGTCTGCAGAGGTTACTGCTGTCTTTTTGTTTGTCTGTGCCCTGCCCCCAGAGGTGGAGCCTACAGAGGCAGGCAGGCCTCCTTGAGCTGTGGTGGGCTCCTCCTTGAACTGGGTGGGCTCCACCCAGTTCGAGCTTCCCAGCTGCTTTGTTTACCTAAGCAAGCCTGGGCAAGGGTGGGCGGCCCTCCCCAAGCCTCGCTGCTGCCTTGCAGTTTGATCTCAGACTGCTGTGCTAGCAATCAGCGAGACTCTGTGGGTATAGGACCCTCCGAGCCATGTGCGGGATATAATCTCCTGGTGCGCCATTTTTTAAGCCTGTCGGAAAAGTGCAGTATTAGGGTGGGAGTGACCCAATTTTCCAGGTGCCGTCTGTCACCCCTTTCTTTGCCTAGGAAAGGGAACTCCCTGACCCTTTGTGCTTCCCAAGTGAGGCAATGCCTCGCCCTGCTTCGGCTTGTGCACGGTGCACTGCACCCACTGTCCTGTGCCCACTGTCTGGCACTCCCTAGTGAGATGAACCCGGACCTTAAGTGGAAATGCAGAAATCACCCGTCTTCTGCGTCGCTCACGCTGGGAGCTGTAGACCGGAGCTGTTCCTATTCAGCCATCTTGGCTGCCAGCTCTATTTTCTTTTTCAAGTGACATTTAATTACTCAGTTCACACCTCCTCAACAACACATACTAAATCATCAGAAGTTCACAACTGTCCTTTCTCAAGTAAATCACAAAGATTAAAATAATGGGGTTAAAAATCTTACAAGTGCATGTTAATATTCTTGCAAATATTGAAAATATGGGAAATTTAAAAATAAAGTTATATAATCGATTTTTAAACTTTATAGTAGTTAATACAGATTTCTTGTTTACAAATTTTAAGTTGGTGGATCATCTATTAGTTCTACAATAAAAAAAGTCTGCAGTACATTTTACAAACCTATTATTTTAGTCTTTTATTTAATTGAGAAATTCTGTCAACACTATACATGTAGTCCATCCTTACTTCATCACAATCTAACAATTTACACATGACCTACAGTTCAGATATTTTGAGTTTTCATCCTACTAGATCTTTTCTAAAACAATTGTTTAAGCCAAAGAAATAATAAGTGTACAACTGTGTACAATGTGTGCTATAAACATTTTCATAACAGAAATGTTCCTCTTCAGTTTATCAATAATAAATTATTGATCAATAATTATCAAGGATTATCCATAATATATTATTAATAAACTGAATAATTATCAATAATTATCCATAATATATTATTGATAAACTGAAGAGGAACATTTTTGTTATGAAAATGTTTATAGCACATATTGTACATAGTATAAGTATACATTATACACATTGTACACAGTATAAGTATATATATCTCATATATAATGAGAAAGACAAAATACATATAAATGTATAAAGATGAAAAACATATGTATATGTATGTATGTTTTTCGTCTTTCTCATCCTGAGAGCTGAGAGTGAATTTCCTCTATGTTATGTGCAAGCTTTGTCTATTTCTTTGACAAATGGAATATGGACAGATATTTTTGGTCCTTGTTCAACTAGGTGTCTTGAAACCAAGGGTATAAATACGTGCTGGAGAAAGCATAGCCTAATATTTTGAAATCTCTCTTTAAATACATACTTTGCTTTGAAGTTAATGTGATATATTTTTGTTTCTCTTTGTACAACTACTTAAAATTACCTCTATTGTCTACTTACATATTTATTTCAAGCTAAGTCATCTTTATTGAGATATATATATATGCTGCTTTTCCCTATGTGGTGAGAATTCTACACATAATAATAGTTATAATCCTAACATAAAGAACTTTGATGATAATAACAATGGTGATGATATATCTCCTGTATGATAGAAAGTGTGCTAAGCTCTTTAAATGTATTATATTATTTAATTTCTTTCATGCCTATAAAACAGTGACTGTAATATCTCCATTTTATAGGCTAGGAAACTAAAGTTTAGAAAAGTTTAGTGGATTTTCCAAGTTGACACATATGTAAAGTACAAATTTTAATTTGAACTTGTATCTGTGTAATAATAAAAGGAACATACTTAACCACTCCGAGAACAGGACATAAAAGCATTTTAAAGTTGAATTCATTCTATAGCTAATAACTTTTAGCCCAGGAAAAGCCAGTAACCCCAGAAGAAATGTAAACTGTCAAAGACAACTTCCCTTTTGCATTAGAATACATAATGATGAGGTCATTGGTGTGAGTAGGGTGTCTGTGTGTGTGTGGTGTGTGTGTGTGTTTATAGCATTCTTGACTGATGTGTTGGTAGCTTTGCTGAGCTTTGTTCACACAGTTTTGCTTAAGTGATTGAACATTTGCCATTCTACAAATTAATTAACCATCAAACATCAATTCATTTGTCAAGGCACAAATAGAAGCCAAAAACTTCTGTATTATTAAATGAATATAAAACGCATCCACATATTTTTGGGATAAGCTTATAAGAGCTGAGTGATAAGAAATCTAAATACTTGAAAATTGTGCTCCCCTTCCACCTGAAGAGCACTTCCAAATTCTTCTGTATTTGCAAGACAAGGGGCCAACCTAAACTTATAAGAAACTGCCATAACTTTTGGTAAGGGAAAATGAAGGCCTTCACCATCTTTGAATATGAAAAACTGGTAACTTCACCATACATCAAAGGAAATCTGTCTCCCCCAGGACACTGAAAGTGATATCAAAAGTAGAGAAAAAAAAATGATACAGTGGTTGGTCCCTTCATCTAACCTATGTCAAGTGACAAATCCTAATCATTTGAAAGATAGTTAATATATAAATCAGTTCTGAGGCCTTCTATAGAACAAACAATTGGAAAGTGATCTAAACTGGTTGCGTTATAAACCAGAGAAGCAAACACAATTTAACAATCTCAATGCCATTGTATAAGAAGAAAGGTAAGTCCATTGTGAATTATTGTAATAGGCTCCTAACATAGCCTTGTACCTACTCTGAACTCCTGCATGGTCCATTCTTAATCAAGCAGTTATAGTGGTCCTTTTTCAAAATGCAACTTAAACAACATCTTTCTGTTCAAACCCACCAATGGCTGACCACTTTTGTCAGAGTAAAAGCCAAACACTTTATAATGTCTAACAGGAACTTAATTAGTTGTACCCCTTCCTGACTTCCTCTCCTAATCTTCCCCTGTACACCTCAGGGTCTCACACTGGCTCTTTCTCTACAAATAATATTTTTCCTTTCATATGCTCATATCTTCCCCCTTTTTGCATCCTCTTCTTCAAGTCTTTACTCAAGTAATATCTCCTCAATGAAGTCTTCCTTTGACTAATCTATTGAAAATGTTAATGCCCAACACTCCCAATCTTTCTTATTTGTTTGATTTTTTTCTAAAGCACTAATTATTGTTTTATGTAACTTACTTCTTTTTTTCTATTAACTACCATCACAATGAAAATTCCACATAGGAGGATTTTATACACTGATATTAATACAAATAAAAAAATCAGTGCTAGCACATAGTGGAACTTAGTAACATCTGTGTAATAAACAAAGGAATAGTCGATTGATTGAATAAATTAGTAGCTTTTAGAACATTCAAAATGCTAAAGCTGGTCAGTAGCGGTCAATTAGGCAGACCATGCCAATCAAGGAGCTACAAATGATTTAAAGAAAAGCCAAGATACCCATTTTCTCAGTCCAAATCTGAGAGATGTGAGGGACCAGCTCAGTCCAGACACCTCTAGCCACAAAGAAGGCTCTTCATTTCCCCTGGTGTTCTGTAATAACAGTATCATTTTATTTGGGTTTCTTAATGCATGAAAGTTTGTGAAGCAAATAGTCATAGAAAGTGAAGTGTGTCCCAGAGTTTGAAATTTTTTAGGGGTGCACACACTTTCTGCATTGGATTTCCATTTTAATATTATAGAGAAGCCAGACTGTGTGATTTCCTAGACCAACAAAAGTGGGTAGCCCCAGAAAAACTCTAGGTTGTCAAAGTTAACATCACTTATGTAGTATAGACATAAAAATAATAAAAAATAAACCATGTTTTTATGTGAGATAATTATAGATATCTTTAAAATTTAAAAGCAAAACAAATAGGAAATGAAATGATGTAAAGTATAGATAGGCATAAGCTGTTGTCATAAAATTATATCACACGTTAGTTTGCCTAACACTATTCTGCTAGTCATTCAAGTTTTTTAGTTGATTTTTAAAAATTCCTTCTCTCTCTTTTCTTCATATTGGATAAATCCTATTGCTCTGTCCTTAAATGCATTGATACTGTCCCAGCTTTATTAGGACAGTTTTATTCTGCCATTACCAATATACTGCTCAACCCATCCAATAGTTTTTATTTTTCATTCCTAAAATTTCAATTTTACATTTTCTGGTAGTTTCATTTCATAGTGAGACATCAATTTAGCCATTATGACTGTCTTTTCTTTTAAGTCACTGAGTGTATTTATGATAGCTGCTTTAAATTATTTGTCTACTAATTCTAACACTTGAGTCATATTTGGATCTGTTCCTATTGATTGCTTTTTCTCTTAACTACACACCACATTTTCTTGTTCTGAACATGCCTGGTGACTTTTTATTTACCGTGGACATTATGGATAAACCATTCTAGAGCCCTTGGTTCTGTTATATTTTCAAAGGAAGCTTGATTATTGTCCTGGCAAGCAAGTAAATTACTAAATGACCACCAGGAATGTGTAGAGGTTTGATTTTAACATTGGGTAATGCAGATCTGTGGTTCCTGAGGTATTTATCAAGTCCATTTAACTTGACAGAAGTCAAACAGCAAAATTTGTTTCTACTGCAATAAGCATAGGTGATACATTTATCTAGTACTCTTGCCTTTCCAGCTATCACTTAGAAGGACTATGAACTGAATGTTGCTGTCCTCCAAAAATTCATATGATGACAATAAGAAACTGCCCATTTGCAAGCCAGAAAGAGGGCCCTCACCAGTTCCAATCATGCTGGCACCCTAAGCTCTGACTTTGCCACCATCAAAACTAGGAGAAATGAATTTCTGTTAAGTCACCCAGTCTATGGTGTTGTCATAGTGCCTAGACTGACAGTAAAAGGCAGGAATTCCAAACACATAAATTTCAGGGTCAAGGATAATTTGAAGAAAGTTGCTACACACACATTTTAGGACTCCCTTCTTTCCTGAATTCTCCCTTCAATAGTCAGACACTCCAACATCCCTAAACTCTCTCTTCTGACATCTCAAGTCAATAAAGCTGGGACATTCTACCTCTTAGATTAAGCTGCCAAATGTCACACCAACTGAGGAGTGACTTTGAGGAAATATAGTAATTTTGTGTCTATGGTTTTCTTCTTTCGAAACTTGATTCTCTTTTATATTTGCTTGCTTTGGTCATCTCTCAATACCTTTGAAGAGTCATTTATATTTTGTACAGTGATTGCAATTGCTTTCTGCAGCAGTATTCATCCAATACCAACTACTTTGTTATTTCTAGAATGTCTTTGCTTATATTTTTAAATAAATTACCACCCCCAGTTCATTTACCAGAAAATTAGGTTAACTCTTTTAAGGGACTTAGCAGAAATATAGAATTGTGAAGCTAGATATTTGTTTAATAGTATCTTTAGAGGTAGCTATTTACCTATAGAGTAACCAATTCCTATATTAAGGAGTAGACCTGAAATGAATCAGAAATGATTTTACTTGCTTATCAATTGCCTTATTAATTACTGAGCATTCACTCTATGTCAGAAGCTGTGACTTGCTAGGTATATACTGGTATTCAAAACAGTCATGGGGAGAAACATATGTCATCATCTTTTTTCTCTGCATTTATCATGAGTCATTTATCTAACCGCTAATTAAATTATAACTTTTATTTTGAAACTAAATGAGTTAATAAGCTACACGCACACTATGTTACACTATTAATATTAACTCAGTTATTAGCCTTATGCAAGGGACAGTGGCTCATGCCTGTAATTCCAGCACTTTGGGAGGCTGTAGGGGGCAGATCACATGAGGCCAGGAGTTCGAGACCAGCCTGGCCAACATGGTGAAACCCTGTCTCCACTAAAAATACAAAAAATTAATAAGTTATGGTGGTGCACACATGAAATCCCAGCTACTCGGGCTGCTGAAGCATGAGAATTGCTTGAACCTGGAAGGCAGAAGTTGCAGTGAGCCAAGATCACGCCACTGCACTCCAACTTGGGCGTCAGGCAAAACCCTGTCTCTAAAAATAACGAAAAGATATTAGCCTTTTGTTGTATATTTCTTATCACAGTATTCAGACACGATCTGTTATTTGAGAAATACAATGGTACCAGACATGCCAAAAATATATAAATGATATTAGAGTCAACTGAAGATTTTAATATAGGTAAGATATTTGTATACAGATGTATTACAATGCAGTAATTTTCCAGAAAGAATAATAAATATGCTAGAAAGTTATTTTTCTGGTCATTATGACAATAATTTTGCATGTGGTTTTTATTCACTGGAGGTGAGTCATGAAATTCAGAATTGGATTGGAAAATATCTATAATCTAAAACTCAGAGGAGCAGATGGATTTTCACCTTAATAACATGCAGCTATATGTAGCATCTGGACATTATTATTGAAAAAATATACCTATATACAAATATACACGCATAAAATATACATTACTTGTAATGATTTAAAATGTTTAAAAGACTAACATACACAATTCCAAAGCCATTCTACTGTACTATGAGTATAGAACATTCTTGTAGTAAGAACTATTTTTCTCTAAGACATGCTTCAGCAAAACAATTTCCTTTCAGTGTTTTACAAATACCAATTTCTTCCTACACACAAACAAAGACAGGACTCACCACTGTAATGACCAAATGTCCCATTGAAAAAAAAAAAAGTAGAACATTGAAGTCTTTATTCATTCCCTGATTAAATTATTGAACTCTGTACCACTCTTTTCAATGCATTCTAAGACAGAAGTCTTACAATGGGGTTTCCTGAATGGCCTATTTTACTAGCCAAAAGAAGTAAAAATGGGAGGTATATTTGTCTCCTTGAAAAGGTTATAAAACTATTTTGTAAAAAGTTTCCCTTGGGGGCTTTCCGAAAACAACTGGGTCAATTCCACTTCAAAACACAATGAACAAAACATATAGAAGACTAGACTTTTTGAACCAGCAGCTGGACTACCTGCGGCTTTCCTTAACAAGTGGGCCAATTCCACCTGGAAACAGAATGAACACAAGATATAAAAAGATCAAAATTGTTTGAACCAGCAGCTGTTCTACCCTCAGCAGTTAATCTTTCCTGGCAATCTGTTAGAGACATACATTCCTCAGGCTAACAGGACTAAGAACCTTTTTGCTGACTGCTGTGCCTCTGGGACATGCTTAGTAACAGTTCCTTCCCCAAGTGTGTGGAATGTGTCAGCTATACACTTAACAGGGAGAAATAGCAACTTCTGTTTCAATTTGCATGTAAGAAAGTGAATATTGATGGTCAGCCTTACTAAAGAAATACAAACCCATTTATTACTTAAGTTCTAATTTCACCAACAATATACTGGAGATATTTCAAAGTATGCTAACAATAATACTAATATAAAGCCTGTATTTAGAATAGTACAATGTCATGGTATAATCTGTCAGTTCATTTAAAAATCAAACACTATATATCAAATGACATGTAAGTAACCTCATTATGTGAGCCACAGATCTAAGTGACTTGCAGATATTAACTCACTTAATCAACCTCTTGAAGGAGTAGGAACAATAGAACAAGCAATCCAAGACACCGAGAAGTTAAGAAACTTATCCATGGCTACATATTTCACAAGTGGCCAAACTGGGATTCCAACACATGCTGTCTGGGCATAGAGGCTATGTTCCTGATTTTAAAATAATAATTATATATATATATATATATATACACATACACACACATATTAGACAGATGTATAAACATTGGAAATATTTTCTTCAAAGAAATATAAACAAATATGCATGAATGCTTTGAATTTTAAGTTGTTTAAAAACTATAATTCAAATATTTACATATTGTCTATGGTTATTGAATTCATTGTGTGTTATTTTGTGCCAAATACAAAATATATTTATAGTATATTTAAAATATTAATGATATGCAATATTTCTCTAAATTACTAACCACTTAAGAAATTTTCTTATAATTAAGGTGTAATATGAAATGTAACAATTTTATTATTATTGCATTCTACTTTTCAGTTTCAAGCTGTTATGTGTACATAATATGTACAGCTAATTTAGTGATAGTCTAAATTGTTCAATTTGTGACATATAATTTTTAATCAACTCATTTTATTGCAGCCTGGTTCTAAATAGTATTTTGGATAGAAATATATGAGAATATATATTTTTTAACCTTAAGAGACCAAGTAACTTTCAAGATGAAATCCAGATATTAATTTCTTGTTCAATTATACTTAAGCTTTTTAATGGAATATTAACATGATTGCAGGAGTTTAAGAAGATCTATACTGGTTTCAGAGAAAGATAGACCCATTCTGACAAACGTACTTTAATTTTGAACAGACTTCATAAAATTTTATATTTTATATTTCTCATTTTTGTATAAATGAGACAATTATAAATAAATAATTGGTAATATCTGCACAAATCATAAGAATACTCAAACCACAGGAAAATCTGTTTTCTGCTGGGCAATTTTTCTTTAGGTTTCTTTTAATGAGTGATCATTTTATCTAGTTGGAGTTTGTCTATTTCTGTACAATTTAGAGATCTCAGCCTCTAAAAGTAGATAAAGCTAGGCTCAAATTCAAGCATTAGCAGAGATTAATTGTATAGAGTAGGACATGTAGCAAATGCTCTTTCTTATTTAGATTATGAAGATAATAATAAAATTCATCTCATATAATTACTATGAGTGCATTTTAAAAGTGATAATACGTAATATATATTTATATCAGAGACAAATACAGTATAATCACCCCAAATACAATATACTTATCCCACTGAATAAAATATACTCAGTCCGCTGGGATGACCAGTCATCTTACTTTTCCCAAGGCTATCTTTGTTTTACTAGTAAAATTCCTGAGTACCAGATAACCAAGACAGCTGGCCATCTTACATCACTCACACAGTATGTATATACATACGTATTTCTTCATATGTTTGGGAATATGATTCAAATGTAAAAAACAAAAAAAATGAAGAGAAAAACTTTGGATAAATGAATACATAAAAAGATAGACCAATTACAATATCGAATGGCTTACTTACCAAAATGTTACTTTCTGGTAATTTCAACAGACAATTAATATTAAGAGCCAGGGAGATTTAATGTTTCTTAAACAGAACAGATGCTTCAAATTCTATGTGTGCATAATATGGGATAAATTTAATAAGTATTAAATAAATTTAATAGATGTTGAATTATTAAATTTATGTTAATTTTATTTTAACATTAATGTTTAATATTTATAGTTTATCATTACATTTTAAAATGTAAGAAAATAGTTTAATTCACTCATCTATCATGTCCTTAGAATGGGAATTTTTAGAGTGGAAAAATACATAGAGGTTTAATACAAAAGGTTAAATTTAAAAACCTAGGGCGGGGTGCGGTGGCTCACACCTGTAATCCCAGCACTTTGGGAGGCCAATGTGGGTGGATCACAAGTTCAGGAGATCGAGATCATCCTGGCTAACACGGTGAAACCCCGTCTGTACTAAAAATACAAAAATTTAGTCAGGCGTGGTGGCGGGCGCCTGAAATCCCAGCTGCTTGGGAGGCTGAGGCAGGAGAATGGCGAGAACCCGGGAGGCGGAGCTTGCAGTGAGCCGAGATCACGCCACTGCATTCCAGCCTGGGCAACAGAGCAAGACTCCATCTCAAAAAATAAAAATAAAAAAAAAACTAGCCCTCAATATACATTGGAGGTTATTTGTATAAATTATTGAGGAGTCCTGGCAACAATGACTGACTTGGACGCCATGGGAATTTCTAGTGCTTGATTGTAGCTTGAGGTACCATTATGTGGGACAAATGAGGAACTTCTGGGGTGGGTAGCAAAGTCGTATTTCTTTATCTAGATAAAAATAAATTATAAGGGGGTTCGCCTTATAATAACTCATTAAGCTAAACATTTGTTTATTATGGCTTGCCCGTATAAGTGCTTTATTTTACAACAAAAAGTATTAAAAAGATAATATTGGGCTACATAAATTTGATGGTCAACCTCTGTAACTATTTTTTACTTAATTTTATTGGACAGGTTATCTCCATTATTGCCACAACGCTGTTTAGATCTCCGTTTAGTTAGAAATAACAAACTGAAGAGGTAATTATGGATAAAGTAGAAAGTAGCGAGGTTAAGAAACAGAACAGCAGGTAGAATATACCATGGCTGAGTGCATTCACATTAGGGAGTAGAAGCCCACTATATGAGCCAGCAAGCTGACCAACCTAGGTAATATTCTCTGACAACTTATTTGGGACAGGGATAATGAAGAAACATTCTATTTTCTTAGCTATTTAAAGCTATTAGAAGCTATCAAAAATGTTCTATCTAAATCTACTAAGACACTAATATATCTCTAGCACCACAACTAGTTTGAGAGATGGGAGTAGACACATGGAGCTTCTAGAGAGCAATTTAATTAAACATATACTGAACACTATGCCATCTTGTACTGTGAGTAACTCTCACTAACACATCTTAATAAGTTTCCCAAATAGGCAGGCATCTGTTCATCTTCTCTTTTACTTAGTAAGGTAACTAATGAGTCTAACTCTCTTTAGGATCCCAGAAAGTTTCTGTCTTCTCCACATCCAGATTTCTTGAGGCATATAGCTCACCCATTTTTTTCCCCCACTTAGTGGTACCAGAGAAAACTTGCTCTAACCCTTTCTTTTTCTTCAGGATAAAAGACAAAAGGGAGGAGGACAAGTGAGTAATCACATATAGCCACAGCAAAATTGAATGAATTTGGCCAGGCGCAGTGGCTCACACCTGTAATCCCAGCCCTTTAGGAGGCTGAGGTGGGGAGATCACTTGAGGTTAGGAGTTTGAGACCAGCCTGGCCAACACAGTGAGACCCCATCTCTACTGAAATACAAAAAATACCCGGGCATCGTCGTGCATAGCTGTAATCCCAGCTACTGCGCAAGCCGAGGCACCAGAATCACTTGAACCCGGGAGGCAGAGGTTGCAGTGAGCAGAGATGGCACCACTGCATTTCAGCCACTCCAGCCTGGGCAACAGAGCAAGGCTCAGTCTGAAAAAATTAATTAATTAATTAATTAATTCAAGCTCAAATGAATGAATGACTGAATATGTGGCTGAATAAAAGTACTTGGCAAAATGTGTTATTTATGAGAGTTTAATTATAAAATGGGTGCTGAAGCACTAGAAACTGGTCTAAATATTTTACTCTTATTATTTCATTTAATATACATGACTATGTTTCTGTTTCTTTGAATATAAAAAAATGTGGCACAGAGATATTATGTAGCTTTCACAAGATCACCTAGTTTATGAAGAAAATCCTGGATTGAAAGTTAGGTTGCCTGGCTTAACATTCTCCCCATACCATACACTGGCTGCTGAGTCAGGTATTCTCTCTGTAACTTTGCTCTTTCCACTACCCCCCAAAATATGCACCCTCTGTATTGTTTATTATGTTGTTGTTGTTGTTACTGTGTTTCTTCAACTTTTACTCCTTGATAATAATTAAGTAGCAATGCTTCTTTTTCAGTGTATAGAGACTTCAATGGAGTTAGTTCCTTTTATCTTTCTGGCTTTTTTATCACTTCTTTGATAGGTCAATTTGGGGAGAATGAACAGGGGTATACTAAGCTCTGACGTGCTTCCCTACAGAAAGCATGTGCTCCCCATGACAAGCCTCTGTCTGATAAATTATACAGTGGCAGGTGGCTTCCTCCATGGGCACTGGGTGAGCTGCAATTTTGTGCAAAAAAAAAAAAAATGCCCTTAACACACTAAAGTCTAGTTCAAAGGCAAAAACTTTTGGGGGACATAGCTGACATTTTATGGAGCAAATTCTTTAAAAGTGGTGGGTAGAATTTTGTATTCAATCGTCTAACTGCTATAACCAAGGCAAAAAAAAGAATCCTGGGGCCTCAGGGCACTTGGTACTTTAACATTAGCAGGTCATGTCAGTTTCTGGGAATTTTGTCCAAGGTGACTTTTTTTTTTTTTTTTTAAAGAGAATGGATTGCAGGTGTAGCTGTAAACAGCATCAGGCAAATGATGTTTGAGCTGCCCCAGGATTAAATAAAAACTGAGATTGAAACCAAAGGTAGGGACTTCTTTGGTCTCAACAGACATGGAAAAGACATGGATATGCAAACATAAGCAAACAAGTGTTGTAGGCTTGCTGGAGTGAGCAATAAAAATACAAGATGTTCACTTAAATTTGAATTTTAAATACGCAATGAATAATTTTTAAGGATATGTAAGTCCATAATACGGGCAACCTCAAAGTTCAGACTGCGTAGCTTCAGAGACTTCAGCAAAGATGAAGGCTTAACCAGTGCAAAAGGACTTTAGGACTCCAGATGTTATATCTTGAACTTAAAGCATCCATTTGCTCAGCAAATGTGAGCAGCTGGCAGCAGATTTGAATAGATCCATGGAAGTATTAGTAAACAGATTAATCAGAGGCAAAGGTTTTATTATAAGTAGAAGAGAGTCATCTCATTTAGAAGCCTTTGAGACATTATAGAATTATATTTTCTGAATTAAACTGGGAGGAGTTGATCTATCTGCACTGCAAAGCCCTACAGAGGATCACTTAGGATATCGCACCTCCCGACCCCCAATCTTAAATTCAATTAGCATTCTGGTCCAAACAGGCAACTGCAGAAGAGCTTACTGAGCTTGAATTCCTGTGACTTGAACACATGCTCAAGAGCCACTGGCTCTGGAGGGATTAATTACATAAGAAGAAGATCCTCTCTAAGAAGGCAGGTTTCTCAAGCCTAGATGACAAGATTTAGTAGAAACCCTACAACATAGGACCCTAGAATGCCTTTTATAGTTTAAAAAAAAAAAGGAGGCTTTTTTATTCTTTTTCTTTTTTTCTTTTTTTTTTTTTTTTTTTACATTTTGGGCCTACACACAATTTATTGGTAGGGGAAGACAGATATTATTGAAAATAATGAGTATGAAGGAAAACTACCAGAAGTACAGTCACCCCAAACTTCTGAACTTTGTGACAAAAGTCTCAATTTTTACACTGAGAGTAGCCATGTGGATTTTTTACCCTCTAAGAATGTATAGATCCCAAATAAGTTTAGTTTTGCAGGTCATAAATTTCAGGCAACTGGCATAGGCCAACTAGCATTCTAATAAGGTAAAAAGAAAAAGTTTCCTCCATTTTTTCTCCTTAATTTAGGTACCGCTGATTTTGTACCATGGTGTGTATGTGTGTGTCTGTGTGTGTGTGTATGCACACACATGTGCACACGCACATGTTTAAAAAACATAACTATAGCTTCGGGAAAATAATCATGTAATTGTGCTTGGGATTTTTAGCCTGGGAACTTAGAATATGTGTTTTTTTGTTTTTCTTTTTTCTTTTTTTTCTAATTTGGGAAGCATAGGCTCAGGGCTTGGATATTCTTGCACATACTAACTCTTTATATTCTTTCAAAATAGAAAAAATTGATGCTGAACTAATACCATTTTTGAGACCCTGAAATTACCACATGCATTGCAATGGAAGACACCTCAGAAAATAGTTTCTAAAAAATCCCAACCCCACCCTGGCATTGATAACACTCTTGTTCAGTTTGTCCAAAATAAAAAGTAAAAAGAGGGCCGGGCGCGGTGGCTCACGCCTGTAATCCCAGCACTTTGGGAGGCCGAGACAGGTGGATCACGAAGTCAGGAGATGGAGACCATCCTGGCTAACATGGTGAAACCCCATCTCTACAAAAATACAAAAAATTAGCCAGGCGTGGTGGCGGGCGCCTGTAGTCCCAGCTACTCGGGAGGCTGAGGCAGGAGAATGGCGTGAACCCAGGAGGCGGAGCTTACGGTGAGCCCAGATCGGGCCACTGCACTCTAGCCTGGACGAGAGTGTGAGACTCCATCTTAAAAAAAAAGAAAAAAAAAAAGTAAAAAAAGAAGTAGAGAGAATGGACTCTGGAAAAAAATTAATTATTTTAGACTCTAGACTTTTAATTAAAAGCCATAGAATTTGACTCTAAAATTTAAATGTTTCAGACTTTGTTTCTGGATTTAATTTTTCAAGAGAATTCAAATCTTTCACGTTCCATTTGTCTTTGGAATGCAATAATAGAATAATATTTTATTAAAATTTTGGGAATCTCAATGTGGCTGATATTCTATTACTGAAGTGATGAGTACTTTGATATTAGAGCTTCTTTATTTCATTTCATTAGAGAACATCTAATAGATTACATTGGACAATGTGCCTGAACAAAACTTGTGATAGGAAACGGAATAAAAAACAAACTTTCAGCCTTGTGAATAGAGTAATCCTGAAAGAAACAACTAAAAGACAAATCTGAACCATTTCAGAGCTTTCTTAGGGTATAAACTTAATGTACTCTGCTGACCTAAGGAAGCTGTCTAAGGAAGACACCTACAAGAGCAATCATTGGCCCTTTGAGAATGGCCTCATGTGGTTGGAGCCATATCATTCTAATAGGTGGTAACCATAGCTACGACACTACTGGCCAATTATTGACTTGTGGTTAAGTCCAATGGGTCAAAAGTAAAAAATAAAAGCTAGAAATGACTCTGCTGCCTCCCTTTGCTTCTTGATCTTCCTGGGAAGTGATGTAGCCCAGGAGCAGGGGGGGGGATAAAGCAAATTGGTACTCATCCATTGTGTATCCTAGTATTTCTTCCTCTAATGCAGTCACCTAGATAAAAAACCACCTTCCCCAGATACTTCGTCTTCATCAATATAAAAGTTAAAATTGAACTCTTTCACTAATGATTTTTGTTGCAGCTCCTAAGTATCTCAGAACCTCAAAGAGGTAAATATTTCTCGAAATTTGTCACAACTTGCTACATTGAAAAGGGAATATAGGCTGATTGTAGAAAATGTGGAAACTACAAGAAACCAATCTGTGTTCTTTTAATCTGAGTTGCTTTTCTTTTTCTTACTAACAGGATGTCTTTGATATTTATGGACAGCAATCTTTGCCTGGCAAAAAATGATTAACTAGCATTATATCAAATTGGTAACTATTCCTGTTCATCCTTCATATCATTTTAAGAGTGATCTTTCTAAAATTTCCATTTGGTTATATGAATCCTATGCTTGGAAGAATTCATTTCAGATAAAATAACATTGAAATTCCTTATTTAAAGATGGTTTCCATTTGTATGGCCATTGACTACCATCTCAACCTTATTTCTCACTCTGTTTACTCTGTCACCACTCTTGCACTCCTCAAACCTACTTTCCACACAATGCGTCCTCAATTTAAATAGGATCATTCCATGTCCTGCTTAAAACCTTGTAAAATTTCCCTATCATCTAGCACATAAATTGCAAGCTCATTAAAATAACTTTCAAGGTCACCCAAGATCTGACCCTTGCTGAACTCTGCAGCTCCATTTTCTGTCATGATTGACTTTACACTTTATGGTCTAACAACATGAAACTATGTATACAGTCCCTAGGGACACAATATTATTCCTAGTGCCTGAGTCTCTGCCCTTACATGGTCTTAATTTTGAAATGCTATCCCTTTCACTTTACAGGCTCTCTTCTCATTTTTAAGTCTCAACTTCAATACCTCTCCTTCCCAAACTCTAAGAAAGGTGAGGTCACTTACTGCATGCTGCCATAATATCATGCGCAAACATCTATGATAGCATTTTCCACATCATTTATAATTATATGATTTTATAAATTTCTCCCAATAGATTTAAGATCCTTAAAGACAATGACTTAATTATATGACTACCTTCCTCCCCAATGCTTGAAGAATAGAAGGCACTCAATAAATATGTATTGGATTGAACAGTGAGAAAATGAATGAATATAGTCTCTGGTTAGTAATACAGAGAATAACTGGAAAATCTTTAAATGTATCTTGTACTTTCAAGGACGACTGGAGTTTAAATTGATGCAGCATTTTTGGATGGCAATATTTTTCATATTTAACATATAAAATTTTTCCAGAAACTTAATATATAGAAAAACATGATGAAACATTATATATCATGTATATCTACCTATCTACCTATATATGTGTGTGTGTATGTATATATATATATAGAGAGAGAGATAGAGAGAGAGAGAGATAGATGTGGATTTCTATATATATAGTATTATACATTATGTATATATAGTTTTATATAGAGAGAGAGAAAATGATTTTAAGATATTGGCTCAATATCTTAAAATACTTTTTTATACGATTGATAATAATTGATATTTTAAAATTCCTTTCTCTCTCTCTCTCTAGATATATCTATCTATATCTATATCTATACATATATAGAGAGAGAGAGGTCGAGATACAGATAAAGAGAGAAAGACAGAGAGAGAGACAAAGAGTTATACATACGTAGACACATATAAACCCTATTGGTTTTGTTTCTTTGGACAACCCTGACTAACATAATTACCTAAAATAAAATGAAGAATAAAATATTTGAGTATATTATCATAGGTTTCACAACCAAATCCCTCATCACTACTATGCTTGTATCAAAAAATAATGAGGCACATTGTTAATGTATTAAAATAGAAAGCAAGTCATGAAAAACTTTCTGCTGGCCTAGTACTACAGACATTTTACAAACCCGTTTATGTATATGTGTAGATATAAAAAATGATAGCAATGATCTCTGAACAAGTAGATTGTAACTGTTATCTTTTATCTTATCAGTTTATTTTTTCAATGACTATTATAAAATAATAACACAATATATTTTCAGAATTATAAAATGTTTCATGCCTGTTCTCACATATCTCTTGCTCCAGAAATTTCCTTTTACTGGATTAGTGGTCATCCCTCCTGTCCCTTTACTTTTACTTGACAGCACATAACCATATTCCAGAAATTCTGTTCATGAGTCACATCTTCTCAGAAAGCTCCTCTTTTCTTTCTTTTTTTTTGTTATTTTATTTTTTTTATGGCGGAGTCTCACTCTGTCGCCCAGGCTGGCGTGCAGTGGTGCGATCTCAGCTCACTGCAAGCTCCACCTCCCGGGTTTACACCAGTCTCCTGCCTCAGCCTCTCGAGTAGCTGGGACTACAGGCACCCGCCACCACGACCAGCTAATTTTTTGTATTTTTAGTAGAGATGGGGTTTCACCATATTAGCCAGGATGGTCTCGATCTCCTGACCTCGTGATCCACCTGCGTCGGCCTCCCAAAGTGCTGGGATTACAGGCGTGAGCCACCACGCCCGGCCTCTTTCCTTTTTGTTCAGCCTCCATCTGCTTGGAATCAGAAAGTTTTACAATTCACTGTTACTAGTAGAATTATTCCCTGTTTCGTTAGGGTCACCAGTGAACTTTGATCAAATGCATAAAATATCCGAAATTAACCATCTCTCTCTCTTTCTGTCTCTTACACACACACACACACACACACACACACACACGCAGACACACACCCCCACACACAGCTTTTGAGATATTTCTGTCTTTTAAATTTTTATTTCTGTAATGATTTAATATTTTACAAGTATATAACAGTATATTCCTTTTCCAGTACTGGAGAGACATTAGTTTTTAAAAAAATCACAAAAGTCTGTGTCCTCATGCAGTTCATTTCCTGCTAAAAGAAGAGTAGCAATAAGCAAAGAAAATAAGTGACATGTACTTAAAATTCAATCTCATGTCTTAAGGCTCTTCCATCTACTCCACCTTCTTGCTGCCTCCTCAGGCTCCTCGGCACATTTTTAAACATGTTATCTCCAGGATCGTCACCCTCTTCTGCATTACTGAAATCATGAGAATTCTTACAGTACTGTAAAACTGTAGTTATTGAACCTCCCTTTCTGTATATTCCATCCTCCAAATATTGTGTCCTCTTCCTTCTTTTAGCTATTCTTATTAACAATAACTGCAAACTCTTAATCTTAATTTTGTACCTTCAACTACCCAACTACCACTTCCCGTTTTTCAGTTTGCTCACTGTATTTGCATACTCTAAAAAATCTTTGGCTCCACCAGAACCTAGAGTACACTTATCACCTTAAACTCCTCATGGTCTTACTTTCCTCTTAACCAGTTATTTTAGTCATATGCGTACATCATCATCTTTGCCTGTCTCCCTTTTGTTGGCATATTTTCTTGATTAAAACATTGCACTGGTTAAATTCAAAGTAAATTAACTTCAGGTGAGTATCCCCATAACTGAATGCACCTGAGGGAAAAAAAAAGAAGACAGTGCTGACTGTCATATCTTTAATGTAGATCAGTAAGGTCAAGTCATCCTTACTACTTCCTGAAAAACTCATATTTCCCTATTTCATTCTTCTACTTTTCTAAATGACTACTTCATACCTTTTCTTTCTCTTTATTTCTTCACAACTGTCATTTCCTTCTCCTTCTCAGATTTGAACTTATTTCAAATTTTAAAAGAAAAAATTGAAACAGAGAAGGTTTTTTAAAACTTTCCATGCATGCATTCATACACATCCATGCATTTATTAAAGTATACGTCAAGTTACCTTCTTTTTCTGTGGAAGGACCGTATGTAATGCTGCCTAATGCAACCACTCCCCTGCTATACCGGGTTTCATTCTTTTTTGCCTAATTAAGAACAACGCACCAAAAAATCCTCCTCCAGCCCCCATTCTGCACCTCTAATTTTCCCCATATACTTGTTCAATCACATGATATGTATTTCCTCACCTTAATAAGAAACCCTCTCTCAATTCCTACCTCAGCCTTTGGTACTACCTATTGCTCTTACTCTTATAGCAATCTCCCTAAAAGATATATATATATATATATATATATATATATATATATATATATATGCATACATCATATATATATGCATATACCATATATATGCATACATCATATATATGCATATACCATATATATGCATACATCATATATATGCATATGTCACATATATGCATACATCATATATGCATATGTCATATATATGCATACATCATATATGCATATGTCATATATATGCATACATCATATATATGCATATGTCATATATATATGCATACATCATATATATATTCATTTTCTGTAACTTTCCCCTCCCATTCTCTTAAGCCCATTCCAACTAGAAATTTGCCTTCCCATCACAAAACTACTCTTTTAAATATTACTAATATTATTCATGTTGCAAAACCCAAAGGTCAATTTGAGTTTGCATTACTTGACCTGTCAGCAGCATGAAAACCAATTGTACATCCGCTTCACTTGGCTTCTAGGAATTCAGTCACTTCATTTTCTTCCTTATATATTGAACACACCTTCTCATTCTCCTCTGCTTGTTCCTACCTTATATACTATCTCTAAGTATTAATACTTAAAGGGAGATTCCTTAGTTTCTCTAAATGTATTCTTCCAATAATCCCGTGATTTAAATACCATCTACCAAATTTATCAAATGTATATTTTCATCAAATATATCTCCCCCATAGCCTTATAGTTATTTGATCAAATGTGTACCTGAAACCACAACATAGACAGCAAAAAGACATCTCAATTTTAATATATCTAAAACTGAATTGACAGTAACAAGTAGCCGCCCTCTGCAAACATACAACATGACCCGAGAACAGGAATAAGTTGCATCAGCAAGTGAAAATTGAAGTTGTGACTCAGGTCCAACAGATGTGAAGCAAGATAGATAGATAGATAGATAGATAGATAGAAGGTCTATCATACTCAAATTCCTAGATTGGTTACAGCCTGGAATTAAATCACCAATGTGATCACGGAAATGCAAACACTACCTGAACATTATGCAAGCCCCCAGAGGAGCAACTTTTTTTTGGTAAATCCTGTACATTGCTTTCAGTAAGTTACAAATCCTGTGCCATGTTTATGCAAACACAGCAGATGGCTATACAAATGAATTATATGTACTAAATCTTAGTAGTGAATTTAATTAATTATGAATTTATGAGATGGAATCATTTCAAGATACTTTCCACTTAAGGACAGATTGAAAGGAAGTCTCAAACATTCCAGTAAAATCTAAGTGGTTACAGGCTAATGGACATTATAAAGATTTAGCATAGTTTCTCAAGGCATTCTATTTATTATAGCTATAATTAAGTTTAAAATGCTGACATATCTTTCTAAATCTAAACCATACTGAAATCTCTGAAAGATAGGCAAATGCATCAAACATTTCACAGTAAAACAGGATCATTCCATAATTGTTTATCTCTAGAAGTTGTTTATGTGCACCACGCAGCCATCAAAAAACAGGAACAGAACTGAACACAGCTTAAATTTTTATGGAGTTCAATTATTGAGGGATATAAAAATGAGAACTACTGATTAGGATACTAACTTAGGTTTCCATAGTGATAGATATAATTTTTAAATACTTATATTTATTTTACGGAGTTTTTGTTTGCAGCAGAAGTAAATTTCAAAAGCTACTAAATAAAGCAGTCAGTACAGCTGGGTGTTGAATCTATCAATTCCACTGTCAGAATGATTCATAGGAGTTTGTTAGTCTCCCTGAATCTTAGTTTTGACATCTCAAAAAGGAGAAATATGATTACATAAGTGTTTAATAGAGTACAATGCTTTAAAAATGTATTTACATGGCTAGGATCCTTCTCAACTGTGAGATTATATAAATGACCATATACACTGATTTTTCTGATTACTTGCATGCCATTGAATTTGGATCAGCACTCAAAGAGCCTGTATGTCTTCATTTTCAAAAAACAGTCAAGTAATAATATTAGATTATTCTCTGTATATCAATAGAGAAAAAACTGAAATTTCAAAAAGTAGTTCAAAAGCAACTCGCAAATATTATAAAGCAGAACAAATAAGATAGTAGACCATTTTAAAAATTAAACAATAAATTTTTCATATACGAGTCATCAGACCTAGAATTCCTGTGCATTATAGACATAAGATTACCATTAGATAACTTTAAAAATAAAATATAAGTAGTTTTTTTCCATTTTTGCAACGTAGAAAAAAATTACAAAACATATTTTCTATCAGTATTAAATCTGCCATTTTAAAGTTTCGTAATATCAAATGTTGATATGTGTAACATTATTTTGGCCTTCTCTACAAGATGTAGCTAAAAGGCAAGAAGACTATACTGTTTCTGTTTGAGGTTAAGATGTACTTCTGCTCACTTCCACTTAATGAAATCACTGGATAAACTAAGACAAGAGAGAAGTTAAAGTAAAGGATAAAGTAAATGTTGTGAGTAAATTAGTATTTAAAAGATGAGAGAAAAGGAAAATGCAGTGAGGAAATAACTGAGGTCTTATTTACAGAATATTTTCCCAGACCAATGTCCTGAAGCATTTCTACTATATTTTCTTGTAGCAGATTTATTATTTCAGGTATTACATTTAGGCCTTGGATCTATTTTGAGTTGATTTTTGTATAGGGTAAAAAGTGGGGGTCTAGTTTAATTCTCCTGCATATAGATATTTTATTTTCCCAGTATCATTTCTTAAAGAGACTGTGATTTCCTCAATGAGTATTCTTGGTATCTTTGTCAAAAATCAGTTGGCTATAGATATGTGGATTAATTTATTGGTTCTCTATTCTGTTCTTTTGGTCTGTGTATCTGTTTTTATGACAGTACAATGCTGTTTGGGATACAACAGCTTTGTAGTATATTTTGAGGTTTGGTATTGGGATACCTCCAGCTATATTCTTCTTGCTCAGGATTGCCTTGGCTATTTGGGGTCTATTGTAGTTCCATACAAATTTCAAGATTTTATTTTTATTTATGTGGAGAATGTCATTGGTATTTTGGTAAGGATTGCATTGAATCTGTGGCTTGTTTTAGGTAGTATTGTCACTTTAACAATATTAGTTATTTTGATCTATGAGCATGGGCTGTCTTTACATTTGTTTGTGTCCTCTTCAATTCCTTTCATCAGTGTTTTGTAGTTTTCCTTGTAGAGGTCGTTCACCTCCTTGGCTAAATTTGTTTCTAGGTATTTTTATATTTTTGTAGCTATTGTAAATGGGATTGACCTCTTGATTTCTTTTTCAATGAGTTTGTTGTGTATAGAAACTCTTCTGGTTTTTGTATATTAACTATGTATCCTACAACTTTACTAAATTCATTTATCAGTTATAAAAGTTTGGTAGAATCTTTAGGTTTTTCTATCAATTCTTAAGTGAATTTTTATTACTCTTAGTTTATTCAACTAAAAGCATTGGCAGAAATGGCAAGACATTATACTGTGGATTAAGTTGTGATATTACTATGGAATGGTCCAAATTCACAATCAATATAGTAATGCAAAATGAGCCATTTTGCATGGATCCAAAAGGCTACAAATTCATTGTGCTTAGACAAAAGTATGTGAGTGCATGATATAATTAATACCTGCTTCTAATCACTTTGAAGGAGAACTTCTCTGGCTTCAAAAGTGTAATGTAAATGTTTTATCACTTTAGTGTTAGTGCATAAAATAATCTTTTAGTTAACTTTAGTTTAGTTTAGCTTTAGTTTTCCAAATATGGAAATACCTTCTATAGTGCCTAATATAAATATATATCCAAAGAAATGTGACAGTCAGTTTTATTAATGCCAATCCCTACACAAAGTTAAGTAAGTTACTTAAAATATTATTGCTAGTTTCCTAAAGAAAAGTCTGTCATTCATACAATGATAACTTTTTTCCAACTTTTATTTTAAAATCAGAGGGGTCTTGAACATGTATGTTACAGAGGTTTAATGCATGATACTGAGTTTTGGAAGATGAATGAATCCATTAGCTAGGTGGTAAGCATAATACTCAATAGGTAGTTGCACCCCATGCTCCCTTCTCTTTCACTTCCCTCTTGTATTCCCAGTGTCTGTTGTTTGCATCTTTATGTCCATGTTTACCCAATATTTAGTTCCAACTTATAAGTGAGAACAGGTGGTATTTGGTTTTCTGTTTCTCCATTAGTTCACTTAGGATTATGGCTTCTGGCTCCATCCATGTTGCTGCAAATGAAATGATTTTGTTCTATTTTATGGTTGCATAGTATTCCATGGTGTATATGTACTACTTTTTCCTTATCCAACTGAGTGTTGATGGGAACCTGAGTTGATTCCATCCATGTCTTTGCTATTGTGAATAGTGTTGAGATGAACATTATTCACAGTATTCACAGACGTACGTGTCTCTTTGGTAGAGTGATTTATTTTCCTTTAGATATATCCTCAGCAATGGAACTGCTGGGTCAAATGGTAGTTCAACTTGTAATGCTTTGAGAAATCTCCAAACTGCTCTCCCCAGTGGCTGAACTAATTTAAATTCTCATTAACTGTGTATGTGTTTCTTTTTCTCCATAGCCGCACCAGAATATGTTATATTTTGAATATTTAACAAAAGCCATTTTGACTGTGTGAGGTGGTATCTCATTGTGGTTTTTATTTGCATTTCTCTGATGGTTAGTGAAGATGACCATTTTTCTGTATGTTAGTTGGACACTTGTATGTCTTCTTTTGATGAGTGTCCTTTCCTATCGTCCACCCACTTTTAATAGTATTATTTGTATTTTGCTTGTTGGCTTGTTTAAGTACTTTATAGATACTGAATATTAGAACTTTGCCAGATACGCAGTTTTGTGAATATTTTCTTGCTTTCTGTAGGTACTGTTTATTCTCTTGATACTTTCTCTTGATGTACAGAAGCTCTTTCATTTAATTAGGTCCCAATTGTCAATTTCTTGTTTTGTTGAAATTACTTTTGAGAATGTAGGCATGAATTCTTTGACAAGGCCAATATTGAAAAGGGTATTTAACAGGTTTTCTTTTTGGATTTTTATAATTTTAGGTCTTACATATAAGTCCTTAATTTATCTATCTTGCATAGCTTTTTGTATATGGTAATAGGTAGGTGACCAGTTTCCTTATTCTGCATATGAACAGCCAGTTATCCCAACACTATTTATTGAATAAAGAGTCTTTTCTCCATTGTTTATTTTTGTTGAGTTTGACAAGGACAAGATGGTTGTGAGTGTGGTGTGTACCTTTATACCTGAGATCTCTATTCCGTTCCATTGGTCTACATATCTTTTGTAGAAGTACAAAGTGGTTTCAGCTACTGTAGCCTTGTAGTAAAGTTTGAAACTGAGTAATGTGATGCCTCCAGCTTTGATTTGTTGTTGTTGTTTGCCTAGGATTATTGTGGTTATTTGGGCTATTTTTTGGTTTCTTAAGAATGTTGGAATAGTTTCTTTTTTTTTTTTTTTTTTGTAATTCTGGGAAAAAAGGGCATTGGTAGTTTGATAGGAATAGCATTAAATCTATAACTTATTTGGTCTGTACAGACATTTTGGCGATATCAATTCTTCAAATCCATGAGTGTGGGATATTTTTATATTATTAGTGTCCTCTCTGATTTCTTTCAGCAATGTTTTGTAGTTCTTCTTGTAGAGATCTTTCATTTTCTTGCTTAGCTATATTCTGTTATTTTATTCTTTTAGCAGCTATTTTCAAAGGAAATTACATTCCTAATTTGGATAGTATCAGCTTGAGCATTATCGGTGTATAAAAATTCCACTGATTTTTGTACATTGATTTCATATCCTGACAATTTATTGAAGTTGTTTATCACTTCTAGGAGCCTTTTGGTGCAGTATTTAGAGTTTTCTAGGTAAAGAATCATATTTCCAACAAAGAAAGATTGTTTGATTTCTTCTTTTCCTATTTGAATGTCTTTTACTTATTTCTCTTGCCTGAATGCTCTGACTAGAACTTCCTGTCCTATGTTAAATAGGCATAGTGAGACTGGCCATCCTTATATTGTTCCAGATGACAGGGGAATGCTTCCGGGTTTTGCCTGTTCAGTATGATGTTGGCTGTAGGGTTGTCATAGATGATTCATTATTTTGATGTATGTTCCTTTGATGCCTAGTTTGTTGATGGTTTTTATTATGAAGTGATGTTGGATTTTATCAATAGCTTTTCTTGAATCTATGGAAATGATCATATGGGTTTAGTTTTTAATTCTGTTTATGTGGTGAATCACATTTATTGACATGCGTATGTTGAACCAATCTTGCATCTGAGGAATAAAAACTACTCAATCATGGAAAATTAACTTTTTCATGTGCTGCTGGATTCAGTTTGACAGTATTTTGTTGAGGAATTTTGCATCTATGTTCATCAGGGATATTGACTCGTAGTTTTCTTTTTTTGATGTGTCTTTACCAGATCTTAGTATCAGGATGATTCCAGCTTTGTAGAATGAATTAGAGAGGAATCCCTCCTCCTCAATTTTTTGAAATAGTTTTAGTAAGATTGGTACCAGTGCTTCTTTGTATGTCTGGTATAGTTCGGAAGAAACTCCATCTGGTCCAGGGCTTTTTTTGGTTGCTGGGTTTTCTTATTACTGATTCAATTTTTGATGTAAGTATTGGTCTGTTCACAGTTGGAATTTCTTCCTGGTTCTATCTTGAGAGGTTGTGTGTTTCTAGGAATTTACCCATTAAATCCAGATTTCCTAATTTATTTATATGTAGGTGTTCATAATAATCTCTGAGGATGTTTTGTATTTCTGTATGATTAGTTGTAATGTCATCTTTGTAATTTCTTGTGTATTTAGATATCCCTTCTTTGTCCTTTTTTAATTTAGCTAGGAGTCTATCAAACTTGTTTATTCCTTAAGAAAAAATTTTTGCTTAATTGATCTTTTGTATGTTTTGCATCTCAATTTTATTATGTACTGCTATGATTTTGATTATTTTTTTTCTCCTCTTAGCTTTGGGGTTGATTATTTCTTGTTTTTCTAGTTCCTGTAGGTGTGATCATTGTTAATTTGAGGTATTTCAAACTTCTTGATTTAGGTGTTCAGTACTACAAAATTTCCTCTTAGCACTGCTTTGGCTGCATCCCCCAAATTTTTCTATTTGTATCTGTTTTTATTAATTTCAAATAATTGTTAAATTTATCCTTTAATTTTGTTGTTTACCCAAAAGCCATTCAGGAACAAGTTGTTGAGATTTCATGTAATTATGTGGTTTTGAAATAACTTCTTGTATTGATTTCTGTTTATATTTCTCTATGATCCAATAACAGGCATGGTATGATTTTGATTTTTTTCAATGTATGTGATTTGCTTTATGGTTGAGCATGTGGTTGATCTTAGAGTATGTTGTATTAGGGTTCTGTAGAGGGACAGCACTAATAGGATACATGTATATTTGAAAGGGAGTTTATTAAGGAGTGTTGACTCACACAATCATAAGGTGAAGTCTCCTAATAGGCCGTCTGCAAGCTGAGGAGCAAGGAAGTCTGTCTGAGTCTCAAAACTTCAAAAGCAGGAAAGCCAACAGTGCAAACTTCAGTCTGTGGCTGAAGGCCCAAAAACCCCTGGCAATCCAATTGGTGTAGGTCCAAGAGTCCAAAAGCTGAAGAACTTTGAGTCCAATGTTTGAGGGCAGAAAGCATCCAGTACAGGAGAAAGATTGACACCAGAAGACTTAGCCAGGCTAGTCTTTCCACCTTCCTCTGCCTCGTTTTATCCTAGCTGTGCTGGCTTCTGATTAGCTGGTGCCCACCCAGATTGAAGGTGGGTCTGCCTCTCCCAGTCCACTGACTCAGGTGTTAATCTCCTTTGGCAACACTCTCACAGACACACCCAGGAACAACACTTTGCACCCTTCAATCCAATCAAGTTGACACTCAATATTAACAATCACATATGTTCTTTCTGTGTGAAGGTGAGAAGAATGTGTATTTTCTGGTTGTTGGGTGGAGCATTCTGTAGCTGTCTTTTTTTTTTATGTAGATGTCTCTTAAGTACAATTGATCAACTGTTGAATTTAATTGTAAAATTTATTTGTTAGATTTCTGTCCCCTCCAATCACTGGTGTCACATCCATGTTTCCTTAACACCAAGGGGGATCCTAATGGGCTGCACCCCTTGCTGTCTTGGAGGTGATCTGAGCTGAAAGTTAGGTTACCAAGAGATCCACAGCACTCTGAAGGCACACTAGTCCTTTGTCCTTAGCAGAGCCAGACTGGGTTGTGAAGTATGTCTGCAGGTGGTCTGATATTGCAGGAGTTCAAGGGCAAAGGATATTCAGCCAGGGTGGCATTGCAATTGGTGTGTAGAAGCTGTGGAGCCCATAGTCTAGGGTATTTTGCCCAGCAGATATCTGTGGGGATTGCCCAGTTTACTCTTCCTCAACCAGGATTCCTTCCCGTTGCTCTCTTAGTAGCTGGCTCCACCATCTAGTTTGGTGCTAAACCTTCTGTTCCCAGACCACTGAGCTATTAGGTGTTCTGGGCCATGGGGCTCCCTAGGAAGAAGGCTGCAACTGAAAGACAGGGCACATTCATCTTGGATGGTCACTGTGCATAGAGGCACTCAGCTCCCAGGCCTGTCCATGAACCTGTGTCTCAGTCTTTGTAGTGTTCTGAGAGTGGGGGTTCTTCCTTCACTAGAGTGCCAGCCACAGATCTCAGCTTAGTACTCCTGAGCTGTGGGCTCTAACCCTGAAGAGGTTGGGACCAGGCCTGCTGCTTTGTTTTATTATCTCCTGGTGTTGAGCATCAGCTATGCTGGGGGGGCCAAAGTGCTTCCAGGTCTTCAGCAAAGCACTCAGTCAGTGCCACCAATACAACACATAGGCTGGGCAGTGGAGGCTGTGCTGTGTGCATACTCTTGTAAAAGTGGCCAGGCAGCGGCCTTGGGAAGGGCTGGTGGCCCGGGGAGTGCATAGATTAGATGCACTCTGATTGCACAGGAAAGACACCCGTGCTTTCTCTTGCCCAGTAGGAAGCAGGGGTTAGCACCTCTCAGAGGAAAATGGAGTGCCTTGGGAGATGAGCACTTATGACCCAATTTTGGTGCAACTGGTCCACGTGAAAAATCTCTTGGATCTCCCTACATTTGATCTCTGTCTCTGCCTCTCTCCAGGCAGATAGCCCTGCCAATTCAAATGTCTATGGAGATGATGGTATCTCTTGTAGCTAGAATCCCAGGCATCCACGGTAAGACCAGGTTGTCCACAGTCGCTTCACTCACTCCTGCCTTAGGAGCTTGCAAGTTTGTGCAAGGTTCTCAGCTTCCTCCCTCTTTGGTCTAAGTGTCCAGAACTCAAAGTTCTTCAGCTTTTGGACTCTTGGACCTACACCAGTGGGTTGCCAGGGGCTTTTGAGCCTTCAGCCACAGACTGAAGTTTGCACTGTTGGTTTTCCTGCTTTTGAGGTTTTGAGACTCAGACAGACTTCCTTGCTCCTCAGCTTGCAGACGGCCTATTAGGAGACTTCACCTTATGATTGTGTGAGTCAATACTCCTTAATAAACTCCCCTTCATATATACATGTCTTCTATTAGTCCTGTCCCTCTAGAGAACCCTAAATTATTATTTAACAGTTTTAATAATTTAATATATGTAAAATTATATTTCAATATATAGTTATTGATTATTATATTATGATTAATTTAATATTAATTATTATATTTAATATAATATATAATACATTATTATATTTAATATAATATTATGTTATTATAATTTAATATATATAAAACTCCTCTATATGTATATAAGGGAGTTTATTATTAACTCACATGATCACAAGGTCCCATAACAGGCCGTCTACAGGCTAAAGACCAAAGAGAACCAGTCCAAGTTCCAAAGCTGAAGAACTTGGAATCCAATGAGGGCAGGAAGCATCCACCAACACGAGAGAAAGATGTAGGCTGGGAGGCTAGGCCAGTCTCTCTTTTTACATTTCTCTGTCTGCTTATATTCTAGCCACACTAGCAGCTGATTAGATTGCAACCGCTCAGATTAAGGGTGGGTCTGCCTTTCCCAGGCAACTGACTCAAATGTTAATCTCCTTTGGTAACACCCTCACAGACAAACCCAGGATCAAAACTTTGTACCCTTCAATCAAGTCAAGTTGACACTCAGTCTTAACCATCACAAATATTATGATTCAATAGCAAGCACAGCACCATGCAGATTTCTGCATGTGGATATGCGAGATACCCTCCTTGCTCCCACAGCCTACTTTAATAAGAACTCTTCTAATTAATTAAATTAAGACATAATATATCTCTTTATTTCCAGTGGACAAATAAATTATTAGAACTAATTCCCTAGGGACATATACATTAAATACAAAATACGATGCTGAAATCTAGCTTTCACATACACTCTTGATTTACATTCTGAAACATTCAATTCATGTGTAGTGCTGATAATAAGACAGCTGTGATTTGATTAGCTTGAAAATTCCCAAATAAATAATTTGACCCTCTTAGTATCATGTAAAATAAATTAGTTTTTCCAATTGTTAAGAAATATCTTAATATTCTGAAATACTAATTTTTTCTGTAGATTAATTTATAGAATCATTACATAAAACAGGGAGGACATTAAAGATGGCTGATTAGAGGCGTTTTCTCTACTTATTTTCTCTACTAAGAAGAACAAAAATAGTGAGTAGATGATCACACTTTGAATAGACCATCCAAGAGAAAAAACTGGAATTCCACAGAGAAGTGACAAGAAACCCCTAAAGCAAAGAAGAAGCAAGCAAGGCAGCCTGCTATTCTGGGATTGGCTGGAAGCTAGGAGAGACTCCTTAATGTGTGGAAATGGTAAGTAGGAGACAGAGCAGTCCACTGCTCCCACCAAGAACTTATGCAATCCCAGCTGCAGAAGAGCCCCTTAAACTTCATGGGCTCCAAGAATAACAGGGAGGTTCCTGGAGACTGTGCGAATGCATTGTTTGTTAGAGAGTGAGTGCTCATGTTGGGTTCCACCAACCACTAAGTCCTAAGCAGTGGCAGCACAGCACAATTTTAGGAGTACAGCCCACAGTGGACTGTATCCTGTTCCACAACTAAGGCAAAGTTAGCTATAGCCAGCAGTCCCACCAACTCCTGCAGAGGGGTGAGCGTCCATATTCATGCACTCCAAGTTCCACTGCCCACAACCACCTTGGCTGTGTACAACCACCAGGCTGAGACATAAGCAATGACTGCACTGTCTAGCAGCCTGCATACAAGTGCTCCCAAGGACAAAAATCTTGCCCACCCCAGTATCAGGGCCACAGCAGAGCTGTTGCTTCCTCCTCCTGAGAATTCTGCTGGTGGCCTGGGGCTCATCCCACACCTACGTACCACAGCCAGCCACTATACAAACCACCTATGCATCAAAGGGGACAGCCTGAACTGGCTCCACCCACCCATTACAGGACAACACTATCCAGAAGCCTAGGGATTGTTCAACCCAGTCCACCACCAGCGATACTTCAACACCGCTCCCAGGTTCTCAGTTCAAGTGGGCCCATTCAACCTTCCCCTAACATCCAACAGCACGTGCCACCTGCATGTCTTAGAACTAGTCCATTAAACCGATCACAGCCACTGTAAACAACAGTGCAGTCCATTTGGTTTCTAGAAGGTTGTCCCACCACAGCTACACTTATTGCCTATGCCATACACGCTGGCCAGCAACTTGAGAACCTGCACATCCACCTGGCCCCTGCTCACCAAAGAAAGCCACCTGGATGCACAAGATTGGCCTACCCAGATGCTCTAACACCAGTGCCAGTGTACACTGCCCTGGAGCCCAAGGTAGCCCATTGTTATCACCACTGGTGCCCAAAAGCTGGCCAATCTGGTGACGCAGTCCGCATCAAAGCTTCACCACAGCACCCACTAACACTGCATCCTAAGTCACTGAGGAAATCTCAGAACCACTAACACTGCTTACAGCAAAACAAATAAAACAGAGACTACATTACTACAGGCACCCGGAATCAAAGCCAAAGTTCCCTACCCAACTAACAGCATGGAGACAACTTCAGGAAAAATTACTCCCCTAGGAAAGCAAATTCAGGAAATTGAAATAAGGATCTGTAACATTACATCTGCAGATATCAATGTAAAGACATGAGGAATATTTAAAAAGCATTGAAATAGCACAATAATTCTCCAGCAAACAGAACCCAATAAAAAATTCACAAAATTCCAATTAAAGATTCAGAATGTTGATAAACCAGTGAGATACAAGATAATTCTAAAAAAATACAGAAATTTAGAAAAATAATTTAGGATATGAGCAGAAAATTACCAAAGATATTGAAATTCTAAGAAAGAAACAAAATTTTAGAACTAAAGAATTCACTGAATGAAATACAAAATACATTTGAAAGTTTCAACAGTAAACTAGATCAACAAGAAGAAAGACTCATACTTAAAGAAAGAGCTTTTAAAATAACCCAGTCAGAAAAAGAAAAAGAAATAAATTAGGAAAGTTTTCATAACATATGGGACAACATAAAACAATTTGTGAGTTGTTATTGCTCCGGAAGACAAGAAGAGAACAAGTGTTTTAGAAAACTTATTTGATGAAAGAACAGATAAAAACTTTCCAAATATAGCAAGATATGTGTACGTCCTATACAGGAGGTGCAGAAATATCCAAACAGATACATTGTACAAAGGTTTTTTCCGTGGAATATTATAGTTAAAGTATCTAAATGCAAGGACAAAGAGAGAATTCTTTTTTTTATTTTTTATTTACTTATTTATTATTATTATTATACTTTAAGTTTTAGGGTACATGTGCACAATGTGCAGGTTAGTTACATATGTATACATGTGCCATGCTGGTGTGCTGCACCCATTAACTCGTCATTTAGCATTAGGTATATCTCCTAATGCTATCCCTCCCCCCTCCCCTCACCCCACAACAGTCCCCAGAGTGCGATGTTCCCCTTCCTGTGTCCACGTGTTCTCATTGTTCAATTCCCATCTATGAGTGAGAACACGCGGTGTTTGGTTTTTGTCCTTGCGATAGTTTACTGAGAATGATGATTCCCAATTTCATCCATGTCCCTACAAAGGACATGAACTCATCCTTTTTTATGGCTGCATAGTATTTCATGGTGTATATGTGCCACATTTTCTTAATCCAGTCTATCATTGTTGGACAAAGAGAGAATTCTAAAAAGAGCAAGAGAAAACTGTCTAGCCACCTATAAATAAACCCCCAAAAGAATCACAGTGTATTTGTCAGAAAATACCTTATAGGCCAGGAGAAAATTGAATGATATATTCACAGGCTGAAAGAAAAAAAAAAGCCTTTAGTCAAGAATACTATGCCTAACCAAAATTATCCTTCATAAATGAAGGAGAAATAGTCTTTCCCAGACAACCAAAAGCTGAGGGATTCATGACCACTAAACTAGATCTACCAGATCTGTTAAAGGGAGTCCTACACTTGGAAGCCAAAGGACAACATTTCTTATCATGAAAACACGCAAAAGTATACAACTCATTGGTAATGCAATCACACAAAGGAGAAAGGGAAACAAATGATACCATGACAAAAGAAAGAAAAAAACACCAAAACCACCATGACAAACAAGAGAAAAAGAAAGGAGCAAATAATATACAAAAAAGCCAGAAAACAATTAACAATATAACAGGAACAAAACTTCACATATCAATATTAACCTTGAACATAATGGATTAAATTCTTTACTTAAAAGACATAGACTGGCTGGATGGAATTTTATAAAAATGATCCAATTACATGCTGCCTGTAAGAAACACACTTTACCTGTAAAACACATGTAGACTGAAAGTAAATGGATAGAACAAGATATTTCATGCAAATGGAGAGCAAAACCAAGCAGAGTAGCCACACTTAGATTAAAAAAAAAAAAAGATACTTTAAGTCAGAAACAGTAAAACAAAGACAAGGAAGATCATTATGTAATGATAAAGGGCCCAATACAACCAGAGGATAGTACAATTATATATACACACATGTATTATATATAAGTATATGTTATATATATATATGTCATATATATAAGTATATGTTATATATACTTATATATAATATATGTGTGTATATATAATTAGAGCACCCAGATTCATAAAGCAAACATTACTAGATATAAAAAGAGAGAGAGACTCCAATATAATAGTGGGGGACTTCAACATACCACTCAGTATTAGATCATCTAGACAGAAAATCAACAACAAAATGTTAGATGTAAGATGGGCCTTAGACTTTAACAGAAATTTATAGAATACTTTATCTATCAATGACAGAATACATATTTTTTTCTCAGGAAATGAAATTTTCTCCAAAATAGACCACATGTTAGGCCATAAAACAAGTCTCCACAAATTTTAAAAATTCAAAGCACATCAACTATCATTTCATGTTACAATGGAATAAAACTAGGAATCATACCAAGAGAAACTTTGGAAACTATATAAATATATGTAAAATAAACAACATACTACAGAACAACCACTAGGCCAATGAAGAAATTAAGATGGAAATCAAAACATTTCTTGAAACAAATTAAAATAAAAATACAACATAATAAAACCTGTCAGATACTGCAAAAGCAGTGCTAACAGGGAAGTTTATAACAACAAATATCTATATCAAAAAGTAGAAAGGTTTCAAATAATCTAGTGATGCACTTCAAGGAATTAGAAAAGTAAGAACAAACCAAACTCAAAGTTAGCAGAAGAAAATAAATAATAAATTGTATAGTAGAACTAAATTATATTATGACTAGAAAAACAATAGAAAGGATCAATGAAACAAAAGGATGGTTCTTTAAAAAGATTAAACTGATAAACCATTAGCTAGACTAACAAGAAAAGAAGAGAGAAGACCAAAAAAGAAACTCGGAAATAAAAAGGGAGACCTTACAATTCATACCGCAGAAATTAAAAGGATCAAGATCAACAGAGACTACAGTGAACAACACTCCATGCTAACAAACTAGAAAACCTAAAGGAAATGGATTAATTTCTGTCAACATACAACTTACCAATACTGAATCAGGAAGAAATAGAAAACCTGAACAGATCAATAATGGACAGCAAGATTGCATCAGTTAAAAAAAAAAGTCTCCCAACAATATAAAAGCCCAGGACAGGATGGATTCACAGCTAAATTCTATCAAATATACAGAGAAGAAATGATACAAATCATCCTGAAACTGTTTCAAAAAATTAAAGTGAAGGAAATTCTCCCTAATTTTTTCTGTGAGCCAGGATTACTCTGATACCTAAATTAGACAAGGACATAACAAAAGAAAGAAAAGAGTGACAGGCACCAATATTGCTAATAAACATATATCCAAAAATCCTCAAGGGAGTACTATCAAACTAAATACAACATCATGTCACAAAGATAATACATCATGATTAAGTGGGATTTATCCCAGGGATAAAAGGAAGATTTGTCATATGAAATCAATAAACATGATACATCACATCAACCAAATGAAGTACAAAAGCCAAATGATCATCTAAATACATGAAGAAAAAGCATTTGATAAAATTCAACATCACTTCATGTTAAAAACTGTCAACAAACTAAACATAGAAGCAATACACCTCAAAGTAATAAAGATTGTACGTGACAAACTGACAGGTAATATACTAAATGGGAAAAATTTGGAAGCCTTTCCTTTAAGAATGGAAATAAGATAAGAAAGCTCATTTTTACCAGTGTTATTCAACATAATACTGGAAGTCCTAGCAAGAGCAGTCAGACAAGAGAAATAGATATTGGAAAAGACAAAGTCGAATTTTTCTTCTTTACAGATGACATGATCTTATATTTGGACAAACAAAAATATTTTTTTCAAAAATTGTTTAGAACTGACAAACTCAGTAAAGTTTCAGGATACAAAACCAACAAATGAAAATCAGTAGTGTTTCTATAAACCTGCAATGAAATAGCCAAATATAGAATTTAAAAACCTATTTACAATAGATATATATAATAAACATAAATTAAACCAATGAAATTAAATATCTCTACAAAGAAAGCTACAAAATACTGATGAAAGAAATCAAGATGGCATAAACAAATGGATAGACATCACATGCTCATTTATCAAACAAATTCAGTAAAGTTTTGGGATACAAAATCAACATATGAAAATTAGTAGTGTTTCTATATACCTATAATGAAATGGCTAAAAAAAATCAAAAAGAAAAACCTATTTACAATAGACACATATAATAAAAATAAATTTAACCAAGTAAATTAAATGTCTCTATAGAGAAAATTACAAAGCACTGTGGATCAGAAAAATTAAAATCATTAAAATTACCATATTGTCCAAAGAAATCTACAGATAGAGTACAATCCCTATCAAAATATCAATGCCATTTTTCAAATAAATAGAACAAATAATTCTAAAATTTGTATGAAACCAACAAACAAAAAAGCCTGAATAGCCAATGCAATCCTGAGAAAATAGAACAAAGCTAGAAGCATTACAATACCTGACTTCAAAATATACTACAAAGCTGTAGTATCCAAATATGTATCATGGTACTAGCATAAAAATAGACACATAGACCAATGTAAGAAAATAGAGAACCCAGAAATTAATCCACATATCTACTGCCAACTGATCTTTGAGAAAATTGCAAAGAACATACACTGAGGAAAGGATATTCTCTTCAATAAATCATTCTGGGAAAACTGGCTAACCATATGCAGAAGAATGAAATTGGACCCCCATCTGTTACCATATACAAAAATCAACTCAAGGTAGATTAAAGACCTAAATGTAAGACCCAAAACTATAAAACTATAGAAGAAATTATAGGGAATATTTTTCAGGACATATGTCTAGGCAAAGATTTTATGGTTAAGAACTCAAAAGCAAAGGCAACAAAAACGAAAATTGAAAAGTGGGACTATATTAAACTACAAAGCTCCGCACAGCAAAAGAAAGAGTCAACAGAGTGAAGAGACAATCTCTTGAGCGGGAGAAATATTTGCAAACCCCTCCCATCCAACAGGGGACTAATATCCAGTACGAAGTCTTACAAGGAACTAAAAAAGAAAAAAATAAAATCTTACTGAAAAATAGGCAAAAGACATGGGTGGCCATTTCTGAAAAGAAGACATATATGTGGGCAATGGGTATGTGAAGAAATGCTCAGCATCACTAATCATCAAGCAAAGGCAAATCAAAACCACAATATCATCTTACCCCATTTAGAATGGCTACAATTAAAAAGACAAAAAATAACAGACGTATGTGAGGATATGGAGAAGACAAAACTCAAACACTGTTGGCGGCCACGTAAATTATTAGCACAGTCACCACGGAAAACAGCAAGATTTCTCAAAAAACTAAAAATTGAACTACCATATGATCCAACAATCCCACTACTGGATAATTATCCAAAGGAAAACAAATCATTATATCAAAGAGATATATGTATTCCCATGTTCATTGCAGCATTATTTTTATTTATTTTTTATTTTTTTGAGACAGGGCCTCACACTGTTGCCCAGGCTGGAATGCAGTGGTGCGATTTCAGCACACTGCAACTTCCACTTTCCTGGGCTCGAGGGGATTCTCAGCCTCCTGAATAGCTGAGACTACAGGTACGAGCCACCAATGCCTGGCTAATTTTTGTATTTTTGTAGAGACAGGGTTTCACCATTTCGCCTAGGCTGGTCTCAAACTCCTGAGCTCAAAGCTGTCTGTTCGCCTAGGCCCCCGAGAATGCTGGGATTATAGGCATGAGCCACTGGGCCTGGACTATTGCAGCATTATTTACAATAGCAAAGATATGAAGTCAATCTAAATGTTCATCAACAGATGAACTGATACAGAAAATTTGGTATATACATACAATGGAATTTTTTTACTATAAAAAAGAATAAAATTATGTCATTTGCAGCAACATGGATGGAATTGGAGGTTTTTATGTCAAGTGAAATAAGCCAGACACAGAAAGATAAGTATTACATGCTCTCACTCAAATGTCAGAGCTAAAAAAGTTAATCCCATGGTTGTAGAGAGTGGAAGTATAGACACCAGAGACTGGGAGGAGTATATGGGGCAGGGGAATAAATAGACGTTGGGTAATTGGTATATACATACAGCTAGATAGAAGGAATAAGTTCCAGTGTGTACTTATTACTCTACTCTAAATACCCTGACTTGATCACTACACATTCTATGCATGTAACAAAATTTCACATGTACCTCATTAATATGTACAAATATAATGTATAACAAGATTACATGAAAGATAAAAGGTATATTTGTGTTCTGTTAAAATGCATTGTAAACTTAAAAATTTTACTGGGTATAAAAGTATAGAACATATATACTTACATATACAGATACACACAAACATACTGTTTGTAGCAGAGATGCTCATTTAGATATTTCACAAGCTAGGGTGTACATAGCAATTTACAAAAATTTAATCCATTGAGTTTTAAGTGTCTTCACTTCTGGGAGTTAGGCATGTTTCTTGTTATATCCTCTGGCTATACTGATGTACATTAGAGATCTAATTAAAAGCTTTCATGCTAAGACTTAATTGACATATTCCTGAAACTCAAGTTAATCTTTCCATTTTTTAAGATATTTTCTTCCCTTTAATAATATGTTATTTGCCAACTTAAGGGTTGGGTTTTATGTTTGTAAATTTTTCCGCGGAGTATCTTCCACATCTGTTCACATCTTCTCCGGAATAGTCTAATTTTTATTCCTACATCGGTAAGCTAGCACTGCCATTACAAACTATCACAGACTGAGGGGCTTGAACAATGGAAATTTATCTTCTCATGTGTCTGCAGGGTGGAAGTCCATGATCAAGGTGCCAGTAAGATTGGTTTCTGGTGTAGCCTCTCTTTTGGCTTGTAGACAGCTGACTTCCTCCTCCGTCCTCACCTAGCCTTTCCTCTGTGCATACATAAAGAGAAAGTAATCTCTAGTGTCTGTTCGTTACCATATAAGGGCACCAGTTCTATTGTATTAGGGACATGCTCTTATGACTTTATAGAATTTAAATTACCCCGTAAAAGGCCCTATCTAAATACAGTCACACTGAGAATTAGGGCTTCAACATATGAACCAGGAGAGACACAATTCAGTCCATACCAATCGCCAGTGGCATTTTTTTCCATTTTCATTATTCTTTGACTTAGTGTTTCATGGACTTTCAATCTAATATTTTTGGATTTAAAATATCAAACTATGTAAGACTTTTGATGTAGTATTCTCTTTAGTTCAGTAAGTATCTGGAGAGTATCTGCTACCAAGGGTAAGAGATAAACCTTATGACTTTGCTTTATGCTTTTATGCTTTATAATTTCAATAAATGTTATCAAACCAGTGATATCAACCTGTTCATAAAGCTTTTATATAATATAATAAAATGATGTTTCTTCCTCATCAAATTACATCCTGAAATTCTAAAGACCATGATGCTATGTGTTTTTTCCAAAGAGAAATACCTCAAACAAACATATAGTGTACATAAAATATACTGACACAATGGAGAGAAGATAATTTTTCCACATATTTGTGTTTGACAGTTTTCAGCATTCAATAACTAAGCAAACTAAATTTCATAGTTTAACTTGTCATGCATAACTCTTCAAATCCTTTGGGGAAAATGTGATATATACCCACACTCATTTGTGAAGTATATGTGCATATGTACATACACACACAAAACACATGTGACAACTAATTTTATAACATTGGGGAAAGTACTACATTTGCTACAACTAAATTTCCTCATTTGCAAAAAGTGGTTTATATCACATTTACATTTATTATTATAAGTGATTAATTTAGTGTTACTCTGATCATCTTGCCTTTTTTAATACTTGCAGATTTCTCCATGGGTTCTGACTTCCTAGCTTTTATTTTCTCCAGTGCTTTTAAAAGTATAGAACCTATGTCTAATTCAATTAATAGTTAATTCACAGTATTTCCAAAGCATCATTAAAGCTTATTTACCTAGTTTTCAGAGTTGGGAAAGAATTAGCATCATTTGCATACAAGCCATTTAATATGAGGAATTTAGTAAGGGTTGCGTTCCTCAAAGCACTTTCACCAATCTTCCCACACACATGTTGATAATATTCTAAAAATTCCATTCAATAATTTGTCTTTGTTTTGTTGTTTAATCTAGATTTTGATTAATTTTATTCATTGTTTTATTGTAAAAAAAAATGAACAGCAAAACTATTTGGCATTCAATACATAAAGAACTGTGTGTGTGTGTGCGCGTGTGTACACTTTTATCTCTTCAAGGAATCTAGGAATTATGTCTTATTATTATCCTCATGTTATGAAGGTGGAACCTTTAGTTCAGAAGTTTTAAGCAAGGTTTTCAAATACTATCTAGCTAAAAACAGTAAAACTGGCAAATTATATCAGTCTGATTCCAGAGCCATCGTGCACAGCTCTTGAATCCTATCTTACATCCTTGCTGCCTACTTTTTTCCTTGCGTTGTGGCAGCAATCAGGTATGTGTAGGAGTGACTTGATAGCACCTGGTCACGGCTGCACAGAGCACTTCTTGGCTTCTAATCCAAGGATTTTCTGCCACTGATATTGGGAATCCTATGAGAATTCATTTGGAAGAATCTACTAACTGTACATTTTAAGTGCATGAATCACAGTTTAAGGAACAGAAGGGAGAAATTTGGAATACTCTGTTTAAGGTACTCTACTACCCATGAAACAGTAAAGTGTTACTTGAGGATGGCCTCAAATTAGTTGGAAATAAATATTTCAGGATTTAGAGCAAGCATATTAGAGCAAGCATAATCATGCATATAGATAATGATATATATAATAATATGGTAAAAGATAAGATAAATAGATAAAATAGAATCATAAAGTGCTCAATTAAAATTAGAACAGGCAGGAGGGGGCAGAAATAAAAAGCAAATGCAACTAACAGAAAACAGTTACAAAACAGAGTTCAGAACAAAGGAAGTAATCAAAAATAAAGAGGGATATTGCATAATTATAAAAGAATCATACTTAAAGACATAGCAATTCTAACATTGTATACACATAACAGCAGAACATCCAAATATAAGAGGTAAACACAGATGAATAGAAGTAAGAAGCAAAGAAATCCACTTTTATTTGCAGACTTCAGTAGCTCTCCTTAAGTGATTGATAAGTAAAGCAGGTAAAAAAAATACATATATAGGTGACATGAACAGAATTGTAAATTAACCTAATCTAATTGACATTTATATAACACGATGTCTAACACCACAGAATGCACATTCTTCTCATGCTTACATGGAACATTCGTCACGTTAGACTACCTTCAAGACCATAAAACGTACCTTAGTAAATTGCAAATAATAGAAACTATACAAAGTATGTTCTTAAGCCACAACAGAATCAAAGAATTAATAATAGAAAGGTAGCAGAATTCTAAATAATTTATGCAGCTACTATGACCTCAAGGAGGTAAAGCATAATTCTTTACTTCTTAAGTCTCTGGAGTGCTCTTAATCACTTACTTCCAAAGAGTACAGTACATGACAAGGAGTAAAACCAACTTTTAATAGATGCATCTGAAAAACACTACTTCAGCCATATGATCAAGGTTAACTTCAATAATGATAAGTCATGTTGATAGTATGTACTCCTGATAGCATATAAGAGTGACACGTTACCTCTTTGATCCTGCTCCCCCAAAAAAACATGCCCTGAGTCTAATCATGAAAAAAATAAACAAAACCCCAGTTGAGGAACAGTCCACCAAATACCTGGTCAGTACACCTCAAAATTGTCAAGGACATTAGTACAAATAAAGACTAAGAAACTCTCATGGCCAAGAGGAGCTTAAGACATTGCAACTAGGGGCTAGGTATGGTGGCTTACTCCTGTAATATCAGCACTTTGGGAGGCCTAAGTGGGAGGATTGCTTGAGGCCAGGAGTTTGAGAACAGCCTGGGCAACTTATCAAAAAAGATAAAATTGACTATTTACCCCACACTGATAGCTAATAGTCTTTATGTACATTATGACCAGGAAACTGCACTCAGGTTTGATTTAGAAGGTAGCAGTGATATGTAACACAGCCTTCTGCAGTTGTGTGGGTGATAAGTGAATGAAAAAAGTTTTCATCTCTACAAATAAGTTGGAAGTGGGAAACTAGGCAGCAAACAAACAACAACAAAAGATATGACAACTAAATGTAATGTGTCTCCTACATAGGATGTTAGAACAGAAAAATGACATTAGGCAGAAACTAATGAATTCTGAATACAATTTGGATATTAGGTAATAACTTATCAATATTAATTCACTAGTTATAAGACATGGCATACATCAAATACTAATGATAGGAGAAATGATTGTGGAATCTATGAGAACTCTCTACACTCATTTCTTCATTGATCTGTAATTCCACAACTGTTCTAAAACAAAAGTTCATTGAAAATATGAGTCAGATCAGTGACACCAAGAACTTATGTGTCACTTACCAGTAGAACCTACTCTATAGATATGTGGCTTAGTAAGTCCGGGCATTGATGCATCTTCTACAGTTTGAAAATTACTTATGCAATGGTGTTTTGTTTAATGTTTCTTACACCGGTGTATCAACAACTGCTCAGTGAGGGACACATAGTTGTTCAGAGTATCACAATCAGAAATAGATTTACTACAAGTAACGGAGTTCTTACAAAATCATTGGCAGAATAGAGAATAAGCCTCTGCACTTTGAGTTTCAAGTCACATAATTGCAGCTGTAATCCAGTGGTCATGAGACAGATGTTACCCTTATTAGCATCTCTCACCCAAGAGGTTGGAAACTAGGCAGCAGATTGTGGGGTCCACTATGGCTCAAACACTCATGCTTGTCAGAACATGCTTCTCACCCGCACAACTGCAGAAGTCTGTGTTATGTATCACTGCTGCCTTCTAAATCAAACCTAAGTCCAGTTAGTTTCCTGGTCATAATGTACATAAAGATTATTAGCTATAAATGATGGATAAGTAGTCAATTTTACCATTTTTGCTTTGTTTTAAATAGACTTTATTTTTTAGAGCTGTTCTAGGTCCATAGCAATATTGAGAGGAAGACATAAACATTTCCCATATAGTCCCTGACTTCCCATAGATGCAGTCTCCTCCACTGTGAACGTCCTCCACCAGAGTGGGGACATTTGTTACTATCTACTATATGAGCGTTGACAATCTCTTATTACGCAAAGTCTATCGTTTACACTAGGGTTCACTCTTGGTGTGGTATATTCTATGGGTTTTAAGAAATGTTTAATGACAAGTATCCACCAGTATAGTATCACACAAAATAGTTTCATTTCCCTAAAATCCCTGTCTATGCTCTGTCTATTCTTCCATTTCCCTCATGTTAGCTCTTTAAATTATCTTTTAAAGGAGATTATAAAAAATTATCTATCCAAATAAAAAATTATCTTAAGTGTTCACATCATGAATGTAATAGATATAATCATTTTATATTTACCTTATATTGCTGCATAACAAATTACTAGGACCTTATCAGCATAAAAAGTTATTATCTCACAGATTCTGTGGCAGGAATGTGAGCACAGCTTAGGTACTTTCTCTGCTCAGGGTTTCACAAGAATGTGATCAATGTCATGGGGCTCTGCATTCTCATCTGGAGGACTATTGTAGGTATGAACACCAGGGGGCAGGAATCATGGGGACCACATTAGGTCTGTCAACTGTACCCAGGGATAATAAATGTGTAGGTTTATTTGTGGTTGGAATCCTAGGCTTTCGGGCAGGATACACTTGGGTTAGAGTCTTGGCTCTGTCTACTGTTAATTTGTAAAGTTGGTATATCACTTTCCGTCTATAAATGGCCATCCTTTCACACATAAAAGGTGGATAATAGTAAGAGCTACCTCAGAGGGATGACTGTGTGAGATAATCCAACTGTTGGCTATTAACATCATACCTACGATTTAGATGTCTAACTCTATCTACTGTAAGATCCCAATGCCAGGCTCAAATTTGTAAAAGGGGATTTGATTATACTAGACCTATAAATACATTATTTCAGTGGAACCTAGCAAGAATTTTCTTGTACTCTTTCAACTTTGGTATGCTTTGGTATCAGCTCCTAAATGAGATAATTTTACCAATCCACATATTTTCCTGCTAACTCCTCCAGGCACTGTTTGAGGTTTATTCTAATGTTTTGTCTTTCCCCCCCAATTACAATTTCTTCTTTCCACCTGCCTCCAGAATTCAACTCTTTATAGCAGCAGTTAAATATTTATAAAGCTTAAGCTACATACTTCCTTTCAAAAATACTGCAGCATAAAATTGAAAAGTAAAACTAAAAATCTAGTGATAGCACCAAGAACAAATATGTTAACTTATTGAATTCTGAAGAGCACAAAGAAATTTTAGAAAACTGTGCTCTTCAGGCCCTTTTCTCAAATTATGGCAGGACTAGTTCTTTTTCTCATACTTTTCAAATCTATTTTGAAAATGAGACAGAAAAAATAAACCTTAACAATTTCAAAAGCCACAAACTCGATAGTAAAACCCAACTGGAATTTCAGAGTTGAAAAGCTTCCTTTCTAATGGTCCAGAATCAGGAGAAAAGTGGGGAAATAGAACTGGCATTTGTTGAGAGTTAGTCATGTATGTATGAGCCACTTTCTATAACTTTTATTATATTTAATATAATTATAATTATTATGTCATTAAGTGCTTACATTTAATCTTTTCACTTCATGAAATGTGTTAGTTGTAGGGAAAGGGGAAAGTTCTAAAACATAGAATCAACTTCCCAATTCTATTTTATAAACTTAATCTTTTTTAAATCCTAGATTGATGTTTATCAAAAAAAAACACAAATAAACCCATTATTTGTCCAATGTCTATTACATCTACCAACAATGTTTAAGCTGGACTCTGACAGACACACACATACACAATACACATACACCTGCACATATACATGGACACATTACTCCCATAATAAAATTGTGGAGTGTTTTATCAAAGAAAGACAGGACATGAGAGATACTGACTTTAGTGTAGGAAGCCTACTATATGAAAAATATCCAATAGGTAGTTTGAAGAGCAGCTGAATCTGATTGAGAAGTTTTCTCAATTAGCTCGGAGAGAGTAAGGGCAGACACACAAGCTTTGCTATTCTTGCCAAATCATGAGTCTGCAGGGCTACTAATGTCAAATGATGCCATTATAAATTGAACAGTGGCATCACCAACTCGCCAATTTATGTATACCTGTGAGGTTATATCCACCTTGAAGAAATAATTTTTAGTTTGCATAAAAATACCTACGGGATAGCAGTATGTATTAGTTAATTCTCATACTGCTATAAGGACATATCAGAGACTGGGTAATTTACAAAGGAAAGAGGTTTAATAGACTCACAGTTCCACATGGCTGGGGAGTCATCACAATCATGGCAGAAGAAGAAAGGAGGAGCAAAGGCCTGTCTTACATAGTGGCAGACGGGAGAGTTTGTGCAAGGGAAGTCCCATTTATAAAACCATTAGATCCCATGAGACTTATTCACTACCAGGAGAACAGCATGGGGAAAACTCCCCCATGATTCAATTATCTCCACCTAGCCCCATCCTTGACACCTGGGGATTATTACAATTCAAAGTGAGATTTGGGTGGAGACACAGCCAAACTACATCACAGTTGCACAAGCAGTTTTTTTTGTTGTTGTTGTTTGTTTGTTTTATGTGAGGTTAAATTAATCTTTCCCTTGTCTTCGAACAAAATCTTCCTTAAGTTTTCTACTAGCAATCTGTGATTTTGGAAAGAGATTGTGTTATTGAAGATGTGAAGAATGACATAAAAAGAAATGAATCTGTCCTCAAGATTTCTGCATGACTAAAGGAGATAATGCATAAAATTATCCAACATAATCTGGGTTACCATTGCCAATTTCTTAGGTTGACATTCAAAGTTTAAAGAATATGATCATATTTACATCTTATGAATTCCAGATTTAAGAAAACACTTACTGTGTTGCCAAAGATCCACATTTCCTGGCGCCTTTGTTTTTGCCTGTGATTTACAGTAATAATCAGCAATATTCTTTGTCCCTGCCAAAAATTTTCACCTATCAAAACCTGTGCATTACTTTAAAACTATCTCAAATTAATATGCTATTACCCACCTAGCTTATATTAGATTCCTTCCTCTGGGCTCTCAGAGTACCCAGTGTAATTCCTTTCTACTGTAATCATCTCTTTTTGTGTGTTTGTTTCCCTTACTAGATTGTGAATAACTTGGACGTAGAAAGTCATGTTTGCACTTTAAATATCTAATTGAATATTTATGGAATACTTTTGAACAAAAATACATCATTCCAACTTCTGTGGTCTACAAAAAAAAGAGAAATTATCCCTAATAATCATTTACCTGCTTTTATATTCCTTTCCCTTCTCACAGGATAAGAAAAAGCTGCCACTGGTACCTTAAACATTGGTCCCTGCTACTTGATTAAATGTAGCTAAAGCATTAAAACTCTTTTTAAATAAGCCATCTTCATGGCTCTTGAAAGACATCTGCTATGACTATTTTTTCCAGAATTAAACTCTTAACTTTCTCTCATGTTGTGTTTTAATTTCTACATTGAGAAGGCAGAATGTCAACCACACCATTTTTCCCTCACAGTAAGTGTTATGAGCCAATCGATGAGAGATAAAGCTGAAAATATTTGCAAAAACTAACTCTCGCTAACTATCAAGAGCTCCCCTATCTGCCACCCTATAGAAAAGTGGTTGAGAATGGGCTGGGCGTGGTGGCTCATGCCTGTAATCCCAGCACTTTGGGAGGCCAAGGCGGGTGGATCACAAGGTCAGGAGGTCGAGACCATCCTGGCTAACACGGTGAAACCCCGTCTCTAATAAAAATACAAAAAATTAGCCGGGTGTGGTGGCGGGTGCCTGTAGTCCCAGCTACTCGGGAGGCTGAGGCAGGAGAATGGCATGAACTCAGGAGGTGGAGGTTGCAGTGAGCCAAAATCACACCACTGCACTCCAGCCTGGGTGACAAAGCGAGACTCCGTTTCTAAAAAAAAGAAAAAGAAAAAAAGAAAAGTGGTTGAGAAAGATGAAGATTGGAATTTAATTTCACTGAACATTCAAGCACAAAATAATTTGATTTTAGATAATAAAATTGTTTTACCTTTTATATTTATTAATTTCATACTATTAAAGTGCAAGGAAATTTAATCATAGAACTTTAATGTATTACCAGAAAATTCACGGTGGGTAAGACATTATCTTCAAAGTGGGGCATCTTATAGTTAAAATTCTATTATTGAAATATATTTGGTATATTATAAGATCTCATTGCAAAATCTCTGATGGGCTGTAATGGCACAGAAAATAACTTAAAAACTGATTTTAAGATTAGTTAGAGTAGTTTTGATGCTATTTAAAAAATACTGCACTTACATTTCATACTGCACTTACATTTCAAAACTTTTAGGAGGTAAAATTTACACAATCCACGAGGGGGTCCAAGAGGATCCAGAAAGGAGCAAAATTGATGCCGAAGAAAGGTTCATGAAGGTGGGGGCAGGGTTATCCTCATAGACAACCCTAACTGATAGGGTTGATAACCCTAATTGATCACCTCAATTATAACCCTAATTGCTCTCCTCAATTATGCCTCTGACTGACTGCAGGTTTGAAGGCTAAGCCCAGGCATTTAAGAGCAAAGAGCTAGGGGACATCGACTATATTCCTTTCACCCATGTTGAGGTACAGCCAAAGCAGGACACTCATGGCCTTTTTGTATACATCAGTTACATGGAGTCTGATGATTGGATGGACTCACAAAACTTCTCAGGGTGTGTTCATGTAAGACTTTGATGGTGTAAAAGATATGGTGGCATGGGAGAAGGAAAGCACAGGCAACATCAAGGGACCTAAGATCTCCAGGTATGACTCCCCAGGGTTCCTGCTCAGTCACACAGATTTTCACCTGCCATACCTTTTTGTTTCCTTAACGAGTATCATACTCTGGTGAACAAAACAAAAATGCCATTCTTTGAGTTTCCTGAAACCCCAACAGAGTGATGAAGTTTTTTTTTTTTCTATTAACTAACTTTAATCTGTCATGTCTGATATATTGCATTTTGCCTTTTACACTGATCTGGGTGATTCTAATTGTTATAAATTTGCAATGTCCTTTTGTGCAGTGATGCTCTGTTATTGTGCCTTCCCCTTGGAAGGAAGTAAATAAGCCAATTAACCTGAAATACTACTCAGCTTTCTTAAGCTAACATCATGAATTTTGAATATTTATATGGTCAGCAAGTCTGTTGGAGGTCACAGTGAAATTGACACACGGACTACTAATACAATTTTTAAATTACATTATAATGAAGTGTTTGTTTTTTTTTCATTATTTTGGGGTCAAATGAAAGACACACCATAGACAAATAATTAAAGCAATCTTAAACACATTTGTAAAATAGATTATTACTTCCCACGTTTTCCAATGCATTTTCAAATGTACTTCTAGCCTTTCATCACCCTAAAGATATATGAATATATAATTTAAAACTGTATTTGTTTGTCAATCCTCAGAATGTCATAGCTTCAATATTTGAGCGAGATTGGTTGCATTTGTTATCTATATTTATTATGCAATGATTTTAGGGGAAAATTTCAATAACAGGTCAATGAAATAAATATATCACTAAAACTTTATTTTTCTTATGTAATAAATGAATTTCATTTTCAGATGAATCCATCAAGCTTAGTATAAAAATGAGTAGCTCCATGGAATGTAATACAAATGTAGTAGCATGCCGTTTCCAACCCTCTTGAACTAATGAGGCATTTCACAGAACTGTTCTAGTAACAAGAGACCCATGAAGAGGGTCAAGATCTTTGTGATCATTGTTTGACAAGGCAGAAAGCTTAAAGGGTTTGTTCTTTTTTATCAACCACACTTTAAACTTTAGACCTGCTTTGTTTATCTACTCTCCTCTGTATTTGCTTTCTCTACTGAAGCCTCATATGTATTTCCTTGGGAAATAAAAAATGAGAACTAAGGGGTGATTCTCAGCAATTATATCTACATGACCCAGTTTTCCCCGCTAGGCATTCTTGATCTCATGGCAAATTCCACTTCTCTCATTTTTCCCATAGATGTATCCTACACCAACATCTTTGCTTATAAGACAAACTGCAAATTGCCATAAGCGTAGATTCTAAGAAATTGAAAGTAACTTTTAAAGTCTGAAATTCACTATTTCCAAGTATAATCAATTTTATATTATAAGCTAAAGTATGTTATGTATAGAATAAATGATAAAATATGGGTTGGACTATTCAGAATCATGCTATTTCTAATGTTCATGTTCCAAAGATATGTAATATTCAAATAACTTAGAAAAATACAATTTCCACAAAGGGTACAGTGAACAGAGCCTCTGCCCCTAATTCCTGTTTTCTTTCCTGTTGTGAAAATCTAGAAAAGTTACAATGAATTTCAAAGGTTCTTTCCTCTGCCTTTTTCTACTTATTCTAGGATGAAGCAAAAGAGTTTAGCTGAGAAGCAGAGTTTCTGCTTTTTATTTTCAGTGTTCATCTAGGACATACTTTTGATCCCCCTGAAAGTACCAGTATCAAAGATTCTTCTCTGTAAGAAGACAACATACCTGGGTACCATGTATGAAAAATATTATTGCTGTAAGGAATATAATGTTTTTGAAATTTATTTCAGTTTGTTCCTCTTTTCAGTAATGTTTCCTTTACCACATGCCACCCTCTTCAGAAACTACCACAATGGCCTCCTCCCTTTATAGCAAAACATTCTAAAATTATGTCCTACTGTTTCTGCTTGTTTCCTACATCATTTTCCCTATACACACACTCCTATTAGGCTTCAACCCCCATCACGTGCTGAGAGTGTTATTGTCAAGTACAGCTACGACATCCATGCTACAATCCAATGCCATTTTTATGTACTGCATCACTCAGGGTTGAAACAGAAAACAGATAATGTAATAAAACTAGTGTAACTCAAGGAAAGTTGAGTACTAGGTGTATTTACAACTTGTAGGAAAAGTCTAGAGAAACCATAGGGATCATATAGCACCTAAGATCAATTAACATTGGGAATTTTATTGACCCTAATCCCAGAATGAGGAAGGAAGATGGACTTACTAATCAAAAAGAAAATTTTCATGGAAAAGGGACCACTTCCAAAGGAGCTACGTCCTCTAGTAGAGAAACTTAGCCAGTCCAAGGCAAGCCCTTCAGAAGTGAGATAGGGGAATAAACACTGAATTTCCTTGCCTCTCTCTATCAAATGTCATGCTGAAGATTCCAGTTAGCTGAGTCGAAAGAAGCCAGAGATCAAGGACGATGATGATTAAGCCACCATCTCACCTTCCTGGGATAGAATGGAGGCAGGAGAAGGATGGAGAGTGGATCTGGAAGGTTATAGAGAGAATATCTTGAATCCATCCCCTTATCTCAATAGCTGGCCACTCCCTGCTTCCTGAAGTGCTTTCCCCCATTGTCTTCCACACCACCACCTCTTCTTGGGGTTCCTCTTAGGACACTAACCACTCCATCTCCTACTCTACTCAATTTTTAAATGTATTTTTCCAGGCCTTCTCTTTCCATATGACCTCAATTTTATAACAGCTTTAAATAGTAAAGTTGCTGGTAAGTCTCAATTATGGCCTCAACCTAGAATTGTTTTGAGTTGCAAATCCTCTGATGAGATATAAAAACCCAGAAAATCATGTAAAAATAAATTTTGAGGTTAGAATGGTTTTGGTGCTATTTTTAAAAATACACATACTGCACTTACATTTAAAAGCCTTCTGGAGGTAAAATTTACACAGCCCTCAACGTTATGTATTAAAGTGGCTTCTTGATATCTCTGTTGAATGGATGTCTTAGAGGAAACCTCCAATTTGACATACAAAGTAGAGCAAGCCCCACCTTCTCTCCTCCCTCCCACCTTCTCTCCTCCCACCTCTGACCAAATACCATTGTTCTAACCTTTCCTATCTTTGTAAATAGAATCATAATCTACCTACCTGTTCAATCCAAAACTGTAGAATCTCTCTTAACATTCTTCTTTGCTCTCCTGCATTGTAACTAATCCACAAAAATGTCCTGTGGACTCTACCCAAAAAATAGCCCTCAAGTATCCTCTTCTCTCCATATGTCACCATTTATGATACACATTTCAATATAGCTATACAATAGATCTGTCTGCTAGCTCTCTTTGCCCTTCTACACTCTCTCCATAAAATTCCAAAAAAGCCCAGGGTGACCTTTAAAAAATATAAATCGGATCATGTCACATCTCTACTTGAAATCTTCCAAAACTTTCCCTTTCCATGTGAACACAAATCCAAATGTTTTCATTGTGGTAAAAATCCCTGTTGACTTGGTGCCTGCTCTGCCTGCTGAGCTGTTTGACCTAATCTGTTCTTCTCCCAGCATTTTATTTTTTACACTGACACACAATATTTATGCATTTATGCTCTTCTTGCTTCATGAGCCTTATCTTTATTTTTATTTTATTCTATTTTAAATTGACATATTATAATTGTACATATTTGCAGGGTACAAAGTGATATGATACATGTATACAATGTTTAATAATCAAATACAGTAGATATATATATCTATATGTAACTAGCATATCTGTCACATCAAACGTTTAGTTTTTTTGTGTGTTAGGAACAGGCAAAATACTCTCTTCTAGCTATTTGAAAATGTACAATAAATTAACTATTATCACCCTATAGTGCTATATGAGAACTTAGTCCTCCTATTTAGAGGTAATTTTTTGTATGTTAACCAACTTCACCCATCCCCCCAACAGTCTTCCCACCTTTAGTAACCACAATTTTACTTTCTGCTTCTATAAGTTCATTTTTTTTTTTAGTTCCTACCTATGAGTGGGAACATGTGGTATTTATCTTTCTGTGCCTGACTTATTTTACTTAACATAATGTCCTCCAGGTTCAAGTTCAACTATGTTGCCACAGACGACAGGATTTCATTATTTTTATGGCTCAGTAGTATTCCATTGTAGATATACATAAATATCTCCCATAGTTTCTTTATCCATTCATCTGATGATGGACCCTTTGGCTGATTCCATATCTCAGCTATTGTGACTAGAAAAGAAGTCTATAGAGATACTTCTTTTTTAAAATCTGATTTTATTTTTACAAAGAAGCAAAATCTTTCCTTGTGTTCATGAATATGTCAGTATTTATCACTCAAATTGGTATAGTGAAGCTAGGAAGTGTGAGATATACTCCAAAGGTAACTTCTGAGATAAATTGGGGATCTAAAAGTCAGAGATAATAAAGTTTGTTTCTATGGTTCGTAATTTCTTTGGGTGAATATTCCTGTTCTGAATTAGGGAAGACTTGCTTGAATGACAAATAATTGCTCTGCCAACCACTTCTATGTATCATAAACCCCCCAAATGGTATCACATGCAGAAACGAATTTTTAAATTTATGCAGTAGGATTGTTCCTGAGCTGAATGATGTGCTTTGTTATTCCTGATGTCTCAGTTTTGATATATCTTATTATTAGAAATTATTTCATTTACGCTATTATTATTTTATATTGGAATTTATTTTTCCTATTCAAAATTGCAATATCCTGGTACATTTTATTATTTAGAAACATTATTCTCATAATCCAAATAATAAATTGCATCTTAACACCAAAATTAACCTTATTCTGTGAAGTTATCGTTTCTTTATTCCTCTAAAAGTGACAATATGTTATAAATAATGAAGTGTAAATCCCATTTGGGTCATAGTTTCAGATGTCAAGAGATGTGAAGAGACAAAAAGTGAGACTAACAACAGGAAGTCTCTGTGTATCTTTTCATCTTCTAGCCTGTCAAAAACATGGAAGTTTGTGCTCAACACAATGTCTATAATTATAGTTCTAGATGCCAAAAAGAGTTACTGTGTCTGTTAAAAAGATAATTACAGCTACTTTACAATTCAAATCTATGTTCAGTTACCTTGTGAAATCTAAATGAATGCTAATCTGACCTTATGTTTCTAAAAGGCACTATATTTTTTAACACTATTTTAAAAATTGAGGGTGACAAATACTTTCACATCTTCAAAACGGTTACACATTAAACAAGCACTTCAACTATCACCTTGAACATAGTGAAAAGTTTTAGCAACCATAAAATTCATCTCTCAGAAGCCCTTAACATTTTCACTTACTTCAGATATGACTATTTACTCGACAGTTCAAATGTGGGTATCTGTAGCAGTGAGGATCTAGACAGAAAACAGATGGCACACTCAAACTGAGTAATTCAAGATAGTCTAATAAAGGTGGTATTTAAAAGGGTGAATCTGGGAAACTAGCAAGGGATAGTGAAGTTCCCTATGCTGGCAAGAGCTGGAAGCCTTTACTTCCTGTAGGTCTTGTACAGCAGGTTCACTGTACACTGTTTACCACATGCCCAAGTCTGATGAGATGAAACATCTACATATAAAACAAATTAAATGAAGTAGATTTATTACTTAGATAGGCAGCAAGGGACAGCAGAAGCCTAGGATTCAAAATGAACTTGTCCCTCAAATATCAGGAAAGCTGTCTGGGGTAGATGTAGTCCTATCTGCAGGTGCTCCACTTGCACTAGAGATTAGGAGCCCCGGAAAGCAGCCCACACCTGGTTTTGTACCCTGGGAAAATGTGACTTGCTTGATTAAAGGACTGAAGTCTGTTCTAAGAACATCCTATTATAGGAGACTCTGGAACTCAGACCAAGTTGTTCCAGAAAGCTCCTCCTTATCTCAGGATGTTGCATTTCTAGAACATTCAACAGTTATTCTTCAGAATTACAAGAAAGAAAGGAAGGAGAAATGGGCTGGTCCAAGAATACTTGGAGAACTGTCTTGCAGGACTAAATGGATGTGGAGAGGAAGTAGTTATCCGAACCAGAAGAGTGAGATCTGTTTTTAGAGTCTCAGCGAAAGGAGTGTGGCTTTCAATAAAGAGATCACATAATTTCCTGTGACCTGGCAAAAAAAGAAAAGTAGTCAAAATAATGCATATCCTATGTGCCGTCAACTTTTATTTTTAATCCTCTTTATGCCAAATCCACTAGGAAGCCATAGGTTAAGGGTGTGAATTGATACAATGCACACATGCCACCCTTCTGAGGCACAGAGCAGAATTAGGCAGAGTAGACAATGGAACCAGAGGAGGAAAAATAAAATGCATGGGGCAATATATAGTCAATTTGGAAACAACTTTCAACTGAGGCATTACAATATATTATTTTCTATAGTACTATAACGCTCCCAAATTTTAAAGAATTAACTTCAAAACTGCTCTGGATAATTTATCCAAGGAACATGCATTTTACTATATCACTTTATGGTACAATTACAAAGATTGCCTTATCTAATATCCAAAGCAACTGGATGGTAGTAGGTACTATTAGCACACAGTAGCTAAGATATTTAAATATGTTGCTCTAGGCCACACAGCTTAAAAAATGAATGGAAAATGAATAAAACTTTGAATACTATAAGCTGAATGTTGGTCATATTGTTCTTACTACATGCCCAGGCATTCTTCTAAGCATTTTAAATGTATAAACTCATTCAATGCAGGAAGTGTTATCTGAATTATACATTGTAATTATTATCCTCATTTCACAGACTAGTAAACTCAATCAGGGGAATAGTAAGCACTTTGTCCAAGGTCAAACTGCTAGAGTCAGGATTCATCCTCAGGCATCTTGGTGTCAAAGTCTGTGTATTTTTATATAAATTTTCATCAGGATTATACATTTGCTGAATGACTTAGGCAAGGAAGTAAACAACATCACTGAAATAAATATTATATTTGGATTCAAATGTTGTCTGTAAATTAAATAGAAAAATAGAGATAGATCAGTATAGTGTGAATGGAATTTTACTAAATTGAATGTATATTAAATTTTATATATCTTATCAAGGGACCATTTAGAGATAATGTCAATAAAATAGAATTTTGTCACAAGATAATGATCTCCTGCTGTTACATAACCATGAACGTGAAGCCAAGTTATTTATTTTCAAAGCAGGGAAAATCAATCCCAGAATTATGTTCTGTAACTGAGATTTTAGTTCTGTTATACAAAATGATGCATGTTGATTTAATAATTTTGCCTGACGGATGTTTGAGAGAGAAAATGACAGATGTTCTTTGCACCATTGCAAGCTGGAGGCATTCTGCCGGGCTTAGAAAATATACCTGTTGTATGTTTTCCCTAATCAGAAACCGTCATCCATAAAAGTGATGAGGTTGCACCCCTGTTGTAATCTGCACCTGTGTGAATGAGATGATTTATGACCCGTTAAGATTGCTGTAGTTTTTAACTTTATTCAGAGCATAGTGGTCAACAATGCAGCCATAAGGTCTAAGAGAGCAGAATGTATATATAGTACTTAAAAACGTGAACTGACAGCAAAACAACTACAGAAAGGTCTGTTGTACTTGTATTAATCATGATTCAACTTTACCAGATAGATTTCTAGTTATTGCTTACTTGAGTCCCAATAGAAAAACACTTCAAGGTTTCACACAGCCCAGAGTATACCCAAAGACGTCTAACTCCCAGAAAAACATAATAATACATATTTGTGATGATACATTAAATAACACTGTGTATTTCAATATTTGTGATTGTTTTCTAAGTTGTTTCTGAATATTTATTTATAATTCATTTCTTATGTGCAGCCACCCAGAGAGTTAGATAGTTCTACACTGATTTACTGAGTAAACTGAGAAATAAAAAGAAAGAAGATGAAAAAAGACAATCAATGAAAGTGTTAGGTGTTCTGATTCCTATTCCATATACTTAAATCAAATTATGCCACAAAGCCTTTCATCCTTGCAAAATTATTTGCTTTTTAGTAATATATGGCTTGCCATAGTTTGCTCTTTTTTGAACTACTAAGATATTTCCTAAAATCAGAAAATGTGGTTTTAAATGTATTTTAAAGCTAAAGTACCAAAGTGATTTATTAAGTGCAGATAATTTTCAAATACTTGGAAATAAATATTTTATAAAACTAAATATCTTCTTGATTACAAAGTCAGGAATTAATAAGCAAGTTATAAAATGTTTGTATATAAATTGAGTTTTAAGACCTTACTCTTAGATCTGGGGTTAATGAGTACCATGCCTCTTGTCCACCCAAATTCTAAACAACTGAGGAATTGGACAAGAGAGACAGTCGATGGGTAGCAAATATTCACTGATGGGGCTGATGTAAGATATTGTTTATATATGCAAGAAAGTTGTCTTCCTGACACCAACCCTCAAATCTTAAGAGATGGACCCACATAATTGCAGCAGTACAAAAACAGGACAGGTCACTCCAGGTGGGAATTATCCCCTTTAATATTTAAGAGGTGGGTGAGCAAAGCAGAAGAAGTGCAGAGGATTTTCTCTTGGATTCACTCTAAGAGAAAAGAAGAGGAAAGACTGGGCCACAAATGTTTGTTTGTTTCTTTGTTTCTCCATCAAACTCATTCAAGATATAATTTGTGTCACCTCCCTCTAGGCAGAGTAAATAAAGAAAACATAGAAAGCCAGGATTATTATGTTATTATAGTTCCTTTCAAGGAGAAAAGCATCATTTTCCATTATGCATCACTACTCCAGCCATCTACACCTCTACTAATATTCTCTCTACACAAAAGAATATGATTTGCTGCATAACAAATCATTCGAAATTTTAGTAGCTTAAATCAACAGCCACTATTTCTATTTCTGTTTACTATTTCTCACCGTTCTCTGTTCTGACTGGGAAGATCTTCTCTCCATTGGGATATGTGAGGTCACTCAAGCTGAATGGGCTTGGCTGGAAGGTCTAAAGAGACCTATTTCACATCTCTGATCCTGAGTGCTCATGGTGACTGGGGTGTCTTTGTTCTCTTCCACTTGGTCTCCTCTCTCTGTCTCTCTCTCTCTCTCTCTCTCTCTCTCTCTCTCTCTCTCTCTCTGTCTCTCTCTCAGTCTGTCCTCATGATGCCTCAGCTTCCAGGACCTTTTGAGTCCAGCAGAAAAGCTTGGACTTCTTTACAACATGGCAACTAGGTTGCAAGAGAGCAAAAGTGCAAGTTTCCAGACCTTTTAAGGGCTAATCCAAGAATTACTTGTATAATGTCACTTCTGGCAAATTCTACTGATCAAGACAAATCACAGATCCAAGTGGAGGAAAAGTAGACTCCATCTCTGGATGGGAAAATGCACAAACAGAGTTGACAGAAATTACTGGCAGCCAAACTTGCAGACAAGCTATTATTTCAACCCCTCACCTCTGCCAACATTTTTCTTATTACATCTTATGCCTAACCTGCTTCCCAACCTAGGAGAGAGATATCCACCATAACAAACAATATATTGCCTATGATCCTTCTGCCTGCAGGCTTTCCTTCCCTGGCTCCTTTCTTACATCCTGTATTCTAAATTAATTCTGTTTCATCTTTAGATTTAGAGCTGGTAGGTTGATGCCAAGTTATCAAGTGCATGTGACAGCTTTTTGGGAACAATCCTTTAGTCTCCTTCTCCAATCTAATGGGTATGGCACTGTGTACATTGTGCATTGGGTACTGTTTGGGCCTTGCTATAAATAAATACCTGAGACTGGGTAATTTATAAAGAAAAGAGGTACAATCGGATCAAGGTTCTGCAGGCTATACAGGAAGCATGATGTTTGCATTTACTCAGCTTCTGGGGAGGCCTCAGCAAATTTACAGTCATTGCAGAAGTTGAAGTGCGAGCAGACACATCACATGGTCAGAGCAGAAGCAAGAGCAAGACGGAGGAGGTGCCACACACTTATAAATAATCAGATCTTGTGAGAATTCACTCACCCTCATGAGAACAGCACTAAGGGGATGGTGCTAAACCATTCATGAGAAACCCACACCCATGATCCAATCACCTCCACCAAGCCCCACCTGCAACATTGGGATTACAATTCAGCATAAGACTTGGTGGGGACACAGATCAAAATCATATTAGACTCCATTCCTGATTTGAACATAATACTCATCTTCAGGGGAGGGCAAGAAGGATGACTAGATGCAGCCAGGTGGAACAGCTTCCACTGAGGGACCAAGATGCAGATTGGCATACCCCTGACAGATCTTCAGAGGGAAAGCACTGAAAGTGGATGTAGGGAAAGCACAGAAGCTGGGCTGAAGGGGAAGACAGCTGAGAACCCTACATGGGGCTAACACACATCAACACTCATTCCTGGCCCACAACAGCTCCAGGGAATTGGGTGTGTTGAACTAACAAGGAAAAACCTGCTCTAGTCACAGGCCTCTGGAACCCCAGAAGGAGGAGATCCCTTGACCACCATGGACACTTAAGTTGGCAGAGAGAGCTGCTTAGAGAAGTAGCAGGGCCAGCAAGCCCTGATATGGAGCCCAGAAGGTTTGGTGTGAGAGCATCACTAGCAAAGCATGGCCAGGGACGGCCATCCCCATAGGCTTGACTTGCTTCCATAGGAGATGTGATGTTTAATATTGAGTGTCAAATTGATTGGATTGAAGGATGCAAAGTATTTTCTAGGTGTGTCTGTGAAGGTGTTGCCAAAGGAGATTAACATTTGAGTGAGTGAACTGGGAGATGTAGACCCACCCTCAATCTGGGTGGGCACCATCTAATCAGCTGCCAGCACAGCTAGGATAAAAGTAGGCAGAGGAATGTGGAAGGACTAGACTGACTGAGTCTTGTGGCCTCCATCTTTCTCCCATGCTGAATGCTTCCTGCCCTTGAACACTGGATCCAAGTTCTTCAGCTTTTGGACTCTTGAATCTACACCAGTGGTTTGTCAAGGGCTATCAAGGTATGTCAAGGGCTATCAAGCCTTCAGCCACAGACTAAAGCTGAGTGGTCAGTTTCCCTACATTTGAGGTTTTGGGACTCGGACTGGCTTAATGACTCCTCAGCTTGCATGCAAGTGGCGTATTGTGGGACTTCACCTGGTGATCATGTGAGTCAATACTCCTTAATAAACTCCATTTCATATACACATCTATCCTATTAGTCCTGTTCCTCTGGAGAACTCTGACTAATAAAGGAGACTTTAGCCCTAGAGGAACTGCTAGACCTAATCTCTGAAGGGCAGACTTGCCCATCAGATGAGGCTGGTACAACCTAAGCACCTCTTGGTCTGCTTGCCTCTCCCAGGCCCCTACCCTAGCCACACCTGCTTGCAGGGCAGTCTTGAGTGCCCTAGGGGTCCACACCATAGTTTCTGCACTGGTGGATCATGCCTGAGAACTCCAGTGTGGTGGTCCCTATAGCCACACACCAGCTCAATCTCTCCCTCCCCTAGAACAGCTTCCTCTGGGCCCTCAGTAAACCCCACATGGCTTTGCTGGATTGTGTCTGCACAGACAGTGATATGGTTAGGCTTTGGGTCCCAACCCAAGTCTCATCTTAAATTATAATCCTCATAATTTGCAAGTGTCAAGGGAGAGACCAGGAGGAGGTAATTGAATTATGGGGGTGGTTTTCCCCATGCTGTTCCCATAACAGTGAGTGAGTTCTCATGAGATCTGATGATTTATAAGGGGCTCTTCCCACTTCCTCAGCATTTCTCCTTCCTGCCCCCTTGTGAAGAATGTGGCTTGTTTTGTCCTCACCTTCTGCCACGATTGCAAGTTTTGTGAAGCCTTCCCAGCCGTGCTGAACTGTGAGTCAATTAAACCTCTTTCCTTTATAAATTACCCAGTCTCAGGAAGTTCTTTATGGCAGTAAGAAAACGGACTAATAAAGGCAGGTTTTTCTTTCCTTGCCCCACCAGCATGCAGGAGTGCAGTTCGACCCCTCCCTCTGCTGATGGCCATTGCCGATGGAGTCTAGGTCAGCAGAGCCAGCAAGCCCTGATACCCCTGGTGCCCATCCCTTGAGCTAACACTGCCCAGAGAATAATGTATCCTCTTTGGCCCTGTGCAATCACTCCTGCTTGTGGGGCACAGAAAAGACACTCAGACCTGTACCCAGCAAAATACCACCTCGAGCTAATACCATCTCCAGCATGACCACACACAGTCACCAGCAGGGGACCCCATGCCACCCAAGCTGCAATGTCGCTGCCACTGTGGTGAATGCCTGCAAAGAGGCAGGCACTCAGCATCCACTAGCACTCTTCTGCAGTTGCTGAAACTCAGCCTCTGCAGTGCAGTGGGTTCCAAATCTCAAGGAGCCAGAAAACAAAATCAGGGCCCTATATAAATCTCCCAGAGAGACAGCACATAGTCCAGGAGTTGGGAACTGAGCATTGGCACCCTAAGATCTCCCAGAAATGAAGCCAGTTGGCTGAATTCAACTTATACCACAATCAAACCCTCAAAGTCATCAAATAGGATAAAAGAAAAAAAAATCTAAAAGCAACCTCAAAGACTGAAGATAAATAAGCCCACAAAGATGAGAGAGAATCAGTTCAATAACCCTGGAAATTCAAAAAGCCAAAGTGGCTTCTTTCCACCAAATGACTGCGTCACCTCTCCAGCAAGGGTTCTGAGCTGGGCTGAGATGGCTTTTGAAATGACAGAGAATTCAGAATATGGATAGGAATAGAGATCATTGAGCTACTGGAGTACTTTAAAACCCAATCCAAAGAAGCTAAATATCGTGATAAAACAAGGCAGAAGCTGACAGACAAAATAGCCAGTATAGAAAAGAACATAACTGACCTGATAGAGCTGAATAACACACTACAAGAATTTCATGGTGCAATCACTAGCATTAATAGCAGAATAGACCAAGCAGAGGAAAGAATCTCAGAGCTTGGAGACTGGCTTCCTGAAATAATACAATCAGACAAGAATAGAGAAAAAGGAATAAAAAGAAGCAAACAAAACCTTCAAGAAATATGGGATTATGTAAAGAGACCAAGTCTACAACTCACTGGTATCCAGGAAAGAGATGATGAGAATGGACCAACTTGGAAAATATATTTCAGGATATGATCCATGAAAATTTCCCCAACATAACTAGAGAGGCCAACATTCAAATTCAGTGAATGCAGAGGACCCCAGTAAGATACTTAAGAAGATCATCTGCAAGACACATTATCATCAGATTTACTAAGAATGAAATGGAAGAATACATATTAAAGGCAGCCACAGAGAAAAGTCAGGTCACCTACGAAGAAAAACACATCAGACCAACAGTGGACCTCTCAGCAGAAAGCCTACAAGCCAGAAGTGATTAGGAGCCAATATTCAACATTCTTAAAGAAAAGATATTCAAACCCAGAATTTCATATCTGGCCCAACTGGGCTTCATAAGAGAAGGAAAAATAAGATCCTTTTCAGACAAGCAAATGCTGAGGAAATTCATTACCACTAGACCTGCCTTACAGGATCTCATGAAGAAAGCCCTAAATATGGAAAGGAAAGACCATTACCAGGCACTACAAAAACACACTGAGGTACACAGACCAGTGACACTATATAGAAACCATATAAAGAAGTCTTCAAAGTAACTAGCTAACATCATGATAATAGGACCAAATACACACATATCAATACTAATCTTGAATGTAAATTGGCTAAATGCCCCAATCAAAAGGCAGTTTGGAAATGTGGATAAATAATCAAGACCCATTGGTATGCTGTCTTCAAGAGACCCATCTCACGTGCAGTGACACACAGGCTTAAAATAAAAGGATGGATAAAAACCTACCAATAAAATGTAAAACAGAAAAAAACACAAGGGTTGTAATCCTAGTTTTTGTGACAAAACAGACCTGAAACCAACAAATACCAAAGAAGACAAAGAAGGACATTACATAATGGTAAATGTTTCAATTCAACAAGAAGATCTAACTGTTGTAAATATATATGCACCCAACACAGGAACACCCAGATTTACAAAGCAAGTTCTTAGAGACCTTCAAAGAGGCTTAGACTCCCACAAAATAATAGTAGAAGACTTTAACACCCAACTGACACTCTACAGATCATCAAGAGAGAATATTAACAAAGATATTCAGGACCTAAACTCAACATTGGATCAAAGGGACCTGATAGGTATCTAGAGAAATCTCCACCCAAAACCAACAGAATATACATTCTTATCACCACATGACACTGACTCCAAAATGGATCACACAATCAAAGGTAAAACACTCCTCAGAAAATGCAAAAGAACTGAAATCATAACAAACAGTTTCTCAGACCACAGCAAACCGTTTCTCAGACCACAACACAAACAAATGCAAAATCAAGACTAAGAAATTCACTCAAAACCATACAATTAAATGGAAATTGAAAAACCTGCTACTGAATGACTTTGGGATAAATAATGAAATTACGGCAGAAATCAAGAATTTCTTTGAAATGAATTAGAATAAAGATACAACATAGCAGCATCTCTGGGACACAGCTAAGACAGTGGTAAGAGGGAAATTTATAGCACTAAATGCCCACATCAAACAGTTAGAAAGATTTAACGAGCCTAACATTACAAGTAAAAGAACTACAGAACAAAGAGTAAAGAAATCCCAAAGCTAGCAGAGGACAAGAAATAAGCAAAATCAGATCTGACGTGGAGATGGAGACACAAAAATATTTTAAAAATTAACAAATCCAGGAGCTGTTTCTTTTAAAAATATATATATAATTAATAATTAATAAAATAGGTACGCAACTAGCTAGACTAATAAAGAAGAAAGCAGAGAAGATTCAAGTAAACACAGTCAGAAATGACAAGGGGGATATCACCACTGACCCTACAGAAATATGAACAACACTGAGAGAATATTATGAACATCTCTGTGCACATAAACTGGAAAAACTAGAAGAAATGGATAAATCCCTGGACACATACACCCTCTCAAGACTGAAATAGGAAGAGATTGAATCCCTGGACAGACTAATAATGAGCTCTGAAATTGAAGCAGTAATAAATAGGCTACCAAGCAAAAAAAGCCCAGGATAAGATGGATTCAGAGCTGAATTCTACCAGATGTACAGAGAAGAGCTGGTACCACGCCTGCTGAAACTATTTCAAAAAAAAAATGAAGGCATAGGGACTCCTTCCTAACTCATTCTATGAGGCCAACATCATCTTGACCTGGCAGAGACACAACTAAAAAAGAAAACTTCGGGCCAAGATTCTTGAAGAACATCCGTGCAAAAATCCTCAACAAAATACTGGCAAACAGAACCCTGCAGCACATCAAAACCTTGTCTGCCACAATCAAGTAGGCTTTATCCCCGGGATGCAAGGTTTTTTCAACACACCACAAATCAATAAATGTGATTTACCACATAAATAAACTAATGACAAAAACTACCTGATTGTCTCAATAGATGCAGAAAAAGCTTTTGATAAAATTTCAACACCTCTTTATGTTAAAAACTCTCAATGAATTAGGCATTGAAGGAACATACTTCAAAATAATAAGAGCCATCTATGACAAACCCAAAGTCAACTTCATACCGTAGAGGCAAAAGCTAGAAGCATTCCCCTTAAAAACTGGCACAAAACAAGGATGTTCTTTCTCACCACTCCTATTTGACATAGTATTGGAAATCCTGGCTGGGGTAATCAGGCAAGAGAAAGAAATAAAGCACATCCAATAGGAAGCACTACCCCACTACCCCTGTTTGCAGATGACATGATACTATATATAGAAAACCCCATAGTCTCAGCTCAAAAACTTCTTCAGCTGATAAACAACTTCTGCAAAGTCTCAGGATAGAAAATTCTGTGCGAAATCACCAAAATTACTATACACCAACAACAGTCAGCTGAGAGCCAAATCAGGATTGCAATCATATTCACGATTGCCACAAAAATAACAAAATACCTAGAAATAAAACTAACCAGGGAGGTGAAAGATCTCTGCAAGGAGAACTACAAAGCACTGTTCAACAAAATCAGAGATGATACCAAAAAAATGGAAAACATGGATAGGAAGAATCAATATTGTTAAAATGTCCATACTGCCCAAAGCAATTTAAAAAGTCAATGCTATTAGTATTAGACTACCATTTACATTGAATCATTGAATTCTACTAGATATACAAAGAAGAGCTGGTACCACGTCTGCTGAAACTATTCCAAAACAATTGAAGAGTAGGAATTCCTCCCTAACTCATTTGAGACCATCATCATCCTGATACCAATACCTAGCAGAGATACAGCAAAACAAAAAGCTCCAGGCCAATATGGATAGGATGTTCATGGATAGGAAGAATTAACTTAGTTAAAATGGCCATACATCCAAAAGCAATTTTTGGAGTCAATGCTGTTCCTATTAAACTACCACTGACACTCTTCACAGGACTAGAAAAACAAAAACTATTTTAAAATTCATATGAAATAAAAACAGAGCCTGACTGGCCAAGGCCATCCCAAGCAAAAAGAACAAAGCTGGAGGCATCATGCTTCCCAACTTCAAGCTATACCACAGGGCTACAGTAACCAAAACAGCAAGGTACTGGTACAAAAATAGACACATAGACCAATGGGATAGAATAGAGTACCCAGAAATAAAGTCACACACCTACAACTATCTGATCTTCAACAAACCTGACAAAAACAGACAATTTCTATTTTATAAATGGTGCTGGGTTAACTGGCTAGACATAAACAGAAAATTGAAATTGAAATTATACCATATACACAATTTAACTCAAGATGGATGTAACAATCTTTTCTCACATTGCTATAAAGAATTACCTGAGACCGGGCAATTTATAAAGGTAAGAGATTGAATTGGCTCACTGTTTGACAGGCTATATAGGAAGCATGGCTGGGGAGGCCTCCGGAAACTTACTATCATGGCAGAAAGCAACGGGGAAGCAAGCACATCTTTACTAGACCAACAGGAGAGAGAGCAAAGGAGGAAGTGCCACACAAATTTAAACAACTAGATCTCATGAGAACTCACTTACTATCACAAGAACAGCAAGGGGGAAATCTGCCTTCATGATTCAATCACCTTCTACCAGGTCCTTCCACCAACATTGGGGATTACAATTCAACATGAGAATTACGTGGACACAGAGCCAAATCATATCAATTGATTAAAGAATTAAATGTAAAACCCAATACTGTACAAACTCTGGAAGACATCCTGGGCAACACTATTCTGGACATAGGAATGGGCAAAGATTTTAAGATGAAAAATAACTAATGGGTACTAGGTTTAATACCTGAATGACAATATTCTGTACTGCAAACCATGACACAAGTTTGCCTATATTACAAACCTCCACATATAATCCTGAACTTAAAAGGTAAAAAAAAAAATCATCTTAAGCTGATTATAATTCACTATTCAAAATAGATTATTTAGAGAAACAAACAAAATATTTTATTTAAACCTGGGACATAATCTTTTCAGGTAATATTTACCAGGGAATACATTTTTTGTTCTTTGGGAATAAATATATTAGGAGATAGGTTGAACCTTCAATTTTAATATTTTATTTTTTAAGATAGCACTGTGATTACTATTACCTCTTGAAGATATAGTTACTCTAAATTATCTCATCATTAAGCTCAAGTTGGTAGCCATGAAGTACACAGAATTTTGCTGCTTAAATCTCCAGTCAAAACTAACTTCAAAGCAATGCCAATGCATGCTACACAGGGGGCCAGACTCCATGAAAGGTTGACAACCATACTGAGTGCTTAGGGCAGATAATATGTTTCAATCTGTCTACAGAAGCCTCAAGTTCACAATTTTTTTTAAGAAAATTAAGAGAGAGTTGGCACAGAAAATTAGAGCTGCTCAAACCTAAACAATGAAAACAGTTAAAATAACCGAAAGCCAACGAATACTAAAGCCTGTTAAAGTTACATTTTTCTTGAATATGAAATTAATAGTAGGCTGTGTGGCTGAATCTGCTATACAGCTTGACAGTAAAACTGCTGTTGCTGCTTCCAGTAAAATCAAGAAACCAGCACAGTATAATGGGAAGAAAATGCTGAAGTGAACAGCTTTGACTTCCACAGCCTGATCCTCTGATACCTGTCCCAGATTCTTGGTGCTAAATCATGTTTTCTCTATGTTTAAGATTTCAAGTGACTGCATCTAATCTCAAACTTGGAACTTATTGTCAGTATTCTTATGGTCAACAACATCAGTGATCTGTGCAAAGCAAAAATTGAGGAGATGATGCCCTCTGTTTTGACTATCTTTATTAGTTTTCTGGGGATCTCATAACAAAGTATCATGAACTGGGTGGCTTAAACAATGGATATTTATTGCCTTATAGTGTTGGAGACTACAAGTCTGAAATCAGTGTCAGCAGAGTTTTTTTTTTCCTTTTGAGGGCTGGAAGGGGAGAATCTGTTCCATGGCTATGTCTGAGCTTCTGGTATTCTCAATTGTTCCTTGGCTTGAAGATGGCTTTCATTTCCCCTGTGTCATTGCATCATTTTCCCTCTATACATGTCTCTGTCTGTGTTTAAATTTTCCCATTTTATAAGTGCAGTCATACTGGATTAGGGCCCACCTTAATGGTTTCATTTCATCTTGATCATCTACCAAAGTCCTATTTCCACATAAGGTCACATTCACAGGTACTGAGCATTAGGACTTTAACATCTTTGGGGTAACACAATTCACACGATAACCATCAAGAGTTTGGAGAAAATCTAAACTCCTAAACAGCATAGAGCAGGCTGTCAAGATCTGCCCTGTGTTTTTCTTCTTCTCCTTATCTTTAGCATGATCCCCGTCTCAATCTATACTCCAGATTATTGAACAAATGGTACTATAATTGCTCTGATTATACACTGCACTCTTTATGGTAGTGTCTCCTTTCAGTTGAAGGCTATTTCTAGGCCGATTTGCTTTAAAAAATAAAAATTATGTTTGTGCCTCCATAACTGCAATCTCTCCAAGTATCTGTACCAAATAGCTTATTTAATGTTTGAACTGGACACAATATTTCACCTTCTCAGACTTCCCACTTGTATGAAAACTCAATCCATGTTTCCCACTGATTCCCACATGCTCAGATCCTTTTCTGTACGTCTGTTGTACATAAGATTATTTTGTACATGTTCCTGACCTCTGGCTCATCATCAATAAGGATTTTTAGTCAAGAATTGAAAACTTCATGTTGATGTAAGTTGTAAGACACAGGATGATGAGCTACCAGCTACCACATTCTTTGCTATATAGAGAAGGAGTTGGGAGACTATGTATGGATCCACAGTCCAAATCTGGCTAGCTGCCCATTTTTGTATAGTCCATGAACTAGAATGGTTTGTGTATGTTTGAATTGATGAAAATAAAAAAAAGTTAATAATTACACAAAACTAGAATTGCAATGTCCATAAATAAAGTTGCATTGAAACACAGTCACACTTATTTTTCACTGCTACATTTTTTATGGTTGCTTTCATGCTACAACAACAAAGTTGAGTAGCTACAACAGAGACCACATGACCTGCAAAGCCTCAGATATTATCTATCCTTTTACAAAAATACTTTGATGACCCCTTTATAAAGTAATAAAACAAACTAGAGCAATGAAAATAGTGAGATAAAGGAAGAACAAGATTGAGACGTAGAGTGAAAGAGAAAAGAGAGATAAAGCATATACACAGGGAATAGTATGGGAGACACTGAGTTCTAACAATCTTTGATTCCTACTATACCCCAGGTTCAGCAATAATCACAATCTTGAATTCTATGGGACATACCCTATAAATTATAAAAACCATTTCTGTTAATTGCCTTTAATGGAACCATCAATAATGCCCCTACCAATATACCTGTCTTTCTCCTATAGCCGTCTGTAAGCTCCTTGAAGGTAGCGACTACCTTATTAAATATATTACCTCAAGTATACTATTTAAGTTACTAAACACAAACTCATTGAAGTAATAAATACAAAAATAAATATACGTTGGTTAAATTATACTAAAAGTGGGAGAAGGAATGGATGGAAAAAAGTGGATGAGGACCCTTGTTTCTGAAGCACCACTCTCTCTAAAATGTGCTATGAAGTGTTCTGTAAGATTACTCACGGCTCTCTAAATCTACTTGAGTCTCTCATCAAATAAAAAACAATACAGTTTTTGTCATTGTCAACCAATCAAAATGAATTCCTGGTAATAGCAGTGGCATTGTGATGAGTCCTGGTGAGAGTCTGGTTCTTGCTGTGCTTTTATGTAAATTCTAAGTTTGGCCCATTCTGCATTCTATATAAAATCTAAGTCATTCTTCCTCCACCTTCTTCTTATATTAGGCTCTCTGTGGTTCACATAGGCTCTGTCATAAATATCTTGAACAAGAGAGAGGTTGCACACAGTATTCTCACCATCATTACAAGCTTGTGGATTTTGGACATGAGGTCGTCAGTACTGTAACATTTTTTTGGAGAAAGAACTACAAGCTGACTAATAGTCAATTTTTATTTCCATTGGCAGAAAGAACTTTAAGTGCTTAAAAGACCACCCCAAACTCATTTAACTATGAAATTCTAGCTATGGAATTATGTGAGGTTTATAAACATACCTTCCACTCAATTGCAAAGTCTACTTTTGCTATCATAAAACTCTGGATACTAATACCAAGCTAATTGAGACTAGCATAAATGAATCAGGCATTGTAGAAAGTATACAGATGATTACAACCCAAGCCCAAGTGTAACTAAAATCAAGGTCAGAATCTACTGAGATTGGTGGCTGAATTTTGTGTGACTGGTTAAACCTCGTGGAGCTTTACATGAACATTGCAGGTTATGGGCTTTGAAGTAAAACAAAAATATCAGTCTTTGAAACTCAGCATATGCTCTAGCCATGTAAATTTGAAAAAGTATATACTTTCACCTAACCTTAATTTTCTCGTCTCTAAAATGGGATGATAATAACAACAACACAGAATTAATGGTAGTTGCAGATAAAGCAGTCAGCAAAATTTTTGGCACACAGTAATTAAAATGTGACAAATACACAAGAGTACAGAGATTCTGAGTCCTCAGAACTGTTTTTCATAAATGTTTCTAAATCTATTATTACTATAATTCATTATTTTACTCATATCTGATTATAAAAACCATGATGAGATTAACATAGTTTTGCTTGTGCATGGCTTTATTGTTCTGCTAGACCCAGTAATCAAAAAGGGAATTTCAATAAACAGGAAATTGTATGATGTTGTAAAGTAAGAAATAGAGATAATACCCTTTGTCACAGGAATATTTTAGAAAATTTGAGATATATAGTCTATTGAAGAAATACGGGTTATGATAGGTCATTTTAATAACATCAGTGTTTCTGCATAGCCATGAGTTGTAGGACAAATGGGTGTAGGCACAAAAAGACAGATCTGGGGCCAGTGTGTAATATTCAATGTCATCAGTGAGTTGACTATATTTCCTCAATAGGTAATGAGATCCCTGACAAGGAAGATATTGGCAACCAGTTGAACAAGTCACTATAGAAGGAATTCAATAAAACGTCAGAGGGCAGATTGGAGTAGTGGACCCTATGTCCTTTAAGTTCCATTTCAACCCTGAAATTTGATCTCTCTATAACAAGCTGTATAAGGCTTCTCTCAATTGGATGTTTGAGAACTAGATCACACACACACACACACACACACACAGAGAGAGAGAGAGAGAGAGAGAGAGAGAGAGAGAGAGACAGACAGACAGAATTTCCTATTCATCCTTGAGAATATTTAGTTCTCTTTGGTAACCAGATAGTCAGACACTACATCAAATGGCCTTATAAAATAAAACATTTAAATTCAGTGTTGTTCTGTGGCAAATTTGTGGGAAGTTATGAGGAATCCTGACATTTCCACAGTTCAGTCCTACTGGCTTCTTACTAGCTAGGTCAGATATCCTCACAGCATAATGCTGCTGCTCCAAATGTTTGGAGGACATTTTGTTATCTCACACTAGTTTCTTCTCAGTGCTCCTCTACTTCTTATTTGGTTTTGTTAGAAATATGGCCTGAACCTTTACAGCCTAAACAGAGTAATGAAAATAATCAAGTTTATTTCCCAAATCTGGCTTGTTCATATGTTGAATTCTGTTCAAATGGGCTTTGGCACTACCTGTCCTGTTTCTCTTTAGCTCTCTAAGGCAGAATTGGGGAAATTTCTGCCCCTTCTCAGTTTTCTGCAGAAAACTGAGACTGTTTCTACTCTCAGTTTTCTGTAGAAAATTCTTGCTTAAAATGTAAGCACATACCACATAATCACATTTGGGGGAAGACATTATACAATTACACAAAGACAGAGGACAGTCCTACTAATTATATACCTGGTTTTCATCAATAATGGAAAGTTTAGCACCTTAATTTGAAGTCTGTTAACATTTCTCAAAAAAACACTTGTGTAAGTTTAGCCCAGCCTACAGATTTCTCAAAATAAAGAAATTTGCTGCAAATATTTTCACTTTTAGACAAAATTATTAGCAACTCTTAAATGACTCTTTTACAGCCACCAAAATATACTGAAAACTCAACAGTTTCAAATACATTTTTTCTTTATTTATTTTCACTAAAATTATTAAATTATGTCTTTAAAATGAATAAATAAAAGTGCAGTTCTTGATATATAAATACAAATTCAGAAAACTTGCTGTCTATAAGTACACAGCCAATGTAGTGAGACCAAGGGCTGCACTTTCCTTCTCACATTAAGAATTAAGGTAAAAGTTCATACAGTACCACATGAATTTCTCAGGGTTTTTTTTCAGAGCCATTTACTTTCTTAGAGTAGCTCTGATCCTGATGCTCTTTTCTCCCCATGTGCCATCTTTCTCCTGTGCTTCATCTCACCAGCTTTCAACATTTTAAGCTAATATGACAAGGGTTAAAGATCACGCAAGCCACAAAATCTGGCTTGAAACCTTAGCTGATGGATAGTCTTTGAGGTTCTCATAAGTAAAAAGTCTTGTAAGCCCTTGGAGAAGAAATCATTCAAAAACAACCTTCCCAAATCTTTTACAACCCAGCAAAACAAAGAAGAAACTTTTCTTGCTATGAAATAGCAGAAAATTAAAGTTCAAGTAAAGAAAATGTTCCATCCATTGGAGATTATTACATTACACTGACAATATTTGGAAATTGCTTGTCCTAGTAAGAGAAAGTAACATCATTTAAGCATTAGCAAATTACTGTAAATTCTTTATGATTGTAATAGTGTACACTGTCGTGCCCTTACATTTTAAAAAACCACCACAAAATCTGATTAAGCATAAGGAATATTAGCTTTGTCTAAAATGACAACTAGTTTAATAGATTCCCTAGTATACCTCATTTTGTAGATTTTAGTTTTATATACACATATTTTGTTTTTTATTTATGTAGATACATAAAAATTATATATTTATATATATTTATGAGATACATGAGACATTTTGTTATAGGCATACAGTGCATTATAATTACATCAGAGTAAATGGGGTATTCATCACCCCAAGCATTTGTTTGCTGTACAAATATTCCAATTATGCTCTTTTAGTTATTTCAAAATGTACAATAAATTGTTGACTATAGTCACCCTGTTGTACTATCAAATACTAGATCTTATTCATTGTATCTAATTATATTTTTGTAAGCATTAACCATCCTCACTTCTCTCCACCCCAACTACCCTTCCCAGCCTCTGGTAACCATTATTCTATTCTCTATCTCCATGAGTTCAATTGTTTTAAATTTTTAGCTCTGATAAAGAAGTTAGAACATATGAAGTTTGCATTTCTGCACCTGGCTTATTTCACTTAACAAAATGTCCTCCAATTTCATCTATGTTGTTGCAAATGACAGGATCTTATTCTTTTTTATGGCTGAATAGTACTCTATTGTGTACATGTCCCTCATTTTCTTTACCAATTCATCTGCTGACGGACACTTAGTTTGCTTCCAAACCTTAGCTACTGTGAACAGTGCTGCAACAAACATGGGAAGACAGATCTGCAACAAACACGGGAAGACAGATATCTCTCCGATATGCTGATTTCCTTTCTTTTGGATATATACCCAGCAGTGGGATTGCTGAATTATGTGGTAGCTCTGTTTTTAGTTTTCTCAGGAACTTTCAAACTTTTCTCCATAGTAATGTTACTAAGTAATATTCCCACGAAAAGTGTATGAAGTTTCCCTTTTCTTCACACCTTCACCAGCATTTGTTATTGCCTGTCTTTTGGATAAAAGCTATTTTAACTAGAATAAGATGATATCTCATTGTAGTTTTGATTTACATTTCTCAGGTTATAAATGATGCTGAGCACCTTTGCATATACATTTTTGCCATTTGTATGTCTTCCTTTGAGAAATGTTTATTCAAATCTTTTGCCAGTGTTTTTATCAGACTATTAGATTTTCTCCTATTGAGTTAGTGAGTTCCTTATAAATTCTGGCTGTTAATCCCTTGTCTGATGAATAGTTTCCAAATATTTTCTCCCATTCTGTGGGTTTTCTCTTCACTTTGTTGATTGCTAACTTTGCTGTGCATATTTTTAACCTAATGTAATCACATTGGTCCATTTTTGCTTTGGTTGCCTGTGCTTGTGGGGTATTACTCAAGAAATATTTGCCCAGTCCAAAGTCCTGCATAGTTTTATCAATGGTGTCTTTTAGTAATAGTTAAGTCAGGTAATGTGGTTTTTTCCATTTTTTATTTTGCTCAGGATAGCTTTGGTTGGTCTATATCTCTTATGGTTCCTTAAAAGTTTTAGGATTATTTTCTACTGCTGTGAAGAATGTCATAGATACTTTGATAAGGATTGCATTGAATTGGTAGATTGCTTTGGGTCATATAGACATTTTAACAATACTGATTCTTCCAATCCATGAATATGGAATATCTTTCTATTTTTTTGTGCCCTCTTCAATTTCTTGTATCAATGTTTTATAGCTTTTATTGTAGAGATTTTTCACTTCTTTAAATTTATCCCTCAGTATTTAATTTTATTTGTGGCTATTGTAAATAGGATTACATTGTTAATTTCTTTCTCAGGTTGTTCACTATTGGCATATAGAAATGCTACATGTAGATTTTTAGGTGTTGATTTTGTATCCTGGAACTTTACTGAATTTGTTTATCAGTTTGAAGTTTCTTGGTGGAGTCTTTAGTTTTTTTTTTTTTCCCCAAATGTAAGATTATATCATCTGCAAACAAGAATAATTTGACTTCTTCCAATTTTGTTGCCTTTTATTTTGTTCTCTTGTTTGACTGCTCTAGCTGGGATTTCCAATACTATGTTGAATAATGATGGTGAAAGTGAGCACCATTTTCTTATCCCAGATCTTAGAGGAAAGACCTTCACTTTTTCCCCATTCAGTATGATACTATTTGTGGTTCTGTCATATATGGCCTCTATTTTATTGAGGTATGTTCCTTCTACACTTAGTTTTCTGAGGGATTTTTTTTTATCATAAAGGGCTATTAAATTTCATCAAAGGTTTTTTCACCCACTATTGAAATGATCGTATGATGTTTGTCCTTCATTCTGTTTATGTGATGTATCGTATTGATTGATTTGCATATTTCAAGAACCAGTCTTGTATCCCTGGGATAAATCCCATTTGGTCATAAAGAATGATCTTCTAAATGTGTTGTTGATTTCAGTTGGCTAGTATTTTGTTGAGAATTGTTTCATCTAGACAAGTTAGGGATATTAACCTGTAGTTTACTTTTTCTAACATGTCTTTGTCTGGTTTTGTTATCAGGGTAATGCTGGCCCAATAGAATGAGTTTGACAGTACTCCCTTCTGCCATACTTTTTCAGAATAGTTTGAGTAAGATTGGTATTAGTTTTTCTTTATATGTTTGGTGAAGTTCAGCAGTGAATTGGTATTAGTTTTTCTGTACATGTTTAGTGAAATTCAGCCATCAGGTCCTGGGTTTTTCTTTGCTGGGGGCCTATATATCACCACTTTAATTTTATTAATTGTTATTAATCACTTCAGGTTTTAGATTTATTCGTTCAGTCTTATCAGGTTGTATTTGTGTATTTCTTGTAATAAATTTATTCATTTCTTCTAGTCTTCCAGTTGATTGACATATTACTTACTCAGAGTAACCTCTCATGATCCTTTGAATTTCTGTGTGGTATCAGCTGTAACGTCTACATGTTTATCTCTAATTTTATGTATTTGGGTTTTTCCTCTCCTTTTGTCTTCAGCCAGGCTAAAGTTTTTTTTTCTTTGTTTCATTGATCTTTTGTATTGCTTTATTCATTTCAATTTTATATATTCCTGCTCTTATTTTTATTATTTCTTTTCTTCTATTAATTTTAGGCTTGGTTTGCTCTTACTTTTTGAGTTCTTTGTGATGCATCATTATATTTTTATTTGAAGTTTTTTGTTTTTTTTTTTACTTTTTTGATGTAGGCATTTACTGTTATAAAAATTTCCTGTTAGTATCGCTTTTGTTGTATGCTATAGATTATAGTATGTTGTGCTTCCATTTTTATTTGTTTAAAGAAACTTTTAAATTTCTTTCTTAATTTTGTCATTGATCCATTAGTCATTAAGAAGCATATTGTTTAATTTCCATGTATTTGCACAGTTTCCAAAATTCCTCTTGTTATAAAATTCTTTTATTCCATTGTGGTTAGAGAACATCCTTAATATATTTTCATTTTTTTAAATTATTTAAGACTTGTTTTGTGACCTAACATTTAGTCTATCCTTGAGAATGATTCATATGCTGAAGAGAAAAGAATGTATATTCTGCATCCATTGGATGAAATGTTCTGTGAATATCTATTAGGTTCATTTAGTGTATAGTGCAGATTAAGTCTAATGTTTCTCTTTTGATTTTTCTGTCTAGATTATCTGTCCGATGATGAAATTGGGATGTTAGTCTCCAGCTATTATCATATTGCAGTGCATCTCTCTTCATACATCTAATAATATTTGCTTTATATATTGGGACACTCCAGTTTTAGATGCATATATACTTAAAATGGTTACACCCTCTTGCTGAATTGGCTCCTTTATTATTATATAATGACCTTATTTGTTTTGGCTTATAATTTTTATCTTGAAATCTATTTTGCATCTTATAAGTACAGCTACTCTTACTGTTTTTTGTTTCCATTGTTGTGGAATACCTTCCATTCCATTATTTTTAATCTATTTGTGTCTTTACAGGTGAAGTGTGTTTCTTGTAGGCAACAAATCAAAGAGTCTTGTTTGTTATCCATTCAGCCACTCTGTGTCTTTTGATTGAAGAGCTTAGTCCATTCACACTCAATGTTATTACTGATAAGTAATATGTTATTCCTGCCATTTGGTTATTATTTTTCTGTTCGTTTTGTGGTCTACTCTTCCTTCTTTTCCTTCTTCCTGCCTTCTTTTAAGTAAGATGTTTTTCTCAGGTGGTATGTTTTACTTCTTGCTTTTTATTTTTTTGTGTAACTGTTACATGTTTTTTGATTTGTCATTACCATGAGACTTACAAATAATCTTTTTTTTAATGGGTTCTTTCCAAAAGGGAAATTTAAAAATCTACAACAAATTACACCAAAGTATTTAAAAGTAATAATGACCCAGCCTCTCCCTCCACACTTGAACATCAGCCTTAGACAGAAAAGCTAAACAATGAAGATGCCCAGGTCAGGTCTCTCCACCCAAATACAAGTCCTAGAGTAGGGAGGTTGGAGCTGGGATGGTGTGGGCAGCCCTAGCTGCTGGCATTTGTTGACCACGTGAGGACGGGGCAAGGGTGAGAGAGGCTATCCCAACGTAAAAAGTAGGTCTCCAAAGACAAATTCTAAGAAAATTCCACTGAATACAAATAATATCTTATAACCCATTATTTTAAAAGTATGACAACATAGCACCAATTGCATAAACATATAAACTAACAAAGAAGCAAGGAAAAAACTAATAAAAACTTTACACTTTAATTTCATCCCCTCTGCTTGCTAACTTTTTGTTTCTATTTATATCTTGTTATACCATCTGTGTCTTGAAAAGTTTTTATTATTTTTGATAGGTTCATCTTTTAGTCTTTTTACTCAAGATATGAGTAGCTTACACACCACAATTATGGTGTTATAATATTTTGTGGTTTTTTAATGTACTTACTATTACCTGTGAGTTTTGAACCTTTGGATGATTTTTTATTGTTTATTAACATCATTTTCTTTCAGATTGAAGAACTCCCATCAGCATTTCTTGTAGAACAGGTCTGGTGTGGATGAAATTCCTCAGCTTTTGTTTGTCTGGGAAAGTATTTCTCTTTCATGTTTGAAGGATATTTTCCCTGGATGTACATTTCTGGTATAAAAGTTTTTCTCTGTTAGCAGTTTCCTGCCAGGTTTCCACTGAGAGTCTGCTGCCAGACATACAGGAGCTCCTTTATATGTTATTTGTTTTCTTTTCTCTTGCTGCTTTTAGGACTCTTTCTTTATCTTTGACTTTTGGGAATTTGATTATTAAATGTCTGGCGTAGTTTTCTTTGGGTTACATCTGCTTGTTGTTCTATAACTTTCTTGTACTTGAATACTGATATCTTTCTTTAGGTTTGGGAAGTTCTCTGTTATTATCCCACTGAATAAACTTTCTACCCTGCTCTCTTTCTCTACCTCCTCTTTAATCAACCATTGTTGATTATTTAGGGATCAACAGCTCTTTAGTCAGCAGATGATGAATTCTGCCAGGACTGGGTCCTTTCCTTCAAGGTAGTGGTCTTCCTTCTGACACAGATTGTGTTTAGAAATGAAATCTTAAAGCTAGGGCCTGGACTGGGGTCCTCAGGACTCTGTCTGTTTGTCTAATCTACTGTGGCTGAGCTGGTATCCAAGTTTCAAGACAAAGTTCTCTTTATTCTCCCCTCTCCTCTCCTCAAGAAGAGGGAACGTTTCTCTATGAAAGCTGTGAGCCATGCTTCCTGAAGTTGGGGAAGGGGTAATGCAAGCACTCCCTTGGCCTCCCCAGTCCGCTGGCTTGTATCTCATTAGGTTGTGTGCTCCCTCCCCAGTCCACTGGCTCCAAGCCCAGCACAGAACAGGACTTGCCCAGGAATTGCAAGGACCTATATTGTATTTCAGGTTTACTGAGGACCCTAGGCACTTTAGACCACAGAGACAAGGCCTGCAGGAACTCAGGTTCTGACTGATGGAATAGACAATTTGCCTCTGCCTAGGGTTGGTCTAAATGTTCCCTCCATGGATATCAACTGAGTTCTGCCTTTTGTTGCCTTCAGTTGTCATAGGACAGCACTAGGTTCTGATGCAAATTCCCACAATCACTGCAATCTCCCTCCCCAAAGTGCACAGATTTTCTTTCTACTCCATGTGGCTACTGTCATGGATAGGGGAGGGGTGATGTAGACAACACAAGACTGTATTACTACCTTCTTCAGTTCCTCTTTCCTTTAATATGATGTTAAAACTAGGTACTGGGATTGTTCACCTGATCTTGGGTCCTTATGAAGGTGCTTTTTTATGTGGATAGTTGTTCAATTTGGTGTTCCTGTGGGGAGTGGGGGATCATGTGGCCATCTTGCTTCACCTCCTCCCTTAACTTTATAGATAAAAAGTGGTCTAATTTAAATATAGTTCATAGAAGATATGTTATCACTGGCATCATGTTTTTGCAAACCAAAGAGAAAAGAAAATAATCAGATTCAGTAAAATAATGTATTTATATGCCTGAAATTAAACACCCAGTTTATCTAGACTTCTGATTATTAACTGAATTTGAACATGATCTAGGTAAACAGTATTGAAAAATATTCCTTTATGTTAGTTTATATATTTAATTCATCACAAATATATCTCTATTTGAATATTATTACTTTACCAAAGGTGACACTTTCTACAATTAATAAATGCTCTCTATTTCTTATCTTCCATAATTCAGCTAATAGATTGAGGCATTTTGAAATACTTAAGTTCAGTATCAAAATTATCACTTAATATTCTAATTTCTTATTTCTATTCATTAAAGCAATCATCAGTGTTTATTGAATGCCAGAAACTATGTTGGAGAAATAAATAAAACAGATAAGGACACTCCTGTCATAGATATTCTAGGTCTAGTATAGAAGACAACACTGTCTAAATAACACAAGTGTTATTTAGAACGTATATATATATATATATATTATATATATATATATATTATATATATATTTTATATATATACACACACATGTTCTACACAAGCAACACACACTCTATAAGAAAAGGCAGGTCTTCCTGAGGCTGTCATTTAAGCTGAAATATAAAGGATAGAAATGGGTTGGCTATGTGAGGACATAGGGGACAAGATTCAAATTAGATGGAACAACTAACATAAAAGTCTTAAAGACAGAGTGTGATAAGCTCAAAATAAAAAATAATTTGAGACTAGAGGTGGAAAATAAAACAAGTGGAAGTATATAAATCTAATGATTAATAGGAGCAAGATTTCAAAAGACCTCAAGACTGTGTGTCATGGCCTGTTGTCATAAATTGCATCTTCACTTCTTTCTTACAGGTAGAATTTCAGTTTTGTTGAAATATACACCCTTTTATGAGTTCAAAAGAGTTAATCTGCTTTTCAATCCAAGTGCTGAATCTTTGTAAAAAGCTTATCATGGAGTTCTAATTTTTCTGACCATGGACTTGGGTTAGGCATGTTAGTAAATTCTAGCTACTCTGACATGAAAGGTTTTCTACTAAAGTGCTATGGACTGAACTGTGTCCCACTCAAAAGAAAGAACAAATACCCTGATCACTTCACAGGTGCCTCCAGCACACCATAGCTGCCACACTATAAGGAGAGTAGCCCAGTCTCTCTTCCCTGTTAGCCCTCACCCACTGCTCTGCACCAGGCAGGCCCCTGGCTTGGGCCCATTTCACAGCTACCTGACCTATGGCTGAACATTCCCACTGGCAGCAGCTCTGTCTTTCTCTAGGATAAAGTTTCCAGAGGCAGCTGTCAGCCCCTCTGCCAGTGCTGCTGCAGTCATACCGCCCTTGCTGCCCTCAGACTGGGGAAGGAACGAAGAGCCTGAGAACTGCACTTGCACCTCCAGTACACCACAGTGGCCATATGGCGTGGAACCCAGTCTCTCTTCCCTGTTAGCCCCCACATTCTGTTTTTCACCAGTCTGGGCTCCTGGCTTGGGACCTCAGTGTAGCAGCCACACCCCCAGCTAAATGTTCCCATTGGCAATGGCTCTGTGTTTCTCTGTGGTGGAGTTTCCAGGGGCAACTGACGGACCTTTTGCACTGTCACTGCAGTGAAGCTGCCCTTGGGCTGTGGAGAGAACAAAGACTCTGATTGCTTGGCTGGCATCTCCAGCATATCGCAGCCACCATACAGGAAGTAGCCCAGTCTCTCTTTTCTATGAGCCTCTGACCTCTTATCTTCATTAGGCAGGGCCCCCAGCTCGAGCCTGTATCACAGGCACTGGATCCCCAGCTGCACATTATCATTGTCAGGGGCTTTGTGTCTCTCTAGGGCAGAGTTCCAAAGATAACTGACAGCCCCTCTGCTACTGTCATTACAGTGATACCCGCCCTTGCTGTCACCATATTGATGAAGGAACACAAAGCCTGAGGGCTTTACTGCTGCAGGCACCATATAGAGAAGAGGCCAGATTGTCTTCTCGCAAGCCCCTCCTTCCTCCACTCCAACTAATCTTCACCAGGCAGGGACCCCTGGCTTAGGCCCGCAACACAGCCACCCTACCCATGGCTCATTATTCCAGTTGGCAGTGGCTCTGCATCTGGGGTGGAGCCCCAAAAGATAAAGTCCCTCTGCCATGGTTACTGCCAAATGCCTTGTCCTGATGCCTCCAAGCTGGGGGGAGAACAAGAAGACTGAGCTCACCCCAGAGCTGTGGAGCACTGCCCAGGAGTAACAAGCCAAGATCTGTGGCTAGCACTCAAGTGGCAGAGGAGCCCATAATCTCAGAGCACTGGGAGGGAGCACAAAAAGTTTATAGTACTAAACACCAACATCAAAAAGATAGAACGATTTCAAATTAACAACCTAACATCACATCTAGGGAAACTAGAATAATAAGCATTAACCAATCCCAAAGCTAGCAGAAGACAAAAAATAACCACAATTAGAGCTGAACTGCAAAAACCATATAAAATGTCAACCAATCTAGGAGTTGTTTTTTTTAAAGAAAATATAATATTGATAGACCACTAGTGAGGCTAATTAAATAAAAGAGGATCCAAATAAACACAGTCAGAGATAATAAACAGGACATTACTACCAACTACAGAGAAATACCAAAAACTCTCAGAGTCTATGCACCTGAACACCTCTATGCACACAAGTTAGAAAACCTATGGAAATGAATCAATTCCTGGAAATACAACCTCCCAAGATTGAACCAGCAAGAATTTGAAACCCTGACAAGACAAATAATAAGTTACAATATTAAACAACTAATAAAAAATGTACAAAGCAGAAAAAGCTGTGGCCCATACAAATTCAGAGCCAAATTCTCTCAGACATGCGAAGAAGAGTTGGTATCAATCCTACTGAAACCATTCAAAAAATCAGGAGAAGGGACTCCTTCCCAGCTAATTATATGAGGCCAGTACTATTCTGATACCAAAATCTGCCAAAGGCACAACGGAAAAAAAAAACAAAATTTCAGGTCAGTGTTGCAATGAACATAGATGCAAACATTCTTAACAAAATACAAACAAACTGAATCCAGTAGTACATCAAAAGCTAATATACCAAGATTAAGTAGGCTTTATCCCTGGGATGCAAGGTCGGTTCAACATATGCAAATCAATAAATGTTATTCATCACATGAACAGAAGGAAAAACAAAATACGAAAACCACATAGTCATCTCAATAGACTCAGAAAAGGCTTTCAATAAAATTTAACATCACTTTTGTTAAAAATGCTCAACAAACTAGACTTTGAAGGAATGCATCTCAAAATAATAAGAGCTGTCTATGAAAAACCCACAGCAAACATCATCTTGAATAGGTAAGAGCTGAAAGCAGTTCTCCTAATAACTGGAAAAAGACAAGGAGGCCCACTCTCACCACTCCTCTTCAACATAGTACAGGAAGTCCTAGCCAGAGAAATCAGACAAGAGAAAGAAATAAAGAGGATTCAAATAGGAAGAGAAGAAGTCAAAATATGTCTCTTCATAGATGATACAATTATATGCCTAGAAAACATTTAGGATTTTTATGTCTTTCTGATCAATTAACTCTTTTTTTTAAAATGGTAATACTCCTTGATTTCAATTTGCCTAGTATTAATACAGTAATACATGTTTACACATGATTGGTATATTCACAGTACATTATTATACTTTTGCTTCTGAACTATCTTTCTCTTTGTACTTAAAGGACATATTTTGTAAACAGCATGCAGCTTTTGTGCTCTAAGTTTGAAAATCTCTTGTCTTTTAATTGGAGTATTGAGTTTATTTACATGTAATATAATTTTGATATACTTGGGTAAGTCTGCCATTTGCAGTATGTTTTCTAGTTGTTCCATCTGCTTTTCCTTGATTAGTTGGATTTTCTATTAATTCCTCTGTTGAAATTTTAGCTATACCTCTATGTGTACTCTTAAAATTTATTCAGTATACAATGGTAATTTATCATAATGTATTTAGAGTTAATTGCACCACTTTTTGTAAAATGTTAGAGCCCTACAGCAGCAAAACTCTATTGTCCCCTCTCAGACCCATTCTATCATTTTGTCATATTATACATCTGTATACTTAATAAAAAGAGTCTACTCCAAAATTATTATATTTTATTTAAGTAATGCCTACTGTCAAATAAATTAAGAAGAATTAAAGAGACCAACTCTGCATTTACCCACATATTTACTACCTCAAGTGCCCTTCATTATTTTCATTAGTTTTGAATTCCCATCTTGTATCAGTCTCTTATAGCCTAAAAATCTTCTACTCTCATTTGGTAGAGTCAGTCTGCTCAAAACAGATTTTTTTCATCACATGATGAAAATTGCCAGAGAATTTCTTTCTCTGGAAATGGTTTCAATGTCCTTATTTGAACAGATATTTTTCTCTAGGTGTAAAACTTTAGATCGATTATTATCTTTTCTTGTCATTTAACAATGTACTTTTGTTGTGATCTGGCCTCCAGTATTTTCTGAAGAAAAGCATCCCACCATTTATATTTTTGTTTCCTCGTGTGTAATGTGACTTTTTTTCTCTAGTTGCTTTAATGACTTCGTCATTTCTGTGGTAATCTGAAGTTTGACTTTGATGTAATTATGAATTATCATTTTCTTTATATTTATTTTGCTTGGGATACACTGAGCTGCTTGGATCTATAAGTTGATGTTTTTCTCCAAATTTGGGAAACTCTTTGGCAATATTTCTTTATATGTTTTCATCTGCTTCATTCTCTTCTGTCATAAGGGACTATAATTACATGTGTACTTGAACAGTGTTTTAACATATTGGAATTTTTTTAGAGAAATTAGAATTGTTATTCATTGCTGGTGGATGGTTCAGCTGCTGTGGAGTTTGGCAGTTTCTCAAAAAGTTAAATATAAAATTTTAAAAGTTAACTAAAAAGTTAAACATAGAATTACCATATAACCTAGCAATTCCACTCCTAGGTACATATGGAAAAAATGCTTGTACATTCAGATTCATTGTAGCATTATTCACAATAGCCAAAAGGTGGAAGCAACTCAAATGTACATCATCTGATGAACAAATTTAAAAATGTGATGTTTCTATACAATTAAATTATTCATCCATACAAAGGAATGAAGTATAGTACCAATAAATGAACCTCCAAAACTTTATGCTAAGTGAAAGAAGCCCGACAGAAAACATAACACATGTATTTTTTTAAATAAAATATCCAAAATAGGTTAATCCATAGAGACAGAAAGCTGATTAACGATTGCCAAAGATTGAGGGGAGAGGAAAAGGGGAAATAATTGCTTAAAAGTTACAGGATTTACCTGTTCAGTGATTAAAATATTTAGAATATTAAATAGAGCTGGAAGTTGTCCAACATTGTAAATGCATTAAATGTTGCTGATTTTTTACTTAAAAATAGCTAATTTTATGTTATGTGAATGTTATCTCATTTTAAAATGTAACGTGATATATTGGATAGTAAAAAACTTAAAACATACAAATGTATTCAGATTAATTAAATCTTCTTCCTACCTCTTATATCCACTCAGTTATCCTTCTTGCAGTAAAGTAATATTATCAGCATTATAAGTATTTCTCCAAAGATCGTTTATACATCTATAAGCAAATAAATGTGTATTACTTCCCTACCACACATTCCTTTTACAAATGGTGATATAATTTGCATATCCTTCTGTGCCTGGCTTTTTTTCTGCTTAATATTATATCTGAAAATCACTTCTTAGTACACACCAAATTGCTTTATTCTTTTAAGGGATGTGACATATTCCATTACATTTATTTATCTCATTCTTTTCTGATGGACATTTATAAAAGTTCCCAATACTTTTCTTTTACAAAGATACATTATACCTATGATATTTCATTTATGTGAGAATAAATCTACAGTCAATTTTCTGAAGTAGAATTACCGGATAAGAAGATAATTGCATTTGTAATTTTTTTCTTTCCAACTTTTATTTTAGCTTCAAGGAGTATATATGAGCTTTCGTTACATGGGTAAATTGCATGTTCTAGGAGTTTACTGTACAATAACTTTGTCACCTAGGTAATCAGCATAACCCCCAAAAGATAGTTTTTCAATCATCACTCTCCTCCCACCCTCCACCCTCAAGTAGGTCTTGGTATCTATTGCTCTCTTCTTTGTGTCCATGTGTACTCAGTGTTGAGCTCCCATTTACAAGTGAGAACACGCAATATTATGTTGCATGTTCTGTTTTTAACACAGTGAATTAACAGGTTTTCTGTTTCTGTTTTAATTGACTTAGGATAATGGCCCCCAGCTCCATCCATGATGTTCCAAAGGAAATAATTTTATTATTTTTTACAGCTGCAAAACATACCATGCCATATATGTACCAGATTTTCTTTATCCAATCCACCCCGATGGGCATCTAAGGTAACTCCATTTATTTGATACTGTGAATAGTTTTGTGATGAACATACATGTGCATGTGCCTTTAAGATAGAATGATTTATATTCCTTTGGGTATATACTCAGTAATGAGACTGCTGAGTCAACTGGTAGTTCTTTAAGTTCTTTGAGAAATCTCCAGACTACTTTCCACAGTGAGTGAATTAATTTACATTCCCACCAGCAGTGTACAAGTGTTTCCTTTTCTCCACAACCTCACTAGCACCTGTTATTTTTTAACTTTTTAATAATGGCCATTCGGACTCATCTGAGATGGTATCTCATTTTGGTTTTGATTTGTGTTCCCCTAATGAGTAGTGATATTGATAATTTTTTTCATATGTATATTGACCACATGTATATCTTTTTTAAATTTTATTTATTTATTTTATTTTTTTATGAGATGGAATCATGCTCTGTCACCCAGGCTGGAGTGCAGTGTCACAATCTCAACTCACTGCAACCTCCACCTCCCAGGTTCAAGTGATTTCTCCTGCTTCAGCCTCCCAAGTAGCTGGGACTACAGGTGCGTGCCACCACGCCCAGCTAATTTTTTGTATTTTTAGTAGAGATGGGGTTTCACCATGTTAGTCAGGATGGTCTCGATCTCCTGACCTCATGATCCTCCTGCCTTGGCCTCCCAAAGTGCTGGGATTACAGGTGTGAGCCACTGCACCTGGTCATATATCTTCTTTTGAGAAGTGACTATTCATGTCCTTTGCCCAGTTTTAAATTGTGTGGCTTTTTTGCTTGTTGTTTTAAGTTCCTTATAGATTCTGGAAATTAGACCTTTGTTGGATGCATAGCTTATAAATATTTATTCCAATTATGTAGATTTTCTGTTTATTCTGTTTACTCAGTAACTCTGACAGTTAATTTTGCTGAGCAGAAGCTCTTGAGTTTAAGTTTGTCCCATTTGTCAATTTTTGTTTTTGTTACTATTGCTTTTGGCATCTTCATCATGAGGTCTTTGCCAGGGCTGATGTCCAGAATGGTATTTCCTAGATTTTCTTCTAGAGTTTTTATAGTTTTAGGCTTTACATTTAAGTGTTTAGTAGATCTTGAGTTGATTTTTGTATACAGTGAAGGAAGCAATCCAGGTTCAACCTTCTGCATATGGCTAGACAGTTATCCCAGCACCATTTATTGAATAGGGAGTCCTTACCCCATTGCTTGTTGTTGTCAGCATTTGAAGATTAGACAGTATTAGGTGAGCAGTTTGCTTTCCGTGTTCTCTAACCAGTTCCATTGGTCTGTGTGTCTGTTTCCGTATGAGCATCATGCTATTTCAGTTACTGTAATCCGGTAATATAGTTTGAAGTTGGGTAGCGTGATGCTTTCAGCTTTGTTATTTTGCTTAGGATTGCTTTGGTTATTTGTGCTCTTTTTTGTTTCCAAATTAATTTTAAAATATATATTTCTTAATTTTGTGAAAAATGTAATTGATAGTTTGATAGTAGTAACACTAAATCTATAAATTGCTTTGGACAGTATGGCCATTTTAACAATATTGGCTCTTCCTGTTTGTGAGCATGAAATGTTTTTCCATTTATTTGTATCATCTCTGATTCCCTTGAACTGTGGTTTGTAGTTCTCCTTGTAGAGATCTTTCACCTCTATTTAGGTGAAAGAACTTCTAAATACATGAACAAAAACTGACAGAGGAGAAAGAGATAAATCTACAATTGGATTTGGAAATCTCTTCATCATTGATTGAACAACTATATGGATAAATAAATAAGGAAACTGAAGATCTGAACCACACTATACACTCACATCAGCTAGTTAATATTTATGAACTCTCCACCAAACAGCTAAAGAATATGCATTACTTTCAAGTACACTTGGAACACATCGCATGTTAGACCATATGCTGAACTACGAAATAAGCCTTAAAAAATATAAAACACTGAAATCTTAAAAAATATATTCTCAAACCAAAAGGGAATTAAACTAAAAATCAATTATTTTAAAATATCTCAATTTTTTTTAGTATCTAAAAACAGAGAACTGCTAAATATCTCAATTGTCAAATAAAAATCACGACAGATCCAAAAATATCTTTTGTTTGTTTGTTTGTTTTTTGACGGAGTCTCACTCTGTTGCCCAGGCTGGAGTGCAGTAGCGCCATCTCAGCTCACTGCAGCCTCCGCCTCCCAGGTTCAAGTGATTCTCCTGCCTCAGCCTCCCGAGTAGCTGGGACTAGAGGCGCGTGCCAACACACCCAGCTAATTGTTTGTATTTTTAGTAGAGATGAGGTTTCACTGTGTTAGCCAAGATGGTCTCTTATCTCCTGACCTCCTGATCCACCTGCCTCGGCCTCCCAAAGTGCTGGGATTACAGACCTGAGTCACTGCCCCCGGCCACAAAAATATCTTAAATGAAACTATAATTAAAACATGATGTTTCCAAATCTCTGAGATGCAGATAAAACAGTGCTAAGAGGAAAATTTGTAATTTAAATACTTATATTCAATAAGCAAGGACTGCAATTAAAACTGAGTTTCTACTTTAAGCAATGAATAAAAGAAGAATAAATTAAACCAAAAATTAGTAGAAGGAAGGAAATGAAAAAATAAAAGCAGAAGTCAACAATTACAAAACAAACACTCAAGAAAATTACCAAATGCTAAATTAGGATATTTAAAATAATTAAGTAACCCCCTTGTGAGTCTGAATATTAAAAAATACAAATTACCAATAACAGAAATAAATGAGGTGATAGATGTATATCAAATCATTAAAATGGTAATATGACAATATTATTGATAATTATTTGCTAATGAATTTAACAGTTAAGATGAAGTAGGCAAATTCTATGTAAAACTAAACTTAGATATCAGAATAGCCTAATACCTATTACACAAATAGGAATTATGATAATAAAACCTTTCTGTAAAGGAAAATTCAAACTTAGATGTCATCACTGGTAAATTCTCACTGGTAAATTTTATCACATTTGATAGAATTCACTAATGTTACACAAACTTTTTCAGGAATAGGAATATTCTCCAACATGTTTGGTGAAACCAGCATTATTCTATTAATAAAATCACACAAATACATGATAAGTAGAGAAACTCACAGGCCAATGACCAATGGACGTAAAAACCTCTAGCAAAATACGAACAAATGAATTGTAGTAACATATAAAAAGGAAAATAAATCATGCTCATGTAGGTTTTATTCCAGGAGTGCAAAGTTATTTTACTACTTAAAAATCAAGCATTGTAATTCACCATGTTAGCAGATTAAAGAAAAATAAATCATATAATATCAATAGATGCAGAAAAATGCATTCAAAAAATTCAACATCCACATATAAAAAAGCAGCAAAACCTCACCAAATTAGGTCTACAAGGGTACTTTCTGTCAATCTGCTAAAAGCATCTGACAACTCTATAGCTCACATCACACAACAATGAAGTATTTAACACTTTTCCTATAATATTGTGAAAAAGGCAAAGACATATACATTCTCATACTTCTGTTTGATTCTCTGCCACTCTTCCTATGTTCCTCCATGTCACTTACATGAAACCTCGTGATATAAAATAGAGTCTTGGCCCCACTGTCATTTCCTCATTTCCACATGTAATACAAAAAAGCTTGTAAATGTATTATCTCTGCTAAGAACTTGAAATACTTTAAGGATCCATTTAATCAGATTTGATTTATGAGGTTCTAAGAATACTTGTGCTACCTACTTCAAACTGCACAATGTTTACTATATCAGTAAATATTGATAACAAACTAGATAACAAAACAATCTATAAAAGTGACTTAAGTTTTTCTGAAACCATATTTACTAAAGTCATGAAGAATGGAAGAGGTACAGACTATATAATTTAATGAGTTTGGTCTTAGTCTGAGAACCATTACTGAATTTTCTTTTTTCTTTTTCTTTTTTGAGATGGAGTCTCACTCTGTCACCCAGGCTGGAGTGCAGTGGCGCGAGCTTGGCTCACTGCTACCTCTGCCTCCCGCGTTCAAGGAATTCTCCTGCCTCAGCCTCCCGAGTAGCCGGGATTGCAGCCATGTGCCAGCACGCCTGGCTAATTTTTTGTATTTTTGGTAGAGACAGGGTTTCTCCCTGTTAGCCTGGATGGTCTCAATCTCCTGATCTCGTGATCCTCCTGCCTCGGCCTCCCAAAGTTCTGGGATTACAGGTGTGAGCCACCCGCCCGGCCTGAATTTTCTAGGCCTTTATTTCCTCATCAATTAAGTGGCATGAATTAAGTACTTTAGTAAGAAATATATTAAGATGTTGTATAAGAAAGCAGATTTTAAACTACATAGTATCTTTCTCACATAGAGATAATAATACCAGAAACAAATGGAGCATTGATTATCTTATGTCAATAAAATAGGAGAAGGAAACTAATATTTATTATAGGACTACAGTGTATCAGATGTTATGTGAAATATTTTACGTATGCTGCTTTCCTAAATTTGAAAAAAAAATCTAGATAGTTTATTTGGATTTTGAAAATGAAAAAATGGAGACTTAGAGCATTGAAACCAGTGCTTGAGAATTTTAACTCTGGTAAGAGTTTGATAGTTAGCCAGCTTAGCTGCTAGTTGAGTTCACTGAAGACTTAGTTTCTCCGTTAGTAATATGGAAATAGTAATACATACCAGATTTAATGATATAGGTATTATATGAGAAAATCCACTAAAGTAATTAGCATAATGTCTGACACATAATAATTACTCAAAAGTTATTTGCTAATAATGGTTCCTTTAAATAGAGAAATTTAAAATGATTGAGACAAAAAGAAAACAGAAATTTCTCTCTTATATTTTAGAAAGTGACCATGTCAGATTTGAAATCTGTTTCTGCCTCACTGGAAACCTCATGCTCTTTTCACTGAATGATGTACATAAGTCAAAAAACTTTTGGAAATTATTTACCATGGAAGGGCAACTTACATACATTTTTCAACTGCATGCATGATTTTTTTTCACAGAAAAATAATTTGCAAGTACACAAGGACAAGTTGAAATATAAGCTTTAAAAAAGTGACACTCATCACTTACTAGAAAACATAAAGAAAAATATCACAGTTTCATGAATATTAATAAATGGGGGAATAAAGAGCTGATATTAATAGATAAAATCAAAAGACTCGAGCCTACTCTTTTATTAGACTGAGTGCCACAGGCATCACTTTCCCAGAAATATCTCCAGAATTCAGGAACTATCTTTTGCCCAAGTCAAACAACCGAAGCAAGCATGCATTAAAGGAGATGCTTTGTTTGTGTCCAGTTTAAGTAAATAAGATTTAATACTAGCAATATCAACTTCATCAAAGACAATATTTCAACTTGAATCATTAACATTAATGACATAAATATTTTCCCAGTGCATAGCTTTATTGAACAAAGTTTTTTTTTTTGTTTTTTTTTTTGTTTTTTTTGAGACGAAGGGAGTCTCGCTCTGTCGCCCAGGCTGGAGTGCAGTGCAGTGGCGGGATCTCAGCTCACTGCAAGCTCCGCCTCCCGGGTTCACGCCACTCTCCTGCCTCAGCCTCCGGGGTAGCTGGGACTACAGGCGCCCTCCAACACCCCCGGCTAATTTTTTTGTATTTTTAGTAGAGACAGGGTTTCACTGTATTAGCCAGGATGGTCTCGATCTCCTGACCTCGTGATCCTCCCGCCTGGGCCTCCCAAAGTGCTGGGATTACAGGCATGAGCCACCGCGCCCAGCCCCAAAGTTGTATTCTTGAAACATCTGAAAAAGAATAGGAATTGGAAAATACTTTTAAAAAGTTACATTTACCCTGGAAATGTAACATGGCAAGTGTCAAGAGAAATCATGCTTTTACAGCTTAGTTAAGAACCCCTGGAAACCAAGATTTCAGAGAAACCTTGATAGGTCCTTAAGATTTAGTTAGGGCACTTGGGGTGCTGCCATAATAAAGGTTTAAATCAAGATGACTCCACAGGTCGGCACTTATTAAGCAGAGAGAGACACACTAACAATGTCCAGGCTCATTTCCAAGAGAATTCAGAAAGGAATTCTGGCAGGCTAACTGAATTTATAAGGTGGTAAATTTAAAAATAATAAAGCTTTCATCTGTCAGCATAAGTCTGATTGTGAGGTATATGGCCATTATTTTGCGATTAGTGTCACTTACTGAAAAAGTACTTTCATGGTGATTCTGCCCTTAGCTGCATTTTTCCAGAGCATTTCTTTCTACCAGTTTTGAAAATTATTGCTGAAATAGTCACTCAACATTAAATCAATCTGTCAATTAGTGATAGTGGGGCCTGCTCTCTATTTTGTTCAACACTTAGAAGCACTCAGAAGGCAGAAATGTAACTTATTTTATAAAGTCGTGGTGTTTTCTTGTCAATCCAAAGCTCGGGGAAATATTGAGAGGGCTTGCCTCTCAAATGTGTGTTCCTATTCTATTTCATTCATTCGGAATAAATCTCAGAGTCCCCCACTCTGGTATTTAATCCAGCTTTGCCCATCATCAGCATTATTAAGCTCAGCTTTAATACTCTATTTTCTATCTTTAAACTTTTCTTGTCCTGTTTATCTTTCATCAACTACCTGTGGAAGTGATAGTTTTAGTATTTAAAAGTATGTTAACAAATTAATCATTTTCATATTTCCTTCTTCTAAATGGTATTTTTCATTTGAAAAGATGACTCAGGCCACTGTGGTTCCATCAGGAATTGAAGACCGGAAGCTGACACATAGGGTTTTGCCAAGATGTGCTCTACCAAAGGCTGACGGAGTAAAAATACTCCAAAATCCACTCCACCTTAAGGTCCAAAGCTGGATACTCATAGCTCCAAGCACAGTCAGCTGAAAAGAAGGAGTCCCTTATTCTTAGTCACACAAATAGCCTTGGGAAAGGGAGCTTTTACTACATGGTTCAATGATGTGCACAGAAGTGGACTGACACAGTGCAGGTAACTAGTCTTGTTTTGTGTTTCACTAAAAAGAGTTTGTCAACCTAAATAACAAACAGAAACGGAGACTCTAACTACACGTTTCGTGTTTCACTAAAAAGAGTTTGTTAACCTAAATAACAAACAGAAACAGAGACTCTCTGAAAGAAAATGATGTTTATTTTGGAATAGGCATTGCAATGGGAATATGTATACCATAGGAAACTATATACCTATTCAGGGAGGTAAAGGACGATAAAGGTTTTCAAAGGAAAAAGTAGATTACATAATTGTTTTGAGATAATTATTCTTGGCTACAAGAATCAATAAGAAGGGTGGCATCAGTCCATGGGTTAGACAAGCAGTTTCTAGGCAGATGTCCTCGTGAAAGTATTTTGTGTGTGCCTAAGTTTGTAATAGGCTTTGTGCAAGGTTGTGGTTTTCACGGAGTCTTTTGTGATAATTCCTGTTATCAGGCATTCATGCAGTGAAAATCCTCCTTTCATGGCCTTCCCTGCCTCTATTTATCAGAAATTTTAAAATAAGTGACTTCATTTTGATTCTGCCAACATTCATAGGCTTAAAACCTTCTTCCCAATAAAACAGTAAATGGAAGAGCATAGATACTATAGAGAGAAAACAACCAGAGAATACTTAGTTTAAAGAGATACCCCGAGTATAACACCAGCACAGTCATGAATTGAAAAATACACAGAAGAAAATAAAAGCATTGACTTTGGTCAATAAAGACTCACGAGTAAAAACCATACAGGGCTTCAGAGTTCCTGAAGAATAATGGCAGCTGCCTAAATACAAATATCTCTATACATTCCTCTAACACTACACAAATCACAAAGAAAAGCAATAAAACTATTCTCAAAAATATCTTAGAGACAGAGACTACTACATGCTTAATTGCATATCTAAGTCAAGAAATAAACATCCACATCTTGCAGAACTGTCTCCAGAGTCAATACCTGAGCAGAGTCAGGTGGAGACTGCATGGAAATAAGGGTAGTTATTGAAGGCCTAGAGGTAGCAGAAAGCACACAACATCATCCCCACAAAGAGAAATGCCCACCCAAAGTGGGAAAATGCTCAAAATACAGCTAAGACACACTGAATAAAAGCAGTGCTAATAAGCAATTGAAAAAAAAAAGTACTTGAATGTGTGAAAAATGAAAGTGGCCATCTTCTGAAGATGCTAATTTGGTGGTGGGATTGGAGGAAGCACATTGAAAATCCGGTGTATGTTCATCGGAGGCTAGCTTCAGAAAAGAAGAAAGAAAATGGTGGAAATCAGGGTATTACCAAAGGGAAAAAAAGGGATTATCTCAAAAGCAAAATCTTACCTTCCGCAAAAAGGTAAAATCTGAATCTATTAACACTCCACTACATTGTCTTCACAAATAGGGTATTCATAACCTAAGTAACTTTGTGAACCATGAAAATCTCTCACAATAAATACATAGAAGAATTATTATTGATGGGTGAGAGAATGAGATGTTTTAAAATAACCAAAAAAGACAGGCAACATTCATATAAAGCTGTCATAAAGAGGAAATAGAAAATGTGAATCAAAACACAAATATCTATAAATACTCACAGGAACAAAACATACAGCATAGGAAAATTTTAGTACAGTACCCAAATTTATAAATAATATTTCCAAGTTCCTTTTTTTTTTTAAGATGGAATCCTCCTCTGTCACCCAGGCTGGAGTGCAGTGTCGCGGTCTCGGCTCACTGCAACCTCTGCCTCCCGGGTTCAAGCAATTCTCATGCCTCAGCCTCCCGAGTAGCTGAGATTACAGGCATATGCCACCATGCCCAGCTAATTTTTGTATTTTTAGTAAAGACAGGGTTTTGCCATGTTGGCCAGGCTGGTCTCAGACTCCTGACTTTAAGTGATCTGCCCACCTCACCCTCCCAAAGTGCTGGGGTTATAGATGTTAGCCACCGTGCCTGGTGAAAATAATATTCTTAAGCAGCACTTGCAGGTATGAAGGAATAACTTTAATCAGAAACTTAGAAAATAAATAGAAAAAACAGGAATGTTTGAAAAGTCAGATGAGTTAAGGAAGAAAATTTTAAAATAGACAAAATATCATATGACCAAAGATTAAATAATAAGATAACCAATGGAGAACTATTTATCTGAAAATATAATAGGGGTATTTAAAAGGAATCAAAACAGCTTAAAAATGAAATAAATACAATTTTTAAAAATCAGAATATTTAGAGTGTAGGCAAAAATGAGCCAGTAAACATATAATTGAAAAGTGTGAAAAAGAAAGATAAAACTATGGAACAAAGCTAATAAAACTAGAATGTAAGAAAAGTTTAGAGAGTTTTACCCATAATATGTTATCGTTGATGATTAATTGAAGCATGGCCCACTTTTATTTAGTCAGTCGTTAACTAGTTGTTTTTAATAATGCAATGTACAACCTTGAACCTATGACCCACATTACTTTTTTTACTTAATATTATATCTCTGAGATCCACCCATCTCATTGCATGCCATTTGTGTTCATTCATTTTGACAGTTACATAATAGTATATATTATGTGATATCACAGTTTACTCTCCTTTCTATGGGCATTTTTTTTTCAAAATGTTTAGTATATTAAATGATGCTCCTATGAATCTAGCTGATAATGGGAATTTGTGGATGCTTTGCTGAATTTAAATTCTAAAAAAGCAAAAATGCAAAATATAATTCTTTGAGTATTAAACCAGACAGATAACATGCAACATATTTCTAAATGTATCTTGTTGGACCAAATATCAGATTGAATTCTCAAACTGGAGCAATTTATTAAAATTGACCATATGCTGAAAACCAAAATGAAGAGGATATAGTATAATGGGCTCTCCCAGTTCCCCATAATTTATGTCTGACCTCTCAGGAGCATTTTTAGGACAAGGTGATTTCATTCATCCCTTTGTCCATGGTAGAGTCTAGTACCCTACCCTATAAAACATAGCAAGTAAATATCAGAAAAATAGTAAGTTAATGAGTGAATGGATAGATAAGTCATTTAGCATAACTTTTCAAACAGAAAGTGTTTTTGCAACATTATTAGAATATTTCTCACTAGTGGATCTTAAGAAGTTTAAAAATAATATCAAACATAAAATATTCTTCTGAAATTGAAATTTGCTTTATTACCAGACAGCCCAGTACAATTAACTACATTGTCTGCTGTTAACAAAAATCTTTGACTCTTTGCTATAATTATTTTGATGCACTTATTTATACACACACAGACACACACAAACTGTTTCCATTTTCTAGTAATGTAGGACACATTCACATATTCAAAAAAATTTTTATAAAATTAAGATGCTATCATATTAACCTCAAAATGAAAGCTAGACTATTGTATTCCTTCCAGAACATTTTAGGCAAGGACGTGTCATCTTACATTAACTTTAAACATAGGGTCTCTTTACTCTTGTAAAAAAATGTATAATCTAAATTATATAATATTTATTACAGACTAAAGCAGAAAAATACTTATGTAAGTTATTTTAATGAAATACTCTGCAAAAGAAGTTGTAAGAGGCAACTGTGGGTACAGTTCCTGATCTATACTAAGTATAATAGAATGATGAAAACTTTGAAATATAACCACATCAAAGTTAAAATTTCTCACAAATAAAAGCAAATGCAGAAATTCAGTAGAATTAGGAAGAGCTATGACATAATAAATCACAAACTGTAATGAAATGCATCTATTAAATAGCAATTACTACTTTGGTTTTAGAAATATTGAAAGTCTTAAATTTATCTTTAACATTAATGAGTACATCTAATACACAGATGTGATACTGTAAGAATTCTGTGATAAATATTTTTGAATACTCAGCACAAACTAAAAAATTTTTAGTTTACTAAATTAGCTCTATGTCTTTTGATTGAAAAAAAAAAAAACTCCATGACAAATCTGATAAAGCAGAGTGCCTGCAAAGATGTTTAAGAGACTATGCAAATTTCATTTATACTAGTGGCAAAATTGATATGAGGAGTAATACATAGCTAATTCTTCGTTTTTATCATTTACTTCTGTCCACATAAAATTCAATTTAATCTACTCTGCTTCAGCTCTGCTCTGTGCCAAGGAATGTTTTTGGTTGGAATGAAAAAAGCATGGCATGTTATGACCCTATTCAGAGAATACCAATGTTACCATGTCTATAATCTATTTTAAAATACCTTCTATATAGAAGGCGGACGTTATGTTGGTGTTGGTAAGTTTAAGCTCTACTCCAAGGATGGTCAATTTCTAATCAGAAAATTACACTTCAGAGGTGATCCATTATCATTTAATCAGAAAGGCCACTCCAGAGTCAGCTTCTAGAACTTGCACTCTTATCTTGAACAACGCCAGAAATGTTACTAATTGACAAAGCAAACATTAGAAATAAATTTTTATGGGTGAAAAGTAGCCTGTTAGTGAGTCAAATGGATATTTAAAAGACTCGCCTTGGTGATATATATATGTATTTTTTTTCTATACTCTTAAAGATGGCATCAGATGCTATGTTTCCTCATTGGTTCTAAGGATATCTGATTGAATTAGAAGCAATCTAGTTTGCTAGATGGTTGGATACATGCTGTGCTAGAATATTTAGAATATTACTACTGCTTTCACTTGAGAGGAACCTTTCATGCAAGGTGGATTTACATTACCTAAAATGAGCACTAGCTAGGATTTCTTTGAGCTCAGGGAACAAGCTGGGGACTGCTAAGTACCTGTTTACTGATAACTGTGAAGATAAATTTGATCTGCTACTTCCCTTCATTACAACTTGGTTGAGAATTTTCAGAAAAGTACCTAATCCTTACCTACCACTAATTAATTATAGACTGCTATCATTATCTAATAAAAAGTGAAAAAAAAATCTTTAGCAGCACCTACGGGGGGAAAAAAAAGAAAAATCCTTTAGTAGTTGTGCTTTAGCTAAGTTTAGACTAGCTTTTTCAACCGTAAGTAATGTGAAAATATGGAGCTGTGTCAAGCCTGGTCTTGGTTTTTCAAGAATAAAGACATCTCTAGATAATATAAAATCATCTTGAAATCTATATCACGGAAGCAAATGGCCATGCGGTGAATCTCTAAAATATAGTGTCTATTTAACGCTGTTGTTTGCTACAGTAGGTAGCTAGTCAGACATGAACAGGGCAGGAGAAGGGCCCCCCACCAACCCCCAACGAGGAATGTCAGGCGACCATCAGGTGATGGTCAGGTGGTTGTTAACTGTCTCTCTAAAATAGTAATTGGTTGCAGCCAGCACCAGGGAAAAGGAGTCTCCTAATAGATAGCTAACACCTGAAACTGGTGATTAGCAGCTTCCTGATAAGATCTCAGGAGCTGGGCAAGTGGGCTCACACATGTACTATTAAGAAGCAAAATGGCGGCACTAACAGGCATGTGACCTCCTAGGGTAGGGACATTTGACTGGTAAGGAAAGAACGCCTGAAGTGAGCATGCATACAACTCTAGTAAACACACTGAACATGCTCATCTCCCAAGTGCCAGCAGCCACTGTGCATGTGGACAGCCCCACCAAAGGGAAGAATCAAGGGAGAAGAGAGGCAAGACCCCCGGAAATATGCCAAAGTATAAAATGGCAAGTCAAAACATTAAACCACACACTTGTCCTTCAAGTTGCCCACTTGGCCCTCTTCCTAGTGTACTTTCTTTCCTTTTGTTCCTGTTCTAAAGATTTTTAATAAACTTTCACTCCTGCTCTAAAACATGCCTCAGTATCTCCTTCTGCCTTATGCCCCTAGTTTAATTTTTTCTTCTGAGAAGGCAAGAGTTGAGGCTGTTGCAGACCCATACAGATTCACTGCCAGTAACACTATGATCTTACACATTCTCTGTTAATTATTATTTGACCCAAAGCTAAGAAGCATAATGGATACAGTGATAGTATTATTTAATGACATTGAGTACTTTACTCATTCATTTCACTAAAAAAATCTGAATATTTTCCACCTGAGTTTCATTTTGCCAAGGAAAGGATTTTATAGAAAAAAATGTATTTTCTTTAATGTTTACATAAATAGCAAGAAAGGGGAAAGACCAACTACGATAGAATCAGAGGATTTTTTTTCCTTCCTAAGAATCGGTTGATTTATTTCAGGTTTTGCGGAAAAAGTGTGATTCCCCAGATCGTTGTTGCCCAGTAGCATTTTATGGCCTGTATTTCTGGTTGTTTTTGTTTTGTTTTGTTTTGTTCTGTTTTGAGACGGAGTTTCACTCTTGTTGCCCAGGCTGGAGTGCAATGGCACGATCTCAGCTCATTGCAACCTCCGCCTCCTGGGTTCAAGCGATTCTCCTGCCTCAGCCTCCTTCATAGCTGGGATTACAGGCATGTCCCACCATGCCTGGCTAATTTTATATTTTCAGTAGAGAGGGTTTCTCCAAGTTGGTCAGGCTGGTGTCGAACTCCCTATCTCAGGTGATCCACCTGCCTCGGCCTCCCAAAGTGCTGGGATTACAGGGGCCTGTATTTCTTAGTTTACAAGGAGCAACTGGATTTAAGGGCCTACTTAACTTATGCAAATGGTGTGGGTAGATAGTAATGTTACTCAAGACAGGAAATTTTCTGGGGTGAAATGCAAACTATTTTCTCTTGAAGTTGCTTGTTTTTGTCAACTCTGTCTCTTTAAAAACATTTCATTATTGCAAGAGAATAATTCAAATAGGTGAAAAATTAAATAATTAGGTAATCCACTAAGTATAAGAGTGAAGCAGGAGATTGAAATTCAGTTTTTGATGACAGGTAATCTGCCAAGGTGTCCAAATGCACAATAACACAAGATAGAAAAATCAAGGCTAGGAAAAAACAGCTTATATAAATTTATCTCTCCTCTTCCCCATACAACTATGATAATCTCAAATTTAAGAGAAATAAAATGAAAGGTATTATTTGAAAATATTAGAAGTAAGAATATAATTAAATACACACTTAAAATTTTAAAGTTGAAATTTGAATTTAATGCCACCAGACACTAAGAAAATTCTCCAAAGTTATAAACCTTTTCAGAAAGATAAAAGGCATACTAAGAAGAATTCCACATAGGCATATCAATTGAACTCTATGGCAGTTGTCATATGGAATTAAGTTAACTGTCTTTCAGACTCATTAAACATTTCTAATTATTTTGACAAATTATAGGAATGTTAGGTTGATATCAAAAGACTCGTGGAAATGAAGAGATCTTCATAAATAGATATGATTGATTAATTAAAACTAGTGAAACAAAAATAGAAGTGACATATATATAAATGAGAAAATGAAGAAACCATTTTTGTTATTTACAGGGTAAAAATGGTGCTAAAATAACCATATTTCTATAGTAATATATATGCAGTTTGGCATAAAGAACATGTATGAGAAATCATAATATCTTCATAAAAGTGAATACATTACCAATTTTATCCTTTAATATTTCTAAATTATCTCAATTAAGTATCACATCAACACTTACAAACATTCTTACCCTCACTTCACAAATAAAAAAACAATTTCTGAGACACTTGGAGAGCTTATATTATAATACAAAATCTATGCCACAGAATCTGTACTTTGTTCAATGCCTTTTAAATTCTGATTGGTTATTGTTTCAGACTGTTTTTAATACTTTGCCTTGAGATGCAATATCACTTCTAGGTTTTCCACAGAAAAGATGTTAAGCATATATACAACATCAAGCCTACTAGACAGGTTTGTGTAAAATGGGGAAAACTCTACACACACTCTCCTTAGAGATGGAAGAGTAGTAGGTGTTTCTTTTTTTAAAAAAAATTGAGACTGTAATAATTTTATGTATAAAATTGTTTGTCATGCCAGATCTTCAATCTGCCAAGAGAGAAAGGCGTTCATTTAACCCCCTGTGGACCAGAAGGAAGCCATTAGGCAGACCTGTTCCAGTGATGGAAGCCCAACTAGAAAGTGTTCCATAGTAGTTTGCTAAATGGTGGCCAAGAATATAAGCCACAGTCATTTTTACTGAATTTATTATTGCTTCTAGCATCTTTGCTGCATTTTTAAAATCTCCATAGAAATGTTTTTGAGGGCTGAGTTCTGAGGCAATTAGGATCCAAATACAGATAACAAAGCAGAAAACTGATGCATACACAGGGACTCTCTTATTTTCTCAAAATCCACTAATTGTTTACAGCAAAAGAAAGCTGTAAACACATATTTTCACTGGGTTCATGATTTGAACCCCTCTGTAATCATACTTGAAAATTTAAGATAATCAGCACTTCCTATTAAGGATCAAAGGAAATTCTTTATTTGATACACTTGCCAATCCAATCTTACATATGTTTGTGTGTTTCTGTAGATGTAGATGCATGTCTGTGTATGTATCTGTATGGGTATGTGTTTATAAAGTAGTTCAACAGACATATTTGGAGAAATAACTAAAACCCCAATGTGACCAAGACATCATCCACTTTAGTAAAGGTCATAATAAACATTTCTATTGGAAATTCGAAAAGTATTAGTTTAAAATCACTTTCGTTGTGATATATATTTTATTTTTTCATAACTAGTTTTAAACATGTCTTTTCCAAATAAATTAAGAGATTTGGAGAGCATCCAGAGAATAAATACTTAAGTGATTAGTGAAGTCAAGACAATGTCCTAATTGAAAAAAGTATAGGATCTAAATTTGTTTAACTTGGCAAGAAAAAATTTATAATTTTTTTTTTATATTTTGTGATGTGAGAAAGGAGAAGTAAAAGCAATTATTTAGTATAGTTCATAGGAATATAAGAAGAAAAATAAAATAATCTCGAAAGGAAAAAATATTTATATTTCCCTGAAAACATCATAATTTCAGTTTAGAAAGAGAGTAAATAAAAGTTAATTTCCACTTTAGTAGCTTTGATTCATTGATGTAATTAATAATATCTTCAACTAACCTAGAAACAAAGTTTGTTGAGCAAAAGTCTTGAGAACTAATGACCATTATAGTAACAACAACAATAGCTAAAGCAACCGGGCAAGCACTGTTCCAACTTGAATTTTACAATAACACTGTGATATAGATACTATTATTGTCCCCATTGAATATATGAATAAACTGAGATAAAGATAGATTAAAATGAGACTAAAAATGCCTAATTATTTATATTATTATGTTCTTAAATATATATCATATTGCATATATGATCTATATTTCAAATAATATACTAATTCACCTTAAATGCATACTTTCAGTCATGCTATAAGCAATTGCTGTTTTGGCTACTATTAATAATTGCACAAGGTAATTACAGTGCATGATTTTAAAATAAATATTTTTATTAACAGATTTGTTTGTAATTACATTATATACATGTTAATATATAATTGGTTTTATAACTCACATGGAAAGCATGCTAATATGAAGGACCCTATCTATTTATTCATTAAGTATCCTTATAATTGGAATCTGTAGGCCAAACCATTAATTAAAACAATCAACAATATTTATTACTGCGTATATTTTAGGTCAAGAGTCATACTAGGCCCTGGGATATATCAGAACAAGGCAGTCAAAACCTGTCTTCTTATCTAATGTACCTCTAGTGGAGAAGAAAAAATAACACACAAATAGCATGTATTAATTAGGGTTCTCCAGAGGAAGAGGACCAATAAGATAGATAGATGATAGATGATAGATAGATAGATAGATAGATAGATAGATAGATAGATAGATAGATAATTAGGTTGGCGCAAAAGTAATTGCAGTTTTTGGCATTAATTGTAATTACTTGTAATGAAAAAACCACAATTACTTTTGCACCAACCTATTAGTTACGTAGTTAGAGAAATAGACAGCTAGACTGATAAATGGATAGAAGAAGACTTACAAGAAATTAGCTGATTCAATTATGAAGGTTGGCAAGTCCAAAGTCTGCAGGATGGGCCAACAGGCTGGAAACCCAGGAAGAGCCAATGCTGCTCTTTCAGTCCAAAGGCTGTCAAACTGGAGCCTCATGGGGAGCTGAAGCTGCAGTTCCAGTCCAAAGGTTACCAGGCTGGAGCAGCAGGCAGAGCCAATTTTGCAGTTCAAGTCTAAAGAAAGCCATCTAGCTCTGGGGAGGGAGAGAAGGTGTATTCAGTCAGTTCTTTTTAGGGCCTTCATCTGATTGGACAAGGCCCACCAATATTATGGAGACCAGTCTGCTGTATTTCACCAATTTAAATGTTAATCTCATCCCAAAATAACCTTACAGAAACCCCCCAAATAACGGTTAAGCAAATATCTGGCACCTGATGTCTCACTCAAGCAGACACATAAAATTCACCGTCACACAATTCAGTAATGTGATCCAGAGTTTGGGATTTGAGTGGTCAGAAACTTCTCTCTTACAAGGTCATGTTTAAGTTCAGATCTGCTTGACAAGAAGTGAACACCCATGGGACAGACTCTGGGAAGGGAAATAGTCTGTGAAAGGAATGAGATGGCAAATCAAGGAACAGAACAAAGGGCTATGGGATTACAGCTTTGGGGACAAGGAAAACAAGAGATGGTACCAGATAGGATTGAAAAAAGGCCATATAGACCATGGTTTGCAGTTTAGATTTAATGTTGAGTGGGATAGAAAGCTCCTGAATGATTCCAAGCTGTGGACAACTTATAAATCCAAAAAATCAGCATTGGACCCAGCAGGATTCTCCCTCACAATCTATTTTTATTATTTGATACAACATTCCTCTATATATGATCAGTAACAGCCCACAGACATTTATTGGGTACCTAATATATAACAATGACTATTTAATCAAAAGGGAATCAAAGAATAATGAGACATCATCCCCACTCTCAGTACATTTCAATTCCAAGTACAAAGAAACATGCAAAAACATAACTTTCACTTATATTTATGCTCTATACTTATATTCTGTAGTAGTATGGAAGGCCTTGGGTTGATGCATGGGATTGCCAATTCTAGAGAACTGCTGGTGAATTTATACATGCAGACAAAACCAACAATCAAATTATTAACATCTTAAGTATATTTTTTGCACATATTGACAAGAATTTGTGTGCACTGTATGAGGAATTAATTTTACTTTCAGACCACCTATAGATATCTGAATAGGAAAATAGAATATTTTCTCTACCAGTTTACTGCAAATTAAACCACATCCATTAATGAACTAAGCTAAACACAAAATCTAACAACTTAAGTAACAGATTCTGGCTTTAAATTAAACTGTAGCTTCTTTTCAATTAAAAAATCTAAGTTTAATGAATGCTGTATTAGTAAGAAAAGACTTAAGTGGTTTAAAACTCCATAGACCTTGTCCTATTTGGATATGATAGAAAAATACATATATAGACAGAGCTAAAGATATTTTTTATTTTTACTGACCACAATATAGTATAAATGCTTATTTTAATTTATGATTCCCAGATCAATACTTCCCTATTTCTGTACATTTCATATTCAAATTCCAAATCATTACAGGAATAGGGCTTTAGTTTCACATTCATAATGTCTCCTGAGTATTCATACAAATTGCTTCCGAAAATACTCTCATTAAAAAAGACCCAAGTAATAGACCTTGTAAAGCACTTTAAAAATATGAACCTTGTGTAAATGCTAAGTAGCATTTTTATTAGTGTTAAACATTAAACAATAGCAGAGGGAGTAATAAATTTAGATTTATGGCATGGCCAGGGAAGAAAAATATTTTTATAAGAAGCATCAAAGGACAGTAAAAGAATATTCAAGGAAGCAAAGCCACATAATACTTCAGCATAGAAAAACAGTATTGAAAAACATACCAGACCATATTCCAAGAATCTAGTCTGATATAAAACTTTAATGCCCATAATAATGAATAAAGTAATCAGGGTCAGGAAGACAGACATTTAAGCTATTTGAAAATAAGGCCCAGAAAAGGGCAACCCCAATCAGATTGTGAGTCACCCAGGTTTGATAATGAGAACAGGCCAGTATTTGAGATTTTCATCCAGGAGACATGCAACAATTTGATTAACGTCACCATCTTGTAGTAAAGAATAATCTTCATCTCATCTTCTATTCAAAATGACTGTAGTAAAAAATAGTCTTCATCTAATCTTCCATTCAAAATGGCTTACGGCTCCCACTCTGCCTTCTCCAACTCAACCAACAACAATGGCCTTTCTTTCTTGGGCACTTATTCTATGTTAATTCAGAGCAGTTATGTTTTGGGATGATTGTATTCAGCGAATGCATTTTGGTTGTCCTCATTTTGTCCCTGGACAACAACCCACTGATGATGGCCAGCTTAGCTCCTCTATGAATTCCAAGCTAAGAATGATCTTCCATTTGCAATTGTTATGGTGCTGAAATATAACACTGAAGTTGGGACCTCTGGCTGCCACTGCACTTCTGGCCTGGTGTGGTCCTAATGCAATAGATCCTGCTTAGGTTATTCAAAGAATGACAAAAAAAGAGTCCAGCCTGTCCTGCCATGAATGACCATTGTCTATGCTCTCAAAATCATTGCCTTTTAAAATCAAATACATGGTTCTATCTTCAGAGGGCAAGTCTACCTTAAAAACATGTATTCATGTCAGGTTATCTTCCAGCTCATGGATTTTGACCCATCATTATTCTTTGACATTGCAACTCTGTACAGAAGCAAGCCCAAGTGACAGTCATCATCCTTGTTCTTTTTTTTTTAAATCCAACAGCCACATTTACTCTCCCTCTTACTGAGCTTTTGTCAGGACAAACCTAGTTTATACTGACAGGGCTATTTAGATTTCAGGGAAGAAAAATAGGAGTTCTGTTTCTTTCTCCTACAGAAAGCCCCTAGGCTCAACAAGCAAATTTGCCCCTTCATATTTCAGAAGATTTCAAGATTCCTGTATCAATATTTTTTCACACACATACAGACACACAAATGGTTTTTAAGCTTGTACTTAGCAGTCACCACTGTATGCATAAAAATATTCCCATTTAATCTTTTAATTATGTTATAACATTATCATACATAAGAAATCATATGTAGTATCTTATTGTTTTTATATAAATTATCTATAAGGAATGATACAAATTGTCAATGGGCCTTCAATATCATCTTTTGGCATTCTACATTTAATTATCAAGTATATCTGTTAAATGTAATTCTGACCAAAATTCTAGAGTTGGATAATTGGCACATACAATGCCTTAATATGTATGCTAAAATACTTTTTATTAGAGAAATGCATTACCTAAAGATAGAATTATTGTGATAAATACCTACATTAAAAATAAAGAAAGACTGAAAATAACCTAGCTCTACACCTGAAGGAACAAGAAAAAAAGAATAAACTAATCTCAAAGTTAACACAAGAAAGGAAATAATAAATATTAGAGTTGACGTAAATGAGAGAATAGAAAGACAATAGAAAAAAGTAACAAAAATAAGAGCTTGTTTTTTAAAAAGGTAAACAAATTCAACCAACTCTTAACTAGATTAAGTAAAATAGAGAATATTCAACTAAATAAAATTATATATAGAAGAAAAGACATTACAAACAATGCTACAGAAAGAAAAAAGATCATGAGTAACAATCATGCACCAATAAATTGGACAACCTAAAAGAATGGATACATTTTTAGAAATGTACAATGTATTAAGACCGGATTAAAAAGAAATAGAAAGCCTGAACAAATCAGTAACAAATAAGAAGATTGAATCAGTAATCAAAAGACTTCCAAAAAAGAAAACTCTAGAACAAAATGGCCTCACAGGTGAATTCCAAAAACTAACTGAAGAAGGTTTAAAAAAAAACACACACACAAGAAAAGAAACTTCAAGCCAAAATCTGTGATGAACATGGATGCAAGAAAACCCTCAAAAAAAATACTAGGAAACTGAATTCAACAAGCACATGACCAACTGAGATTTATCTCTTAGATGCAAGGATGGTTTGACAAGCATAAATCAATCAATATGATACACCAAATAACAGAGTTAAACATAAAAATCACATAATCATCTCGATATTTGCAGAAAAAGCATGTGACAAAATTCAATGTTCAAGATAACAGAATCTTTCAACAAATTAGCTTATAAAAGAAACTTGCCTCAACACAATAATGGCCACATATGAAAGCCCACAGATAACTTCATGCTCAATGGTAAAAAATTAGAAGCTTTTTCTCTAAGATCTAGAGCATGCTGAGGATGCCTACCCTCACTACTGCTATTCAACACAGTACTAAAATTTCTAGCCAGAGCAATTAGTCAAGAAAAAGAAACAAATGGCATCCAAATTGGAAAAGCAGAAGTAAAATTTATCTCCACAGATGACATGATCTTGAATGTGGAAAATCCTAAAGACTTTACAGTAAATAAACAAACAAAAAACAAATTCAGCAATGTTGCAGGATACAAAATCAACACATACTAATTTTGGATTTCTATAAACTAGCAACAAACTATCTGTTAAAGAAATTAATCACATTTATAATAACATCAAAAAGTGTAAATACCTCAAAGCAGTTGTAAGTAAGAAGGTAAAAGACATGTACACTGAACACTATAAAACACTGATTAAAGAAATTAAGACACAAATAAATGCAAACATCTGCTCATCATGAAATGGAATAATTAATATTGTTGAAATATTCTTACTGCTCACAATAATCCACAGATTCAATGCAATCCCTGCTGAAATCCCAATAGTGTTTTTATACATATAGAAAAAAGATTTCTAAAACTTTTACAGAATCACAAAGACCCTGAATAGACAAAACAATCTTGTCAAAGAACAATGTTGAGAGCTTTATAAATCCTGATTTCAGAACATAATACGAAGGTACAGTAATCCAAACAGTATGTTACTGGAATAAAGAGAGATACATAACAATAAATTACAATACAGAGCCTTATAGTCAACTAATCTTGAAAAAGGGTGCCAAGACAATACAATGGGAAATATATATATGGAACTCCCACAAGTTGATAGCAAACAAAGAACCACACAAATAACTTGATTTAAAAATGGCCTAAGGAACCAAATACACATTTCTCAAATGAAGGTGTACAAATGGCCACAGGTACATGAAAATAATGCTCAACATCTCTAATTATCAGGTAAATGAAAAAACGCAATGAGATATTACCTCCCATGTATTAGGATGGCTGTTACCAAAACTTCAATAAGCAACAAGTGTTGATCAGGATGTGGAGAGAAAGGAATTTTTGTATACTGTTGGTGGGAATGTAAATTAGTGCCACTACTATGAAAAATACTATGGAAGTGTCTCAAAAATGAAAAATATAAATATCATATGATCCAACAATTTCACTTCTGGATATATATCCAAAGAAATTGAAATCAGGATCTCAAAAAGATAATTGCCTTCCCATGTTCATTGCAGGATTTATTCATAATCAAGACATCATATCCATTGTCAAGACATGGAAGCAACTGAAATGTCCATGAATGGATAAATACAGAAAATATGGTATATACATACCATTGAATATTTTACAACCTTAAAAATGAAGGAAACCCTGTCATTTGTGAACAAAATGGATAAACCCGGAGGACATTATGCTAAGCTACACACAGAAAGACAAATAGTACATCATGCCACTTATATAATGAATCTAAAATAGACTCAGAAGCAGAGGGTTGAAAGGTGGTTGCCAGGGGTTTGCAGGTTGCACGGGGGCGGGGGAGGTGCAGAACTGAAAGGTATTAGTCAAAGGTACAAAATTTCAGTTATACAAGATGAATAAGTTCCAGAGACCTACTGTGTAGTATAGAGCCTATGTAACAATACTGTATTTTATGTTTAAAAATTTGCTAAGATGGTAGATATGTTAAGTATTCTTATAACAAAAGGAAAAAATAATAATAAACAAATAGAGTAAGAGAAATTTTGGAGGTGATAGGCTTAAGGCATAGATTGGTATGATTATATTTAGCAAATTGAATGTATTTTTAATTTAATTGTAATATTTTATATTATTTTGAAAAATGATATAAAATTAGTTTGAGATTTTACTGGGTCAAATGTGAGGTTAAAATGTTAAGTCTAAGTACACATATGCAACACATGCACACAAACCCAAGAAAATCGAGATGCAGTACACCCAAACCAGAAAATGAAAAATGTATTTAAATTAAAAATATTTCAAACAATTCAATGAAATCCAGATAGTAGCAATAAGTTTAGGTATATTAGCAATAATAATAAAAAATAATCAGGGATCAACTCAATTAAATGTGACAAAAGAACCAAATATAAATTTGAGAAAAAGAATTGCAAGGTTATTAAATTAAATAGAACCTAAAATTCAGTTCCATAGTGTTTACAAAAGATGTAAAAAACATATAAAGAAACACAACAGATAAAAGCAAAATAAAGGAGAAAGATACTTCCAGCAATACTGAATGCAAGAGGAGGGGAAGGGGAGGGGAGGGGAAGGGAGGGAAAGTGAGGAGGGGAATGGAGGGGAGGAAAGAAGGGAAGGAAAGGTGGGGAGAGGGAAGAGAAGAGGGTAGGAGGAGAGGAGAACGGGAGGGGATGGGAAAGGAAAAGGGGTAGGTAGGAGGGCAGGGGAGAGAGGAGGGGAAGGGAAGGGAGGAGAGGGGAGGGGGGAGAGGAGGAGAAGGAAGAGCAGGATAGGCGAACAAGGATTTAGATACAAACAATAAAAACAATAATATAAGAATATAGTGCCATGTACCTAATAATTATACTTATGTGCCCAAGAATTTCCTTTTCAGGCAAACATGCAGCACATTTACAAAACTTGATCATATTCTCAACCACTAAGCAAATCTCAACAAATATCAAAATGACCATATCGTACAGATCATGTTTCCAACATATAATCAAATTTATTAAACTAATTTAATTATTTGAAAATTAATACATAAACTTGTAACAGGAGTCAAAGAATCAAAATAAATATAGACATTTAGAACTGAGATTAGTAACCCCATATATTGAAATTTGGGGATATTTATGTAAAGCAATTCGTAGAGAAAATTCTAATGCTTTAAAATTAAAGGGTTAAGTGTAAGTGACACAAAACTTCATTACTGAGGCAACAGTGATCCCTTTTGTCTCTCCTTATTTTTTGATTTTGGAATCCATATTTATAGGAAAGCAGAACACTAGCCACAACAAATACATAATGACTATTCTAAAGATTTCACTGGGAAAATATAGCAATTAAATTATGTGTATGCCTAAGAAGAAAGCATCTCAATTTATAAAGGGAAAACTGAAAGAATTATGAGATGAAAATAATAAATCCATAATCACAGTGAGTAAATTTAGCTTATTTATCTCAGTAATTGGTTTATAAAAGATCCAAAAAACGAGAGAAAGGAGAGAAGAGAGTAGGGGTGGGTAAGGAAGGCAGAGGAAGGGAGGGTAAGGGAGTGGGGAGGAGGGGAGGACAAGGGAGGAGAAGAGAGGAGAAAAGGGGGGAGGAGAGGAGAAAAGGGGAGAGGAGAGCAGATGAGGGGAGGGGAGAAAAAGAAAGGGGAAGGGAGAAGGGAGGGAAGGGGGAGGGAAGGGGGGAGTAGAAGGGAGGAGAGGGAAGGGGAGGATGGGGGAGAGGAGGGGAGGACAAGGGAAGGTAGGGAAGTAGAAGAGGAGAGCTGGGAGAGGAGGAAAGGAGAAGAAGAGGGGAGGGGAGGGGGAATGAGAGGAGAGGAAGGAGTTAGTTATTTAATTCAGCTTTTTGTGACAAGGTGAGCTGTTTTTGTAAGGATAGATTTGATTTCAAGTCACAAGGCCCAGAGGAGAATGCTGAGTGGGGCCACTAAATAACAAAACTATGAAGAAAAAAAATTATTAAATCTACTTGTGAATAGCAACTCAGCCAAAGCAACTTTGAAGAAGTCTGCAAATTTGCTCAACAAAATATCAAGATTTGGCCCAAAGTTAAAATAAATATGGCCACTGGTTTCTGAATAGTTATATACAGAATGGTAAATGACATTAAACAACCAGTTTAGAAACATACCTACATATAGATGCTTTGCTAATCAGGATAAAAGATTGACTCATCAATAAATGACACTAGGAGGACTAGTGTCCTATATCCAATATAGAAAAAAAAATCAGTCACCTCCTCATATCAGATTTAAAATCCACCCATTTCAGAGCAGTAATGACCTAAATATTTTAAGTCTGTAAAACTTTTAGAACAAGGCATTGAAAAATATTTTTCTAATAGCAGAGTAAGAAAACATATCTTAATTGTGACACAGGTAGCACAAAAGCACAAGATAAAGGACAAATAATTGTTTTCTGTAATTTATCCTTTCCCATGCCTTCCACTTTCCTTTCAGTTCCCATTAACACCCTGACCTGCTGTTCTCATTGCCCAGAATGTCCATCTAAACTCCATTCCCAGCCTTCACCCTACTTAACTCCAATGCATCCTTCAGATCTTGACTCTAATGCCCAATTTTTTCAAGAAAGCCTTTCTTGGCATCCCAACCTAAAAGTAATTTAAGTGTCTCTTTGCTACAGGAATGTGAACCCCTAGGAGCTCCCTTTCTTAGTATCCATCACTGCTCGTATCATGTTTATTTGTGTGATTATTTAATGTCTGGCTTCATGAACTACACTGCATGTTTTAGGATCATCAATTTGTCTCCAAAACCTACATCAGTGGCTAGGACAAAAGAGAATCATAAATATATGCAGAATAAACAAATGAAAGATACTGGTTTCATTGGAAAAGTGTAGAGAAAAATGGAAAAGTCTTTATAAAGATATGTATAAAGGTGGAATGTATGCTAGAATTTTGTAACTATATGGGCTTTGGACATATGAGAAGTGTGGACACCATCCTTAGATAAGTGAATAATAAAAAAAATGGGAAACCTTAGTGCTTTTTCTACCAATCCTACTGGTTGTAATCTCTCCACACTTTAAGCCAATTTTCCTGTCTGTAATTCACTTTGAGGCAGATTCCTTGCTCTAATTATCTGTGTGCTCTTCATTACTTCACTTATTTGAGCCCAACAGACAAGGTCTATTTACTCATGGATATTTTATTGTTATTGTAGGTAATGAGGGGCAGAAAATTAAAATTTAATGAGAAAATATTCAACCTCATATTATAATTGAAAAGTGCTTGAATAATATATAAAAATAAGCCATAGGATAATGTCCTTGAAAGAAACTAGATTATACTGGATAGCTAGATTACACTTCACTTAGGAGGTAACCTTTAAGCTGATATTTTAATATGGACCCCTAAGCTCTTAATGTATTGTGATGGTTTATAATGTTAGTAGCAGTTTGATTATTGTGCATTAGGTTTAATTGAATATTTGTGCAATCACTTTAAATCCTGATAGCTCCTTGTAGCTTTCTGTCACTAAACTAGGTCAGGAGATAAAAAGTTACCTCTATAATAGTTAAATAACTTTTCAGTAGTCATTAAAACTGTAATCAAAGGGAGAAGAATGCCAACCCTGACCTAACTTCTGATTGTCCATCTTATGAAATATAAGCAATGACCCTCCTTTCCACTCCCAGGCTCCTTGCTGAAAGTTCTTTTACTGACACTGTTGCTATCCTATGAAGTATATTCTCAAAATTCTAATTAATTTATTCTCTTTAGCTCCTCAAAGAGCCTACACACAGTTACATATATTGATTTTTGTATATTTTTAGCTAATATACAAATAGATCAGTCTTCAAGTGTCAATAACCATAACTCAGCTAAAACAAAATGAAAACAATTGTTAACAGACGTTTTCTAGTTAATTGTATATACATATTCCCTACGTTAGTTTACTATGCTGCATATCAAATTACCACAAATTTAATGGCTTACAATGGCACATATTTATTCCCAGTTGCTGTGGGTAGAGAGTCTGGGCTTGGTTTATCTGGGTTCCTGTAAGGCTGCCATCAAGATGCTGGCCAGGACTGGCGCTTATCTGGAGGCTCAACTTGGGGTAGAACCAATTTCAAGTTTAGTCTTGAGGGTGACAGAGTTCACTTCCTTGTGTCGAGAAGTGAACTGTACCAACAATCTGATTAAACCGGAAACTAGACATATTTCCCCGTTTAGCAAGGGATAATTTGCTTTTTTACCAAGCAAATGATAATTTCCTTTTTTAGAGCTAGCGCTGAAAATGAAAAACTCTAGATTCTGTTAGTTAAACATTCTTCTTAAACATAACACAATCACAAAAATGACATCCCATCACTTTTGTCATATTTCATTGGTTAGGAGCAAGTCACAGTCCGCTTCAATGTTTTAGGGAGGGGAAAATAGGAAAGTGTGAATAACAAGAGGTGAGGATCATAGGGCCACCTTAAAATCTGTCTGTCGCAGTATCTTTTTCTAAGTTTTCTGCTTTGAGATAAATTTTTTATATACTGTGAGTTTTGTGCTAAATGCCTACATTATATACATTACTAGCAATAATTATAGCAATTATAAGACAGCCAATATTTAGGTAGTACCATTCTCTTCATCTAATGTTTTCTTATGAACATAGTGCAACATAGTGAGGTAAGAAGTAGCTATAGCAGCAGCAGCATACCTATTTTATGCTTGAGGAAATCAAAACCCAGGGCAATTGTGTATTCTCAAGATCCCATGATCTATGAGTAGCAGAGCTGGAATTTGAACACAGGCTTTCCAATAATAATTCCAGTGCTTAGATTTACAAACGTGCTTCACTAGAAAATGCATTTGCAAAGATTGGCATCCTCAAATTTGGAAAAATTGGTGTAACACCAGGAGATCCAGAAAATTATTTATGGGCTCCAAACTTAATGTATCTCTTTACCACTTAATGATTGAAGGAAATGAATAATACTTTATTCCAGCCAAGAAGGGAATGACTGCTATGTAAGCATTTCTGTATTGTTAGCTGCTTCTAATTTTTGCCTTCCATTTGTGGTCTGTCTTTGTCAGATGTGTTTTATCTCTCATCTACAAGGAACAGAATTTCTTCTTTTTTTTTTTTTTGAAAAATGCCACAGAATAATCTCTGTGGTCATAGGTGACTCATAACTTAATAATTACCTCTCCTCTTTCCATTATATAATTAATGTTTTTAAAGAGAATAGAAATATTTTCTTTTGAAGATTTAAATTTAATAAACAATATCCAGGTACAGGAAGGTTAAAGATCACCAGCTAAGATTTAAACCAAGCAAGTCTACCCCAAGATATGTAATAATCAAGCTCTCAAAAATAAAGAGAGGATCCTGAAAGCAAGAGAAAAGAATAAAATAACATGAAAGTTCCAGTTCCTCTGGAAACAGACTTCTGACTAGAAACTTTACAGGCCATGAGAGAGTAGGATGATATATTGAAAGTACTAAAAGACAACAAAAAAACAGCCAACCAAGAATAGAGCACTCAGCAAGGCTACCCTACAGAAATAAAGGAGAGAGAAAAACATTCCCTGACAAACAAAACCTAAGATAATTTATTACCACCAGACCTGTCATACAAAATATGCCGAGAGTTCTTCAAACTGAAAAACAAGATTCTAATGTGTAACAAGAAAATACCTGAAGGTATAAATTTACTGGTAAGAGTTAGTATATAAACAAACACACAATACTCATACTGTAATTGTGGTGTTTAAACCACTTATATTTTTCATATGAAGATTAAAAGAGAAAATTATTAAAATAATAACTACATTAACTTGTCAAGAGATATGTGATATAAAAAGATGTAAAGTAAAACATCTAAAATTTCAAATGGAGAATGATGTTAAGGTGTACAGGTTTTTATTTTGTTTGCTTTTTTTTCTATTTTTCAATCAAATTTATGTTTCTATCCTCCTAAAATAACTTGTCATAATACATAAATACAATATATTTTTGTAAGCCTCATGGTAACCACAAAGCAAAAACCTGTAATATATATACCAGAAATAAAAATAAAGGAAATCAACCCTAGAGAAAATCACCTAACCAGAAAGGAAGACAGCAAGAGAGAAAAAAGGGAGAAAGGAACTACAAAATTCTCAAAAACAAATAACAAAATGGGAATAGTAAGACCTTACTTATTGATTATATCCTTAGATACAAATGAATTAAATTCTCCATTAAAAGACATAAAATAATTGTATGGATTAAAAATAAAGACCTAACTATATGCTGCTTACAATAAACTTGCCTCACCTGTAAGGACATGCATAGACTAAAAGTGAAAGGATGGAAGGAAAATATTCCATACAAATAGAAGCAAAAAGAGAGAGCAACAGCTGTCTATTTTGATTTAAATAGACTTTAAATAAAAAGTAGTAAATAATAAAAGGAAGATTATTACATAAAAAGGGTTAATTCACCAAGAGGATATTACAATTATAAATATACATGCATCTAACATTGGACAACCTAAATATATGAAGCAAATATTAACCGATCTAAAGGGAAAGATCAGTACAGTAAAAGTAGGGGACATAAACACTGCACTTTCAGCAATGGATAGATCATCCAAACAAAAAGTCAACAAAGAAAGAGCAAAGTTACATTATATCCTCTAGATTAAATAAACCTATAAACATCTATAGAACATTCTACCCAACATCTTCAGAATACACATTCTTCTAGACAGCACATTGAATATTTTTCAGGATATATCATACGATAAGCCACAAACCAAGTCTCAACAAATTTTTAAAAACTGAAGTCATACCAACTATCTTTTCCAAACACCATACAATAAAACTAAAAATCAATAACAAAAAGGACTTAGAAAAGTATGCAAATACATGAAAATTAAACAACATGACCCTGAACAAATAATGGGTGAATAAATAAAAAGAAATTACTTTGGAATTTTAAGAGAAATGATAATTGGAAACACAAAATAGCAAAACCTGAGAAATACAGCAAAAGTATCACTAAGAGTAAAGTTTGTAACTAATGCCTACAACGACAACAACAAAAAAAAAACTCAAAAGATTTGAAATAAACAGCTTAATATTACAACTCAGGGGATTAGAAAATAAGATCAAAACAACCCCACAATAAGTAGAAGAAAAAAATTGAAGATCTGAGCAAAAATAAATAAAATAGAGAAAAAATAGGATCAACAATATTAAGAGTTGGTTTTTTGAAAAGAAAAGCAAAATTGACAAGCTTTCATCTAGACTAAGAAAAAAAGAGAATACTCAAATAAATAAAATCAGAAATGAAGAGGGAGTCATTACAACTGAAACCATAGAAATACAAAAAATCATTAGGGACTATTACAATCAATATATGCCAAAAAATTCAAAACCCTAGAAGAAATGGATACATGTTTGGACACATACAACTTACCATGATTGAATTATAAAGACATAGAGAATCTGAAAAGACCAAAAATGAGTAATGAAATTGAATCTGTATTAAAAAGTCATCCATCAAAGGAAAGCTCAGAAGTTGATAGATTCACTTCTGAATTTTAACAAACATTTAAAGAAAAATACCAATTCATTTCAGTTTGTTCAAAAAATTGAGGGGGAGGGAATTTTTCCAAACTCATTCTACAAGGACAACACTGCTCTAATAAGAAAACTAGAAATGAGCACAACAGTAAAAGAAAACCACAGGCCAATATCCCTAATCAACATTGATGCAAAAATCCTCAAGAAAACACTAGCAAACCAAATCCAACGGCACATCAAAAAGACTACATACAATGATCAGGTGGGATTCATCTCAGGGATTCAAGGATAGTTCAACACATGCAAATCAATAAACATGATACATTGCATAAACAAAGGACAAAGATATACAATAATCTCAATTGAAACACAACAAACTTTTGATAAAAAACAGCATTCCTATATAATAAAAACTCTCAATGAACTGTGTATAGAAGGAGCATAACTTCAACATAATAAAGGCCATATATGACAAATCCACAGCTAACATCATAATTAATAAGAAAAAGCTTAAACCTTTTGTTTTGATCTAGAAAAAGACAAAGATATCCATTTTTACCACTTTTATTTATCACAGAACTAGAAGTACCAGCCAAAGCAATCAGGTAAGAAAATTAAATAAAGTTATTTGAACTAGAAAATGGAAAGTCAAATTGTCCCTATTTGCAGATGATATGATCTTATATATAGAAAACCCCAAAGACTCCACCAAAAAATTATTAGAACCAATAAACAAATTCTGCAAAGTTGCAAAATATAAAATTAACATATAAACAACAGTAACATTTCTATATTCAAATAGTGAACTATCTGAAAAAAGAAGCAAAAAGAAAGTGAAAGCAAGTTCTTACAATCACTACAAAAATTAAAATACCTAGAAATGAATGTAAACCAAATGGTGAAATCTCTACAGTGAAAACTACGAAACATTTATGAAAGAAATTGAAGAAGACACACATGAAACAAGGAATAATATTTTACATTCATGGAATGGAAGAATTAATATTATTAAAATGTCTACACTACTGAAAGCCATATACAGATTCCATGCAATTCCAATAATATGACCAATGGCATTGTCACAGAAATAGAAAAAAAAATTCTAAACTTTGCATAGAACCACAAAAGACCCCAAATATCCAATCCAATCCTGAGCAAAGAGAACAAAGCTGGAGACATCACACTACATAAGCTATAGTAATCAAAGCAGCATGATACTAACATAATAACAGACACATAGATTTATGGAAAAGCATAGAAAGCTCATAAATCAACCCATACATCTACAGCTAACTGATTTTCTGCAAAGGTGCCAAGTACATACAATGGAGAAAGAATAGTCACTTCAGTAAATAATACAGGAAAAACTGTACTATTCAGGCACAGAAGAATGGAGCTATACCCTTATCTTTGAACATACATAAAAATAAATTCAAAATGAATTAAATACTTAAACATAAGACCCAAAAGTACAAAACTTCTAGAAAAAAAGACATGAGGGAAAGATTCATGACATTGGTGTAGGCAAGGATTATTTTTAATAAAACTTCAAAGGAACCAGCAACAAAAGCAAATATGGACAAATGGGATTACATCAAACTAAGTAGCTTCTGCAAAGAAACAATCAACACAGCAATGAGGCAACCTAAAAAATAGGAGAACATATTTGTACACTATACATCTGACAGGGGGCTAATATCCAAAATATATAAAGAACTCAAACAACTCAACAACAGCAAAAAAAATTATAACCCAATTTAAAAATTGTCAAAATACCTGAACAGACACTTCTTAATAGAATACATACAAACAGCCAACAGATATATTAAAAAATGCTTAACATCACTAATCATAAGGAAAATTCAAACCAGAACTACAAATGAGATACCACTACACTCCAGTCAGAATGGCTACCATCAAAATATGACAAGTGTTGGAAAGAATGTAGAAAAAATGGAACCTTTACACACTGCTGATAAGAATGTAAATCAGTAGAGCCATTATGGAAAACAGTTGTTGAGGCTCCTCAAAAATTAAAAATAGAACTATTGCATGATCCAGCAATCCCAATACTGGTTATACATCCGAAAGAAATGAAATCAGGCTATCAAAAAGGTATCTGCACTCCTGTTTATTATAGCACTAGTCACAATAACCAAGACATGGAATCAACCTAAATGTCCATCAAAAGATGAATGATAAAGAAAATGTGCATATATACCCAATGGAATACTATTCAATTATAAAAAGAAGGAAATCCTGTCATTTGAAGCCACATGATGCATCTGGAGGACATTAAGTTGAGTGAAATAAGCCAGGCACAAAAAGAGAAATATTGCATGCTGTCACTCATATGTGAAATCTCAAAAGTTATACTCAGAGAAGTAGAAAGTAGAATAATGATTACCAGAGTATGAAGAAGGGATGAGAGAAAGGGAGATTGCAAAAGACTTGTCAAAAGTTACAAACCTACAGTTAGAAAAGAGGAATTAGTTCTGGTGGTCTATGGGTTAGAAGGATGACTAGAGTCATCAGTAATGTACTGTATAGTTTAAAATAGTTGGTAGGGAGGTTTTTGAATGTTCTCATAGCAAAGAAACAAATATTTGAGGTGATAAATATACTAATGACTCTGATTTGATTAGACAATTTGCACATGTATCAAAACATCACATTGAAATCCATAAATATGTATAATTATTATGTGTCAATCATAAATTCAAAAAATTTAATAAAAAATGTTTTCAACCAGTTTGCACATCTTTTTCACAACAAAAATAATCACAAATAATGACCTTTGTGCAAATAAATTGACTACATTTTACTCAACGTTAGAGAGAGTTCCTATTTCTTAATTTGGTATTAAGAACCAATGCCTCAAACCTATAATTTCCATAGGAAAATTTCCCTTTATAGTCATGTAAAATTTCTGGTATTGATCCATGCTTGTTTCACACATTCTGATTAGAATGTTTGTCAGATTTTCTTATGTCACCTTAGAGCACCTACTGAAATAGTGTATAGGAGGAAGTCAATTTGGAGACTATGGAGAAGTTGAGCTTATGGGAAAAGGCAGTCTTATAGAAACACTTAGGTACCATCTGAGGATGTGGAGTGAACCACAGTTTGAGCTGCAAATGTGTCAACAAGAGAAAAGGAAAAGAGAGAATGGAACACAAAGATTTTTCTAAAGCTTCTCTGTGTCCACTTCAAAACTCACTCTGGACTATTAAAAAGAAATATATTTAGATAGCATGGTTCTAAAACTCCTGAAAAGTTTCATAAAATTAAAGAATTTCAAAAGTCCAAAATAATTTACAGTGGACTACTTTTGAGGTTATTAGCCTAATTTAAAGAAATCATAATTCACACACATATAAAAACTAAATTTATTTCTTACTTGGGAAAGGAAGAATTGCAAGCAAATGTAATTTATTGCTTAACCAAGAACGAGAATGGGTTATTACAGAGTGTTATGGACCGAATGCTTATGCCACCCCAAAATTCATATATTGAATTCTTAACCTCCAGTGTGATGGTATTTGGAGGTGAGGACTTTGGAAATTAACTAGTGACCCCACACGAAGAAACCAGAGAGCAGTTCACTATATCTATCATGTGAGAATACAGCAAGAAAGCAGCCATCACCAAGACATCGCTACTGAGAACTGCATCTATAACTGCATCTATATACCTTGATCTTGGAATTACCAGCCTCCAGAACTGAGAAATCAGCATTCCTTGTTTAAATCACCCAGTCGGTGGTATTTTTATATAGCAGTCCCAGCAGACTAAGACACAGGGTTTGGAGAAAGTGTGATGTTTATGTAAACATAAGTGAACAGCATTTTGATTCACTAGGAATAAAGGAGAAACATTTTGAGTACAGAGCCAATACTGGTCTGAAGCTGCCTTCAAAACCCTGATTCCTTGAAAATTACAGGATCAGATAAATGTGCAAAATTGCGTCAGCTGTATTTGCTGTGAAAGCCATGATCCCCATAAGTAAATCTGGACTGGAGATGCAGAGAATTTGCAGGAAGGCCTTGGTCTTCACGACTTCACAAACTGAACACAGGTGTGAAAACAGCATGACCCACAAAACTCAGAAAACTTAGGTCAGCGTGGGAGGTTCAGATCTTAGATTTGTGAGGTTCAATAGTCTTAAGTTAAAAATTGAGGGAAAATATTCTTCTTCTGATTAACACTTTTTATATAAAAGAATAAATGGCATTATAGACATTCAAAAGTACCATTAAAGGAAAAGAATAACAACTAAAAGCTATCAGAAGAAAAAGTGTGTGTGTGTGCATGTGTGTGTGTGTATGTTTGTGTGTTTTCTTAATGAAGAAATGAGTTTCACTTTGGCATCACAAATCCAAAGAGGCACACCTGCACCAGGGATTATCTGTAGTTTGATGATATATCCAATAATTTGATAACACTAATGTCAAAAATCGAGAAATTTGTGGTTGAAATGGGAAAGAATTGTAAATGAAAAGAGAAAACATTTTAGCATTTCATACGGCTTCCAAAGTAAGCATCAATTTTTACAAATAGTCCATGACCAAACTGATGGCAGTGGCAGCCCATCTGGAGCGGCTGCTGCCATCATTTTGGCTACAACAGGGAGATGCTGCCAGGGCTGCATTATCCATGGAGCAGGTGAGAGCCAGGGACAAACTGAAGCCCTCATCCTTCCGAGTTGAGGCAGGAGCTCCCCAGGTGCCACTGCAGCCACCCAAGCCATGGCTGCTGACCCAGGCATCCCTGTGCTCTCAGGGCCCCGGAGCAGGTAGGAGCCCCCGCTGCAATGCCCAAATCATGGCGGCAGACCTGGGCCTCCCACACCACAGAGCAGGCAGAAGTCCTGACCTTCCAGGTGCAGCTGCAGCCACCCAAACTGCAGCTGTGGACTTAGGCATCCCTGCACTCTTTGGCACCTGGGAAGGCCCCCCTTCCCTCACAGGCTCGGAATTGTCTGCTGTTGCTGCCTGGCTTCTCCCTGCTCTTGGAGCCCACTCTGATCTCAGAGCAAAGTTGGCGACAAGCCTGGGTGCTTTTGTGGCCCAGCTGTGTCCAGAATTGGTTTCTTCTGGTGGGTTCTCGGTCTTGCTGACTTCAAGTATGAAACCACGGACCCTCATGTTCAGTGTTATAGTCCTTAAAGATGGTGTGTCCTGGGTTTGTTCCTTCAGATGTTCAGATGTGTCTGGAGTTTCTTCCTTCCGGTGGGCTTGCGGTCTTGCTTGACTTCAGGAGTGAAGCCACAGACCTTCGCAGTGAGTGTTACAGCTCTTAAAGGTGGCATGTCGGAGTTGTTTGTTCCTCCCGGTGGGTTTGTGGTCTCGCTGACTTCAGGAGTGAAGCTGCAGACCTTCAAAGTGAGTGTTATAGCTCTTAAAGGTGGTGCATCCAGAGTTGTTTGGTCCGGAGTTGTTTGTTCCTCCCGGTGGGCTCACGGTCTTGCAAACTTCAGGAGTGAAGCCGCAGACTTTCACAGTGAGTGTTACAGCTCATAAAGGTAGTGTGGACTCAAAGAGTGAGCAGCAGCAAGATTTATTGTGAAGAGCAAAAGAACAAAGCTTCCACAGCGTGGAAGGGTACCCGAGCGGGTTGCCACTGCTGGCTCTGGTGGCCAGCTTTTAGTCCCTTATTTGGCCCTGCCCACATCCTGCTGATTGGTCCATTTTACAGAGCGCTGATTGGTGAGTTTACAAACCTTTAGCTAGACACAGAGCACTGATTGGTGTGTTTACAATCCTTTAGCTAGACAGAAAAGTTCTCCAAGTCCCCACCTGACTCAGAAGCCCAGCGGGCTTCACCTCTCACAGCCAGGTGTGCACACACTCAGGGCAGTGCTGACACACCAGCCCCCTGTTGCCTCAGCTCCCTCCAGATTTTTGGGCACTGATGAGCCTATGAGGGATGTTGAGAGGTGCTGAGGGCAGCTTGGCACTGGCTTGCAGGCTCCCCTTGGCACCTACAGTCTGGTTGCCATGAATGGCAGCAGAAGGCAAGCAGGTTCTTGGGCAGAAGGGGGTGGGTTCCTGGTGAGGCCCCACCTTCAGGCCAAGCGTGGCCTGAAGGCTGTGGGCTGGGCTGCCCGTCCTGTGGAGCAGAGTAGGAACTTGTGGTGCCCTTTCTGGGCTGGCCTATGGCTGCTCATGGACCAACTGGTATGCACTTCCTTGCCTCTGAGACCCATAAGAGCTCTGGGCTCAGTGAAAGCTGAGCAGGTATTGGGAAAACCAGCTTCAGAGAGGAGCAACTCACTCTAGGGCTTCCTGTCTGCTGAGAGCTGTGCAGATGATGGGACAACCCTCTGCTGATAGCTGAACACGCTTCAGGATACCCAGGCTGCTGAAAGAAGCTGCCCCCTGTGGGTTTCCTCTGAGCTGCTCTATCACTCAATAAAGCTCCTGTTCATCTTGCTCACCCTCCACTTGTTTGTGTACCTTGTTCTTCCTAGTCACATGACAAGAACTCAGGACCCCCTGAATGCGAGGATAAAAGAGCTGTAACACAAACGGGGCTAAGACATGCCTCTTGCTCAACACATTGCAGGAGAAGAGAAGGAAAGAATAGCTCCAGCACTTCAGGGAGCTCAGACTTGGGAGCTCCCTAAGCCAGGGCTGTGACTCCTCCTTTGGGGCCCCATGAACCTGGTGTCTCCAAGCTTCCAGGAGCCACTGTGTTCCTTGTTGCTAGCCACAGCAGCTGCTTGCAGTGCACCTGGCCTGGCCACAGCCTCACAGAAAGCCAGTGCCCATGCTGGCACCTGGAGCTGGCCACCATGCTACAGCTGCTGGCATATCTGACAATGCACAGTGGCTGGACCCCACCCTCTCTCACACATCCCTTGCCATTCCACACCTTACTCGCCACTGGCAGTCATGAAACCCACCTGGTAGCTTGAGCTGAGCACAGCCTTCCAGGTGGAGTGGGCAAAAAGGGTCCAGCAAGCCCAAGCAAAACTCGAGCAAAAGCACCACCAGCCACAGAGGTTTCTAGCCAGAAAAATGACACCACTATATTAGCCCGTGTTCATGCTGCTGATAAAGACATACCCGAGACTGGGCAATTTATACAAGAAAAACGATTTCATGGACTTGCAGTTCCACATTGCTGGGAAGCCTCACAATCATGGTGGAAGGTAAGGAGAAGCAAGTCACATATTACACGGATGGCAGTAGGCAAAGAAAAGAGAGCTTGTGCAGGGAAATTCCCATTTTTAAGACCATCAGATCTCATAAGATTATTCACTATCACAAGAACAGCAAAAAGAAAGACCCACTCCCATGATTCAATTACCTACCACCAGGTCCCTCCCACGACACAGGGGAATTGTGAGAGTTATAATTCAAGATGTGATTTGGGTGTGGACATGGCCAAACCATAACAATACCAAAGATCCCATAACACAATGATATAAATGTCTAAATTAATTTTAAAAACACCTAAATATTTTTGATAACAGATATTTGTCACTTCTAAAAATATTAAAAAGAGAGACCTACCATAATATTGACTAATAATAAAAATATCAGTCATTCTCAAATTAGTATATGATTTTAATATAATTATAATTTAAGTCTCAATATTTTTAGTTGGAAAAGAAAGGGAGAATTGCATGAAATCAAAATCAGACTGAAGTGGGAAAATCCATGTTTAAATATAGACAAAATATTTTGAAATTAGAATGATAATTGTAAGTACTTTTCTGTAATTATTATTATAATATTCCATAAAGTTATATACTGTAATCGTAATAGTATAGCATTGCTATGGAAAATAAACTAAATTAGTAAAACAGAGTAGAGAATCCAGAAATAAAATCATATATACACATGTGGGTGTGTATATATTAGAATTATATGTTATATATTATTATATTATATATTAAGATTATATATTATAATTTATACATATATACACATTCTAATATACACATATATATTGGAATTTTTTAATTAAAATGTTTAGAATTCAATTTAGTGGGGAAAATGCTTATTTAATCCATAGGGTTAATAAAACTGGCTGCCTAGAACAAAATAACATTGTATCTCATATCACATACTATATAAAATACAAATCAGATGAATTATAAACTCAAATATTAAATGAATAAAATAAATAATTTGCAGGAAATTAGAATTATATAAACTAAGGTTAAGCATATTGTTGGTATGTAAGAAAACTAGGAAACCATAAAGAAACATATTTACTATGCAATTAATTCTTTGACATGCTATATAATATATTCTAAACAAAATCAAATGCATCTGAGAGATTGAGAAAAATATTTTGCAATGTTAATGAAGAAAATTATCTATAATACAAAATACATTATTAAGAAACTGATTTTTAAAAGCTAAAAGAAAACTTATGAGAACAAGTAAAAAAATAGCATATCACAAAAGAGACAAGCCAATGACAGTAAATAAATGAAAACAGGTTTAAACTCAGTGCTCTCTAGGGAAATGAACATTTAACAAAAATAATTTAACACTTATCCATCAGATTGACAAAAATTAAAGAGTAATAGAAACTTCTGATGTTTGAGATGAAATAGGAGGTAGTATGTCACAGATGATTTCTGGAAATGTAATCATTTTAGAAGGCAATCTGGCAATCTGAATTCCAATTAAAAATGAATTACAAACACAGTTACTTTAAGATATTTATTATACAAGATTTATTGCAACATCTTTCTTAGTTACAAGAGATAAGAAGTTAAGTATATGCTTATCAATAGTTTAATGATTAGATAAGTTGAGGTCTGGCAATACCATCAAATAGAATTGGTTAGTTTTACATCAGGCAATTCAAAAAAGGTTTCTAAAAAGTGTGTTTGAGAAAAGATGCAAGGAAGCAGTGTGTACAATGTGACCCCACAAACTGAAAAATGACCCACATTTTCTACATGCTGATGTTTTCATAAGATAGGAGCCTAATAAAGGCTACGAAAAGATTCATGAAAGATTGTTAACTTATAGAGGAGTTTAGGAGGAAGTTCAACAAAAAACTTTAAAATCTGCAGAATGAATTGTGCTGTTAAAGTGGATGAAAATACGATGTGATATATGTGTCTAGCCATAGAAAAATATATAAAAAGCAAATTTCTAAAATATTATCGTTCTTTATATCAGAGTGTCAAGATATGTTTTGGTTTCTGTATTTTCTTTTATTTTGTATATCATGTAAATGCTTCACAATGATGGTAACAAGGAGAAAAGGGAATTGATAATTGTAGAAAAACAAATATAATTTTTATAACCCATATTTATAGTTCAGGAAAATGTATAAACTATACTTAAGAGGATATAAAGTCTTATGAAGTATTTCACATTTTATGCAGCATTGTTCCTGCAAGTAAAAATACTTCCAAATGCCATGTCTTTACTTTCCATACAAACTGTTTGCCTTTGGGTTTTCATCTCCTGGTACTGGGCAGGAAGGAAGCCTGTCTTTTTCAAGGATGTGCATAACCAGATCAGCAGGAAGCCTGTAGCTGTATGCGTTTCCATAAATTTTTTGGTCTTACATTTCAGTCTACACCTCCGAGACCAAATGCCCATAGATGAGAGACATTTCTATTTTTCATGAATTACTAATTACCTTTTCAGAAAAGTCTGACAGTTCTTAAACTGATATGTACGCACACAGACACGTTTTTTTCTTTAGTTACCTGATTAGAATTAAAGTTCTTGAAGGTCAAAGTTGAAAACTTCCCTGGTCTAGCAATTACAAAGAGTAAAGAAAATGAAATATTTTAGACAATAATATATAACCCAAGCACTGACACATGAATTGCCTGCATTATTTTCTTTTGTCTCATGAGGATATTAATATTTTACTAGAAATGAGCTACTGGCATGCATAGCATGTATTTAGTACATAATAACTAATATCTCTTTTTCTATATTATAAAAATCTTTCCAATCTAAATTATTGAACTGATGCCAAAAATAACATTTTAGTGTTTTTGTTTTGCTTCAATAATAGAAAATTATTTGTTTAGATGTTCGTTCGTTTTAAGCATAGGAGAGTCTTTTTTTATCTTGACAATTGAGACTCCAGAAAAAAAGAAAACAGCAACTTTTAATTTATTTAAAAAGTGAGTGTTATTCAGATTTACTATCAAAGTAATTAATGGTAACCACTCTGCATAATATTCAGCTAATAAATGTTATGCCTTGTAAGCCACAGAGGAGTAAAACCTAATATGTTCCAAGGTTAAAGAAGACAGAGGAATGACGACCAATCTGGGAAAATTAACTACTGCACTTGTATGAAGCATTATGGACATCAATCCTGTTTCCCCTCCCTACTTCAAACACAAGTAATTCCTGGTGTTTTTTTTTTTTATTTTAATATCTCAAGATATCTTTTATAGAAACTGTAAATATAATCAAGGAGAATAAGCATATGTGTCAGAAATAGTTTGGGTTGCTTACTAAGGGTCCCACTTCAATATTTAAAAGCATGTAAATTATAGAGACTTTTTAATCCTGTTGATTATTTTAAAAAATAGGAGTCACATATTGAAACAACTTCTTTGATTCCTTCTGTATAAGCCTGAACTATAGACGTCTAATATGTAAATCAAATTTTATAAAGTTTAAGCACATTTTGAAATGAAACAGAGTCCTTGTACATATGTGCCACTACAGTGGGTCTGTCGGTCTCTCTGCATACACACAAACATTCACATACATGCATACCCTCATATGACCTGTTCTGTTCTACACCCCTTGTTGCTCCCAGAAAACTCAATCTCAAAATTGTCAAAGCCAGTAAAATCTCTATCAAATTTGGAATAGTGCAATCTGAATTACACTCTATGGACTTTAAAGCCCCAACAAGTGCGGAGTTTACAAGTATTCTTCAAATTTCCTAGAATGCTCTTAGCCACATATCCTCCAAACCAGAAATAATTGCTTCTTTTTCACTCAATTTCATTTTACTTTGTATATACCACTGTATTATTTGTGTTGCAAACATTTGTTTGCATTGAATTGATCTTATAAGGAAAGGTTTTCCATATTATGTATTCCCAGTAACTAAATCCAATAGCACCCTTCACACAGAAGCCAGTCAATAAACATTTGCAGCATTTAGTCGAAGTCTAATATCTGAATTCACAGAAAAAACAAACGAATAACAAAGGCTTTCAGTCCACTTTTCATCTTCTGTCATTAATAGAATTCCCAAATACATGAAATGTTCACTGCCCAATATTTCTTGGAAATGGTACCTGGACGCTCTCTTCTCTTCCTTAATGTTTTGTCTATTAACACGTAGAATACTTTCAGTGAATTTAAAGTATTCACCTTGTTGGGCATCATTTGCCAAGTGCAGCTTTAAGCAAAATGAATACTTTTCCAAAGGAACTGCTTTAAAAATTCCCTAGGCTGAATCAAGAGTCTCTGGTCCTTCATCTGACAGAATGACAGATTCACTGAACACATCGCTATTTTTTCAGCAGGGGATTATTTTATTTTCCAATCATCTAGGTCCTAATGCTAAACATATATGCATTGAGATTAATTTATAGAAAATGCTGGGAGGCTTTCCTTGTAATTTTTGATGCAATGGTTTACTCTGCCTAGGGCACACACTGAAAATGACACCTAGGAGGTCTTAAAGTATAGTGACTGCTCTGGAATCTCCTTTGAGCCAATCTTTCTACTCACACCTCCCTCCAGAAAAGAGTTTTCATAAAAAACAATCCTCCCTTATGAAGAAACACACTAGTCTGGGTGTGGTGGCTCACACTTGTAATCCCTGCACTTTCGGAGGCCGAGGCAGTAGGACCACTTCAAGACCAGCTTGGGCAATATATTAGTCTGTTTTCACATATTATAAAGAACTGCCCAAGACTGGGTAATTTATAAAGGAAGGAGTTTTAATTGACTCACAGTTCTGCATGGCTAGGGAGGCCTCAGGAAACTTACAATCATGGCAGAAGGTGAAGGGGAAGCAAGGCACCTTTGTCACAAGGTGTCAGGAAGGAGAATGAACACAAGAGGAACTACCAGACAATTATAAAACTATCAGATCTCCTGAGAATGCATTCACTATTATGAGAACAGCATGGGGGAACCACATCCATGATTCAATTACCTCCACCTGGTCTCTCCCTTGACACATGGAGATTATGGGGATTACAATTCAAGATGGGATTTTGGGTGGGGACACAGCCAAACCAAATCAGGCAACATGATAAAACCCCATTTCTCCAAAATTACAAAAATTAGCAGGCATGGTGGTGTGTGCCTGTAGTCCCAGCTAATTAGGAGGCTGAGGTGGGAGGATTGCTTGAACCAGGAAGGTCAAGACTATAGTGAGCCGAGATTGCACTACTGCATTCCAACCTGGGTGACAAAGTGAGACCCTGTCTCAAAAAAGAAAGGAAAGAAAGAGAGAGAGAGAGAGAGAGAGAGAGAGAGAGAGAAAGAAAGAAAGAAAGAAAATAAAAGAAGGAACACACTTAACTTAGTACTGATTTAGGCATAATATATTCATCCAGTGAGTATTTTATGAGAAATTATTATGAACCAGGCACTGTAGTAAATGGCAAAGCAGATTTGAAAAGAACCTTATCTGTGCCCTCTTGGAACTTAGTCACCAAGAGAAGGGGGAGAGACTATAAATAAGTGCATAAAGATATGTAATAGTATCTTAAATAGAGACCAGTGTTTCAAAGGACTGAATCTAAGGGATAGCGATATAGTTTGGCTGTGTCCCTACCCAAATCTCATCTTGAATTGTAGCTCCCATAATTCCTTCATGTTGTGGGAAGGACCCAGTGGGAGATAAATGAATCATGAGGGCAGTTTCCCCCATACTGTTCTCATGGTAGTGAATAAGTCTCATGAGAACTGATGGATTTATAAGGGGAAACCCCTTTCGCTTGGCTTTTATTCTCTTCCCTTGTCTGCCTCCTTGTGATACTTGCCTCTTGGATTTTGCCATGATTGTGATGCCTCCCCAGCCATGAGGAACTGTGAGTCCATTAAACCTTGTTCTGTTGTAAATTTCCCAGTCTCGGGTATGTCTTTACCAGCAGTGTGAAAACAGACTAATACAGATGGCGAGTGGCTGATGGCAACTTGCATCTTCAATAGGCTGCTTAGGGAATTCTCTGCTAATGAGGCATTTCAGCAGGGAATGCAATTTAAACTTTGTGAACAAGAGAAGCCAGCAAAAGAGATAAAAATATAGAAGAAACCTGTTATGATGAAGGAACATAAACAAACCTAGAAGTTACTTGATGAAAGTATTTCAAAGTTTTTTTTCTAAAAGGCTTTCATTTATTTATTAGTATCTTAATCTTCACAAATAGCCAAGAATCACCAGATACCTGGTAAGTCTCATATTCAGAAATAAATACTGAACTAAACAGAAAAAAAGAAGGGCAAATGCAGACATTATCAGAAGTAGAAAAATTTCTCAAAAGTATCAGCTGATATTCTCAGAGAATTTTAAATAATGAATTACATCCTTATGTTATATAGCATTTCAGTACTATTTGGCACATAAACTATATGCACGTATTATATTAACAAAAATGATAAACTAATTAACAAATTTATTTGCATATTATACTAATAAGCAGGTGGTCCTGACTTGTTGAGAAAGAAAGTATATTCGGGTTTTTTTATGGTAAATTGTGGCTGAAAGATGACAAAACAATAAGAGGAAGTATGAAAGAGTTCTGAATAATTGGAGGGACATTATATTGGTCTTTTTGACATAGGGATTCCTCTGGTTTATCAACTAAAGTATTATGACTCCAAGTAAAAGAAAAAAATAACATATACTGACATAAAAGTAATACAGTCTGGAGGCAAGATGGGTTTTCTGAGAATTAATTTAGTCCCACGGCTGTGGTTTCTTTGCACTACTCTTGCCTTTAATGTGCCCTCCTCTCTCTGTTTCTTTCTTCTTCGGGTGGCTTTCTTCATGCAAAAACAAAAAAAAAAAATGACTAAAGCATTTTCTGTCTTGCTGTTTATACTTTACTGGATCCTAGAAAAAAGGATTGTGGAAACTCTCATAAGAATTTAAAAGTTAGAGATAATTTTGCCAAAAGCAGCAGTGAATCTCTATTAATGATGATTGCTCAACAGGTGATGAGCCCATTATTCACTTTTCTTGGAAGGGAGATGGAGTTACCCTTCGATCACTCAACACCTGGAGCTCAAGAAAGAGCCAAGATTCCCTAAGTCACATGAGCTACACAGGGAGAGGGTTCTCCTAGGAAGAGGGGAAAGGAGGAGGGATGCTAAAAGTCAACCAAGCCTGTCTATTAAAGCCTGTGCATTACACTGGGACATTCTTCAGAGCACAAAGCAGTTCAAATATATGTTACTACTGTCTCTAACACAAAGTAACTACTTAAGGAATACCGATGCAGTGACCACATGATGAAAGGCAGGCTTAACAGAAAGGCTTTATATAAGAGCCATTGAAGCGATTTTAGAAGAAAACAACATTCTAGCAATTTATACCAGAAGAGAAATTGAGTTTGAAAGCCCAACATGTTTGCACTTGTAGACTTGATAACATTCTAGGACAGAATCCTTTTTTTCTTGAAGGCCACTAATAAACTCCCTGGTATGGTGGGAAAGACTGCAGGATGGGAGAATTTGGGGTGATACTATTTAAGCTTATTTATGACTATCTCAGTATTTCAAGTTAATTTGAGGTTTCATAAAGCTAGAAAACATCGTCTAAAATTCCTTTCTAACTCTCAGCAATGGCAATTTAAAATCAAAGAAGGTTTTATCTTACTGCCTTTCTTTCTCAAAGTTTAGTTTCCTACATCACAAGACAGGATTATCAAGAAGTCAACTTTCATTCACATGGCTAGTTGTGTGAAATCCCTCTGTGGTTTACTTTTATTTCTAGTGTTTATATGACATTTAAAGCACCTTTGCTTTGTTGATAGATATTGAACACCAGTAATTGTACTACCTGAGCTAATTAGGCAACTAGAGCGTGTTTACCATGCCTATCAATTTTCTGTCCAGGAGAATATCTCAAAACCAGTTAACAAGGAAGAGCAGTTTGAAATGCTTGCTTAATTGTGTATACAGTATTCTCTAAAGCTAACCAATGACCTCAATTAACAAATTGAGGTTACCATTGTTCATTTCACTGTTGTTTAGCAGCCTTCTGCAACTGCTTTCCCAAAAGCAAGCCTTTATTTTGCAGAAAAGCTTTATTAGGTTTGCACTAAGCAGAGACAGAATTGCCAAATCATGGAGGAAATTATGCAGACTTGGGTTTCACTTAAACCTGAGTAGAGTCGCAAGAAACAAAACAATTTTAGCATATTATTTTTCTTTTCAGAGTGCTTTAAGAATGTATGAATAGAGAAAAAATAACTTTATGTCTTTAGATTATGAACTTCTTTGGAGGATATACTAGAGTGTTAATAAAATGCTAGGTATTATACATATAATTTTCCAGTGACGAGAATATATTCTCTCTTGAAGCATTAAATAAGCCATGTCATTATCTTGCACATTAGCTCCATAACTTAAAATAGACTTTGAACATAGCTTTAGATATTTCTAGCGGTTGGAACATAACATTAAAGAGAGAAAGAATGCAACGAAGACATTTTAACCTGAATGGATTTCTATTTGTGGAAAGTTAAACAAATATACTCAGATTATTTTTAACTCTTTCTGTAAAATCTAACTTATAAGACCACCCATATATAGAGGGCAGCATTAAAGGGAAAAGAAAAAATGTTTAAATCTTGCTCAGATAAGACAACATCAAATAAATTTTTAAAAATATCTTAAATCATTGAATGCAGAATCAGCCAATAATATTCATAACCAAGCATGTCATGTTCTGCTCATATTTTATAAACCCACACAATGTATTCAACTTCTATCTACCATATAAGCTCCTTACAGCTCTGACTATAACAAGAAACAATGGTGGTGCTTTTCATCTCTAGAGAGATAAAAGTATTCCACTATCATTACTGTATTATCTGAACAAACTTAATTCTATTTTTATTACTTATTTCAATATGCCAGAAAGCCTAAACAAAAGCACAATTAAACGATGGTGAAATTTTTTCCCTTATTTACAGAGAAATAAAATATTCTGTGGAAAGTTTTAAGTTGGTGAATGAATGGGCAAAGATTTAATAAAGATATTACATTGCTATCTCTTATGAGAAAAGGGGAGAAATATTTTCACAATATTGCTTTCATTGTTTTAAACATTTTCTGGCAGTTTGAAACAAGAAGTTGAAAACATCATTCTTTTGTGTTGATCCAGAATATTTATTTTCTTATGATTCTACCAGTACTCATGAAAATCATATTTTACTTATTTTATTCTCTGCCTCAAATCACCCTTGTCTGTTGTACTTAACACCTCTATAAAGTAGTCGGCTTAAAAGAAGCAATATAAAGAACAATTTTACTCACTATTTACAGCAACCCCCCACCTGCTTCCTAATGAGGGAAAGTATGAAGAAATAAGTTGGAATATGAGTTCTGGAGTCAAACAGACACTGGCTTGAATTCAATTTCTTCTTATTATTAGCCATATAATTTTATATGTGTTACTTTTCCAAGCTTCACTTTTCTCATATTTGAAATTAGGGTAATAATAATAAAAAGTTCTACCTTGGAGTTTTATTTTTGAGATACTTCTTCTTAGAAAAGTGTTCATTTTATTGTATGTACAAGCTAAGTACTGCTATTATTTTGTTTTTATTGACATCATAGTCATTATTGTGGATTAAAAATAAATACTAAAGTCATCTACCCTATCCTGGCAGGATTCTAAATTGTAAGAAACAAATGTAAACCCATAATGATTAAAGACCTGAGATAGATGCCTCTGTAGATGTGTTTCTTAATCCCTTCGGCACAAAAAAAATCTTTATAAAATAAACCAATGTCTAAAAGGCAGAATGATCTCATCTTTTCTGTGTTGAACTCCTGTATAAAAATCATACTACATAGAAAGAGATCAGAATCCATGGGTTTGTTCTACTCATTACCTCCATGATTAAATAGACTTGAACTTCCTGTATTAGTCTTACCTATTTCCTTTTTACCATTTAATTCTTAAGTATCTAGAATAGCAGTTTGTTTGTTTTTTTGGTTGTCGTTTGGTTTTTTGTTTGTGTTTTTTTTTTGGCACAGTTTTTCTCCGTAGCTCAGGTTGGAGTGCAGTGGCACGATCTTGGCTCGCTGCAACCTCTGCCTCCCGGGTTCTAGCGATTCTTACGGATTAGTTCCAAGAAATCCATGATCCTATTGAATTGAATGCAAATATCAGTAAGCATAGTTTTCTACATTGTCTCCCTGCAGGAGATTTCTCGTTATTGAGTTCTTTCTTCCAATTTTTCACTGAGTCAGAGCAACTTTTTAAAATGAAAGATAACATTGGTTTAACATAGCACCAGTATAGTTGATTGAGTAAACCGTATTAACATTCTCTAAATAGTTATGATAAATATTAAAATCCTTAACTGGAACTCAAAGGCTCTGATTAGTTTGAATTGTATATACCAAAATACTCACATTTCTCTCCTCTCATTTTTTACAACACACATTCTTTCCCTTGCCACAGGGCCTTAATATATGCTGTTTTTATTTGTAAAAATGCTGTCTCCTCCCTCTAGTGCGTCATTCCCACATACTAGATAGACTCAATACCCTCTCGTTTATCATTCAGAACTCAGCTAGATCATCTTTTTCTAACCTCCTTAGATAAATAGGACAGAAACCTCTATCCTATGCTTTCATAATGCATGCAGCCCCCATTGTAGTATTTACAACAGTTCAATTTAAAGCTTATTTAAATGTCAATTTCATTAATTTCAGTCTCCTATACCATACTACAGGCTCATTTTGGAAAGTTGTCTGGATCTGTTCGCCTTTAAATTATCACTACTCAGCATATGCTTGAAAAAGTGGATACTTGTTAAATTAATGCATAAAGAAATGAATGAGAAAGTTAAAAACCATATTTCTATGTCCTACACATATCACATTATTTTCTCCCTTTGAAGGCAGAAAATTTCTTTATTAATATTTGAGGTATAAATTATCTCACCTAATGTGTAATACATAAAAAGTAATCGATAAATCTTTGTTTATAAAAGCAAAAGTCTAGCACAGTGCTGACAAGAGTACTCCAGTAATAATGACAACTAGTATACCTAATACTAATATTACTATCAGTTATATATTTTATTATTTATGACATTGAGGTAAGCTATTATTCGGCAGTAAAAACATGTTTTTCAATATATATAAAAAATTTGGAATGCCATATTTTATTCTTTGCTGTGACTAAGAATTTTTAAATGTTGTTGAGACATTTAAATACTAAGATTATAATCTTAACATTTTATATTTTTCTCCCTTTTAAGCCAAGCCTAACATGCTTATTAGTTTAATTAATTGCATCAAAAATATAAACATGATTTTCTTAGTTTTAAAAAAGTAAAAAAAAAAAAAGCTATTCAAAAGGGCATACAAAGATATCTCCCTGTAAACTAAAAAGATAGTATCTTCTTTAGTCTTCAATATTGAAAATATATATTATAATTTATGTTAGGTACAACCATTCAACTTAGTGTTAAATTTCCTTCAAAGCAGAAACATTACCAGAGAATAAATCAGAAAACTCACAGAACTCCTTAATAATTTTAAGAAACCCACAGTAGCTAATAGAGTTGTTGAACCAAATTATTTTGAAAAATGTAATACATCATATTGAGAGCCAGATAAAATATATAAATGTAACAGTTTAGCTTAAAGAGTTAAGAATAGAAGCAAAAAGCTACGTGGGGTTTGTAAGTAACGTTGGTGTTATGCAGTGATGTATATGAAAAATTGACTTAGAATACTTGGGAGAAAATAATACTTTAGCAATTCATGCAATTAAAATCTACTTATTTTACAAAATCTTATTTCTTACTGTTTTGCTTGATCAATTTTTCTGCCTACCTTTTTCCGCTTAAGAAACAAAGTTTTGACATGAAGCACAGTTGAATGATTTAACACCAACATTAATAATGTAAAATAAATAATTTCCTGTAAATGTTATTTCATCGTTGAGTGACTTTGAGTTGAGGAATTTCTATAGCTTTTGTAGGAGTTCTAACAGTTTAGCTTATGGCTGTTCTAATCTCATGCTCTTTTCAGATTTTTACACAGATAGTCAAACAACCAGTTTCTTTCATTTCTCCCAACTACTAATTGTTGACTGATATTTGAGATAAATATAATAGCATGATAAGGCTGAAATGAGACTATTTTGGAACTAAAAGCATTCTCCTTTAAGTAACATGAAAAAGGAAAGAAATGCAAAAGCATTATCTTGTCTTGATACGCATTTTGTAGTTTATGTTCTAATATACCTAATAAAGGCAAAATTTTCACACTGAATTCCAAAAAACAAAATTAAATATTAATCTTAAGTAAAACAGCAAAGAAGAATAAAATAATCAACACCGAACCATTTACTCAGCCAAGTTTTCTGTGTTTTGAACTATGTTGAGACATTAATTGACAATATTCTACAGCGTTTGTCAAACCAAACGTTTTTAAAGTGTAAATATATTGAGTAATCAGCATTTAATTCCGTGGGAGAAAAATCAAATTCTTCATGAATTTCAAATGTTTTCTCACAACTTAAATTACATGGGACTAATAAAGAATTATGTGCAAATATGTTAACTCCTGGGGTATCTGAGTTGTAAATTTAGTTTCAGTTATTGTTACTGTTCTCAATTTCAAACTCACCCTTCGTGATGTGGGGCTGACACCTTCCAATCATATTTCTGCTGTGTTCTCTTGGCTTCTGTAAGTCTCTCCTGTAAGCCAGTAGAAGGTACTAGAAAAGCACTTTATGAATTGAGGAAAAATAAGAAATACACTCCTTCCTGTTTATTTTGTCTTCCTTGATTTTGCTTCCTGCTGCTCTCAGCATCACCGTGGCAATACTTTTTCACCTTGACAGTGACATTTCATTTCAATAACAGCAGTTGATTTCAGTTTGCATGTTTCCCAACACTTTCAGAAACAACTTCATCACACACCACCCCCCCGCCGCTCCCTCCCCCAGCCCCAGAGACATCAACTTCAATGCAGGGAGCAGTAACTCCTCAGACACCTAAGTTTCCAACACCTGAGTTTCTGCTTTGCAAAATCCCTACTCCATCTCCAAAGTTTTAGTAACCCCAAAATTTAATTGCCCCAGCCTTAGATGGAAACTACCTTCAGTAGTTACTATCCCCAATACTTTAGTGGAAACTTTCTCCCTCTGCAGAACTCCAAAAACTGGTATCAAATCTTTATATTAAGTGCTTTTGGTTAAAAACAAACAACAATGACAATAAAAACCAACTGTTGTAGCTTCTGTTTCCTCACTGGACTCTGAATGATACATATGTTATTATTATGGATTAATAAATGGTTGCTTAAATCCTTTGGCCTGCATATCATTGTTTATAGATGTATGAAATCAATGAATTCTTATGAATTTTAAGCTGCACTTTAATCCCTATAAGCACTGATAAAGAAACCAGAGTTGCAATGTGAATAGACATTTGCTTTCCTAGGTAAAAAAGAATGGGCTGTTCTGGGCATTACTAACTCAGTGAAACATGATTTCCCATACCTTTTCAATCATCACTTACGGTCACCAAGAGGAATTGTCCTTTCATGTACTTTAGTCTGAATGGACAACATTCAAGACCTTCACCTCCAATTCTTTACCCAACTGGGTCCACTTATCTCTTCTCCTGTTAAATATGCTCCTGTATGTCTTATCGATACAATGGCAAGAAATCCCAGGATTTCAAACTTAGAGATATGAACCTTTCCAGAAATTTTTCTCTTATTTCCAACGCAACTCTTGGAAAAAAAAAAAAAAAAGAAGAAGAAGCAGCTCTGCTTCCATACCATCAGGCATGGTATCGGGTCTTTTATTTTTCTGCCTTCCGAACTACACTGTCAACTTCCTGAAGAAATAATGCTTTGTTAATATAATTCCAGTGGATAACAATACAATAACAAGCTTGCTGAAGATTGAACAAATGTGGGATAAATGAAAGAATGAATGAATGAGTGGTTTCAATTATCACAACTAATCTTCTGGTATTATATAACAAACACTTGACATATCTACACATTTCTCTGATTTGGACTTTAGTATTATTAACTCCACCCCTTAATTAGAATCAAATCAATAACCTGGTTTCTTATTGCATTGCTATATATTTGTGTCACATTCTACTGCTACTGAATCTCATTTACTTATGTAAAGTACTTCTCGTGGACTTTGGAGTCATTAAAAAGATTAAATTGTGTTTGATTTAATTTAGTGTTAAATATATTTCATTGTTTTCTAATTTCTTGGAAAATTGATAATCCTGCCATATAGTGTATGTAATAATTCCTTATTAATTAAAAAATCTGTTTAACAAGGACAGCAAATTTCCTCTCTACAACAGATAACAGAGTTTATTCTGTAATTAACTCTCTGTCAGAGTCCTTAAACTAATTATATCTTATGTTCTTTTCTTAGATGCTTTGGCTCTATCTGTGGGCCTAGAGACAATCTGGTACTAAATCACCCTTGATTTCAATATTTATGATGTGATTGTCCTATGTAAACTGCACTATGTTTCACTTAACTATAAATATATTTTACTATATTTTTCAATTCACCTTTTGCTTATGTTTTACATGACTGTTTATCTTTTTTATTAGTCATCTTCCTTGAATATGGATCTTCTCTTTAGAATGGAAAACTAGGGGCCCTAGTCTATCCTGTGGTATTAATGCACTATATGAAAGTAAAAATTGCTGGAGAGGTTAGGTTAAGACTCAACTTTGGAAGTAGCAGTTTCTTGCCTCAGTGTAAGAGCACAATATCTTCCACTTGCTACCAGCATTATTGAGAATATAAAATAATTCATACACATGTGCTTAGAAAAAAGAGTATATACATTTAAGGTAGATGAAAGTTTCTTAATTTTCAGATTCAAGCTTTCCAGAGTTAATGATAGTCAGTCTTTATTACTTTTCAGCCCAATGTACTGACTTGTCTATGGTTACTGTTTCTTTTGTGTTCTCTAGCTGACTCTGGTCATGATGACATTTCTTTTATCTGAATAACTTTGTAAATGACACTGAGATTCCTAGGAGACTCTCTCCTATAAGTAGAAATAGAATTGAAAATTCTTTCCCTGGGACATTCAAAGATGATAGAATTTCTCCCTTCTTTAATAAACTCTTTCTTATTCCTATATATCTGATCTCTTTTATTAGCGATAACATAACCCAAAATCTGAGGAGTTTTTGATATTTTTGATATTTTCTGGGTCCCACAACTTTTTTCAAATTTTCTTTTGAAACAAGTTTATTCAAGCTTTCACTCAATCATTCCTTTGAAACCACTTTTGTCAAGATCACCAACAATTTCTACATTGCTAAATCCAGTGGCCAACTATCACAGGTCATTTATTCTGTCTTGAAAGAAGTTCTTCACTGAGCTCCAGGACAATCTCTTGATTTCCTCACTGTAGAGGAAAGACACCGTAGTCTACTGTGTCTTCAGTTGGCAGATATTGAGACGACCACAGGACTTAAGTGTTGGGCCTCTTATCTTCTCTATCTAACTTGCTCCTTCGGTGACTCATCTAACCTCATTGTTCTAGACACCATTGAAATGCTGACAACTCCTAAACATATATGTCTGGCCAAGACTTTGTCAGCTCACACAACCTACTACTTAGTCTATTTCTTCTCAAAATAGTAATAATAGAATTTCAGAAGTATCGTGTCAACTATGGAACTCTGGACAGTGCCCCTTCTTAGAAAATAATACATAAAGTGGTTTCTTTCTTAATTTTCCGGGACAACAGTTTTGGATTCATTCTTAATTTCCCTATTTCTCAAATGTCTGATCATCCTTGTTAGCTCTACCTTCAAAATAAACCCAGAATCAAGTCATTTCTCATTACCTCCTATATTACTACCCTTATCCAAGCCACCATTATCTCAATAGCATCTGATTCACTCCTCTACTTCCCAACTTACCCTCTTCTAATTTATTCTCAACACAGCAGCAAGGGTAATTTTTCTAAAATGTAGGTCAAATATGTCACTACTCTTCACAAAACACTTAAATGGCTTTAAATATAAAGTGAAAGACAATATCCTTACAATGGTATGGAAAGCCCTGAGACCTGACCCACCATTATTTCTCAAATCCTCTTTCTTACCATTCTTCAATGGTTTACTCTGTTTCAGCCACACTGGTCCCCTTGCAATTCCTAGAATAGACTAAGTTCCCTTCTTCCTCAGGACACTCACACTTTCTATAAACTGCTTAGAATCTTCGTATTCTTAATTTCCTTAAAAACTACTCATCTACGCCAGGCACAGTGGCTCATGCCTGTAACCCCACCACTTTGGGAGGCCGAGGCAGACGGATCATGAGGTCAAGAGATCGAGACCATCCTGGCCAACATGGTGAAACCCCATCTCTACTAAAAATACAAAATAATTAGCTGGGCGTGGCGGCATGAAGTTGTAGTCCCAGCTACTCGGGAGGCTGAGGCAGGAGAATTGCTTGAACCCAGGAGGCGGAGGTTGCAGTGAGATGAGATCGTGCCACTGCACTCCAGCCTGAGTACAGAGAGAGAATCCATCAAAAAAAAAAAAAAAAAGAAAGAAAAAAAGAAAAAAAAAACTACTCATCTATTTCTCATGGCTCCTTTCTGAAATGTTACCTTAAGAGTGAAACCCTCCTAGTTCATCTGTTAAAAGTTGTCACTTACCCTAGCCTACCTACCTACTTGCTTTCTTTTCATCATACTTATAACCTTTCATATGTTTGATGTATTTATTTGACAACTCCTAGTCTTCTCCTGCTAAAGCAAAAACTCTCTGTGGGTGGGACTATGGTCTGTAAAAAGGAATGTCATATGTATTATAAATTACCCTGATTCTATGGACATAGTTTAAAATATTAAGAGGCTTGGATATGTAGAAGAGAGGCCATAAAATAAAGTATTGAGAAAGACTTTCTCTGGAGGCTGAACTTGGCTCAGGATTGCTTCCTCTCCTGCAAAAGAATTTTAACAGGCTCAATAATGCATATATTAGGAAATCCGCCAGGGAAAAATAAATGCTAGATGCATAGGTTAAAATTCTTAAGGTCTCAGGTTTCATTTAGAAGAATAAGAAACATTCATACCTGGAAAGGGGCTTTCAAATTAAGAAGAGTTATGAGGTTAAAAGATATGTGTACAAAATGAGATAAAACTTGTTTTCCATAGTACCTATTGCTATGTATGCACTTACTAAATATTTATTATACTCATTATTTATTTAATTGTAGTGATAAAATTGTACAACAAGATTTAGGTATGAAATTGTAAATTATTCAATAGTAAATTGAAGAACATTGATTTTTAAAGAGAAAACTATATATGTCATAAAACTTTCTCTATTTTACAGAAGCATATTTTCTGAAATTACAAACCTGTATTGCTGGATTCACTGTTCTCATATTTTCTTTCTTTTTTTTAAAATTATACTTTAAGTTCTGGGATACATGTGCTGAACGTGCAGGTTTGTTACATATGTATATATGTGCCATGGTGATTTGCTGCACCTATCAACCTGTCATCTACATTAGGTATTTCTCATAATGCTATCCCTCCCCTTCCCCCTCTGCCCACCTTTTCAAAGTAGCTAATATCACGTGCATGGCTAGATGTCAGTAAAGACATCATGAGGTAGCAATCTGAATGTAATAAATATACACTGAATATACAGGCCTTTAAAATAAAGAAATTAGTTCAACTTTAAAACTCACAATTCTGCACAGGTACACAAATCAATGTATTCTTTTCATCATAATATCTTTATCATAACAAGTCTCCATTTAAATTTTTCTCAGAATTCTAAACTGACTTAAAACATTTACCAGTTAAATCTCATGAAACTCTTCTACAGAAGATTATGTAATAATAATGCTGACTGTTAAGAACTACAAAACTCTTGGCACAAATGACTTCACCAACTCAATGCATGAAGAGAGTTCACCAAACTTTAGCATGGTTTCTATTGTCCCAAGACCACGTTCCTAGGATAATCCAAGCCCCGCCCCCACTAAAAATGCCTACCTGAGAAAGCTTAGTACTACTTTTATGTTTCAACTTGATTGGGGCAGTAGGTGCCCAGATATTTGGTCAAATATTCTGGATATGTCTGTGAGGGTGGTTTTGGATTAGGTTAACATTTAAATCAGTAGACTAGACTGAAGAATGCAGATTTCCCTCCCTAATGTGAGTAGTAGGACTCATCCAAGCAGTTGAAGACCAGAATAGAACAACAACAACAAAAACCTGACCCTCCCATGAGTAAGAGGGGAGTCCTCCTGACTGACTACCTTGTACTATGACATCGACCTATTCTGCCTTCAGACTGAAACTGAAACAAGTCTTTTTGGGTCCCAGGCCTTCTGGTGTTCAGCATGGAACTTACACCATCAACTCTCACAGGTCTTTAGCTTGCCATCTGCAGATCTTGGAACTTCTGAGCATTCATAATCATGTCAGCTGACAGTTGATTTCTTATAATACATCTCATATATATATATATATATATATATATATATATGTATCCATTCATATTATAATATATATTCTATTGGTTCTTTTCTTCTCTTTTCTCTGGAGAACTCTGACAAATACAGCTGCCAAAATAGCTTACTATTTGTTCCAGCCAAAACCTATCTATAGGCCTCTGGCCTCTCTTTTCTTAGAGCAGTTACTTTAGAAAAGTTGTGATTACAAATCCTTTCTCTGTCCCTTTAAGATATAAATTTCCTACTACCTACACATTATCTCCTCAAGGACCTGGGAGTCATCTCTTTGAAATGCAATAATCCAGGAAGATAGTTCTTCTATCTCGCAGTTCCTTTGTTAAGGTAAAGCAGAACAAACTCAGATGGCCCAGTCACATTGACCAACCCACTTTAACACCCTTTAATACTTTTCCGTTAGCATACAGCAACATTTACAAAGTCTCTCACCATTTCTTTTGGTGGAATTGAGCCCAATTTACACTGAAATTTTTCTCTCCTACTGCAGCGGTCCCAATGAAATCTGTCTCGCATTTTTAAAAAGTATCTAGTGATTTTTTTTGACACTGCTCAGCCACTCTATCAAACAGATATTGACCTTGGAAATGTGGTTAATAACATAAAAGGCAATGCAAACTTATTCACAATTATTTTTCAGCCTGTTGAACAAGGTCCCCCACATTTTCATTTTAAAGTGAGTGCCATATATTATGAAGCTGGTCCTAATAGTAACAGAAATGGTAATAGTACTGGTAGTACTAGGAGTGGCAGGAGGTGTACAGGGAAGAGGAGGAGGAGTAGCAGCAAAATCTATTCACCTTTTTAAACAATTTGTTAAACAATTGTTCTGGACCATGCTCTGGTCTAGGTGTTTTACTGGTATCAGCTTATTCAATCTACTAACAGTGATAAGACACTATACTAATACAAATTATATTTATAATTGAAAAACTAAGGCAACAGAGAAGCTCAGTACTCTAAGTGACATATCTGACATAGGGAGATAATAGTAAAAATAGAATAGACAAAAAACAGATGAAAAAGGGTAGAAATAGAATCAAAAGGAAATAATAAAAGATTAGAATTAAAAGAAGATACCATAACAAGCATGTTTTCTTGTTTTTGTTTTATCTTCTTTTTGATTTAGGTGATTCAGTGGGTGGTGGAATAATAATTGAGATGGTCTTGAAGAATAAGATAAGTTTAGCTTTATTAAACTGAGTTTATACAAAGATGTCTAACAGATAGTTGGAAATATAAGCCAGTTGCTCAACAAAAAAGTGGATGCTAAGGAAAGAAATTAAAAAGAGGCTAGTAAGATGGTATTTGAGGCCAGAGGAATATATGAAATTGAGAAATAGGAAAAGGGGCCAAAGAAAGAAACTTAAACAAGGCCCTGTTTAAAAATCTAGGAGAAGAGTCAGGAGTGGTGACTGAAAAATGGTATTTCTTTTTGGGATTAACAGTGTCATTTAAGTTCAGAGAAAAAGTTTAAGTAAGCAAGTTTTCAAGAGTTCTAAATGTTGTAGAGAGCTCAAGGAGCAACGAGGGATTAACGAGAACAAAATATTGGAGTTAAGAATAAACACCAGTGACTATCAAGAGAGCAATTTCAGTGTAGTCAGAGGCAGAAGCCAGGTTGCAAATGTTTACAAAGGCAAGAGAGGGAAGGTTGTTTGTTCTTTTCAGATGTTTGAAATTGAAGAGGAAGAATAGGTGGGACAGCAGAAAAAGTGGAGCCAAGGAAATGAATTTTAGAATCAGAAAGGTTTTGTCTTATTTAAATGATAAAGTGACAGACTTGAAAAGGCCAGAGAGACAGCATTAATTATCAGGAACTGTTTGCTCAGTTCCCCAATAAGGAAGGACAACCCTTCCTTATTGCAATCTTTTGATCCCCCTTTTTATTCTCAACTCTTCAGGTAGCCAAGAATCTTGTGGACTTAGTATTATTAGGTATATTGGGTTGTGACAGTTTCAAACACATAATTTTAACAGTTGACTTTATCTTTCTGTATCTCATTTTCTAACTACAAAATTTAAATAATCATAATAGGCTTTGCCTGGTCTGCCTCATAGGCTCACTCACTCAGAGTGTACAAAGGTGGAAATGTTTGTGAAATAGATTATAAAATGTATAGGTAACATTTAAAAACTAAAACATAATTACATAGACCGTTTTCTTATTAGTGACATTATTATTGCTTATTTTTTGCTCTTTAGAAGTATTCCCAAGGATAGCCTTGAGAGTTCTCTTCACTGCTTACCTTTAAGTGTCTGCCTGAAATGCAACCCCGACTGCCTCTGGCAACACAGCAACTTTGTTGTTTTTTCTTCTGTTCAATTATGCCCACAACCTAAAATAATATGAGTAGAAAAGAAGCAAAACTGCCAGCAAAATAGCTTTGGGTCACTTCTAATAAAAGTGACTTAACATTGTCATTATGTACATGAACTGCACCTTTATTTCCATTACTCAGGAATCCATTTGGATTTTTAAAGCTAGTGTGTGCTATGGTTATCATACGATTATATGTGGCATCCATTTTTCTTCCTGCTATATTCAGTTTTTACAATCTATAAGAGTCGTAAACTTGGAGGATTTTATTGGAAAGTCAAGGTGGCAGAGTTATCGAAATGCCTCAGAAATGATGCTTCCCTGCCGCAACAATGGTGATTTACTCGTAATGCTAAACACACTCCACTAAGTCATACACAGCTCTTGGGAGAGGGTTGACTAATTAGCTCAGTGACTTATCCGCCCACATGCTCTGCTGATTCTGATACATTAAAACATTTTATTAGCCTGCAAGGTCAGAAAATCTTACTGCGTGGGTAGTATTTCTAAAAATTTAATGGCAATAGTGTGATGTTGGATCCTTTGCATCCGTAGATTGGCAATAAATCTTCAAAGATGAATAAACTCATATACTTATTTCTCAGAACTTTGCACATAGAGGTCTCAAGAAACCCTGCAATGTTTAAAAAGAAATAATCATTGTCAAAATCACATAATAAACTATTCCTTTTGGGGGGGTGTGTTAGTCTGTTTTCATGCTGCTATCAAGAACTGCATGAGACTGGGTAATTTATAAAAGAAAGAGGTTTAATTGACTCACAGTTCAGTATGGCTGGGGAGGCCTCAGGAAACGTACAATCATGGCGGAAAGGGAAGCAAACGCATCCTTTTTCACACGGCAGCAGCAAGGAGAAGTGCCAAGCAAAAGGGGAAAAGCCCCTTATAAAACCGTCAGATCTTGGGAGAACTCACTATCAAGAGAACAGCATGGAGGTAACCACCCCCATGATTCAATTATCTGCCACCAGGTCCCTCAGGAGACTCATGGGGATTATGGGAACTACAATTCAAGATGAGATTTGCATGGAAACACAGCCAAACCATATTGGTGGGAATAAATTGAGTTCTCTACTTGCATTGAATCTTTAGCAGGTAGAAAACACACAACTGAAAATTTAATTTTCAACATCACCATCTGTAATCACCAGTTTAGCACAAGTATTGCATTAAATTAGACTACTGTGGTCCATTTGAGCTGAGAGAATTACATACATCTTTTGATTTCCCAGCATTGGTTAAATCCTACCGTCAGTGTACTATAATCTTTGCATATAAAAGATGGCAATATTTATCTCTAAGCAGATAATTGCCTTCTCTGCTAATCATTTATAATACTTCACACATTTGATTAGCTCTTTTTTTTTTTAACAACGAAAGGTACTGAAACAATAATTCTGTGGGAAAGAGGAAAAACCGTAGAAATCAAAATAAAGTCATAGGGCAAATAAACAGTTAAGTGGGTTGTTTTGTATGCAAGCGTGATAAATAAATTTGAAGGAGACAATATTTAAAGGCTACGTTTTACGATCGTTCAATAAGTATTACGTCCTAAACAATATATGTTATGAAAGCATACAATGAGCTTTTTAAAAAAATTTGGATTCAAGTCATCATTTTTCACTTAATTTTATACTCTAAACACTATATGAAAAATATATAAAAATATTTGAACATGAGTAAAATGCAGAAATAATGAGTTATTAATTGCTTTTTCTTCTTCTTTTTTTTTTTTTTTTTAAATTGAGACAGAGCCTCGCACTGTCACCCAGGCTGGATTTCAGTGGCACTATATCGGCTCACTGCAACCTCTGCCTCCTAGGTTCACGTGATTCTCCTGCCTCAGTCTCCTGAGAAGCTGGGATTACAGGCACCCGCCACCAGGCCTATTTTTTTTTTTTCTGTATTTTTAGTAGAGATAGGGTTTCACCATGTTGGCCAGGCTGATCTCTAACTCCTGACCTGGTGATACACCCGCCTGAGCCTCCCAAAGTGCTGGGATTACAGGCATGAGCCACCACGCCTGGCCTATTAATTGCTTTTAAAAGTTATTCATAAGATTGTGATAATTCTGTGAATAAATTCAATTTATTCCCCAAATCCTGGTCATTAGACCTTTTCCTATGGCCAATAATCACACTTTTTCTTCCTTTTCCAATGTTTCCTCATTCTGATACCTTGCGTTCATAGAAAAATGAAGCAGATAATTTTATGTGAATATATATTCCCTTAAATTGTGCAATTCTGACAACAAATTATGGGTTACAAGGTGTGAAGCACAAGAAGATTGCAGGTAATGGGAATGTCATAAAACTGAGTTCAGATGTAGGTTCTGCTAGAAAACTAGCTATGTAACTTTGAGGACATATCATACTCTAGGTCAGCCTCAAATTTTTGAGCTGTTAAATAATAAGATTGAGTTAAATGATCACTCAGATTCCATCTACTTCAAAAACTCCGTGTTCTATGTCCACTGACATGCAGAACTTCAGCACATTTGCAAACAGAATGTGGATGCATTAGTGCTGCATTAAATACTTACTCAAAAAAGGAGTAGAAGTCTTGCAGATGGGTAACAATGTAAAAGTCCAAAAAGGAAAACCTAGAAGGGAATCAATATTTCCAAGGCCTGTATCTGCTTTCTGGTACTTACCCACACCTTGCCGCAATTCCCAACCAAGTTAATAGATGTGAACTGAAGAAGATTACTACATTCTACTGCATGATACTGTGATATATATCTAAAAATACTTTTCCACTCCTGAAAATATTCAGTCTTATACCTATATACATTTAGAAATGACAAATAGAAAACAGTATATATTCTCAAATGCAAAACTGCAAACAGTTTGAAGAATGGCCTAAACAAAGAATACACACACACATACATAAATATATATATATATATATATATATATATATACACACACACACACACACACACACACACAAGCACCCACACACCTGTGCCCTTAAGGCGCTCAGAGTCTATTCTGATAGTTATCCACTTACACAAAAATGTACACTAATAGTGATGAGAAAGTAGCAGCACAGAAGAAGGAGATGTTGCTCTGGGGTAGAAAAGAAAGTTTGCAAGTCCTGGATGCCCAGTGACTTACGTTTTGTTCAACCACCTAGTTTAATTACCATCCATTCCACTAGGAGTTAAAGAATAAATATATTCAGTACAATGCCAGTTTACTATTTATGAGGGTTTGGCCACCTGTCAAGCTCCTTTATGGAAATCTAGCTCCACAGGAAGCTTCAAGGATAGCTTCTGCCTACACTAGGCAGGCCTGTGGAAAGTAAACTAGATATTCACCTCTTTATGACCAGGAGAAAACAATAAAAAGAGCAGCAACATAACTCCTATTCCTATTTTTCAAATCTCTCTTGAATGCATGTAATGTAATTGATGAAACCAAATTTGCATTCAGAATCCTAGCTGCTAATATAGATGATTATAGTTTTCCAGCATCTGTGGTCAAAGGAGAATGGAATGGACATCTACATAGCAATTTCCCAGCTACCATTCCAGAAGACAGATCCTAAAAGAAAATGCCATGGGAGAGTCAGAGCTTTAACCTCTTCCTTCTTCCCACATAAAGTTCCTCTCATGTTTTTTCAACAGCTGATCGAATTCTGTTCTTGTCTCTCATACAATCCTATCATTAGTCTACCTCCACAGGAGTACTGTATATTGGGGGCAGGGCTTGGGATGTGCAATCAGGGAGAAAACAGACTTGATCTCCCACTGGTGGTGTTTTTCACTTTCCTTTAAGCTTTTTTTTTTTTTTTCCAGTTTGAAAACTGAAAACTCCTATTACTCCTATTGCTCACCTTTCTCTTTCCAGTCCCATTGTTTAATATGTTCGCTGTGGTCTCCATGAGTGAGGAATTGTCGCCAATCCAGTTATGTGGGGAGATGTCCTTTTGCATTTTTAAATGGCCCCCTTGTCATTCTTCCATTAAAAGTGATTGCTCTCAAAGTGCAGTTGTGACTACAAAGGAAGATCCAGTCAGCTCTGAGCCACGAAAGCTGAAGAATGTTGACAGAGTGGGCTCATGGGAAGGGAGGGCACCTCAAATCAAAGGTGTTTAATAACAAGTGGCTAAATAAATGGGTCATAGAATCTGAGTTCGTATTATAAGGAGGAACTAAGAGTTTCTGTATGCTTTTTTCAGCATTTAGTATATGTCAACTTGCGTAGTTATTCCTCAGCTCTCAATATAATACCTAGTGTCTGATTAGCACTTAATAAAAGTGAGTTAAAAAATAGTGACTGTGAATAATCATTAAAAACAGGAACAAATGTGTTCTGCTTGTGAGTGGAGTATAAATGAGATCTTGCCTTTGGGGTTTAAGGATGGAATAAACTCATCATGGAGTGTTATAACTAATTCTCTCTCTATGTCTCTGATTCTCTGCCACCTTGAACTTCAGATGTTCAGTAATCACTCATTCAGATGGAGTAACCATTGCTAAATAAACAAAAACATAAAAATGAAATAAACAAAAGACAAAAATCCACAACAACAAATTTAACTACTTGCTGAGAAGCAAAAAATTACCAAGAGTTGGCAGTAGCTGACATTGTAAAGTTTTTGATCTTACTATTATTTACAATAATCTATAATATATAGAAAAATGTTAACTTTTAAGAAAGGACTGAAATATATGAATTTATATTCTGTAATCTGTAGCAATAAACAAGTGATATAAATCAAAAGATGAAAATTAATCAAAAGAATACAATTCTCTAAAAAATTGAAAAATATCACTTACTTTGGCCCTCTAAAATCAGAATGAACAAAACACCAGAAAGCACACTGCGAAAAATACTCTATCAGCCTGTCTTAAATTAATCTAATTATTTGATTCTCTTTTATTTTTCCCCTGGCTCAGTCATTAGTAGATGTTATCTTTGCCTATGATGGGTATTGTTGATATCACTTTTTACAGTGATGTTTTTTCTCTTAATGAGCATAAACAAACAATCCATTCTAATATGATTTTTAAAATTTTCTTTATAAAAAATCAGAAAACCAGAAGCAGAAGTCAAATGTTACTAACAGAAAATATAAAGGAAAAAAAGTCAATAAATTGTATCAGGAAATTTGTAACTAAGCTGAGCATAAAAAGAAAACATTAGTGAATCTGACAATATCATTCTAAAAGAAGGAGACAACATTTCTGGCTCTAAAAGACCAACATAAAATATATTTTCCCTATAATATTTCATAGTTTTCCTACAAAAGATAAACTCAGAGTAAAATTTTAAAAACTGAGTTTCATTATATTCTTAAATTCCCTGTTGCAAAGATTTTATATAAATGTAATGAGTTAATAGTATCTTTTTTATTTTTATTTTATTATTATTATACTTTAAGTTTTAGGGTACATGTGCACAATGTGCAGGTTAGTTACATATGTATACATATGCCATGCTGGTGTGCTGAACTCATTAACTCCCCATTTAGCATTCGGTATATCTCCTAAAGCTATCCCTCCCCCCTCCCCCCACGCCACAACAGTCCCCAGAGTGTGATGTTCCCCTTCCTGTGTCCATGTGTTCTCATTGTTCAATTCCCACCTATGAGTGAGAATATGCAGTGTTTGGTTTTTTGTTCTTGTGATAGTTTACTGAGAATGATGATTTCCAATTTCATCCATGTCCCTACAAAGGACATAAACTCATCATTTTTTATGGCTGCATAGTATTCCATGGTGTATATGTGCCACATTTTCTTAATCCAGTCTATCATTGTTGGACATTTGGGTTGGTTCCAAGTCTTTGCTATTGTGAATAGTGCTGCAATAAACATACATGTGCATGTGTCTTTATAGCAGCATGATTTATAGTCCTTTGGGTATATTCCCAGTAATGGGATGGCTGGGTCAAGTGGTATTTCTAGTTCTAGATCCCTGAGGAATCGCCACACTGACTTCCACAATGGTGGAACTAGTTTACAGTCCACCAACAGTGTAAAAGTGTTCCGATTTCTCCACATCCTCTCCAGCACCTGTTGTTTCCTGACTTTTTAATGATTGCCATTCTAACTGGTGTGAGATGGTATCTCATTGTGGTTTTGATTTGCATTTCTCTGATGGCCAGTGATGGTGAGTATTTTTTCATGTGTTTTTTGGCTGTATAAATGTCTTCTTTTGAGAAGTGTCTGTTCATGTCCTTCGCCCACTTTTTGATGGGGTTGTTTGTTTTTTTCTTGTAAATTTGTTTGAGTTCATTGTAGATTCTGGATATTAGCCCTTTGTCAGATGAGTAGGTTGCGAAAATTTTCTCCCATTCTGTAGGTTGCCTGTTCACTCTGATGGTAGTTTCTTTTGCTGTGCAGAAGCTTGTAGATATGTGGCATTATTTCTGAGGGCTGTGTTCTGTTCCATTGATCTATATCTCTGTTTTGATCCTAGTACCATGCTGTTTTGGTTACTGTAGCCTTGTAGTACAGTTTGAAGTCAGGTAGCATGATGCCTCCAGCTTTGTTCTTTTGGCTTAGGATTGAGTTGGCAATGCAGGCTGTTTTTTGGTTCCATAGGAACATTAAAGTAGTTTTTTCCAGTTCTGTGAAGAAAGTCATTGGTAGCTTGATGGGGATGGCATTGAATCTATAAATTACCTTTGGCAGTATGGCCATTTTCATGATATTGATTCTTCCTACCCATGAGCATGGAATGTTCTTCCATTTGTTTGTATCCTCTTTTATTTCCTTGAGCAGTGGTTTGTAGTTCTCCTTGAAGAGGTCCTTCAGGTCCCTTGTAAGTTGGATTTCTAGGTATTTTATTCTCTTTGAAGCAATTGTGAATGGGAGTTCACTCATGATTTGGCTCTCTGTTTGTCTGTTATTGGTGTTTAAGAATGCTTGTGATTTTTGTACATTGATTTTGTATCCTGAGACTTTGCTAAAGTTGCTTATCAGCTTAAGGAGATTTTGGGCTGAGACAATGGGGTTTTCTAGATATACAATCATGTCATCTGCAAACAGGGACAATTTGACTTCCTCTTTTCCTAATTGAATACCCTTTATTTCCTTCTCCTGCCTAATTGCCCTGGCCAGAACTTCCAACACTGTGTTGAATAGGAGTGGTGAGAGAGGGCATCCCTGTCTTGTGCCAGTTTTCAAAGGGAATGCTTCCAGTTTCTGCCCATTCAGTATGATATTGGCTGTGGGTTTGTCATAGATAGCTCTTATTATTTTGAGATACGTCCCATCAATACCTAATTTATTGAGAGTTTTTATCATGAAGAGTTGTTGAATTTTGTCAAAGGCCTTTTCTGCATCTATTGAGATAATCATGTGGTTTTTGTCTTTGGTTCTGTTTATATGCTGGATTACATTGATTGATTTGCGTATATTGAACCAGCCTTGCATCCCAGGGATGAAGCCCACTTGATCGTGGTGGATAAGCTTTTTGATGTGCTGCTGGATTCGGTTTGCCAGTATTTTATTGAGGATTTTTGCATCAATGTTCATCAAGGATATTGGTCTAAAATTCTCTTTTTTGGTTGTGTCTCTGCCAGGCTTTGGTATCAGGATGATGCTGGCCTCATAAAATGAGTTAGGATTCCCTCTTTTTCTATTGATTGGAATAGTTTCAGAAGGAATGGTACCAGTTCCTCCTTGTACTTCTGGTAGAATTCAGCTGTGAATCCATCTGGTCCTGGACTCTTTTTGGTTGGTAAGCTATTGATTATTGCCACAATTTCAGAGCCTGTTTTTGGTCTATTCAGAGAGTCAACATATTCCTGGTTTAGTCTTGGGAGGGTGTATTTGTCGAAGAATTTCACTCTCCACCCCAAATCAACAGAATATACATTTTTTTCAGCACCACACCACAACTATCCCAAAATTGACCGCATAGTTGGAAGTAAAGCTCTCCTCAGCAAATGTAAAAGATCAGAAATTATAACAAACTGTCTCTCAGACCACAGTGCAATCAAACTAGAACTCAGGATTAAGAAACTCACTCAAAATCGCTCAGCTACACGGAAACTGAACAACCTGCTCCTGAATGACTACTGGGTACATAACAAAATGAAGGCAGAAATAAAGATGTTCTTTGAAACCAATGAGAACAAAGATACAACATACCAGAATCTCTGGGACACATTCAAAGCAGTGTGTAGAGGGAAATTTATAGCACTAAATACCCACAAGAGAATGCAGGAAAGATCCAAAATTGACACCCTAACATCACAATTAAAAGAACTAGAAAAGCAAGAGCAAACACATTCAAAAGCTAACAGAAGGCAAGAAATAACTAAAATCAGAGCAGAACTGAAGGAAATAGAGACACAAAAAACCCTTCAAAAAATTAATGAATCCAGGAGCTGGTTTTTTGAAAGGATCAACAAAATTGATAGACCGCTGGCAAGACTAATAAAGAAGAAAAGGGAGAAGAATCAAGTAGACGCAATAAAATATGATAAAGGGGATATCACCACCAATCCCACAGAAATACAAACTACCATCAGAGAATACTACAAACACCTCTACGCAAATAAACTAGAAAATCTAGAAGAAATGGAGTTAATAGTATCTTCTTTAAAGTTTTCAACTTGTCAAAAGTACATTCAAGGCTGGGCGCAGTGGCTCAAGCCTGTAATCCCGGCATTTTGGGAGGCCCAGGCGGGCAGATCACAAGGTCATGAGATCGCGACCATCCTGGCTAACATGGTGAAACCCCGTCTCTACTAAAAATACAAAAAAACATTAGCCGGGTGTGGTGGCAGGCACCTGTAGTCCCAGCTACTTGGGAGGCTGAGGCAGGAGAGTGGCCTGAACCTGGGAGGTGGAGCTTGCAGTGAGCGGAGATCACAACACTGCACTCTAGCCTGGGCGACAGAGCGAGACTCTCTCTCAGAAAAAAAAAAAGAAACAGAAGTACATTCAGGTCTTTCCTTGACTTGAATGAAATAGTTCACTGAAGTTCTTTAAACTTAGTATTTTAGAGTTTTAGTCCACTAAGTACACTGTGCTAGAGTGTACTATGTATGGATATCCAGGAGTCTATGAAATTCCAAAGTTAGTTGGAATTATTAATGTGTATTTGGGTATGTGTATATTTTAGGAGAGGAGATCAAGGGTCTCAAAAATACTAGGAGGGGTGTGTGTGTGTGTGTGTGTGTGTGTGTGTGTGTGTGTGTACAAAAAGATTATGAGGGATTGGCTCACATAATTATGGAATCTGAAAAGTCTCACCAGCTTCATCCATAATCTGGACACCCAGGAAAACCAGTAGTGTAATTCCAATCCAAGTTCAAAGGTCTGAAAACAAGAGACCTAATGGTGCTTGTCCATGGGCAGAAGACTGATACAGCTTAAGCAGACAGGCTGAAAGGAAAAAATTCAACCTTCCTCTGCCCTTTGTTCTATTCATGCCTCATCAGATTGGATGATGCCCACCCATGCTGGGTAGGACAGTGTTTTCTACCAAATTAAATGCTAATCTCTTCTGGAAACATTCCTCACAGACACTAAAAAATAATGCTTACCCAGCTATCTGGGCACTCCTTAGCCGTGTCAAGTTAACACATAAAATTAACCATAACAATGTCTATAACACAAAAAACATTAAGAATCCTTGAAAATTTATCCAACTATACTTACTTCTCTGAAGACTGAGTCACTTGATCTATTTCCTTTTAATCAAAAAAATCTAGTAATATATCTATATTATTTCTGATGTGATTTCATTTACATTCATTGCGTGAATTTTAGTTTTGCCTTTAGTCATTTTCTCTTCTAATTATACACACAGTTTTACAATTTCAGCTGTCATCTTGGTTTTAGGTACCATTTTTCTAATGTTAAATCCTCTCTCTTTTTCTCAATCTCTGGCCTCTTTCATGAGCCAAAAAAAAAAAAAAACCGCAGAATTACCTTTTACATATATTTACTAGGTCTTTCTTTCTTTCTTTCTTTTCTTTTCTTTTTCTTTTTTTTTTTTTTTTTTTTTTGAGACAGAGTCTTGCTGTGTCACCCAGGCTGGAGTGCAGTGGTGCCAGCTCGGCTCACTCCAAGCTCTGCCTCCTGGGTTCACACCATTCTTCTGCCTCAGCCTCCCAAGTAGCTGGGACTACAGGTGCCCGCCACCACACCCAGCTAATTTTTTGTATTTTTTAGTAGAGACGGGGTTTCACTGTGTTGGCCAGGGTGGTCTCGATCTCCTGACTTTGTGATCCACCCACGTTGGCCTCCCAAAGTGCTGGGATTACAGGCGTGAGCCACCATGCCCAGCCCTTCACTAGGTCTTTCTAAATAAACAGATTAACATTCACCCACCCAAATTCCACTATGACTTCTTCATTCCCTGTAACAGGCAATGTCTTAATCCATTCAGTTTCTCAAGGTCAGCACTAAATCATGCCATACTGCACCTTCTTCTTCTTTTTTGGAATGTGATCTTTAGAAAAAAAAGTTTGCTGAGTAAATGTTTCTTGGATTTGCTCCCCCTTTACATTGTCAATATCTAACTTCAAGCTCTTGACAATGCTAACATAAGAAACTTCCTCTTGAGTCTTCTCTCTTCTAAACCTACTCTGTTTTTCTTCTAATGTCAATAGAATTAACTTCCTCCAAAGCAAATTTACTGATGAAACATTGTTTTCTAGCTATCTTTAACTTCTAGTACTTACCACATTGTAATACTTTTGTTTTAATGTGAATATTTGTTTACCTCATTAGATAGTAATGTTCAGTGTCTCACTTATCTTTCTAGTGGCTTATCTGGGACAGCTAACAAATAATGTATAAATAGAACTATAGAAGAAATGACTGTCTGCCAAAATGTGTGCTTTCCCTTCCATATGGTTAATTTGTTGCTCAGAGAGAGTTACCTAGCTATGGACTACATTTCCCAGCTCCTGTACAATGCAGGGGACTAGTTCTCAGCAGTCAAAGTTTAGCAGAAGCAATATAACACTTCTAGAGCAGGGATTTTAACAACTTGTTATTTTCTCCTTTTGCTTTTGCCTTCCCCTTGCCGAATACAGAGTATTCCAAGGCACTGGAGAAAGAAGCAGCAAAAATACAGAAGAAGTCTGTGTTCCTGAAGAACAATGTGGAACTGAGCTACCTTTTCTGCCAGAAACACACTCATTGGAAAATGTAAGTGAGAATAAGTTTCTACTGCATTAGAGTATATTTGTTTAATGTTTTGCACCATCTAGTTATCCCAACTAGTATCAGTAGGTAGTCAATAAAACATTTTGAAATTAATGTTTATAATGTACATACAGATTATACTGTTGTGCAAGTGTGAAGACAGGAAAAGGGAAAGGATTCTTCTTTTGCATTTTCCAAAATACTGTGGTACAGTATGATTCAGGATTCATTATATGTTATGTCCTTCAAGTATAGAAAAAAATAATTACAGAATATTTATTTGAAACATATTCCAAAATTTGCATCTTTATAAAATTTGTCCATTTTAATAATTTTTTATTTCAGCACTAAAAGTACTATTTTGTTCAAGAAAGAAATAAAAAACAATACAAATAAATAGAGTACAGAAAATATTGACAACTAATTAAGGCATTGATAGCATTTGGATGAAGGCCTAGTTAAAACTATCCAAAAAAAAAAATAGCCTAAGTTATTTGAGTAACCAAAATATGTACATTGCTTCTTCATATAAATCTGTGTATCTTGGGATTATTTATTTTGCCCAATTTATATGTCAATTTTTTCCATTTTTTTCGTAGTCATTCAATTTATTTCATTAAAATTGAATTAATGGGAAAAGAAAATGTAATCAAGAAGTTTTTCCTCCAGCACTCTTTCCCATAATGCATTAGAAATTTGTGAGATAAGATTTTTTTAAAATATCTAGGTGGTGATGAATGTGGAGATCTGTGTGGAACTGAGTTTTACATAGATATATTCATTTGGGTATTTTTGAACATAATGCAATACATGGTCATAGTCCAATAATTACTCATATTTGTTGATCTTATATCTGCAGAAGGTTAAAGTCTGTTGTCTACTTTCTTTTTGATAGTCAGAGTGTGGCTCATGGGCCAACTGCAACAACATTTCCTGGAACTTATAGAAAATACAGAGTCTCAAGTTTCACCTCAGTTGATTTGTATACATGTTAATATTTGAGAAGCACTGCTTGAGGTGACAAAGAAGAAAAACTCAATGGATTGATTAGAGTTCTAAAGAAATTGTACTACTACAAAGTAATGATTTATACAGGTTAAATAAAACATTTCTTTAGATTGGGATATTTTTGTGAATAACATAATTAATTATTTGCCCCATTAGCCTTTGAGAATTAGGATTAAGTTTCAGGAAAAATAGGCAGGATTTTCTTATATGGGCTTTATATCAGTTGAAATGATTCCAACTAAAAGGAATAGCAGAAAACACACCTGTGGTATTTTAGCTAGCAAGACAACCCTGATAGTACAGATTAAGGCAGGCCTTTGAAATGACTTAATCCAACAGCTCTGGCTTCCTTTTGCTGGAGGTCTTTTCAGCTTTTATTCTCCTCCTGGTGTAGCTTCATCTAAAAGCTAGTAAGAAACAGCAGAAAAAATGACAGTTCTTGTGCATGGCAAAATCATGTCTGGAAGAAATGAGATGGTCTTTCCCTGTGGCAAAAAAAAATTAAGAATGGAAAAGTCTTTCCCCAGAACTTTCCAACAAGTTTCTTCTTGTATCTTATTGTTTGATTAGGATAACATGCTTCTTCCAAAATCAACTCCTGCCAGCCCTGCAGTGTGATTCATTCATTGGCTTAGATGAGAGTTCCTGAAGAAAATGATTGTCAGGGGGAATGAAAGTATCTTTATTGGCCCATTTTCTTGAAAAAAAAAGTCCCTCCTCCTCCTGCTCAGCTTCTATTTAATAAGGAAGGAGAGGCATGAAATGCTGAGAAGCCAAGCACAACATTTATCAAAGTTTATATTTCTTTTATTAGATTTTTCATAATTGTGTGTTTCTTCTCTCATTTTGCTCATCTAGTTACATTGTCACATGGCCTTTTGACACTTCTTCTCATAAAACTGATGGCTTAAACACCATGACACTTGTCCTCAATTTCCTCACTGTCCCAATTATGTCCAAGGCTCTTCCCATAGATCTTTGGAGGAATGAATCTATTTTTGTTTTTATTTGTTTTGTTGTTGCTTCTCTCAACATAATTACTACACAAGAGGGTCTGCTGAGGCCATCAATGTAAGATAATCTGCATGCCCAGAAATATCTATCATCTGCATTTCCCACTGTAGAAGAATGCTCTGAGAGAGTGGAATCAGCTATTAAATAAGCTGAGGCCAACACTTAACATACTCGGTGTAGTGAGAGGGGTTCTCTTGCATTTTAGATGACCAGCTTGTTTGTGCTCCCTCCAGTTATTGAAAAATACTTTACATTGAATAATGCCAAAACAACCTAATAACCATATCTTCTCTTTTAGGCATAAATCTATGTCACACGGAAGACAAAGAAGGTAATTTAAGCACAGCCTCAGATTTTTCTGAAATCTCCCTCAAATTCTAGAGTCAAGAAAACAAGTTTGTAACAGGACTGCTACAGAGACAATTTTGTTGTTGTTGTTATCTTCCTCTCTGTCAGTAAACTAGACTTTTTCTTTGCTTGCTTAAGCATACGTCTTATAGTAGGTGTTCAAAATACATTTGTTCAGTAGAAGAATTCTGATCTTGAGGAAAATGGCTGACAGTTCCATGTACTTTTTAAATGATCTGTGAATTTCACCTTAAAAATAATGATCATGGCTACATCCTCTCAACTATGATCAGAAGCTAGTAACAACTCAGTAAAGAATTTTATGGTATATGTCTATCTTCCTGGCACCAAAATTATTTTTTCTTTTATTTTATGGCTTAGAATTAATGATAAGATTGATGAACAAAGCCTAAACAATAAGTGAAAATATTAATTATAAAAGAGTCTGAGCATGTTAATTTTCATGAAAATTTGCCTGGTATGAATAAAGAGTAACAGCTTGTAAGTGAAGAATATATATCATATATGTGTCCTTTGTATTTAATATATGTAAATGAAATGTCTAATAAATTACTGATAACCACAGTGCTTCAAAATATCAGGAAATTGTTTCCTCTTTGAGATGTGATCATTCCTCCGTCTCTCCGGATGCTATTAGCTTTTCACTGCTCAGTCCATGTGGTTCCCCTGGAAAGTTTTCGTACTATACAAGTCCATAGTATTATGTGTGTGGAAGTGGGTATTTCCATAGCCCTTAGTGACTAGATATTTGTTTCTAATGGTTTTGTGGAATTTAAGTTATATCTGAAATCTTCTTTTGCAGATATAACTTAAATTCCTCAAGAGTATTGTGAAATTCGCATACTTCTTTATATCCCATACAGGTGGGAGCATAGAGTAAGTACTTAAAGAAAACTAGTTGATTTTTAAAAACTAACCAAAGTTTTCATTTTCATTCCTTTATCTCTAACTAAATGTTACATTTTAAAAATATGGTAAAAATTATTAGGTTGTAAAATGATCTGTTCCACCTTAAAATCACCTCCTTATTTCTAACCTTAACCCTCTGATGATAACTACGTGATGCAGTGATGACAAATCTTCTCTAGCTCTGTCTTGTTGTGTGATTATTATTCTGCTTCCTCTAGTGTCCAATCCACTAGTAGTGACAGCAATAATTTGATAAACATATCTAACTACTATATACTTTTTTCCAATGCTATTTTGTGAAAACACCTCCAACATTTGCCAAGCCAAGAGTGAACCTATTAAAGATATTCAAATAAAATGTATTATATTTTAAAATATGAAAATATAAATAGAGCCCCACTATGGCACAGCTCATTACTAATGCAGATCTCATAGCAAAACAACATCCCTTGAAATATCAAAATCACATAAAATAAAATTGTGAAAGACAAGACATTTACACGGCAAATAGCATCATCCCTTAAAAAGCAGTATGAAGTGTTAAATATGAAGTAGAACTGGGACTACCAAAATTTTGTTCTTTAGAGCCCTAATCTAAAAGCCATTAGTAATGATACCTTTAAAAATGTGGTGCTTATGTAAGACTGGGAAATGTTTGAGCTAAATTTCTCTGCTGTGGATTCACTTAGTATATTCCTCTCTGAGATGTACACAGAAAGGAAACTGTCTTAAATATGTTTAAAATTTTGGAATAAAACTTTCTAATTTATTCTTGCACAAAGGAATATTTTCATGGAAATCCTATTAGCTAATAGAGGTGTTTTGAGGGACATTGACTGGCGAAATGCTGAGGTAAGTAAAAGGAATTTGAATAGAAAACCAAGAGAGTTAATTTCTACTCTTAGCTAAGTAGCTCCAGGGCTTAGGAATTCATGCAATTACAGAAGGATATACCATGCACATTTAGTTCCAATTAAAATAGAATCATAAATGCATTTCATTTAAGAATAAAAAATATAATGCTGATATTTCTGTTTGTATGCATTCAGCTTCAGTAACAGCAAACCAATTTCAAATGCTTATCCTGAGGCTTGAACCATGATCACAAGGGTTTTACCAAACCAGGACACGCCCTTTTTTCTTTTCTCTACTTTGTCTTCTGCCATGTGGAGTTCCTCTCATGGTCTCAAAATGCTTTCTCCAGCTATTAGGATGCGTAAGTTCCTCTTTCATATTCTGTGAATATGGGAGAGTATCTTTATTTCAAAATAGTCAGCAAATTGTGAGATGTTTTTCCAATTAGATTAAGTCGTATGCCTTCTATAAGATAATCACATTGGCCACGGAATGAAATGCACTGATAGGGTTTATCCTAGGTCACGAGTTCTGCTCCTGAGAACAGGAATGCAATTAGGTACCTCCATGTTATAAGGATCTTTTTAGTGGCAAATGAGATTTTGATGAATGGGAAAAGGATGACATGGATACACAGGTGGAAAAAAATTTATCTTCTTTACTAGACAAAAATGCAAGGAAGATTAAAATTTATAAATTTATAAACTCATAAACATGTACACATACATTTGTTTGTAAATTTATAAAGTGATAAAAGCTTTAAGAGAGAAGGGTAATAAACAAAAACAACCAAGTGGGCCTAACTTAATTATTAAAAACATACATATGAATACTAGACATTGCTATTAGAAATGTCTTTTTGAAAAAATGTTGTCCTTCTTTTGTAAGTTAATCAAATCACTCTCTTATAAAAAAAATACGAATTTGTGTTTTCTGGAAGACACCATAATCCCTATAGAAATTGGATAATTACTGATTTTTATCTGAAATTTAATTCAGGACACAATTCCAGACAGTAAATAACACAACTACCAAATGAGATGGGAGATTGTCTACTATTTTTTCACACGCTTAAGAAAGCACACTTGATTTTTCCAATCAAATGTTAGTACTTTTCCTCAGACTTTGGGCAGCCACTTATTAACTGTACATTAGTTATCAGCATTATATTAAATAAAGAGACATGCAAGTTTTTGAATTGAGAAATGTCAACACCTATCAGAGGTTGAATTTTAATAATAAGAGAAATTTTACTTATGTAAATTCAACAAACACAATACGACATTTACATATTGATTGACACTATGTAGAAAATAACAAAGAATTTTGAAAGATATATCTCATCTTTTGTTTCAAGAAATGAAAATAATAGACAGTGCTTATTTATGCAGTTTGTAATTCTTACAGGAAGAGGTCAATAGTATGAGTTCCAGGAAATTGTGAACTTTCCGATAATAAATATCTTTAAAACCTAGATTAAAGAATACCCTACTCCTTTTCTTACCAGCAAGGTACAAACCTAGAGATACTTCCTGGTGGGGTAGGAGAACCTGGCTTAGCCACTCAGTCTTTCACAGAGACAGTTGATATAGTGCCAATTTTAAGTAAAGTGCTATACTCATTTGGCAGTAAGCACCCCCAACTTATTTCAATCACAATGCAGTTTTATGCCCTTCTTACTTATAAATTCTCAAAATAACTACTTTGAAAATTATTATAGCACAATGCATTTTTTAACATTTTTTGTTTCTTAGCCTGAACACAAAGAATCCTGAGAAAGTCTGTTCTGAATGTTCCAGTCCAATTTATTTTCTGATCTCTGTATGACTCAACTCTGGGCCATGCCAGTCTTAGACTCAGTCAAATGCTGGAAAAGCTTCTTCTGGACTAAAGCACTTCAATGACATCTGTAAAAAAGAACTACATTAGAAGACCTTTATGTTCTGTAAACTGCAATGAAAGCGGAATTATTTTCAACTTACTGTATCTACTTTGATGGTGGGTTGGAGTGTCACATACCATTTTAACCTAACACGGCAATTTGTATTCAGCACTGTGCTAAGTGTACTAGGGTCAGAGAATACCTGAAAATGCTATTTTCAAGGAGTCTGCACCCTGGGGTGACAATGCTACAAAGTGAAAATATGACAAACAATAAAAATAGTAAAAATGCTCAATTGTACAGTTTGGGAGAGCTACAGGCATACTAGGCTATAAGAGTCACAAAAAGGTTCATAAGAAAAAAAAACAGACTGACTTATATCATTAGGCACAGTTGCAGCATAATTTCCCTACTATTGGCTTTTCTTGCCCCCACACCACCATCTCATCTTTATTTTGCATTGTCTACATAATTTAACAAAGTGATAGACACATAGGAGATGCTCCATGAGTGATTGTAGCATGGATAGTGATCAGGAGCACCTGATGTATGTGTCTATTTGAGGGTTAAACATTTTTCTACCAATAAAATAATTGTGCATTTTCTCATATCTCCAACAGTCAATAAAATGTAATCATAATTATGACTGTGTTCTCAATCTGTGGTCTAACAGTGTTTGTGATATATTCTACCAATGCTCCTCCAAACTCAGATGCAATCTTAGTAATAAACACTATAAGTACCAATGATTAATTAGGAAGATTAAAGAAATATTATCTCTTCAGAAAAATTCTATCTAATTTCGGATAGAAATCCTCTTAAAAATGCTATTTCTCTTCATGGAAATATTTCTCTACTTGGAAGATTCTAATTAACATTAACAAACAGACTCTGTATCACTTTGTTATGATGAAAACAGGGCAAAAATACATTTTTTTCTTTTTTACAGAAAAGGGATGGGCGTGCTTTCCTTGTTGTTACCATGATGGAAATGTGTCTGGTATTCCTGTTTGTGTGCTAAGCTTAACATATTTCAATGTTATCTGGAATTGGGTGATCCTTCAACACTGTGTGATAAGCCCATTCTGTTTGTGCATGTAAGCATGTTAAAGAAATGACTAATATAAATCAATGGAGAATGAATTAAACAATAACATAGCAGGTAAGCTAGTCATTTAAATTCCCTAGAATAGTTCCCAGTGAATTGTCCATCATTCACTGTTCTTTGCAGTTTAAGTGAAATATTACAGTAAGCATCTTCTTTTCAAAGAATATCAATTTTCCTTTACAAACATATTTTATTTTAAGAAGAGCAATAGTTTGTGATATATGAATAATAAAAATACCACTATCATATCCACTTTGTCTTCTGTTCTTCTACATATGAATATGAGAATAATTTGCGTGAAAATAAGAGGAGACTAAAATTATTATGCATCAATTTTCTAAGAGCACTATTTGGTTTTCAGATTTAGATTTAATAGCAGTAAGCAGAGAGTGTAGGTAAAAACAAATATGCAATTTTCTACACTTCTTGTCTTAGTACATTCCTGCTGCTATAACAAAATACCTTAAGATGGTTAACTTATAAACCATATATATTCATTGCTCACAATTATGGAGTCTGGGAAGTCCAAGATCAAGCTGCTGACAGGTTCAGTGTCTGATTAGGGTGGGTTGTCTGTTTTCAGATGGTGCTTTGAACACTGTGTTCAGAGGAGAGGAGTGCTGTGTCCCCACATGTCAGAAGGGAAAATATCCTAGCTAGTTTTCTCCAGTTCTTTTATAAGTTTACTAATTTGATTCATAAAAGCTCCACACTCATGACTTAATCACTTCCTAAAGTCTTCAACTCTTAAGACTTTCACATTGGCAATATAGTTTCAACACATGAATTTTGAGAGGCATGTTCGTATCACAGCACCTCTTTAGCACAAAGCTATTCTATTCTTGAATTTGGTTGCTTCATGTTACCAAGATTTCAAAACTTTACTTGTTTAATTGATGTTTGAAATACTCCTTTTGCAAAAGTTTGTTTTGAAAGAATAGGGATTTGGGCTCTTCTAAACAGAGTTTTCAAGGTTGCCCACATACCGAAATTGTTCAGTTTGAGAAGGAAATTTCTGATCAGGAGTTCACCAGTTTTGCTCTAATATCACCTTTTCTGATATTTCTAGGAATTGGGTTTCATGGCTTGACAATACTAAACAAAACTGACATAAAAATTGGAAATGAGAAGGTCACAGTTTGTAACGCACTCTTCCATACAGTGTTGGACTTGCTTCCTTTCGTTATTTGTGTAGTTTTTCCTGCTATAACCTTCAGAGCTCCAACCAGTTGAACTTTCAACTTGTGCTGTTATTTTTTAGAAGAATTGTGTGGAGATTTTTTTCTTATACTAGAAGGCCAAGGAGTTTATTTTCTTTATAGTATTTTTTAAAACTTTTTTTGTTGTTGTTGTTACAGACTGGGTAGAGGCATTCCACTGAGCAGTTAAAAGTTTAGACAAAAGTTAGCCATCAATGACAAAGTTTCTTGTAGATTTTTTATTCTATTCTGTCTATCGTTCACCAGAAAATAGCTTTGTAAGTTTTCACTCCAGCTATTAAAATGGAAATTTACACATTTCCTAGGACAAGCAACAATAATAACTAATATTCACATATATATGTGTGTGTGTGTGAAGTTTACGAATTCTTTCATAATCTGTATTTTATACAAAAATATAATTACCACAGAAATTTTGCTGCAATAGTTATTATTACAATCCTCATTTTCATATGAGCATGCTAAAACTCAAAGGAAAACCTGACCAAGTTCACAAACTGATAAATGAAAGAGCCAGGAATAAATCCAGACTTTTTATATTCCAAGTTTTCAAGTCTTTCCACTCCAACCATAAGCCTTTCATGAAGTCAACTTATCCTTGCGAAATGACTTTCTTACAATGTATTACACTTGAGTTGGTATTTTAGCACTTTTTAGCACTGTTAGTATCAGTGAATATGTGCTAAGTTGTATCCACAGTCTGTAACACACACACACACACACACATACACACACACACACACACATAATTATTAACTACGGACCCTTTAAATGCAGTTACAAGTACAACTACAAAAACACTTGTTTTAAGAGTAGCAGTCTTCATTACAGAAAAGAGAGCCCTCAATCATTAAGATACTAAATGTCATGTTTTACTATGTAACACTTTCATATCAAAACATTCCTGATCATAACCCAATAAAACTCAGGGCATCTTCCTCTGAATTATTCAGTCTTTACTGATTTTTTGGCTCTGAATTAAAGGATAAAGCATAATTCAGCAACTAATTAGATGTGTACTTCTATTTCTCTCTTATGCTTCATAAGTTTTTCATCTTTCTGGCTAGATTATAAGTACCTTGAAAGAAGAGATTGCCACAAACTCCTTTTTATGTTCTAAAGATTATTTAGTATAGGTCATGGTGCATATTAGTATCTAAGTAAATATGTATAATTTATCATATCACAAAATAAAGTATTTTAATGATCTTTTGTCAGTTATTATAAACAGATGATAAAGTATGGTTTTAAGTCACTCCCCTTGATTGCTAGTTGTCTGTAATTTAATCTACAGCCAACCATATTCTCTAGACATACATGGTCCATCACACCATAAAACATCTTGTACCAAAAATCTACTAACAGGGAACTATAACTTAATACAAACTAGTTTCTTTTACTTACATGAGAAATCAGTCTTATAATGAAAATCCACTCCTGATATATCTTAGACATGTTGTGGAGCACATAGGGACTACAGTTTCATTTGAAAGTTTGCAAGTGGCTACATTCAAAGGGAATAATGCTGGTAAAGGGAGTCTGCTTTTCCTTCATTGTTGAATGCCCTGATGAATCAATTAGGATATTTTTGTTGCAAGTGATAGAATGCACAATTAAAACTGCTTTAATATATGTATTGATTTGTCTATATTTCTAAAAAGTCCAGAAGTAGAGCTAGTTTCACATATGGTTACTCCATTTCCCACAACTATCTCTGCTCTACTCTAACAATAGAATTTATTCTCAAGCAGACTTTGGTCATGACAGCAAAATTATTGTACATTTTCAGGCATGACAAATGTACAACATGATATTCTCCCACCAAATAGAATGAGGTTTGGACAGATAATACAATCTTTCAGCTGATTCCTGTGCTTAAGGAAACACCAGAAGCTGATTGCCTTAGGGAGATGGGATTCTTCTGATTAGTGAGTACAAATTAGAAATCAGTCCCAAACTGAGTGTCAATTCAATTCCAACCACAATTCAGAAGTATGAATGTTGGAGAAAAAAACTCACAATGACTTCTACAAAAACCAAAAAACTGATCATTTCCATAAATAGATCATATACTTGCACTTAGGTTAATTAATAATAACCTCAATAAATAATGATATTGTGAGTAACAAAGAATAAGCCTGATGCATGAATATTTATTTATTTTTAATTTTATTTTAGACTTGGGAGTACACGTGCAGATTTGTTACAAGGGTATAATGTGTGACTTTGAGTTTGGGGTGTGAATGATCCCATTACCACGGTAACGAGCATAGAACCCTTGTCCCTTTCTTGGAGTTCCCAATGTCTATTGTTGCCATCTTTATGTCCATGTGTGCCCAGTGTTTAGCTCCCACTTATAATTGAAAACATGGAATATTAGGTTTTCTGTTTCTGCATTAATTTGCTAAGGATAATGTCCTCCAGCTGTATCCATGCTACTGCAAGGATGTGATTTCTTTCATTTTTATGGCTGTGTAGTATTCCATGGTGTATATGTACCACTTTTTCTTTATCCAGTCTACCGTTTATAGGTGCCTGAGTTGATTCCCCTGATAAGCATGTGAGTGCAGCTGTCTTTTTAGTAGAATGATTTATTTCCCTTTGGGTATATACCCAGTAATGGGATCACTGGGTCCAATGGTAATTTTGTATTCAGTTCTTTGATAAGTATCCAAACTGCTTTCCATAGTGGCTGAACTAATTTGCATTCCTACCAACAGTGAATAAGTGTTCCCTTTTCTTCTCAACTTCACTAACACCTGTTACTTCTTGACTTTTTAATAATAGCCAATTCAACTGTATAAGATGGTATCTCATTGTGGTTTTGATTTGCATTTCTGATGACTAGTGATGTTTAAAATTTTTACATATATTTGTTGGCCACGTGGGTGTCTTCTTTTGAGAAATGTCTGTTAATTTCCTTTGCCCACTCTTAAATGGGATTATTTGTATTTTGCTCAATGATTTAAGTCTGTAGATTCTGGATATTTGCCTGATGCATAGTTTCAAATATTTTGTCCCGTTCTCTATATTGTCTCATTACTCTCTTGATAGTTTATTTTGCCATGCAGAAGTTCTTTAGTTTAATTAAATCCTATTTGTCTATATTTTATTTTGTTGCATTTGCTTTTCGGGTCTTCATCATAAATTCTTTACCTAGGCCAATGTCTAGAGGAGTACGTCCCAGGTTTTCTTCTAGGATTTTATAGTTTGAGGTTTACATTTAAGTCTTTAAGCCATCCTGAGTTAATTTTTGTATATAGTAAAAAGATGGAAGTCCAAGTCATTATTCTGCATACAATTAGCCAGTTTTCTCAGCAACATTTATTGAATAGGGTGTTTCTTCCCCATTGTTATTTTTGTTGACTTTGTCAAATATCAGTTGGTTGTACATGTGCAGCTTTATTTCAGGTGTCTCAAAGCTGTTCCATTAGTCTATGTGTTTATTTTTGTACCAGTACCATGCTATGTTGTTAACTATAGTCTTGTAGTATAGTTTCAAGAATAAGTTAGATAACATGATGCCTGCTGCTTTATTATTTTTGCTTAGGATTGCCTTAGCTACTTGAGCTCTTTTTTTTTTGGTTCCATATGAAGTTTAGAATTGTTTATTTCTGTGGGAAAAAAGGCATTGGTAATTTGATAGAAATAGCATTGAATCTGTAGATTGCTGTAGATTTTACATTTTAATAATACTGGTTTTTCCAATCCATGGGCATGGAATGCTTTTTCCATTTGTTTTTGTTATCTGTGATTTATTTCAGCAATGTTTTGTAGTTCTCCTTGTAGAGTTCCTTCATGTCCTTCATTAGATGTATTCTTAGGTATTTTATTTTTGCGTGTGTGTGTCTGCTGTAAATGGGATTGCATTCTTGATTTGATTCTCAGTTTGAATGTTATTGGTGTATAGAAATGCTACTGTTTTTGTATGTTGATTTTATATTCTGAGATTTACTGACATTGCTAGTCATGTTTTGGAGACTTTTCATAGGATATTTAGGGTTTTCTAGGTGTAGAATTATGTATCAAAGAGAGAGAATTTCACTTTCTCTCTTCTTATTTGGATGCCTTTTATTTCTTTCTCTTGCCTGACTGCTTTGGCTATTATGTTGAATAGGAGTGGTGAGAATGGGAATCTTTGTCTTTTTCTACTTGTTAGAGGAGTTGCTTCCCACTTTTGCCCATTCAGGATAATGTTTGCTGTGGGTTTGTCATAGATTTCTCTTATTATTTTGAGATATATTCCTTTGGTGTCTAGCTTGTGGAGGGTTTCTATCATGAGGGGATGTTGGATTTTATCAAATGTTGTTTTTTCTGCTTCTATTGAGTAGTTGATATGGTTTTGTTTTTATTTCTGTTTATGTGGTGAATCACATTTATTGCTTTTTGTATAGTGAAACATCTTTGCAGCCCATGAATAAAGCCCACTTGATCCTGGCAAATTAACTTCTTGATGTGCTGCTTAATTTGGTTTGCTAGCATTTTCTTGAGGATTTTTGTGCCTATGGTCATCAGGGATATATGTTTTGTTGTTGTGTCTTTGTCTGATTTTAGTATCAGAATGATGCTGGTTTAATAGAATGAGAGAAGAATCTGTACTCCTCAATTTTTTGGAATAGTTTCAGTAGGATTGGTACCAGCTCTTTGTATACCTGGTATAATTTGGCTGTGAATTCATGTTGTCTAGGGCTTTTTAGGAGGTGTTGGTAAGTTTTTTTTTATTACTGATTCTATTTTATTGCTTTTCTTGGTCTGTTCAGAATATCTATTTCTTCTTGGTTCAATCTTGAGAGGTTGCATGTTTCCAGGAATTTATCTATTTCCTTTAGATTTTCTAGCTTTGAGTGCGTAGAGAAGTTTATAGTAGTCCCCAAGGATCGTTTTATATTTCCTTGGGATCAATTGTGATGTCACCTTTGTCATTTCTGATTGTGCTTATTTGAGTCTTCTCTCATTTTTTTCTTTGTTAATCTAGCTAGCAGTCTATCAATCTTGTTTATCCTTTCAAAGAATCCACTTTTTGTTTCATTGATTCTTTATATGTTTTTATTTTCACTCTCAATTTCATTTAGTTCTGCTCTGATTTTAGGTATTTCTTTCTTCTACTACCTTTGCATTTAATTTGTTCTTGTTTCTCTAGTTCCTTTAGGTGTCGGCATATGATGTTAATTTGAGATTTTTCTATCTCCGTGATGTAGATATTTAGCACTACAAACCATCCTCTTAAAACTGTTTTTGCTGTATCCCAGAAATTTTTGCATATTCAGTCTCCATTTTAATTTGTTTCCAAGAATTTTTTTATTTTTGCCTTAATTTTATTGTTTACCCAGAAGTTATTCAAGAGCAAGTTGTTTAATTTCCATGCATCTGTGTGGTTTTAAGAGTTTGGTATTGATTTCTATTCTCATTCTACTGTGGTCCAAGGTGATGCTTGATATGACTTTAATTTTTTTGAATGTGTTGAGACTTGCTTTATGACCAAGTATGTGGTCAATCATAGAGTATATTCTATGTGCAGATGAGATAAATGCATCTTCTTTGGTTGTTGGGTGGAATATTCTATAGCCTATTAGGTCCAATTGGCCAAGTGTTCAATTAAAGTCCAGAATTTCTTTGTTATTTTTTAGAGGCATTATTATCCTATGATTCACACTTTAGAATTTGAAAGTATGGGGTACTTTATTAATAATAATGATAGTAATATGAGAGATAATCTCAAAAACTATCAGTGATAAGAGTTTTTAAAATTCAATTGAATATAAACATTTCTAAAGTAAATGTTTATTTTAATTAATTAATTATTACATTAATATAGTGAAACAAGAAATGACATGCCCATTTTGTACTTGAAGAGACTGTGGTCGAGTGTGACTGAGTGACTTGCCAAACTTCATGCAGCTAAAACTGGGAGCAGAATAACACAGACACATATATTGTAAATCTAAATATTCTTTTAATCTATTACATCAGACATAATAGCTGCATAAAAAGCAGGAGCTAAAGTATACACTCTAAAATATTTAAAGTTTTGACAATAGGACAACAATAAGAAGGAACCAATACAAAATGCATCACTTATCTATCACTGCTCTTGGATTATACATTAAACTTCATTATGTAGTTTTCTATTCAGGAACAAGGAAATGAAGACAGGTAAATATCAGCCTTTTGATTTAATAAAAGGTTGAGGATGGAGGAAGGGAAAAAATAGATGAAAGAAGATACCTTTCATCACTCATGAGGAGGATTTTTTTATGATAGTGATGCTGATCATTTGCTTTCTGGCTGCAGATATATGTACAAGTGGAAATGGGATTATATCAAAGCAAGAAAAGTATCTTAACTCCTGTTAAAAGACAGAAAATTATCAGTTTCTACACATGTGCAGGTTCTGTATCCTTCCTGCTGCAGTTTCCTGTTTCCGCGGCCTCCCGCCTACCTGACTGTCTTCAAGTCCTTTCAATTTTTCCCTCTTGACAGAATTGGTCCCAGCAGCAAACATGGTTTACTTTTTTCCCATCTTAAAATAAAAATGCTCCTCACCCACTATTCTCTTCCAGCTACTGACTTTTATTCCCTGCATTCCTTGTATATAATCACTGCTTTTAATTTTTCTCCACGCATCTTGTTTTGAACCTTGCATATAAGACCAGAGACTCTAATATTCCACTGCAACTATGTGTATTAAACTAAGGTTATCAGTGACTCTAAGTTGCTAATTCCAACAGTCAACTTTTAGTTCTCATCCTGCTTAGCAGCTGCATTGGACAAAGTTTATTATTTATCTTTGAAACATACACTTGCCTTCTAGAACAACCCTTCCTTCTGCTTTTCCTTCTCATTCATTTCTTCCCTTCTCAGTCTCCTTTCTTAGTATCTCTTAATTGCCCCAACAACTATGGATTAATATGACTTTATTCACACTCAGCAAACACTTCTATTCCTTTGTTATGCTTATTTCCTTATTCTAAATCAAGGATGCTGATCTAACTCAGCCCATTGACTTTAAATACCATCTATGTACTAATTACTTCAATGTTTTTATCTCTACCCAGGGACTATTCCCTGAAATCCAAGCACATAAATTCAACTACCAACATTAGTTCTATGATGTCCACATTCCTGATATCCTCACCTACCTCCAAACTTCCTCTTCCCACAATCTATTCCTATGTCAATAAATGGGAACTTTATTCTTTGATAATTCTGTCTATCAGCAAACCTTGTTAGTTCTTTATGACAAAAATAGCTACTAATTCTGCTTTGAATGTTCATCCAGAAACATATAGTATAGCCTGATCATTTACCTCCTTATGTCTGTTCTTAAATGTCACCTTTCAGTGAGGCTTTCCTTGATCATAAAGCAATTATCAGTGCTAAGAAAAAAAAGTTTTACTTGCTTATTTATTATTGACTTCTCCCAGTTATAGTGTAAGCTCCATGAACAAAATATATACTTTTTGTTTGTTTGTTTTGTTTTTTTTGAGACAATCTTGCTCTGTCACCCAGGCTGGAGTGCAGTGGCGCAATCTTGGCTCACTGCAAGCTCTGCCTCCCGGGTTCACGCCATTCTCCTGCCTCAGCCTCCCGAGTAGCTGGGACTACAGGCGCCCGCCACCGCGCCTGGCTAATTTTTTGTATTTTTAGTAGAGACGGGGTTTCACCGTGTTAGCCAAGATGGTCTCGATCTCCTGACCTCGTGATCCACCTGCCTCGGCCTCCCAAAGTGCTGGGATTACAGGCGTGAGCCACTTCGCCTGGTCTAAATATATACTTTTTTTAGTTTTTCTCCTTTTGTATTCTGGTTCCAGAATAATGTCTGGCATATAGTAGATTTTCAGTAAATATTTTTGAATAAATATTCAATTATATCTCTGTAATACTGAAGCTTTTTATGTTTTTTATTTTTATTTTTAGGGTTTGGTTATAGAAAATTCCTTGTAGATTGCTGATCTTGTAGCTCTACAGCTCACAGTAGAAGGCACTGGATAAAACAAATGTGTGATTCATATTTAGAGAATGTAAGGAAAAGATGAAATTGAGGAAAAAAAGACTAGAATATAGGCCATTGCTTGTGCTTTAAATCCAATATAGGGTTATGAGTTACCAAAGAATAACCTTGTTTATATATATAAAACTTAAAAATTTCAGTCTTTTTATGCAAATAGTCAATGTGATCATGATTAGTACTCTACAGCTAGTTTGACTATATTATCTATTTTCTAAGCCAGGACACTTTTGAGTTCTAAAACGACCAGGTTATTCAAAATAATTAAAACTATATACTTTTTGAAATATTTACTTTTTTACTGAAACCATGTTGTATTATATTGGTAAGCTTATGTAATACTTCTGCTTAAAAAATTTTTTAGAGGCTGGGCTCAATGGCTCACACCTGTAATCCTAACACTTTGAGAGGCTGAGGCGGGGCGGCTCGCCTGAGCTCAAGAGTTCGAGACCAGCCTGGGCAACATGATGCAACCCTGGCTCTACTGAAATACAAAAACTTCTCCAGGTATGGCGGCACGTGCCTATAATCTCAGTTACTTGGGAGGCTGAGGCATGGGAATTGCTTGAACCTGGGAGTCGGAGGTTGCAGTGAGCCAAGATCATGCCACTCTTTCATACCTGTGAAAGGAGAGATGGAAGGAAGGAGGATGTTGCAGAAAAAGCAAAACTCTGAGAAAGCCTAGGACAGGCTCCTGAAGTCACCAAGCAAAAATCACCCATTAGAGGATCCTGCATTTAGTAGAAATGACCCATTTCTAATCCCCCAACTGGGCTTAGTTATTGACTGGTGTGTTAGTCTGCTCAGGCAGATATAACAACATATTACAGACTGGGTGGCTCAAACAATAGACATTTATTTCTCATGGTATGGAGCCTGAGAAATCCAAGACCAAGATGCTGGCCAATTTGGTTCCTGGTGAAGACTCTCTTCCTGGCTTAGAGATGGCTACCTCCTGCCTGTATCCTTATACAGCAGACAGAGGGGGAGAGAGACACAGAGAGAGGAAGAGAGAAAGTCAGAGAGAGAGAGAGAAAGAGAGCACTCTGGTGCTTCATCTTACAAAGACATTAGTTATATCAAATCAGGGTCCTACTCTTATGATTTTATTTAAATATATGTATCTCTGTATAGGTCTTATCTCCAAATATAGTAAAATTGAGGGTTAAGGTTTGAACATATAAATTTGGGGACTGGGGAGACACAATCCCATCTGTAGCAGCTGGGTTAATCTCAGTGACTTCAGCATGAAAAACACACCAGATCCATAGGTGTGTCAGCTGAAGGCTGTGAGACACCTACACTCCTTGCAGCAGTTTCTCTCAGAGACAGTTATGAGTGGTCTGAACTCTTTTCACTGAAAGTGCTGAAGCATCTGTAAACAGCCAGTACACTCGATGGACAATATTCTACATTCTACTCTTGTATTAAAATGTACAAGCATTTTATTTGCAAATTTTTCACAGTTAATACTCCTTGCCTCCATTCAGAGTAGCTTTTGTTGACAAATATATTTAACAAGACAAATTCATCAAATAAATTATATTTCATCCAAGTTAGATTTGCAAAATCAGAGGCTTTTACAATTTTCACACAGACACAATATAAATTCATCTAATTAAAAATATGAGTTCTATAAAAGACACTTTCCATAGGTCCAGATATTCCAAAGTGCAATTATAGAATTCCAGAAATAAATCTTACACATGATTTCAGGTATCATCAGTTAATTTGCACTTCCTGCCTTCATATTTTGTGCAAAAATTTCAATGCCTTTCTGTTTATAAGCTTTGTTTTTAACAACTGCACATTGCTTGATTCATTCAATACTATAAAAAAAGATCCCCAAATGATTTTGACCAAAATGCAAACCAAATTTAAAAGATACCTTAAAATGTCCAATATCATTTTAGGATATAGGTTTTGCTGAGTTCTTCTATATTCTGTTTATAAGCCTTTCTAAAAGTCAAATATTTGTAAAATCATATCGATGGCAGTCACCACAGAAAGCGCATGCTTTCGTGCAGACATACTATTTTGTATTCAACATCAGCTTTGTTTTAAAAACGTGTAGTTCACCGGCTCTGTATGTGTGTTTATGTGTGTGTGGTATCATGACCTTGTCAATCTTGACAACTATAGCTTCTATGTTGATTGGTTGTATATCACAGTTCCTTTGGAGACAATTATGAATTCTATGTATACCTCAACCAATTCAAAGTACATTTCTGCTCTATAGGAGTCTTAATTTATTAAAGACATTGATTTCTAGCATGATAACTTCTTCAAATAAAAATAATGGATCCTTATTGTCACTGTTAAAGCAAATAATTTTAAGAGAATTTGCAATAACAACATATGTTTCATCTTCAACACAATGGAATTCAAATATATATTCCTTGAGTTGAAAAATCAAATCATTTTTAAAAGTGTTAGCTGATGTTAATTAGATGCACCTAATGACATATGTAAACTTGGCAGCATTTAATTGTTTGTAAAATTAGTTATGAAACCACTAAATTCTTCTAATAATGTAACAAAGACATTAATATGTATACTCACTCACTTTGTTATATATGTACAAGATATTTGGAATTCTAAATTACCAAATTGTGTTTAGAAAAACAGTCTTCTGATTAAAATGGAAAGTCATGGTTCTTAAAAATGATGTTAACAAGATATTATGAGGTTACATCTTTTTTGAGCACAGTCTTCTGTAACTTGTGAACATGGCACTGATGCTTCCTCACAGATTTGTTTCTTTTGAATTTCATGTGATTGGCAACATCACTATGATCAAATGGTGGGTGGTAAATGTCAAAAAATATTTTTGCAAGTTGTGTATTTACCTTGAAAAACAGAAATTCACTATCTTAATTTATGATTAAAAATGCATTTTCATTTGTATTTAGTTCGGTATTGCTGAAAGGGTTATTGCATTAAAAAATTTTTAAGTGTTATCAAAAAGTAAATAATAGCCACTTGATTTGCACCACACAAAATCACTCTAGCAAGAGCGTTTAGATTGGCTGGGTGCGGTGGCTCATGCCTGTAATCCCAGAATTTTGTGAGGCCAAGGTAGGTGGATCACTTGAGGTCAGGAATTCAAGGCCAACCCGGCCAACATGGTGAAACCCTGTCTGTACTAAAAAAATAGAAAAAATTTGTCGGGCCTGGTAGTACGTGCCTGTAATCCCAGTTACTTGAGAGGCTATGGCGGGACAATCGCTTGAACCCAGGATGGCAAGACAACTTGGTCCCTATTGGTCCCTATCATATGCACATATTTCAGGAGTACTAGACATCATTATTTCCCATGTTTAATGTTGGCACTATTAATTGGCAGTCTTCCTGAATGTCTCAAGCCAAGCATGAGCCATGACACAGCTAGCTGGTATAGTGGCAAACAGGAACGTGAGCATTGAACATTTTACCTACTACTACCCCGACTTGGGAGTTAGCTGACTCTAGCTGCCTTCTTGTGTCTGAATTCATTTGATGTCATCCAGAATTGTCTGGCATGCTGCCCTGAGTAGGAAGTATTTGTCATATTACATCTGGGAAAGCATTAGGAATAGACAGGGAGGCTATCTCAGTTTTGTTATGTTTCTCACATTTAACTATATTTAACGTGAGTTTCCTGTTCACAACACATGCTTTTCCACACAGTACTAGAAAACACCACAGAAAAAGCGAGAAGTACAAAATGAAAACTAACCAAATGTATCCTGGTTTTTTGTAATACAAATAATAATACTACCTTAAAATAGGAAATATTTGGGACAAATGCCAGGATAACAGGCCCAAAACAAGAATTATGGTCCCTTCACTTTACTTTACTGTGGCAGTAACTGTTTGAGATTACCCTTCATTTTTTTCAGTCTTTTATTCTTCAGCTTGTAACAGGCCCAACTCATCTCTTTTATTATAAATGTAAGCATGGGGCCCAAACCTGGCCAATCACAATCACCAGGGTTGGTAATGTTATTCTTGCTGGGTCAATCAGAATCTTCCATGAGACTTTGTGTTACACTTACTGGGAAAGACTCTCCAGTCCCATGCGGCTGAGAGGAGGGGAGAGACAGCCGGAGAGAGCTAACATTATTTGAATCCTGAATCCAATCATGACTGGCCCTAGTTTCAGGGATGAAAAATGATGTGTCCTTTCATGTTACAACTAGTTTGTATTTGGTCTTTTTTTATTTCGAAATGACACCTAAATACAAATAGAGAGTTGTAATTCCCCCTTTTGCAAGTAAAGTTACTAAAAAAATGGGAACAAAAATAGACTCCAGCATACATTTCCTTGTAAACTGAACTTATATAAATGGAACACTTTTTTCTAGTTTATGTGTTTTATAAAATCAAATGCATCCAACTAAAATAAATAGATTATTTCTTAGAATAAAATAATAAACTCAGCAAAACTTTAAAGTTACTTTAAAATAATAACTTTCTGGGAAACATTAAATTTTTGAAATATTAATAATTCTTGAATGTTCTTCAATAATGTTTCCAAAATGAATATGCCTCAAGTATACTATATATCACATTATAGCTCTCTCTGTCTAGTACACTGCTGTCATTACAGAGATAGTAATGTCTAAATCTTTAACTAACAAAATAATTTGGTTATGACTAGGAATATTATTTTGAAAGTTCCATCATATGTTAGGTCTTTAGATTCCACTACTTGATCTTTTTTTATCTCTTGAATTCAGTGCTATAGCAGGGATGTGAGTAGTTACAAATTATGACTGGATAAGTGAAACTGTCACCATACTTGTTCAATTGCTCCTATGATTGTATCTAGATGATATTAGAATATAATCAACATCAAGGGAATTTTTGAAATAAACAACAAATCATTATGATTATCTGGAAGAGACTGTTCACACATGAATGGAGTCTGTTCCTTTACCACGGCAATGGTGGGAATGTTTACGGGTTGGTTCATCATATGGCTAAAACTTTGGCAGCTTTATGCAACAAATTGTAAAGCCAGGCACTTCTCTCCTTTCCATCCTCCCACCTAGTTTACTACATTCATTGAGTCACCAGCAGCAGCAATGAGAAAGCTTCCAGAAAACTGAAACTTGCTGCAGGACAGTATCCCCAGTTTACCATACTTAGATCCTGGGTTGGCAGATTGTTTCATCTCACATTTCAACTGTGCTCACTCGGTGGTGCCATCAGAAGAAGATAGTCAAGCCATATCTGATCTCAAAAGAAAGTGTGTCATAATTGAGTAGAAATTCTACTCTGGATAAATGAGGAAGGAAACAGTAAAAAAAAAACAAAAAACTGTCATATACTCTACCTATACTTTGCCTAGAGGACTCACTCCTGAGATATTTCCACAAGTTTAATTCTTAAATAATGTGTTTCAATATCCTTAGGTAGGAGAACAGTCATAAATCGAAGGCTTAAAATATCAATTGATTCCTCATTTAATTCTGTCTAATACCTACTGGTAATGTGTACTTTTCAAGTGTTGGGTTACTGCCAGATATTATTCCATGATATGAGATGCAGGAATGGACTGCAGATTGGCTGAATTCTGGACCGACTAAGAGATTCTCTAAGAAAATTGAAGTTCATCTCACTTTATCTTTCAGTAAGGAAAGACAATTGCTGCAAAGGGTTTTGCAGCAATTATTTTCCCCTGGAGGATAAGCACATATGAGACCATTGTGGTAATGTAAGCATGAGTTACAAAATGTTAGGAAGATGTTTCTAAAAAACACTGAAAGAATGAACATCAAAGAAGCTTTCCACACTCTCACCTTTAGGCAAGATAGATTATTCACAGCTGCTTGTATCTGTGGTGGAACTTTAGAAAGTTTTCCTTTCTGAGGGTGCTCTGTGTTACCACTTGGTCTACTAACCATAACTTTCTATAACCTTTGCTATTTTAAAAAATCTCACTCGGCCGGGCACGGTGGCTCACGCCTGTAATCCCAGCACTTTGGGAGGCCGCGACGGGCGGATCACGAGGTCAGGAGATCCAGACCATCCTGGCTAACATGGTGAAACCCCGTCTCTTTTAAAAAACAAAAAATTAGCTGGCGTGTTGGCGCCCCCTGTAGTCCCAGCTACTCCGGAGGCTGAGGCAGGAGAATGGCGTGAACTTGGGAGGCGGAGCTTGCAGTGAGTCAAGATCGCACCACTGCACTCCAGCCTGGGCAACAGAGCAAGACTCCGTGTCAAAAAAAAAAAAAAAAAAAAAAAAACAAAACAAAAAAAACCTCACTCACTTTTTTTGCCTCTACACATCAACGCAATCACCACCTTATTGTGACAAATGGAAGTGGAACAAAAAGCCATTTTTTCTCACCATCCTTCCAAAAATATTTAATTCGTTGTCTAGAAAGCAAATACAATAAAAATATAAAAGTTAAATAAGAAAACCAAAATAAAACATATTTCAAAATGTATTAATATATAATTAAGAAAATGGTACAAAATTTACAGTATTCTTCTTAGAAACAGGCATCAAATTTGGCTTCAAGTTTTCTAAGTTGTGTCAAAGCAAAAATTGTACCAGACAAAGTTAAGCAGGATGGGAAGAATTTATTCAAGTTGTTGCAATAGTGGAGAGAGACTGAACTCAACTCCTCCATAGAAACAGAGGTTGAAAGAGTTTTGAGCACTGACATGAGCTAGTAGAAAATTACCAGAGAACTTTATGAGAGAAGTTGGTCAATGGGATATGTGGAACACATTGAGTTATTCCTGAGTTTGCAAGTATGTTTCTCTGTGATTAAGCCATCTGCATTTGCCAAATGGTGTTTATAGAAGTTAGGCATTTAAACTCTCAAAGAATTGAGAGATAGACCATCTCCTTTAATATTCATATTTCAAACAGATGGTTCCAGGTCCTGCAAAAAGACATTCTCTGGGTTATAAACTGGCAATGCTTGGGAGAAGACTTATGCACATTTCAAAAGGACAGAGAAAGAATTTATAATTGCAGCAAAGGAATGACCTAAAGGTGAAATTTATAATTAATAGAGAAGCAGAGCATGAACATTTGGTATATTTGCAGCCCGGCTGTGTGTTAGAGAAGGAAAGAGCATTCTCAGGAGAGGAATTCAAGGACGCTGCAGAGCAACCACTTGCTAGAAACATTAGCACAGATAAAAGGGAGCCAGATGCTAATTGTCAAGACAATTGGGAAAAAGCGCCCCCAAGGGTGGTTCAGAAATCTTTGAGGCTGTCCCTGCCATCACAGGCCCAGAGGCCTAGGAGGATAGAAATTTTTTGGGAGAATGGACCCAGACAGCTCTATCCATGGCTTGAAAGATACTAGGCACTGCTTCTGCTCCAGAGAATGAAAGCTCTAAGCCTGGATGGCTTTCACATTGTGTCTGGAGGTGGTTCCTCATGGTCTCACTGACTTCAAGAATGAAGCTGTGGGTCTTCACTGTGAGTGTTATAGCTCTTAAAGATGACATGGACCCAAAGAGTGAGTGGTAGCAAGGTTTATTGTGAAGAGCAAAAGAACAAAGCTTCCACAGCATGGAAGGGGACCCAAGCAGGTTGCCACTGCTATCTAGGGGTTGCCAGTTTTTATTCCCTTATTGGCCCTCCCATGTTCCATTTCTGTCCTATCAGAGTGCCCTTTTTTCAATCCTCCCTGCGAATGGCTACTTTTAGGATCCTGATGATTGGTGCATTTTACAGAGTGCTGATTGGTGCGGTTTATAGAGCACTGATTGGTGCTTTTTACGAGCAATGATTGGTGCATTTTACAATCCTCTTGCTAGCTACAGAGTGCTGATTGGTGCGTTTTTACAGAGCAGTGATTGGTGCATTTTACAATCCTCTTGTAAGACAGAAAAGTTCTCCAAGTCCCCACTGAACCCAGGAAGTCCAGCTGGCTTCGCCTGTCAATCCCCCCATTATACAGGACACCCCAAATGCTGTTGGGAACTGGGCAATGACTGTTCTAACTACTTCCTGCTGGATAGGGGCAAAGAAGGGGCCCTGCAGTTGTAGCATCCTCCAGAGGGGAACTCTCTAGGCCAGTCAAAGGGCCAGTGAGTCGGTCCAGAGGTCCTCAGTAGAAGTTGTGAGTTGCGCTCATTTGGGGTTCCATTTGTACGACCATCTGTAGCTTGATGGCCTCAATCCTGGAGGAAACAAATTTGACAGGGAGGTTAAAAATACAGGTCCCAAAGGCGAGTAATAGCAAGATGACTGTTACAGGACCTAGAAAGGGGAGAAGCCATGTCACCCAACTCTAGAGGTTGGTATAAGAGTTTGAAAGGCATTGTCTGATTTCAGAAGCCTTTTCCTGTAAATGCCGGGTGGCATCTCATACTATCCCTGACTGGTTAGGAACTCACTTTCTTTTTATATTGCAGCATGGGCATGTAGAATTAGATAAGCATATTTGCTATGTGTATATACACACTTATTCTTTTGCCTTTCCCAGTTCTAAGGCACAGGTAAGTGCCACTAGTTCTGCTAACTGGGCGCTGGTCCCTGGGGGAAGAGGCTTACTTTCAAGTGCTCTTACATCATTAACTATGGCATAACCTGCCCTTTGTATCCCATTTTCTACAAATGAACTTCCATTGGTATATAAGTTAAGGTCAGCATTAGCTAAGGGGCCTTCTAAGAGATCCTCTCGGGTGAGATGAGTCTGAGCTACAATTTGATGGCAGTTATGCTCTATTGGTTCCCCATCCTCTGGGAGAAAAATATCAGGGTTTATGGCTGCACACATGCATATTTGAAGCACTGGTCCCTCAAGGAGTAGTGCCTGGTATCTAAGCAGACTGTTGTCTGATAACCATAAACTTCCTTTGGCACATAGTATGCCATTTACATCATGAGTAGTCCAGACAGTGAGATCCTTTCCTTGTATTATTTTGATAGCCTCTGATACTAAGATGGCCACTGCCTCAAATACCCATAAACAGTGAGGCCAGCCTTTCACTACTACATCAGTTTCCTTACTAAGGTATGCCACTGGGTGTGGGGTTGTCCCATGAGTCTGAGTAAGCACTCCAAGAGCTATTCCTGCTGTCTGTGGTGTATAAAGAGAAGTTTTGTCCTGTGGGAAGGCTTAAGGCTGGAGCTTGTACTAGGGCCTGCTTTAAGGTTTTGAAGGCTGTTTCTGCCTCTGGTTCCCATTCTATTAGATGAGTATTTGCCCTCTGGGTCTCCTTGATTAGCATATAGAGTGGCCTGGCCATCTCGCTGTATCCAGGGGTCCATAGTTGACAAAAGCCAGTGATCCCAAGGAACACCCCCACAACTATTTTAATGTTTTAGGGTGAGGATAGGCCAGTATAGGCTGTATTCATTCCTTGCTAAGGGCCCTGGTTCCCCTGGCTAAGATTAGGCCTAGATATTTGACTTTTTGTAGGCAGAGCTGGGCCTTCGATTTAGACATCTTGTACCCTTGCTTAGCTAGAAAGTTCAAGAGATCTAGAGTAGTCTGCTGGCATGAGGCTTCTGAACTGGTATCCAAAAGTAAATCATCCACATACTGAAGGACCAGAGTGCCTGGACTTAAGAAGTGGCCTGGATCTTGGGCCGGTATCTGACCAAACAGATGAGGGCTGTCCCTAAACCCTTGGGGCAAGATCATCCATGTAAGTTGGGACGTGTGTTCCATGGGACCCTAAAAGGCAAAGAGAAACTGGGACTCAGACTGGAGGGGTATGCAGAAGAAGGCATCCTTGAGGTCCAGAACAGTGAACCATTCTGCTTCCTCTGGTATTTGAGAGAGCAGGGTATAGGAGTCGGGTACAATGGGATATAGAGGAATTACTGCTTCATTGATGAGTCTGAGATCTTGTAGTAGTCTCCACTGACCATTCGGTTTTTGGACTGCTAGAATTGGGGTGTTGCAGGGACTGCTGCATTTTCTTACTAAGCCTTGAGGTTTTAAATGTCTAACTATATCCTATAATCCTTTATGAGCTTCAGGCCTTAACAGATATTGCCTTTGATAAGGAAAAGTGGTGGGGTCTTTTAGCCTGATTTGGACTGGGTGGACATTTTTTGCCCTCCAAATTGTACTTCCAATGCCCAGACTTCAGGGTTGATTCCCTCCTCAAATAGGGGACAACAAACTTGTTCTCCATATTCATGTAGATAATAGCTCCAGCTTTGGCTAATATGTCCCTCCCTAATAAGGGTGTGGGACTTTCAGGCATAACAAGGATGGCATGTGAAAAGAGCAAAGTCTCCCAATTACAACTGAGGAGGTAGGAGAATACCTGGTTACAGGCTGTCCCAGGATTTCGATGGTAATGGACCTTGAGGACAACCATATAGGCAGGAGATTAACACTGAGAAGGCCGCGCCAGTGTCCAGGAGGGAGTCAATTTCCTGGCCCTCAAAGGTTAAACTTACCTGGGGCTCAGTGAGGATGATGACATGAGCTGGCACTTGCCCCGGGCACCCTCAGTCCTATTGTTGGATCATCTGGTTGGGGGCTTCTGGGCCAGAGAACCTTTGCCCTCTGGGGCAGTGCACCTTCCAGTGATTGCCTTGGCACAGTGGTCATGGGCAAGGGGGTGGCTTGTTTCTCATTGGACAATCTTTTTTAATGTGTCCTTGCAAACCGCACTGATAACAAACCCTACCGGGTGATTGGCTTGCTCCATTTTCTGTCCTCTCTGAACCAAGGTTTGTCTGTCTGAAGGCCATGACTAAGGCTGCAGCCTTTCTCTGATCTCACTTTTCCTTTCTGGCCTGTTCCTCTTGGTCCCTATTATAGAACACCGAGGTTGCTGGGTTTAATAATGCTTCCAGATTTTGGTCAGGGCCCGTGGCTCACTTTTGGAGCTTTCTCCTGATATCTGTGGCTGATTGGGTAATAAACTTATCTTTTACTATCAATTGACCCTCGAAGGAGTTGGGTGACAGGGGAGTATATTTGATTAAGTCCTCCCATAGCCACTCAAGGAAGGTGGAAGGATTTTCTTCCTTTCCCTGAATTATGGTGGACATCATTGAATAATTCATGGGCCTTTTCCTAATTCTCTGGTGGACATCACTGAATAATTCATGGGCTTTTTCCTAATTCTCCTTAGTCCTTCTAGAACACAGGTCAACAGAAGTGTACGACTCCAGTCCCCATGATTTGAGTCTAGGTCCCAGTGGGGATCCATACTGGGGATGGCTTGCTGTCTGGTAGGGAATTTGCCCCTTTCTTCGGCTATCATTCTATCATTTACTTGACTAAGATACCAGGTATCTCCAAACTCTTGGGCTTCAGCTAAAGCTGCATTCTTTTCATTAAAGGCCAGGGTTTGATCTAACAATAGCATGACATCTCTCCAAGTGAGGTCTGAGGTTTGCCTTTGTCCCTGTAGGACATCTATATACCTATCAGGATTATCTGAAAACTTCCCCAGGTCTACCTTGATCTGCTTTAAATCAGAGAGGGAGAAGGGGACATGTACCAAGCTTGGGCCAAATTCCCCTCCCCATACAGCTTGAAGGGGACATAACCAATAGTCCAGGGGTTTTTGTGGTCCCTTGGAGATTTCTTTGCTTGTTTCCTTCTGGGTGGGGGAGATTAGAGGAGGCTTATCATTATTAGGAAGGGGAGCTGTAAGGAGGCTAAGATATGGAGGTAAGCTGAGAGGTCCTCTTGAGGAATGTAAATTGCAAGCTTTGCATAGTTTTGGATTATCCTTCAATGAAAAGAAAGCTTGGACATAATGTATTTCACTCCATTTACCTTCTCTCTTACAGAAAAGGTCAAGCTGCACAACAGTATTATAATTTATACATCCCTCAGGTGGCCCTTTTTCCCCATCAGAGAGAGAATATTGGGGCCAGGCCATAGTGCAGAAAAAAATAAGCTGCTTCTTTTTCAGGGTTTGCAGGTCAAATTGGTCCCAATGGCTTAAGATGCATTTCAAGGGTGAACCCGTTAATGCCTGAGTGTTTCCCATCTGAAAGAAAAAACCACCCGTGGTTTTGTTTTCTTTATTTATTTTTTTCCCTGCCAAAGACCCCACAACAGTACCTGGACCCTGCTGTTTGGAATAGTTGCACTCACCAAACCAGCAGTGGAAACACTAGTTTTCCTCCTAGACCACAAAGAGGACCGAGGAAGTCAGATTTAGTGGCCCTTACCGGTGCATTCTTGAAAATGTGTTAGAGTCCTAAACATTTTCTCCTGTTGGTATTGGGACCTTATCCTTGTCCTATAAAGATGATATGCCTCAAAATGGAGTGGAGGGCCATACCCTGAGGGAGGGAAGGGATCTCCAGGGTTGGAATGCCTTTTGTCCTCACTTCTCATCATATGAATAGGAAGGATATCCCCACAAAGGCTCCCCATATCTTAGCTTCAGGAATACCCTTTGTTAGCCCTGTTAGTCTGAGGAGGGATCCTAGAATTCCAGATAGTCTCCCCACTCCGAAGGGGCTTCAGGCAAAAATTATGTCTTTCTGAATGGTGAGCCCAGGTGCCTAAAGATGGGAAACAGAGTCCCAACATTTATACTAGAAATCATTCTTATAGGAGAAACTAGAAGAGCACCAGAGACAGGGAGTGGGTTTCAGAAGCAGGACTAGCCTCGAGGAAGAGAGGCCGGAGGATGTTTGTCTAACAGGCATTAGGACCCAGGAGGCAAGGGTCCAGATAGAATAGATGGGCCAGTCTCTCTTGGGTGACATAACTTTGAGAGTTCCGCTCATGGCTGGAGGGTCAACCAACCTTTTGTCAGGACCCTGGAGCCAAATGGCTTTCCTCTCTGTTGACCCTCGGCTCAGCCCAGAAATGCAGGAAAACCAGAAGCTGGTTCCAGGCAAACCAACATTCCCAACTCTGAAGAATCAGGGGTTGTTAGAGAGCCCTTTCCCAGAAAGCCTAACACCCGTGTCTTTAGTCTGGCTGCTGTGCTAGTCACTTTTAACTGGCCGACAGATGTCCAGTGTTTAGCCCCTGAATTCTAAGGAAAAATAGGACAGAATAGCAAGCGAAAAGCATCCGATGGTACTCACTGCATGGCAAACTCCTGGACAATCCACCAAGGTGTGTCCAGAGTTGGTTCCTTCCTGTGGGTTCGTGGTCTCACTGACTTGAAGAATGGAGCCACGGACCTTCGCAGTGACTGTTACAGCTCGTAAAGATAGCACGGACCCAAAGAGTGAGTGATAGCAAGGTTTATTGTGAAGAACAAAAGAAAAAAGCTTCCACAGCATCGAAGGGGACATAAGTGGGTCCCCAGCTGCTGGCTGGGGGTTGCCAGCTTTTATTCCCTTATTGGCCCCTCCCATATTTCATTTCTGTCCTATCAGAGTGCCCCTTTTTCAATCATCCCTGTGATTGGCTACTTTTAGGATCCTGCTGATTAGTGTGTTTCACAGAGCTCTGATTGGTGCATTTTACAGTCTTCTTGTAAGACAGAAAAGTTCTCCAAGTCCCCACTTGACCCAGGAAGTCCAGCTGGCTTCACCTCTCAAAATGATGTTAGATCTGCAGGAGCCCAGAATGCAAGAGTGGTGGGGGCTTGGCAGCTTTCACCTAGATTTCAGAGGATGAATCAGAAAGCCTGGATGCCCAGACAGAAGCCTGCTGCAAGGTTAGAGCCCTACGGAGAGCCTTTAGTAAGGCAATGCTGAGCAGAAATGTGGTGTTGGGGCTCCCACAGAGTCCCCACCAGGATAGTTCCTAGTGAAGCTATGGAAATGGGGCCACTCCCCTCCAGACCCCAGAATGATAGAGCCACCAGGAGAATACAATCTCAACCTAGAAAAGCCACAGGTGGCCAGGAGTAGGGGCTCACACCTGTAATACCAGCACTTTGGGAGGCCGAGGTGGACAGATCAGTTGAGGTCAGCAATTCGAGACCAGCCTGGCCAATGCGGCGAAACCTTTTCTCTCCAGAAAAAAAAAAAAAAAAAGGAAAAATTAGCTGGGTGGGTGGCAGGTGCCTGTAATCCCAGCTAGCCAGGAAGCTGAGGTAGAAGAATCAATTGAACACTTGAACCCAGGAAGCAGAGTTTGCAGTGAGCCGAGATAGCACCACTGCACTCTAGTCTGGGCAACAGAGAGAAACTCCATCTCAAAAAAAAGAAAAAAGAAAAGAAAAGAAAAGAAAAGCCACATGCTTTGGATGCCAAACTGTGAAAGCAGCCACGTTGAAGCAGCACCAGAAAAGCCACAGAGACAGGGCTGCCCTAGGCCTTGAGAACCGACCACTCACACCAGTGTAGCCAGGATGGAGGACATGGAGTCAAAGGAATTTATTTTGGAGCTTTCAGGCTTAATATCGTCCCTGCTGGGTGGGGTCTCTCACCCCTTTCTTTTTACTGAATTCTCCATTTCAAAATAGGAATGGTTATGTGATGCCTGTACAATCATTGTATCTTGGTTATAAATAACTCATTTTTGATTTCACAGGCTCATAGCTGTAAGAAATTTGCCTTGAGTTTCAGAAGAGACTTAGGACTTGGGACTTTTGAGTTAATTCTGGAACAAGTTAAGACTTTTGGGGACTATTGAGAAAAAATGATTGTGAGAAGAATATGAGTTTTGGTGGGGGGCAAGGGAACATGCTATGTTTTGATATTTGACTGTAAATCTCATGTTGGTATTTGATCCCTAGTGTTGGAGGTGGGTCCTAATGGGGAGTGTTTGGGTCATGGGGTTGGATACTTCATGAATATCTTGATGCCATCCTCACAGTAATGAGTGAGTTCTCACTTTATTAGTTCTCATAAGAGCTGGTTGTTAAAATGAGCTAGGGACCTCCTTCCTCTTCCTCTTGCTTCCTCTCTCACCATGTGATTGCCATACACTATGGATCTCTTTCACCTTCCACCATGAGTAGAAGTCTGAGGACTCCACTGGAAGAGCAAGCAGATGTTGGCACCACACTTCTTGTACAGCCTGCAGAACTGTGAACCAAATAAACCTCTTTCCTGCGTAAATTACTCAGCCTCAGGTATTTCTTTATAGCAACACTAAACAGACTGAGGCACAGGGATGCTGCAAATATGTATGCAATACCTACTCTGCCCCAAGGATACTATGCAAACATTGTCTCATTTATTCCTCACAAAACTGATGGGCTTAATTTCTTTAAGTAGTTTTTGACTCTTTAAAAGTATATAAATAGTTGTAATACTTTATTTTAGATACTTTAAAGGCTGGTCATGGTTAAATGACTTGACTTAATTTATATACTATTACATAGTCAGTAAATGGCACTTGGATTTTGGAACTCAGGTCTGCAGACTGTAAATCTGCTTGATTCTTGTTACTACTTTGGGCAAAAGCTATCCAATAAAATAGAGGTCCTAAAATTATATAATTTTAGAGGAAGGCTGATAATATAAATATGGGATGTTGGCCATGTATAAGACAAAGGAAGGGCTATAAGAAATATTCCATTTTCCCTCTGACTCAGAAAGAAAAACAATAGCACAAGTGCTCTAATAACAATTGACAACTGGCCACAGTATTAGGGTGCAATAGGGATTGGTAGGAGCTGTGATGAACCACAGGCAAGGTGACCTCAACTCAGCCAATAAACACTATGCTCAAAAAAAAGATCACTGGTATCAAAACTTCTGATATTTTTTTCAAGAGAAGTGTTATCCACACATATAAGTGGAATCTCTCAGTTCTAATTAAGAATGAGATATAAATACTGTGTAGGCCAACACTGTATGAGTCAAACAAAATACATCTGTGGACCATCTGTGGCCCTCTAGCTGCCAGTTTGCAACCTCTGATAGGAAAACATACTCAGTATAACACTTAAATTTGTTAAGGGCAAACATAGCATGGAGCCAAGAGAGGCAGAACTGAGATGAAAGAATAAAATGTTTCCAAATGTATTTATTTTTCTTCTCCTTTTTCCATTATTTGAAAAACAGTATATAAAGCAATGAGCAATATCTTTAAAGGGGAGGGTAAACCCTGTTCAACAGACTGTTTAATAAATTAAGAATAATTGTATCACACCTAGATACGTTTTAAAAATGTGAACTCCATTCTAGAAAGTAAGGCTAAACAAAAACTGATGTAGTGGAATTATCCTGTTATTTAATGTTTTTGGTAATTTCATTTCAAATTTATACAAAATTACAGAAATGGTCTGTGTAACTTGATGATTCCAAGTTGACTTTAAATGACATGGGTGTTTTTCTCAGGCTGATTGTACTGCAGATAAATTTATGTATGTATACAGATGTAAAAGAAGTAAATGTAAACACACACACACACACACACACACACGCACACACACACACAGAGTAAGGTTACCCTTCAACAAATTTTAAACATTTACTCCTGTCATATTCATATGGTACTTAAAACTTCAAATGTACTACTTCTGGCATTGTATATTCTATACAATTTAATATATGAGACAGTGTGATATCCTATAATGAATTTAAAATTAAGATACAAATGTAGATAGGTGCATGGAATAACAAAAAGAACATGAAACAATGATTTTTTTCCGCTGTTGTTCATACTCTGCCTTTTAAGTCCAATCATAAACTCTATAGTGGGCGCTGTATTGTTACTGAGATTATATTCTACCAATAATATTCATTGGAATTCTGGGCTGCAAAGAATAGGTAAAATACATGTCCCAGAATTTCAATTTTTTGAGAAAACATTTGCTTTATGGATGAAAAAGCAACTTTGCTCTTAGGTTTAGGGAGAAATGAAGCAAACTCATATCTTGGCTCTGAATTATTTGTGAAAAAATCGTGCTTATGGTCTCAAAATGGAAGAAGTACATTACTGTGTAAAAATAAAGCTAGCAGTGCATTTTTTTTCTGTGAAGACAGCAAATACGTAAGCATCACTGGTTTCTAGTTTTCCTTTTATGAAAATAATAGCTCAATGCTGCTTCAAGGTTATATTATTTAAAAGATATACTGTGTGTGCAAACAGAGTACCTGTGAAGCTTTACAAAACATGTGTCTAAAACAGAGCTGTTTAGTTTGACAGAGTTTCAAATGCCAAGAGATTGTGTTGAATGCAAAATCAAGTTCTGAAAGTGAAGAGCTGAAAGGTAGTTGGATGGGTTTGAATCTTGACAAGGTTCAGCACTTCTTCATCTCAAGATGACAATCAACACATCCAAGATTCCTCTCAAGGTTTTCTAAACGGTGCCTTGGGATTGTCCATTAAGAAGCTTTTTGGTCTAATGCTTATATATTATACAAGGTATAATATACAAGGTAAATGCTTGTATTTTTTTAATCACAAGTACTATATCATTGTGCAATGTATTACATAGATGAAATAATTCAACACTCAAATTCTAAGAGATGAAAAATATGCCAAAGTGTTTCATTTCGCTGAATACACTGATACCTACAATCTGATAGTGCCCATAGGTATGCTTATTAGTGAAAGCTGGATAGAGAATGTGAAAATGCAGAAAGCATAATCCAGCCACACTTTGAATGGAGTTCAGAAAAACAGAATCCTTTCCTGTATTTCACTCTCCTGTAACTCCAGAACCTACCAGTAGGTTGGGAAAATAGTTAAACCTTAATACAGACTGGTATATAGATACAGAAATGAATGACACACACTCACACACACACACACACACACACAAATCATAATTTAAGATGTGTTATGAACACATAAAAAATCTAGGGTAACTGATTTCTAATCAGCATTCATAGGCCTGTGGGTAATATGCCAAAAAAGTGTTGAATCTGACTCCAGAGATCTGGGGCCAAGCAATGCCCAGCAGCCACACCTCCAAATTAGGAATCTGTCATTCCCTCATTTCCAAATACCTCATCAAGAAGCATAGATTAAGATGTCAATGTTACCTTATATTTAACCTTAAATTTGCTCTGTTAGCAAAAATTAGAGTAATACAATTTCCATATGAAAAGGAGGACTGGTCACATTGCTCACTGCTCACTGCTCTAGCTAGAGATGTCTAGACTGTGCACCATTCTCTGACTTTTCCTTCGCTCCCACCAGGTCCACATTCTTTTGCCAGAACATGAGGATGTACTTTTTTAGCTTACCTACTAGATAGTCCTGGAACTCTAATCTATGAAGTCCTAGGATGCCCTGAATCATGCCTGAAGAGATATAGATGAATGGACCTATGTCCCATGAAACTAGAATATGATCTGTTTCATTGCATTGCACTATAAATGTGTAATGGAAGGAATAAAAGAGAAAGGGCAAGAGAGGCAGGGAAAGGAAGAAAGAGGAAAGGCAGAAAAATATTTATATGAATTGGTTGAACCAATCACTACAAAACACACTTTTTGTAAATATTGTGTTATCATGTATTTAGTAAGAAATTTAATTTGATATATAAGGTAGAGTGCTAACCTAAGAAGAGTTTAGGATTAAGATTTATTTATTTATTCCCAAAACTTCTTGTTTGCTACCTATGAGAATTTAGAAAACTTAATGTCTGTGAATGCCAGCATTCTCATTAACTTGATAAATATAAGCATATCCATCTGAAAACTTTGCTGAGGGAATTAAAGAAACTCATCTATGTGAAAGAGATGGGCTGGCATATCACCAACATGCATCTCTCATTTCTGTATAATACTGAAAATCCAAAACTTCTCAGTTTATTTGACTTCCATAAATTTTCCACTTATGACTTTATATCTAGACCAATTCGTACCTCAAGTCTCTGAAGCCCAATTATGGAGGATGAAAGCTAAGGATATGGATTTAAATGTAATCAAATTCTCTTAAACTACATTATAAATGGTGAAACAGCAGCAAAAACACACCCACTCTGACCACAGGCATCTAATCATCTTGAAGATAACGAGATTTACCTGGCAAGTTTATCTGGCCCAATAAAGCAATTTTTCTCCAGCTAAGTGTCAGGAATTACATCCATTAGTAAGTAATCTGTGAAAAGAGAAACAATTTAGGTTGCAATGTCTGATTGCTAGAGCTATGCTAATCTTTCAATTCCCAACTCCGTCTGCTTTACAATGACATCTCCTTTTGCTACCTGTCTGTTTCTCAGTGAAAAAGGAAACGTGTTCTTTACCATGCTTTTTTTTTTCCCCTTGGTCAGTGCCAAAGATCAAACATCCTGATTTCTATTGCAATTTAATGCCACTTCTCTTGTTTCCCATACCTATTTGGTCTACTTCTATTAAAGGATGTAATTTCCCACATAGTTGCGTATGAGTGGTTTTGAGGAACAGTCTCTCCATAATCATTACATTAAAATATTTTTTAAAAAATTAAGCATAGAAAATTATATTTTGGATAGGTAAAATTTTTTTAGCTAAATTTGTTGCAGAGTAACTCCACTGTATATTAGCTTTTGTGAAAGTTTAAATAAAATGAGCAGAGACCAGTTGAAACTCAGACACAATTGAACCTGAGACGTAAGTACTGGAGACTAGAACTGGCAACACAAAGCATCAATCAACCCCAGGACAGCCTAACATTTAATAAACTGCTGACATTGATGAGCATACGAGATTTCCAGGTTCATAATTAAACAAACAAAAACTGAGCTGAGATTATGTCACACTGGGATCCTTAACTATAACTTTCCCTTTCTGAGATCAAACAAAACATAGTAGTTTAGAACAACCATTCTGGAGTTAGAAGTTTTACATTTTAATTCTAGCTTCACAGTGTACTAGCTGAGAGACCTCGTTCAAGTGACTTGATCTAAAATCTTAGTTACTCATATGAAAAATAATGATCCTAATGGTAACTTTCTTATAAGACTGTTGTAAAAATTGAGTTAAACAAAACATAATAAAGTATTTGAATGGTGATTTAAGTGCTCAATAAAGGTTTAAATTTTTTAAATGAGCAGGTTAATTATAGTCAGACTGTTTCTTAGTGAATTAGGTTAAAGGAATGAGAGAGAACTATTTCCAAGGTGGGGACATATCTACCACTCAAATTAGAGAGTTTCTGCGGAGAGTTTTTATCCCTAGTTCATAGTATCATCAACCATGTCAAGTATTAGACAAGTTTTTCTAAATTCTTTTTCTATTTCATAGCAGAACAACCAGTTCGTACTGGTTTCTTTAGACAGGGTACGATGGATCAAACTGTATCATCTCAAAATTAGTATATTGAAGTTCTAACTCCTAGTACCTTAAAATGTGACCTTATTTAGAAATATGGAGTAGGGTTGGTCCCTAATTCCATACAAGTGTTTCCTTATAATAAGGGATATTTGGAGATAGGCATGCACAGAGTAAGATGAAGGCAGAAAGGGTAGTGCAGAAGTCAAGGATCGCCCAAGATTGCCAGCAAATCTCCAGAAGCTGGGGGAGAGGCTTGGGACAGTTCCTTCCCTCACTGCCCTCAGGAAGAATCAACCCTGGGTTGATTCATCTCCTGGGTCAGGTGACTCCTTCCTTTAGGAAGAAGCTGACCATATAACAGCTCAGCTGATCACAACAGAGGAGGGATTTGCATGGAAAGGCAATCATCATCATGTTCCTTTATTTCCAAGTCCTAACGATCTGAACTCCGCTACACCCTCCCAGTACTGACAACACCTTCCAAGTCTCCTCTTTTTCTTTCCACAGCTCTGATTCTGCTGAGGTTCCACCTTAACTTTCATCATGAGTCCTAACTCTGTGGCCAGTGACCTTACCAACAGCTTCATCTCAGATTTTTGGCCTGGACTGTGAGACAACACATTTCTACGTAGTTCAGGTACTTTCTTACAGCAGCTCTAGAGGGCCCTATGTAGAGTATAACTTTCAACTTAATTGAAAGCAACTTGTACTGGCCTAGAATTATTTTGCTTTTTAATGTACTTTGGCCATCTCTACTCTGATTTATTAGTAACATTTCAACTCTCAGAAAGTGTATGTATCAGTCAGCATCCCAGTAAGAAACAGGCAACACTCACAGCTGAGATGTTTGTGAAAATGAAAGATCTATCTGCAAGAGATATAGACAAGTTTAAGGAAAACCACAGATGTGTTGAGACACCCAAGAAGTAGCAATAGCAATCAGCTGATACCACCCCCCTAGCACTGATAGAGAAAGAAGAGAAAATGGAATCACTAAAGTCTGGGTCATAATATAAATGCTACCAGGCAGAAGCCGCCCCTTGGCAAGGCATAGCCAGAACCACATTGAATCAGAAATACAGTTGTAGGAAAAAACTACTCTGAGCTACAGGAGTCTCCCGTTAGCTGATGCCAACCAGAAACCAGAGGGAAAGGAGTTCCAGGTGATGCAGATCATAGGAGCAAGCCTTCCTGGGCACAGAGCAAGACAGAGATGGGCAGAGAACAGATCTGAGGGCAAAGGGAAGAGAACAGGATCCAAGGTCCATTACGACCCTTGGGGCTATAAGTAATAAATTGCCAAATTAAAAGTGTATTAAGCAAAATTTAATTAATTTTTTATTTATAAAAAATGTTTGATTATAGAAAATTTTAGAGTTGGTTTAGCAGCTTGACCACACTCAGATAACTAGCAGTTATTGTGGTGCTGAATTTCAAGAGTCTCCTAATTTTTTCTCACGATCGAAGAAGACCTGCATTTCCAAACATCACATCATTACACAAGTGAGCACAACTACAAAAAGGAGACAGTTAGTGAGGTTTCTCACCATTTTTTTTTTGAGAGATAATCTTTCACTCTATTGCCCAGGCTGGAGTGCAGTGGCACAATCATAGCTCACTGCAGCCTTAGACTCTTGGGTTCAAGGTCTTCCCACATCAGCCTCCCAAGTAGCTGAGACTACAAGTGCCCGCAACCACAACCAGCTATTTTTTGTATTTTTTGTAGAGACGGGGGTCTTACTATGTTGCTCAAGCTGGTCTGTGACTCTTGGCCTAAAGCAGTCTACCTGCCTCGGCCTCCCAAAGCATCGAGCTTACTGGCATCTCCAGCCCTCAGCTTTTTCTTTTTACTTCTCTCTTTTTCTAAATATGGTATTTTTTTCCTGGAACAGTCCCCTTTTATCTTATTGGCCACATATGTGTCACAAAACTACCAGGAATCCTAACACTAGCAAAAGGAAATGGAAACATCATGATTGTCTTTTAACTATTCATCTCCTGGGTCAGGTGACTCCTTCCTTTAGGAAGAAGCTGACCATATAACAGCTCAGCTGATCACAACAGAGAAGGGATTTGCATGGAAAGGCAATCATCATCATGTTCCTTTATTTCCAAGTCCTAACGATCTGAACTCCGCTACACCCTCCCAGTACTGACAACACCTTCCAAGTCCCCTCTTTTTCTTTCCACAGCTCTGATTCTGCTGAGGTTCCACCTTAACTTTCATCATGAGTCCTAACTCTGTGGCCAGTGACCTTACCTATCACTTAACCTGTCTCTGCCTCAGTTTACTCATTGAATTGAGGCACAGTATGATTTTAAAATGTGATTGAGTCTTTTATCATCATCATAGTGATACATAGATAAGTGGGAATATATAGAGTTGAGGTAGGCTTCTGCAGTAAGACCAGAGATTTAGCTCAAGAATTAATATCAATATCAATTTTTTAACAAATGAATATTAGTGATAATATAAAAATCATTTCAAAATAAGTGACAGAAAGCCTGACTTTAATCTCATTTCCTACTTACTTGCATTGTGACCTTCATTCAGGAAGTAAAGTCTTGTAAACTCTCTGGGCTTATTTCTTCACCTATTAGATGAAGAGGTTAATTTAGAGTTTTAACCTTATGACTATCTCGCAGAATATCTATGAGCACTTTATGATATTGATTACACTCTGAAATTTAAGATCAATACATAATAGTAACTAACATTTGTTTAGTGTCAACATATTAAATGCTTCTGGGGTGGAGGAGGGGCAGAATTATGAACTATATTTGCTAATTCTCTTAAAGTATGACCTTACACCTTCTTTGAGATTTTTCTCTATTCTTCTTGGTGAATATTAATATGCTAATATACTAACTAGAAATATGACACATGCCCCAGTTTCATAAAGCACAGCTAGCCTAGGTGGTTTAGGTTCATTTTCACATAGTGAGCCAATCTCCTGACACCAGTTGGTTACACGCTTCTGCAGGTGATCACAATACACACTGAAGAGCAAGAGAGATTCCTGTCTTTAGAAAACTTAAAGTCATAGAGTCACAGCTATCATTTCCCCACATGCTCCTCAATTTTGACAGATCCACAGCAGTCAAATTTCATTCTTTAGTGTCTTGAAAAAGTCATCTTCACATTTTCATTTTGGAGGAAAACCAGCCTTAGAACAGTTTAAATAATTTACTTATATAGGGGCCTTTTGTATTTTAAAAGCATAGGCAAGTTCAAAATGCTCTCAATTACATGTTCTTAAGGTTCTCAGTAAATATACCTCCATTTTTGCAGAGTTTATAATACTTTTAAACTATTAAGTTATCAGACTCCCCAAATTATTCAGGAGAAATATTTCCTTCTTAGACTTGTCCTTAAGAAGATCAAACAATACTTAGTCTCCCTGCGGAAATGACAATTGATCCTTTCTTTTTACATGAAACCTACTAACTTTAAATAAGCATCTAAGTCATTTTAATATTTTCTCATCAGAAATCTACATTAAAAATAAGTATGAGGATGGGTTTAAACACCATTTGGTATTTACAGTAGACAGCTGTGGCGCCATCATTTTTCACAATAAGCCTAGAAATATGTATTCTACATTAGTGGAATATTAGATAAATAGAGTTTTACAAGGTGAGGGAATCTATTTATTACATGTGCATGTGAGAATACAGCCTATGTAATCTTCAAATGATAAACAATTTTAAAATACTAAAGCATCTGCACTATTTTATCACTGAATTTAGACACATTTAAAAGCCTCTATGTATTCAACCTTTGCCTTCAATAAATTCACTTGATACATACATAATTAGAATTTTTCCTTTGGAGATATTTCTCAAACTTAACCTTTATTTTAAAAAACGTACTACCACCATTAGGGCTATTTAGAGCAAAAAATATACATCTACTATGATTTGGACTTAATTTATTTACTAGAATTTTTCCTTTCAACCACTTTTGTTCTATGAAATAGGGTGAGCCTATTATGTCAGAAATATTCTGAATCCTTTGACAAGAGGGTCAGATGTGCCTCATGGACTGAGGGTGGAGGTCAAGCTATGAAATTTTCTGTAGTTGGATCAGGTCACTGATCACTAGTGCTGATGTTGGGAGGGGTAAACAAATAAGATTAGAACTCAGTCTTTTGATTCTCATTTCAGAACCCTTTTAGCATTATTACTGATATGTTTGGCTCTGAGTCCCCACCCAAATCTCATCTTCAATTGTAATCCCCACATGTCAAGGGAGGGACCTGGAAGGAGGTGGTTGGATCATGGGGACGGTTTCCCTCCCATGCTATTCGCATGATAATGAGTGAAGAGCTGATGGTTTTAAAAGTGTTTAGCAGTTCCCCCTTTGCTCTCTTTCTCTCTCTCTCTCTCTCATCCCCTCTCTCTCTTCTGCCACCATGTAAGATGTGCCTTGCTTCCCCTTCACCTCCAGTCATGATTGTAAGTTTTCTGAGGCATCCCTACCCAGGTGGAACTGTGAGTCAATTAAACCTCTTTCCTTTAAAAATTTCCCAGTCTCAGGTCATTCTTTATAGCAGTGTGAAAATAGACTAACACAATTACTAATATAGTTCTTCTGTCTCCCATCTGAAATTATGTTTGTCTTGATGTCCTTTCCTTCTTTGACTTCAAAATGACTTCAAAATTTCAACTCAGGAGGGCAATAGTGTCTTGTCTGACTGTAACAGAATTACAACCCTCTTATTGTGTTTTATCTTCAAAGACTTGATATGCTAAAGGTAAGTCTAAGTTGAAACATGGTGAAAGCAATTGTAACAAATGTGGTAGAGCCATTGTTTTCCTGAATGTATCACTAGACATTCAGAATTTATAAGAGAGCAGAATTTGAATAATCTACCATGCTATGTTTCCAATGAGAATGTGCTACAAAGGAAGATGTCATCTGACACACAATCCACAAAACGATGCTACCAGAGTTTGCCTCTGCTCAAGGAAAATGGAACTATCACTTCTTCACTTATCCCAGTTATTGACTCAGTCCTTCATATACTGCCAGAAAGTGTTCTGGGCACTTTAAGGAGGTACTTTTAATCAGTTCTTTACTCAAGCAAGCAAGTTCTTTACACTAAGCAAATGGGGGCCCTGAAAATTGTAGTGAGAAGCACAGAGCCTAGTGTAGAGGGAGAATCAGATTATGTGTCCCTGGTCCACCAAGCACATGCCACAAAACCCTCCCCATTTGTACATCCAAAATGTGGGAGGAGGGTATGGGATGGCCCCTACCCCTCTGAGTGTGTTTCACATGCACCTCCCTAGCTCTTTATCTCTTTCCTTTCTCTCCTCACTTTCCAAATTGCTTTTTTAAAAACATATCTGCTTTGGGTATCCTTCAATAAATTGCAAATCTCAGTGCTTTTACTTTCAAATGTCTTACTAATTTCATATACTTGGTTTTGTACTTGGTGGTTTTCCTCTAGCCAGCACCTTTCAGAATTGCCTAAAAATGTGACATCTGTTCTTCTGACTATTTGCTCATTCTGAATGAGCTGAAGTGAACTGGTCCTCCAGCTTGCTAAGGAGCATGGGAGGGAGAAAACAATGGCAGAGTGACAAAGGGTCTAACTCTTGGCTATGTTTGTTCTTCCCATAAATTCTTGATATTAAAGTCATCTCCCCACCAAAATGGTTGGTTTCTTTCAGAGAACCTTATGTGACCAATGTAAATCACATTAGTACACTAATTATCCATATTGACTATTCCTTGCAAACTAGTGTACTCTTCTAATGAGCCTGTGAGAATATGTATACACTTCTTGACTTGGTCAATATTACATCTTTTCCTCCTTCACTGCCCTCACTGATTCCTGTTGATTTTTTCTAACAAATACTTCTGAAATCCATCTATTTATCTCCATTTGCCCTTTATCTTCTCCAAGACTATGGGAGTTCCTCTTAATTTGTTATCCAGTTTCCTCTTACCGTGTTACCCTAGAACTATGAAGTTAAGGGCACAATCCTCCAGACTGACAAGTCTACTCAGGATTTTTGACCTCTATGGCAAGAAGTTAGTGTCCACCTACAAAATTTGAGAAAATGTCCACACAAGATCACTCTCATTTCTGACACCAACTGCAAGTTTGGTGGGTATATTAGCCAAGGTTTCCCAGAGAAATAGAACCAATAGAGTGTGTGTACACACACACACACACACACACACACACACAAAAGAGTGAGAAGGAGAGACAAAGAAAGCAAGAAAGAGATTTTAAGAAACTAGCTCACGCAATTGTGGAGGCTTAGTACGTCCAAACTCTGAAAGGCAGGCCAGAAGGCTGAAGAGCCATGGTTTGCAGTTCAAATCCAAAGGCACTCTGCTAGCAGAATTTATTTTTGCTCAAGGGAGGTCAGTGTTTGTTCTATTAGGGCCCTCACCTGATAGAATGAGGCCCATTCACATTATGGAAGATAACCTACCTTACTCAAAATTCACCAATTTAAATGTTAATCTCATTCAAAAACCACCTTCACTGAAATATCTAGAATAGTGTTTCACCAAATATTTGGGCATGATGGCACAGCCAAACTGACACATAAAATTAACCATCAAAGGGCTTCACCCAAAACCATCCTCACATTCAATAATTCACTAAAAAGGTGCAAAGAACTCATATAAACCTATTATACTCACAGTTACATTTATTGCAGGCAAAAGATGTAGAAAATCAGCCAAAGGAAGATTTGAATAAAACAGAGTCCTCTCAGAGACTCCTTAGAACATGTTACCCTCTCAGTATTAATGGGTGACAGTATGCATGATGTACTGACAACCCAGGATGCTCACATGAGCTTTGAAGTCCAGAGTTACGATTAGGGCTTCATTATATAGGCAAGACTGATTGATTAACTGCCCATGTTGTTAAAGTCAATCTCCAGTCCTCACTCCTCCGTGAAGGTCAGGCTGATACCACATGGCCAAAGGATACCACTATAGGTCCTGTTATTATCATAAAACCATCAGATATGGTCCATGGGGACCCAATGTAAATAACAAAGACACTCCACAATCCTATTACTCAGGAAATTCCAAGGATTTAGAGATCAACTGACAGGAGTCTAGGACAAAGACCAGAGCACTTTTGGGGTGAAGCCAATTTCCTTAGTACACACTGTTCACCTTCATCCACACTTCACTCCTTCTAATCAACGTTGCTGTTTACACCCAGCTGCTAGACTGATGTATCCTTCATGGTTACCTATTTCTCTCACAACAAAATGTCATATACAATTTGGTTCCTATTTCCTTAGCCTAATTTTGAGTTATGTTCCTCCTTCCGTCTCTCAACCACAGTTATGCTGTCGTCCTCTAGTCCCTTTATCACAGGACTTTTACAAGGGCTGTTTCCTCCACCTTAACTGTTCTTTCTCCTTTTTTCTTAGTTAACTAGTACTTCATACCTCTCATTTATTAGCTCTAGGTTGTAGTTTTTGATTATATGATTAAAGTTTTCTTTCCCGCAAGATCCTCAGCTGCATCAGGCAGTAATCTTGTTTGGTTTTGATCCTTATTTTATCCCAGTTTTCAGTACATAATAAATATGAATTAATAAACGCTTACTCTACTTGACAATGAAGATGAAGGGCATATGCTCAAACTGATTCACCCCAGGTGCAGGAATATGCCTTGATGAATAGACTTATTCTCCCCATCAGCACACAATATCTGTGGAGCACCCAAGTGCAAAGCTTTGTGTAATACAAATTTGTGCTATAGAAAACATCGCTCATGGGGAAGATATTCAGAGACACTATGCCACACAACTAGAAGTAACAAAGAAATGAGCTCTGTTATAAATGAGATTGATGTCGATCTTTTATTATTTCAGATAATAGTAACTAAACTGTCTGCAAGGTTTCATTCAAATACCTATAAATAAACTAATATTATTACATTTAACACAGATTTGAGCTTGCTTTCTGTTTAGGACCACAGAGCTAGCGAGGCACATGTCGACAACAAAACTGCCAATAAGAATCCGCATGAGATTTGGGTAATGAGTTGTGCTGATCAGAACATGCTCTCATTATTTGTTTGCATACACCCTGGTGTGTCATCTCAGCACACGTGCAGAGACGGAGAAAGCATGGCCTGGTCATGTGTTTGCTTCTTTCTTTCCAACACAGATGTTTGGCAGCACTCAGGAGACAGGGCATTGCACTAATACTGTGCCACGTTTGTGTTTGTGTTTATCTTCAAATGTATCTAACTGGTTTGAAGCCATAAATCTTTTACCCATAATTACAATTACAGCTCTGGGTGACATTGTAGATAGCTTGATACATTTCAAAAAAGGTAGGAGAGTTTGCTTCTGGGAATTAATGGGTGAATATAATGATTCTGGAAGCAACAATATGTATCATAAAGAATCCAAATCAATATTGTTATGGTGGAAGCTGGTATGTTTGTCACTACTTTCTTTTCAAGCAAAAAGAAATAAATAAAAACTGGGACAAACAGCTAGCAGTTGCACAAAAACTAGAATTCTAAATGCACAGGTTCTTTCCAAAGACAATAGGAAATAGAGAATTTGAGGAATTATACAATGAATTCATCACCCAGTGGAGATAAGTTTTATTGCCCATACCTCCAAACACCCTGAAACATGAATTTGTCTTGAACTCCCTACTTATCTTCCAAGTGCCTTACACTTGAAACCACTTACAAGGAGGAAAGGACACAGAACTAAACTGAGATAGATAAAAATTATAAAATTTAGGTACATAAACCCTTTGGGGGTAAACTGAGTTTAAATATGTACATCTTCAGAATTGCTGAAACGTATGCTTTAAAACTAAATGACATTAATCTGTGCCACGTGTCTATTGTATGCTAGGTACTGAGCAGCTCTATTATTTCCTCATTTTGTAGAAAAAGGACTAAACATCTAAAATATTGAATAACTTGTCCAAGATGGTAAAGAAAAGAATAAATGAAAAGACAAAATACAAAAATAAGTTAGACTTTTTTCTAACCTATTTTTATAGAAATCGACCTATTAAACTGTCCTACCTTTGTATAATTGAATAAGTATGACGTTAGTGCCCAGCTCCGCATCTGATATGTTACATACCCAAAAAGTTTATTGAATCAATGAAGAAATAAAAGAAAGAATAGATGGAATAATAGAAAAATACAAGGACGATGGATTTAAACTTCTGCTGATAACTTAGAAAATTATCTCCAAAATCAGAATCCCTATTATGCATTTTCCTTCTAATTTTCTATATCTAATTGATACTGCATTGGAAAATTTTAACCTAACCTAAATTTCAAAAAAGCATTTGCACATGAATATATGTCATTAAGCATCAAACTTTGTGACATTTACATGAGTCACTGCCTTCTTTTTTACTTTTTTTCAACTTCCTGACTTGGATTTATATTAGAAGAATGGAAACAGCTGGACATCTGAGTTTTTCTAGATTTCTAACTTTATTTTTCCGGTGTATATGATAATGAAGTTAAATATCTATTCTATGTATTTTTCTTCTAAGCAGTGAAGTAATCCAAAAAGGGAAAAGTCTATACTTACAGTTGAATGTAAACATAATCTTGTTTATTATTTAGATATTTTCTTATGGATCAATCTTTATTCTTTTTGATAAATCAATGTTTCTGTTTCTCTTCTCTCTCTATCTGTGTATCTCACCTTTATTGTTTTCCACAGAGTAAAGTCAGCTTTGTAATTTAAAATTAGAGAAACTGTAATTTCTGAACAGAAAACACTAGCATCCTGCAGATCTTGCATGTTAGGGTACACTTTCCCACTCTTTTTTCTCTCCCATTAAAACTTTCTTGCCATACTCCCTGTTCAGGAAGGCTTCCCACCTGACTCATGGGTCAACTTGAACTAAATTTTAAATTAATAATACCATTTGTAATTTAAATTAGTTCATGGATGCTTTAACCTTTTCCATTTAATGTAGTTTGCGAAAGTCTTAACCCAAAGAAGTGGCTAATGTGACAGCCCCCCAGGAAGATGAGAGTCTAAAAGGAGTGGTCAGAGAACAGAAGAATGGGTCAGAAAAGAGGTGAGTTAGAGGAACCCAATTTCATCAGAAGAGATACTTTCCTCACAAAAGAAAAGTTTTCCCAGAGAATGACATCTGTCAAAACTTCTGAAGCTGGGCAACTTGTGTTTTCTGATAACCCTAGTCTTCCTGCTTTCCCACTAAACTTTTAAAATGTTTTTCTTTTCCATTTCTGGAGCCTGTTATAAATCATTTTATAGACCAGAGAAGAAAGAAAAAAATTACCAGCAGCATTTTTTCAAATATATTAGAAACTATAGAAATTCTCAAGATATGCATCAGTCTAAAGAGTCTAGGAAATTACTTTTCAAAAGTAACCACTTACAAGTGAACATTTGCTTTCCTAAATCACTAAGAACCAACTTTATTGAATCAGTAGAAGCAGCTCTTCATTTTTTTCTTGTTGATCAGAATTTCATTAAGCTGTTCCTTAATGCTCCATGACTTCGTTTGCTCCGGATTTACATTACTCAACCATATCCCTTAAGCTTAATTAAATTTGTTTGTCCATGCCTTGAGCACTTTTCTCTGTTCTGCAGCAAAAAAAGGTAAAAATCAAGGGACACTCACTCATCTGTGAAGCTGTCGGTCCATCATAACTTAAATATTGATTTTGGGGAAGGTTGTGACATTCCCTAGGTGAGCATGTCAAGTTTGTTGACAGAGAGCTCCCTACTTAACTGAATATGATGTCTGTATGGGAAGTGATGAAGTACATCAGTGATGTATAAGTTTTCTCTGTCACTGTGTGTGCAGTAGAGGGTAATGATATTCCATCGTGTGCTGACCAAACTCCATGCGCCTTGTCTTATTACTTCAGTATTTTTTCCCTTAAAGACCTGGGAGCAATACAGTTATTCATCCAAGAGATGATTATGCATTAAAAAAACCTGAAGCATGAAATATCAGATGGGGATAGTCATAAATGATTTGCCACATGAGTAATAACTTTAATTTGGTCGCTAAACTTACAGTGTAGTTTTACTCATCTGTAATATGGGAGTAATGATCATCCTTCCTGTCATTAACTACTTCTCAGCAGTGTTGTAAAGATTAATTTGTGTTCCTAAATGGCTTTTCAAATGAAAAGTGCAGTGTAAATGTTAGTTTCTAGAGCATAGCCCCTCTTGGCAAGTGCTGGCTTTGTCTCTGATTAACATTTAAAATGCTGTATAAGGAATTAAATTTTGCTTGGACAATAACAGAGGAATATTTTCAGTTAGTTTAAAGAGACAGTGAAGCACAATTCAAGACATTACCAAACATAAAACAAAAAGTTTAGCTACATCAATTTAACAAATATATTGCCTAAATCATTACTTTGTCATTTATAGGTTTCTGATGAAAAAAAAAAAAAGATCTCTGGCTTTCAACCTAACAAATTACATTGCATTGCACTAGTAAGTTATCCAAATTAGCCTGAAACCATTTCTTCTGCTAATACATGCAGAAACATTCTAAGGTAATATTTTATACTCTGATTTCTCAGGTTTTCATTTGGTTCAGATGTACATTTAAATGATTGCTTACTCAGGTCTCTGGCTATTTCATGTCTGGCAAAATTATAGGGTTCAGATTCACATAAAGATGAATAAAAATAGGAGAAGTAACTTCTTCACGTGTTGGAAACTCTGGTTAAGCATTAACATTGCTCTACTGCTAAGTACAGACTAGATGTTAAGAAGCTGCAGCACCTAAACTGCCTAGGCTTTAGCTCCACTTATGAGTGAGGGAATGTCAGTTAATTTTTCTGCCCTCTTCTCAGCCTTGCTTCTGTGAAAATGTTCTTTTCTAACTTTCCTCCTACCTTTCTGTCTGCTCACTCTTTTTTAGTCTTTATTTTCCTAGATTTTGCTCCAACTGAGTAGATTTTATACAGTATCTATTTTGGCATTTAAAACACACCCTCACAACACCTGAGAACTGACTCAACATTGCCACTTGCATGGGCCATATAGGCATCTCAAACTCATCACGAGCAAAAGTGAATTTAAAGTCTTTCTCTCACCTCCTGGTCTTTTCCTGCTCTATCCTAGCAAACAACACCCATATCTTACCAAAGACACAAAGATGTCTTTGAAAATCTTTTATCATTAATTTCTTGAACACATTTTTATGACTATACACTGTATACACGTACTGCGTAATACACTGAGCAAAATGAAAAGAGAGTCCCTGTTCTCAGGTAGCTCACAGTCTAGCGAAAGAGATATATTTTAATAAAATAATAAGGATAATAGCTAGTCTGGAAGAGGCCATCAATGGGATTCTGTGATAACATTTAAGACCATGGCACCTGAGAAGGCTGACCTGAGGAAGTGATGACTAAATTTAGATCTGAAGATTGGGAAATACATAAAAGAGTGAAAAAAAAGGGGCGAAGAGGGAGAAAGGGTTAAATAGTGAGGGTATTTCAGACAGAAGGAAGAGCATGTGCCCTTTTCCCCTCATCAAATCAGACCCCAAATCATGGACCTCTAAGCCAATTCTCTCTAAGGTATCACATGTACACACCATTTACAATCTCCACCTCTGCCACCACTTTTACTTTCTATCATCATAGCACTACCTTCATATTCAAGCCACAAATGCTTATATATCCTCAATATGTATCTCCTCCCCCTTCTAGAAATCCCTTAAAATCTCTTATCAAAATCCAGTGGAATTCTGATAGCCTCTTAACTCTCTTTCTCCCGTTATTTCTCCTCTGCAAATTTTATTATATTCTGCTCTAAATTCTCTCCTCTTTTACAATGGAAATTCTGATAGTCTCTCAATCTTCAATCTTCTCTAGGTTTGTTAGTTGATTAGTTTGTTTTTATTGTCAAAGATGTACAGAATACACAGAATTCCTCATGCAATGGAGAAGAAAGAGAAGGAGGAATTTCAAATACCTTTATTTATTTTTCTTTAAGTGGAGAGGACACAAGTACATACTTGGTTCTTTTACTTCTTACCATGGCTCAAATTTAGGTGCATATATTTTCCTATGTATCATGAAGTTGGAAAATGTCAATTCTACTTTATAACAGCTTACTAGTTTTATTTTATGACAAATGGAGAAAATACGATTTATTAAAAAAAGTATTTTAACCTCATTTGAACTTAATATTGGCATATTATACCTAAGGAGAAAATCCAAACCTCATAAATGAATTGCTCTTTCTAAGAAAGTGGACAGAGTTTTGCACTGGAGAAATATAATCCTACCTTACCCCGTCCTGTATTCTCCATTTACTATGGTAATATTCTGACTCAGCTTTTGGAAAAGACATTGCACATTCTTCCATAAGTCAGGGAAGATACATAAAAATTCAGAAGCAACCCTTATTCCACTCTAGAGCTTACAAGCCTTTTAAACCATAGGAGCTATCTGTGTCCTGAAATGACACTAGAAACATGAAAAAATAAACAGTAACAATTTTATAGTTTATGGCATATATACACTCTCACTTAATTTCCAACAACCAAGTGGGATCACTTTTAATATTTTCATTTTATAAGAGAAAATTACAATTCAGAGAAGATACGAAATTTGTTCCCAGAACTCATATTATCAGTTCAAGAGTTAGCACCAGAATTGGTTATCTGCTCTGATGCTGTGTTCCCCTAGGATTACTCAACACTAGCTTTATGAGACATACAGATTGGAAGTTCATATAGTTTGGATCTGTGTCCCCACCCAAATTTCATAATAAAATGTAATTCCCAGTGTTGCAGGTGGGGACTGGTGGGAGATAATTTCATGGTGGGAGTGGATTTCTCCTAAATAGTTTACACCTTCCCTCTCAGTACTGTCCTCATGGTAGCAAGTGAGTTCCCATGAGATCTGGTTGTTTTAAAGTGTGTTGCACCTCCCCGCTCTCTCTCTTGCTCCTTCTGTGGCCATGTGACACCCCTGCTGCCCCTTCACCTCCTGCCATGATTGTAAGTTTCCTGAGGCTTCCCAAAAACCCAAGCAGATGCCAGCATCATGCTTCCTGTATATCCTGCAGAACCATGAGCCAATTAAACCTCTTTTCTGTATAAATTATCCAGTCTCAGGTACTTCTTTATAGCAATGTGAGAACAGAGTAACACAGAAGTCGGCTGGTTAACTGGCTTTGACTATTACTTCATCTTTGAAAGTATCCTACTTGCTGACTAACACATCATATTTTGGGGGCCAGTACCTCTAGGAGCCCAATTCCAACATTTTTTTCATTACCATCCAGTTTTCCAATCCATTTAACTGTGCTCAGTAACCCCTTAGAGTCCCACTTTTCCCTATATCTTGTTCAGTTCCATACCCATCCTTATAATCAGTATGGCAGAGATAGATAAGTAGAAGTCTTTGAAAATATATTATACCCTTCTAGAGTAACAAACATGTAACTGAAAAGCAAGTATCCACCCAGGAATTACCTTCCCTAGGTATACTGGTAGTAAGTGTGGTCATATGATTAGCTCTCCCCAATAGAATGTGAGAGAATGTGATGTGTCCTACTGCTGAAATGATTTTTTAATTGGTTTTTCTTTTATTTTCTTCCCCTTGACCTAATTAGAAGCATTAATAAATAAACAAATAAATAAGTCAAGACCACTGAATCATCTAATGGGAAAGACACACTTACCAACCTGATATGTGTATGAGAAACAAAATATTTTATTTTGGTTGAACCATTATATTAAGAGTCTACTTAGAGCAGCTTAGACTATCTTAGCCAATATATGCCTCCACACCCTTCCCCCCTCTCCCTCAGTCATACTGATGTGTCTAGTTCAATCCATCTTTCTGCTCTGGGAACTAAACAACTGAGCATGTCTCCAGAAAATTTTTTTTTTTTTTTAAAAAGGGAATACCATGCTACCTTGTGTTACCTGGTCTCTCTTTACATGGTGAAATCTCAGTCTCAGTGCTAGCCCAAAATGTTACTGCATATCTCCAGGAGGTACGTCCTCTCTTATTAGCTGACTGCTTCATATCTGTGCTATTCTCAACTTTCAACATTCCTCCCACCACGATTTCACCTGATAATCTTGGTTTATTTTACTGAGAAAATAAAGATGCCAATAGAAAGCTATTACAACCTACCCCCATCAAATCTGTCGACCTCATTGTATCTGCGCGCAGGTTTTTCATGCCTTCCCTCCTTGGTAGAACTCTTATTATCTTACCTAAGCTAACTCACCAATCCATCCAGACACCAATTCTCTTCAAGGTCACTCACGGATCACGGATTTTATTTTCAACCTTCAATCCGATCAATCTTGTGCATACATATTATAGGTATTATTAATTATATTAAATATGTATTACAACTTGTTATAATATATATTCATATATATTTATAAAATACATACAAATTATTTTATATCTTAAAAATTTACCTCTTTTATCTTTAATTTTCCTTCACACACCTTTTCGATCTTCTGTTCTATTTTAAAATGAAACACTTCTGGTTCCATTCTTCTCCTTCTTTCTTGAATCTGCACCAATTAACATCTTATCTCCAACTCCTAAAGTTGTTGTTATAAAGGTTATCAATGATTTTCACGTTGGCTAAATCTATTTGTCAATTTTTAATCCACTTCTGCCTTAATCTATCATCTATATTTCATCACTGCAATATTCTTAAAATGCTTTTTTTGTCATTTGGTTTCTTGGATACCATACTCTTTTATTAGTTTTTCTTTATATCACTGTCTTCTGCTCCTTTCTTTTCTGTTCTGTATCTTTATTACTCCTATGTCTAAATATTAGAGTGTCCCAGGAATGTGTCTTTAGATATCTTCTCTATCTACACTATCTATACTACTTAAGATTCTTAGGTGATATTATCTTGTTCCATGACTTTAATTACCAATTTGATGCTTAGAAATGCCCAAATTTGCATCTGCAACTAAGAACTGTCTAATGAACTTCTAACTCATTGCCTGTTCAACATTTTCTCTTTAATACGTAATATTCAAGACTATAAATCTCAAATTTAGCATATAAAAAATATAATTCAACCTTTGCTACAACCTGCTCCTCCTTCAGTCTTCCCCATTCCAGGAAATGACAACTTCATGTACCTTGTTGTCTAGGCAAAATCCTTTTGGTCTCACCCACTTTCTTCATTACACCACCAAATCTTGTTAGCTTTACCTTAAAATAAATGCAGAAACAGAATATTTTCCACCATTTTCACTGCTCCTGTTTCAGCCCAAGGCAGCATCATCTATTTCCTGGTTTGTTGAAGTAGCTTCCTAACTGTTCTCCCCAATTCTGCCTTTGTCTTCTTTAGGCCATGAGTAATATTGTCAAGACATAAATCAGATTATGGTCTTCCCTTGCTTACAACACTCCAGCAGCTTCCCACCAAACTCATAGTAAAAGCTTAATTCCTTAAAAGCTTTATATGATCTAGATTCCATAGCCACTGTGATTTAATTACCTCTTTCCCCCACCACAATTTAGCTCTAGTTTCTCTGGTGTCATTGCCATTCCTCCAGCAGGCTTGGGCACACTACCATGTCTGGGTTTTACACTTACTATTTTTTTTTCTTCTCCCATAATGCCTTTTCCAGTATTTATGTGACTTGGGCTCCAATTTCCTATAAATATCAAGAAAGGGCCAGCTCCTCAAATATGTTTTTCTTGACCATCCTATAAAGAAAACCATATACCACTTGCTTTCTCTTCATTCTTCCTTTCTTTTTATAAACATTATTGCTTCCCACCTTTTACTTCTTTCATTTTTGTTCTCTCAACACTACATTATAAGCTTCATGACAGCAGGACTTTGTATACTGTCTTCATTTTTATATTTCTAGCCCCAAGAACAGCATCTTTCACAGAGGATATACAAAATAAATATCCATTGAGTGAATTATCAATCCTCCCAAACACATTATGAAAGCATCAGGAACAGTATCAACAACCGTAAGTGAGGAGTATTGACTTTGTCAAGGGAATTTTTGTCAAAATTTATTCAAACTGCTGTCTTTCTTTAGCTACATTTAAATATTATATCAGATTTTGGAGGTGGGGAAAAACTCTGACACAACTCCCTTGATTATTTTGCTATAAATATATCTCCCCCAGATTTGTGAAACTCTTGAGCTCCCACAAGCTTCACATAACATAATTGTCTTCATGGAGCTTCACAGTCACCAAAGAACTACTTTTGACATCAATTAGTGAGACAGGATGAGTTATGAGACCACAGTTAGTATGAAGGTTCAGAGTAAACACTTAATGCATTATAACTCATCTGGGAGGATGTAGGTAAATGATGGATAGACTCAAAATGCCTAACAAACTACTCTACTGAAAACAGAGAGGTCAGAACAAACCTTAAGCATCCCTGAAGCATTAACATAAGCCAAGAAGTAAGGTTTGAGAAAGTGGATCTATGTAAGCATATTTTAGTACAGCCATTATAATTCTATGTAAGAAACTCAAGTGGATGGTAAGTATAATTTAATTTTCATTTCTGAATTAACTTGGAATATAAAGCTCCACTTCACTGTTCTGCAGAAAATAATCTTATTTCTTTTTGTGTTCTACATCCTTGTTATTGAAACTGATTTCAAAATCCTGAGTCTTTGTATAATAACAAGCTATGTGGTGGAGTTGAAATAGAATTATCAATTGAATTCATTACATTTACTCAATGTAACCTGTCAGGCATCAACAAAGAGTTAAATCTTCCTGTGTGGCCAATTCTTAGTGTTCTACAATTTTCAGCTTTTTAGCTCTTGCAGCTCTTCAATCGATCTGGTAAACAGCTAGCATTTTGCAGTTTTAGTGAAAATTCTAATATGTTGTAGAGAAACCTTTCCTACTCCCACTTCTCTGCTGTTCTTAAACAAATGGAGTTTATTTGCCATGTGCAGAACATCCTATGCAGCTGTCTTCCTAAAAACACCGTGTTCTAGGTCATGCATTTCATTATTGTGTGCATGATCACTGTTATGCTGCATTTGTACTTTTCTCAGAATTTCTTAGGACTATCTAAAGCTGGTTCTTTGTACATATATTGTGAAGCCATATTCTTGGGGACCCAGCTCTCCTCTGATCTTATATCAAAGATCCTATGGGACTTACAAAATTCTTGTTTCCTTTAGATCTTTCCTGACTCCCAGACTAGAAACCTTTACAAATCTCAGAGACAAAAAGTCTTGCTCTAAGTCATCACTTTTATCATGTTTACCCCAAAAGATAATGTCTTTGACTGGAGTCCTTTCTGTTTCTCCCTACTGTTTATATTCTCGTTCTTTTTTTTAAAAATCTATGCATTTCTTCCTTGCCAAAATAGGCACTATCCAAAATGGTCAAGGAGAGTGGATTGGGGAAGGTAATAAAAGGGAAAGAAAACTAGTAACGACAGCAAGGGGTACAAATAACATTTCCAAAATGCACTATTTTGTCACGTAGAGGAGTATGGAAGATACAACAATGATACCTGGCTTCTTATGCTCCCAAATCTCCTTAAATATTGCCTCCTAATATGATCAGTGATTTCCTTGCCATGCCCTCACATCTAGCTGAGAGTCTGTATATATTACCTTAATGCTGAATTCTTAGAAAAATTCCATACAAATGTGAAAATGAATATCAATAGCCTACTTTTCTTTGGGGAAGAAATAAGCAATTTTTATAACAAATGGATAATTTTGGAAAGATTTATAGATGAGATGCTATGGAAGAGTGAGAGGTAAACCCATAGAATAGATATTTGGGAATATACAGGACTTATGCTGCTGCAGATAATAGTATGCAGGTCTAAACATCAGACTTAATCTAGTTATGTAAACACAAAGTGAATGGGCCTATATTAGCCAGCATCTGTAACTCCTATGGCTATCACAAAAAATGTTCTCCAAATCTAAATGACTTGACACAATAAAAGTTATTTTTCATGCAAAACAAAACATGGATGTTTCTGGCTGGGCAATTTTCCTGGTGACTTGCAACTCAGTGGTCACTTAGCCTCAGGGATCCAGGCCACCTGTATCTTGGATTCCACCATCCTCAATATTCAATCTACAATGTTGATGCATAAGACAAGGATTTTTACTGTGTCAAATTGCAAATGGTACACCCCACTTTCACCCTCATGCCAGTGGAAAGCATCACTTCTGTGGCCCACCTAGATTAAGGGGTTAAAACATGAAGTCCTCTGGTGATGAAATTCTTTGCTGAATGCATAGCATTATCTGTGCCCCAGGACTTTTATGACCAACTCGTTGTAAGACGGAAAGAGAGGGTAGGGCCTTTAATAAAAATTGGCTCTCCTGGTAGCAACAGTAACATCAAACTAAAGGCTAGATTGCCAGTGAATAAAGCATTAAAATGACTGATGGCCAGGAATTTGCCTTGCCTGTCATTTCCACCCCTTGCTGATAATAACAACATCTTGGAACATGAAAGTATAATGGACAGCAGCTTGCCAATAACTGTTAAGTGTCAACAGAATAGAAATCAGATAAAAGGACAGGTTCAAACCAGTAGCCTAAGTTTAAATTCTAAGCCCTCAAAAACAAACATGTCTGGAAGAACCATATTTTCAACTACTGATTCAATGTTTTTGTTTTTGTTTTTGTGTTTTTGTTTTTTAGAGAAGGAGTCTTGCTCTGTTGCTCAGGCTGGAGTGCAGTGGCCCGATCTTGGCTCATTGCAACCTCTGCCTCCTGGGTTCAAGTGATTTTTGTGCCTCAGCCTCCCAAGTAGCTGGGATTACAGGCGCCCACCACCACACCTGGCTAATTTTTTGTATTTTTTGTAGAGACAGCATTTCACTATGTTGGCCAGGCTGGTCTCGAACTTCTGACCTCAGGTGATCCACCTGCCTTAGCCTCCCAAAGTGCTGCGGTTGCAAGCATGAGCCACCGCTCCTGGCCTAAATGTATTTTATTTAAGAGATTCTCCCATATTTTATGAACTTTCCCACCATGCCTCATGACCACCACCATACACAACTACACACACACACACACACACAAGCACACGCAAAGACAGTGGAAGAAGGAAGTCCAGGCTTGTGGGAAATAGTAAAGACAAAAAATTAGGAGGTGTGGAATTTTTCAACTAACACTTAGAGATGGAAAGAAAAAATAGCAATGAACTTTTAAAAACACAAAACAAACAAAAAAAATCCAAGAGTTGATTCTTCTGATTTTTATTCTAGGATTTAAATTTAGCTTTTAAAATGTTCCTGCTCTAACGGTTTTGATATTTAAAACAATAAGGAACTTTTACAAAGTTAGATGTTTTCTGATACATTTAAGACACCCTGTGTGTTTTGTGAATGTCATAACGCCATTAAGTCCCCTTCACAGATGTGCAATTTTATCCTCTTACTGTGGCTCTTAATGTAGCGAGTGCTTCAGGGAGCACAAGGTAGTGCCTGGGGGCCTGGCAAGAAGTGCTCAAATCCTTACAGTTGCGTTCAAATTTTAATATTGTTTCATTAAGAAAAAGCCTGTCAATTAGTGTGGTATTCACTCTCTTTTATTTTGTTTTTACAAGACCCATTTCTCAAAAATTTCCATCCATAAAATATAGTCTTTCAGGTTAGAAATGTGTTTAAAAATTAATACCTGAAAAACAGCATTTTATCATATTGCTTTCATTATATGACATAACCAAGTGCGTTGCTAGGCAACTAGCTATGGCTTTTGGAAAACTACATACTTTATAATAGATTACTTTAGAGGCACCTTTTCAAAACAAATAGAATAGAGTTATCGAAAAGCATCTTCTGAAATTCTATATAGAAAATGGCTTTTTAAAAAAGTCAACATCTCCAGAACTGGGAAATAGGTGTTCCTATTATATAAGCACTGCAGTTTTCGACAGTTTTCATTTAGTAAAAAGAGAGAAGGAGAGAGAGAAGAAAACATATCTTAAATTCCTGTCTATAAACATCCAATCTGCTAATGAAAATATTCATTGTAAATTATTAATTATATTCAATTTGTGTTCGAATATTTCTTTGGTGAGAAAAAAATATAATCATTTGAAAGGACTTAACTAATGAAAAAGAATAGGCTTAAAATAAATTTTTAAAAAGTGAACTGCTAGTGCCCTGGTTCTGGCTACTGGTTTCCTGACTGCTGGCTTACATACAGAAGTGATTATCTAACTTAAAAGAAGCAACTTATGATGATTAACATTAGTCAGTAACCATTTAATTTAGTATGATGGGCATTATTACATTCAATAAAAGTTTTGAATATATAACATCTAAAGTCTATTTCAAATTTATCACTCTATAAAATGTTATATTTTATTCTTTCACAGAATATTTAAAATGGTAAAATAATGCATATTAGCTGTAGAAATTCTGGGAAACTACAAAAGAGAAAAGATTTGTCACTTATTATATTAAAATCTACAAAATAATTGTAAATAATTAACTTGTAATTAAGTACAATTACAATTGTAATTGCTATTAATATTGTAACATATTTTTAGACTTTTTTCTATATATTTTAATTTGCATTTTTTTGTTTTCATTGTTCTATTCACCAAAATGATACTTAACTATTTATATATATATATATATATATATATATATATATATATATATATATATATATAGTTTTGTGGCTTACCTGCTTAAAATTAACTTTGTATTGTGGCGACTTTTTTGTGTGTATAACTTTTTTGAAATATATTATGGAGTCACTGAGTGACAGCTCACCATATGGCTATACTGTAATTTATTTAGTTATTCCACTATAGCTAAAGTTTTCCACCAATTTTTCATTATTATAAATAATGCTGAAATGAATGTCCTTATTCATAAATCATGATTCCTATCTCTGTTGATTTCCCTAGGGTATGTGGCTGCAAGTGAATTTACTGAGTCAAAGAGTACACATTGTTTCAAGGCTAAACATACATATTTCCAAGTTATTTTTCATAAAGCAAAAAAGAGAAAGTTTACTTTCTTCAAAGTCCAATAGCAAAAGGTGGAAGGGATGGCAAAATTTTATTGACAAAGAATATTACTGAGTTAAATGCTTTGCCAGTTTGGGGAGAAGGGGAGAAATAGCGAATTGCATATTGTGGTTTTACTGAAACTATTTTAAAAAATATTTATTGTCTTTTTTTGTGAATTTGGGTCCTTTGTCTATTTTTTTTCAATTAAAGGATTCATTCTTTTATTTTATTTTTCTAATTAATTTCATAAGTTTTTAGTCTATACTTATTGAGGTGGCATTCTTCATAGAGCTAGTGTCAATTTGGACTTTTCTCAGTGTAATAAAATGAAGATTTAAAGATGTCAAAAAAGACCAGGCTAGGTCTTTCATATCTCATGGTAGAAACAGCTATCTACTGTTGGCTATCCAGCCAAAAATCATGTTTTAGAGCCTTCCTTACTTCTAATTGTTGTCTCACTTTTAGTACTGATTTGTTCGCCATTCTGCCAGCTGGATGGCAACAATGAGGGGCTTTCAAGGATGGCAGAGTGATAAGACAAAAAGTGTTCTAGTGTCTGGGTCACCAGGTGAAAGGGTGGCAACCAATGAGAAATACACCCTCATTAGATTGCTGTTTGTGGGAAAAATAAGATTCTAGAGTTATGTCTCCACCAAAAATCAACAGAATATACATTCTTCTCCTCACCACATGGCACTTACTCTAAAATTGATCACATAATCGGAAATAAAACACTCCTCAGCAAATGCAGAAAAACTAAAAACAAAGTAGTCTCTTGAACCACAGTGCAATCAAATTTGAAATCAAGACTACTAAGAAATTCAATCAAAACTACAATTACATAGAAATTGAGTAACCTGCTCCTGAATAACTTTTGGGTAAATAATGAATTTAAGGCAGAAATCAAGAAGTTCTTTGAAACTAATGAGATAAAAGATACAACATACCAGAATCTCTGGGACACAGCTAAGGCAATGTTAAGAGGGAAGTTTATAGCACTAAATGCCCACATCAGAAAACTAGAAAGATCTCAAATTAACAACCTAACATGGACTAGAGAATCAAGAGCAAACAAATTGCACGGCTAGCAGAATACAAGAAATGACCAAAATCAGAACAGAACTGAAGGAGATACAGACATGAAAAACAATCTAAAACCCAGAAGTTAGATTTTGAAAAAAAAAATAATAAAATAGAGAGACCGCAGCTAAACTAATAAAGAGGAAAGGAGATTCAAATAAAACACCATCAGAAATGACAAGTGGGATGTTACCACTGACCCCACAGAAATACAAACAATTATCAAAGAATATTATACACAACTGTGTGCATACAAACTAGAAAATCTAGAATAATTGGTTAAATTTCTAGACACATAGACCCTCCCAAGACTGAACCAGGAAGAAATTGAATCCCTGAACACACCAATAACTGGTTCTGAAATTAAGGCAGTAAAAAAAAGCTTACCAACCAAAAAAAAAAAAAAAAAAAAAAAGCCTACGACCAGACAGATTCACAGCTGAATTCTACAAGATGTACAAAGAGCTGGTACCATTCCTACTGAAACTATTGCAAAAATTTTAGGAGGAGAGACTCCTCCCTAAGTCATTCTATGAGGCCAGCATCATCCTGATACCAAAACCTGGCAGAGATGTAAGACAAAAAGAAAACTTCAGACCAATACCCTTGATGAACATCAATGCAAAAATCCTCAACAAAATACTGAAAAACCTAATCAATCAGCACATCAAAAAGTTTATCCACCACAATCAAGTAAGTTTCATCCCCGGGATGCAAGGTTGGTTCAACATACACAAATCAATAAATGTGATTCATCACATAAATAGAACTGATGACAAAAACCACCTGATTATCTCAATAGATGCAGAAAAGACTTTCAATAAATTCAACATCCCTTCAGTTAAAAACTCTCAATAAACTAGGTATTGAAGGAACATACCTCAAAATAATAAGAGCCACATACGACAAACCCGCAGCCAACATTACACTGAACAGGCAAAAGCTGAAAGCATTTCCCATGATAACTGGCACAAGATCAGGATGCCCTCTCTCATCACTCCCATTCAACCTAGTATTGGAAGTTCTGGCCAGAGTAATCAGGCAAGAGAAAAAAAATAAAGGGCATTCAAATAGAAAGAGAGGAAGTCAAACTACCCTGTTCACAGATGACATTTCCTATATCTAGAAAACCCCATAGTCTCAGCTCAAAAGCTTCTTAAGCTGATAAGCACCTTCAGCAAAGTTTTGGGATATAAAATCAATATGCAAAAATTACTAGCATTCCTATACACCAACAACCGTCAAGTCAAGAGCCAAATCACAAACGAACTCCCATTCATAATTGTCACAAAAAGAAAAAATACCTATGGATATAATTAACAAGGTAAGTGAAAGATCTGTACAATGAGAACTACAAACCACTACTCAAAGAAATCCACTACACAAACAAATGGAAAAATATTTCATGCTTATGGATAGGAAGAATCAATATCATGTAAATGGCCATACTGTCCATAGCAATTTAGCGTTTCAATGTTATTCCCATTAAACTACCATTGACATTCTCCACAGAATTAGGAAAAGCTATCTTAAACTTCATAGGGAGCAAAAAAAGAGCCTGAATAGCCAAAACAAATTCTGAACAAAAAGAACAAAGCTGGAGGCATCATGCTACCTGACTTCAAACTATACTAAAGGGCTACAGTAACCAAAACAGCATGGTCCTGGTTCAAGAACAGACACATAGAGCAATGGAACTGAATAGAGAACGGAGGAATAAGACTGCACACCTAAAACTATCGGATCTTTGACAAACTTGACAAAAACAAGCAATAGGAAAAGGATTACCTATTTAAAAATGGTGCTGGGATAACTGGCTATCCATATGCAAAAGATTAAAACTGGACACCTTCCTTATTCCATATACAAAATTTCACTCAAGGTGGATTAAAGACTTAAATGTAAAACCGAAAACTATAAAAACCTGGAATACAACCTAGGCAATACCATTCAGGACATAGGCATTGACAAAGATTTTATGATGAAGATGCCAAAATCAATTGAACAAAAGCAAATATTGACAAATGAGATCTAATTAAATTCAAGAGCTTCTTCATGAGAAAAGAAACTATCTACAGAGTAAACAGACAACCTACAGAATGGGAGACAATTTTTGCAATCTATGCATCTGACAAAGGTCTAATATTCAGCATCTATAAGGAACTTAAAATAAATTTACAAGAAAAAAAAACCCCATTAAAAAGCGGGCAGAGGACATGAACAGACACATCTCAGAAGAAGACATACATGTGGTCAACAAGCATATGAGAAAAAGCTCAACATCACTGATCATTAGATAAATGCAAATCAAAACCACAATGAGATACAATTCCACACCTGTCAGAATGGCTATTACTAAAATGTCAAAAAATAACAGATGCTGGCAAGGTCGTGGAGAAAAAGGAGTGCTTATACGCTATTGGTGGAAGTGTAAATTAGTTCAACCATTGTGAATGATAGTGAGGTGATCCTTAAAGACTAAAGATCATTTGACCCAGCAATCCCATTACTGGGTATATAGCCAAGGAAACATAAATCGTTCTTTTATAAAGACATAGACACACGTATGTTCATTGCAGCACTATTCAGAATAGCGAAGATATGGAATCAACTGAAATGTCCATCAACAACAGACTGGCTTAAAAATGTGGAACATATACACCATGGAATACTATGTATCCATAAAAATAAACAAGATCATGTCCTTTGCAGGAACATGGATGGAGCTGGAGGCCAATATCGTTAGCAAACTAACGCAAGAACAGGAAACCAAGTCATGTGTGTTCTCACTTATAAGTGGGAGCTAAATGATGAGAACACATGGACACATAGAGGGGAACAACACACACTAGGGCCTATTGGAGGGTGAAGGGTGGTAGGAGGAAGAGGATCAGGAAAAATAGCCAACAGGTACTAGGCTTAATACCTGGGTGGTGAAATAATCTATACAAGAAACCTCCATGACACATGTAATTTACCTAGGTAAGATTCTAGAGTTTTGCATCCTCACAGATTCTTGGCTCTATTTGTTGTAGTAGCTTTGTCCAGTCAGCTAATGTACTGCTAATCTTTATTCCCTGAGCAGCATTCATGTAAATACCAGTGTTTATTTGATCTTGGGCAAAACCAGAATTGTCTACCCATAACCTACCACCAATCTCTCAAATCACAACCAGGTTGCAGCCTCAAAGGAGGAAGGTGTTCTGGGATAGGAAACATTAACTATTGTGACCACAAATCACAAATTTCTTACCTCATTTCATGTGAGATCAATAGTGATGCCCATTTGTACATTTTTGTTTGTTGAACTCATATGAGACCTTAAAGGACAGTCAATATTCACTCAAATTTTAAATAGGGAACAGAAAAGAATGACATCATTTGTTTTGGAATCTTTGAAGACACTATATGTTCTTGCCCCTATTGTGACTTGTTATCTTCTGGGAACTTTTTAAGTCATACACAACAGTCACAATTTTATTTTCCCACACCCCTATCAATTGCCAAGGAAAAGATAAGGAAAAAAATTATCAGTTACATAGTACAGGGATGATCTTCATTTCTTTGAGAGATTTGATTGGCTATTTTCCAGAACAATTGGGAGCTGTGCTAAGCTGTATATAAATGTTTACCTGACTGCTGCATTTAAAAACAAACAAACAAAAGACAAAAAAACTGCAGAGCTCTCTAAGAGTTTTGATTCCTAGACCCCAAATCCAAATTCTTTTTCCAATACTTTGAGATGAATCTTAGGGCTACATATATTTAATAACTTGCCCAGATGATTCTAATGTGCATTTAGTCCTGGAAACACATGCTTCATTATTTAAAAAACTATTATCAAGTAATTAATAAATTATTGACTTCTACTATTAATTGAAAATTCACGTTTTACTCTATTTTTATTAAAATAATCTTATTATGAATTAATTATAATATTTCCCTTCAAATTTCTTCTTGTAGAAATCTATTTACAAACTTCTCAGTAAGTTTTATTGTATTAACAGTAATTGTTTCTATGTCCTTTTTTCTGGTTTTGGTGCTCATCACATTTTTTCAAATCTGCATCATAAACTTCCCTTCTTGAGAAATTTATTTTGTTGGCGGTTCTAATTAGCTAGATATATCTTCAAATTGTTTTAGTGTGAACTCTTAGGAGGTATAATTTTCATGTCCTTGAATGTCAGCAAATACCTTTCTCCTGCCCTTGCAACTAAATGATGGCTTCTCTGGGGATACAGTTCTTAGACCTTAATCTTTTTTTCTTTTTAAAGCTGCTGATGTTGCCATATTGATTTCTGACCCTTAGTGATCAGGAGGAAAAAATCTAACACCAACCTAATTATATCCTTTGAAGGCAACATGTCTTTTCTGCTGGATATATGGGGTGTCTATTTTCACTAAATTTGCTTGGTACTCTGTGACCTCTTTTGATCTGATGTCTCAAATCTTTCTTCAGATCTGGAAACTTTTTTTTTAGTATTTGTTTGATGATTCGTTTTTGTTGTTTAATTCTAAGTACCACCATGTTGGTACTTCTCAATCCTTCACCAAACTCCCTCAAATCTTAGTCTCCATATCGAAACTTTTTTTCTGCAAAATTCAATCAAATGATTATAATTTCTTATGACATAATGAGATGTATATTTGGTATCTGCCTCTGGTTCCTGACACAGAGCTCCTAAAACTCTGGTAATTTACTGAGTGAAAGGGGTGATAACAGCATTTTTTTAAAACAGTATTTGATCTTTGTCCTTGGTTCCTGACAAAAGATCTTCTAAGCCCCTTGGCATCTTTGACAATGTAAGAGTGTCTTCTGGATTCTAATGAATGACTCTTTGCTGGGGTCTCTAAACGGCTTCAGGATGGAGGCTGCTTGAAAGAAGGACCAAAGCAATGCTGACACTTTCAGCCACACACACCTATCTCCAAAGAAGGCAGAGGCGCTGGAGACTGAGCTGATCACCGATGGCCAATGATTTAATCAGTCATGCCTATATAATGAAATCTCCATAAAAACTCCCGAAATGATGGGTTTGGGAGAGCTCCAGGTTGGTGAACACATTGACATATCAAGAGGATGGCACTCCCCAACTCCACTGTACAGAAGTTCCTGCACTCAAGACACATTCAGACTTTTCTCTGTGTACCAATTCTTCTTGCTGTTCATTTTTACACTTCATAATATCCTTTGTAATAAACTGGTAACATAAGTAAAATGTTTCTCTCAGTTCTGTGACTTGTTACAACAAATAATAAAATATTATTAGTAAAAAGTAGTTCATGGGAACCCCAAATTTGTGCCCAGTCAGAAGTAAGTGTGGGTAAGCTGGCACAGAGACAAAAGTGACTCCATCTTGGATGCCAATCCAGCATGTTGACATCTGCATAGCCCCAGTCCTATAAACGCCTCCTTGCTTGTATTTTATTTGTAAAAACAAAGAAAATTGGTGTCATTGCACACAATATACACTATGACATGCACACCATTCTTGCTTGTTCTGGAGGGTTGCCTTAAATTGTCTTGCTGGAGTACCTATCCCCTTTCCTTATGGGATATAAGCCTTGCATCTGGGGAGTAACAGTGCAGGGATCAACCTGCTTTGCAGCCATGCTTCTGTCTGTAGGATCCCCAAAACAACACCCTATACCAAAAAACTGGATATGTGTGCCTCGTTCTTTGGATTCTCAGCTCCTTTGGTATTTGGGGGTTGCTTTGCTTATAGGGCCCTTTCACAGAACAAATGGCAAGTCAGCAAGAAGGGGTCAGGAAACCTAAGTTTGGGTAAGAGGAAGGAACCATCTGTAGGGGATATCCTGAGGGGTGGGGGTGAGGCATCGTTACTGTGTAGGGTGGTGTTGCCTGTTTGCTAGATGCCTGTGGACTGTTGCATGAGTACAGGGATTCCCTGAAAATGCCAGAGAGTTTAGAAATCTTGTTAGTAAATAGCCGTATGTCCCACTGTGATAAGAAAGATCACAAAACAGCCACAATAGTGCGTTTGCCACTGTTAGGGGCTGTGCAAGTGGCCACAGAAGCACAGGTAGTGGCTGAGGGGAGTGTAGGAAAGCTGGAGAAAGAATTACACTTAGAAAGAGCTATGAGAACTTCCACATCTGTGTTAGTGCCTGGTTTGGCAGATAAGCTTTAAAGGCAGGAGGCACCATTGGAAACCTTAGCTTGCCGCTTTGTACGGCTGGGAGGGAGAAACCTGTGCCAGCCAGAAGTGCAGGCTTTCCTTGCCAAATCAGAGTGAGATGCAAAGATCTGAAATTTTGGGGAACCAGTTAGTGAGTCACATGATGACACAGAGGTTAACTCAGAGGTGGGAGATAATTATCCTCTCCTTTTGAGAGCAAAAACGCTCATGTGCCACAAAGCAAAAGCCCAACGCATGCAGCCCTGGGCAGGATTATTGGGCATAGCAAACACTTTTAAACAGCTGCTGAGAGAAAACTTAGTTACGTGGATGGTGTGGCTATGGGACACCAGTGGGGATGGGCTTTCCCTAGCAGGGAGTAAAGCTGAACAAATGAGAGAGTGCCCATCTGGGAGTGGCATGGCCCGCTTTTGGGGAAATTTGTGTATGAGCTCTGGAAAGCCATTTCTGATTTTGGAGAAACTGAAAGGGAAGAGAAAAGGTTACTAAGTGAAAAGGGAAAATGAGAGAAAGAAAGTCTGCTGGACTGAAAAAAAAGGAGGTAAAACCCAGTTAGGATTACTAGGAAACAAATGTGATATGATTTGATCTTAGCTGGAGTAGACGAAACATACACATACACAGGCAATCTAATGTCATACTAGTGGGCCTTTGGAATGCCCTTACTTCCAATTAATAGTTTAGACCTCTTCCCAGAACCCCACTAGAGGAGAGAGAAGAAAAAGAAGAAATTCCATGTAGAATGACTTCAATTTCTGAGTTCCAGCGGTAGACTGCTACCCAGCCTACAGACTAGGGTGGTGCCAAGGGTGCCTCCATGCCAGAGCAATAGGGGGTTAACAGAGGCCTCCTGTGGAGCTCACAATCTATTGGAATCCAAGTAACAAGCAGAGAAAATCACTTCATAGATACAGTGGCTTTAAGAATGCACCTTAATTCATGCCAACCCAGAGACATGGTAAATAGGCAGCAGGTTATCAGTGCCAAACAATCGGAATGAAACAAACACCTCTCCTCCTTGTTATCAGGTGGAAGCTCCCCCACTTATTATACTGTCTTCATCTCACCTACTCCAGAAAACATCTTGGGTATGGATGTCCTGTTACGGTGCATGCTACAAACACCTGTGGGAGAATTTCGCCTATGGGTTCCAGCATTAATGGCTATTTTAAGAGGGAAGCAATATGGAAATCTGTACCTCTTCCTAATCTATGGTGTATTATTAATATGAAACAGTACCATCTTCCTGGTGGGACAGAATAAATTACAGCCACCATATAGGAGCAGGCCAAAGTTAATATTATCCAGCCAGCCCAAAGCCCCTTTGAGTCCTGGGTGGCCAGTAAGAAAGCCAAATGGCACCCGAATCATGACAGTAGGCACAGGAAATAAATAGGGAGGTTCCAAAGATACATGCAGCTGTGTCTAATATAATTCAAGTGATAGAGCAAATAATACAAAATACAGGAACTTACCATGCTGTGTTAGATTTGGCTAGCGCTCCGGTAGCATCCCTTTACACACTGACTCACAGGCATTACATTGATGATATTACCCTAACTTCTGAAAACTTGTCATTGCTGTGGTAACAGGCAACAGTTTAATGCCTTGTGCACCTTTCTTCAATTTAGATGATGGGCCATCAGCCTGCAAAAGATCCAGGGCCCAGGGCCCACTATAAAGTTCCTAGGGGTTACTCGATTAGGTAAGATATGCCTTATCCTACACACACTCATTGACAAAATACAATTTCTTCCATGCTTAAAACAGTTACACGGTTACCAAGTTTTCTAGGTATTTTGGGATATCGGCAAGCTTTTATTTCACATTTAGCTCAATATTTGCATCCCCTATACTGAATAGTAAATAAGAGACCTAGTTGGTGCTGTGACAAAAAAAAATAAAAATAAAAAAAATAAAAACCAAGAGGAAGCATTTGAGAAGGCTGTTATTAGTGGCTCAGGCACAAGTCTTGGGTTCCGCCCTCTCTGGATTACCAATCTCTTGAGATATGACCATAAGTCCTGAAGGGATTAGTTGGGCACTCGGACAAGTCTAGCATGGGAAAACAGTTCCCCTAGGATTCTGGCCACACCTATGGAAGGGTGCTGAAACCCACTATTCCTCTATTGAACAACAGGTCCTGGGAATATACAAGGACTTATAGAAAGTTTTTCAGAAAGTTGAACCCATAACTGCTACTTTGCCAGTAACAGTGAAAACTGTCTCCCTATCAAGAGCTGAATAGAAGGGAATTTTCAGGCATGCCTCAGCTATTGCCCAAGACTCCACTTTACAAAAGTGGCAAGCAAACCTGCAATAACACAGTACCCTCTCCACAAGTGCCTTGGGGGATGAACTGCAATAGAAAAGGAGACCAGTGCTGCCCCTGTTGTGGAGCCCCCACAGGAGAAGCCTCCAATGCTACACAAAGGCATGGCCCCCATTCCTGAAAACTCTTGTTACTCAGATGGGTAGAGCCTAGGCACCCCTTGTGCATGGGTGGCAGTAGCTGTACAATCGTAGACAGATACCATCTGGTTTGAGATGGGAATGCAGCAATGCAGTCAATGGGCAGAACTCTGAGCTGCATGGCTGGTTTGTACCCAAGAGCTGTGACCTATAGTTCTCTGTACAGGCACTATGGCAGTATTTAAGATCTTACAACATGGCTTGCACAAAGGGCCCGAGATAACTAACATGTATTTAAGAAACCCTTATGGAGAGCTGCCATGTAAAAAAATCATTTGGGAAGGCTACAAGAATATGCTGTGAGCCTAATTTTGTATCATGTTTTAGCACATTGGCTAGATTCATCCCCTGGTAACATGGAGGCTGATACCCTAGCAAAAATTAGGACATTGGCTCCCTGGCAATCCTCTGAACTAGCTTATTGGGTACGTAAGCATAGTGGGCATCACATTGTTTGCATACTTTTCATGGGTGGGCAAAGATTTTGCCTCAAGCCATTAGAAACCCTAACTCAGTTGAGGTGAACATAGGGCTGGCACAACACCAGCAACATGGGACCCCCACAGAGGAGGGCTTCTTAACCACAGTGGTAAAGAAAGACTGACCAGACACATTTCTACCTGAACTGATAAAAGGCCAATAGCAAATATTATCAATTATTTGGGATGTCCCAAGACTTTGAGACAGGGGAGGGGATACTTGAATGGAGATTAGACTGTCAATTTCCCCCAGGTTGGATAGGGTATTTCTTGTCAGAGAGTAAAGAAATCCCCGGCCAACTAAAGTGGTCTCCGATGATCGTGTTTCAGTCTGGATCAAAACGCTCCACATACCAGTACACTGAAACATAGCTCCTTTTAAAAGCCACTCTGATCAGCCATTTAACATGATTCTTTGCAGCCCCTGTTACCTTAAAATTATCACTGGCACCTTCACCCATCAGGTAAATTGTTTGGTGCGTGCCCCTAGCCCATAATCAGACAGCCTCTGTCATAACTGAGATGACACTACAGTCATCTTGTTTGTTGGAGAAGAATTGCCCCATCAAATGCCTACTAACCGCTGATATTTCCTCCCATAGTCTTCTGCTTCTGTTGCTGCTCTGCCCTACAAAAGGTCTCTTTGTTTGGTCCTGGGGAACATGGTGGCAAAAGACATTATTAATTTTGTGTCTTATACTTGGCATGAGTATCATTGCCTGTTATTGTTTACATTGTTGCTTTGCCTCTGCTTACAAGTAGAAGCCAAATTGATGCAATTGGTTCATGCTATTGAAATGACTACAGCACCTCTCCTTTCAGGAGGTATAGGGACCATTGCAGAAGACTTGGGTGCCTCAGATTGTAAGACCCAGATTAGAGGGGTGGAGTGTAGAGACAAAAGAGCCTCCATCTTGCTCCATCTTGGATGCTAATCCGCCATGTTAACTTCTGATTAGCTCCAGTTTCATGAATACCTTAAGATTTCTACTTCATTTACTGCCCCCAGCGTAAGAACAAAGCATGCTTGATGTTATCACACATATTATAGGCTATGATGCACATAGAATTCTTGCCTTTTTTGGTGGGTGACCTTTAATTGTCTCGCTGGAGCAAATTTACCGTTTCCCTATGGTATGTGGAGTATACCATATGGGTCTGCATAGTAACAGTGCAGAGATTTATCTGCCTTGTGGCTGCCCAAGACTACTGTTGTCTGTAAGTTCCCCAGTAAAAGACTGTTCCGACAAACTGGATTTGTCTTCCTTCTTCTTTGGTTTATCAGTTCCTTTGGCATTTGGGGTCCCTTTGCATGGTATGGCCCTTTCACAGAACACGTGGGGATCCAAATACTTGTGATTGGTGTCTGAAGTTGAGGGCAGTTTTTGAGACTGAGTCCTTAGCTTGCGGGATCTGTGCTAACTCTGAGTAGTTAGTGTCAGAATGAAATTAAATTGTAGATCCCCCAGCTGGTGTCCACAGAATATTTTAAAATTACTTGGTGTGGAAAACCTACACATTTGTGTATCAAAGTGTTGTGAGTTGAGTTGAGTAGCAGTTTTCCTCTTGCATCCGTTTAAAAATTTGTCATAATGGTTTTCACAAGAATACTTTCTTTTCTGATCTTAATGTTTTTTCTTTTTTAATGTCAATATTCTAGATTTTATTGTGAATAAAAATTAGCTAATTCATTTATTTGGCTCCTCCTATTCTTTTTAGTAAACTCACTCCATATCTGCTCTGTTCAATAGATTCGCCTCCAGTTTTTATTTATTTATTTATTTATTTATTTGCTTTTGTTTTTGTTTTTTGTAGAGAAGGAGTCTTTCTCTGTCACCCAGGCTGGAGTGCAGTGGCACCATCTCGGCTCATTGCAACCTCCACCTCCTGGGTTCAAGCAATTCTCCTGCTTCAGCCTCCCGAGTAGCTGGGACTACAGGTGCATGCCGCTACGCCTGGCTAATTTCTTTTGTATTTTAGTAGAGGCGGGGTTTCACTGCGTTGCCCGGGCTGGTCTCGAACTCCTGAGCTCGGGCAATTCACCCGCCTCAGCCTCCCAAAGTGCTAGGATTACAGGCATGAGCCACTGTGCCCAGCCTGCCTCCAGTTTTGTGCTGACCAATCATCCTAAAATTATGTTAGTTCTTCATTGTACTCAGGTTTAATTTCTTTACCTTATTTGCTTTTTAATCCTAAATTCAATAGATGTGATGCCTCTTTTATAACTTACAAGCCTGTCTTAACAAAAGCCAGATGCACAAAGGTCCTGATTTTGCCTATGCTAGACCTAAGAGAAAAAAATACTCGAGACAAACACTCCATTTTTAGCCATTAAGAAAGCATATACATTACCCTTTTACATGTTTATATTGATTATTTTGGTAAACCTTCCAATAAATATAAAACAATGTTTAATAATAATCTCTGAGAAACTTCCTTGAATTTTTGACAATAATGGACAAGGCATTATGGGTAAGATTTGATGGACTGAGATGAAGACCTGACCGTTGCAGAATTTTTTATGTTCAGTTACCAAGTACTTTATTCAAACTTTAAAAAAAAATTGGCACTCCGTAATTCCTCACTTTCCTGTATAATAGCTTTTAGAATTTACATGAAGGATGTTGCTTACGTATGCTAATTTTTATTAGCATTTGTAATTGAAAAATAATACTCCGCAAGTACTATTTTTTTAAATATTTATTATTATTGAATTCTATTTTAAACCTGAAGATCATATTTACGACAGCTAAGTAGACCCCTGACTGGAGGTCCCAGATGGGGCCAAAAGTGAGTGCTTTGTGTATGATTTACTTACTACTTGTTGTTTAAGTTTTCCAATATTAATTATATATGCCAAAACTATCTGTATATAGGTCAGGCTTCTCCAGAAAAATGAAATCAATATGGTGTGGGTGTGTGTGTGTGTGTGTAGAATAAGATATATTGTAAGACATTGTCTCACATTATTATGGAGACTGACAAGTCCCAAATTGCCATATAGGTTAGGAAGCTGGAGACCCGGGAGACTGAATGTTACAGATAAGTCCAAAGATATTTTGCCAGAGAATTTCCACAGGGAGTCTGATTTTGTTGTGGTTGTTGTTGTTGTTGTTCTGTTCAGGCATTCAGCTGATTGGATGAGATCCACTTCATAATGGAGGGCAATCAACTTTAAGTTTACCAATTTAAACATCAGTGTCATCATAAAAAGCACGTTTCAAGTTGACACATAAAATTAATCATCATAATATTATATGGGAAAAATCATTATTATATAGAGTCCAAAGACTTAGGTTCAAATTCTAGTTCTCTGATAACTTATATGATCTTAGTCAACTCAGTTAACCAGTTTGAGTCTTCATACAGTTTTGTATAAAATAAAAGTTATAACATCTATTGAATTGTTGTGAGGATAAAACAATACTGAAGCATATAGTGCAGGATAGAACTGAATAAAAAACCAGAGTCTGAAATTTTTTCTGCAATACAAAAAGAAAGAAAAAATACAAGCTGATTTCTGGAGGATATGGGAAAACAATAGGTAAGGGAAACATGATATTAGTTGACTTTCCATAAGTTTCCATTATACCCTCTGACCTAGTTAATTTTATATTAATCAACATGGCAATTTCTAAATGAGGCACTTGGTATACTAGTTAAGAAAAGTGTTATGAAAATAGATCTGGATTAGTGTTTGATATGGTTTGGCTGTGTCCCTGCCCACATCTCATCTTGAATTTCCACATGTTGTGGGAGGGACCCAATGAGAGGTAATTGAATCATAGGGGCAAGTCTTTCCTATGTTGTTCTGGTAATAGTGAGTAAGTCTCACAAGATCTGATGGTTTTAAAAAGGGGAGTTTGCTTGTACAAGCTCTCTTCTCTTGTCTGCCACCATGTGAGACATGCCTTTCACCTTCCACCATGATTGTGAGACCTCAGAACTGTAAGTCCAATAAACCTCTTTCTTTTGTAAATTACCCAGTCTTGGGCATGTCTTCATCAGCAGCATGAAAACAGACTAATGGAGTAAATTGGTACCAGTAGAGTGGGGCACTGATGAAAAGATACCCGAAAATGTGGAAGTGACTATGGAACTGGGTAACAGGCAAAGGCTGCAACAAATTGGAGGGCTCAGAACAAGACAGGAGAAAATGTGGGAAAGTTTGGAACTCTCTAGAGACATGTCAAATGGCTTTAGCCAGAATGCTGATAATGATATGGACAATGAAATCCAGGCTGAGGTGGTCTAAGAGAGAGATGAGGAGCTTGTTGGGAACTGGAGCAAAAGTGACTCTTGTTATGTTTTTGCAAAGAGATTGGTGGCATTTTGCCCTTGCTCTAGAGATTTGTGGAACCTGAAACTTGAGAGGGATGATTTAGGGTATCTGGTGGAAGTAATCTCTAAGCAACAAAACATTAAAGAAGTGACTTGGAGGCTGTAAAAGCATGCAGTTTTAAGAGGGAAATGTGGCATAAAAGTTTGGAAAATTTGCAGCCTGACCATGCAATAGAAAAGAAAATCCCATTTTCTGAGCAGAAATTCAAGCTGGTTGCAGAAATTTGCATAAGTAACAAGGAGCCTAATGTTAATCACCAAGACAATGGAGAAAATGTCTCCAGAGACCTTTGCAGCAGCCGCTTCCATCACAGTCCCGGAGATTTAGGAGAGGAAAAAATGATTTCCCAGGCTGGATCCAACGTCCCTATGCCGTGTACAGTCTAGGAACTTGGTGCCCTGAATTCAAGCCACTCCAGCTGTGACTAAAAGGGGCCCAGGTTCAGCTCAGGCTGTTGCTCCAGAGGGTGGAAGCTCCAAGCCTGGGCAGCTTCCATGTGGTTTCAGCCTGCAGATGCACAGTAGTCAAGAATTGAGGTTTGGGAACCTCTGCCTAGATTTCAGAGGATGTATGGAAACACCTAGATGCCCAGGCAGAAGTTTCCTGTAGGGACAGGGCCCTCATGGAGAACCTCTGCTAGGGCAGTGCAGAAGGGAAATGTGGCATCAGAGTCCCCACACAGAGTTCGTACTGGGGCACCATCTAGTGGAACTTTGAGAAGAGGGCCACTGTCCTCCAGTGGTAGTTGCACAGACAGCTGGCACCATGCCCCTGGAAAAGCCAAAGACATTCAATGCCAGCACATGAAAGCAGCCAGGAGGGGGCTATACCATGCAAAGCCAAAGGGGTGGAGCTGCCAAAGGCCATAGGAGCCCATCTGTTGCCTCCGTGTGACCTGGATGTGAGACATGGAGTCAAAGGAGATCATTTTGGAGCTTTAAGATGTTACTGCCCTGCTGGATTTTGGACTTGCATGGGGTCTGTAGCCCCTTTGTTCTGGCCAATTTCTCCCATTAGGAATGGCTGTATTTGCCCAATGCCTGTACACCCATTGTCTCTAGCTAGTAACCAACTTGCTTTTGATCTTACAGGCTCATAGGCAGAAGGGACTTGCCTTGTCTCAGATGAGACTTCAGACTGTGGACTTTTGAGCTAATGCTGAAATGAGTTAAGACTTTGGGAGACTGTTGGGAAGGAATGATTGGTTTTGAAATGAAAGGACATAAGATTTGGGAGGGGCCAGAGGTGGAATAATATGGTTTGGCCCTTTCCCCACCCAAATCTCATCTTGAATTCCCACATGTTGTGGGAGTGACCTGGTGGAAGGTATTTGAATCATGGGGGCAAGTCTTTCCTGTGCTGTTCGCATGATAGTGAATAAATCTCATGAGATCTGATGGTTTTAAAAAGGGGAGTTTGCCTGCATAAGCTCACTTCTCTTGTCTGCCACCATGTGAGATGTGCCTTTCACCTTCCACCATGATCATGAGGTCTCCCCAGCCATGTGGAACTGTAAGTCCAATAAGCCTCTTTCTTTTGTAAATTGCCCAGTCTCAGGTATGCCTTTATCAGCAGCATGAAAACAAATTAATGTGTTCAAATCCCAGCACTTACTGGTTCATGCAACCAGTCATGAGCCATTTAACTCCTCTAAGCCCCAATTCCCTCATCTATAAAAGCAGAAATAATAAGTGCTTGTCCTTCATAGAGTTTTCATGAAGATTTATATGATAATACATAAAAGCACTTGTCAAAATACCTAGTGTATAGAAAGAGTTCAGTAAGTGGTAACTCTTTTCATTACTGTAATAAATATTAGTAGTTAGGCCTTGTCTTCTTGGTCAATGAAATAAACAATTGCACAACACATGCATATATTAAAATACTAGATAAACATTGAAAAATTATAAGCTAGTAATTCTGATATTTTTATTTTCCAAAAGAATCATTTTATATCAAATCTAAAATGTGATAAAAGCAAACATGAGATATTCATTGTTATTGGATTTCAGCACCTTATGGGAAATTTTACTTAAATCTGCACAACCTCTCCACTGTCAGCCTCTATTGAATGTCAAGAAAGTTTTTTTATTATTATTAACTTTGTTTCTGAAGTTTACTGATAAATAGATAAAAGGACTTAAATCAAAAATATGGCATTCTCAGAGGCAAGATTCTAAAAAGACATGAAATCAAGTTAAAATTGTGCTTTCTAAAATTTCCTGTTGACAATGAGACTTTGCATTTAACTTATTTTTAACTGTCAATAATTGGTGTTAATACACATGTGTGTTTGTGAGGAGGAAGAATAATTTGGCATTAGGTTAATAAATGATTAGTAGTCAAATCTGATCATGTTAAATTACTTAAGTTACAAAACAAAGAGAAATTTCAGCATGCAAAATTGAGCCTAAATCCACAATTAAAATGGAAAAATGATTAACAAACCTATCATATGTAATGTTTATAAACCTTTTCAAAAGGTTTGGCTATGCAGAGAACAAACGTATAGTGGAAATAGACCTCTTATCTCTAGAAAACACATTTGTTAGGCTTAGAAACAAGATATAAATTAAGTATACCATTGCTGCAATGAAAAAATACAATTGTTGCTTGAAAATTTCATTAAATTGTAAATAAATTGGAGTTAACCCGTGAGTTGATTATTTATCTCAGGAATGTGGGCGAGATTTGAATGCTTGCACGATGAACAGAATAAAGGTAGGCAGTATTTTGACATTTTATCCAATTTGAACATGAAAGTCATATGTATGAGGGGTGGAGGTTCATAATAGAACTAGTTAAAAGAAGTTCCTAAGCCAGCACCTATGAAAAACAAATCAAGTAGAAATTGGAGGAATAATATTTGTGTATTTTCTTTCAATAAATCAAGCAGCAAAGCACCAAATGATCTGATGTGTTGGCTCTAGAGATCTGATGTGAACCTAAAAAACTCAATTTGAAAATTGATTACAAGATACTTGAAATCACATCGAAGATGAAAATAAGAGGTGGCAATTATCTGGAATCTTCCAGCCATGGATCTAATTTATGGCAAGCATCCAGTTCTGTGAAACAATTAAGAGGGATTTAATATATTTTTTTATTTCATCTTCATCTGATAAAAATGTGGTTGCTTATTTTTTCAATAACTAAAATCAGAGTGCTACAGTGATAATCTTATGCCCTGAAAAAAATAGAAGATAACTGCCCCAATGAAAAGAGCTTGTGTTAAGCAACCTACTAAAACAGTCACATAAGGATTTGTTTCTAAAGTGGCAGAGCATAGAATTATATCGGGCACTCAGACATAGAGTATAAAGATATAGTCTTGACCGCTAATTTCTGATATATTTTTCTATCTCTTTTGTTGCCAGGATACAAGGTCTCTGTGTAATCTCTGGACACCTGCGTTAATACATTACAGTTCTTACGTTAGTCCTGCTTTTCTCCTTCAGGTTTATCCTGTCCAAGAGGTTCTCTCCTCTTTGCCCTCTTACTGAGTCCCAGTTAGTCTGAGTAGAACCTTAATCTACATTTAGTACTGGAGCTCTCTCATGATGCCTAATCTGGAAACTGAGGATTCTCCCTCTTGCTTATCCTAATTCCCAAATTGAAGAACTGACTTAAACCTCTACTCCTTTAACCTAACTCTTCCAAAATCAACTGTATATATCCAGACAAGTCCGTTTTCCAAGCATCTTCTCCCTATTCTATCCTACTATGATTAGATGATATGGACCTGTATCCTGTATCCATAGGTCCATATCATATAATCATAGTAGGATAGAATGCAGAAATGATAGATGCAAATCTGGGGTCAGCTCTTTTTTTTTGTAAAACTTCTTGTCCTTTTTTCACTCCTTTCTCTCATTTTTCCAATTTCCTATTGCAGCTAAGCCAGCTCTACCTCTTGTTCCTCAAATGTTCCTTGAATGTCTTTCATCTAAGGTCACCTCAGTGTACCTTTGCTCCTTCTTCATTTCTTTGCTAGAAATTCTGTCACCTTTCTCTCCCATTGATTCACTTAATTTTATGTAACAACTCTGCAAAGTACTTACTACCTGCTATGGTTTGAGAGTTGAGTGTATCTCATAAAATTCATGAATTAGAAATTTGGTCCCTAGTGTGGCAGTGTTGGGAAGCAGGGCCTTTAAGATGTGATTAGGTCATTAAGGTGGATTAATGCCACTCTTTACAAACTGAGCTAATTCTCCTGGGAGTGAGCAAGTTCTCACTCTCACAGAGCTGAATTAGTTACCACAAAAGAGGGTTGCAAGTCAAAGCCACCACCCATGTTTTGCTTCTTTCACACATGTTCACTCACACTTCCACTTTTCTGCCATGTTATGACACAGTATGAAAGCCCTCGCCAGAAGCTGCCACTATGCCTTGGACTTCTCTGCCCTAGATCCACGAACCAAATAAATTATTTTCTTTATAAATTACCAGGTCTCAGGTACTTTATTATAGCAACAGAAAAACAGACCAAAATATTGCCCTACTAGAATTATTAGAGCACTAATTACCTACTGTAACCTTGTTGTATACCTTTTCCTGTGTATTTTCTGATCGAAATCAAGCATCAAAAGGTTGAGTTGCAAATACAGGCATTCATCTATAATCCTTTTGAAGAGAGGTGTCTTGTGTTAAAATCAGGTGTTAACTTTCTATTTTTACTGTGCACTGCATGTAGGTGCTCAATAAATGTTGACAATAATGTCTAAAAGGGACTTCTATAAATTTCTTCACAAATGAGTAGCATGTGAAAGCAACACTGAGGATAAATTTCCTGAAGAAAACTTTAATTTTAAAACTATATTTTTCTGTTACTAACATTGAAACTAATAAAATTGTTATAAATCCCCTGACAAAAATTAAAACCCTCTCATTTGTCTAAAACTCTCATTTGCTTAATTTACCTTGAGTTACTTATGTAAAAAAAGGAAAAATGCTAAACACATTAAAAACTAAACAGGTAAAAATAAGCTTTTCATTTGAAGCAATAGTATACATTCACCTTGTTCTAATTGTGTACTCTAACATTTTACTATTCAAATTATGTCACAAAGGGAATCTACTAAAAGACCATTGAGGCAATTCTTAACTGAAAGTTTATGATTCCACTATATGTAAAGCAGGATTAATTAATAGTTATTAACAGTAATTGTCATTATCGCACAACCAACACAGCATGCTTATTTACTGGGGAAATAAAACACAAAGCAGGAGAGGAATGGCTCTAGGCGTAAAACACATTTGCTCATGTTAAAATGGCTGGGAAAAAGATACAGGTTGAGGTTTATGTGACCATGCAGAACGCTGTCTCCAAAGTTTGCTGGCACTGTGGGTTTTTCTAGTAAACCACAGCTACTCAGTCAAGTGGGCAAAATATATAATGGATGTATATAAAACAGACAGAATTTGAGCCAGGCTGTCACATAGTCCCCATCGTGGCAGTTCTCATCGTAAAGTAAGAATTCACTAGACATCAGACTTGGACTCACGAGTGGGGTCCTAATACCTGGGAGAAAAAATACCTCGTCATAGCAAGGTAAGAACCCAGAAAACAAACAAGACTTCTAACAAGTGTCAGAGATAGGCAGCAAGAGATAAAACTTAGAAAGAAAGAATAATACTGAATTCTGAATCTTGAAGGATAATCAATATTATTTCCTTATTCCTCATTGACTGAAGTCTGGAATTCAGACAATTAATCAAGGCTCGACTATAGAGACCCACAACCTTAGAATAAAGAGACACCAGGAAAGAGAAAAAATATAATTTTATTTGGAAATATTGCCATTGGGATATCATTTCTGTCAGGAAATAGCCACTTAATTTTATCTTTAAACTTATGTGATATGGAAGCTGACATTCAGATTTTCTTGATAAAAGTGAATTGTGTTTCATGTTGACAGTTGTAACATTAATTTTTCAAGAAGTGTTTTTCAACTGTTGATCAGATTTCAGTGGAAGAGAGGTCAGGTTTCCTATATATAAATCTACACTCTTATGAACATTGTGCTTTCTGTTTTGTGTTGTTAGTTGTTTATAGCAATTTACTTTGAAATCTTTGAAGATTTAACAGATTTTGTCCTTTTAAAGTTTTTTTCACTTCTGATTTTGTCACATCAAACATGCTAGAAAATGTTAATAAAAGACGAATATTTCATTTTAAGTCTTCTGTTTCACTGCAAAAACATAATACATACTTTAGAGCAAAGCATCAACTAATACACTATTTTGAGTGTCCTGACAGAGCATCAAGACTGAAGATTTTATTGTCGGAAAAAGAAGCATAATAATCTACCATCAAGAAATCAAAGTTCTTATCTTGATGTATCATATTGGGCAAGATGCTTCCCTTCTCTGTGTTTAATTTCTTTTTGGTGGTAAAAGAATATCACTTCCTGCCTGGCCTGATCACAGTGTTGTGGTAAAATGTATATGAGGTATTAACAAATACACTTAAAAAGATAAACACAAAGTTTTTGCTCTTATAGGAAATCTACACACCTTAACACTGAATGCTGTGAGAGAAGCTGCAGAGAACACCACCTCTCAGCAAAATATATAGTTAGAATTATACTTCTTGCTGACTCTAAGGGACCCATGTTTTGCTGTGGCATAGCACAAAGAACTCAGTACTCAAGCTGTGGTCTAGGCAAAACAAATTCACCACTGTGCTTTGCTTCTTTATTTCTTATCTGTGTTCTTGTTGGCACCTCTCTTACCTATGTAAAGACTCTCTATCTATAATAGCAAACTCTTCCTTTTGAACCCACAGAATATATGAATAATTGACCCCAGAATTCATTGCCTTTGAGTCCAGTATCAGAATTCTTCAAAACAAGACACAGCATATGACTATTGACAATAAACAGAAATTTATGTGCAAGACGAAGAGTATTTGCTACTCTTGAGCTACAACTTCAGTAATTTCTAATCTTCCAGTCATATGTATACCTTTTAAGAGTGGCCTCCTGGGGTAATGCCTTTGCTGCAGAATTCACATTCTTAACACAAACAGGGGTTTGAACTGGTTACATAGGTTGTTTACAGCTTGTGGTAGAGAATGATTAGCAAAGTAAAATTAAAAACAATTCGCTTCAGCACATCACAATGATCTCTTCTTGTACTGATCATCTGTAGAGAACATTTACAGGCATAATTTTCTAGTAAAAGAAAACCACAGAGATTAACAATAAAAATGAGGTGTACAGATTCTGATTATGTATCTTTTACTCTGAGTGCAGGCTGCAGGGAATTGGTAGGAGGCCCAGGATACATATGGTAATAAAGGGCAGAGGAACTCAGCTCATGGAAGTAAAATTTAAAGCTCTGAGTCAATAGCTGTGTAAAGATGAAAGAGGATTATATCGTGGAACGAGGAATACTTAGCTAAGAACATTATGTTCATCTCTTAGGGAAAAGTTTTTCCCTTTTTAGATTTCAAGTACAGCTTACTTATAAATATCAGAGTGAATGCTATAGCCCAGTAAGAGATCCAAGCAGGAGAAGGCTGTGTTCCACTTATTTATTGCTGTATAACAACCCACTCCAAAACTCAGTGAATAAAACAACCAACATTGTATTGCATTTCATTGATTGGTAAGCCAGGATTTGGGCAGGGCATGGCTGGGCAATTCTTCTATTCCCTCTTATCATACTTTAGTTGGCATGGACAAGGGCCATTCACTGGATTTCAGATGTTGCCTGGGTGAGTCTAGAGAGTACAATACTGCTGGGTTGGCTGGAAGTCTGGACTCACTTGGGCACCTCTCTTTCTCTCCATATTGTCTCAGAGCCTCTATACATGTCTTTCCAGCGAAGTAGTTGACCAATTTGTGTGATGGCTTCCGATTTCCTAAACCTGGGCCCAGAAAATGGCCCAGCATTACATCTCATGTATTCTAATGGTCAATCCCTCACAGATCCTACCCAAATTCAATGGAGGAGACTGGCTGGGCAGGGTGGTTCACACCTGTAATACCCGTGCTTTGCGTGGCTGAGGGGGAGAATTGCTGAGGCAATTTTTGTAGACACCATCTCTACAAGATAAATATAGAAATAGATACATAAATAGATATGATTTTTTTCTAAAGAGGGCAATAGACTCCATTTCTCATTCTCCATTTTTTTTTCTAAAGAGGGCAATAGACCCCATTTCTCATTGAAGGAATCTCAGAAAAAAATGTGGCCATCTTTAACTGCCACGTAAGTAGGATTTTTTGTAGTATCTCTTTTTGTCTCATCCTTTGGAAATCACATCCCAGTCCTCAGGAAAGTTGCTGTTCTGTTGTTGCTTTTGTTCTTTTTAAGAAACCCATAAGAAGACTACTTAATGTAATAATAAGATGCTCTATATTAAGCTTCTTATTTCAGCCAATCTGTCTATCTCTTCACATTATCACCCCGTAACTTCCTAAACCAAAGCAATTTGTTTTAAAAGTGCCAGTGATCTAGGCTGACTTTCTGGTAAACATTAATTTTATGTAAGAATGATTTGAAAAAGAGCTCCCTAGACCAGAGACAGTAAGATATGGTTTCTAATTTTAGATCTATTATGACTTAGAATCAGTCTTTTAGCCTCTCTGATTCTTGTTTCATAATAAGCTGTTCGCACTCTAAAACTTAGAAATATGGCTAGTTAATAAGGTCATGTATATTAAAGTCTTTTGACTTTTATGTATGAAGAAGTATTATGATTGGAATCATCAAAATTCCAATTTCAAACATTACTAGTTAGTATATGCAACTTCAAAAATAAGTTTAAATGTCCAAGTGGGAAAATGCATGAAAAAAACTGTTAAGCAAGACATAGTCTTGATGATTTTGCCTTATTGTTTCCAGCTCTGTAATTTCTTTTTGATTGATTACATTCCTTTAGGCTATCATATCCTGCTGGTGTCCCAGGATCTCATTTTTCCAAAGGTTATGCCAACATACCTTATTTACTCTTGACTGATTTTACTTATCCTGTCTTACAAAATGAAAACTCTTATATGTAGCAACTTAGTTTTCAGTTTAATAATTAAGTCATAATTATTTTCTTGCACTGAAGGTGACAATTAGTTCTTTTTCATTGTTGTCTTTATGCACATAATAAAATTTTATTTAACAAAAACGTTTTCTTTAATTAATAAGACGGAGAAGGAAATGGCAGAAACTGATGGTCCAAGGCATGGTATTATTATCAATTCACTGTAGACACATCCAACAAAAATTATTACTTGGAAAGTTTTAAAAAATGTTGTTTAAAAATTAGATAAATATTTTTATATAACAATTATTTTTCTTCTTAGACAGATGAGGATTTCTTTCTGTTTGAAGCTGAAAACACCAAATTCTCCATAGCCAAAATTTCTCAACTTCTTAGGACCCCCATATCTTAGTCTAAGAGATAATGAGATATCTCCCATGGGATGCCTCATTGATGCCTAAATTTAATGGTGAAGAAATGTTGTTATCATTATTGTTCAATTGGACATGTAGTAGTTTGTTGGATATATGTCATGAAATGATCCTAGAACACTGTCTCTCCTAAGGTAATGGCTAACCCTCTTACATATTTTAAGTTTGACTTATTTGTCACCTAATAGGGCTTATTCTGACCAGCCTTCATAAAATTAAAACTCATCATGCACATGTGCACATTTCAGATCCCTTTTATTCTGCTCTACATTTTCTCTCCTATAGTGGTGCCTAGCAAATTATAGGATTCGGTATAATTTATTTATTTATTAGTGTTTATTGTGTTTTTCTTATCCTTTCTATAGAAATGGCATGCCATAAATGCAAAAGTCCTGGAATTACAGAAGAATTATTAATTATGCTTCATAATCATCAATAGCTTATGCTTTATAAATGTATAATTTCAAATACATACACATATTATCAAAGGGATATTATATTTATTAGTTTGTTTTTTTTCTAGTGATTATTTTCATGGCGCCTTGAAAAAAAGTCTCATTCCAGATTTGGCAAAGAAAGTGAACAAAATGATCCTGCAATATCTTACGCCAGAAAGAAAGGAATCAATCAAATACAAATGAGGTCATATCTATCTAAATAATATACAATCCAATTTGCTGTAACTTTCATCAGTCTAGGATGAAAGAATTTAAAGATTCAACAAGAATACTGAATTTGACTTGTGGTTTAAGCTCTGACATCCAAAATCTTGGAATTCACCACCCCTATTCTTAAAACTAGAAAAATTGATACAAACTGAAAATTAATGTCTTTTATTGGACCTATCAGAGAACTGAGGTTACAGAGCAAACTGCTACCAATGTCTAGAGACAGGTGAATCCAGAGAGTTCACAAACAAGATCCTTTTATTTATAAAACATCTTCAGGAGCCTTGAACTGACAGGAAGATTTAAATGGTAATTCTGACAAATTCCTAGACGTGGAATGTGGACTAGTGTGAGAATAAAAAATCTCAGTGAACCACAGTCACAGGAAGGTCCTCACACTTTCATGGACAAAACTTTCAGGAACTGCACCAGGATTTTAGGGTAAAGATCAGAGACAGGTCCCCTGCTGGTTCTGGTGTGGGGAAAAGTGGAATCATTGTGAAATATTCTCAAAGCCTTCTCCATAACAAAAACCTACTTTACAAAGAAAAAGACTACCAGAGCTTCATTCCAGCTGGGAGAAAATCCTTCCTCACCCTCCAGTCCCTTTTAGCCTTCCTGTCTTATATAAGGGGTGATGGGAGGGCATAATGAGTATGGGTCAAGGCTTCAAGAAAAATTGACTGGAAATGCTGCAGCCAGAGAAGTGAGAAAGGAGCTGGAGTGAAAAATAAGCATTTCTATTAAGAAAACAGTTATGAAGGTCACAGCCCAGAGACACATGTCTATGAAAAGACTGAGACTTAATCATAAATTACAGAATCTTTCCCCTTCCTAGCATCTTGCCATCACAGCAATAGGGCATCATCGGAAGAATTTATTACAGCTAGCTATAAGAGCTGCAAGGCACAGGGTCTCTCTTGGAAAGAGTACGTAGGGAAACTCAAAGTTAAGATGAGTGGCATATGCTAGAACACAAGAGAGATTTGAAAGCTCTGGCCCTTGTAGTCACAGAAAACATTAAACAGCCAATTCCCCCACTAGGTTAACATAAATACTCACACTAAAGATCTATTTAGCTCAGTTTCTTTTACCCAGTACATGTCTAGCTTTCAATAAAAAATCATAAGGCACTACAAATGCAAGTAAAAATATAATATGAAGGGATAAAGGAAGCATCAGAATCAAACTCAAATATGACACAGATATTAGAATTATCAGACATGGCATTTAGAATACCCATGATTTGTATGTGAAGAGTTCTAATGGAAAAAGTAGACAATGTGCAAGAACAGACTAGTAATGTAAGCACAGAGGCAGCAAATCTTCGAAAGGCTCAACAGGAAATGCTAAAAATTTTAAAAATTGCAAGAGAAATGAAGAATGCCTCACACTGACGTCAGTAGAACATGAAGAAAAAAATCATGAGTTTGAGGTTATGTTGAAATGCAAAAAGAAAAGAAAGTTTAAAAAAACAGCAGAGCATCCAAAAACTGGAACAATTTCATAAGGTATAATATACATATAATCAGAGTTTCAGGGGAGAAGACATAGAGAAAAGAGTAGAAGAAATATTTGAAGTAATCATGGTGGAAAACTTTCCAAAAATAATGGCAGACACGAAGTCACAGATCCAAGAAACTCAGAGAATACCAAGTAAGCAAATGCCAACAAAACTATACCTAGTCATAGCATTATCAATCTACAGACAAACAAAGACAAAGAAAAATTCTTGATAAAAAAAGGAGAAAAAATATCTTATCTACAGAGGAAATTATGCAGGTAAGAAGAAAGTAAAGAAGAATGTTTAGAGTGCTTAAGAAACATCCACACATACACACAATATAACCTATAATTCTAATCCAGCAAAATTATCTTCAAAACTGAAGGAAAAAAAGACTTTTTCTGACAAAAACTAAGACAATTTATTAACAGCAGATCTGCCTTGCAAGAAATGTTAAAATAATACTGAATTCCAAAAATTAAATCACGTTAACATATGAAACCCATGGATTCCAAATGTGTCCTTTTACACACATACATACAGACTTGTGGGTCTCCATTGAAAGTTCCTAAAGTATGAACTCATTATTTTGAAAACTTAACAATAAAGGGAACAAACCAATGATTTATACTACCTTGCCTGAACAAACTCTATTTCAAGATGAGAAAATAGATGTGTAAAAATTCTTTTTTAAAGAATCACTTCAGCTAACAAATGCAAAAGTCCCAATAGAAGTGTAAAATTATCATCTTGTACCACCTAATGAAATAATGGAGTTTGACAATAATAATCCAATAAAACCACTGAATAGAATATGACAAGGAATTTTATGAAAAAGTATCACTTAGCATTGTTAGAACTTATCAGCTGAGGCATCCCTAAAAGTCAGACATTATTATATCATGTAACTTCTGATATGATATTATAGGAAAATTTTTTGTTTCCCCCACTAATTGACCCTAAATCTAATCAAATATCTAGATCTAAGTACCAGTTTTCAGGTGACACGTGTGACAGAAAAATAAGATAAATGACATCACTAGAAGCAATAAGCCAGCTTTAAGTTATGCTACAAAGAAAAGTGACCTGATACATTCAACAAAACAATGACATGAAGAAAAAAAGAAAAACAATGTATGGACCTTATTTGGATCCTGATCTTAGCAAATTAACTTTAGAATAACAGTTTTGAGACAATTAGGTCAATATAAATGTGGGTGATTATTAATTGAATTAAAGAATTAGTTTCAACTCCAGATAATAATATAATATGAGCTTATCTTAAAAGACTTGTCAATAAGATGCAGGATGAAGAACTTCTGGCAGCAATTACATGGTATGTGGGATTTTAAAAAAATACTTTGGCTTAAGGAAAGAAAGAAAGTGAGAAGAGTATGGTCAATGAAATAAGACTGTCAATATTTTAATAATTGTTTTAGCTAGATTATCATTATATATGGATATTCACTTTTCTGTTTTATTTTTTGGTATGTTAAAAGTGTTCATAATAAAATGTTTTCTAGGTGATTCTTTTTACTAAAGAAACTTGGAGTGGTTATTGATTTAATAAGAGTTTAAGGGTCAACACACAACTCACATATGGAGGCAAAAGGCTGGCTGCCTTATATCACTGAGAAGCCTGCAAATGAAGGAAGCAGATTTTACCCTTTTCTAATACGTGAATATTTGAGAGCTTGGAACAGCCATACCATGTTATCCATGAATACAGTTTAGTTGAAAATTACATGTGAAATTCATCAAAAGAAGAAAGTTCATGCCCTTCTTTAATTAGTGCCTTTCTTGAAGGAGAAAACTAACTTAATAAGAGATCACTAATTAAAGATGTGATACCTTTTTAAGCTTTACTCAAAGTGCCAGCAATTATCTGGGATATAATGGAGAAGAAATGGCCTGGGTGCCTATAACAAAAAAGAAGGTATATAGCAACTGATTTCAAAGGGTAATTTTAGAATATTAAAGAAGAGGTTTTTATTTAACATTTTGTTTTTAAAATAATGTATTTTCTATAAATTAATTAGGAAAAACACATTTAATAAGTCAGAATAAAAATAAAAAAATTCTGAAGACAGTTATGAGCTTCCCTGATCAGAATATAAAACAAATTCAGGACACATAGAATTACTGACATTACTGACCATACTAATGTATTGAGAAAATAAAGCTGGAAATTCCTGTGATAAGTTTAAGCAAAATATTATGACGATGTACCCCAGAGAAAAGATAAACAAGAAAAGCTATAAAATAACTTACCTAATAAACACCCTAGAAGTCCATATTGGACAAGACCAGGTTAAAACGAACAAATTGTTTTATATGCTTTCTAATTTACAGTGAAAAAGTCAGAGACTCTAATACAACCAGAATCTATGATTAAAAAGGGTAAATATATATGGAGATATATATATATATAATATATATATGTAAAATAAAACATACATGGCTGACTTTCTAAAACAAGTGGCATAAGTACAGGGTAATTTAATATTTTTTGCTGCATCTTGCTTAATGTTATCTGTTAGATAAAATTGTGCCCAATATAGACATTTCATTTGATTTTTTTAATTGTGAAAAATCTCAACATATTTGTAGTTTAAAGAGTAGGAAGAAGAATCAATCTATTTCTTGGTGCCTACTTGTAAAGCCTGAAATGCTCAGTCGTCAAAAGTAGAAACAACTGTTCCAATACAATTCAAGTAACATTTTAATTGGGTCCATAAAAGAGAGGCAAAAAAAGCGTAGAAAAGATTTGTTAATGTTTTTCTGTAGTGTTTCTCACACGCTCACCCTGATCCAGCCTTATTATGAGCAGATAATTATGAAGTTTTCATTCCAGTATAAATCTCCTTGAAATCCTTAGGGTCAGGAGGAGAATGGAATCATAGAAGAGAAAAATTCATTCAGGGATTAGAAAGAGAAAGGTTTTTTGCTGTTGTTGTTGTTTTTTCTTTTTTTTTTTTCCCCATACCTTTTACTCCAGACTGTAAACATCAGATGTTATTTATTTAATAATTCATATTTTGCTTCATTCTAAAATCTATTTGAGGCAGGACATTACATATCTCCTCTTTGAAACAATCCTGGAAAAAAGCTTCATTTTGAAGAGCAAAGAGCTAAAAGATAAGAGGGAACTTTCACAAGGTCAGAAATAAAATCAGAGCTGAGTCCAGCAATATTCAGAGATTTTCAGTCTTTTTATTTCTTGTTCCTAATTCTGAATTTTTCATTGGAAGGGCCAAAGTGATTCATTTTACTTTCACTCTTTTTGAAAATATTTTCTGGGCTAGAATGTGAGCCTTAAGTGATTTCTTATAAAGGTCGAGTGTTTCATAGTTTGAACTGTCTGAAACAATTAAATATATATTAACTGAATAAGTTATAAATCATGCTTCTCAAACGTCTTATTTTTTTTTTTTTTTTTTTTTTTTTTTTTTTTTGAGACGGAGTCTTGCTCTGTCACCCAGGCTGGAGTGCAGTGGCGCGATCTCAGCTCACTGCAAGCTCCGCCTCCCAGGTTCACCCCATTCTCCTGCCTCAGCCTCCCGAGTAGCTGGGACTACAGGCGCCCGACACCACGCCCAGCTAATTTTTTGTATTTTTAGTAGAGACGGGGTTTCACCGTGTTAGCCAGGATGGTCTCAATCTCCTGACCTCGTGATCCACCTGCCTCAGCCTCCCAAAGTGCTGGTATTACAGGCATGAGCCACCGTGCCCGGCTCAAATGTCATTTTTTAGATTGAAAAAACTGAATGATAGTATGGACATCTTATTAAGTTAAAACTAAGATTAAGTTTTCAGCTATAAAAGGTAGCTTACAGTATTAGTAAGCACTCAAAAAGTACATTAAATACTAAGTTATATATATATGTGTGTGTGTGTGTGTGTGTGTGTGTGTGTGTATATATATATATGCACCTACGCTTATTTATTCATTCATTCTTTTTTCCTTTCCTTCTATCAAACTTTTATCTTAGTCAACTCATATTTTAAATTGTTGAACACTGTTAAACAGAAATAAACAAAGCTGGAAAGCAGAGATACGTATAGGCAGCCCAACCTTCAGATCATTCTTCTTGTTCTGGCTTTGAGTGTTCCTCCTCATTTTTCTCTCTTTGCATTTGGGTTATTTTATAATAGCTCAGTTCTGCATTTTGAATAATTCTTTTACATTTACTAGTATTTCATGCTTGTTGTACCTTACACAACATGTTCATGAGTTTTATATCTTGAAGTATTTCTGGTTACCTAGGCTGGCACTGTTTTTCTAAGTCCTTAAAGACAATCTATGAAGAAAACTTTGGTAGAATTCTTTCCACATGAATGTCAAAACTACTCTATTAATCTATGGACTACATATCTATAGTATTCCCCCTTTATCCAAGACTCCCCCACCCTCCACAGTGAATCCTTGAAACAATGAATAGCACGGAACCCTATATTCACTATGATTTTCCTCTGCACATGTACCTATGATAAAGTTTAATTTACAAATTAGGCACAGTAAGAGATTAACAACCATAACCAATAATAAAATAGAACAATTATGACAATATACTGTTCATAATTTCACAGTTACATTTGTTCTTACTCTAGATCTTAGCAACCTCAGCATACTATTTTTTTTTCTTTTCTTATTAAGTTGAGAATACTCACCTTTCACTTAAAGTAAGCACTTTACAGATTCTCTTTGGTATATCCGAATTGCCAACATCACCACTCTTGCTCTTTGAGGCCATTATGAAGTGAAATAAAGGTGACTTGAACACCAGCACTGCATACCCCAACAGTTGATCTGATAACAGAAGGCTACTAAGTGACTCAGGGGCAGGTTAGCATACACAGTGTGAGTGCACTGGGCAAAAGGTGATTTACATCCTGGAGTGGGCACCAGATGACATTACGCTACTCAGAGAGGCACACAATTTAAAATACATGAGTTATTCACTGAAGAAGCTTTTTATTTAATATTTTTGCACCACAGTTACAAGTAACTGAAACCGTGGAAAGCAAAACCAATGATCAGGAAGGACTACGGTATAGTCTATGTATTATGCTCTATACAGTTATATATCTATAAATATGAAGATTGTCTTGAAGGGTGAGATCATTCAATTATCCATCATCTGAAGAAGTGGTTGTCATTCATACTGGAAGAGCAGGGGACAAGCTTTAGATAACAATAGAAGGGTTAGTCTCACTTTTCTATACTCTCCAAGTGTAGCTAAGATGGTGCCCCTCCATGCTAAGGGTTAAAATGGCAGTGGCCAAAAGTGAGAAAGCAAGAGACATCAGCATGACCTGACTCTTTCTTGAGATTCCATGCCTCAAAAGATAGAGCTAATAAGTCTGGGAGTGCAAACCTCTTTTTATACATACATTGTTTAGATTTCTAATGGCCTCATTCTTTAATTTCTTTATATTACTAGATTGTATTTAGTTAAACCTGTTTGCAAGTGCCAGCCTTTCTCAGCTTTGCTGAAAGACATGAAAGAAAAGGGTCAGCAATTTAAGATGAAACAATTCTGGAAAACTCCAAAAAGAAATGGCATCCAGAGGAACAGTGCTGGTACCCCATGTTCAGTTATTCTGATCCAGAGTGAGTTCCTTCAGGTAGCAGCCTGTGAGGTTCTGGATTGAATATCATTTAAAGCAAGTGAAATGTCCTTACATGTGCACATGTACCACAGAACTTAAAGTATAATGCAAAAAAAAAAAATACAGTGTCTCAAAGACTCAATACAGGAAGATAGGGTCTGGAAATCTAGTCCAGATGTATAAACATCTAGGTATGACATATAAACATATGTCTAGTGAAACGTAACAATCCAGTTATGACATATAAAGTCAAACTCCATTATATACTGTGGCATCCAAGAAAAACATTAGATTGTTGGCCTGTCTGAAGTCCAAAGCCAAGACAATTTCCAAAAGAAGCCAAAAAAGAACAACTGTCAGTGTGTCCCCAACTCTGCCCAAGTGACGGTGAAGGATGCTGTCCTGAACATACTCACAGGGTCAGCAAGAGCATCCCAGATAGAGCTAGATGGGTCATCTGCCTCTGATCTGCTCCCTTGCTCTAATCCAAGCTTACCTGTCAACTTCCACAGTATAAATTGATTTATTGATAGACTTTCCAACAGGTGGATTCGAATTCTGCCCTGAGATGTTGGTATAAGTACTAGGATCTTCTTGTCAGCTACTTATCATGAGAAAGTACTCCCTCAGTGTGTGGCTTACACATTAATCTTTCAGAGTTTTGTTTTAATGAGTCATAGCTGGTTTCTAACTCACTCTGAGTGTAAGTTACTTTAGACCTCCATATCTAAAGTTGAGACTTGAAAGCCACAAAGATACCACTGCACAAAAATGGCGCTGCCCCAGTAGCTCAGCAGTCTCCACCTCTGACATTTTATTCCTCTTTGACTTTCACAGTGTATGTCAAAGCCACATTTATGTACATCAATATTCACATTCTGAGTGAATGATCGTTAAGTATAGAGAAGAAATAAATGACATAAATTACCTGCTATTAAGAAAAAGCGTCACAGTTGTAACTCGCAACTTGAGGAGTTGAATAGTAACAAAAATAGGAGAGAGTGGCAGAGAAGGAAATCTTCAACATAGTGACATTTCTCAAGAAATAAGTGGAGACATAACCTGAACATACTTCAACAATTTTAAATACAAATAAAATAAGAAGTCAAATATATTAGTGCTGCTTGACAATTCTATGATGAAATGAAGTTTCTTGCTACATGAAAATATTATCACTTCTGTTTTGCTCACTCCATCATAGAGTTCTGATTCATGATTCCAGGGATAGGCAGTATACATCAGTGTTTTGACAGCAGGAGATAACAGATATTAGGTGAATATTTCCCTCAAAAGAAATATAAGAATGAGTCTAGACATTATTTTCTCAGAGTTGCATCTAATTTCACATGCAATCAAGTTGCCCTTGGCAACTCAGGGAAAGTTAGCTTATCTCCCTGAGTTCAGCATAAAAAAAAAAAAAATCTAGTCAAGTATTCACATGAAATGTGTATTGTTTGGCTGAAAGAGCAGATATCCACATTTTGTTCTAAAGCATCAGATCCATTTGCCAAGCTAATACACAAGGGTGATGGAAAAGACAGCTGAATATTCTTTTTGAAGTTCTAAGTAGTTTAAAATGTGAATTCTTATATAAGACTAATTTTTTATTTTGACATAATTATTTATATTCCTTTCAAACTAGGTGTGACAACTGATGATGACAACCGAACAGGGTACCCCAGGAGTGGATGAGTGTTACAATCATCAAGCCGCACTGCATTCTCAGTAATTTCACTGTCACTATGATTTTCACTGCCTGGGATGCTAACGATTTCTGATGCCAGTAGGCCAACTAGGCTGTGAGGAAACCACTGTGCTCAGTAGTATTTGGTAAGAATTTGTGTGAGATTTTTCAGAAAGCAAATGGAGACTTCCCAGAGACAAGCAAATTTTAAACTACTGAGACTCTAAAGAAGACATTTAACATTAGTAAAAATGACTTCAGTAGAAGGGAGATGGAAGAAATAAATATGAGGCTTCATTAGCTCAATGAAAAATGGCCAGAACTTGCAGAAGAAAACAATGATTTGAGAAAGTGAAACTCATAATATTTGGCCCTTATTATAATTTTCTTCTATTCATATTTAGTTTTATTTAAGCCCATAATCAAGAAAAGAAAGACTTTCCTTGAAATTTGAAACTGGAATCAGAATGGTAAGATTCTATTCCCAAGTATTACAACTGTGTACAGCCTTTGCATCTCTTTAAAATTTTGATTGAACTTTATCATCATCTTTTAGTAGACAAATGTAGGTTATAAGAAGTACATATTTAGAATTTTATGCAATTTTTTTGCAAATGAGATACCTTTGAGTTCCAGCTCTATGAATGAAATATAAATTCTTAGTCAAATAAATTGTTCCATTCCATCCTGAGCAATACAATGAGATACTCAGACTTAAAAAAAAAAAAATTCCTGAGCCTAGATGTATATCAGAATAACCTGGCTAACCTTTAAAAAATACAGCTTCTTGGGCCTCACTCCAGGTTTGTTGAATAGCAGTAACCCACAAGAAATACCTAGAATCTATATTTTTCAAAAGCTCCCATAGAGAATCTCATGCAGTTATTCCTTGCCTGCAGACTTGTTTTTGAGACCCAATGGTTAAGCTATACTCACAAAGAAAGAAAAGCTATTATTTACTGAGCATCTACTACCAGGTACTAACTAGATGCTTCAAAATGCTATCATAATGATTCTTCTTAATGCAGGGACACTGTAGTGTACTGAATAGTGTCCCGCAATATTCTTATCCAACCAGACCCTTACAATGTAACCATTTTTGGAAATAAGGTATTTGCAGATGTAATTAAAATGAGATTACACTAGATGAGGATGGACGCTAAATCTAATGACTGGTGTAAGCATCAGAAGAGGAGAGGGCACACATACATATAAAAAAAGGAGACAGACGGAGAGAAGAAAGCCATGAGAAGACGAAGGCAGAGACTGGAGTGATGCAGCTACAAGCCGAGGAACGCCAAGGACTGCCCAGAGCCACTGGAAGCTAGAGGAGGCAAGGAGAGAGCCTTCAGAGGGAACATGGTCCTGCTGACACATTGATTTCAGACTTCTAGCCTCCAGAACTGGGAAAGAGTACACTTCTCTTGTTTCAAGTCCACCCAATTTGTGGAAGTTTGTAATGGCAACCCTAGGAAACTAATACAGACAAAGAGACTCAGAGAAGTTCAGCAATCCGCCTGAGTTATTCAGATAGAAGGTGATGAAGCAGGGTTTCAAACTCTGGCCCCATTGATTCCAAAGCACATGGACTAAAACAACACTGGCAGAGTTCAATAGACCAAGATTCAAGCAGCATTTAGTCAAAGTGGGGTTCCTAGATGGCCTAGAGATCACCTGGGGACCTTGTTAAAAATGCGTGTACCTTGATACTACCTGGAATTACTCCATAAAAAAGTTTTGCAAGCTGGACCTAAGAACCTACTTTTAACAGGTATCTCAGAAAATCGTCACTCATATTAAAGTTTGACATCACTGACTAGAGAGTTGGCAATCTTTAACGTGACATTTTTTGCTTTTCATTAAAGTATATCCTGAACATATGAAACAAATAAGTAAAATGACAAATGTTATTAGAGAAATTAATGTGATGAAGTCAACATGTACTTTACTTCAAACCTTTTTTATGTAAAACCAGGATACTAAGGAAAATGTACATAACTAACATTCATACTTCCCCCATATATGAAGCTGATCATGTTCCATTCTTTCCCAAACCTTGAAGAAGATAAGCAGATATTACACTTATTTGTATATCATAGGAGAGGAGGCTAAGATTGGAGCCTTAGAGAAATTTACAAATCACTCTCCTGTGGTTTATTGCTAGAGCATGACATTTTTTTCTGTCCATACATTGGAAAAAATTTAGTTGGGAATTAAATGAAAATAACATGGGTGGGAGAAGTGTATCTCACTTATTTTCACAGGAAAGCGGAGAGAAAGATAACAGGAAAAGGATATGTTGTTTTTTAAAGCCATGGAAAGAAAAGTAGAAAACAAGTGTGTGAGAAGCCAAAGAGAAGAACTCTATGTTAAAGAGAACTTCAAAAAGCCCTAGAGAGCATAGAAACTCAGGCTATCGGATGTGATCAATTTTTATCAGAGCATACTCAAAAGTTATTCATTAGTTTCTAAACCTTCATATATATTTAGACTGTGATTTTCTTGGAGATTTCACTCTATTAACAACATTAACTGGACTAAGAAGAACAAATGAACTGAAGAATTTATATTCTCCATCTAGACGATGAAGAAAAAGAAAAGTGACGATTCTTCTCTGAAGTAGCCTCTTGTACTCAGCTTTTCTCTCACAAAAGTATTATTTCTATCTGTTGACCCTGAAGATGCAGTTAAAAATGTTTTCTTTTCAATCAAAAGGCTTCTTCTAGGGCAATTGTGTGTGTGTATGGTATGACTTGTCTTTTTCTTAAAGCACATCATAGCTGTTTAAAAGTTGTGTTTGTGTGCATGTGTATGTGTGTGTATTTGGCTTTCTCAATTTGCTTTCGGAAAATGTAAACTAGAAGGAAATATTTTTTAAAAAGCAGTTACCAAAAAACTTTAACAGAAAGGAAAAGTAGGAAAAGAGTGGGACAGAAAGAAAAAAAATGGTAGACGATGAACTGTACTAAGGCACAAATAGCTTGGTGAGGATCTGTTTTAATTTGAATTAAAAATGTACTTGGCTTATTTATTCTTTATGATGTAATAACAACACATTTTAAATCCAAGGCACCAAAGAGATGAGAATTAATCAGTCCAAGCTCTTGTTCATCCTAAAATAAATAATGATAAAACTTTACTGGAAAATCTAATGATTACAAAGTACTTGGGAATCAATATTGAAAATAAGTTGAGATCCAAAACAGTTCCTTATTATGAAACTCAGTTTACTTGTTAGTACATTTCATTCTAAATTTAGACTCAACCATGAGTAACTTTGATCATAATGTAGATCAGAGTTATGTTTAGTTCTTGTCCTCATTGTACATAATCCGAGCAGCATTTGACCAGGTTGAACATGCAACTAGGTTTCTGCGATACCTCAAACAAATTGGCAGTATCTTCCTTCTTAGGCTCTATCTTCTTGATCTCCTTTACTAGTTTTACCTCTTGAATAAATATAATACCAAGTGGTCCAGAACTTGATACAAGTTTTTTTTTGTAATCCCTTACTTGTATTCTTCCCTTGAGAAAACTCATCTGTTTCTATTATTCATAATATCATCAATGCCCTGATAAATATGAAATTTGTGCCTCTAGTCCAGCTGTCTCCTTTGAGTTCTATACTGGTATATCCAGCTGCCAATATGCCATTTCTACTTGGCGACATATTGAACACTTTTAATGTAACATGGCTAAAACATCACCTTGTATTTTTCCTTCCAAATTCATTGTCCAAAGACTTCCCTAGGAAATGGTACCACTATCTCTGCAATTATACAGAACAAAAGCCCGCAGCTTTCTTGATTCTTCCCTTTTTTTCACATCCCTAACCTTCCCACATGGAAGGTCTGTCGCTCTTCTTCTGTAATGTAACCCAAATTTCACTCCTAGAATCCCAACCATCTTTCCTTTCTCCTGATATAAAACAATCGACTTGTAACTGCTCTAACAGCCCTCATAACCATCAGCCTCCACATCCCAAACTTTATTCTTCATACAGAAGTCAGAGTGAATCAAATCACATCACACCCAAATTTTATTTTAAAAGTTTTAAGTAAATAACTTACTTATTATGTAAGTTACAATTGTGTTACTTACTTATATGTAAGTAACAAACTGAGTTTCATAAGTGATAAGTAAAAATACTACAAATAATAGTAAAGAAAAACACTATTCTTTTATTTATTTGATTTTTAATTGAAAAATAATAATTTTTTATACTTATAGGGTACAATGTGTCATTTTGACCTATGTATAGGTAGATTAAATCAAGCTAATTAGCATATTCATCACCTCACCAACGTCTTATTTAAAAAAACACTATTCTTTACTTGGTCTATAATGTCTTAAAAGTCTAGCTATATCTTTAACATCATCTGCCTCTGTTCTACCTTTATTTATAATCACTCCATTTATGTTAAAATTTTTGATTTCTTGAACACTTCAAGCTTATTTTTATTTTTGGTATTTGTATTTTAGTATTGCATTTAGTATTTTTCTGATCTCTACATTTCCTCCTCCTTTTTATCATTCATATCTCAACTCAAATATCATTCCTTAGAAAATTTTCACAAACCACCTTTAATAAAGGATGTCACTTTCAATACTCTATTCCACATTACACTGTTTTATCTTCTAGATACCTTTTACCATTATCTGATATTACACCATTTCTTGTTTACCCGTTAGCTTTTTTGTCTTGTACTGTTGAACATAAGTTCCTTGAGAACAAGCGCCTGGCCTTGTTCATAGCTACTTTCCAGTGTCTAGGACAGTGTTTGTCACATAATAGGTTCTCAATAAATATCTGTTGATGGATTTATTCCAGAAAAAATTTACCATATTTTAAAGTGTGGAACTAAAACAGAAATAGAAACACAGATACTGCTCATGTTTTTATTGGCATTGCATTCAAGTCTCAATTTGCTTAGGGAAAAAAAAAAAGTCAATTCTAATGTTGTCTTCTATTCTTCTTATCTATTCCAAACAAACTTAGAATTGTTTCTGTAGTCATTCAAGTTTTCTTAGTTATTTACATTAATCTTTCTTGGGCTTTTATGTGTGGAAGTCTGGTACACTGTGCATTGGTATTTTATTCTTATAAATGTAAACTGATTTTTACTGCACTATTTATCTATCTGGCTAATAGGAATATTATTGTTTCTCATAAAGGAGAAAAGGAGTGAAGCTTACGTTACAGGGGCAGTATTGATTAGCTCCTTTGTTTTTGTTAGTTTTGGTTTTGGAGAATCAAATGACATAATATAGGTAGAGTGGTTTTATAAACTGTAAAGGGTTATACGAATGGTAGTTTATATAATAACTATGAACTATAAATGATTGTTTTCCTTATATTGGTGCTGTCTATAAGTGATATTTTCATTATTTCTTTAAAAATATTATTCCTTATTTTGACGGTTTGCATGTACAGCATAAAATCTGTGCCTCGTTTTGACAGTATACATACCATATATTATATTGGAGATAACGGTGGTGGAGAATTTAAAAAGTTTCCCAATTCTAATCTGTGCTCATTCAGCTATCTCAGCATGGCAAGTATTTGCGTTCTCTTCTACACCTTCTCAAGTGGCAACTCCTCTGTGAAGCCTTCCCCAAATCTGCTTTTCCATTGTACATATACGTGCTACTCTTTACTTTGTTTCAACTGCACTTAGATGATAGAACATAATGATTGTTCCCATAGAAACTTAAAACAATATAGTCAACCATTTCATAGTACCTATCGCATGTCATACCCAATGTCTACACATTTTACATGATTTATCTTCATATCATCTTCACAAAAATCATATAAGGTAGATATTCTTTGTTTTTCATTTTACAAATGAGGAGATTAAAGCAGAATAAAATATGATTTGCCCCGTGTCCCACCTCTAGTAAGTAGCAGAAGCAGGGTGTGAGTTTGTTTTCTTTCCCTGCCTAGCTCCTCTCTATAATTCAACAGAGTAATGAAACTTCATAAATACAAAAGCCAGGTCACATTAATAGAAGCCTAATATTCAGAATGGTGGCACTGATAACAGTCCAATCTGTGCAGCTCATTCATTCATTAATTCTTTCAAGAAATGTTTATGAGAATATACCAAGTGCTAGGCATTGTGCTTGACACCCATGACACAGAGATGAGGTAGCATAAGTCATTGACTTTGTTAATTTGTTCATGAAAAAAGGTATGGGAAGAAGCACTTGGAGTGAAGAAGAATCAGATCATTTCTAAAATGTGATGTATTTTGGCTCTATTTGAGGACTGTATCTTGAGAGAAAACTAATGCACTGGCACATAATAAATGAGGAAAAGCCACAATATAAAGAAAATTCAGAACCAATGCATAGAAAAAATGAATGAAATAAGAGAGTCTACTTAGATATTTAGCCTGGAAAAGAAAGAAGACTGAAATATTCTCATATCTAGGTAGTTTTGGAAAGCCGAACTAGTTCTACAGGGAGAAAGACATGCAGTAACAGAATTGGGATCAGAATGAAGAACAAATTTTTAATAAAGTCATTCTACATTGCAATAAGCTACTTATGTTAAATTCCCTGTCATTGGAGTGGTTAAACCTAAAATGAACAACTTATTATTCAGAGAATTGTAGAAAGTCTTTCTATATCAGATTAGAAAGCTCAACTCCACTAGGTGACTTCTTCAGTCTATTCTGAACCAAAATCTATTCTGCTGTAAATAGATGGAGAACAACAGGATAGACTGTCAGAAACTGTGTAAGATCTAGGATTCACTGTTTCATGGATGCTATCAGAAAAAAAAATAAAAAAACCTGAATGAGAGACAAAACACTTCATTGCTCATGGCAGAAGCAGTAGCCAGATCTTTATGCTTATTTGCATAAATTCCCTATGTCCAAGTCCCAAGGTGGTGACATCAAGAATCCATGACAGCTGCTTTCATTGAAAGGGTAGAATGCTGAGTTTGGGGTCATCACCACTTTCATGGTAATTGAAAGTAAACCTACTCTTTGCCCGATGGAGACAGTACCTCATCCCTCAAGGTTAAGGGTTGCAAACAAAACAAGGATGAGAGATGGCTCAGATGGTCAAGGCCTTGCATTCTGGGAATACACAGCAAGAATATGCAGGGACACTCAGGGCGTATGCTGGATTGCCTCTCTCAACACAGACTAAAAAGCCATTCAAAATTGAGATTCCTTGGGTATGCCAGAGCCTCTGATTACCAAAGAAAGCAGATAACAGGGAGGAAAGATACTTCAACGACACAGCTCCTATTTAAAAGAATCTCCAAACAGTGAGAGATAGATGAGATAAAAACAGTTTGCTTCTAAACCTATTGAATCCAGATGGAAGTTACATATGTCATCAATCTTCTCGTTTGCATGCCAAAAGAACTAACCTATTTGGTGCAGGCTTATTTATAAGGTTTCTAATGGCACGAAGCACCCATTTTTCAAGTTCAGAATTGCCCAAATCAGCTCTTTCCTATGCAGGAATTTTCATTAGATTAAAAGAAAAAAAAAAGAAAAAGGGAAAAACTCAGACTCCTACTGCTTTCAAGAAGATAAAAATTTCTGTTCAAACATTAGTAGATGAATCAACATTGCCACCTAGTGGAATAATTCATTTTTCCAGCAGCATAAAATTATATTTTCTACAGCTCTATCCACTTTTTCCTTGTGTTTTGTGAGCAAAGATGAGCTGTTTAAACCCCCACTTCAATCAGTCTGTTTTAAACAATTAAACTTTCCTTTTGTTCCTTCTTAAAAATTTATTTTTATGCACAAATCGTATACAATTTAAATTGTGTAAATGGGAACAGTTTCTAAAATAGAACTTTAAGGGATGCTGGTCATAACTTGAAGTTTAAAAGCTTACAACTTTTTGCTGTTGTAAAAGCAAGAAAAACAAGGTTGTTACTTTTGTTACGTCAGAATTTAAAGTTGAATGTGTGCGTTTATATATCTATTTATATGTATAAATGTTTTTAATATTGATCACTCTAAAAAGTCACAGTGACTCTACTGTAATCATGAGTCACAAACAGATTTTTCAAGGACTTTCTGACTTTTTAAGGTTTTATTAATGACCTTTTACATTTAATTTTTTTAATTAAAGTACTTAATTATCGAAGCTGGAAATAAAGCAAGGCATTGGAAAAAATAACATTTTAGCAACCTTTTTAGAACAAAGAATTGGACAAAATTGTAGCCTTTTATTTTAAAAAGTATGGGAAATACGTTACATTCTAGTCAATGGGCATCTTGTGAAAAGCCACTACAGATACTACAGAAATAAAGAGCACTTCCATAATTACATTTTCCAGCAGCTTTCATAATCTTGTTGGTATCACGGTCAAATTTTTCAGGTGAAATGGAAGAGAGAAAAATGAAACACTCAGAGAAATCAAAATGAATTTGAGTCTCTTTCCATTGACTCTAAAATCCCATTATTTTTCCCTTGAATAAAGCAGTATAGCCAAGTGATTATGATCATGAACTTTGCAATAATGTTTGTAGAGTGGAATTATATAAAATGGTGTTCGGGTTTTTTTTCTGTAAATCAAAATAAGTCAAATATTGACAGTTTCATATGGCTCCACCTGTACATTAAAATCTTAACTTTATATGTAACTATAAAATGTTCATTAGGAAAGTTGATTTACCTCAATAAGCCTTAGCCTCCTCATGTTTTCAATAGGAATAATAATACATATCCCAGTAGACGGTTATGAGAAATCAGTGGAGGAAGTCTCAGGCAGTGCTTAACAACTACCCAATCTTTAGTGAGCATTCAATGAATGACTGTTGTCATTAATAGCTACTTTTCAAAATATACGTTTGGCTACTACAGACACATGCTTATTAGCTGACTGTCAACAATTAAAATATGTAAATGGTAAATTAGAAAATCACTTTCTAACTGCCTCTTTGTGAGTTTCTTTCTGATTTTTAGAGTTTCTGTCTAAGCCTTCTTCATGTACTTACTCTTCTGTACTTCTTCATGTACTCACTCTTCATGTAACCACCCTTTTAAAATTTATTTTTCTAACCAATTAGAAGAGACACAATCAATTTCTTTCACTAGAACCCCTGAAGGATGAGTTGCCACTCAGCGGTTGTTTCTGCTGATCTAGTCTTCTTTGACTTAGTCACGAACAAGAGGACAGATAGTGTTGAAACTTATGCCCCTCTTTAATGTGGAAGCATATTCCACTACAATGTACTTCTCCTCTGTCCTGGTATCTCAGTTCTACTCTATATTTGTGAGCCCCAGTTAAAATAAAAACATAATTGCATTGGGTTCTAGTGTGTTATATATTTCCTTCTGATGTACTCATCATTTTCCCAGGATCTCTCTAAAGACAATGATTTTCTTAATCCACAAAGGAAGTGGTGCCATTTCATGATTAAAGGCATAGTGTCTAAAGTTAGGTTGCCTAAGATAAAAGCTAGGCTTGAACAGGTCTTAGGTATATGATCAAAGGCAAGTTGCTTACCACCTTTAATTCCTTTATCTGTAAAATGGGAATAATGATGGCACTTGTCTAACAGAGTTGTGGTCAGAAACATAATGTACCTGCCTGGAGTAGAGTGAGTCCTCAAGAAATGTTAGTTATTACTAATTCAGGAGTCTTGTTCTGAGAGTTTCAGGCATTCAGAAGTTCAGAGAGAAAGTAATTCAAAGCTTTCCTTCTTTCATTCTAATGTTTGAGTTGTACTAACTACCTCGTGACGTGAAAACGTAAGGGTTGATATGGTTTCACTTTACATGAAATTTACAATTGGGATGTCAGCAAAATAGAGAATTAGGACTATTTTTGATGATCACAGATGTGTCCCAGGAACAAATGGACACAAAGGAAAAAGAGAGTGTCTGTCTGAGGAACTTCCTCACCATGAGGATGCTGAGATTCTTCAGGAGGCCCCCAGGCTTGTTCAGTGCCATGGACAAGAGAGCTTCCTTTGAGCCTAGTCCCAGGAAGAGTAATGCCGTGAGTGTTCACTGTGTGCCAGCCAGTTCGTGTTCTATTTTCATTCTTTTTTTTTCAGAATATTTCATAAGGTTGGCACATTTATAAGTAAATAAATTAATTTTCAGAAAGATTGAATGACATGGCCAAGACCACCACAATCAAAAATTTTAGGTCAAGAATCTGAACTCAGGTCAACTTAGTTCCTAAGGCACACATGCCTGACCTTTTCTTGAGGGCTACGTGTGGTGGGAGGTACATTAGCTTGAGGTTAGTTATAAACAAATCTTGCAAATACCGGAATTGTGGCATCACTGGAGTGGAGAGCAGAGATGCCCCATATTATGAGTAAGAAGAACAATGGTTTATTAGGGGGGAAAAAAAGAAGGCTATAGAATTGAAAAATGTAGGATAGGCTACCACAAAAGCCAACAGGTCTGTATGAAGCCTGATGGGCCTGGGTGCAGGAAATATGGCCAAGCTTGCTCTAAATTTCTTATGTCTTGCCCTTTGCCAAGCTTTTTTGACCTTCATACCATTCACCAGGGCAAAAAATGTGCCATTCAGATGTGCCAGCTTTGCATCACAAGATGCTCTCAGAATGCAATTCAACTTACTCATTTCTTTTTTTATTTTTAATTTTATTATTATTATACTTTAAGTTTTAGGGTACATGTGCACAAGGTGTAGGTTTGTTACATATGTATACATGTGCCATGTTGGTGTGCTGCACCCATTAACTTGTCATTTAGCATTAGGTATATCTCCTAATGCTATCCCTCCCCCCTCCCCCCACCCCACAACAGTCTCCGGTGTGTGATGTTCCACTTCCTGTGTCCATGTGTTCTCATTGTTCAATTCCCACCTATGAGTGAGAACATGTGGTGTTTGGTTTTTTGTCCTTGTGATAATTTGCTGAGAATGATGGTTTCCAGTTTTATCCACGTCCCTACAAAGGACATGAACTCACTCAACTTACTCATTTCTAAAAAGATGTAATAATACCTGCCTTACCAAATCCGGGCAAAATTCAGTGAGGTGGCATGTATGCAATGCCTATCCAACAGATTGATACATAACAGATGTTCGATACATGTTAGTTCAGTGTATTTCAGACTGCAGATTGTAAAATCAATTTCATGGTTCACAACCAGACACTGGAATGGAAAGGAATAGATCAGAGTGTATCGTAATTAATAAGAATGAGACTTGTTCATGAATCTTCTTTAAGATTCGTGTATGACATTTACATATGTGTGTTTGAATTACAATATAAAAATTAATCATCATGAGTCGCAATTAAAATGTTGCAAGCCCCTGCACTGTCTCACCTTCTCCTTAACACATTTCCAACTAATATAACCCATAGCAAGGATTGACTAAGCCCCAAATCATTCATTCAGAAGTTTACAGGTTGGTCTTAACGTTTTCCATTATTGTTTCATGTGTTAATTTCATTCCACCTAAAATACTTTGCAAGTGCTTTTATTACATAACATTTATATCCCACAATTATTATTATTTGTTCATATGCATTTACTCCCTCTACATTTTAAAGGGTGAGGACCTATCATGATTTCTTCACTCTTTTCTAAGATTGCTAAGAAGACAATGATTTGTTGCTATTGTTATTAATAAGAAAAACATCAGTTAAAAATCTATAATTTTCCTGAAGTAATGTGATAATATTTAGATGTTCTTGGTAGAGCTTTTAAACTTCCCTTAATTATATTAAAATTACAAATCTTTTGAGGAAAAAAAATGCGAAGAAAAGAAATGGGCCTGGACTTTGAAGAAATGTGGTTTCCAGATAGGACTGCTATTCCTAAAAAGGTAACCTCTTGAACGTCATTTACTGTTTCTGCTATAGTTGCCACCTTTTCAATGCAATTGTAAAAGTGCAGGATTTTTAAAGTCTCTTCCAAATTTAATGTTTTTGATTTTGTTGGAAATCATGTATGGCAGAAAAGCATATTCAGTGTGAATGACAGTAAACAAAAGACAGATCCAGAATTGAGACCCTTAACTCTACAGTTATTTTTTAACCCTTCAATCTACATTATAATATAGTACAGATTATAAATTTTGAGTAAAGAACTAAAAGCATTCAAAACAACACTGCTTTGAGGAATAAAGGAACAATTCTGAGCACCAGTTTTAGTAAACCAGAAAAACAGGAAGAAGAAATAACAAGTGAATCTTGCTTGCTTATCAGCTTTTGGTTTCATCAGGCGGCTGAAGTGAATCTTTTTTGTAATTATAAACGATTATTATTTATGTAGTAATGCATTAGAATTATTGTCTTTAATGTGTTTTAACGATGCCCAGAAAATGGTTAGGAATAGATGTTCATTTGATATTCAAAAAAATCCCATAGTGTATAAGAGACTGTGCTTTCCATTGTAAAGATGAGAAAACCAAGGTTTATACAAAGATATCTCAAAACTTTGTGTCTTTTATGGAATTGAAAATATAATGAAATATATGTGAGATGAATAAAAAGATATTAATTATGAATAAATGTCAGACAAATTGAGTATGAGCTCCAAAATCAGAAATGGAGTAGGGTTTAAAGCAAATTCTTAGATTATAAACTTCCATTGGAATTTTACAAACGTTCAATTCAGTTTTTTGTCCTTCTTGCTTTGTTTTGGATTTGTTTATTTACATCGGTATAGTATTAATGTGGTATTAATGAGGAAAGATTTATGGCAACTCTCTTTTAACAATAAAAAAATCCTTATTAACTAGTCAGCATATAAATGAAACATAATGATCAGGAATTAGAGACAATTCCTAAATTTCTTATGTCTTCTCTCTAATTGGATCACCAGCAAGCAGCATTCACTTTTTAGTACTGTCTTTGAAATCCTTATCATTTCTATGTTTCTGGGATAAAAGCTGCTGTAGAAATTTAAAAATTGCACTAAGCAGTGTTGGTCTCATGAGTGATCTGACAGACCAAGCGTGCACTAGTGCCCTGTGTCTAACACCAAAGTGTGCAGGGGCTCATTGGCTTGCTGCCAAGATAAGATTACTTAAAATCACCCCTGACTGGCTAAAGGTAGTACAGTCATTTGGAAAACAAACAGAGCAGTCTCTTTTAATTCAAAAGTATCTCCCATATTGCCTTGAGCATTTAAAATTATGCAATTGCAAAACTACTATTGAGGTTTGCTTTTTTGCTTTTTAAGAGTGTGAATGTCTTTGTATTTCTTTGAAGACCTTAATAAATAGTGACTTCAGTTCATTGTCATAGTCAGTAGATTTTACATTTAACCTTCCAGTTTAGGATCTCTACAAGCCATTACATTGTAAAGCATCAATAGTATATTGATTTCAAATTCAAATGTCATATAAAACATAGGTCCTCACCACCAGATAAGGGCTGCAATTATTTCTATGTTATTCCACACCAAATGAACAACTGACAACAAGAACCCATTAAGAACTAATAATCGACAAAATTTCTTGCTTTAAATCACAAGGTTAGAAAAATCTATTATATATTTAAAGTACTTTAAAATAGTCTAAGTCTATTTATTATGATCAATGTGGTCATGGAAGTATTCACATCATAGGGAATATTTTGTCCTGATTTATACATTTCAAGGGAAATGGAAATTATGTCATAAAGCCGTAATCATCTCACAGGCTTTTAAAAATTTGCTGAGACTTTCATACACAGATGCTAATCTGATTAATAATATTGACTTTTCATTTACCTGAATGGAAATAAGACTGATGGAGTAAAGGCAAAGGATGAATAGAACAGGGATAAATCTCTGTGGTCTTTGAAATAGAGGGAAAATAGACAAAATAGGAAGAAAGCTGTGTTTCAACAGTATTAACTATTTCACTTCAATTTCACAGTCATGCCATGCGACAGCAAGTGGACTAGTTACTTGGAATCGATAATAACAGCAAAAGAGGCAAAACAGGAAAACTTAAATAGCAAAGGTGAAAGCACTGTCAGCAATGTGAAGTGTGACTTCATCTTGGAGAAGAGTCAAAGCAAAGCAGATGACCAAATTTGTGATCATTTTCTATAAGAGTTATGAACTGAATTATATCTCCCCTAAAATATATATATTGAAGTCCTAAACCCCAATAACTCAGAATATGAGCTTATTAGGACATACGATTGTTGCAAACACAATTCATTAAATGAAGATGAGATCATACTGTTGTAAGATGGGCTCCTAATCCAATATGATTAGTGTCCTTAGAAGAAGAAAAGCATGCTGGGAGAAGTCCATGTGAAGATGAAGGCAGAGATGAGGGTGACTGAGGAAAAAAAGGAATGCAAAGATTGCTCACAAACCACCAAAAGCTAGAACAGAGGTCCGGGACAGATCTTTCCCTAGCCCCATCAGAGGGAGCAACGCCCTGCTAACACCTTAATCTTGGCCTTCTAGCCTCCAAAATTATGAGAAAATAACAATTTCTGATGTTTAAATGATTCTGTGTGTTGTATTGATACAGCTACCCTGGGAAACTGATACAATAATCATGATATACTGATTTTCAAAAGTATTATATTTACTGTTTTGACGAATGCAATCTACATGCCAAGTTGCCTTTGGGAAAACAGGTAAAAGAGTGGCAGAGAAGCTGTGGTGCAAGTGGGAAGCAATACCAAGAAACAGGAACAAAGAATAAAATTATAATCTCAGTGGTTCTCATTCAAAGTCACCCAGGCTCATTTCTTAATCACTCACCTATTTTTAATTTCTATATGTGGTTCTCCTTGCCCTCTCCCAGGGGGCCACATTTCTCACCTCAGTAGTACTTGAGATTTTCATCATAGGTCCAACCTGCCCAAGATAAAGTGAGTACCCAGTATGTACAACTATTATTTCCCTGATTGAATAGTCCAACATGAAAAATACGGCTTCATAAGGAACCAATATGAGCCTTTGATGCAACAATTTGAAATGGGCCTAAGTCTTGCCACTATTAATACTTACTTGATGTGCATTAATTACCTTCCTCAAATGGCATAAAAAAACTCAGAGCTTATATAAATATCACAACATTCTCAGGCAGTGAACCTTTTTAAATACATTAGACTTACAGAATATAATAGATGGAAAGAAGAAAATTGGCTCATAATTGTACGATTACATAGAAAGTGTCTTTTAGGAGCAATTGCTCCATTTTCAGGTTTTAGTTTGCCAGATTTGCAATTTTTTCTCTTAGGGGAGGTACATGGTGAAATTTCAGATGAAATGGCGGGCTTAAAAGAAATCAAGTGACCCAATTGATGATCCTACATTAGGAAAATTACTCCTACACTTTCACTCCATTATGGTCAGTTTCTCAACAGGAAAATCTGAGGCAGAGGGCAAGTGCCATTGCTTTTGCAAAGTACTTCCCTGAATTGTATTATTTCAGAGATTGTGTTTCTGGTTCAACTTCCTTATGTTACAGATGAGGAAACGCTAAGATTTTTTGGTGTTTTTATATGCCTTAATCAAGGTCACTCAGGGAGTAACAAACAAAGTGAGAACACCAGTTTTTCTTATACCTGTCTAACACATGATCATCAGAGCAAAATATGTCACCAGTAACGGTGATGGCACCATTACTGGTATTGTCACACTCTTATTCTGTTCCCTCTAAAGTCATTGACATGAAAATGCTGAAGATATTAAAAGCAAAAATAAGTACTTTTCCTCACTGCATCTTAAAGGGATGTCCACTACTTCCCAAGTTCTTAAATTATGCAACAGATAATCATGTGGGCTACAGATTCACTGTTGTCCAAGTCATCTGAACTTTCACATATTACCTGTGCCCTACAACCTGTATTTCAACACTTAGTTCAAACATAAATAACTATGATAAGTGTTGTCAACTTACTTCAGAAGTAGGTTTCCAGTTATAATTTTGCATTTTTGTTAAGTCTTTTACATTTTTATTATTCTGTTTCTTTGTCTTATTCTAAAGCATATTTAATGGTATGATATCAAGTAGTATAAATATTAATAGCAATAGTAAAGTGTGATACCTCAACCCAATAAGGCTTGACAAACATAAGATATAGAAATATAATGTTGCTTGATCATTTTGGTCTTATATGTGTTTAATAATTTTTATTTCTGTCCAGTTTTTTAAGCACTTGAAGCACAGAAATGAGTTGTTTTAGTGTCACCCATAATTAGCTGTAACTTGTGTCACAACTCAACAGAAATTAAGATACTATCCAAAGGGTTCTGTTCACCGTATTGTGCATATTATAAGCACTGGAGGATTGATTGTATTTTAGGTATTTGTTTCATTTCATTACATCTTTTATCTAGAGACTTTGTGATGATAAAATAAAGGATTGACATACTATAGACCTGTTTACTACAAACTATAGATGATGATCGGTATGTCTTCTGATTATATATTTTTAATTGTCATCTCATTCAGGAATTAACAGATTCAATTTTCCATGCATAACATAAAGACTAGTCTATGGTGTGTCACTTGGAAGTAGTGAAGTGGTAAAATCCAGCAAAGAGACCAAAAGGCGTGAAGGAGTTACATTGATACAACTTAGGGAAAAATTCTTACAGATCAACTAGAACTTGTGGAGAAAGACAGATAAATCAAGAACTATGGATTGACTTGCAATCTTTTTAACACAAGAGTAAAAAGAGCCCAAATTAAGAGGAAATTTGAGTTAGAGTGAATTAGAGTTAGAGTTTGAGCTAGAGCTAAAGTTAGAACTAGTGTTAGAGCTGGAGTTTGTGTGGAGTTAGGATTAGAGGTCTAGGTCAAATCTACCCTGCTTCTGTTCACTTTCAGATGCCAGAGACTAGAAAAACCACAAGTCAGAAACAACCAGTCTCTAGACAAAACACTATAGGTAATACATACAAGTTAAATCCAGATCTCACTTTTCAGTAGCTTGCTGTTCACCACTAGGGTTCTAAGTATCAGTATATTTATCTCTAACAAACATGACAGCTGCTAGTTTCTTGCCCCTTTAGAAATGGTGTTGCTTCCTGACAGCCTCACCCTGGACACTGCATGGGCCTGTCCTCTGGTCTGTCTTTGCTCTGAGTACACTGGGCAGCTGTCTCATTGTTGGAGATTTTTGCATCATTTCATCAATGTTGTACCTACACTAAAAGAAGAAAAATAGCATATAGTTGGGTTGGAGGATGTGCTTTGGATGTTCTCTGTAGAAAAATGATCCCCTGGCAGTCATGGTGGTGACCCATACCTGTAATCCCAGCACTTTGGGAGGCTGAGCGGGCAGATGACGAGGTCAGGAGATCGAGACCATCCTGGCTAACACGATGAAACCCCGTCTCTACTAAAAATACAAAAAATTAGCCAGGCATGGTGGCAGGCTCTAGTAGTCCCAGCTACTCGGGAGGCTGAGGAATGTCAATGTCACGAAAGGCAAAGAAAGACTAAGGAACTTTTCCAGATTGAAGGAGACTAAACAGACATGACATCTAAATTTGATATGTGGTCTTGGACCTTATTCTTGAAGGTACAAAGGTATAGAAGATATTACTGGGACAAAAATCAGATTATGACTCATAGAATTAAGTACCAGTGTTAAATTTTTATACTAGATAACTATACAGTCCTTTTGTAAGAGAATATCCATGTTCCTAGGAAATACTGACATGTTACGGGACAAAAGACTATGATGCACAAAAACTGCTCCCAAATATATTCTTTTGGAAGAGTTAAATTGTTTTTGAAATTCTTGGATGTAGGCGGATTTAACAGACATTATGAGATTTTGTGTCTATTTTTGGTACACATCTGAATACATTGTTTATTTTAAGTTTTTATGTTAATCAGTTTCAAACTTTCAGAAAAATTATAAGAATAATACAGAAATCTTATACACACACACATACACAAGGGGGAAAAATCAAGTTTAAAGAAGATTCTCCCTCTTTGGGTCAATTATACAGCATTTAACAAAAACATAAATTCATATAGTTATTTGGCCACTGAGAGAATGAAAGAGACATGTTCCCAATAAATATCTATCTGTTTGCCATATCATCTGCATCCAACATTAAAATTAGAGTGGAAAGTTGAGTGTATTGATAACTATGCTTGCATGGTAAGTTATTCTTGTTGCACTAGAGTATGACTGAACTTGTTAAGAGAAAACAAACAAGAACAGATCTATAATGAAAAAGCTGTTTATAACTCCTTCTGGATAGGTAAAATATTCACTGTTAGACAGGGGTCACAGGTGTCATTTCTTTGGAAAATAAGGAGTAAAACAGATAAAAGCATCATCCATACTCAGCAGTACCTAAATGTTCATGATCGTGTTATTTCCAACTAAATCTTCATTTTTTTTTTGTCTTTCATATCCCACTTTGAATCCTCCTGGTGGAACCCAGCTGAGCTCAGTCAGACATGCAAGGTTGAATGTGCCTGCCAGACAGGCTTAACTATTTCCTATGCATCTTAGTAGATACTAAAAAGCTACTATATTAAAATTGTTGATGAACAGGAATTAAAAGCATCCTTCCTCAGGTGTAAGCCAGCATGTGATATTTCTGAAGATGAGACGATCTGGCAATAATCATAAATACTGAAGCTATTGCTCATATAAGTTAGTGTACATTGCCAGAATGAATTATTTAGTGAATTTTACTGATGGATACCTTAAATAGCATTCAGTTTAGACAGTGATGTGCTTTCTAGTTAAGGAAAGCATCTAAAACACAAACATACTCATGTTTTAACTACTAAAATCCAATATACTACTTTGCATTAACAATCATGTATCTCAACCTTAAAATTCACCTTCTCTGACTACTTGTTAAAATCTAATCCTGCACCACTTTTCTCATGACTCTTTCTAAGAGGCCATGATTGTGTTTATTAAATAGTGGTAGCCTTACTCACAAGAGTAGCAGTGCTGTGGTGTGTCAAGAGACTGTCAAAACATTTGGAGAAATACATTATTTCTCTGGATTTACAAAGGAAAAACAAAACAAAATTTTTAGAAGATAAAATCAATACATTAAATAGTTCAATGCAAAACATATATAATGTTTTTACCCATATATGTTGATGTGATTATGATGATGATAACTTTCCTGCTATGAAGTTCATTGATCCCAAACAATGAAATTCAATTACACCTAATTTCGGAACAAAAAGAACCTACTGAATTAGACACAGTAACTAACAGAATTGAGGGAGAAGAGGAAATGAGGAAGAGACGAGCCTTAAGAAGGAGTAAAGTTAGAGAACCAGGACTCCAAAGAGTAGTGACTAAAAGTCTCTTCAGTATTCTTTCATCTGAATGACTAAGCTAAGTTTAAAGGAGAAAAGAAAAGATAATGTGAACAGTTTAGCTATTCTCAAGTAAAGGATCTTAGGCCGGGCGCGGTGGCTCATGCCTATAATCCCAGCACTTTGGGAGGCCAAGGCGGGCGGATCACGAGGTCAGGAAATCTAGACCATCCCGGCTAACACAGTGAAACCCCGTCTCTACTAAAAATACAGAAACTTAGCCGGGCGTTGTGGCGGGCGCCCGTAGTCCCAGCTACTCGGGAGGCTGAGGCAGGAGAATGGCGTGAACCTGGGAGGCGGAGCTTGCAGTGAGCCAAGATAGACCCACTGCACTCCAGCCTGGGCAACAGAGCGAGATTCCGTCTCAGAAAAAAAAAAAAAATGGATCTTAGATCAACGAGGAATGAGACTTATTCTGAGTTATATTCGGAAGGAAGAATATAACTCAGTGGGGAAATGTTTGTCCAATGACATTCCTTTCAACTCAGTAACAATTAGAATCACTCTTAAAAGAGGTCAAGGCCAGGCTCGGTGGCTCACACTGTAATCCTAGCACTGTTGGAGGCCGAGGTCGGTGGATCACTTGAGGTTAGGAGTCTGAGACCAGCCTGGCAACATGGTGAAACCCCATCTCTACTAAAAACACAAAAATTAGCCAGGTGTGGTGGCGCATGCCTGTAATACCAGCTACTCAGGAGGCTGAGGCAGGAAAATTCCTTGAACTGGGAGGCAGAAGTTGTGATGAGTGGAGATCACATCACTTCACTCCAGTCTGAGTGACGGAGACTCCATCTCAAAAAAAAGAGGTCAAAACACTCTTCATAGATGTGTCCAGAGAGCAACTAGGTGACCACCATGTAATCCATCAGGCATGGATCAAAGGTAATCCCTATCTTGGTTGTCAGTTGACCAGGTGACTTCCCAGACCCTTTTCAACTTAAGATTCTGTGATTTCCCCCTGAAGACAAAATAATTTTCTGTCTCAAAAAATATTTTGCCTAGGAAATATGTCCAAAGCCCAAATGTAGATGCTTAAAGGGTTCTTTCTCTTATTTCAAAAGATATTATTCTAGAATTTAAAAAATACTATTAACTTTCAAAATTCCCAATTAGTCTAGAATTTCTCCATTTAAAACCCAAAGCTGGGTGTATTTTATTAGTGTACTTTTTCTTCGAATTGCTCTGCTTATTAGTATTAATTGCCAACTGCAGAACATCTGAGTACCCGGGCCTGAAACTGTGGATTTGGAGTATGTTAAAACTACGTGTTAGACATATATTATAATAATTAATCTCTAAAAGTGTGGTTATTTTAAATTAAATTATTTTTGCACATAACCAAATAGATTCTATGGTACAGTTTTAATAAAGGTCTATCCTCTTTCTGAAAAAGCTTTTATCATCTCGCCTTTAGAGTCTTCTTCAATATAAATTGTGCAAGAGATTAACAAAGATTATATATTTAAAAATTCTGTGCAAGTATTTTGATATGTACTTCCAGTGAGAAAATATACATTTATCAAAAGAAATCTTCTCTATGGCAAAATAAATGTAAGCACTTATTTGTAGCTCATTGGCTTATACTATTTACAAACAAAAAAGCTCAACTGTTTCTGCCTCACAGAGATACACATGTGCACACAAACACACACACACAGAGAGAGAGAGAGAGAAAGAGAGAGAGAGTAATATACTGGGTGACTAAACATGAAAGTTTTACTAAATATCAAGTAAAAGTCAAGAAATTAATCAAAGCATACAATTAATGAAGATTGGCTCCAAGAACTAAGAGTTTCTAGAGAACTAGTAGAAAGAAAACATACAAGTTAGTTGTAAAATTAAAAGACAACGTTGACCTTAATGTTCTCATTTTAAAATAAAAATGTGGCCAGATTGGTAGAAATAATAAATGGAGGAAAGGGTGTAAAATTCATTAGAAATTTTCTCAAAGGAGGTGGCAAGATTTCTTTGAAAAATCAAGCTCCTAACAGAGTATGGGAGATTTTCTTTATTTTTAGTTCAAAATCTGTTATGAAGAAAGAGTTCCAGGGAAGAGAAATATAAATGGCAGCACCAGACCTCCAAAACACTGCAGAGTTCTAACACCTCCAGGAATTGCAGTTGTCTCTTCCGCCTACAGATTTCAATCATCCCTGCAGCCTCAGTCTTCAACCATCTGAGGACAACCCATCAATATAACTGATAACAAACCCAATCTGTGTTCTGGAAGGGAAAGTTAATAGTGAACATATTCAGAATACCATTTATCCCAGAAGACACATTGACATTCTAGAGTTAAGAAATATGGTTTCTTTTCACATTACTTTCATTGCGAAAAATTGTTGACTATTTTGGAGTTTAGTTTTTTGATTGCAATTTGAATGACAAATTAACAGAAACTACTGGAAGGCATCTAGAGGTTGTGTAGGTGAATGAAGCACTGATAATGTGTTACTCAAATCAATCCATTGTGTTATAAAGCAAACCCTTTTGTCCTTGTATGTTCTGTCTCAAGAGATAATTATAATACATATTTATTACTTATAACAATCTACTTTATATAATATAACATAATATTAATAAATATCTATTGATAAACTAATATTAGTATATTGATACCTTATTTTGATGTGTTTTTTATAGCTTTAATAAACTGAAAATAAAATAGAATATAGAATATTTTTTGTAAAAGAGGAAAAACAATCCTCTTTTATTCTACACTAAAATCACTGCTTCACAAAGAAAAACTTTGATGGACTAGAAACAAATAGTGTATGATATTTATATTGTGCTGTTACTCACATAGACATTAATACAATAACGCAATGAGCCCCGAATGGTGAGCCAAATGAATGAGTTAAGAGCATAGACTTTGGAGACAGATTTACTGGACTTAAATCCTGTATTTAATTAAAGTTGAATTGTTTATTGCAATTTAGCCTTGGGCAAGTCTCTTATTTCATCTATCCAATATGTAAATATTGAATGATATAGTGGTGATATTACTAGGGTTGTAAAAAATACAATGAGTAAAATATATGTTATGCACTAGAAAACACTTCAAGCATGTTATCATGGACAAATAAATATTTGCTATTAAATTGTATGTTTGTACATATACACAGACACAAACATGTTCTTTTCCAACCCTACACTACACATATATTAACTAAAATTGCCATGGGAGTTCTTTGTGAACAGAGATCTATTGTGAAAACAGAAATGGTTATGGAAACAGAAGGCTGGAGTTCAGTTCCCAGCATCAGCACTTTGTTCCCATTGTGCTGCAATTTATTGGGTATTTTAAATACTCCCCTTCACTAATTATTTTTTGCAGCTAATTTATCTATATTCCATAAATACAGTATGTATAGGCTTCATAAATTCCAAATAAATTTCTCTGGTTTACCCTGGATCTTGTACTTTATTCTTGAGCATACATTTTGTAATGTCTATGGCTATTTTCAATACTAGAGCAGTAAGACAAAAATTTAAATAGGTATTTATTATTTAAACAATTGTAGAGGTTTTATTTTCGGATTTCATGTGGGAAACAATGAGAGGAAAACACTGAAATTTAGACATTTTAATCTTTATATCATATTCAATTAGACTTTGAATCCCACAATATATCAGGGCTTGTAGTCATTAGAAGTCTAAGTATGTTGAAATATAAGAGTAAAGAATATTCTGTAGACCCCTTTTTTAAAATCTAGGTTAAAGATGTCAGTGTAATGGAATAAACAAACAAACAAAAAGCAGTGACTACTGTTAAATGTACATACTTTCCAATATTATTCCCATGTTTTTGCTTTGCCTCCTATGCGTATGTATTTTCACGTATGTGTTCACACACAGATGCACAAAGCTAGTGGACCTGTGGTGCATATTACATTGAGAAAATATCACATCTGTTGAACTTAAAGACATAATCCAGGGGAAAGTTAGGTTTTCTAAATGACTCCTTTTTGTCTCTTTCATTTTCTTAACATGTAATATATTGAATAGATATTTAAACATTTAATATATTGAAACTATAATGAAGAGTGTTTGTTATGAGAAAAGAGAGAGGACAGACAAGAGAAAAGAATGGCTAGAAGTTCAAAGTTCCACAGATCTCTGGGGCAGGGACAAAAAGCCACCAGTCTCTTTGCTAAAGCATAGCAAGAGTGAATTTTATTCCAGTTCCCAAAAAGTTTCTCATTTCCATCTGAGACCACTAGGCCTAGACTTCATTGTCTGTATCACTATCAGCATTTTGGTTCAAAGGCATTCGACAAGTCTCTAGGAAGATCCAAACTTTCCCACATCTTCCTGTCTTCTTCTGAGTCCTCCAAACTGTTCCAACCTCTGCTTGTTACCCAGTTCCAGTCACTTGTACATTCTCAGGTATCTTATAGCAATACCCCACTCCTGGTACCAATTTACTGTATTAGTCTGTTTTCACACTGCTATGAAGAAATACCCAAGGCTAGGTAATTTATAAAAGAAAGACATTTAACTGACTTGCATTCCTGCATTGCTATGGAGGCCCCAGGAAACTTAAAATCATGTTGGAAGGCAAAGGAGAAGGGCAGCAGGACACAGGGCAGCAGGACAGAGTGAGTGCAAGCAGGGCAAATGCCAGATGTTTGTATAACCATCATGATAACTCACTCACTATCATGAGAACAGTATGGGAGAGAAACCTCCCCCATGATCCAATTACCTTCACCTGGTCTCACCCTTGACATGGGGAGACTATGGGGATTACAATTTGAGGTGACATTTGGGTGGGGACCCAGAGCCAAACCATATCAAATAGCATCTAAGAGAAATATTTTAATCCTGAGGTACATAGACTACCAACCTTCCCAAGATTTTTGTGCCCCAAGTTGAACAAAAGCAGCAGGGTAGCAGCCATCCAAATGCATTAGGCAGTGCAGGGTAATAGGCTCCTTGACAAGAAGCTCTGTGGGTATAAAAGCCAGTACCTAAGAGACCTCAATGTTTTGACACTGTGTGAAATGTGGGATTATTTTATCTTATTCTAAGTAATAAATGTCACTATGAAGATTATAACTAAAATTCCCCCATATTAGTGAAATGAAGATCAACATCAAACTTAATTTGAATAAAAATGTTAAAGTATGTATAAAGACTTCTAGTTTCAGCTCTAATATGTAAAGATCTCAGTAATTTTTATTCTGAAACTTACAATAATAAAAGTCTAGATTAACTGAAAATGATCACTTTATTTGGACTTACAAAAGAGCTGAGTTTGCAGGGCAAACGACTATCATAAAAATTTGGAAGACAGATGAATCCAGAAAATCACAGCAGAGACCCGATTACCTGGAACAAAAGCCACTGGAGCCATAAAATGATGTTAAAGATAAATGGTAATTTTGAAAAACTGCTAGAGGCTGCATTGCTAGAACAGCATAAGATTTAAAAACTGAAACCAGAGTAATAATAGGTAGATCCCAAAACTTTCATAGGAAGGTACAGAAATGTAACCAGGTACTCACAGTAAAGATTCTGGAAAGACCACTTCCAAGCTCTGACTAAAGGAGAAGAAGAGTATTTATTGGGAAATGTACCCAGAGCCTTCTCCATAACAAAAGCTTTGTATTCAGAAGGAAAAATCTTACCATAGCCTTCTCCCAGACCATGTGGGATGGGCATTCCTTTCTCTCCAGCTCCCTTTAAACTTTTTGTCTCAATTACTGGAGATTGGAGATTATAGAATAATCCCGTTTTCATAATGTACTACCACACTAACATAACTGTAGTATAACAACAGTGGATTACAGCTAAACAATCTATATGACACAGGTTCTGACTGAGAAGGAACATGTAGGAGAGGCCAAAGTCAAGAGGAGACCTAAAAACAAGAGGAATTCAAAGCCTCTACTACCTATTGTTACAGCAAACACTAAACACAACCCAGCTTCTTACCACATTAACATAAATTCTCAAGTTTAAGCCTATTTATCTCAGTTCCTATTGCCAGATAACATGTCTGGCTTTCAGTTAAAACAAAAACGACAACAACAAGAAACATGTCTCATGCCAAAAGGCAGGTAAAAATACAATAACAAGAAACAATGAAAGTATCAGAACCAGACTCAGATATGAAACAAATGTTGGAATCATCAGACAAGAAATTTACAATGTCTAATGTTCATGTGTTAAGGGATATAATGGAAAAAATGGACCACATACAAGAGCAGATATGTGATGAAACCACAGAAACAGAAAATCTAAGATGCAAAAATAAATGCTAGATATTAAAAACATTGTTATAAAAAGTATTTTTGATGGTCTTAGCATAATCAAAACAGATCAGAAAAAAAACCTCAAAGTGATGTTAATAGAAACTTCCCAAACTGAACTGCAAAAAGAAAGACCAAAACCAAAAGCAGCAAAAGCATCCAAGAACTCTGAGACATTATTAAAAGATCTTTTCATAACTGGAATAGTGGGAGAAGAAAAATAGAGAGCAGAGCAGAAGGAAAAATATTTAAAACAATAATTGGCCAAGAACTTTTCAAAATTAATGACATACACAAAATAAGATTCAATAGCCCAGAGAACACCAAGCACAACAAATGCAAATAAAATACCATTTCACCTAGGAATATCATATTCAAGACAACCAAAAACAAAATTATGACAGAAGCTGGAGCATAGGCTGAACTCTTAACTATAGAGCAATAAAGATAAGAGTCACTTTGGACTTCCCATCAGAAACCATGCGAGCAGGAAGTGTTTATATATACAAATGTGTGGGTGCATGTGTATGCATTCTCAATTTTTATTTTATGTTAAAGGAGTGCATGTGCAGGTTTGTAAATTGCATGTAGCTGGGGTTTGGTGTCCAAATGATTTCATCACATAGGTAGTGAGCAAAATACCCGATAGGTAGTTTTTTGACTCTCACCCAATTCCCACCCTCCTCTTTAAGAAGTCTCCAGTGTTGGCTGTGCAAGGTGGCTCGCACCTGTAATCCCAGCACTTTGGGAGGCCAAGGCAGGCAGATCACGAGGTCAGGAGATCAAGACCATTTTGGTTAACACGGTGAAACCCCACCTCTACTAAAAATACAAAATATTAGCTGGGAGTGGTGGTGGGCACCTGTAGTCCCAGCTACTTGGGAAGCTGAAGCAGGAGAATGGTGTGAACCTGGGAGGCAGAGCTTGCAGTGAGTCAAGATCACGCCACTGCACTCCTGCCTGGGTGACAGAGCGAGAATCCATCACAAAAAAAAAAAAAAAAAAAAAAAGAAATCTCCAGTGTCTACTGTTTCCATCTTTGTGTCAGTGTATACTCAATGTTTAGCTCCCACTTATAAGCAAGAACATGCAGTATTTTGGTTATCTTTCCAGCATTAATTCACTTAGAATAATGGCCTCTAGCTCAATCATGTTGCTGCAAAGGACAAAATTTTGTATTTTTTATGACTGCATACTATTCCATGGTGTATATATACCACATTTTCTTCATCCACTCTACCATTGATGGGCATCTAGGTTGACTCCAGGTCTTTGTTATTATGAATATTGCTGCGATGAACCTACATGTGCATGGATCTTTTTGATAGAATGATTTATATTCCTTTGATTATATACCCAGCAATGGAACTGCTGGGCCGAATGGTGGTTCCATTTTAATTCTTTGAGAAACCTCCAAACTGCTTTCCACAGTGACTGAACTAATTTACATTCCTTCTAAAAGTATATAAACATTTCCCTTTCTCTGCAACCTCACTAGCATCTGTAACTTTTTGACTTTTTCATAGTAGCCATTCTGACTGGTGTGAAATGGTATCTCATTTGGTTTTCATTTGAATTTATCTAATAATTAGTGACAATAACCCCTTTTCCTATGCTTGTTGGATGTGTGTATTTCTTCTTTTGATAAGTGTGTGCTCATATCTTTGGCTCATTTTTTAATGGGGTTATTAGGCTTTTGCTTATTGATTTACTTAAGTTCCTTATAGATCCTGTATATTAGGTCTTTGTCAGATATAAAGTTTGTGTATATTTTCTCCCATTGTGTAGGTTGTCTGCTCTGTTGATAGGTTCTTTTGCTGTGCAGAAGCTCTTCAGTTTAATCAGATTCCACTTGTCTATTTTTGTTTTTGTTGCAATTGCTGTTGGAGACTTCATCTGAAATCTTTGCCAAGGCCTGTATCCAGAATGACATTTCCTAGATTTTCTTCTATGTTTTTATTGTTTTAGGACTAATGTGTAAGTCTTAATCCATCTCGAGGTGATTTTTGTATGTAGTGAAAGGAAGTGATCCAGTTTCAATCTCCTGCATAGGCTCATCAGTTATTCCAGCACTTTTATTGAATAGGGAGCCCTTTCCCCATTGCTCATTATTGTTGACTTTGCTGAAGATTAGATGGTTGTAGGAGTGCAGCTTTATTTCTGAGTCCTCTATCCTGTTACATTGGACTGCATTTCTGGTTTTGTACCAGTATTATGCTATTTTGGTTACTGTATCCTTGTAGTATAGTTTAAAATCAGATAGTATGGTACCTCCACCTTTGTTATTTTTGCACAGGATTGCTTTGGCTATTTGAGCACTTTTTTTTGGTTACATATGAATTTTAAAATAGTTTTCTTTCTAAATCTGAAAAAATGATATAGGTAGTTTTATAGGAATAGCATTGAATGTGTACATTGCTTTGGGCAGTATGGCCAATTTAACAATATTAATCCTTCCTATCCACAAGCATGGAATGTTGTTTTGATTTTTTTGTGTGATCTCTGATTTCTTTGAGTAGCATTTTGTAATTCTCATTGTAGAGATCTTTCTCCTCTCTGGTTAGTTGTATCCCTAGGTATTTTGGTTATTTCTTTTCTCCTGTTAGCTTTGCAGTTGGTTTACTCTTGTTTTTCTAGTTCCTGTAGGTGTGATGTTAGATTACTAATTTGAGATCTAAGTTCTTGATGCAGTGCTATAAACTTTCCTCTTAACACTGCTGTAGCAGTGTCCCAGAGATTCTGGCATATTATATCTTAGTTTTCATTTGTTACAAATTTTTGTTCTTTCTGCCTTAATTTCATTTTTCACCCAAATGTCTTTCAGTAGCAGGTTGTTTAATTTCCATGTAATTGTATAGTTTTGAGCAATTTTCTTAACATTGATTTCTTTTTTTATTGTGCTGTGGTCCAAGAATTTGGTTGGTATGATTTAAGTTATTTTTAATTTGTTGAGGATTGCTTTATGGCTGAGCATATGGTTCATCTTAGAGTATGTGCTATGTGAAGATGAGAATAATGTATATTCTGTTGTTATTAGGTGGAATATTCTCTAGATGTCTGTTTGATGCATTTTGTCAACTGCTGAGATTAGCTCCTATCTTTGTTAGTTTCATGTCTTTGTGATCTGTCAAACACTTTCAGTGGGGTGTTGCAGTCCTCCACTATTATTGTGTGGCTGCCTAACTCTCTTTGTAGTTCTCTAAGAAGTTGTTTTGTAAATCTGGGTGCTTCCATGTTGGGTGCTTATATATTTAGGATAGTTAAGTCTTGTTATTGAATTGAATTCTTTACCATTCTGTAATGCCCTTTTTTGTCCTTTTGGTCATTGTTGATTTACAGTGATTGATCAGAAATAAGCAAAGCAATACCTGCTGTTTTGTTTTCTTTCTGCTTGACAGATCTTTCTCCATCCCTTTACTTTAAGCCTCTGCTTGTCATTGCATGTGAGATGGGTCTCTTGAAGACAGCAAACAATTAGGTCTTGCCACTGTGCCTTTTAAGTATGGTGTGAAGTCCATTTACATTCTCAGTCAGTATTGATATGTGAGATTTGATCCTGTCATTGTGTTGTTAGCTATTTGTTATGTATACTTAATTGCATAGTTGCTTTATAGTTTAATACATAATTAAGTACATAAATGCACTTACTTTATTTATTTATGTATTTATTTTGAGATGGAGTCTTGCTCTGTCTCCAGGCTGGAGTGTAGTGGCGTGATCTTGGCTCACTGCAACCTTTGCCTCCCCGGTTCAAGAGATTCTCCTGCCTCAGCCTCCCAAGTAGCTGGGACTACAGGCGGATGCCACCATGCCCAGCTAATTTTTAAATTCTTTTTAGTAGACACAGGGTTTCAGCATGTTGGCCAGGATGGTCTCCATCTCTTGACCTCATGATCCACCCACCTTGGCCTCCCAAAGTGCTGGGTTTACAGGTGTGAGCCACCACATCTGGCAAATTCACTAAATTTAAATGTGTTTTGTGGTAGCAGGTATTGTTCTTTTGTTTTCATATTTAGTACTCCCTTAAGAATCTCTTTCTAGGCACATCTGGTGGTAACAAATTCCTTTAGTGTTTACCTGTCTGAAAAGGATTTTGTTTCTCCTCTGCTTATGAAGGTTAGCCTGGCTGGATATAAAATTCTTAATTGGAATTTCTTTTTGTTAAGGTTGCCAAAAATAGATCCCCAATCTCTTCTGGCTTGTAAGGTTTCAGCTGAAAGTTCTGCTGTTAGCCTGATGGTCTTTCTTTTGTACATAACCTGCTCCTTCTCTCTAGCTGCCTTTAGGATGTTTTCTTTTGTGTTGACCTTGGAGAATCTGATAACTATGTGTTTTGGGGATGGTCTTCTTATATAGCTTTTCACAGGGGTTCTCTGAATTTCCTGAATTTGCATGTCAATCTGTCTAGCAAGATTAGGGAAACTTTTGTGAACATATCCCCAAATATGTTTTCCAAGTTGCTTGCTTTCTCTATTTTCAGGAATTCTAAAGGGTAGTAGATTTAGTCTCTTGACACAATCCCATATTTCTTGGAGGTTTGCCCATTTTTAAATTTTTTTTCTCCTTTTTTGTCTTTCTGTATGATTTGAAGAAGGAGTCTTCATGCTCTGAAACTCTTCAGTTTGGTCTATACTGTTATCAATGCTTCCAATGGCATTATGAAATTCCTGTAGTAAATTTTTCATTAGAAGTTCATGTTGGTGCTTTCTTTAAATGGCTATTTTGTCTTTCAATTTTGGATCAATATACTGCTTTCCTTAGATTGGGTTTCAACCTTCTGTATCTGATTGAGCTTCCTTGCCATCCAGATTATGCATTCTATGTCTTTCATTTCAGCCATTTCTATCTGGTTAGGATCTATTGCTGGGGAACCATTACAGTTGTTTTGAGATAAGAAGACACTCTGGCTTTTGAGGTAAGAAGACACTCTGGCTTTTGAGGTAAGAAGACACTCTGGCTTTTAGAATTACCAGATACTTCTACTAGTTTTTCTCCTCTGTGTATGCTGATGTTCCTGTTATCTTTGAACTTTCTGTCTTCTGGATGGAGCTTTTTGCTTTTATTTTCTTCAATACCCTTGAGGGTTTGATTGTGGCATAAGTTGAGTTCAGTCAGTTGACATTTTTTTCTAGATGCTTTCAGGGCCAAGCTCAACTCATCAGTCCTGGGTTATGTGCTGTACCCTAGGGTGCTGGGATGAGGCCCACAGTTTTGTTCTCTTGTCCTTTGAGGTCAAGCACCTGCTGCAGTGGAGAGGCCAAGGTATTGCCAGTATACTAGCAACAACACTCTGACAGGGGCTGCCAGCAAAAGCAAAAGCACTGCAGTGAGGAGGCTGGGGGTCCATAACACTTTGTGCACCAGTGGGGCAGTGGGTGTTTGCAGGCACACTTGCAGGGTGGCAGGGATTTACACACACATGCATGGTGGGGGGCGGGTGTGGAGGAAGGCTGCAGGCAGGTGAAAGCTGTGGCCAGATGCAGGTAGGCCGAGGTTTGATATGGTTTGGCTGTGTCCCCACCCACATCTTATTTTGAATTCCAACATATTTTTGGAATGGCTGTATTTACCCAATGCCTGTACCCCCATTGTATCTAGGATGTAACTAACTTGCTTTTGATTTTACAGGCTTATAGGTGGAAGGGACTTGCCTTGTCTCAGATGAGATGTTGGACTGTGGACTTTTGAGTTAATGCTAAAATTAGTTAAGACTTTAGGGACAGTTGGGAAGGCATGATTGGTTCAGAAATGTGAGGACATGAGACTTGGGAGGGGCCAGGGGTGAAATAATATGGTTTGGCTCTGTCCCCATCCAAATCTCACCTTGAATCCCCACACGTTGTGGGAGGGACCCCATGGGATGTAATTGAATCATGGGGGTAGTCTTTCCCATGCTGTTCCTGATAGTAAATAAGTCTCATGAGATTTGTCAGTATAATAAAGGGGAGTTTCCCTATCCAATCTCTCTTTTTGCCTAATACCATCCATGTAAGACTTGACTTACTCCTCATTGCTTTCCACCATGATTGTGAGGCTTCCCCAGCAAAGTGGAACTGTAAGTCTATTAAACCCGTTTTCCTGTATAAATTACCCAGGATCAAGTATGTCTTTATCAACAGTGTGAAACAGACTAATACAAGTTTCATCTGAAAAAAGCACCCAATGTGAAGGCAGGGTCTGCTAGAGAAAGAGATACAGTGGTGGCTCCTGGATAGCATTGTAGTAGGGCACCTGAGGCTGCCTTGCAAGAGGGTGCAACTAGGCAGAAACCCTGCCAGTAGACAGTGGGGTGTTCAGATTATACTAGCCCATTTCCTGAGGCCTCCCCAGCAATGCGGAACTAAGAGTCAATTAAACCTCTTTCTTTTATAAATTACTCAGTCTCAGGTATTTTATTAATAGCAGCATGAGAACGGACAAATACGGGAGGACAATTTATAGTGTTACAGATCTAAAATCTATAACCTACATTTGTACTTCAGGAAACTGGAGAAAGAACAGCAATATGCGGCTAAAGTAATAAGAAGAAAATAAATAATAAAATATAGCACAAAAATCAATGAAATTTAAAACACAAAAACAATAGAGAAAAATTGAAACAACAGTACACTTTTTGAAATGATCAACAAAATTAAAAACATTCTAGTAAAGCTAACCAAGAAAAAAACAAAATTACTAATATCAAAAATGAAAGAAGAATCATCACTATATATCTCAGTGACATTAAAAAATAATAAGAAAATACTATGAACAACTTTGCGCCCATTAATTAGGTAACTTAAATAGAATGGACCAATTTCTTAAAAGAAACACTCTACTAAAATCACATGGGAGTAATAGATAACTTGAATATTTCTATATATAATAAAAATATAGAATCAATCATTCATTATCAGCATTCCCCTCCAGAGTGGTATACTTGTTGCAATTAATGACCTACATTAACAATATCACCCAAAGTTCATGGTATTACATTAGGTGTTGTACATTGGTGTTGTACATTCTTTGAGTTTTGACAAATATATAATGATATGTATTATAATATCATACAGTATAGTTTCACTGCCATAAAAATCTTGTGTGCTTTGATGATTCATCTTTCCTTCCCCTTATCCCCTAGCAACTACTGATCCTTTTACCATATCTATGGTTTTTGCCTTTCCCAGAATGCCATATGGTTAGAATCAAATAGTATGTGACTTCTTTTACTTAGTAATACACAAGGGGTCTTCAAACAATTCATGGAAAGTGTGTATTATAAAAAAAAAACTCTGCATGGATATCAACTTTTTTGGACCAAAATAAACTTGTACTAACTTGTAATAACATTGCTGAGCAGGACCTAATTTGAGGAAATACAAAGGATAAAACATCAGTTTGAAAAGAGCCCCTGTCAGAGCAACATAAATTTTGCTAATATTGAAGCAATAACAAACATCAAATTTGTGGTGAAGCCTGGGTGGAAGAGTGATAAAATCATTGGTGGTTTATGAAAAGTTTATTGAGACAATGCCCCAAATAAATCAGCAGTTTACAGATCAATAACTTATTCTAAGAAGTGATGGAGCAATGTTGAAGTAGAAGATTGCAGACGTAGACTATTCACATCAATTTGCAAGGAAAAAATTAATCTTGTTCATGTTCTATTTGAAGAAAACTAACAATTTACAGCTCAAACAATAGCCGAAACCATAGGCATCTCCATCTGTTAAGCTTACAAAATTCTGACTGAAAAATTAAAGGTGAGGAAATTTTCTACTTGATCGCTGGCAAAACCATTGCACTGAAATCAGCTGCAGACAGGAGCAGAGCATTCAATGGAAATTTCAAACAAGTCAGATCAAGCTCCTGAAACATTTCTTCAGGACCTCAAAGAATAGTAATGAGAGATAAAACATGGCTTTACCAGTGTGATCTTGAAGACAAATCACAAGCAAAGCAATGGCTAACAACAGGTGGAAGTGGTCCAGACAAAGCAAAAATCGATTGGTCAAGAGCAAAGGTCATAGCAATAGTTTTTTGGGATGCTCAAAACATTTGGTTGTTGATTTCTGCAAGGTCCAAGAACAATAATATCTGCTTATTATGAGGGAGGGGCTTTGAGACAGACAAAGCTTTAACAGAACAACGCCTGGAAAACCTTCACCAGAGTCCTTTACCACAACAATGCTCCTCCTCATTCCTCTCATCAAACAAGAGCAATTTTGCAAGAGTTTTGATGGGAAATCATTAGGCATCCACTTTATGGTCCTGATTTGTCTCCTTCTGACTTTGTTTTGTTTCATAATCTGAAAATTTTCTAAAAGGCACCCTTTTATTTCCAGTTAATAATGCAAAAGAGACTACATTGACATGGTTAAATTCCCATGACCCTCAGTTCTTTAGGGATGAACTAAATGGCTGGTATCATTGCTTACAAAAGTATCTTGACCTTGATGAAGCTTACGTTGAGAAATAAATCTTATATTTTTATTTTTATCTTTTAATTCCATTTACTCCATGAACTTTTCGAAGTCTCCTTTTACATTTTTTCTCCATGTCTTTTCATGGCCGAATAGCTAATTTCTTTTTAGTTTTAAGTAATATTCGTTTACATGAATGCATCACGCTTTATTTATTCATTCACCCACATGAGAACATCTTGGCTGCTTTCAAGTTTCAGCAATTATTAATAAAGCTGCTATAAATACCTGTGTGCAGGTTTCTGTGTAGACATAAGCTTTCACCTCCTTCGGGTGAATACCAAGGGGCACTATTGCTGGATCACATGTTAAGAGTGTATTTTGCTTTGTAAGAAACAGCCAAACTGTCTTCCAAGGTGGCTGTACCATTTTACATTTCTACCAGCAATGAGTGAGAGTTCCAGTTGTTCTACATTCTTGCCAGCATTTGAATTTTGCCCATTATAATCAGTGTGTAGTGGCATTACATTGTTATTTTTATCTGTAATTCCCTGATGACATACGATGTGTAACATCTTTTCAGAGCTGATGAGTTTCTAAATATGGCATCTGATCCATGAAGTAAAATGGATGGACTTAATTAAAATTGAAAACTTCCACCATGCAAAACACACTGTTTAGAATAAAAATACAAACTGGGAGAAGATATTTCACAACACATATTTGAAAAAGATTTGCATCCACAATATGCAAAGAAATTACAAAAATCAAAAATAAGAAAAAGACTAAATTTTAAAATAAGCAAAATATCTGACTAGGTACCTCACTAACAAAGATATACAAATGACAAATAAGCATACAGAAATGTTCAACATGATTCGTTGTTAGGAAATGGTAAATTAAAACAAGAATATGATACCGCTACACAACTATTAGAATGGCTAAACCTTAAAAATTGACCATACTAACTGCCAATGAAGATATGAAGCTATAGGAACTCTCATTTACTGCTGCTGGGAATAAAAACTAGTAAAGCTACTTTGAAAGACAATTTGGTAGTTTCTTACAAAGCTACATATAGTCTTACCCTAAAATCCAGGAATCATACTCCATAGTATTTACCAAACTGATTTGAAAACTTATGCCCACACAAAACCTGCACACAAATGTTTACAGCAGTTTTATGCATAATTTCCCAAACATGGAAGTAACCAAAATGTCCTTCAATATGATAAGCAAAATCGATAAACAAACCTGTCTTACCTCCATATTCAGCAACTTTAAAAAATGAGCTATCAAGCCATGGCAAAACAGAGATGAATCTTAAGCACACATTGTTAAGTGAAATAAACCAGTCCGGAAAAGCCACAAAATGCATGATTCCAATTATGTGACATTCTGGAAAGGGCAATCTGTAGAGATGATAAATAGGTCAGTGGTTGCCAGGAGTTCAAGTTGGTGGGGCGTGGGGAGGTTGAATGTGTGAAGCACAGGAAGTGTTTGCACTGTACTCTAACTGGTAGAGTAGTTTTTCAGAGAGAATGGGTTAACAATTGAAATGACAATACATTTATACTGAAACTGAGCTAAGTATATAAATTGTGGATGTTAGGAGCCAGATTTCTCACTGTTGGGGGTAAGAGTTTACAGATAAGCAAGGATAGGAAGCTAGAATGTTCATGCGGTAATGGAATGTAGTGGAAGACATCAGTGGGGACTCATGTTGAGCTTAATATCATTACTTTTAATGACAAAACTCACATTTACTTTTGCACCAACCTATTAGATATAGGTCGTTGCATATAGAAATGTCTGTAGGTAGGTGGATATATTAGGCTGATATGCATGCATATATTCGTTTTTTCTGTCGGCTGAGAAGCCCTAGAAGCAACCACATCTTAGTAGCAATGAGCACACCTAATGACCAGAATAAAAGGAATCATAGCTTCTTGGAAACGGCTGATTGTAGGACTGTGGCAGAAAGATGTACAAGATGAACCAGCAGCAACCGTAGTGCCAAAAACATAGAAAATGGTAATAATAATAATAATAAAACTACAATGCTGGTGGTATTTCAAAAGGATATGGCAGCCAATGAAAGATCTTTTAATGGCTGTAACTGGAATAATTTGAAGAACAAAAAGAAAATACCATTGGGTTATAACTCAAAATATTTTGAAAATACAAATATTTGTAATGATTGAATACACATTTGTATAAATAATTAGATGAGGAAAGAATCAACACATATCCTACATAGAATTCCTGGTAACTTATGCAGGTATTCCTCCTTCAAAAAAGGAGGATCCAGCTCCCACTTCTTGTCCAAACTGTGCACAGTGACTTCTTCCCAAAGAGCATGGCATAGAAAGGGAGGAAAAAAAACTTCCAGTGATAAATCTAAGACAGTACCCCAAGCTAGGTGATCGAGGTTAATATCAACAGTGATTACTTAAATTGGTAATATGTACTCTTGATATGAAGTGATGATGAGGGAAATTTGCCTTTTTGGTATTCCTTCTAAAACATAGTGACCCAGTCTAATTATGAGAAAAAAATAAAACAAGTTTGAATTTGTTCATTCCACAAAATATCTGGAACATTCCACAAAATATCTGGTTAGCATTCCTCAAAACTGCCAACGTCATAAAAGATAAGGGAAGTCTAAGAAACTCTCTCAACTGAGACAGCCTGAGAAGACATGACTGCTAAGAGTCACGTGGTATCCTGGATGGGATCTTGGAACAGAAAACGGGCATTGAGTAGATGAATAAAATATGGACTTTAGTTAATAATAATGTATCAGTATTATCTCATTAATTATAACAGATGCACCGTACTAATGTAACATGTAATTGATACTAAAGGGGGAATTGGAAATACAGTATATGAGAACTCTCTGTACTCTCTTGGCAATAATTCTGTTAATGTAATGCTGTTGTAAAGTTAAAAAGCTAATTTTCAGATTTATATACAATCATATATGCACATATGTGTATACGTGTGTGTGTGTGTGTGTGTGTGTGTGTGTGTGTGTGTAGGTATGTGTGTGTATAATGTTCCCATGAGGTCCAGCCTCATGTCTTGCCAATTTCTCTTGGTACACAGCACACCGAACTTCTTCCAACAAAAACTTGTTAGCAAACTTCTAACAGCTCCTCCATTATCACATGTTCTGTTTTGCCTCTGTACTGCCTCTACTAAAACTTTCCTCCCACCTTCTTCTCTATGACTAATGCATCCTCATTCTTTTTGTCTTCCACCAGGAAATTCCAGAAGTCTACTCTAAACCCAGCTAAATAACGAGGCTTTCCTAAGTATTCTGACAGTATCCCACACTTTTGTCAAATAAAAAACTTCTTTAATATTTATACCCACAGTAGAGTGGGAGTTCCCTAAAAGGAGAAACGAGGTGGGACCCGAAGCTGTTTCTAGAAACACACCACTCCCATCTCACCATCCACATCTCCTTGCCACACTTCACTTCACCATTTCACACACACACACTCACGCACTCACACAAACACACACCCTATCTGTAAAGCTTTTTTCACCTTTCCACTTTGTTAACTTGTTTATTGTTCAACCCTCAGCCAAGGGGTCACATTCTCCAAAAAGGTCTTCTTGAATTTATGGAGATTTTAAGTGATTCTTTAGCATCCTACTTCCTTGAACACGAAGTTATATTTGTGTTCATCTCTCCCACTAGTCTAAAAATGTCATTCATTTTTGTACCCCTATACTTTCAAAAAGGTCTGATACATAATAGAATGTCAAGAGATACTTAATGAACTGGCTTGAACTGAACTAGGCAGCAATTTTTCTCTGGAAAAAGCATACTAAAATTGGTGGTTCTATTTTTTTCCAAAAGGGAATGAATCAATTTGGAAACTGAGAGTCAAATTTCAAACAAAGTACCAGCAAATGCCTCGGGCAAACTAACTTTATTATTAATAGGACTCATAATCTACAACTAACTGTTCTTACTGCTGCTTTTAAAAGCCAAGTATTACTATTCTAAAACTAAAAATGAGAGATAGTTTCGATGAGTAATATTTTCAAGGTAATTCACGGAAATAATGTTGATATTCTTCTCCCTTGAAAATCTTAACATCTCTAAAACACAAAGTTATGTACAAAATAAAATAAATGCTAATTTGTAACATATTTTGTTATTTTGATTGTGTAAATGCATGGATATTTATTAATATTATTATTGTTATTATTATTATTATTATCTTACCTTTGTCTTCAAATATTGTAGAATGCCCTGGTCTATTTGTTCTTAGGACATTCCTTTACTCTCTTTTTTATTTGTTTCCAGAAAAAAAATGTGCCTTGTTCCAACTTACTAAATAAAAATTTAAGATCCTACTAACTTCAGGCTTATGTAATGTTAATGCATTTCTATTTTATTTTCCAATATACTTTGGTTTAAATATTAATTTTGGAAAAAAGTTACCAATGTAGCATAAAAACGTAGCTTTTTAAAAATAAAAGCATCAACAAAGACTAAAGAAAGCAGGATATTGTGCCAAAAAGAGACTTTAACAACTGTGTCATGGTCACAGAAGCCTGCTGTTTAAAAATTGATTTTTAGTTTGAAAACATTACTGGCAGGACCAGGAGTATGCAAAACATATTCTCTCATTAACAGAGCTGCTCTTTGGAGCATAAATGCCAAATGTTTCAAATTAAGGACAAAGAATACTTTGAGCCTTAGAATAATGTGCTGTAGAGCTGAAAGTATATAAAATTGTCTCCAACTAATATTTTCCTAAGCAAAAATATTTATAAAACTATAAAACCAAATACTGACTTGTTTTATACATAAGCATGATATACCTTGAGATCTTTTTTTCAGTATTTGCTTTTGAATAACTAAATTTTTCTAGAGAAGGAGAAAAAATTATCTTTTAAGTTAGTAGAGTGACCTTAGAATAATTTTCTCTCGAATCACTTATGCCCTCATTGGACATTAACTAAGTACCTGATGTGAACCAGGGATCGGGCTAGGTGATGCATACAGAGCATAGTCATTGACCTCAAAGTGCCCTAACTTTTATCGGGGATCAGACAACAAGGCAATCAGAACTCAACTACAGAGGCAAAACTATGTAGCCAGTTCAGATATGCTCGATGATGGCGATCATTTACCACAAAGCTTTAACAGTGTATATGTAGGATGTTAAGCATTTAGCATTTCCACCTAATATATGAAGTAGTACATAGAAGGATTTGAGATATGCTTCCCTAAAGAAATTCACAAAAGGCTTTTAAATTTGGTGCGTGTCTTGGCTGGCTCATTTATCAGGGTTGTCTTTCTCTTTGTCTTTGACTAGGCTATTTTACTACTCTATAGAGATAGAAATTTGTTTACAGTGCACTAATACTGATGTAAATAATTCCTGTTCATAAAACTGCAAATTATATTATTGAATGCAATTGATTATGGCCCTGTAGACATTCAAGAGTTTTGCCAGTTTGCACCCATTTGTAAATGTGTTTTAGCATCTCTTATCTGACTATAAATGTGCTGCTTTTGATTTATCTTACAAACCATTTGTCACATCTCACTGCTTTTTTCATTAATTAATGAGTCAAATAAAATCTTTGACATGTGATCATTTTATATCTCTATGAGAGTCATAATTTTATGCTTTTTAAAAAAATTATTCCTTAACAGGTGGATAAAGAAACCTTAAATCAGAAGAGTATCTCTGAATATTGGTATTATTTATATTTCAAGGGAATGATTCAGAACCTACCCAGGGTTCATATGCTGTTATCATTGGTACTTTTTGTTATGTATTCCTTTGGAAACTGAAAGTGATGAGCTGAAACCATGAGTTCCAGGATAAGTATGCCCCAGCAAAGAGAAAAATGTGAGACAAAAATCACATGGTAAATATTTAGAGAGACAGTCCATGGTTACTAGCAGCACTTATTTATTCTGACCAAAGTAATCAAGAAGCATATATACTCTGAAGCATGTGATGCCTCCTTTTATAGCCAACTGTAGAACACTGAGCCACATGTTCATAGCTCATGGAGTCACTTAAGGTATCTCCATTTGCTTTCAGAGCAATAACACTTTTTCAAATAAATTAAAAGCCTGACTGTTTAAATTGAATCACTTCATATCTTAAAAAGCAATCTTAAATGGAAGAAAATACAGGCTTTACATGTTTCTTGATGTAAATGAAATATACCAATTTACCAACTTGTCTGCAATATGGTTCAAAATAGTTATAGATAAGTGTGTACATAGAGATATATGTAAAAGGAACTTAGAATGAAAGTTCCAGAACACATAAGAGTCAGCAATATCCATGCTGGATGTGGTGCCTCATGCCAGTAATCCCAGCACTTTGGGAGGCCAAAGTGGGCAGATCACCTGAGGTCAGGAGTTCGAGACCAGCCTGGCCAACATGGTGAAAACCTGTCTCTACTAAAAATGCAAACATTAGCCGGGCGTGGTGGCATATGCCTGTAATCCCAGCTACTAGGGTGGCTGAGGCAGGAAAATCGTTTGAACCCAGGAGGCAGAGGTTGCAGTGAGCCGAGATCATGCCACTGCACTCCAGCCTGGACAACAGAGTAAGACTTCATCTCAAAAAAAGAAAAATAATCAATATCAAAGGTGGTATAGAAGTTAAAAAGTACATTGTCAATAATAGATTAAAAAGCTTTTAAATTCCATGCCACAATAAGAATATAAAAGCGTCAGATGATCATAGAGAAAAACAAAACAAAACAGGAGTGTTGAGGAACAGTCATTGGAGAGAGCTGTGCAGGGAGACATATATCCCCAACTGGGATGTGTCAGTTGTGCTACTTTCTAACTCCATGTAAACAGAGAGACCTTAAGGATACCACTTAGATGCTTAATATGCATCCCCACAGGGAAACACAGCGGACTTGTGTCTGCCACCTACCTGGAAGATCACAGGCAAGGTACAGGATTATTGTCCATGTATATAGCAAAGCAAAAAAAGAAACTTCTAAATTTGTGGCTGTTCACATTCTCAAAGTTTCTCTCAAAGTGGATAAAAGAATACCATCACCATTCCTATGGATAAAATGTTGGAGAAAAAGAGAATCAACATTAACTTGTCTTAGGTTTTGCTGTCAAAAAGGGTCACCTGGAAGGTGCAGCAGGCCTCACAAGAGAGAAGATAAAGGGACAGGCATTTGTAGTAATAAAATATGTCATCCTGAATGACCTGCAAAAATAACCTGAGCTTGACCGGGCGCAGTGGCTCATGCCTGTAATCCCAGCACTTTGGGAGGCCAAGGCAGGCAGATCACGAGTTCAGGAGATTGAGACCATCCTGGCCAACATGATGAAACCCCGTCTCTACTAAAAATACAAAAATTAGCTGGGCATGGTGGATCGTGCCTGTTATCCCAGCTACTCACAAGGCTGAGGCAGGAGAATCAACTGAACACAGGAGGCAGAAGTTGCAGTGAGCCGAGATTGAGCCACTGCACTCCAGCCTGGCAACATAGCGAGACTCCATCTCAAAAGAAAAATTAAAATAATAATAATAACCTGAGTTTATGAGATAAAAAGGTTAGAGAGAGATGACAAAACCCAGGCAACCTTTGTAATCTTATTACTAAAAAAAGAATAGAAATACACACACACACACACACACACACACACACACACACACACGTAATTGCAAAGGAACTGGATAATTCTAACATGTAAAAGCACATGTTAAATTCTGAATAAATAAATACAATAGTAAATGAAGGGTTTTACCTTTAAGACAAAGGGAATACAATGGTAGGGCACATAGGAAGGCTTGAGACTGAGAAATTATGGAGAGAAGGGCAAAATGAACACAGAATAGAGATAATAATGCAATAAGCATTTCCCAGACAGAGAATATGGCCAAGCTAGGCCAAGAAGGAGAACGTGCATTGATTGGGTATCATATCTGCAACTGCATACTTCAGTAGTTTGCTGTGATTAACTCTGTTAGTGTACTTTGTGTTCAACTGCTGATACTGGTGGCCGAAAATATAAATATGCCGAAAAACAAACTCACATATGACTTTCTGAAACTTCTTCTGTTATATTGATATCATTCCACTATTTACCAATCATGTACTATCTAATATGTTACAGTAACATTCTTTTTAGCAGAAGAGACTATCTCAACAGAGTAATAGAGGCTGTGACAGGAACAAGCAACCAGTGGTAGCAGAGAGTATTTGCCATTGTCAATGTAACTAAAGGAGAGATGAGCAAGAGTGGAGGGATTCCTGTTGGTGAGGAGTTCAAAGAACACAACAGTTCTCAAGAGTGTTTAAACTCCCGGCCCTAGATAATTCAAGGTCTATTCACAAAAATAGCAGTATTATAAAAACTTTCCTTCCCTTCTTGAATTTCTTCTTCCTGTTCCCAGTTCACCTTGAGGGAGGGAGAGAGTGATATTTAGATGAGAGAAAATTATTTTTGTAAAGTGAGAGAGAAAAAAGGTTAAATATCAAGGTGGAGAAAGAGAGAAGTAGCCATTTGTGTGTCCCTCCTGACTTCGATGCTTCCGTGTCCCCACCAAACAAGCTAGAGAAGGGAGGGATACTTAATTGTCAGCTATATGGCTTTGTATGATGACGGAGTGAGCCTGAAAACCACAGGATTGCCAGACAAAGGAAGATTCAGCACCATCCAATTAATTTAATGTATAATAGATAATGAAACTTGAGGTGCTTCATGCTGCAAGCCATTAGCCCTGAAGCATATACCTCAAAGATTAGTGTTGATAACAATCAAGCTGTCCAATTATCTGAATGGCATTTTGTTTTTGTTTTTTTGGTCCTTTTGTTTGTTTGTTTGTTTTGAGACGGAGTCTCACTCTGTCTCTCAGTCTGGAGTGCAGGGGTGCCATCTTGGCTCACCGCAACCTCCATCCCCCTGGGTTCAAGTTATTCTCCTGCCTCAGCCACCCGAGTGGCTGAGATTACAGGCATGCGCTACTAGGCTGGGCTAATTTTTGTATTTTTAGTAGAGATGGGGTTTCACCATGTTGGCCAGGCTGGTCTCAAACTGCTGACCTCAGGTGATCTGCCCACCTTGGCCTCCCAAAGTGCTGGGATTACAGGCATGAGCCACCACACCAGGCCACAGATACTCGAGGTTTACTTTAGGAAAAACAAAAACTAGATTTGATGTCTTTTTAAAAAGTTGGGACTATAGAGTCTAAAGCTGTTGCAGTGCCTTGGCCTCCCAAAGTGCTGGGATTACAGGTGTGAGCCACTGCGCCTGTCCCTGAGTAGCATTTTGTTAACAGACATAGAATAAACACATACACACACACACACACACACACACACTTTATTCTGTAAATTTTGTTTTCAGGAGACTATCCCTGTACTGTCCTACTTCATTCTTCAGATATATAGGCAAAGACTAAATTATAAAAATGCAGTTATATTATTATAGAAGAAAGATGGATACATCCAATACTATAAACAGGAAAAATATGTTAGATTTCATATGCCACTTATCTAAATGTACTAGTCAGGACAGTTTCTTTTGTAAGGCATGAAAACCTAACTCATTGAACAAAGGAGGTGGTGGGGGACTCCATCAACTCATAATAGGAAGTTCATAATTATACTAGTTTCAGGCATTGACTGAACCAGAGAATCAGAAGATACCTTCCAAAGTCTTACTGGTCTTATTCCCTCAGCACTGTTATTTTCTGTGTGGATTTTTTTCTTTGGCAAATAGGATTACATCAATCTTATAACTACTCATTCCAAGGGAATAGTGGTACCTATCTTTCAGTGGTTTCACCAAAACACCACAGAAGCATTCATCCATACTAGTTGTTTTGGTTTTATTTGCTTTCTCTTAAACTACTGCAGCCAGGAATGTACTGTTCTGACTGGCCATGGCTTAGTCATGTGCCCAGACTTATGGCATTGGGTCTGAACTACTCGGAACAAATTCATCATAAAGAAAGAAAATATCTATTACCAAAAGAAGGAAAGAGGAGAAATTCAAAGTGGCCAAACAGATAATTTTAGTCATCACAATGGCTATTAAAATAATGTCTTCAGAGTCATTTAACTGAGATTAGAAAATTGGGATAGATTTAAATGAATAGATGAGATATTGTATTGTGCACGTCTATAAATAACATATTTATCTTTATTGATAGGAAAATAGATGGGTAAATAAATATATACATAAATGGATAGACCATGGATGTTGACTTTTAAAAGGATATAGAGATATACTAAGATGATAGAATTCTCTAAAATATTAACAGATATTCTGTCTGGTGGTGAAATTATGAATAATCTATTTCCTTCTTTGTCCTTTTTGTCTCCATATTTAAGATATTGAATACACACATATATCAGAAAGTAATCTTTATAATCAGAAATAATCTTAAAATAAGTAAAAACTGCATTAAATCTGTCAAAATAATTTTCTGTCTCACGATGTTTACTATCTCAGTGAAAATGAAGTTTATTCTAGTGAAATCTAATGAGAGGAAACATTTGTTTATCAAAATGCTTGTAATCATAACCTCTTTTCTTCTTTTCTTCCCTGCACTTTCATTACTCTGCTTTTCCCCTCTCATAAATTCATAGGAAGTCATCACTAAAAGGGGCCTTTGGGGTATCTAGTCCCAGACCTTTATTTTGGAAATAATGGAACTCTAGTGCAGAAAAATGTGGGGACTTGCCATCAGTCAAAACAAACAAAAACAAAAACAAAAACAGAGTGGCAAAGTAAAACTATGTTCCTGGTCTGCCTGCTCTGAATCAGGTAACCCATTCATCAAATCTTTTTCTTATTCATTATTTCAACATGCATTAATTGTATCTAACATTTTCAGAATACTGTGCTAATTTACTGTAATATATACAAGGGCATATTTTGTCTGGTAGAGAATTATATATGTTCATATACAATATAAATATAACATCAGGTAAAAATTACTAAGTGTCTTAAGAGGAAATTTCTTTTTCTAGAAAGATGAGGATAAATCAGACCATGCAAACTGAAAACATAGTAGACTTCATAAAGCATATCTCTACATAAAAAGTACAATATGTTTTCCTTCAGATGTGTATTATGCAACATGTTCCTTAATGTGTATGTTCAACGTGGGTTACAAATATTTATTAGCTATTTTCAAGCCATACCTCAACTAGGAATCTTCCAGTCAATCTCCCAATTAGGGTTTCAGGGACACCAAACACAATTGGCCATGTGGTAGGAGTTCCCTTTTCAGTAATTAGAGAATATATTATTAATCATTTTATTCCATCAAAGAATTTAAACCAAGAAGGCTTAAAAGCCACAAGGACGGCTCCGTATCTCCTAGGAATCAAAAGATGTGACGTATCAGTATATATATATTGTGAAACCTGAAATATTTTGGTAACAAGATTATATATTAGTGCTACAAAAAGCAACAGAGAGAGATAGACGGTGAAGTAGATTGGCATTCTTCTAAACTGTATATGTGGCTGCAAGTTAATCTTGAGTTTCCATAAACCTTTAATTATATAATTTTACATCTTCATGCTATAAGAAATTCCTCACAAAATTCTATTTTATTAAAAATATACTGGTTTAATTAACATAAGAATGTGTATTGACGGAGTGAAAAATATACTTGTAATAATGTTTATATACTTAAGGAAAGTTCAATAATTCATACTGAAGAAGAGGGTACATTATGGAAATTCGATGGTGGGTTACATTTTAATTCTGAAATAGAACTATTTAAATCTAAAAATAAATTAAACTCTTAGTAAACTCTTTGCCCAGAAATTATTTGTAGTATTTAAATAACTACTTATTTCCAAGTAATAATTTTTATTAAGTAGTGTACTCATCTGAATGTTAAAAAATTTATGTCCAGGAATAGTCACTGTTTTAAGAGTGCTTTTCACACTCCCCCTCCTACCTCCAATCCTACAGTTTTTTACACTTATTTGGATTATATTCACATTTGACTTTCTGGCGTTTTAGAAAACCTCTCTCCCACTGGCTCTGAAAATATAATTTTTAAATGTGTAGTGTTTGTTCACAGTTGGCTACTTTATCATTTTGTGCTTTATAGCTAATGATGCATTTCCTTTTCGCTTACTGTGGCAAAAAGAGAAAATCCAATCCATGCACACCGTTCTGTGAAATCTAATGTGTACAGCAGTCCTTCTGGCAATCTGAATCAGTGATGATTAATAGATATCTAATGATTTTCTTAGTTTTCTGTAATTCCTTAACTCTTACTAATTGTTGAATTTTAATAACTAACGTTGTAATGTAAATGAAAGAAAGAAGAAAAGAAAGGAAGGAGGAAGGGAGGGAAGGAAAGGAAAGGGAAGGAAGGAAGGGGAGAGGAGGGGAGGGGAAGGGAGGGAGGAAGGAAAGGAAGGAAAGAAGGAAGGAAGGAAGGGGGAAAGGGAGGGAGGCAGGAAGGAAGGAAGGGGAAGGAAGAAAGGAAAACTAAGTTCTCTGGAACCATTATAAAAACAGCAAAAGAGAGGAGAAGGAAGAGTAAGGGAAGGGATAGAGTGGAAAGAAGAGAATGAGGAAAGCTGAGAAGGAAGAACAGAAGGAGTAGAGGGAAGAAAAGAAAGACCTGATTAATTATATAACTGAAATACTATGGGGTATCAAGTCAGAAGGAATCAACTCTGTTAATACATGTCCTTGTGCTTTATTGAAAGCCAAAATTTACACAAACTAGCTCTTCACAGTCCAAGTTTGCCAGATATTTGGCAGCATCCCTATACACAAGTTGCTTTTGTTATAAATGTTGTGATCACATATACTGAATAATAAATGCACACATTTGCATTACTTAAGCAAAATAATATACTCAAGTCTCCAAAGTATCATATTCAACAAGCATTCTGATGGTAAATCAATTATTTTAATCATAATTAGAGCAAGACCTTTTCTCAATGTTGATCATCTGTGATGTCCGAGCACACTGCTTAATCAACTAGTGCCTTAGTATTCTCATCTGTAAAATAGCAATAATTACTATTATCTCTAATAATTACTATTACCTCCTTATTAGAATTGTGAGACATGAAAAGTTGTATCTTGCAAATAGTAAATGTTCACTAATAAGTGCTAGCTATTATTATCTATTACACACAGCCTTCTGAATGGCTTATTTTGAAACTTTGAGGAAGATAGCTTTTGGGGGTTTCCCCAGAAGCAAACCCTGAATTTTAGTGCAAGGATTTTATTTGGGAGGTGATCTCAGAACACACAGGTAGATTGCAGAGTTGAGACAGAGAAGAAAAGGGTGACAAAACAGGGTTGTAAATGAAGCAGGTATCCCAGAGGGGCAGTAGGGACTTAATCCAACTGAGGACCTCGAAGTAATACTAGAATATTCCTCAGACTTTTCCCACCCAAGGATTAAGACAGTGGGTTACTTTTCCAATGACTGCCACCTGTCATTACTCTGGAAGAATAACTCTCCAGCGTTCTCATCCTGCCTTGCACAAGGGACATACCTGCTCTTGTTCCAGGAAAAAGCCTTAAGGCAGGGAGCAGCAGAAGTCTATAATATGAAGGCAAGGTTGTGTACAGGAGCAATGGAGAGCCAAGAAAATACAAGCAGATCCCTGAAGGGGACAGTTACACATACACAAGTTTTTCAAAATTCTGCTTCTAAAATATTCTTTTCACAAATATGTAATGAGCTTCTACTGTTCTCAAATTAACAGACCAATTGGAACTAAAAGATAAATCAGGCATGGCTTTGCCACTCAATGAACTAACAGCCCATTTGAAAAGTTGAGGGAATAAACAATGCTACCTTGATTCTCAGGCATCCTTCTGCCTCCTTCTCCATTAATTTCTTTTTTTCAAATATGAAAAAGTGATGCACATTTAAAACCTCACTCTTGATGAGTAGAATAAATTCTTGGTCTTCCTTTCCCAAATTTCTGGCATGTATTAGGGAAGATAAAATTTTCCTGGTGTTCATTTGAGAGTAGCTATGTGGCTTTGGGCTAGGTATTTAACTTCTTCAAAAGTCAATTATCCTTATCTGTAAAATGAGATGAAGACATCTGTAATATAGTGTACCTTGAGCATTAATTATGCATCTAATGTGCTTGGCACTGTGCCTACCATAAATTTAGGACTCAGCAAATGGCCATTTGTTAGCAAGTTGAAATTTTTCAAATGCCCACAACCCATTGCTATGGAGTGTTTGGAGTTACAAGAAGAGAGCAAGGGTTTATGGAGCAAGACATTGAATTTTACTAGAGTAGAGGAGAGATTACTGACTCAAGAGACAGACTCAGGTGTTTACCACTTTTCTTCACTCCTACAGCTGTGCCAAATATTTGAATTATTTCAACTTCTCTGATACCCCCTTACCTCATTGAGAAAACTAGGATAACAATGCCTGCTTAACCAACTACAGTAGGAAAGTGTGAGACATTAAATAGAAATCCATAAGAGCCATTTGGAAAAAATCAGCCAATATAATTAGAAAGAAAAAAAGTTAATTTTAAATGATCAGAGGAAAAAATGTTTCCTCACATTAGCTATGATATTTCAGTGGAAACAAATCAGACAAAGGCAACCTAATTTTATTAATATTTTTGCAATGTTATTAGACAAAGTGTACATGCTAGATAAGCCATTAAATATATCCATTAGTTTATAACAACAAAAATATCATTTTAGGATATTTTGTCATACAGTTCCTAAGCTCTTTTGTCATAGAAATGACCTTAGACTCTGAACTGACTTCTTAAACAATTTGATAGAATGGAAGAAACATTTCAGGTAGTGGATTTGCTCCCTGGGGGCTACCACCTAATGCTAATGACAGTTATTGTACTTTTGTTGGAGCCATAATGACATAAAACATCCCTTCAGACAGCTCTCAGCTGCTGTCACTTTCATTTTCATTCTTATTAATTCATCAAGATTAAAAAGGTCATTGGAATAAGATGGGTAGTGAATGAGTCATATTTGATGTAAAGTTACGGAGTAGAGTAAGCCATTCTCTTCAGGTTCCTTAGTCCAATCAAGCTGCTATAACAAAATGCTATAGACTGGATGGTTTATAAACAGAAATTTATTTCTCACAGTTCTAGAGGTTGGGAAATCCAAAATAAAGTGTCAGCGTATTCAATATTTGGTGAGGGTCCATTTCCTGGTTCATAAACGTTGCCTTCTTGCTGTGTTCTCACATGGCAGAAGGGGCAAGGCAGCTCCGGAAGGCCTCCTTCATAAGGGTACTAACCTCATTCCTGAGAGTCTCATCCTTATGACCTAATCATCTTTCAAATGCCCCACCTCCTAATACCATCATCTTGGTGATTAAGCTTCAACATATGAATTTTAGAGGAACACAAACATTCAGATTATAACAGCAGAGAAACTCAAGTTTCCTGTTGGTTTCTTTTTAGAACTCTCCTAAACTCAACATATACTACCAAAATAAACTGTGATTTATTGTCACTCAGTTTTATTGGTCTGGAGGTTAAACATGTGGTTGACTCTATACAAACAAGTGACACAGTCTTCTAAACAGCAGTGTAAAGAAAAATTAATTGACTAGGAGTCAGGAAGGATGAGTTCTAAACCTGCTTACCTGTTATTATTCAGTCTTTCACTTGTAAATAGCAATAAAAAATACCTGCTTTGACTACCCTACGGGGAAGTCAGCAGAACCAAAAGGCTACATATACTAAGAGGAAACCATCTGATATGGCTTGGCTGTGTCCTCACCCAAATCTCATCTTGAATTGTAGTTCCCATAATCCTCATATGTCATGGGAGGTGCCCAGTGGGAGGTAATTGAATAGTGGGAGCAGTTACCTCCATGCTGTTCTCATGATAGTGAGTGAGTTCTCACAAGATCTGATGATTTTATAATGGGTTTTTCCTGCCTCTTTATTTGGCACTTCTCCTTGCTGTTGCTATGTGAAGAAGGATGGGTTGTTTCCCCTTCTGCCATGATTGTAAGTTTCCTGAGGCCTCCCCAGACCTGTGGACCTGTGAGTCAAACCTCTTTCCTTTATTAATTACCCAGTCTCAGGTATATCCTAATAGCAGCGTGAAAATGGATTAATACACCATCTCTGTATTTATGCTCAAGTTTATAAATATAGTCCCCTCATACATTTTCCAATTAATTGCTCGTGTACTCACCTGGCCAGTCATAGAAGTCCAAAAGTTTTTGGTAGTGTTATAAAGCCTAAATATCATGTGCTGTTCTGACATCTTTGAGTCTCACTGGGCCCTGAAGGCCTAACTGTGACTTCTTCTGCTCTGGCCAGATAAGATTCCCACCCGAACAGCCAGTTTCTTTATCAGATGGACAAACTACAGTCCATCCAGTCCTCAACCTACCCAGTTTTACTTCCCTACCAACACAAGAAATCATTGAAATCAATCACATCCTCCCGTAGAAACCAGGGGATATCTCATTCTTGTGTAACTACCAAACCTGCCCCCCATAGTTGTTGTTTTTTTATACTGTTCCCAAGTGTAATCCCCATGTGGTTCTTCGTGGTGTGAGGTGTCCTCCTTTCCTGGGCTATGAGTATATTTGACTGATAAATGGCTGTCTATCTCATCTGTCTGGGGCCAGATATTCAATTTTCAGCCATATTGTACTAAGGTTAGGGGAATCCCTCCTTCACCAAGAGGATAGACAGCAGGTGATCAAAATACCCGCTGAGGGCTCCCTTGCAAAAATTACCAGAAGCCATGGAGACTGAATCCAAAAATAGAGCAGAGAAAGCATTCAAATCTGATCAGTTAACTACTGCCCTTGCTTCTTCTTGACTCACATTAATACTGAAGTTGAGGAACAAGTGTAAGACAAATGCTTAGTATCTGGAGTGATGCCTTTCTCCTCTGTCTCCCAGCTGATATTTTGTAGTGGTCTCCACACTGGGGACCAAAATCACAATTCTGTCTACTCATATTTACCCTCTCATTCATTGTCTCCCAGCATCTCCAAAGTTGGCTATATCTTGAAAGGATATTTGGTTTCAGCAACAGATTATGCCAAAAGCAAACATCTTACACAACATCTTAGTCCTTTTTGTGAGTCTAGATTTCTAGTCCTCAAGGTCATTTAACTTCCAGGACTAATTACTCCCTCTACTACTGGCCATAATCTAAACCGCTTTGTTTTACACCTAACTAATTCTCTAACTTATATGCCTGGAGTACTGAAGTTGAGATATTGCTTCCTACCCCCACTCCAGAATGCCCTGAGATCCTTATGAAAATTGAGTTGCTCTCCATCTAGTTGCTAAGTCAATATCTCAACTAAGAAATTTTAGCTAACCCATTCCATTTTTAGGCAAGCTCTAGCTCAAAGGGGGCCCATTTGCCTTACATTTATGTAGCTAAAAGTGTACAGCATCTCACTTCTACCAAGGGTATATGAGAATTTACTGAATAAACTAAAATAATAACAGAAACATAGATTTATTCTGCTACAGATAACAGGAAGGAATATTGTATTTTAATAAAAAACACTTTTAACCATGCTCTAGAGCAGCATGGTCCAAACTAAATAGAATATGAGCCACAGATTTAATTTTAAAATTTTAAATTAAAGTAGCCACATTTTCCAAAATGAAAAGAGTAAGCAGATGTAATTAATTTTGATAATATGTCGTATTTAACCCAACTTATATAAAACATGATTGTTTCAGTATGTAATCCATAGTTAAACTTTTTGTTTTGATAGGAAGTATTCAAAATTCAGTGTTTACAGTTAGAGCATATCTTAATTAGGATTATCCTTATTTTAAATGCTCAGTAGGCATATGAGGCTAGTGGCTGCCATATTGCACAGTGCAGTTATAGTGAGAAAATGCCAGAATTCTCATCCCAGCTTCATTTTCTGTTGGCAGTGTAACCATGAGCAAATTACCAGAAATCTCTATACTTAGTTTCCTTACATGTAAAGAAAAGATGATGACAATTGTTTCTATATCAAATGATTGTTACTGGGGTTAAATTAGCTAGTATTTAACAATATGGAACTAGTTAGCTCCAATTAGCTAGTATTTAACAATAGGGCCAGGTGCAGTGGTTCACACCTGTAATCCCAGCACTTAGGGAGGCTGAGGTGGGCAGATCACCTGAGGTCAGGAGTTTGATACCAGCCTGAACAACATGGTGAAACCCCATCTCTACCAAAAATACAAAAATTAGGCAGGCGTGGTGGCGGGTGCCTGTAGTCCCAGCTACTCGGGAGGCTGAGGCTGGAGAATGGTGTGAATCCAGGAGGCAGAGCTTGCAGTGAGATGAGATCACACCACTGCACTCCAGCCTGGGCAACAGAGCAAGACTTCACCTCAAAATAAAATAAAATAAAATAAAATAAAATAAAATAAAATAAAATATAAAAAAAAGAATATGGGAACAGTACAAGGCATATTAAAACTTAATAAATAATGAATGCTATTAATGAGTACAGAGCCAGAGCCAGAACAAGTGTCTCTCTCTTTTTTTTTTTCTCTCTCTCTCCCTAGTCCTGTTTTCTTTCCATTATTATGTACTGACCACATATGACTGCTTTTCTTTTAGCATTGGGAAAATTGTGGACCACAGAAGCACTTTACTTTCAATGAGTTAAGTTTTCCAACTAATCAGATTTTAAGTGAAAACTTAATCAGGTTTCTCTGACTTGTTTCCTTTTATTTCTTTATCGCCTCTCTGACTTTCTCATATTACCTCTCTTTTCCAACACACTTTGTTCCCTTCCTCAGTTCTTGTCTGTCATTGGTCAAGTTACTTGATGTCTCTGGAACTCAGTTTGCTCATCTGTAAAATGTGGATCAGGCAACTTTCCTCTTGGGATTTCTGTGATATTTAGTGATGCAACACAGTAAGGTACCTATACAGTGTCAACCATTAGTGTAAGATATTTGCAGTAAGTTTATATCTCTGTCTCCAAAATTATAGTCTCTTCTTTCCCTGTAACCACTTTGCCATACAATTATTATAAGTGCTTACATATAAACAGGGATAATAGAAACAATTTCAAGTAAAGTTTTTTTTTTGCGCTACAATCTGTTATTTTATTGCATATACTTATGCACAGAAGTGTAGACTCTCACACATACGAACATGCACATGGGGCAGACACACACAACTGAATAGATTGTCAAGGAATCTTTGATTTGAAAATTGAAGGTACTCTAAGGATTATCAAATCAAGGCTTCTCCCTTCTTCTGCATATTAGGCTGAGAGAATTATAAGGAGGTTGGCCATTTCCAAGGTTACGCTGCCATTACTGATAGGATTAAAAACAGAAAACTGAAATGATGCCAGTCTATTTTTCTGTTGCATTCACAGACTCTTACATGGACCCAGGGAAGAGAAATGTAAGAATCTTGCTTTTCAGTTTGTACCAATTATGTGATTTTATTAAGAAGTTAGCTTCTAATAAACATTTTTTTTGTTTTTTTAATTTCAAGTATTACTATAGACTCAATAAAAAAGAAGTATATGAAGTAACAAATATGAAAAGCTAAAATATTACAGATAAAAAAGAATGTTAATTTGGTATATATTAAGTAATCATCTGAAAAAAAATCTTAGTTGCTGACCTTTATTCAATATCTGAAAATTGAAATAAAACAATTAAATATGTGGTGGTTGTGATTTTCAAAGGTACTAGGAATTATCTAACTAGCTAGTAACATTTTCCCATAATATCAGTTTACTATTTTGTGTATTCCAGTAGAAACAATGAAAAAATTTAGAAGGAATCGCCATTAAAGACTAGAGTGCAAACTGTGTCCAAAGCAATACAATTTTTCTCTTTTTAAAACTAATACTTTCAATCACTAGACAACTAATGATATACACAAACACACACAATACTTTCTCTTGAGAAATCTGCACAATAAATTTTGTAAGCACAAGAAACAATGCATCTTCAAAATAGTTATATCTGCGTATTGTTATTAAAATATATAAAAATAATTTATGATTAAGTTAGATGATTCTGTGGTAATGGCTATGAGTTATTATTGCTTGTATAAATTTATTTGTTACTTGATCCTGATTCTATTTAGGGTGACATGAACTTTGTATTCAAACATTTTATTTGGGAATTTTAATTAAAATGGAAGTATTTATGCTTAATTAAAACAAATTAACATTGCAGAAGATGTTTAATCTTAGTAAATAATATTAATAAATTAGGGCAAAATACATACATTTTGTGAACAATTTATAGCAATGTTAAACATTTTTAAAGACTAATAATGTTAAATTAGTCTTAATGACACTCTTACATTTAGAAATTGCTACAGTAAACTATTATTAAAACAGCCAGATATTTGTCATACACACGCATACACACACACACCAAAAAAACACAATAAAAGCAGTAAATGAAATACATTGTATTATTATTCCAGAAGTTTTGGTTTAACAGAAGCATTTTCTATATCTTTAATCATGTAATTTAAAAGTGCTAATTCTTACCCAAAATGTATAATTCTCTGAATGAAAATAAATATATAATATCAAGTTGTGAGTAGGTCAACATACAGTTACATAGAAATTATGGAGTGGAAAGTTACAATAACCAAGACAAAAAAGTTTACTAAACTCAACAGTAGATTTGAGGTGACAGAAGAAAGAATCAGCAAACTTTAAGGTAGATCAATAGGGATAAATAATCAGATCAGTGGGTAAAAATAAGGAAAAATGAATAGAGCCTCAGAGAGCACAGTGTGCCATTAAACACACCAACAGGAATGTCATGAGATTGCCTAAAGGAAAGGAGAAAGGGAGAGAAAAACCGTGAAGAAATAATGGCTGAAAATTCTTACAAATTGATTAAAAACACATCTGCAAACCCAATAAACTATATGTAGAATAAATGAAAAAAGAGCCACAACTAAAATTATCATAGCCAAGATACTGAAAGCCAAAGATAAAGAGAAAATATTGTATCCTGTAAGACAAAAATGATTCATCACTTAAATGGAACTCCAGTAAGATTAACAGTTGACTTCTTATTAGAAACAATGAAGAACAGAAACAAGAAATGAAACTGTCTTTTACAAAATGAAAATGAAACAAAATTAATCCCAGATATGCCAAAGCTGGAACAATATGTTGCTATCATACCTGCCTTAAAATAAATGCTAAAGGAAGTTCTTCAGGCTAAAAGCTAGTGACATCAGGCTGTAGTTTCAAATCTACATTTGAAAAACCAAAGAAGTAAAGGGAAGTATGAAGGCAATTATTAAAATATATATATATATTATTACAGCATATTTTCTCTGTTCTTACCCTCATTTTAAAAGCAATTGCATGTCCCTGGAAGCACTCAGATATCAGGGCAAGTGACACCACCCACCACCACTGGTAGCCAAGCAAACAATTCTTGCTCCAGCTTTGGACCCAGTGATCCTACTTTTTCTGAAATCACCCATCAAGCTTAGACTCCTGTTATCCTGGGAAGCACCTGGACAGCAGAGCAGGTGATCCCACCAACCTCCACCACTGCTCGCCAGGTGAGCCTCACTTGCTAGAGCTTCCAGCCCAGGAGTCTCACTTCTGCCTGAATTTTCTAAGGGGCACCACCTGCTGTTACTGTGGAGACACCCAGATGGCAGGGCAGGCAACACCATCCACCTACACCTGCCTCTCATAGCCAGAAGGGCCACACACACTACAGTTTCCAGCCCAGTGGTTCCACTTCTGCCTGAACTCTGTGGACAGGTAAAACCAAGTGTTTCCCCAGAAAGCACTCAGACAGCAGATTAGGTCTAATCCAGCAAGAATACAGCCTGTCTCCCAACTGTGACTCCAGACTGAGGAAGCCCCAGGGACAAGAACACCTGTCAAAGAAACATGCACATGAAGAAAGTCATTGAAATAGGCTCCTTCAAGACCCATGAGCAAACTAGAATCAAAGCCAGTCAACTGAACTCACCTTTATATCACAATCAAACCCCCAAAGGCATCAAAGAAGATAAAAATAAAGGAACTCACCCAAAGGATAGCAGCTTCAAAGATCGAAGGAACATTGGTCCACACAGATGAGGAAAAAAAAAAAAAACAGTGGAAGAACTCTAGCAACACAAATAGCCAGTGTCTTCTTACCTCCAAATGACCACACCAGCTCCCCAGCAATGGTTCTCAACAAGGGTGCAGTGGCTAAAATGTCAGAAATAGAATTCAAAATATAAATAGGCATAAAAATTGTCAACATCTAGGAGAAATTTGAAACCCAATCCAAGAAATCTAAGGAATACAATAAAAAGTTATAAAAGAGAAAATATAAAATGGCCATTTTAAGAAAGAACCCAAGTGAAATGATAGAGCTGAAAAACTCACTTCAAGAATTTTATAATACCATTGCAAGTAATAACAGCACAATAAACCAATCTGAGGAAAGAATCTCAGAGCTTAAAAACTCGTTCTCCAAAATAACTCAGTCAGAAAAAAATAAAGAAAAAATAATGAAGGGGAAAGAACAAAACTTCTGAGAAATATGGAACCATGTAACAAAACCAAATCTATGCCTCGGTAACATCCCTGAAAGAAAGGGAGAGAAAGCAAGCAATTTGGGAAACATACTTGAGGATATCACACATGAAAATTTCTCCACCTTTGCTAGAGAGGCCAACATTCAAATCCAGGAAATGCAGAGAACAGCTGCAAGTTACTACACAGGACGATCATCCCTAAGATACATAGTCAACAGGTACTCTAAACTCGAAATAAAAAATGTTAAAAGTAGCTAGAAGGAAGGGGCAGGTCACCTTCCAAGAGAACCCCATCAGGCTAACAACAGAACTTTCAGCAGAAATCCTAAAGCCAGAAGAGTTTGGGGGATTACATTCAACATTCATAAAGAAAATAAATTCCAACCGAGAATTTCAGATCCAGCCAAACTAAGCTTCATAAGCAAAAGAGAAATAAGATTCTTTCAGACAAGCAAATGCTAAGAAAACTTGTTACCACCAGATGTGTTTTACAAGAGGTCCTTATGGAGGTGCTAAATATGGAAAAGAAAGGCTGTTACTGGTCACCACAAAAGTACAGTTAAGTACAGAGACCATTGGCTCTATAAATAAACCACATCATAAAATCTGCATAATAACCAGCTAACAACAGGATAATAGGATTAAACCAGCACATATCAATATTAACTTTGAATGCAAATGGACTAAATGCCCCAATTAAAAGTTGGATGTAAAAGCAAGACACAACTGTATGCTGAATACAAGAGAACCATATCACATGCAATGACTTCCATAGTCTAAAATAAAGAGATGAAGAATGATCTACCAAGCAAATGAAAAACAGAAAAAAAGCAGAGATTGCTATTATAATTTCAGACAAAAAAAGACTTTAAACCAACAATGATGAAAAAAGGGGCATCACATAATGAGAAAGCTTCAATTCAACAAGAAGACCTAACTATTCTAAATATATACATACCCCAAATAGGAGCACTTAATAGAAGAACTGATCAAGTAGAAGAAAAAATTAGTGAGCTTGAAGACAGGCTATTTGACAATACATAGTCAGAAGACACAGAGAAAAAAACAAATACAAAGCAAAGAAACATGCCTATGGATCTAGAAAATAGCCTTAAAAGGGCAAATCCAAGAGTAATTAGCCTTAAAGAGGACAGAGAGAAAGAGATAGGCTTAGAAAGTTTATTCAAAGGAATAACAGAGAGTTTTCCAAACCTAGAGAAAGACATCAATGTCCAAGTACAAAGGTTCTAGAGCACCAAGCAGATTTAATCCAAAAAAGACTACCTCAAGGCATTTAACTGTCAAACTCCCAAAGATCCAGGATAAAGAAAGGATTCTAAAAGCAGCAACAGAGAATAAATGACAAGCAATGGAGCTCCAATATGTCTGGCAGCAGACTTTTCAGTGGAAACATTATCAGCCAGAAGAGTGGCAAGACATATTTAAATTGCTGAAGGAAATGAACAAAAAAAAGTTTACCATAGAATAGTATATTAGCTGAAAATCCTGCAAACATGAAGGAGAAATAAGACACCTCAGACATACAAAAGCTAAGGGATGACATCAACACCAGACCTGTCCTACAAGAAATTTTAAAAGAAGCACTTCAATCAGAAAGAAAAGGACATTAATGAGCAATAATGAGTAGACATTTCTCAAAAGAAGACATACAAATGGCAAACAGACATATGAAAATGCTGGACATAGTGGCTCATGCATGTAATCTCAGCACTTTGGCAGGCCAAGGCAGGTGAATCATTTGATTTTAGGGTTTGGAAACCAGCCTAAGCAACATGGTAAAACCCCATTTCTACAAAAAACACAAAAGTTACCTGGGTGTGGTGGCATACACCTGTGGTCCCAGCTACTAGGAAGGCTGAGGTGGGAGGACCCCTTGAGCCTGAGAGGTAGTGGTTGCAGTGAACCATGATTTTGCCATCACACTCCAGACCGGGCAACAGAGCCAGACCCTGTCTCAAAAAAAAAAAAAAAAAAAAGAAAAGAAAAAAAGAAAACGTGATCAACATAATTGATCATCAGACACATGCAAATGAAAACTACAAGGAGATATCATTTCCCCCCTGTTTAAATGGCTTATAACCAAAAAGACAGGCAATAACAAATGCTGGTGAGGATGTGGAGAAGAAGGAACTTTCATAAACTGTTGGTGGGAACGTAAATTACTACAGCACTGTGGAGAACAGTTTGTAGGTTACTCAATAAACTAAAAATTGAGCTACCATATGATCCAGCAATTCCACTGCTGCGTATATACCCAAAAGAAAGGAAATCAATATATCAAAGAGATATCTGCACTCCTATATTCATTGCATCACTTTTGGAAGCAACTTACATGTCCATGAACAGATGAATGGATAAAGAAAACGTGGTACATACACACAATAGAGTACTAGTCAGCCATTAAAAAAAGAATGAGATCCTATCATTTGGAAAAACAAGGATAGAACTGGAGATCATTATGTAACCTGAAATAAGCCAGGCACAGGACAAACATCACATGTTCTCACTTACTTGTGGGATCTAAAATTTTGAGACAATTTAACTCATGGACACATAGAGTAGAAAAATGGTTTTCAGAGGCTGGGAAGGCTATTGGGGAGCTAGTGTGGTGGGGGGATTGGATATTTGATGGGTACAAACTATGATAGAAAGAATGATTAAGACCTACTATTTGGTAGCACATAGGGTGACTATAGGCTTTAATTACTAACTAAAGAAGTATAATTGGATTGTTTGTAACACAAACGATAAATGCTTGGTAGGATGGATAAAAACAAACAAACAGGAGTACTAGATTTATAAAGCAAATTCTTAGAGACCTATGAAGAGAGTTAGATAACCACATAATAATTTTGGAGGACTTCAGTATGTCACTGACCATGTTAGATAGATCATCAAAGCAGAAAACTTTGACCAAATGGACCTAGCAGACATCTACATAACTCTCCACTGAAAAACAACAAAATATACATTCTTCTAGACTGCACATAACACATACTCTAAAATTGACAACACAATTGGCCATAAAACAATCCTCAGCAAATTAAAAAATCTGAAATCATAACAAACACACTCTTGGACCTGAGTACAATAAAAATAAAAATTAATATGAGAAAATCACTCCAAATCATACAATTACATAACAGCTAAATACCTGCTCCTAAATGACTTTTGAGTAAACAATGAAATTTAGGCAGAAATGAAGACATTATTTGAAACTAATGAGAATAAAAATACGACATAGCAGAGTCTCTTTGACACAGCTAAAGCAGTATTAACAGGAAAGTTGATAGTGCTAAATGACCACATCAAAAAGATAGAAAGATCTGAAATGAACAACCCAACATCACACCTGGAGGAGCTGTAGTAACAAGAACCAACTAACCCAAAGCTAGTAGAAGACCAGAAACAACCAAAATCAGAACTGAAGTGAATGAAATTGAGACAGAGAAAACCATACAAAAAAATCAATGAATCCAGGAGTTGATTTTTTTTAAAAGAATCAATAGATTGATAGACAACTAACTAGACTAATTAAGAGAGAGAGAGAGAGAGAGAGAGAGAGAGAGAATATCCAAATGAACAAAATCAGAAATGCCAAAGGGGATGTTACCACAGACCCCACATAAAAAAAACACCTCCCAGACGCTAAAAAACACACCTCTGTGTACACAAATTATTAAAATTAGAACAAATGAACAAATTTCTGGAAGTATACAACCTCCCAAGACTAAACCAGAATTAAAATGAATCCCAGAATGGAACAATAACAAGTTCCAAAACTGAATCAGTAAATAAAAAATCTACCAACTGAAAAAAATCCCAGGACCAGATAGATTCATAGCCAAATTCTACCAGATATGTAAAAAGAACTGATACTATACCTACTGAAAGAATATGAAAAAATTAAGGAGGGACTCCTCCCTAATTCATTCTATGAGGCCAGCATCATCCTGATACAAAAACCTGGCGGAAACACAACAACAACAAAAACTTGCAGCCAATATCCTCTAGGAATATAGATGCAAAAATCCTCATAAAATACTAGAATAATGAATCCAGCAGCACATGAAAAAGCTAATCCACCATGATCAAGTAGGCTTTATCCCTAGGATACAAGATTGCTTCAAAATACGTAAATCAAAAATTGTGACTCACCACTAAAAACAAACATAAGATGATCATCTCAACAGATGCAGAAAAGGCTTTTGATAAAACTCAACATCCTTTCATGTTGAAAACCCTCAACACACTAGGCATTGAAAGAAAATACCTCAAAATACTAAGAGCCATCTGTGACAAACCCACAGCCAACATCATACTGAACAGGCAAAAGCTGCAAGCGTTCTCCTTGAGAACCAGAACAAGACAAGAACGCCTACTCTCACCACTCTTATTCAACATAGTGCTGGATATGCTAGCCAGAGCAATCAGGCAAGAGAAAGAAATAAAAGGCACCCAAATAGGAAGACAGAAGTCAAAAGATCTTTGTTTGTAGGCAATATGATTTTGTACATAGAAAACCCCATAGTCCCCACCCAGAGGATTCTAGATCTGATAAGCAACTTCAGTAAAGTTTCAGGATACAAAATCATTGTAAAAAATGAGTAGCATTTCTGTACACCAACAAAGTTCAAGCTGGGAACCAAATCAAGAATGTAATCCCATTCACAATAGCCACAAAAAGAATTAAATGCCTAGGAATACAGCTAACCAGAATGAAGAAAGATCTCTACAATGAGAATTACAAAACACTGCTAAAGGAAATCAGAAATGAAACAAACAAATGCAAAAAAAAAATTCTATCCTCATGGTTAGGAAGAATCAATATTAATAAAATGGCCATACTTCCCAAAGCAATTTATAGACAAATGCTATTCCTGTCAAACTACCAATAACATTCTTCAAGGAATTAATTAGGAAAACCTGTTTTAAAATTGATATGGGACAAAAAAAGAGCTCAAGTAGCCAAGATAATTAAAAGCAAAAAGGTCAAAGCTGGTGGTATCATTTTACCCAACTTCAAACTATGCTACAAGAATACAGTAACTAAAACAGTATGGTACTGGTACAAAAACAGACACATAGACTAAAGAAACATAACAAAGAACCCAGAAATTAAGCCACACACATACAACCATCTGATTTTCAACAAACTCAAGAAAAATCAGCAACGAGGAAAGACTCCATATTTAAGAAATGGTGCTGGGCTAAGTGGCTAGCCATATACAGAAGATTGAACCTGGACCCCTTTCACACAGCATATACAAAAACTAACTCAACATGGATTAAGACTTAAGGGTAAAACCCCAAACTATAAAAACCCTTGAAAATAACATAGGAAATACCAGTCTGGACATAGGCCCTGGCAGCGATTTTCTGACAAAGATGCCAAAAGCAATTGCAGCAAAACAAAATAGACAAGTGGGACCTAATTAAATGAAAGAACTTCTAAACAGCAAAAGAAACTATCAATAGAATTAACGGACAGTCTACAGAATCTGAGAAAATATTTGCAAGCTGTGCATCTAACAAAGGACTAATACATGGAATCTATAAATAAATCAACAAGCAAAAACAAACAACTGCATTAAAAAGTGGGGAAAAATACATGAACAAACACTTTTCAAAAGAAGACATACATAAGACCAATAGGAATATGAGAGAATGCTTCACATCACTAATCATTAGAGAAATGCAAGTCAAAATCACAATGAGATACCATCTCACACCAGTTAGAACGGCTATTCATAAGAAGCCAAAAAATAGCAAATGCTGGTGTGGCTGCAAAGAAAAAGGAAAGCTTATACACTCCTCTTAGGAATGCAAATTATTTAAGTCCTTGTAGGAAGAAGTGTGGGGATTTCTCAAAGAACTCTAAGTACCATTTCAACCTAGCAATCCCATTATTGGATGTATACCTGGAAAATTATAAATTGTTCTGCCTAACAACACATGCACACACATGCTTGTTGTAGCACTGCTCACAACAGTAAAGTCATGGAATCCACCTAAATACCCATCAGTGGCAGACTGGATAAAGAAAATGTGGCACATATATACCATGGAATACCATGCAGGCATAAAAAAGAATGAGATCATGTCCTTTGCATCAATGTGGATTGAGCTGGAGGCCATAATCAAAAACAAACTAACCCCAAAACAGAAAAGCAAATGCCACATATTCTCACTTGTAAGTGGGAGCTAAACATTGAGTACACATAGATACAAAAAAGTAAACAACAGACACCAGGGTCTACTTGAGGGTGAAGGGTTGGACGAAGGAGATTGAAAAACTACCTATTCGCTACTATCCTTATTACCTGGGTGATGAAACAATCTACACCAGCCGCCCATGACACATAATTTACATATTTATCAAAACTGCGCATGTATCCCTGAATCTTATATAAAACTTAAATGAAAGTAAGTGCATAGGACAATATGAATGTATTTGTATTGTTGCTTTTATACAAAAATGAAATGTATTTACCAATAACAGCCAAGGGTAATGGGTGGGAACAAAGTTGTAATGAAGTAGGAAATTAGAACAAAATGGTCACGTGGAATACATAGGAAGAAAGAAAATTGGTATTTTCTTCCAAAATTGGTAACTTAGAAGGTAAATATTAAAAAATTCTATAAATATATATTTGCTCTCCTTTCTGTTCTCAGCTTTTTACAGGGCATAAAAGGACTATATACAAAGCAGTAATTACAACAGTTTGACTGGGCTTGTAATGTATGTAACAAAATATAGATAACAACCATAGCACAAAAAACAGGGGAAGGGAATGAAAATATTTTAGAGAAAGTTTCTATCATCCATTGGAATAACGTTATTTTTAAATCTGAAGTTAATTTTGGTCACTTGCGATGTATATTTTAAGCCCTAGAAAAAACCACAAGAAACATAGTTGAAAAATATAATAAAAACCTTAAACTGGTTTTTACTACACTAGAAAATACTTAATAATAAAGAAGTCACTAGAGGAATAGAAAAACAAAGTGTCATGAGGCATACAGAATACAAAAAGCTAAATGGCAGAGGTCAATGCACACATGTCAATTGTAACATTACATGTGAATAAATTGAAAAACCCAATTAAAAGTTAAAAATTATCTTATTGGCTAAAATAATAAGATCCAGCTATGTTATGTTCACAGGAGACTTACTTTAGATTTAATGATGTAGAAGGTTGAAAGCACTTAACAAAAAGCACCACAATACATGAAGTAAAAATTGACAGAGTTTAAGGAAGAAGGACAGTCCAAAATTAATAAAGACTTAAGCAGCTCCCCCACATTTTTTTTATTTTAAACAGAGTCTTGCTCTGACCCCCAGGCTGGAGTGCAATGGCGTGATCTTGGCTCACTGCAACCTCCACCCTCACTGCATTCAAGCAGTTCTTGTGCCTCAGCCTCCCTAGTAGCTGAGATTACAGGTGCCCACCACCACGCCTGGCTAATTTTTGTATATTTCGTAGGGACAGGGTTTCACCATGTTGGCCAGGCCAGTCTCAAACTCCTGACCTCAAGTCCCAAAGTGCCCGCCTCGACCTCCCAAAGTGCTGGGATTTACAGGTGTGAGCCACCACACCCAGCCTACCCCACTTTCAACAATAGATACAGAAGTTAGGCAAAGAAAAAAGAAATGGAATATGTGGGAAACACTGTAAACTATGTATCCTTAGCAGATACGTATCTATGGAATATTTCACCCAGGAACAGCAAAATAAGCATTCATCTTAAAGGCATATAGAACATTCTTGGGATAAACACTATTTAAGGACATAAAACAAGCCTCAATAATTTTGAATAGGTTGAAATTGTACAGAGTATATTCTGCCACTACAAATTAAAGTGAGTTGAAATTATATAAAGTATTTTATGTAAGCACAAAGGAATTAGCTTATAAATCAATAACAAAAGAAAGTTGGAAAGTTTACAAATACGTAGAAGTTAAACAATACACTGCTCTTAAATAAACAATGTGTCAAAGTATAAATCACAAGTTAAATTCAAAGATACCTTGAAATGAATGAAAACACAAACACAATATACAAAAACATGTGGAAAGCAGCTACAGTGGTACAGAAAAAATTATAGCTGTATATGCCTATAATAAAATAAAATATGTACTTGAACTCAAGAACCTAACTTTTTACCTAAAGAAATAGAAAAAGAAGAGCAAGTTAAATCTAAACATAAGTAGATAAAAATAGTAAAGATTAGAAAGAAAATAAATACCATGGAGAAGGGAAAATTAATTTTTAAATAATAAAAATCAAAATTGGATTCTTTGAAAAAGTTGTAAAAAGTGACATTTAACTAGATTAGACATAAAGAGAATACTATGAAAAACTATATGCCAACAAATTAGCCTAGATAAAATTTCTAAAAATTTGAGAAACACAAATTACCAGAAACTGTTTCAAAAAGGTAATAGAAAATCTGACTAGATCTCTGACGAGATTGAGTTAGTAAACAAAAATGTCCCAGGCAGAAAAGTTGAGATCAAAGTGGCTTCACTGGTCAATTTTATCAAATATTTAAAGAATTAACAATGATTTTCACACACTTTTCCAAAAAATAGTAGAGGAGAGATTACTTCCAAACTCATTCTATGGAGCCAGTTTTATCTTGATACTGAAACCAGACAAAGACATCAAAAGAAAACATCAGACCGATACAATTTTACTGCAAAAATCCTCAGTAAAATACTCAATAAGCCAAATCCAGCAACTCTTAAAAATAATTCTATGACATGGCCAAATGTATTCTATCCCAGGAATGCAAGATTGCTTTCACATACAAAAGTCAATCAGTGTTATGCCCCATATTAATAAAATAAATGACAAAAACCATATGATCATCTACATAAATGCTGCAAAAAACATTTGACAAAAATTTAACACTCTATCATGATAAAAACCCTCAATAAATTAGGAATTGCTCTATAAAATCTGATAGATAAAATCATATTTAATGATGAAAGACTGCAAGCTTTCCCTCTGATATCAGGAACAAGAACACAAGGTCTACTCTCATCACTTATTCAACATTGTACTTCAAATGCTAGCCAGGACAATTAGAAAAGAAAAATAAATAAAGGCATTAAGATTTGAAAGGAAGAATAAAACTGTATCAATAGATGGCATAATGTGTGTAGAAAATGTGAAGACATTTTTAAACTATTAGAATAGATATGGTTAGCATAATTGTAGGTTGTGAAACGACACACACAAAAAAGTTTCTATATGCTGGCAATAAGGAGCATAAAAATGAAATTAAGAAAATTTAAAAATTAAGAAAAAATTTATGTAGTGTATAATAAAAAAGAACATAACAGGAATAAATTTAGCAAAATAAATGCAAGACTTATACACAGAAAACTAGAAAACATTTTTGAAATACATTTTAAAAGACCTAAACAAATGAAAAGATATTCCATATTTATAAATTGGGAGGCAATTTTTAAATGGCAATAATCTCCAAATTCATCTGCAGATTCAATACGATCCCATCAAATTACCAACTACCATTTATTTTTGCAGAAATTGATGAAGTAATCCTAAAACTCATAGGAAAAATGCAAAGAACATAGTGCAGCGAAAATAAATTTGAAAAAGAAGAATAAAGTTGAAGAATTCACATTTCCTGATCTCAAAACTTATTACACAACTATAATATTAATACAATATGGTATTTGTGTAAAAATATAATTTTAAATCAACCGAATAGATTTGAGAGTATAGAAATAAACCCATACATTAATGGGCAATATATTTTCTTCAAGAGTGCCAAGACAATTAAATAAGGAAAGAAGTGTTTTCAACCAATGATGTTAAGACAACTGAATATCTACATGCAATGAGTTGAATCCCTCTCTTACATCATAAAAATATAAAAATATGAACTCAAAATGGATGACAGAATTACCTTTAAAAGCTAAAGCTATAAAAGTCTTAGACAAAAACATTCATATGCGTGAATGTTCATTATGCTGGATTAGGCATGAGTTTCTTTGCAATGACACCAAAAACACAAGAAACAAAAGAAAAAAAATAATACTTTGACTATACCAAACCTAAAAAAATATTGTGCTACAAATGATGCCACATAAAAAAGTTAAAACTCTTTTAATAAAAAGTTAAAAGACTACCCACAGAATGAAAACAAACTTTTTTACTAATAATATACATAATAAGAGACAAAAACTGTTACAAATCAATAATAAAAATACCAATAACCCAATTTTTTAAATGGGCAAAAGAACTAAATAGAAACGTTTCCAAAGAAGAAATCTAAATGGCTAATGAGCACATTAGGCAAATACACATCCAGAGCACATTAGGCAAATACACATCCAAAGCACAATGAGATGCAATTTCACTTTCACTAAGAGATTTCACTTCCACTAGGAGACAAGATACAATAACACACACAACAGCACAAATAGACGTGCAATAACAAATATTGATGAGGGTGTGGATAAACTGAAACCTTTATACATTGCTGATGGGAATGTTAAATGGTACAACCTCTTTGGAAAACAGTTTGGCACTTCATCCAAAGGTTAGACATAGAATCATTATATGACCCAATAATTCTACTTTTAAGTACATATGCAAGAAAAATAAAAACATATTTCTACACAAAACCTTATACATAAATGTTCATAGTAACATTATTTATAAATGCCAAAAGTAGAAACAACTCAAATATCCATCAACTGATGAACGAATAAACAAAATATTATTTGGCAATAAAAATAAAGTACTGATACATGCAACAACACTGATGAAACTTGAAAACATTGTGCTAAGTGAAACAAGCCGTTCACAAAAGACCATTTATTGTATGTTTCCTCTTATATTAAACGTCCAGGATACACAAAGCTATAGAAGCAAAATTTAAATTAGTGCTTGCCAATGGCTGGGGAGTGGGCAGGAGAGATGGTGATGGGTGTGATAGCAAATGGGTATGAAGTTCATTTCATGGATGATGAAAATATTTCAATTTTTTTTTTTTTTTGAGACGGAATCTCGCTCTGTCGCCCAGGCTGGAGTGCAGTGGTGCGATCTCGGCTCACTGCAAGCTCCGCCTCCCGGGTTCACGCCATTCTCCTGCCTCAGCCTCAGCTGGGACTACAGGCGCCTGCCACCACCCGTGGCTAATTTTTTGTATTTTTTTTCTTTAGTAGAGATGGGATTTCACCGTGTTAGCCAGGATGGTCTCGGCCGGGCGTGGTGGCTCACGCCTGTAATCCCAGCACTTTGGGAGACCAAGGCGGGCGGATCACGAGGTCAGGAAAAATATTTTAAACTGTCTATATAGTAAAAGCTAGTGAATTTTATGGTACGTGAATAGTATCTCAATAAGCGCATTTGAAAAGTGGAATAAAATGTAATGTCATCAGAAAAAATAATGCCTCAGAGAACACAAGATTTTGGTTTTCATAGGTGAAGTCTTTTACCTAAGTAACAACAACAACAAAAAAACCAGAAACCAATAGCATATGTACTTTTTAGAAAAGGATATAATTTATTGTTCTGACACCATAAAAGAAATAAATATAATTTCACAAGAGAAACTGCCTTCCACTTTTATAAAATTTCGATTTTTTTTTTTTTTTTTTTTTTTTGAGACAGAGTTTCACTCTTGTCGCCCACATTGGAGTGTAATGGCTGGATCTTGGCTCACTGCAACCTCCGCCTCTCGGGTTCAAGCCATTCTCCGGTCTCAGCCTCCCGAGTAGCTGGGATTACAGGTGCCCGCCACCACTCCCGGCTAATTTTTTGGTATTGTTAGTAGAGATGGGGTTTCACCATGTTGGCCAGGCTGGTCTCGAACTCCTGACCTCAGTCTATCTGCCCACCTCAGGCTCCCAAAGTGCTGGGATTACAGGCGTGAGCCACTGTGCCGAGCCTATAAATTCTTTAAGACTAAAAAAACTTTAAGAGGTTAGTCTAATGAAAGGGAAAATATTCTCAAGATACTTGATTTTAGAGCATAAAATGGAATCAAAGAAATCCTAAACCTTTTTTAAGCATTTGAATCCGTGGAGACTTACCCCAAAGCACAGCAATCTTCTCATTATATTATGTATAGCTGTTACAGGTGATATATTTTTATTTTAAAAAATGCCTTGAAAAGTCAATATGATTTTTTTCCTTTTATCGTGTGACGAACCACTTTAGTTGCAGGTTGTGGAAAATAATTTATCTCTATATTGCTTCAAAGTCCACACATTTATACAGGGTGTTATTTAGCACACACATTCAGAAATAATCCTTGTTAAAGCAGCATTTATTAGGACTATTTCAAATCTATATGTCTGCATGCATATTTGCATTAATTTGAAGAGCGACCATAGTTTCAGCAGAAGGGAACACTCCAATAGTTAAGAAAAACTGCTCTATACTATTGTTTTACTTTTATATTTTTCCTGCAATTTTTAACTTAATCTATCACAAGTCACTTAAAATTCTACCTCATGTTCTCCTAAGAGACAAAAAGAGAGTTGACTTAATTAAAGTTATGAACTTGCCTCTGATAGCTTATATATTTAATTCTTCTTCAATCTCTCTAGGTAAACTTTTAATCTGTCTAGGTAACAACTTTTCCATTTACCACAGTTATACTTTGTTGTCAACTTCTGCATGTATTCAAATGTGTACTGGATTTCCTGGTGTCATTACAGATCTCTCATATCTCACATATAGTCTGATGACGTGTATCATCATGTCCTACGTGTACATTGGAGCATCTCTCTTTGATCCTATTACGTCACTTGGCTTTCTTTGTCACTAGAAATCATGTGACAAAGAAATAAAATGTAAACATTTTATTCTTTTTCTAAATGTGAATTTTTATCAACTGTTTACTATTTTCAGCCAGGTAAAAAAAAAAACAAATATTATTTTGATACATAAAATGTGCTTATAATAGTTTAGACAAAAGACTTGCATTTCTCAGTCTAACTTTGTGCCTAATGTATGTTAAGAGCCCACCTCTCAACAGCCACATACTTGATATATATCAAGTCTCAATCACATAATTGACATGGAAACAAAGCCTGAAATATGAGATAATAGAGGTAAAAAAGTTAATGAAAAACTTTGGGAGGTCGAGTCAGGCAGATCACTTGAGGTCAGGAGTTCAAGACCAGCCTGGCCAACATGGTGAAACCCTGTCTCTACTAAAAATACAAAAATTAGCCAGGTGTGGTAGTGCATGCCTGTAATCCCAGCTACTCAGACTGAGGAAGGAGAATCACTTCAACCTGGCAGGTAGAGTTTGCAGTGAACTGAGATAGCATCATTGCACTCCAGCCAGCGCCACAGAGCAAGACTCCACCTCAAAAAAAGAAAAAAAAAAAAGTTAATGACATAACCACTCATCTGATAACCCCAAAAAGAATCAAGGAAGTTATTTTCAAACTCTTCCTCTTTCTCATTCTTTATATCCTTTATATACAATCTTTCTTATAGTATTATAAATTCTATCACCTAAATGTAAATCCAGAGTTCATATTCACATTCACTACTTTCATTCATATCTTCATAATTTCTCAAGACCATTGACATTATTTCTTAGATGCTCACTCAAAAGGTTGCCTGATATCTCTGCCATAAACTTATAACTTTGCTTTGAATGATCTTTTTTTCCTTTTTTTTTTTTTTTTGTAAGACAGCTTCTTGTTCTGTCACCCAGGCTGGAGTACAGTGGCATGATCTCAGCTCACTGCAATCTCTACCTCCCTGGTTCAAGTGATTCTCATGCCTCAGCCTCCCAAGTATCAAGTAGCTGGGGATACAGGCATGTGCCACCACACCCAGCTAATATTTGTACTTTTTAGTAGAGGCAGGGTTTTGCCATGTTGGCCAGCCTGGTCTTGAACTCCTGGCCTCAAGTGATCCACCTGCCTCGGCTTCCCAAAATGCTGGGCTTATAAGTGTAAGCCATCACACCGTGCTGCTTTGAATAATCTTTTTAAAAATACAATTTAAAAAATAAGCTCAGCAATTCCACCTCTAGAAATGTATTATACAGAAATTGTTTACAATCCAAAATATTGTAAATGAATTGGAACTGACATATGAATGAACCTGATAATGTATGCTATTGAACAAATAGATGTTTTTAAAACTTCTGCTTTGTGTTTCTAAGGGTATAGGCCCAATTTAAGAGAACAATGGATTTTAATTATAAAATATAAGACACATAAGTAGTCTAATTGAGAAGAGATTGATGTTTAGCATAATAGAAATATACTTCACATGACAGAGTAACAGGAATTTGAGGGTGACCACTGGTTACCCCTAAATTAAGAGTGAGTGTCATGGACATTAGTTAAAGCTCTCTGATAGGAAGAGAAGATTTCCTAATGATACAGCAGTAGATCTCATGGTAAGAACAGATACACAGCCCTTATAGATTTCTTGTTGTGAGGAATGTCTGGTTTCGTTTTTGAAACTATAATTATTAACATTTCATTTTGAACTTGTTTCCTTTTCAGTGTTGAAATTATTCATTTTTAACTCAAAATATGTACTTTAAGTGTGTTGTACACAACAGCCTTGGATGTGTGGTGCTTTGGGGAAGGAAATTATAAAGATGTCTGTGCATTAAGCAACGCAGGGCAAAGAAAAGACAGTAATCAAAGAAGCAAAAACTAAGAGTGCAGAATCAAAATGGAGCCAATATCAAGAATTTGGAGCTAGAGCTAACAGCAAAACATCCCCTACATATTGGGGAATCCTAGGCAATGTTTGGAAATATTTACTCAACTTTTGATAGTATAAGAGCTATGGAGCTTAGGTCATTTTATTTGGCTATATTAAATCACTCCAGTAGGCAGGAAAACTTAGAAACATTTTGGCAGATTTTTCATTGAACTATTGATAGTTTTATACCTATAAAGTGGGAATTCTGAGATGAAGTAGAGGTGAGGATAGAGGACTAGAGATAATTTTTTCTAAATTTATGTATTTCAACATGATTTAACTTTTTACCACAAGCCTGCATTAGGCCATTCTTTGTGTTGATTGTAGGAATACCTGAGACTGGTAATTTCTAAAGAAAGGAGGTTTAATTTGCTCGTGGTTCTGCAGGATATACAAGCATGACACTGGCATCTGCTCAGCTTCTGGGGAGGCCTCAGGAAACTCACAATTATGGCCTAAGGTGAAGGGGAAGCATGCGTCTCACATGGCAAGAGCAAGAACAAGAGAGAGTGGAGGTGGTGACACGTAAACAACCAGGCCTCGAGAGAACTCACTCACTATCATAAAGATAGTGCCAAGCTATGAGAGATCCCCCCAACCCGTTTGACCCAAACACCTCCCACCAGATCCTATCTCCAACACTGAGATTACAATTTAACATGAGATTTCATGGAGACAGATATTCAAACTATATCAAAGACTATTTCAAAAACCAATAAGCCTTTGAACATTTCATCTCCAGTATGAAGTGTTCCCCAATTCTACCACATGGAGAATTAATCACTTTCTTCTCTGAGATCTTCTCAAAGGCAGGGGCCGTGCCTAGCATAGTACTTGACACATGAGTCACTTAATATATGTTTGTTGAACAATCATTTAGTTTAACATCGTTATTTCACAGGTTAGATAGATGAGAGACAAAACATTAAATTTATCCACAGCAGTTTCTCGAACTCTGGTCCCTGAGCCAGAAGCACCAGCATCTCCTGAGATGTTGTTAGAAATGCAGTTTTGGGCCCCACTTCAGACCTAGAAGTTCAGAAACTCTGGATGCCACAGAGGTCTGTGCTTTATCAAGCTCTCTTGATACTTGATGGACACTCAAGTTTGAAAACCATTGCTCAAAGGTAACATAGATAGTATGGAATAAACAAAAATAGATATTTGAAATGAAGGTTTATATTGAATTATAATGTATGACATACAAAAATGGATTCAGTGCCTAGAATAAATATTTCTAAGTTGACTTTTCACTGCAGAACCAACAAATTCATTTTTATATTTGTCTCACTTAATGTTACTGCTCTGGCTACAGACACTCTGCCTGTATCATAATGCTAAACCATGAAATGGAACGATCAACCTTGAAATACGGAGTTTATTCATAAGCAAATGAGCCACCTCATTTTCATGAGTAAATCGCTTTCAGTTACACATTTATGATCTTAAGTAAATCCAGTTACATGTTAATTATATTAGAATGAAAACGGAGCTAAAGATGCTATAATAATTACATGAAAACTATTATTTTATTTTCTATGCTTTATGCTTTGGAACATTGAAAAGAGGGTCCTTTTCTATCATGATGATGCCCACTGTAAAGAGAATACTACGTTGTAGTTATTGTGGGGGCCTGTCAAACACAATTGCTTACATATTTACAACCTGAAATTGTTTGTCTATATGATCTCAACATATATCTTTCTGCTTAAGGGGAAAATTATTCTATTAAGAAAAACTAGCTAGAACCACATCGCTAGGAAAGAAGTCATTGGTGACAGTGGTATGTAAGAAAAGAGCAGGTAAAATCATATTAGTTGATGCTGTGGTTGCAAATAGTTCTAATAAGTGGATCTGTGTTTCTACCAGCTATGTCCCTGAAACAAAGTTAAATGGTCGTGAATGTGACTTTGGAATACACACAGTGTGTAAGCAGGTCTTAGGCATATTACCCTACTTTTTATTCCTTGACACATATTGTTTAAAAACATATTTACTGCTTGTATTATGTTTGATTCAATTATTTTATACTAAATTAGTATATATGAAGCACAGAAGAAAGGAAGAAATAGTGTTAAAATATTTCTAATTCTGTCTCTCTCTATATAAAACAAAACTGATATTTAATTTTAAAAATCACTTATAATAGACTCTCTGAGCTTCTTCTCCAAACAAGGGTCAAATTTCCATCTTCAAGATATGAACTTTGACTTTCACTAAGGGAGACCACAGTCTTCAAGTATGACCTATAACTTTGCATCTCTGTATTTGTCATTCTAATTGAATCATACATCTGCTCTATCAAAGCAAATATGTCACTTCAATCCTTCCTTTTAGCTGTACTAAAAGATTAATAAGAAATGGATTATCCATATCTCTTAATGAAGGAATAAAGCAATATAAAAATAATCGTGCAACCTTGCATTAAAACACTGCTTTCAGATTCAAAAGTAAAAGCTAGTGGAATTTTTTTTCTTTGTTGCTTGGCTAGAGTTTGCCTTGTTATATTGGTTTTGATTTTTACTCCAGTCCAATTCTCTTCCAATAAACAAATTTGCCTTGTTTCCAGATAGCAAACTCAATTTTTCTATTTAGCCAAATTAATAATATTTTGTTCAGTATCATGTCTTCACCTTGATTTTTTAACTTTGGGACATATGTACATTAGTATCTGTTATAATTTACATAAATGATTTAATTTTCTTACTCTAGTCTCACATTTATTGTCATGACAATATGCAGAAAAAAAGTGATTTTTTATTGTGCCTTACTTTTAAGAAATGATTGTTGATATTGTGCAAAAAGCTTTCACCTTTGTTGGATTTCTCTCTGATTTTATCTAGAAGTCTCTCTGGAGAATAGCTATAAACTCTTGCCCTGCCCTGACAGGCCTCCAGGAAATTTGGTCATGGATGTTTACAAGGTGTCTTTCACAAAATATTTTTTGACCCGACAGACAGCCTGATGCCTGAGTGTTTGACCGGTGACCAGGTGTCCCTCTCACAGGAAACTTGTTTATACTGGCAGATGCCCTTGTTGCTCTTGTCTGACCTGTGTCTAGTTTATTTCTGCCAAGATATCCTCTTGACTGGGAGAAAAGTTAGGTTTGGATGTGTCAGCTAAGTGAGACCCAGAGGAGGCAACACAATAAAAACAGATGAAACTACAGGAGCAGTTTATTACTCACAGGTCCACGGGAGAAGATGGAGACTGATAAGGGCCAATGGGAAGTTCACAGGGACAATATGCTCAATCAGCAAGGTGGGGAACCAGAAAGAGATGGATATGTGGGTGGAGGACTTTACTGTGATCCAGGGTATTACCCAAGCAGCTCTCCCAAGGGGAGTTCTAATAAGTAGCTTTAGAGGTAGCAGGCATGTACTCTAAGTGGTCACACTGTGACTGAAACGTGGTTACATATCTTCCCAGTCCATGAAGGTTGTGGGGGTTGATGGAATCAGTCAAGAAGGTTGTACCTGTATGTCCCAGAGAGAGGTGGTCACCAGGAGGTGGTTATATAAGCCAGATATCTGGATTGACAACACTGAGGACTTGGGAGGAGATGCAAGACTAGAAACTGTGTCAAGAGTGAATAAACTCTGTTTCTAATATAAGAAAGTTAAACCTATATTCAAAATGGATGCCAGGAAAACATAAAATTATAGAACATCACAACCCTGAAATAGGAAGAATTGCATACCATTTTCTTACATTAAGATTCATTTATAAAATGAGATGATGTTAACTACTCTGTAGAACTGAAATATGTGGACTCATTTAGGCCAAGAGCTGCCATATAGGAGAAACCCACAAAATAGTGATAGAGCCTGAAATTTACAGAACATACTAAATGTAGCCAAAGATTTAATCAGGGGATGTAAATTATATTCCACTCATATGTATAGAAATCCAACAATGTTTATTCCAGCAATACACAAAAATTTTGGTACATTTTCATATATGTGACTGAGAGATTTCAACAATTCTTTTTTTTTTTTTTTTTTTTTTGAGACGGAGTCTCGCTCTGTCGCCCAGGCCGGACTGCGGACTGCAGTGGCGCAATCTCGGCTCACTGCAAGCTCCGCTTCCCGGGTTCACGCCATTCTCCTGCCTCAGCCTCCCGAGTAGCTGGGACTACAGGCGTCCGCCACCGCGCCCGGCTAATTTTTTGTATTTTTAGTAGAGACGGGGTTTCACCTTGTTAGCCAGGATGGTCTCGATCTCCTGACCTCATGATCCACCCGCCTCGGCCTCCCAAAGTGCTGGGATTACAGGCGTGAGCCACTGCGCCCGGCCGAGATTTCAACAATTCTATCCATAAACCCAACTGATCATTTAAAAGAGACACAGTGAGATCCTATTACACAAATTATATAATATCAAGATAGCTATCTTTTTATAATTTAGGGATTATAGTTATTCATTAAACATATATTTAGTGAGCACCAGCAATATGCTGGGCAATGAATGACAGACAAGGTCTCTGCTATGAGAAAGCATATGTTGTAATAGTAGGAGATAAGCAATAAACAGGAATGTATATATCAGGTAGTTCATATGTGGATTGACAAAAAAAAAAAAAATTCAACAGGCTGATGTAATGGAAAGGGATTGAAAGTCTACTTTAGATTGAACGATCAAAAAGCGATTTGCTGAAAAAGTAACATTCAAACTGAAAATTGAATATCAAAAGTAGCAAACTAGGTAAAGAATCTTAAGGCAGGTTATTACAGGCAGGGAGAACAGCTCCTTCAAAGGAACTCAGAACGTTAGAGGACTACAAAGAGGCCCATTGTAGCAAACAGAGTTTGTCTAAAGGAGGGAGCTTTACAATGAGGACTAAGTGGAAGGCGAACTGAGGGCAGGTGACTGTGCAGAAAGCTTTGCAGGCCAGGATAAGGAACATGAATTCTATTCTATGTGGAAAAAAAGATGCCATTTAGGGTTTTAGGTAATGAATGACATGACTTACTGTAATCATTTTCATCTGTTTTAACAGTCAAAGGTGCTTGAAGCATGCATCTTTTCTTCCCCCCTGAGGTACCACTATCGGATCAGCTATTACAAGTATGCAAAGATCCGTCGGGCGCGGTGGCTCATGCTTGTAATCCCAGCACTTCCGGAGGCTGAAGTGGGCGGATCAACGGAGGTCAGGAGTTTGAGACCAGCCTGGCCAACAAGTGAAACACTGTCTCTACTAAAACTACAAAAAATTAGCCAGGTAAGGTAGTGGGCACCTGTAATCCCAGCTACTTGGGACGCAGAGGCGGGAGAATCGCTTGAACCTGGGGGGCGGTGAGCCTAGATTGCACCAGTGCACTCCAGCCTGGGCGACAGAGTGAGACTCCGTCTCAAAAAAAAAAAAAAAAAAAAAAGAAAAAGTATCCAAAGATCTTCCAAATGTTCCAAATGTTCTCAAACGTTATGTCAAGACACTGAAATACTTCACTAAATGCCTCCTATGGGGATTGAAAAATAGGCTGTTTGCAATGGGCATTTTCTTTCTAATGTTTGTTTACTCTGGTATACTTAAGTCTAGGCTTCTTAAATGTTTTTCTTGGAATGAGTTTTCACACCAAGTTGATTTTTATTGAAAGTGTTGTGCTCAGCAAAACACTAATGAAATCCATAGCATATTAATATTAAACAGAATTAGAGTTTTGTGATTTTGTGCTATTGTAAACACTAACAATAAAGGCTATTGAAGAAAAAATAAGATTATGGTTAACAGAAGAGTATGTACTTCAAAGAATTAGGAATTATATTTATTCATTAAACACACATTTAGTGAGCACCAACAATCCTGGGCAATGAATGACATAGACAAGGTCTCTTCTATGAGAAAGCATGTTGTGTGCTTTGGATTTTGAGTAGGTAAAGTAACAGAATACATAATCCTTGAATTCACATGTTATCTTCTACTCACTGTTAGATATTTCAATCAGGAAAAAAATGAAAAAAAATTAGCAAAGCAAATAACTTCAATAGATTGTTTTATTGTTGTCATTAAATATTTAATAATTAATCTAAAATGGTGAAAAACTTCCAGAAGAAGCATAGTGGATGAGAAATGTCAGATAATATTTTAGACTCACAGCTAAGCTGGTAAATAAATAAAAAGAAGGTGCAGAAATCTTGTTAGATTGGCATAGTGCACAACCGCCTGACTTCTGAGAGAGGGAGAAAGCAATGTCATTCATCTTGCATAATATTCCCTCTCTGGTAAGATTAGTTGATAACACAAGAGAATTTTCCCTAGCTTTACCTGACAAAAACTTGATACATCTTCTAGCAAGAGCAATTTTTCTACCATATTCAGCAATAGTAGTTTCTGAAGGGCTCTCTTATCTCATTTCTTATTCATCAATCTCCAAAAGACATGTTAGAAATAGCAAAATGTAAATCTCTTTATAACAAAATTAATCCAATTTTTTTACTTGTCTTTCATGTGACACTGACTCATTGTCAGCTGAACATATGTAACAAATGCTTGTCATTTCTGAGTACTCAAAGAGCACGATCTAAAAGAAAGATAATTTCTTTTGACAAATGTATGTCAACACAAGGAACTACCTTTTTTGCTTATGATTCACTTGTCATGTCATCTTTTAAAATTAATACTTATCCACAGTTTATGGAGGAAGACTATGATAGTCACTTTATATAATTATGGTTCTGAGGAAGCATATTTCCTTGAGTTTCTCAGTTTAGCATTTTGTCAAAATGGATAAGAAAAGACACATAACTCTATACTCTCATATTTTTTCTTAAAATATTCCTATTAACATACAAATTATATTTCATGTGATATTAACCCTAAATTTGGCACAGTGAAATTTAATTGAAGAGAAACACTTGATAAAAAATCAATTTCCCTAATAAATTATGTTTGATTTACCTTATCCTTGTATATTATTGCCATTTGACATTTATAATTTTATTTCTAAGAAATGTATAGAAAAATCTTTAGCTGTACAGCAACAATTTGTATGTTCTGAAGAAATAAAATTTTGTGAAAAGAAAATCCAAATATCATTAAGTTTTCTTCCTTTATTGTATTTCCAAGCAGTTTAAAATGTTTTGTATGAATAATTCTTAGAATCCAAACTAACATGTAATCAAAAAGTGTATTTCACTGGTTGTATGATAAAGCCTATAAAATTGAATTGCATTGTTTCCCAATATACCTTAAACTTCGTCTCAACAACAGAACATTTATATTTTAATTATTACTTTTTTATTAGTTACATACCATGGTACTTTATAAAATTATGAAGAGGCTTATAATTTTCACTATAAGTGACATAGTTATTAAATACTAAGTCACATTGTTCCAAAAGCAAATTCAGGTGGCTTTATAAGAAATGTACAATACACCTAAATAGAATAAATTGAGTAAGGTAAGAAAAGTAAGCAAATACAAGATAAAACATGAAAATCCACCCACAAATGAGGCTAGTCAAAATTTTATATTATACAATTCTATACATTTGCCATAAACTGACCACAATTTTGCCTCTAAGCTGTTTAACAGAAAACTCAGGGAAGAAAATCTAGTAAATCATGTCTTTCACATAGCCCTTAAGACAAACACCAAATACAGTAAAGTGACAGTATTTCTAATATTAGTATCAGAAAAAAAGTTGTGTCCTAAGGGTTCTCAAAAAGAAGATGCTGTGTAATGGAGTGAATATCTTCAAAGGTTTAGGATCTCTTTTTTCTTAAAAAGTCTCTCAGGGTAGACCAGTGGCATTACAAGCAAGTGCAATTTCTACAAAAGTTCCTGTAGAGAAACCATTTGATGCAACTAGCTTCTCGGCAACACTTCCTTCCAATTGTTGATTCTCTTTGATAATCTTTCAAGAAATAGAGTGTGCCAGGGAGTTTGTTTCCATATTGAATTATGGGCTCTTAAAATGTAGCTCTATGTTAGCATTTAAAGGCAAAGCCTTAACTGACAGATGAGAAGGGAGAAGGGTTAGGGGATCCAAGGACCACAACATGGACATGTTCTGAAGAGAGGACTATTCCAGCTCCTCTGAGAGAGGTCAGATGAATAGCTTATACAGGGGTAGGGCTACCTGAAAAATAATTTTGAACCTACTGTAGCAGAAAAACGGACAGCTAAGGAAGAAGTTTTCACTGTCTTGATTTTTAAGAAATAGTGTCTTAGACGTTTGGTGAGTTCTTATTGTATTATACATTATCGCTGTCATAAACACTTGAGGAGCACTGACTCATGAGTTGATAGCATTCTTATGCAATTACGCAGATAGGAAATGAGGTTAAGACATTAGCCTAAGATCGTGTGGTTAGTGTGTAGTAGAACTAATAATTGAAGCAAGGATTCCTGGCCCCAAAGTCCACACTCTTCATTGCTATCAGTAAATCACAGGGTGTTACAATAGACTGTTCTTTGTGACAATTTGAGTATATTATGGCATTGATTTAACTTTTAAAAGAGACTTCCAAGATTATTTGCCTTTGCAACAGAAAATAAAATAAAATTTGGAATTATTTTTATATATTAAAAAAATCTGCTCTATATGAGAGTAGGCTATCTTTAAATTTAAAAAAATATTGTTGGCATTCGTGCTAAGCAAACAACTATTTTGCAAATTCAAGAGGAAGTGACCTTTTATATAACATATACAAGCAAAGTATATTAACTGATGGGTTACATATATATGTATAAAATTTTCATTAAAATTGAAAAAGATAACAAATAAAATTTTTAAAAGAGAGAAAGTACCCAGGTGAGGTGGTGTGAGCCTGTAGTCCCAGCTACTTGGGAGGCTGAGGTGGATGAGTAGCTTGAGTCTAAGAATTCAAGGCTGCAGTGAACTGTGATCAGGCCATTGCACCTCAGCCTGGGTGACAGAAGGAGTCCTTCTCTCTAAAGAAGGAAAAAAAGAGAGAGAGTTACATAAAACTAAAATTAGCACTATAGCTGTATCAATTTGAATAAAATATCTAAACATGATGGAACCATGTCAAAGTAAAATGTATTTAGCTTGATACTTGTAAAGGGTTGAATTGTGGCCCCCGAAATATATTCTAGATTCCACCTAGAACCTGTGAATATGACTTTATTTGGGAAGAGTCTTTGTAGATGCAATTAAGTAAAGTAACTTGAAATTATACTAAATTATCCAGGTGGGCCTTTAATCAAAACACAAGTTTCCTTAAAAACAAAGAAGACATCCATTGATAAGAAGGATGAGAAAAACAAATGAAACAGAGACGACAGAGAGAGAAGGAAGAAGAAAGTTCATGTAAAATGGAGGCAGAGATTGAAGCTATGTCATCTCAAGCCAAAAATTGTTTGAAGCTACCAGAAATTGGAAGAGGCAAGCAAAGATATTTCCTATATTCTTTGGAGAAAGCAAAGACTTGCTGAACCTTTAATTAGGACTTCTTACCCCGCGAAGTATGAGAGAATCAGTTTCAGCACTTTTTAAGCCATCAAATTTGAAGATGTTTGTTACAGGAGCCCTAGGCTAATTCAGTGGCTATCTACATAGATATTTCAATACGCCCATAAATGGGTAATTTCAACTGACATTGAATCTCAATGATATTAAATGTTATTAATCATAAATATACTATGCTTTCATTTCTTTTTTGTTTTGTTTTGTTTTTCAGAGACAGTCTTGCTCTGTCAGCCAGGTTAGAGTAAAGTGGCAGATCAAAGTTCCTGGATGCAAAATCAGTGTACAAAAATCAGTAGCAGTTCTATATTCCAATAACTTTCAAGTTGAGAGCCAAATCAAGAAGGCAATCTCTTTCATAATTGCCACAGAGAGAATGAAATGCCTAGAAATACAGATAACCAAAGAGGTAAAGGATCTCTACATGCAGAATTACAAAACACTGAAGAAAGTAATAAAAGACAACACAAATAAATTGAAAAATGACCCAAGCTTATGGGTTGGAAGAATCAACATCACTAAAATACCCGTACTGCCCAAAACAATTTACAGATTTAATGCTATTTCTATCAAATTACTAATGTCATTTTTTCACAAATTAGAAAAAATCTATTCTAAAATTTGTATGGAATCAAAAAGAGCCCAAATAGCCAAAGTAATCCTAAGCAAAAAATAAATCTGGAGGCATCACATTACCTGACTTCAGCCTATACTATATGGTTACACTAATCAAAACAGCATGGTACTAGTACAAAAACACACATATAGACCAAAAGAAAAGAATAGAGAACCCAGAAATACAGCCACATACCTATAACCATCTGATTTTCAACAAACTTGACAAAAATAAGCAATGGGGAAATGACTTCTTATTCAGTAAATGCTCCTGGGATAGCTAGCATGTCTATATGCAGAAGTATTACACTGGATTCCTACATACCACCATACACAAAAAATTAACCTAAGATAGATTAAAGACTTAAATGTAAAACCTCAAACTATAAAAATCCTAGAAGAAACCCTAGGAAGCACCCTTCTCAGTATCAGCCTCGGCAGAAAATTTATGGACAAATCCTCAAACAAAAATTTATACAACAAAAACAAAAATTGGCTAATGACAGGATGTAATTAAAGAGTTTCTGCATAGCAAGAGAAACTATCAATGGAATAAACAGATAACCTAAAGAATGAGAGAAAATATTTGCAAACTATGCACCCAACAAAGGTCTATTATCCAGAATCTATAAGAAACTTTAACAAATCAACAAGTAAAATACAAATAACCTTATTCAAAATTGGGCAAAGGACAAGAGCAGACACTTCTCAAAAGAAAACATACATACAACCAACAAGCATATGAAAAAATATTAATTGTCATTAATCATCAGAGAAATACAAATCAATACCACAGTGAGATACCATCTCAAACCAACAAGAATGGCTTTTGTTAAAAAGTCAAGAAATAACATATGTTGGTGAGGCTCTGGAAAAAAAGAAACACATACACTGCTGCTGAGAATGTAAACTAGTTCAGTCACTGTGGAGAGCAGTTTGGAGATTTCTCCAAGCCCTATGAATTGAACTACCATTTGACTCAGCAATCTCATTACTGAGTATATACTCAAAGGAAAATAAATTGTTCTACCAAAAAGAACAATATGTTCATCACAGCATTATTCACAATAACAAATACATAGAATCTACCCAGGTGTCCATGAACAGTAGATTGTATTTTTAAAATGTGGTACATATGCACCATGGAATACTATGCAGCGATAAAAAAGAATGATTTCATGTCTTTTGCACCAACATATAGGCAAACTAACACAGAAACAGATAACCAAATCATGCTTGTTATTACATGTGGGAGATAAACATTGGGTATACATGGTCTGGTCATAAAAATTGGGACAACAGACACTGGGCAATACAAGAGGGGGGATAAAGGGAGAGGGTAAGGATTGGATACTATGTTCACTACCTGGGTGACAGATTCACTCCAAACCTCAACATCACACAATATACCTTTGTATCAGATCTGCATATTTATCCCCTGATTATAAAATAAAAGTTGACAAAAAGGAAGTTACAGAGTCCATTAAGTCTATTTAAAGCATCAAAACTTTCTAAAGGAATATCTTAACAGTTGGTACCTTCTCATTTCACTGAGAACATCAATGCAGTTCTGATAGAAGCCAGGGGATGAAAAAGGAACTCTTCCCAGATGGAGAAGGCAATTCTATATAGGAAAGTCCCTCTCTCTTGTTGAAGTAAAATTCAGAAGCTCCTTGTTTTTTTTGGCGGGGGGTAGGGGGGTGGAATCATCAGTGGAAAATTTCTAAATGTTCAAGGTTATTTCATACTAAATTTCTCTTTTTCCTTGAGATTTGTTTTTCCCTTCTGTTAATTTTTTTGTTGCTAACATCACATAGGTCCTCAGTTGTATACTGTACTCAAAAGTTCTTTTCATCCTTTGATTCAAAGGCAAACAGTAATTTCCTCCTTTGGTGAAAGGCACAGCTGAAATCAGGGAGTATTTTCAGAGAAAACATTATAAATAAATAAATATAATTATATGTTGTCATGTGTTAAATATTATATGTTATATAACATGCTATATATTGTATTTTATATATTGTATATGATATATAACTGATATAGGTGAGCATTTTTAGAAAAAATATAAATAAATATACATCACATATTACATATATATACTATTTGAAATCATTGAAAAGAAATAAAGAAAGGCTAGAAAGAAATGAGCTTGCTAATTCTATACAACGGTCTAGTCCTACTATGAATTAGCATGCTTTCCAGAGTCACCCTGACCAACCCCCTATGACCAGTAAGGAGCCATCTACTGCCTATTTGTACATTTTATGGATGTGTCAAGTGCCTCATTTCCCAGTCCAAGTTTTACCTCCATATGTGAAATGACACTGATTCACATACAAGCACCAGCCTCTTAGGCACTGGATACATTTGTGCTTATCAAAGACAACAATTCTCTCACCCAGTTGCCATCCTGCTGCTCCCTCATCAGATTCATGAGGGACCTAAGTCTTTTTTCAAACCAAATGACCTAATGAATCCTCTTGCCTTTCCCACAAATTCAACCCCTTACATAGATTAATGGCCTTCCCCCTCGCCTCTAAGAATAATCATTAATCCTCTTCCCCAAACATTTCCAGCTCTCTGACTTGCGGGATATATGGTAAGATAGCATTTCCTGGCCGGCTTTTGTGGGCGGAGCAGTTTGACTAGTTCTGCCAAATGAATTGTGTTATATATCTTGGTGCCTTGTGTCAAACATGTTTTACAAAATATTGCCCAAGTATTTTATCAAACTTTTGTATAATTCATAATGAACTAAAGGTCAGACAAATACAGACATTTCCTTATAAGACTTGAAGAACATTTAATGGTAGTTGAGGTTTTAAGGTCAATTGTGTCTTGTGTCTTTTGTTTTGTGTCTGATCAAAAGTGTCTTGATCCAGCAATGTCCAAGAAAGAGTGGCTCAAAGTGAAGACTGCTCAGAAAAGAACCCCTACCAAACCTACGATGGACTTGTCTTGTGAGTGAGAAATAACCCTACTCTTTTATTCTACTGAGATTTTTAGTTTTGTTACTGAAGCATCATTTCGCTCATCTACTGTAAAACCTCAACCACCATTACACGTTTTTCAAGTCTTATAAGGGAACGTCTGTATTTGTCTGACCTTTAATTCATGATGAATTATACAAATGTTTGATAAAACACTTAGGACAATATTTTGTAAAATATGTTTCATAAAATAAAGTAGAGTTTTAAAAATAAAATTGCATGTAGATTTAAATTCTGATTAGTATATTAAGGCCCTGTAAATTCTACAGTAGACAAAGTCTGCCTGAAAGTCTAGCTCACATCTTCAGTTTCCCAGCCTTATTTTATCACCAAACTCTTTTTCCAGAGAATCTTAGAAACACCCACAGAGCACACTGATGGTTTAGAGATAGTGACTGTGATGACTAGTCACTTCTGGCAGGAAGGGAATGCAATGGCTTGAGAAGAACACATAACACCTACAAATGCACCCTCATTCTCCTCCTTATATTGATAATTCTACATATAGGCATTTATATTATCATTATTCTTTAAATCATACATATAATTACATGCCCCTTTTGAATATGAAGTATATATCACAGTTTTAAAAGGTTGTAAACACAGCATATTAGTGGAATTAGGGAAAGTGAAACACAAGAGAGCTATATTGCTGTCTTCACAGGGAAAAAGATATGGATATCAGCTTTAGAATAGTTCCTTATCAAGTTAATGGGGGTGAAAATACTTTCAAAATTATTAATGATAATAATGCATTATTATTTCACAATTTAAAGCAGGGATGTGTTAGATTTATCAATTATTCTAAAATATCTAAAGCATTGTGGAATGATCATAAAGGAAATGGCCTCAACATTTCTTTCATGGTATGTCATTATTAAATAATTTCCAATGAACTATTAATTTGAAACTTTTAGAATGTGTAAATTAAAATGTCTACGATTCTTCATAATATGTCAGTTGTGATTTCTAGGCTCTTTAGAAAATGTTATGGTTTTCATTTGGAAACTCTCTACATGTAAAATTTTGCTTCAGCAAAAAGTGTTAGTCTCATGACTTTAAAACATTTTATTCTTGTCAGGTGCAACTTGGACCTTAGGTCAATAAATTACACTTGCTTTGGTAGAAAACATGCCATTTCTTCCTTGATTAACATGTTTTCTTAAAGACTCCAACCAGCCACCTGTCTTCTTTGATATCTTTATAATACTGATTATTTTTCAACTTTACTTAGTGTTGAATGTGCTTTTGCTTTATCAATATGTATGTAAGTGGGTCTGTATAGTTCAATGTAAAAGTGACAGACATATTTTCTGCATAGCTTGTCCTGCACATTTGTATAACTTTATAAAATCTACAGCAAAATCACTTACAATCCACATCAAGTTTCTCATCCATCCATGTTCTTCAAAATGTAAAGCTCCTAAGAGATCAGAAGAACTCCTTTAAAGGGCGGTGTAGCCTCTTAACTGTATTCATTTACATTTCCAAAGGGCATACTTCTTCATGCTGTACATCTGGTTCCCTCCGAGTAGAAAGGAGATTCCAGGGTTACAGAGCAGAGTGCACACCAGCTAATTCATGTTACTGATGGTCAGAAATCCTGTGGGGATGTGTTTCTCATTCTGACCTCGGCTCTTTCCTGTGGAAGACATACATTTTTCAAGAACTCATGGTATCAAGCTCTGTAAAATCATCATGAGAAGGTGGCATTGTCTTGCCTGCTTTACCAAACTTTATGTAGGTAACATGCATTAAAATATATACAAATAAAATTATAGTCTAAAGTTTTGTAAATATAATGCCTTTTGAAGCAACAAAATATAGACTGTTCTTGTAAAGACTTAACAAAGGTAGAGTATGTTACATATTGAATATATTTGTAGCCTAATGAAGTTTTATTATCCATGAAGTTTATTCTTGTTGCATTATCAACATTAGGTTTTAAGGAAGACAAAACATTCTCCTTTAAAAAGTGTGGCCCTTGTCTATGACCAGTGAAAAAAGGTAGGAAGACCAGAAAAAGACCAAGGAACTTATCAAAATTTAGAATTTTATACGGTGGCTTCTATAGCTCTGTGTACATGACTGCCGTTTAACTAAATGACGTAATACCCTTTCTGGAATAAGCTCACAAAAGAATAGGAGGATAATAAATAGTTGCTGCTAGTATAAATGTCTCTCCCTAGAAGAATCTACTAAAAAGGGTGAGGAATTAGTTGAGTGATGATGTGGTTTCAACATTTTTACCATGCCTAAATGACACTTGAAATAACAGAGTAGAAAGGAAGAGACCATGAGCATGGAAAGAAAAGAGAGAATTATGGATACAGGGTGTTTGGGCACGTGAGATTTTACATTACAGGAAAGAAAGTAGCGTATATGGATTTAGATCAAGATAGGTTAGTATATTTGCTGATGGGAGCAAGTGGAATTTAAGGAAACTATGACAGATCATAGCAGGAAATGACCTCATATGAAGGAGAGTTAACATACATTAGAGAATAATAACCTACCCAGAGATTTAATATAATACAATTATTTTAAGGCAATAATTGGTGGACAACACCAATTCTGATAACAGGTAATTATAGGAAAAACATATATATGACAGAATCCACACTGAATCATCAAAGACAGAGACTCTTAATGAGTGAAAGAGACAGCAGTTACATCAAAAACATTAAATAAATAAGTTAGAACATATTTCTCATCAAGAACAGTAGGAACTCAACCTGTTGAATAAAATTAAGTAGCAACTGGCTGAGCACGGTGGCTCACGCCTGTAATCCTTTGGGAGGCTGAGGCAGGCAGATCGCTTGAGCCCAGGAGTTCAAAGCCAGCCTGGGCAACATGGTGAAACCCCATCTCCACCAAAACTACAAAAAATGAGCTGAGCATGGTGGTGAGTGCCTGTAGTGCCAGCTACTTGGGGGACTGAGGTGGAAGGATCTTGAGCCGAGGGAGGTTGAAGCTGCAGTGAGCTGACATTGTACAACTACACTCAAGCCTAGGTGACAAAGTGAGACCCTATCGAAAGAAAGAAAGAAAGAAAGAAAGAAAGAAAGAAAGAAAGAAAGAAAGAAAGAAAGAAAGAAAGAAAGAAAGAAGAGAAGGAAGGAAAGAAAGAAAGAGAGAAAGAAAGAAAGAAAGAAAGAAAGAAAGAAAGAAAGAAAGAAAGAAAGAAAGAAAGAAAATGTAAGTAGCAACCACTGCCACCACTTCTTCTAGTCAATATTTTATTCATAGTGCCACAAAACAAGGAAAAGAAATTGGGGTAATGAAAAGAAGAGCCACAGTTGTCCTTAATTACAATTTACATCACTATCTGTATAAAATTCATACAATTCTATAAATTATTAAAGCAAATAAACAAATTCAGCAAATTGCTATTATAATACCAAAATCAGAAATTCAATAGCTTTTCTATACGTCAGCAAGAACCAGGTAACAAATGTTATTTAAATAAAATACCTAATTCTCTATCTGTTATACACTGAATGTTTGTGTTTCCCCATAATTCATATGTTGAAGTCCTAAGCCCCAACTTCCCAAAGTGATGATACTTGGAGGCAGAGCCCTTAGGAATAATTAAGTTTACATCAGGTCATGTGCATGGGGCCCCATGATGGAATTAGTATCTTTGTAAGAAGAGGAAGAGAGACTCATCTCTCTCCCTGTGTGAAAGATTTCTTTGAAATAAAAAGGTTTTCCTATTATAACATATAGGCCATAGTGCACTAGGAAAATTGCTCTGTTTCATGCCACTCCAGGCTTTTAATGTATGCAGATGTGGTATGTGCACCTGTTAAAGTTTTGAGTATGAAAAAAGTGTTAGGGGAAACACAGAGATGTTAACATAAAGACATGATGTTACTGAGTCACAAATCAATGTTTAAAACAGCTTACTTCCAGATTTCTTGTTATGTAAGAGAAGTTATTCCCTCTTATTTAAGAAACTATTATTTGGATACTATATTTATTTCATTCTATTGATTTATATCTGAAATCATTCCTCTGATATAAAAGATATTCAAAATGCTTACATAAATGATGAATAACCTGTTCATAGGTAGTAAGATCCTGAACAGTATAGCAAAGTTAAATGTCTAACAACATCAAGTTTATTGAGTAATTTTATGTTGCATAACAAGCATCCCTAAACTCAGTGCTTTAAACAACTATCACTTGCTCACAGTACTGAGGATGAGCAATTTGGGCTATGCGCAGATAAGAAGTTCTGTTCTTCTTTGGGATCATTCAGGCAGTTGTGTTTATCTGATGGTTTGACTGGGGCTCAGTGATCCAAGGTGACCTTATTCAGATGTCTGGCAGTTGGCTGTGACATCCATTTTCTTCTTCACAAGTTATATCTTTCTCCAGCAAGGTAGGCTGGGATTCTTCACATATGGTATATGGGTTCCAAATAGGAGAAGACAAAATCTGCAAGGTAATTCATGGAATAGGCTATGGAACTCACAGAATGTGATTTCCACCACATTCTACTGGTCAAAGTTTGTTATTAGCAAAGCAAGCCAAATTCAATAGATGGAAAATAGATTCTACCTCTTGAAGTGAGAAGCTACAATATGCTCTGGCCATGTTTTCAATCTCTATCCAAGTAATGGCAAGAATATGTGAAAATATTTAGAGATTATTGATAGTGTTGTAAAATGTTTGATAAATCCCAAGAAGCGTTTGGCAATATACCTCAGGAATAAATATGCACATATCCTCCAAACCAGCAATTCCGCTTCCATGGAAGAACTCTAAAAAAACATTGCATATGTGTAAAGGAAAGCAAGTTTAAGGAGAAAATCACAGCATTGTCTGTAAATGGAAAAACGAGAAATCAATTTAAAGTCTGCCAAGTAGATACACACATTAGAGTACATGCATAAGCCAAAAACTATATAGTAGTTAGTTGAAATGAATGAACTGCAGGCATATGTCCATAAGTATTAATTTTGGAAATTAAAATCTCTAATGAACAAACAAGTTACAAAAGAATATGTATAGTATAATAGGACTTATTTAAACTTAAAAAGCCATATAATACTATATATTATTATGGGTGTATATGTACATTTGAATATGAAAAAATATACTGGGAAAAATGCACATAAGCTTCAGGATAATGTTTACCTCTGTGAATAGAAGAGTATGAAAGCAGTAGAGATTTCCACTGTGTTTAACGTGTTGCTTCTTAATATATATCTAAAGCATTTTGCACAAATGTTATTATTCATAAAATCTATTTGATATGTACATTGATGTCTGTTATATTATCCTTTATAGCTCTTGCGTGCTTGAAATCTTTCAGAGTTAAGAGAATTTTAAGTGAAATATAATCCAGATTGTGTTTGCATAGAATATCTTCAGAAATTTATAAAACTAATTAGTACCAATGGGTATCTTTGAGGAAGGGAATCAGAGAGTTAAAGGGTACATCAGGTAAAAAAGACTTTGCACTTTATACTTTTTGATACTCTTTTAATTTTTATACCATGATCATGCGTTACGTTAAAAATATATTATTTCTCCATAATGAACATGCCTCGCTTGAAAACGTGAGATAAATCACACAACCTCTTGGCCATTCTTCAATTTGAATGACTTGGATGCTCCTCATTGTATATTCTTTGAGAGACCTCTGTCTGTCACCCTTATTCAATGAAAAACTTTCAGGTGGAGCCTCATTCCATTTATGGTACACTTTTTTTGACCTTCCTGGGGCTGCTAGAAATTTTCTATTCTCGTAAGTCTGACAAGGCCACATTCATTCTGCCCTTTCACTCTCATTGTCATTTAAAGGTCAGATTGTGTCAAATCCGTGCTCATTTGTTTTACCATATGCTATTTGAAATTGCACAAGCCTGAAAATCCTGAAGCCCAGCACATAAAGAGACAGTTGAAAACTTAAATATATATATATACACATAATTTTCATGAAACTCATATTCAAATATATATATATTCAATTTGATGTCAAGATAAAAATGAAAAATGGATATTTATTTCTTATTAAATAATTAATGTTAACACATTTTAAATGAGATAGACTCATTCACTTATGTATTTAATAAATGTAGAGAGCCTCCTGTATGCCAATCACTTTTCTTGGCATTAAGGAGACAGCACTGAACAAAAAACTAAGTTCTTTCCTTCATGCATCTTACATACTGTGGGGAAGAGACAGAAAACAATTAAACCATTCTGTATGTCAGGTCATGATGAGAAACAGAGAAAAACACACCAGGATAAGGAGAATAAGAGAGAAAGGGAGATGGGAGGAGTTACTCTTTTACAAAAAATGGTGATCAGAGACTGTGCACTTTATGCACCAACATTTAAGCAAAGACCTAAGAAAGTGGTAAAAAAAAAAAAAAAAAAAAAAAGCTTTCTGTGGAATCTTCCAGGCAGAAGAAACAGAATGTGCAATGGTCTTGGGGAGAAATGTGTTTCCTATACCCCTGGGACAGTAAATCTCATGACTGCAGTGTAGTGAGAGAAGGAAGAATGTAGCAAGATGTCAGAGAGTGGTAAGGGTTCATACCAAAACCTTGCGAGACACTTTGTAGAGACCTTTGTGTGTATACTTTGGCTATTATGCTGAGGGGATTTCTGAGCAGTGAAACAGAGTGACAAGAAGAAAGGGTGGAAGCAGGAAGACTGGTGAAGAGGCAAGAGATGACAGTGACTGGAAATAATAAGATATTTGGGGGTAGAGGAAGAAATAATAACAAAAATCATGTATGATTATTTGAATTCTTCTATTATAGTATCTATGATAAAGTCCATTTTGATTGTACATAAATTGTGTTGAATGTATTTACTGTACTTTTATGACATATGAAATGTATACAATTTCAAGTTTATAATAAAATTATTTAGTTTTTCACTGTGTGACTTAAAGTATACAAAGTTTAAAATGTTTTAAGTCTAAATTATTGTGGCCATGAAGTGTGTCATGTCAGGGCCTTCACCACTTATTTGTCCCTATGTTAGAGAAGACCCAAAAGTTATTGGGGAGCACCATGACTGAGGTCATGAGTTTCAAGAGTTGGAATGGTCTACGCTGAATTGGGTGTTCGTTAGGGTTCTCAATATTCTATGAGAAATTGTCAACCCAACCCACTTGCTCCGATATTTGGTATTTGTTACAAAGCACCTGGCTCTGCACTTGACCAACAGCAATGTAGAACTGTTGCAACCACCATACTTCACAGAATATGAGAGACAACTCACTCAATATCTCAAAAAAAAAAAAAAAAACTCAGCTGAAATGTAAAATGTATGTTTATTAGAACTGCCTAAAAATCATGAAGTTAATACATACCTCCAGAACTACATTATAAATGAGAGCACCACCACATAATGATCTGATCTGAGGTATTTAGCAAATAAATTGTGTGAACACTTATATTCATGCAAATATGAGTAAGACTGATTATTTTCTCCCATCGTCAACTTTTCCCACCTTCCATCTAAATAGAACATTAGCTGAGCATATACTTCCTAAAATAAAGGCCATATTTATCAATCTCCTGTGCAGCTAAATGTGGCTAAGTGACTAAGTCCTGGTCATTCACATATAAACAGAAGTGAGATGAGCAACTTTTAGCATGTACTCTGGAAAATAATTGGTAGGATTTCTGTTTTTCTCTTTCCACCTTCCTGTTGTCTTGAAGGTAGATAGGGTTGAATCTTTTTGAACAATGTGGATGAGGTCAACATCCTAGGGAGGGCCAAGCTAAAGAAAAATGGCATATAGGCAGAGGAGAGCAGCTTGGAATTTGGGGTAAGAGAAATAAATTCTGTCTTTTAGGAAACCATTTGGCGATTTCTGATAACAGCTGTTGAATTTATGTCCTAACTAATATAGAAAGATTTAATATACTTTGCATATATATTTAAAATACATCTTTTAAAAATTGTCATAAAAGAAAGTTACCTTTATCATAATACTGTTCACTTGTTTTCATCTTTAATTATGCTTGGTTCAGTAGTAGAATAAGTAGTGAAGTTACAAGGAAGACCACAATCACTCAAGGGATGCTGTTCCTGCACAGCGGCATTTTGCTGATGTATCATATACTGTTAATGGTTGGATATCACACATTATTATTCCGTTGAAATAAACCCTTTTAATGTATTAAGGCTCAGTTTTTTCAATGTACTAGGAGCTCAAAGTTACATGGCAAACAAAGCAGGCATAGTTCAAATCTCACAGAGCTTTTGGTTTAACAAAGACAATAGAAAACTTACAAACAATTTTAGGAATTGTGATACTCGCGATGATGGAAGATTGACCTGGAACAATATCGGATACAATTCTCCTCATCTTATACTGTAGATGTGTCTTTGTGTGTATGTATATGTATATACATAAGGGTGGACCCAGGGAAAGGCTTCCTGGGTCCTGCACAACAAGAATGACGTGTAGGTGTTAGGTGAAAAGAAGAAAGAAGACAGTCAAAGGTAGATCAAAGGGCCAATACAAAAGGTATGAGATGAGATAGTATATGAAGAACTGAATTATAGAGTGTGAAGGTAGGAGTGGTGAGAAATAGGTTATAAAGAGGGAGGGAAAAGGTGTCACTGGGTGTTATAAGATATAGGAACAGGTTATAGTTTCTCCTTAAGTCCCATGACAAACTTAGTAGGAGAGAGTAGTCTCTCCTTATGCAAGAGAGCTATCTTCCAAGACCCTCAGTGGATGTCTGAAACCTCAGATAGTGCTGAACCCTATATATACTATGTTTTTTTCCCTGTAAATACATACCCATAACAGAGTTGAATTTATAGTTTAGGCATAGTAAGAGATGAATAACAATATCTATATGCCAGCATCACTATTCTTGTATTTGAAGGCCATTGCTAGGTAAAATAAGGGTGGCTTAAACACAAACACTGTTATTATAATACCACGACAATCAGACAGGGTGCGGCAGCTCATGCCTGTAAGCCCAGCAATTTGGGAGGCCAAGGCGGGCAGATCAGCTGCTGTCAGGAGTTCAAAACCAGCCTGGTCAACATGGTGAAACCCCGCCTCTATTAAAAATACAAAAATTAGCCAGGTGTGTTGGTGGATGGCTGTAATCCCAGCTACTCAGGAGGCTGAGGCAGGAGAATTGCTTGAACTCGGGAGGCAGAGGTTGCAGTAAGCTGAGATTGTGCCATTGCACTCCATCCTGGATGAAAAGAGCAAAACAAGGCCCCCGCCCCCACCTAAAAAAAGTAAATCAAGCTGATAACTGAGATGGCTACTAAGCAACTAATGGGCAGGTTAGCACATGTAGCACAGAAACACTGGGTAAGGGAATAATTCACGTTGAGAAGCAGAATGGGTGCTGGGATGGGAGGGATGGAGTGGATGGCATGAGATTTCATCACCCTACTCAGAATGATGCACAATTTAAAAGTTATGATTTGTTTATTTCTGCATCATTCCATGAAATATTTTCAGGCCATGGTTGACTGCAGAAAACTGAAACCACAGAAAGTGAAACAGTGGATAAGTCGAGACTGCTGGTTAGACTGCAGAGTGGGTGATGGAAATTGGATTTTTGAAAGTTCACCTTTGGTTGCATGCCTGGATGGAGATGATATCTAAGGCATGAAGATCAATAAGTGGCTGTGACATTCAAGTTAGATATAATGGTGACCTAGACCTTGGTAGTGCTAACAAAGTTTGGAATAGTGAATGATTCAAGAACTTTTTACAAGATGGTATATACAAAACTTAATTACTAATTAGATGGATTGCAAGAAGGAAAGGGAGAGTTTCCGATGTTTAAAAAACTGGGTGAATGTACATGTGATTCAATTAGATCAGAAAAATGAGAAGAAACAGTTAAGAAGGAAAGATGATACGTATCCTTGGAAATGATAGGTTAGAGGTACCTGTGAATTGTGCTTATGCAGCTATTCGGAAAGGAGATAAATGTACATAAAGTTATACTGGTACTGATTTCATCATCCAGGTGCATATGAGTTGCAAGCAGTCAAATAAAGTCAACAGTGTTTTTTGTTTTTCAATCAAGTGAAATAGAAGGTTCATGGCAAGAGTGTTAAGTGTACTAAAAATAAAGCATAATTTTTTAAAAAAATCATAGGATATAATATGATTTGGATCTTCGTCCCCCATTCAAATCTCATGTTCAATTGTAATCCCCTCTGTTGGAGGTGGGGCCTGGTGGGAGGTGATTGAATCACGGGAGCAGATTTCTCATGAATGGTTTGGTACCATCATCTTGGTACTGTTATCACAATAGCAAATGAGTTATCACAAGATCTGGTCATTGAAAATTGTGTGGCACCTCTGCCTCCTTCACTCCTGATTTTACCATATGACATGAAAGGTCCAATTCACCTTCTGCCATGATTGTAAGCTTCCAGAGGGCTCCCAAGAAGTGGATGCCGCTAGGCTTCCTGTATAGGCTGCAGAACCATAAGCCAATTCAACCTATTTTCTTAAAAATTGTCGAGTCTCAGGTATTTTTTAATAGCAATGCAAGAACAGCCTAATATAGGATATGTGATACATTGAACAAGAAACTAAAATTGGTGATTTCAAGTAGATAGAGAAAAATAAGAGAACCATTGGTGAGCATGCCAATGAGTTTATGAGTTGATGTCATAAATATCTAATGATACATCATCTAATGATGGAGATACACTTTGAGAAATGAGTCATTATACAGTTTTGTTGTGTGAACATCAGAGTACATTTAAACAAACCTAGATGTTGTAGATCACTACACCTAGGCTATATAGTATAGCCTATTTCTCCCAGGCCACACACCTTCACAGCATGGTACTGCACTGAATAGTGTAGGCAACAGTAGCACAACCGTAAGTGTTTGTGTATCTAAACCTACGTAAACATAGAAATGGTTCAGCAAAAATATGTAATATGGTCTCATGGGACCATCGTAGTATATGCAGTCCATCATTGACTGAAACATAATTATGTGATGCATGACTATAGTGGAGAGGTAGATTAGGAAGGAGACTAAACTGCTCTCTGCAATTGGGATTACAATTATTTTGTTAATTTAAGAGGTGGGGAAATTCCAGCTACACTTATGTTTAAGGATCACAGCCATACATGTAGGTGGCTGTTATGAAGTGGAAGAAAAGATAATTTGACATAAAGAGATTAAAAACTAAGAGATGAAGATGTTGGGTAAATCTTACCCAACATAACGGCAGGACTTGGCAGGAAAAGAAAGACTGGAAGCCAGATACTTATGCTTTCAGCGAGCGGGGAGTGAGCAGGCACTCACAGGATGGCAGCCTGGAGAGGTATTAAGGCTGATGCAAAAAAGCAATTACATTTACATGAAGGTGAAGAAGTAATCATTTAGATTAAACATAGAGGTTACAAGGCCATTGACTACACATCACAAAACAGTTTCTAGAAGAGTCTTTTCTCAAGAAAGTCACAGAAAGCATTATCCTCAGAGAAGAGTCACATTCCAGAGTGCATGATAGAGAAGTGGTGATAGGAAAAGTAAGAGTTTAAGTTTAAGAAAAAATACTATCTTCAGACTAAAGGGTTCAGAAGGAGGAACGGATAACCCCTCCAAAATTTCATTTTGATCAGTGAACAAGGATAACAGAGATTTGGCATATTGTATTACATTTCAAGGTTGTAAAAAGAGAAAACTTAGAACCTGTGAGTTCCCTATACTATTGGTGTCTTCAGGTAACATCAGAGAATAATATATGGAGAAGAAAATCCAAGAAACTATATGAAAATCTCTGAGATAGGCATCCTTTCTCTGAATTTTTTGGATTTGTGTTTATCATAAAGTCCCATGCAGTGTTGCCAGTCTCTCCTTGTCATCAGTCAATTCAGGACATAGCTACCAAGGCATTCTCCATTATTGTTTATATCTTGTCCTTAACCCACTCAAAAGCAGTCACTATCACCCCACAGACAAGATATGATAAAACTTTAAATGTCCTAACTAGGCTGCCTGTGATTCAGCCAAAGAGTTCGGCACTTGCTATGAGTTGGGGAAAACCAAAGACAGAGGAAAACAAAATGTCACTTGGGTCCCCTTTGAGTGTGATGGAATGGACGAGATGAATCATTTGCTTGTATAGCAGAAGTAATTACAGACATTTGTAACAATGTATAACAATGAGGTTTTCCATCATGTCATATCAACAGTTAGGTCTTCAGTTGAAAAGGGAGCAAATTATTGCATGATCATCTTCATCTTGTTGGTATGCAACAGGGGGTTAATGCTCAGACTCCCTTTCATATGTTGGGAACATCCGTAGGAAAGGCAGCTGGCAGTATGGCAGACCACAGAGAAGTGCAATAAAGTTTTAGTTTCAATCCATGTGAGATTAGAGATGTCAACCAAATGTTTGCTATTAATCTATACTGCCTGATTTGCATCTTACTGTACCACATGTTAGTGTTTTTCCAAATTGCCATTGAATGAATATGATAATTTGATATTTATTGAATTTCAGCAGTGAACTCGACAACATGCAGGACATAATAATGGAGAGATTTCATGGGCAGAGACCTTAGACAGTGCTGAAAAGCAAGCGGGAAAGTGGGCATGAATGCTGATGCGAAACTTAATTGGAAATTATTCATTTTATTGTCCTGTAATAAACTTGAAGAGTGCACATTAAAATAAAGAACAGAAGTGGTTTGAAGAAGAATTTAAAGATTTTAAAAAATGACGTTTGTTTTTTGTTCTTGCGATAGTTTACTGAGAATGATGATTTCCAATTTAATCAATAAAAAAAAAAAATGACGTTTGTGATTCTGTTAGGAGAGACAGGCATATTTCCCTACAAGCAACCACATGGGATCATAGGGTTGGGTGAACCTTAAAACTTGTACTTGGATACCTGCATAGTAACTCTTTTCTTCATGTGAGTTAGAAATTTCAGAAGGATGAAAGGTAAACTTCATATCGGAGTTTCCATCCAAATCAGTCTCATTATCTCTAGCAACTATAGGGTGAATAGCATGGAAATCAGATGATCTTCACCTTCCAAAAGTTGATCAAGTCACAACGATTTATGAATATATATGTTTATTCAAAATGACATTGCATACCTGTATAAAGCATATGTCACTGATACTGTATCATAAGAGCATATGGTATACCGAATATTTATTTTTCTAGAAAACTGAAATGCATAACATGTCTACTGAAATAAGTGTAAGAAAAGAAAATATTGGAATGCATAAGTCATTGACACATTCCACAAACAATGCTAGGTACTTTGTTCAGCTGACAATAATCTTGTAAGTTAGATTTTATTATTCTTATATTGTAGAAGGAATAATACAACCAAAGATGTTTTACAGTACATTAGGTTCATAAAAGAGTGAGCTAAAACTTGAATCCAGTTGTACTAGCACCAAATTCATACACTTTCTACTGTACTACCACTCAACTCTAAAATAAACAAATATTTAAAAGTAAAATATTTTTTAAAAGCAGCTGGTCTAAGAAAACTAATTTGTCAATATGGGAGGTAGGAAGATTGTAATATGTGTATAATAAATGCAGAATTTCACAACCTATTCAATATGTAGGCTAATTTATCTCTAAATACTATATATTATATTTTTACAAAACTTTATATTTAAATAGGATAGAATTATAATTACAATATTATACCAAATGTGGGTTTTCTGTTATTACAGGCAAAATTAACTTTCTGCTAGTCCTTGAAAGGAATCTGTGTGCAAAAGACATCTTCCTGTCATCTGTAAGGTACTGATATTTTCTCCAGTGTCATTATAGTTTATAACGAATCAGGTCAGAAAATGTACTAGTCCCTTTAACTATGAGAATTGTTCTAAGATTCCCTTACTAATCACATATTCAACTTTGGCAGGGGGTGGGTGTTGGAGATAATTCATAGTCAAAAAGAATTATTAAATGATGAGCAGCTATTATTTTGCAATGCCATTCTGGGAGTCTTTGGGGATTTTACATTTACATGAGTTACACTTTAAGAAGTAAGTGGCTTAGGAATATTTTTAAACTTATTAGTGATAAAGAAGGAAAACAGCTATTGACAAGTGAGGATGAGCACCCACCATATGGATTTTAACATTTTAATTATTTTGTTCTTTTTCTTTTTAAAGCAACTCTTAGTGGTAATAATTTTTCAACTAATTAAAGACCAGCTGCTACTTAGCAAGCTGGACACCCAATTAGGATGTGAAACCTGCTAAACAACCTTTACTGCCAGCCAGCTAGCTGAATCACCTCCTGTCTCGTCACTGGCGTGGAATTGATTATTTTTTGTTTTGTTAAATGCATGTTGTTGTCACACAAACTGGATCTCCAGAATGTTTTTCTTTCAGAAGAGCTGAACAATCTGACATCCCGTTCAATCTCAATTTTTGGACGAATTTGAGATCTGTAGCAAGGTCCTTCGTCTATTTTTGTAAATATAATTATGGAATGGCTGTGGAGAATTACACTTTGCAGAAAGAAAAAAAAAAAACCTTGAAATGCAGAAGGTAACCACCCACGTTACTTATGATTGACAGTGAGATAATGGTATCACGTAAAATGGTTTTTGTATACTCAGGAAAAAAATCAAAAAATGATCATTATATTTCTATTCATGACTAAGAAGTTTGGTCTTAAATGTTCATGATTTTTTTCCCCCAAGAGTATCTTAAAAAATGGAATGAAGGTGCCAGGATAAATTAGAGAGAAATAAACTTGTAAAATACAGTCTTATTGTATGCATCATGTTTTTTTCCCCTCTGTAATAGTTAGAAATGGTTTATCTTCACAAAACAAAACCTCTCAAATTGCTGAAGGAAAACAACAATTTAGCATTGATTCTATGGAAAGTCTTTAAATGTAATATAATACTCAAAAATTTCTTTCTCACTATTTTAAATAGTTGTTGCTAATGAAAATAGGCTCCAATAAATACATAAATCAAATTGAAATCCAGAGATAATTGATTATGGATAATGAATTCTCAGACACTTTGACTCACAAAGAGAATTCAGTATTCTCTCTTAGAATTATCCAATGCCTGGCGAATTCCTAACTGTCAGACACCTTAGAAATTGGCAGAGCTGTAGCCTGTGATTCACATATTTAGTTGTATCGAATAATCCTTAATGACCTGGAAGAACTCATGCTATTGGCAGGGATGTCAGACGGGACACAAGGATCACTACCTTCTCCCATTGCTTGCTTTGCTGTGCTGGTTTTTTGTAGCTTCAATTCTGTGCTCTAAGGCACAGTGGGTGCTCAATAAACATTGTTGATTGGATGTCATTACATCTGCTGTGAGTGACAATGAGTCTGACAGGCCTGAATCCAAGGATCCTCTGGCAACTTTAGCAAATGGTGAGGACACCACACTGGATATCACGGGACTGGAAGTGTTAAAGCTCTCAGCAGGAGATTAACTCTGCCTCTAGGAGCCTGAAGTTGATTTGGAAAAGATAGTACAAGGGCTGGCAATCAAGAACATGTTTGACTCTTTCTTGGGTGCATGGTGTACGCAGTGTTTTTGATGTGAATTATGGCTGAGCCTCCATCAGGGTGCCTCTCGGGACAGATGCTGTGGCCAGAAGGCACTTTCTTGAGCTGAGAATTTTCTGCTCAATGTTGACTACTGCTTACACTAAAATTGTTTTTGTCACGTGCGCCAGCAGGGCAAGCAACAGCAACTAGAAGTCAACTTTTCTTCTACCATTCTTCAGGTCTCTAAATGCGGCCATAGCAGTTTTCTACAAGGCAGGTCAGATCATGTCATAATTGTGCATAAACACTTTAGTTGTCTTGCTTTGCCTGTATGATCACATTCAGGGACTTCAGCGTGGGGGACTAATCCGAGTGTGAACTGGTCCTTGAATAATTCTTTTAAATCTTTTGCAAGACTCAGATTTTCGTGGATAATGATATATCATATTTGGCATTTCTAATTTGCTAGGTGCTTTTCTCTGTACTTGACGTATGTAAACTCATTTCATTCTCAAAATAACTCTATGAGGTAGGTACCATATATTATCATCTCTATTTAAAGATGAGTAAAAACTAAAGCACAGAGAGCAAAGGTAATTTCAAGGTCATGCAGCTGGTGAAGGTGAGATTCTAACCTAAATCCATCTAAGCCCGTGCTCCTGGCTACCATGCTTCCTCCCATAGATTCCCCTCTGATTGTAAGCCTCCCTCGGTGCCTTTGTATTTGCTGTTTCCTTTATCTTGAATGCCTTTCTTCTTCATGGCTGATTGGGCTCAGCTGTCAAGACTCAGCTACAGGATTTATTTCATTACGAAGCAATCGCTGACACTCAAATCAGAGTTGCCTACTCCCTCTTTTTGGCCAATACTACTACACCTAGGGAAAAAATAACCACAACAATAACTACGATTGCCACTACAGTCTTAACAGCATGATAATTATTATCATGTATCTATTACTTAATATGGCACTATTTGCCTGGTATTGTGACATACCATCTTCATCTCCACCATAGTGTGGCACAACATCATGACACAGAGAGGTTAAGTGACTTACCCAAAGATAAATGGATAATTAGTGACAGAGCCAAGATCTGTTTATGTCTAATGTGCAATAAATTATTTAACAATAATTCCTTGTTAGAAAATGATTAAGAGTTTCAAGATGGCTTCAAAAGCATTAAGTGAGGGTGCCTTTTAAGCATGAATAGCTGTGTGACAGCACTGGATGCATACCTATGCAGCCAGTCCTCTTCAGGAACCAATGGGACCACTGGGAATGCAAATAAATATTTACCCATTAAACATGTTCTCAGCTTGAGGATTGGGGTACATAAATGCGCATACTCATATTGAACTATTCTTGCATTCTCAGAATAAATGTTACTGGTTTATAGTGTATTTATTATGTTTTGAATGTGGTACAGAATTTTACTCGCTAATGTTTTATTTATAATTTTACATCTATGTTCTTAGTGTTATTATTTTCAACGTATATATTAAAATTATGTATGATTCATTAAAAGAATTAGAAAGAAGATTTCCTTTTTGGCATGGAAAAATGTATGTAGCGTTATAATTATGATTATCTAGTCTCTACAATGCGGTAAGAACTCCTCTATGAAAGGAACTAAATATGGTGCTATTTCAAGTAGAGTTCCTTTTTAAAATCTTCTTAATTTCTTTATGGAAATAGCTTGATTTAAAAATTCTATCTCTCTTCTAGTAAAATTTGATTATTTTTATTTTTACTGGTTATTTTTCCTTCATCTAGGCTTTCACATATATTTGTATGGACTTATACAAAGTAACCTTTCTTGATTTTTCTAATTTTTTTTGTTTCAGTGGTTATTTTCCTATTCGATTTGTAAATTTGTACTTTTTCATTTTCTTTCTTTACTAAATTAGCTAATGTTTGTCTTCTGTTTTTTTTCCTGAAAAAATCAGTCTATTGATTTATTAATTATGTTTTTTCCTGTTTTCCCTTTCACTAATCCTGTACTTACACTTTTTTCTTAAAACCTTGTATTTACTTGCTTTATTTTTCTCTTACTAATTTTGAAATTTGGACTTGTTTTGTGTTTTATTTTATCTCCTTGGTTGGTTATTTTTATTTTTTGGAAATTTTACTATTTTTATTTACAAATTTTATTTCTGTTTTATCTTTTCCCCTACATTTGTATAACAGAGATTTTTCCTCACAGATGAAAGGGCCATTTTTTTCTCATGGTTAATTCCAGTTTTGTTATACTGTGATTGAAGAATGTTGTTACCATTATTTCTACTTTAAGGAAATTAATGAGGTATTATTTCATACTGAATATATAATCAATTTTTGTGAAGAGAAACTAGTGCTTGAGAGGAAGCTGTATTCTGTATTATATGCATGTAAAATTTGTATGTAAACACACACCAACACAAACATCACAATAAAATCTACCTTATTGATTCTGTTACTTATATCTTCTATATCTTTATTCATTCTTTGTTAGCCTATCTTGGACTAAGCATAGTGTGTCGAAGGCCAAAATATTTGATTATGTGTTTCTACTTATTTCTCCTTATACCTTATATGTCTTCTGCTCTATGTAAAAACTGCTGTATTTGCTGCACTAGTACTCATAACTATATCATCATCGTACATTTTGGCCTATAATATTTTAAGGTGTTTGTCACTGTAAATTGTAATACTTTTTAACTGGATTCCACCTCAACTTGCATTAAGATTAAAACACCTGTTTCCAATTGGTTTCATTTTGTTATACATTTGTCTCATATTCATTTGTCCACCCCCGTGGTTTCAGTCTTATTGAATATCTTTATTTTTAGTCTATCTTTACCTAAAACATAGAATTATATTTTGGTTGGAAGGCAATGTAAAATGTTATTTCTTTTAATACACAAGTTAAGTTGATTTCTACTTATGAATATGGTTAATATGTTTGTTCTTAACTGGGTATAATATTTTATATATTCTTTTCCCTCTCTGCATGTGTTCTGTTTTATTTTCTTCTTTTCTATTTTTCTTTGTTGTTATTTGTAAAGATTTCAGTTTTTCTTCTAGAGGGTACCTTTTTGACAATACCTTTAATAATGTCTTTGGTCCACTTTTCCCTTAATTAGGTCTCCTCTCTTTGACTTAGCAGTTTACAATCTACTCACTGACTACACCTATCATTTATGTAACCATTGCTGAGTGTATTCTCATTTCTTCATTATCTTCCTGTTTTCCTTTTTGTAGCATTATTACTTTTTAATTCAGAACAGATAATAATTACATTCTATTCTTCCACCCTTGTCTCCATTATAAATATGATTAAATATATTCAATTGTAATCTTAATTTTTTTGCCAAAATTTTACTAGTCAACTCTTAGTTGGATGATATTCAACCTTTTGTAAATTACTCAGAAGGGCTTTTGGATACAGTATTCTCAAGTTCTGACATGTTTAAATTTGTGTCTCTATAACCATTATACTTGAAAGACAGCTTGGCTGGAAATAAGATTCTTGGCTCACACTTTTCTTTCCTCAAGTTTTTTTGAAGCTGCTGTTTAATGTTATCTTTATTTCTATATAACTATAAAAATTTTGAGTTCAAAGTTATTTTTCTTTGTAAGTGACTTATTTTTTGTTTTGTATTTTATTGGTGTCCTAGGGGAATTTGTTATCTCCAAAGTTAAATATTTTTAATGTCTTCAAGATGGCAATTCTGAGTTAATATTTCCATGTGCACCATGTATCCTTTTTATATATAATTATAGACCTTTTATTTCCCTATGGTTTTCCTGGAGAATATTTTTAACTATTAATTTTGTTGGATTGTTTTGTTTTTCTTCTTCATGTAATTCACCTTGAAACGTAGATCTGTTTTCCTAACTCATTAAAAATCGTCATTCTCTCTGACCCTTTTGAGCTACTTTTAAGGTTTGGTTTTGTTTTCTTTTATTCTCATAAGCACATTTATACATTGCCTCATATCTTTTCACTGTATTTTTAATTGAATCTATTCTACTTTTATCAGCTTCTAATTTAGTCTTAATTGCTATGACTACTTTGTCTTTACCTTCAATTCTTTCTTATGATCAGTCAACTCTTGTTTGACATTGTCTACGTTTTTTTTTTTTTTTTTTTTGGTACTATTCCATTATAACTATTTAAATTTCTGGCTGGGTGTGTTGGTTCACTCCTGTAATCCCAGCACTTTGGGAGGCCTAGTCGGGTGGATCACAAGGTCAAAAGATCAAGACCATCCTGGCCAACATGGTGAAACCCTGTCTCTACTAAAAATACAAAAATTAGCTGGGCATGGTGGCACACGCCTGTAGTCCCAGCTACTCGGGAGGCTGAGGCAGGAGAATCCCTTGAACCTGGGAGGTGGAGGTTGCAGTGAGCCAAGATCGTGCCATTGCACTCCAGTGTGGAGACAGAGCAAGACTCGTCTCAAAGAAAAAATAAATTTCTGATTCATGGTGTTTTCATCTGCATGACGATTGATTCTGAAGAAAAATTTTCACCAGAAATAATTTATTCTCGTTTCATAAATTATTTATATTATTTCCCTTCTATGGATATAATCCATCATTTTCAGTTCATTTGATAATATCTTGTTGTCCTTGTATACAACCATTCCCCATGAAATACATTATGATAGATAAATAAAACTGTACTCCATTGTAGCAATCGAATGCCTTCTTATACTAAGAAGCTTAGTCACTGAATTCACTCACTCCTCTTTTACTGAACTGGGAAAATAGGGTATTTCTTTTGTTGTGTTGTGTTTTGTTTTTCTTTTGAAGGAAATAAGTATTTATATTTCAAAATATTGGCAACATTACAAAGTTAGTTAACATAACAAATACCTATACCATGCCTCTTAACCAGAAAGCTAAATTGGATCTCATATGTGGTAAATAGAAAGGAATCAGACATACGTGAAAGAAAAATGTTTCTTTAGTTTGTCTTCATGATAGGATTTAAAATCTTTTTTTTTTTTTCTTTTTTGAGATGGAGTCTCGCTCTGTCGCCCAGGCTGGAGTGCAATGGCATGATCTTGGCTCACTGCAACCTCTGCCTCCCAGGTTCAAGTGATTCTCCTGCCTCAGCCCCCCAAGTAGCTGGGATTACAGGCGCCCGCCACCACACCCAGCTAATTTTTGTATTTTTAGTAGAAACGGGGTTTCGCCAGGTTGGACAGGCTGGTCTTGAACTCCTGACCTCAGGTGATCCACCCACCTCGGCCTCCCAAAGTGCTGGGATTACAGACATGAGCCACCATGCCAGGCCAAGTTTCTCAACTGCTAATTCATATTTTTTATTAAAAGCTGTTAAAGAAAAATTATTCTGATATTTGCTAAAACAGCAAGAAAGATTTTATGCATTATTAAAATAGTGAAGAAAGACTGAACTTAACTTCCAATATGACAAAATGTGAGTATTTATATTATCAGAATAAAGGAATCAGTGGAAGAATACTCACTAATAGGAAACATCAAGGCTAGGGGATAGTTACTAAATTGGCCTAACAGCATTCACAGGTCAAGAACATAGACACCAAAGGTAGGAGGTAAAGAAATTGATCAGATGTCAAGGGTAAGAGATTCTCGCTAAAGACAGGCCAAGGTCAAGGCCTAGTCAAGGAAAGGGCTCAGAGGAGCCTAACTAATGTTTTGTCAATGAGGGAGTGTTTGTCAAAGCCATTCAAAAACTTAGTTTCTACTCTTTAAAATAAATTCACTTTTTTATTATTCACAGTAGGTGATCATACTTAAATTGAGTACAGAAACTAAATGCTATAGGTAAATGAAATCTTAATGAATACAAACTACAAGCAAGAATAGAAGAGAGTTAATATAATTTACTCCTCTGAAGAGATTAAATAGTATAATGAAGCATTTATTATTAACTGTTCAATTTATTTTAAGATTATAAAATTATAACAGCATCATTATGACATTTTCTTACCTTATGACAGATTTTATTTTATTTTATTTTTTAACTTTTATTTTAAGTTTAGAGGTATATGTGCAGGTTTGTTATATAGGTAAACTCCTGACACAAGGGTTTGTTGTACAGATTATTTCATCATCCAGGTACCACACCTAGTACCCAATAGTTATGTTTTCTGATCCTTGCCCTCCTCTTACCCTCCACACTCAAGTAGGCGCCAGTGTCTGTTGTTCCCCTCGTTGTGTCCATGAGGTCTTAACATTTAGCTCCCACTTATACTTGAGAACATGCAATATTTGCCTTTCTGTTCCTGCATTAGTTTGATAAGTATACTGATGTCCAGCTCCATCCACATTCCTGTAAAAGACCTGATCTCATTTTTTTGTGGCTGCATAGTATTCCACACTGTATATGCACCACATTTCCTTTATCCAGTCTGTCATTGATGGGCATCGAGATTGATTCTATATCTTTGCTGTTGTAAATAGTGTTTCCATAAACATATATGCTCATGTGTCTTAATGGTAGAATGATTTATCTTACTTTGGGTATATACCCAGTAATGGGATTGCTGGGTCAAATGGTAATTTTGTTTTTAGCTCTTTGAGGAATTGCCATTCTAACTATCAATAATGGTTAAACCACTTTACACACCAACCAACAGTATATAAGCATTCCCTACTATTTGACTTTTTATTACTAATAGCCATTCTGACTGGTGTGAGATGGTATCTCATGTGGTTTTGATTTGCATTTCTCTAATGATCAGTGATGTTGAGCTTTTTTTCATATGCTTGTTGACAAGTATGTCTCCTTTTCTGAAGTGTCTGTTCATGTCCTTTGCCAACTTTTCAATGGGGTCGTTTTTTTTTTTCTTGTAAATTGGATTAAGCCCCTTATAGATTCTGTATATTAGACCTTTATCAGATGCACAGCTTGCAAATATTTTCTCCAATTCTGTAGACCCTCTGTTTACTATATTGATTGTTTCTTTTGCTGTGCAGAAGCTCTTAAGTTTAATTACATCCCATTTTTAATTATTTGCTTTTTTTGTGATTGCTTTTGACATCTTTATCATGAAATCTTTGCCCATTCCGACATCTAGAATGGTATTAGCTAGGATGTCTTCAAGGACTCTTATAGTTTGGGGTTTTACATTTAAGCCTTTTATCCATCTTGAGTTGATTTTTGTATACAGTGTAAGGAATGGGTCCAATTTCAATCTTCTGCATATGGCTAGCCATTTTTCTCAGCACCATTTATTGAATAGGGACTCCTTTTCCCAATGCTTGTTTTTTTCAGCTTCATTGAAAATCAGATGGTTGCAGGTGTTCAGCCTATTTCTGGGTTCTCTATTCTCTTCCATTGGTCTATATATCTGTTTTTGTACTAGTAGCATGCTGTTTTGGTCACTGTAGCAATGTAGTATAGTTTGAACTTGGGTAACATGATACCTTCAGATTTGTTATGTATGCTTACTATTGCCTTCACTATTCAGGCTCTTTTTGGTTCCACACAAATTTTAAAATAGGTGTTTCTAGTTCTGTGAAGAATGTCATTGGTAGTAATAGGAATAGCATTGAATCATAAATTTCTTTGGACAGTATGGTCATTTGAATGATATTGATTCTTCCTATAACTGAGCATGAAAATATTTTCCATATGTTTGTGTCTTCTCTGATTCCTTTAAGCAGGGTTTTGGAATTCTCATTGCAGAGATCTCCCACTTCCTTGGTTACAAGTATTCTTAGGTATCTTATTATTTTTGTGGATATTGTGAATGGGATTGCCTTCCTGATTTGGCTCTCAGCTTGGCTGTTGTTGGTGTATAGGAATGCTAGTGATTTTTGTATATTGATTTTGTACCCTGAAACTTTACTGAAGTTGTTTATCAGATCTAGAATCTTTTGGGCGGGACTATGAGATTTTTCTATGTATAAAATCATATTTCCTGCAAACAAAGATCTTTAGACTTCTCTCTTCTTATTTGCTGGATATGGCTAGCATATCCAGCACTATGTTGAATAGGAGTGGTGTTTGGTTCTCAAGGAGAACGCTTGCAGCTTTTGCCTGTTCAGTATGATGTTGGCTGTGCAAGTGTCATAGATCACTCTTTGTATTTTGAGGTATGTTCTTTCAATGCCTAGTTGAGGATTCTCAACATGAAAGGATGTTGAATGTTATCGAAAACCTTTTCTGCACCTATTGGGATAAGCATGAGGTTTTTGTCTTTAGTTCTTTTTGAGTGATGAATCACATTTATTGATTTGCATATGTTGAACCAACCTTGCATCCCAAGGTTGCCTATTCAATTGTGGTAAATTAGCATTTTGATGTGCTTTTGGACTGGTTTGCAAATATTTTGCTGAGGACTTTGGCATCAAAGTTCATCAAGGATATTGGCCTGAAGGTTTTTGGTGGTGTTGTGTCTCTGCCAGGTTTTGGTATCAGGATGACGCTGGCCTCATAGAATGAGCTGGGGAGGAGTTTCTCTTCTTTTTTTAATAATAGTTTCCGTAGGCATGGTACCCACTCTTTTTTGTACATCTTGTATAATTCATCTGTGAATCTATCAGTCCTGGTCTCTTTTGGTGGGTAGGCTATTTATTACTGATCCAATTTCAGAGCTTGTTATCAGTCTGTTCAGGAAGTCCATTTCTTCCTGCTTCAGTCTTGGGAGGGTGTATGTGTCCAGGAACTTATCCATCTATTCTAGGTTATTGTGGACCATTTCTTCTCATTGGTGTATGTTGTACCATTGTGTGAATATATTTATAAATTCTATTATTGATGGTTAATTGTATATCTTCTGTTTTTAGCCATTGTGAAAAGTGATGCTATGAAGGTTCTAGGATATGTTTTCACATGAGCAATAATGTATTTTTTGGATATATGCCTAGTAATAAAATTAAGTCAATTTTCCAAAGTGTATGTGCCTATTTACATCTCCAGCAGAGTCTATGAGATTTCTTGTTGCTCCAAATCCTTACCAAAACTTGATATTTTCAGTGTTTTCCATGGCATATATAAGGAATCCAACTTATCAATTTGTTCATCAATACATTTTTTAAATTTTTGTTTAAGAAATATTTTATTCACTTCAAGATGTCAAAGATGTTCTATATTTTCTCTTATTGTATTACATTTTATATTTAGATTTGAATCTGCTGAATTTTGGCAGAAGGAATATGATGCAAGGTAGTTGTCAAAACGTTTTTCCATATGTCTGTCCATCTAAAATATGAACAATTATTGAAAATACAATTATTTCTCAACTGTTATACAGTATTAACTTTGTGAAAAATCAGATGATGATTTTGCAGAGTCTGTTTCTGAAATCTCTGTGACATTGGTTTGTTATTTTTTTCATGCTGCAACGTCATACTATCTTAGCTACTATAGTTTTAAAATAGGTCTTGCTGTCTTGCAAAGCAAGTCCATTTTTGTTTGCTTCTCCTTAAAATTACACTGAATACTTTTTCTGCCTTTTATGTTTCCATAGAAATGGTAGAATCAGGTTGTCAATACACACCACACACACACAAATACACATGCAGACTCACACACAAATATTTTCCCTACAGGTATTGATATTTAGATTGGGATCCAAATGGTTCTATAGATTATTTGAGGAGAACCGGCATGTTTACTAGTTTAAATCTTCTAATCCATGGACGTGGCATATAATTTAAATTTTCATTAACTTGGCTCAATAACATTTATTGTTTTTGCTGTCTTGCAATATTTTCTATAGGTTTATTGCTTTACTTGATGTGTGTTAGTTTTTGATGTTGTTTTGATGTTGTTGTGGTAGCTTGCTTGAATTTATTACATTCTTCAAAATAAATAAAAAGAAATATTCTTAGTCAATGATGAGATACTTGATGAATCAATGATAATGATTAATATAATTATGTTAAAATGAAGATAAAAAGTGTCACCTTAGGAATAAAATAAATTATCTCTATACCACAGTAAGTATTTCATAGCTTAGAATTACGTCCTTCAGTTATATTTTTAAATACGTAAAATTATTAAGTATGGAATCATACAAGATAAAATTTTAAAGTGACTAAAATATCTACTCCAAGCATCTATTCCACAATATCTCTAAGTTTCTGTTATATAGCTTTTGCTAGTATAGCTACAAAACCAGAAAATTTATTTTCTCATGGGACAGATCCTTTCATCATTGAGAAGCTCTACCTATTAAATACTTACATTTTATATACTCTTTGTAATGATCTAAAAACTGTCTTCATATAAGTTTCACCCTTTGGTTCTTATGTAATTTAATATCAATATACAGCCAGTTTACATCTTCTTTCATGTGATAACCCATTGGATTATAAAGGTAGTTTTCATGTTCTTATTCTTCCCCTCTTCTTTTCTCTGGGCTAAGTGTCTTCCCTAATTCTTCATACAGCATGGTTTCTAGTCTTTTCACCTCATGGGTCTCTGTTCTCTGAAAGCACTTCAAGACCTCCATACACTCTTCACACTCTTTAGTATGGTGCCTGTTATTTCTGAAAAAGAAAAGTAGCCTAGGAATATCTCCTCACTTTGAACTAGGTTCTCTACTTCTCTACCAATGCACTGACATTGTGGTGTCATCATAGAAGCTGCCTGGCAGGCAGTCAGCAGCCTTGTAAATATCTATTTACCTTATTCATTTCACCACTGTCATTCCTCAACTTTGCCTGCCTTGTGACTGGACTTTGGCAGGACCTGTACTTTGGGGATGTGATGACATTAACTAAGCCTGAAAGAGGAGATTAGCCATGCATGTACTCCCCCTAGTCTTCTTTCCCTGAAGAAAAAGTCTGTCTTTCAAAATAAAATTATAATCATAAAATTGATTGGTAAGCATAGAATGGGGGCAAGGGGAATGAGTTCAGCATTTCAATATTAAATTGCATCTATCAAAATTGTTTTGATAGACAGATTCATCCCCCATCAGAATAGTAACATACCTGCACTAAAACTAAGCAGGTTGGATTTTGTGTACTTATACTGTTTCCCTAGAACAGGACTGGAGGGAGGGGCTGGTATCATTGGTTGCCTCGTGGACTGTTTTTGGTTTTCTGTATTCTGTTCTGTGCTAATCAATCCCTCATTCAAAAAAAATCTTTTTAAAATTCACCAATATTTTATTTTATATTGCTCTGGATTTAAAACCAATAGTCTCTTCAAGGTGATTGTGAATCTCTCACTTGCAGTGGATTTTATGATTTAACTCTTAGAGCATAATCTTATTTCTCTGGTTTCCAAATTCTTAGAGAGCTTCTCACTACTACTGAATTTATAAGATCAAATAACTAGTCAATGAAACAGATTATCCAATATGACTGCATTCGGAAGCTAGATCCTTTTTGTGCTTTTTGTGTCTTCTCCTTCGGCCACCATTTAGCAGGAGACATCCTGGGTTCTGCAGAGTCTAACCATAGGAGTCAAGTGAATAACATTAGGCCTTTGGATGGCCTGGCATACCTTAGACAACCACTAATACCTTAGATTGGCCCATCTTGGCCTACACAGCTTTATCGTGAGGGCAAGAGGTCTCATCTGCCCAACCTCCCATTTGCTTCCACAGCTTTGTTGTGAAGAGTGAAGATATGCATTTATGCCAAATATTTTTTCTAAGGTATATCCAATTTTAGATAAAAGTACTACTTGTCTCAAAAGACTATAAAGGATCAGGGAATAATGGAGGTCAGAGAAGCAGTTAAAAAGCCTCATGTGTTTCATAAATATCCAAAGAGAAATTCCTTGGAATATATTTTCCTCAGTGTAAAATAGCACCTATATTTCTGGAGTTACTTCAGAATCTCAAAAGACCCTGACAATATGTCTTGGCCTTATATATTGGCTAAAATGTAACTTCCGTGACTCAGGCAACAGTTATTTATATTTTACTGTCTCTACAGAGTTCCTCAACAGAGCTATAAAAGTAGATGCAGAAGGCTTAATCTTTTTATACAGCCACTTTGAATATATCTTTTTTTGTACAGCCACTTTGAAGATATGAATACAAATTGGAGAGGAAGGTGAAGATGAGAAGCAACACCATAAGGAAAATGTGTATCTTTGTAAAAGCTAATTGTGATGATAATTACTTTCTGCTTTGGAAGCACATGGATAATGTTGGCTCTTACAATGGAATTTGTTCAAAGAAATAAAATAGATTGGGCTATTCAACAGTGACTGAATTGTTCATTATGTTAAGAATGGAAAGCAATCTTGTAAAATGTCATCTTTTGCATTTATTTTAATTTTCTGAGAACATTTATGCCAACTAAATGTAAAATTTCCCCAATATCACTCCTACCTCATTAAAGGAGAAAATAATGTGGCTAAATGCCTTTGACAAATAGTCATATTATTTAAATAATTATCATTTCTTTTCAGCACAGACACAGACAAGGAAAAATCAGGTGAAGGAGTAAAAGGAGAATTCGGATATTTGTCAAGGGCAGGGAGATAAGAAGGAAGAAAACCATTCATGGGGAATTCACCCTCTGCTGCAAACAGTGGCACCTGCAGAGCTCTGCCTCCCTCTGGAAGCATCCTGCACCTGCCATCTCTTAGTCACATGCAGAAAAATGACTACAAACAAAGGCAAAAAATAAACCATTTCCTGTTCTGGAGTCACCAGCCCCACACTGTTTATATAAATCTGTACATCTCTTCCACATTCTGCATAGCCGTTACTAGTCATCTGGTTTAAAAAATATGCTTCCTATAGTTTTCTCAGGCCCAGCCTGAATACTGGGTTGGTGCCTGTGTAATTGGCATGTTCCTGCTTAAGCCTTCCTTTTCAAATTGGACCACTGGCGGTTAACCTATCTGGGTCTGTGCAGCCCACATAGGCTTCTGCTTGTGCCCCCTGGTAGGCTTGAAGCTTTGGAAGTCATTCCTGGACTGAATGCTGAGCCTGAAAATCCTGCTCATATTTTTAAGCTGGCCTCATACTCACACTCTAAATTTGCTTCCTTCCCAAGCCTTGTGACGATCATTTGAGCCCTTCCCATTAAAACGATCTCCTGTGCAAGTCCATGTCTAGGGTCTTTGGCTTGAAATTATTCCAAGCTTTTCCAAATACTCTTGACTTAGCAAGTCACTGTGATAAAGGAGGATCAGCAGGACTGGAAGAGGTGTCATAAAGAAAGGCATGAAGACCAGGTGTCAGATAAGGATGGAAGAGCTCTGAGGACAAACTTTGTTCCCTAAAATATATTAACTCAGCAGAAGAAGTTTGGTTAGGGCTGCCAAGAGATGAAGGCCCAGATAAAAAAGAAAACAGTGAATTGTGGAAAAGGAAATAAACTTTTTTAGTTTAGGGAAAGTTTCTGAAGGAGACCACCATTAGAAGAAGTTGTAGACTCATAGCTAGAGGGATTTGTATGAGAAAGCACATAGGAATAAATGGACATGTGTACTCTATGATTGCCCCTGAATAAGTGAAGAATAATGTGTTTAGTTTAAAATGGTCATTTTTAGCATTTGCAAGTTGAATCATATTTTTCTCACAAAATAGATTTTTGTTCTGTCTATTTACTTTGTTATTCCTTCCAATGACACATAAAGAGGTAACCAAGAGACTTGGGCAAGAGAGTGGGATGAGCAAAACAAAATCCTTGCAGTGTACAAATTGATCCATGTGGACACAAAACACATACGATGCCCATATATATGAAGTAATACTAACTGTTGGGAAATTCTTAAGAAAGAATCTAGTTCTGTGAAGAATTAGATTAGTATTTGGATAGGAATAGCATTGAACCGGTAAATTGCTTTGCATGGTAGGGCCATTTTAATGATATTGATTCTTTCTATCCATGAGCATAGGATGTTTTTTCCATTCATTTGTGTCTTTTCTGATTTCTTTGAGCAGTACTTTGGAATTCTCATTTTAGAGGTCTTTTACCTCCCTGGTTAGCTGTATTCCTAGGTATTTTATGCTTTCTGTGGCAATTGTGAGCGAGATTGCCTTCCTGATTTTGCTCTTGGCTTGGCCGTTGGTGTATAGGAATGCTAGTGATGTTTGTACATTGATTTTGTATCTAGAAACTTTGCTGAAGTTTCTGCAAAGGAAGGAGCTTTTGGGTCGAGAGTACGGGGTTTCTAGATAGGAAATCATGTCGTCTGCAAACAGAAATAGTTTGACTTCCTCTCTTCTTATTTGGATGCCTTTCATTTCTTTCTCTTGCCTGATTGCTCTGGCTACAACTTCCAATACTATGTTGTATAGGAGTGAAGAGAGAAGGCATTTTTGTCTTGTGCCTGTTTTCAAGGAGAGTGCTTCCAGCTTCCAGTATGGTATTGGCCGTGGCCTGTTGTAGATGGCTCTTATTATTTTGAGGTATGTTCCTTCAATACCTAGTTTATTGAGAGTTTTTTTTTTTACATGAACAGATGTTGAATTTTATGGAAAGCCTGCATTTATCTATTGAGATAATCATTGGGTTTTGTCGATAGTTCTCTTTATGTAATTTGATGACAAACACCAAAAGCAATTGCAACAAGGGCAAAAATTGACAAATGTGATCTAATTAGACTCAAGAGCTTCTGCACAGCAAATGAAACTATCAACAGAATGAATAGACAACCTACCTACAGAATGGGAGAAAAAGTTTGCAAAGTATGCATCTGACAAAAGTCTAATACCCAGCATCAATAAAAAGCTTAAACAAATTTACAAGAGAAAAATATACAAGCCCATTAAAAAGAGGGAAAAAGAATGAACAGACACTTTTCAAAAGTAAATGTGTATGCAGCCAACAAGCACATCAAGAAAAAGCTCAATATCATTGATCATTAGAGAAATGCAAATCAAAACCACAATGAGATACCATCTCACACTAATGAGAATGGCTATTACTAAAAAGTCAAATAATAACAGATGCTGACGAGTTTGTGGAGAAAAGTGAAACTTTATACACTGTTAGGGGAGTGTAAATTAGTTCAACCATTGCAGAAAGTAGTATGGCAATTCTACAAAGAGCTAAAAGTAGAACTACCATCAACAATCCCATTATTGGGTGTATACTCAGAGAAATATAAATCATTCAACCATAAAGACACATGCATGTGAATGTTCATTGCATCACTATTCAAAATAGCAAAGATATGGAGTCAACCTAAATGCCTATTAATGACAGATTGGATAAAGAAAATGAGGTACATATACACCATGTAATACTATGCTGCCATAAAAAGAATGAGATCATGTCTTTTGTGGGAACATGGATGAAGTTGGAGGCTATTATTCTCAGCAAACTAACACAGGAATGGGAAACCAAAGACCGCATGTTCTCACTTATAAGTAGGATGAAATCATAAGAACTTAATGAACACAAAGAAGCAAACAACAAACACTGGGGTCTACTTGAGGGGAGAGGGTGGGAGAAGGGAGAGCAGCAGAAAAAATAATTATTGGGTACTGGGCTTAACACCTGGGTGATGAAATAATATGTATGACAAGCCCCCATGACACGTTTACCTATGTAACAAACCTTCACATGTACCTCCAAACCTAAAATGAAAGTTAAAAAAAACAGACAAAAAGAATAGGTGGCTTATATTTTTTCAACATGTGGCATATGAAAATAAAACATTTGCAATCCTATTTCACATGCACATTAATTATGTAAAATTAGAAGCACTAAGGGTAGGTCATTAAGTGCTGATTAGACAATAATATTATGTGTTCTCGCAGCATTGGTAGTAAGGAACTACGTTTACTTCCAAAGGGCGGAAAGATCATTAAAATTTTAATTTGTTTCTCAACAGTTCAATTATAAAATGCTTAATGTGATGGACTTTAACCTTATGGGACTTAACACAATTATGGGACTGTTCCAGTATACCTTGCTCTCTTGTGTTTATTTTCTCAAAAGATTAGGCACTTGTAACTGTTTTAAGATCATTCTTGACTGTAAAATACTTTATAATGTCTTTCTTTTACTTCCTACACTGTTTCTATTTTTTAGATGTCTGGCAAGGTAACTTCAAATGAAAAGATAAATGTTTATCTTGCTGAAAATGAAAACTTTCAAGTATACCTTTTAAATATGGTTCAGTAGATACCTACTTAACATCTCCTTTGTGGATATCATGCTAATGGCTCCCTCTGGTCCAGAGTTCATTGGGCACTCACTTACTCACTTATTCATCCAATCAATAAATCCAATAAACAAATGCGTTTTTTTCTTCTTTTTTTTTTTTTTCAAACAGGGTTTCACTCTGTCACGCAGGCTGGAGTGCAATGGCACGATCTTGGCTCATTGCAACCTCTGCCTCCCAGGTTCAAGCAATTCTCCTGCCTCAGCCTACCAAGTAACTGGGATTACAGGTGCCCACTACCATGCCTGACTAATTTTTGTATTTTTAGTAGAGACAAGGTTTCTCCATGTTGGCCAGGCTGGTCTCAAACTCCTGACCTCAGGTGATCTGCCCACATTGGCCTCCCAAAGTGCTGGGATTACAGGTGTGAGCCACCCCACCTGCACTCTCTTTAAATGTTTTTATGTACTACCATGTGCAGACACCTATTTCTTCCTGGCTTTACAGTCTAATCATACCCATGGTTAAGTAGCTTTACCATGCTAACAAAGACATCCCTAGTTTTCCCCCAAATAAAATAATTGTAAGTTTGATCAGCTAATTTTCACTAATATGAAAAAACTGAAGAAAAACTCAGAGAACTGCATTTTTCTTCCCATACTTCACTTATGTAGTTTAACTAGGGTCTTCTGAAAATTGCCCTGTCTATGTCTCAACATTTAAACAGGAACTTTAGTCAAGATATCGGGGCAACATTCCCAGAAGTTTAGTTAGCCAACGGTGTTTGGACTTTGAGATTGCAAGTAACAGAAAACATTTTCTAAATTTATAACAAGAATGCACATAAATTTGCCAGAAGCTAAAGGCATACAGTTTGAAGATGAAGCAAATTGTCTAAAGCTGGGTACAATGACACGTGTCTGTTGCCTCCGCTATATAATTTCAGAAACTCAGAAGGCTATGTGAGGATCATGTAAACCCAGGAGTTCGAGGCTGTAGTGCCCTGTGATCGTGTTTGTGAAGAGCCACCTCACTCTGGGGCTGGGACATGTAGGAAGACCATGAGAAAGAAAAATAAAGAAAAGAAAGAAGAGAAGAGAAGGGAAGGGAAGGGAAGGGAAGGGAAGGGAAGGGGAGGGGAGGGGAGGGGGGAGGGGAGGGGGGAGGGGAAGGGAAGGGAAAAAGGGAAAGGAAAAAGGGAGAGGGAAAGAGAAAGAAAAAGAGAAAGAAAGAGAGAAAGAAGGAAAGAAAGAATTGAATTGTCTGAGATACGTATTTCAAGTAATTAGTGAATATATGATATTTGAGGTAATGCTTCTGGATGACATAACTCAGGAAATGCGCACCAGTATGGAAGAGAAGCACTCAGAGGAATAAGCAAATGAACATTTCGTGGTTTATGTTTACATTTATTTAGCATGTAGTGTCCCGTTTACCAAGTGAAAAAGGATGTGGAAAGAGTGATCATAAACCACCGATGTCAAAGGCCACTGAATAAATGAGTTATCCAAGGTATGAGAATTAGACAATTTATTTGGCAAACTAGAGGCCATTCATGATCTCGATTAGAAGTAGTTTGTTTCTTTGGTGGTGATGGGTCTGATTAGAGAAACTTCAAGAGAAAAATGGAAGTAAACAAGACACTGTAAAGAGGATTTTAAAAGTGGTTTGCTATTGAGATATTGGGAGGTAGCAGCAGTAGAATATGGTGTCAAGAGAGGGAGTTTGTGTTTTTCTGTCATTTCTTTTTTAGGTTAAGATGGAAGCTATTATAACATATTTGTATGCTGGTGATAATTGGCTATTCACTTGCTGAAACTGGACCTTTACCTCACCCCATATATAAGAATCAACTTAAAAGAGATTAAAAACTTAAGTATATGACCTGAAACTGTAGAGGAAAACATAGCAGAAAAGCTCCATGGCATTGGTCTGGGCAATGATTTCTTGGATAAAACCCCAAAAGCACAGGCAACAAAATAAAAATGGAACAGACAAATGAGACTAGATAAAACTAAAAAGGTTTTGTATAGCAAAGTAAACAATTAACAGGATGAAGAGACAATCTATAGAACAGGGGAAAATATTTTCAAATTATGCATCTGATAAGGGGATAAATTCAAAATATTTAACAAACTCAAACTACTCAATAACAAGGAAATAACCCTGCTAAAAAAAAAATGACCAAAGAACCTGAATAGACATTTCTCAAAAGAAGATATAGAAATGGCGAACAATAATATTAAAAAAAAGTGCTCAACATCACTAATCATCAGGGGAATACAAAGTAAAACCACAACAAGTTTTCAACTCATCATACCTGTTAGAATGGCTATCATAAAAAAGATGTGTTGGTGAGCGTGTAGAGGAAAGGAAACAATATATATTGCAGGTAGGTATGGAAATTAATACAGACATTGTGGAAAACAGTATGGAGTTTCCTTAAAAAACTATAAACAAAACTATCATGGTATCCAGCAATCCCAGTTCTGGGTATATATCCAAATAAATTGACATCAGTATGTTGAAGAGCTATCTGCACTCCCAAATTCATCACAGCATTATTCACAGTAGCCAAGCTATAGAAACAATTTAAATATCCATCAGTGGATAAGTGGGTAAAAAAACATGGTATATATTCACAATGGAATACCATTCAGCCTTTAAAAAGGAGGAAATTTTGTCCTTTACAACATCATGTATAATCTAGAGGGCATTATGCTCAGGGAAGTAACTTAGGCACAGATAGATAAGTACCATGTAATATTACTTACATGTGGAATATAAAAAAGTTGAATTCATAGAAATACAGAGTGGAATGGTGGTTATCAGAGGCTGGGGGGTTGGAAAGAATGAGGAAAGAGGAAATGTGAGACAAATGGTACAAAGTTTCAGTTAGGTAAGAAGAGTAAATTCTTCTAGTCATCAATTACACAGGATGGCAACTATAGGTCATAATAATGTATTGTATATTTCAAAATTGTTAAAAGAATCGATTTTAAATGTTCTCACCACAAGGAATGTATAAATATGTGAGGTGATAGATATGCTAATTAGACTGATTTGATCATTCTAAAACATATACATGCATCATAACATCACATTGTACCCCAAAAAGATATGCAATTATTGACAATGATCAAATTAAATAAATAAATAAATACAGAAAAAACTCAAAATGAATGGAAAATTTATAAAGTAAGAGAGGGGGATAAGAGGGGGACAATTGTCAGAGAAGTTTACCTATAAGGAAATTAAGATACAAAGCATTGAGAAACTTACCCATTTCCATAGCTGTTAAGTTTTAGAGCTTCAGTAAAATTTCAGAATGCCTCACTCCAGAGATTCCTTTGTTAATTTCTACTCTATGTTGTCTTTTCCTGAGTAGAGGAGGGAATAATTAACCAGGTCATTGTAAACTAGGCATATATTGCAAAATATATTCATTGTACCAGCCTATAGGTAAGTGAGCTCCTGACCAGTATTCTCTCTCTCTCTCTGTTTTGAGACAGGGTCTTGCTCTGTCACCCAGGCTGGAGTACAGTGGTGCAGTCACAGCTCACTGCAGCTCCACTTCCTGGACTGAAACAACAATACTCAGCCTCTTGAGTATCTGGGACTACAGGCTCATGCCACAATGGCTGGCTAATTTTGTTATTTATTGTTGTTTTTTGTACAGATAAGGTCTCACTATATTGTCCTGGCCAGTCTCAAGCTCCTGGGCTCAAGGAATCCTCCCACTTCAGTCTCCCAAAGTATTGGGATTACAGCTGTGAGCCACTGCACCTGGCCTATAGGTGCAGTGAGCCACTGCACCTGGCATATAGGAATTTTAATGGGCATAAAATTCCTATATGGATGTTAAAAAAAGTTCTAATGCAGACCACAGAAAGAATCTATTTTGAAGTGCTGTAGAAAATTAAAGGCTATCATCCCCAAAAGTTGTATGTAAGAGGAGCAGGCAGCAGAGCTAACCAGAGCCCTGGCCTACAAGCCTAAGCAAAAGCACTCACCCATCACAATAGGAAGGCAGAACAAGGAAACCAAGAAGTGTAAGCTTTTCTTTTCTTTTCTGTCCAGGCCAGAGTAGAGCAAGTTCACCAAGTTCAGCAAAATCTCCAAAACAGTGACAGTGAGACACATTGTTACCCACCTCATTAGGACAGGAAGATAACTTCATTAGATAGAAATATGTGAACAAAACATGTTTAAATCATATTACCATATACATAAATCTAAATACTAACAATTTTCCACTCTTGCCTGCATGGTCAAGAAGCATATATTCCGGGTGCCCACTCCTCTAGAGATCCCATCCATGTTTGCTGCACCTTCAGAATGTGAGTTCAGAGGCACATGCTGGGATATTATGCCTTACAGGTGATATAGATCTATAGGACATGACTTACGTTGTGCTATGTCTTCATCTTCTGCATACCAGGTTTCTCTGCACTGTGGCGTCTGCCCACCAGATTAGCAGGTGGAGACCAGGTTTTCAGCTGTCCTCCTACAGGACGCATATAAGCACACTCCAAACAAAAACAGCTTCCCAGTGCCTGAGCAACCAATGCAAGCTTTCACCAGGGGACAAAGTTATCTCCCATCCAAGAGAGTGTAGCACTTGAGAGAAGGTACAATTCATCTGAACATAATTGACACTTGAGAGGTCTAAACTCATTCTAGTGGCCATATAAGCTAACTGACTTTCCCGTCTTCATAATTTTGTCCATAATCTAAATTATAGGCCAATCTAATTATCTGGTCTTTTCAACACAACCATCCTGTTATGTAAAAATTTTAGATTCATGCTTTCTTTTATTGCTCACTTCTTTATTGAAGCAGCACTCATTTATTGTGCTATCAGAAACCCCAATTCTATGATAATTAACTCATTTATTCCTCAATATTCATTTTCCCCATTTGGCATAACTGAATTCAACTTATTCCTGAGGTTACCACTTCTTCATCCTTCTCAGGTGGACACTCCTTACTCTTTTGTGACTCACATATCTTAAGATCCAGATAGCAGCAACAACTAATATTTAACAAGTACATACTCCAATGCCTTTTAGGTTTATTATCTCTGAAATTTCATTAGTATTCTTATTAACACTTTTCAGATGAGAAAATTCAAGCACAGAGATCAAGTAAATTTTCCCAAAGCCACACAATTGAAAGATACAGAAACAAAAAGTTCAAAGAGCCTGAGTCTAATCCTGATATGCAGTCAGAATCTTCTTGCCAACATGCCCCTTCCTTTTATTCAGAATATATCTGAATATACATTACAGTGAAGATGGCACTGAGAACTCTGAATGCAATGGGAATCAGACATTGGATTCTTATGGATAGTGCTGTGTCTCCCTGGTAAGCACAACATATATGAAAGCAAATTTTAATTTAGAAGTTACTAAGTAAAATGTATGAGGAATAATGCTGCATATACCCAGTAAAAGATTAAAGTCCATTGATCAATTCACTATAAATGCACAGGTTTATTTCCGAACTCTTTATTATTTTTATTCTTCTTTTAAAAATAATTTCAACTTTTATTTTAGATTCAGGAGGTACATAAGCAGGTTTGTCACATGGGTGTATTGAATGATGCTGCAGTTTAGGTTATGAATTATCATCACCAAATAGGTAGTTTTTCAATATTTGCCTTCATGTCTTTCCTCCCTCTAGTAGTCCACAGTGTCTATTTTTCCCATCTTTATGTCTATGAGTACCAAAGGTTTAGCTCCCACTTATAAGTGAGAACATGTGGTATTTGGTCTTCTGTTCCTGTATTAATTTGCTTAGGATGATGATTTTGATGCATGTTGCTGCAAAGGACATGATTTCCTTCCTTTTATGGCTGCATAGTATTTCATGATATACATGAATCATATTTGCTTTATCCAAAACACCACTGATGGGAACCTAGGTTAATTCCATGTCTTTGCTATTGTGAATAGTGCTGCTATGGACATAACAGGTACATATGCCTTTTTGGTAGAATGATTTATATTTCTCTGGGTATATAGCCAGCAATGGGATTACTGGGTTGAATGGTACTTTTAAGTTTTTCGAGAAATATCCAAATGCTTTCCCTAGAGGTTCAATTAATTACATTAATTGAATTACATTCTCACTAGCAGTGTATAAGCATTCCCTTTTCTCTGCAGCCTCATCAACATCTGTCATTTTAAAAATACTTTTTAAGAATAGCAATTCTGACTGGTGTAAGATGGTATCTTGTTGTGGTTGTGATTTGCATGTTTTATTGGTCTTATATGTCTGTCTCTAACCGGTACCATACTGTGTTTATTACTGTAACTTCAGAATATATTTAGAAATCAGAAAGTGTGATGCCCCCAGCTTTGTTCTTCTTTCTCAGGATTGATTTACCTATTTGTGGCCTTTGTAGTTCCACATGAATTGTAGCATTGTTTTTATCTATTTCTGTAAAAAAAAAAGTCTTTGAGATTTTGATAGGAACATACTGTGTTTTTAAAAGTGATAAATTATTCTTAAGTTTAATTAAAGCTTAAGTTGACAAAAAATTTTTTCTGAATCTTTGGGAGAAAACTTCCTGTATAATTAAATGTTTGCTTTTCCAAAAAAAGAAATGTATTCAATCATTCTTTAAGAAAATTGGTCCTTTGGAGAAACACTCTTCCACAAAACTCTACAGCAGGTGGCAAAACTGTTCTCATTGTTCTAAATGTGGGCCTCCTAATTTGAGTCCCAAGTCTCATTGAAAATGACTGCCACAGGCATCTAAGGAGAGGCTATCTTTGCCTTTTATGACTATTTGATTTTCTTGAGGAATGACTAATTATTACAGACTTCCTGCAATTGATTTAATTATGTAGTTATTTTGTGATTCACAAATTCTGCTATTTCAAAATATGCTGTTTGCAAATTAATTCTTAAAATTTCAAAGCTTTGACTTTGTCTCATAGATTGGTATTCATCTCTAATTGAAATGAGATGAGTGAAGCCAATGCATAACCTAGTACACATTAAGAGTTAAATAATGTTAAAGAAAACTAAAAGGAAAAGAAAAACACTCCACCTAAAAAGGATTACAAAAAGCCAATAAACATGGAGTATAAGGCTTTATATTTCATTTCAGTGTAGACAGATACATGAGTATGTATCTTGACTTACTACAGAGTTTATCTTAAATTATTTTTCACAGTTACATTGCTCTTTGAATTAAACATGCATTATTAAAATAATCTTAATGGAGAGAAGACATTGTATTTAAAACGGTAATTTATTTTTGCGGTAATTAGTTTTTTACTTATTGATGTATTTGTTAACCCAGATTTGTTTAGTGTGGACTTTATGAAAGCTTCAATAGAAAGAGGTTTTTATAGTTGCATGATGACTGAAGACTTGGTTTTCATGCCTAGGAAGGAGTCTCTTAAACTTGGTTATGTATTGACAAGACTTTACCATATTTTAGAAGAATCTTACTTTAATAACTCTAACCACAACAGTGTAATTATCCAAATGCTTTGTATTCTAAATACATACAGCATGCTTTGGCAGAGAGCATCTGCAGCCAATGTCTAAGCAGTTATTTCAGCCAGAAAGTCAAAACCATATCATCTGAAACTCATGTCTGATATTGTTTTACCTTTAGGTTTAGCCAATTAGTATAAAATTAGTACAAAAGTAACTCTTGCAGCAGTTTTTTGGAATTCTCTCGCAAAATAAGGGTATTCCAAACTAAAGCACAAAAACCTAGAAAAACGTATTACACTGCAAAGCATGTCTCTGAATAAGAACAGAAGGATTTTCATGTGTGGCGTTGTTTCATCCTGGAATTCTCTTTTCATTCTAATCTAAGAAGCTGCTCTGTGAGCAGTTTTATTTAAATAAGTGTTTCAAGAAAGCATTGATTTTATTTAAGGCAGTATTGAAAACTTATTTTCTCCCTTGTACTTTTTTTCTAGAAGATCACACAAAAGTAGTTATTTATGCATTTCATTGCTCAAGTGGAATACCATAAAATGGGACGTATTTGAAATATAGGTACTTTCATACAACTGAGTACCCCCACAAAGTACTTGTTTGTTCAAATCTTCTAGCAATTTATTTTTATCTTCTAAGGAAATGCATTATGTTTCTTTTGATGTGATATTCCAGCGCTCTATTGCAGGAAGGACAAGTATTTGCCTAAGTCTTTTTGGTTTTTATGTCCATCACTGAAATCTGACTTACAAACATGAGTTATTTGTGGAAGTAACATTTGGTAAAGTAACATAATGAGTATTAACTTTTTAAATTCCTCCTGTAAAAATCAAAGAAATTTGTCTTCGCTTTTTCCATGTTTAAAAACTATCTCACGTATCATGAAGACTTCATATTATCATGAATTAATATTATAAGACATAAAATTCCTTTAGGGTTAATTTCATCACTAATGGTAGTAGGTATAATTTCAGCTAATCTTCTTACTAACTAGTTTTAGGTAAACTTTTGGTCAGATAACCTTGAGAACATCATTGTTTCAAATGCATAACAATGGGCCAGGCCCGGTGGCTCAAGCCTCTAATCCCAGCACTTTGGGAGGCTGAGGAGCTCGAGACAAGCCTGGCCAACATGGTGAAACCCCTTCTCTACTAAAAATACAAAAATTAGCTGGGAGTGGTGGCGGGCGCCTGTTGCCAGCTACTCGGGAGGCTGAGGCAGGAGAATCGCTTGAACCCGGGAGGCAGAGGTTACAATGAGTTGAAATCACACCATTGCACTCCAGCCTGGGCGACAGACCAAGACTCCATTTCAAAAATAAATAAATTAATAAATAATAACAATAATAATAATAAATAAATACATAAATACACACAAACATAACAAGGCTATGAAGTTCTCCAATTTTGTGGTCAGGAAGATAAATTGATTTTGTAATTTTCTCGTTGTTTTCTAATGTTTACATTATTTGTATTATCTCCATTCCACAGATTGTCTGTCTTTTATCCTTTCTTGCATACTCTTTTAGAAGTGTTTTAAACCAATTATCCTTCTTGCTTTAACTTAGTTAAAATTAGTGAATATTTATAAATCTACTTAAACGGTCAAGTATGAAACACAATATGGTACAATGAGCTTAACTATTAACTCTTCCACATTGTAAAGCACTCACTCTTTCTTCAGGCAATTCAAATGCTGTTTGTGACGTGTGACTGTTTGATAAAGACCAACAGAGCATGTCCTAGCCAATCTATATGTTAAATATTAATAAAGCTTTTTAAAAATAAAAAAATGCACATAGTATTTTTTATATGCTCTTCTGACACCTTTAACGAAACTAACCATTTTCTGGACCACTGCTCTAGCGCTTGCTGTTAGAACAGTTCATACCTGAAAAATAGAGCAAGTTAAATTAATGAACTATGAAAATTTTCTGAAAGTTAAATGTTGAACATCCAAGTAGAGTCATTAAACTTGTAAATAGAAATAACAAACAATAAAATGCGACATTTATTAGGAAAAATATACATATCAGTAATATGGTAATTTGAATAGGAATATAAAAGTAAAATTGCCAGGAAACACAAACATTAATAACTTTTAATTAGAACGCATTGGAAAGGAAGTAGGAATGAAAGAAGCAAGTTATTGAACTTATTCATAAAGAGCAAACCTAAATTTATTCTAAGTTGTTAGTGTTCACATAGTCTGCAGCAGTGGACAAATCAATGTTAATTGAGTTCTAAAGCAACGCATGCAGGAAACCGCTTTCAGTATTATGAACAGTAGCTACATACGAAAAGGCAGCTTTGAAATTAAATACAATTTAATTCAGTCCTGAATACTTTTATTGACATAAAAATTGCTAAGAGAATGAATAAATTATATGCACTTCTAATGCTGCGTTATTTTCTTTCAAACACTTTATTATGCAAATATTTGAACTTGCAGCAAATTTGAAAGAACTTTTTAATGAACACCCCAAAATTCACTACCCAGATCTACTATTAAAATTTTACGGCTGGGCTCGGAGGCTCACGCCTGTAATCCCAGCACTTTGGGAGGCCGAGGCGGGCGGATCACGAGGTCAGGAGATCCAGACCATCGTGGCTAGCACGGTGAAACCCCGTCTCTACTAAAAATACAAAAACAAAATGAGCCGGGCGTGGTGGCGGGTGCCTGTAATCCCAGCTACTCTGGAGGCTGAAGCTGGAGAATGGTGAGAACCAGGGAGGTGGAGCTTACAAGTGAGCCGAGATAGCACCATGAATTCATCTTATTTCTATCCATTTAATGCAAATTGCAAACATCTCAACAATTTCCCCTAAATACTTCAGCATGCAGGGTTTTTTTTGTTTGTTTTAGATGGAGTCTCATTTTGTTGCCCAGGCTGGAGTGCAGTGGCGCGTTCTTGGCTCACTGCAACCTCCGCCTCCCGGGTTCAAGCGATTCTCTGCCTCAGCCTCCTGAGTAGCTGGGGTTACAGGCGCCTGCCACCACGCCTGGATAATTTTTATATTTTTAGTAGAGAGTGGTTTTACCATCTTGGCCAGGCTGGTCTTGAACTTTTGACTTCGTGATCCACCCGCCTTGGCCTCCCAAAGTGTTGGAATTACAGGCATGAGCCACCGCGCCCGGCCCAGCATGCAGTTTTTTATAAAAAAAAAAAAATTTACATGAAATGAAATACACCTATCTTAAGTGTACATTCCTCAACTGTTGCTAAATACATGCACCTGTGTAGCCTAAACTTCTACCAAAATATAGAACATTACCATCCAAACCAGAAAGTTACTTTATTACCTTCCTAGGAAATCTCCACTCCTGCCCAAGATAACTACTGATGATGTTTTCCATCAAGATGCTGCACTTTTCTAAAAGTGATGAGCTACTAAGTATAAAGGAATTACTTGTATCTTCAACTCCTGGGCTTCTAGATTCCAAAGATATCAACAATGACACCTTTCTCATTAAAATAAAAATATTTCAAATTATCCTTGTAAAATATTTAAGCACCTTTAATGTAGTTGAGTAAAAATTGAAGAGTTTTTAAACTAAAAGGAATTTATTAAAATGGAGGCTGTGTTTACTCGGGGAGTGAATTAGGTAACTTCTAATCAAATCCCAGAGGGCCGGCAAGTTTATTCGCATTATGGATGAATAACAACCACATTTCTTGTTCTTCAAGTAGTTGATTATCTTACAAATTTAGATCCACTTATGAAATTGCTAAGTAGCTCAATACCAGCCGTGTAGTAGATACACAACAAATATTTTTAAATGGAATAAAAGAGTGAATGAGAACAAGAGAATGAATGCAAAGGGAACTGATGCTTGCTGTGTTTAGGGCATGTGACTAACAGAATGCTACATGCTTTCAATAATGGTGTTTTTCCATAAAACTATTCTGCAAATTAGGCATGCCTTTCACACCGTGAATGCTTCATACATCACTACAACCACTAAAATGCGCCACTATAACTGCTGGAATGTACAGGCCCTAACTAAGGAGTTTTTATCCCCAAGAACATCAGAGCAGCAATTGCATTAGTCATCTGCAGTAAGGTTAACTAACCTTTTTATACCCCCAAAGTTTTCTCTGTGTCTGGACCAGAGAGGAGCAGCTTAAAAGAGATTTTATAAATATACACCATTGGCATTTACTAATCTATTGCTCAATTATTCTAAAAATGGGAAAAATAGCAACTAATTTTTCTGGATCAGATAATTGGTAAGTAGAGAGACCTACAAAATCTCTGATAAGTGGGATACATACATTACTAGTGCTGCTTATTAAAGGTGATTCAATGATAATCTATTGGGGAAGTGAGATGAGAAATTAGTAACGATATGCACCTTCCAAAATCAAGCTGGAAAATGGATTTTAATTATAATTCAGGGAGACAAGAGCTTGACTTCCAGTATAAAATGATGTCTATATAGAACAAATGAGACTTTCCAATTTTTTTATTTAATTACCATGCACAAAATGGAAAAAGCAAACATAAAAGGCAAAATAAACAAATGAATACACAAAATAACATTAAACAAAAAATATTACATCATTACCACATACTACCAAATAAGCTTTTATCACAATCTGGAAATACTTTTCACTAAGTGTAAAGCTGATGACTACTCATATTACACAGTCATCAGAGAAATACTTTTTAAGTACTTTGTCCTAGGGCATAATAGAAGATCCCCTGATAGTCTGTAGTCTACTTTAAGGACATTTTATAATGATTGGTGATGGATTACAAATGAGGTCAGGAGTTTATTTCTTTTGCAGTAGTAATTTAAAATGTGTATTGCTAGGAATTCACTATTTAAGTTTAATGACTTTAAGTGATTGCAGGTTATGTCTTTTAAAATACGTAATAACCCTAAGGGTTTTGTCATTTGTACAGTCAACTGATATAAATGATTTAAACAGCTCTAGTATTTTGATTATATTGGATCTATGAGTGCATTTAAAATATTTTAAGTTTTTGAATCCCGAGACATAGGTACAACATCTGTCACTGAATGAGATTTAGCGTTTCCACTAAGGCCCTGATAGGAAACCTCAATCCTGTAATTTTGTAATATGGTTATAAAATCTTGGATAAGATCTGCTTTATTTGGAATGTGTCCATATTGTTCTTTGCCCGTGAATGCACACTGTTTATTTATTCATGAGATGGAGTAAAACAGAAAGTCATTGTGTTTTGGAAAATCATCCTCATAAGAACCATCGCATCTCTGGTAATTTGATTTAGCATGTCAAATGTTTGATTTCTAACTTGTTCTAAAATAGTTGTTATATGTCTAATTTCCTGATTCAACTCAGCAGTCTCATAGTGTGGGAAGTGACTGATTTAACCATTTAGTTTCAGGTACTTATTTTTATTTTTATTTTTATTTATTTATTTTTTTGAGATGGAGTCTCACTCTGTCGCCCAGGCTGGAGTGCAATGGCGTGATCTTGGCTCACCACAACCTCTGCCTCCTGGGTTCAACTGATTCTCCTACCTCAACCTCCCAAGGAGCTGGGATTACAGGCATGTACCACCATGACAAGCTAATTTTTGTATTTTTAGTAGAGACGGGGTTTCACCATGTTGGCCAGGATGGTCTTGAACTCCTGACCTCAGGTGACCAACCAGCCTTGGCCTCCCAAAGTGCTGGGATTACAGGCGTGAGCCACTGCGCCCAGCCAGTTTCAGGTACGTTTATAAGGTAATTTCACACTTTTATTTCAGAGTGGGCAAGAGTTGGTATTTAGTAATAATAATACATACATGATAGCACAAACCAGATAAATTCCTTGGGAGCAAAAGCTAAGTTCATCTAACAAAGAAGAAATATATTTCATTAAATGTTACTCTATTTTTATTAGGTACTTGAGTAGCTGGGCAGAAAATGATTAAGAAACATGGGATTAATACAAATGTACTCAAGTATATTGGCTACTTTCAATAGGTCCTGAACTATTTTCAATATAAAACTATAATAATACAAATTCTTTTATCAATGTAACCATTTGTATAAAGTATGTGGGGTATATACACTTGCACTAGGGCCAGAGCAAATTTATAGAGTTCAATTTGTACCATAGTAGGCACTTCCCTTGTCTGGAGTTCATCTTCTTACAGCATGAACGTGAAACCTGGACTGTGACCCTTGAAGCTTACCATTTTGTTGGAACTGTAAAGAGTTTATTTATTTAACTCCCTGGTGAAATGACCACTCCTTTACAAGCAATGTCTCTACCTGAAGTAATGTTTCCTGCCTTAAAGACAACTTTGTATTTTGTTAGTTTTGGGAAATCAGTTTTCTTTAGATTACTATCTGCAGAGTATATATCTTTTTCAAACTTTTACTTTCAACATATGTCTATATATTTTATGTGTGTCTCTGAGAACCAGAACATGTATAGGTTTTCTTGTCGTTTGCTTTTAATTGAAGTGCTTAGTTTTGTATGTAATTACTGATATATTTAGCCTTATATCTACCACCTTACTACTATTGTTTTCAGTGTGACCTGTTTTTGTCCCTTTTTCTTTTTTTCTACTTTGAATTACTAAAATATATTTTAGTTTTCCATTTTTCTTTTCTATAAGCATGAAAGTCATATGTTCTTTCACTTTTCTTTTAGCAGGTACCTCAGAAATTAAAGCACACATCCTTGACATTGTAACTAATACAAATAATTACATTCACTTCTTCCCTGACAATGCTTGCACATTTATTCACAAGACATTATATCATCATTTAGTACAGTCAATATTATGTTTACCTGATTTTTTTTTTTTACTTTCCTTTGCTCTTTAGTTTTACTGCATTTTGGCACTTCTACATAGGACCAATTTCTCTCTATCTAAAACATTATCTGTAGTTTTTTGTTGTTTTTTTTTTTCAGTGCAGCTTGACTGAGGAAATCTCTTTTTCCAAAGTAGCCTTTATTTTGCCATCTCTTTCAAGGAATATTTTAAGGGATATGGAATTCTAGTTGGCATATATTTTCATATAGCACTTTAATAATTGTAATTGTTTTTTTTTTGGCTTTCCTCTTTTATGGTGAGAGGCCACTGTCATTGTATTGTTATTACTCTAAGTTTGGGGTTTCGGTATTCTCTGGATGATTTTAAGAGTCCCTCAGTGACTTTTCCATTGTTTTATTACAATGTAATTTTGTGTAGGTTTTTTTTTTTAATTTACCTTGCTTAGAGTTCGGCTAACATATTGAATCTATTGGTATAAATAACATATCCATTTAAAAAAACTGTTGGTCATTTTCTCCTCCAATATTGCCTCCTCCCAATTTTCTAGATAACACATTATATATATGTTTGACATTTTAACAGTGTCTCACATACTTCTTTTATCTACATATTTTTTTCTGTGTGTTCATTTTGGATATATTTGATTTTTTTTACTAACCTGTCTCCAATTCACTAACCGTTGGTGCATGTCAATTATGCTATAAAACCCATTTGTTTTTAACTTTAGTTACTATGTTTTTAACTTCTAAAATTTTTATTTGATTTTTTAAAATTCCAATTCTCTGACAGAATTATCCAATATTTTCTGTATTTTTTGTCTATTTTCTTGTTAATATTAATATCAATCATTGCTGTTATTTAGTCCTTCTTTGGTAATTCTAACAGCTTGATCATTTGGGGATTTCTTTCTATTGTCTATATTTTCATCTTAGCATTTTGGTCAAAGGGTCAATTGTCTTGAATTTTTTTCCTTTTTCTTCATTTTTAAATGCCAGAAATTGAAAAAAAAAAAAATAGAGAAGTTCCATAGAGGATTTACCTTTCCATCTTCTGGCAAAGAGGAGGCTGATGATCCTGATCCAATGGGACTGAGCTGAATTGAGGTTGTGGGCAGTTTTGATGATGTTCTGTCAAGATTCCAATTCATACCTGCTCCAACCATATGGCTTCCCGAGGCTTCCAAATGAGAGCTTGTATGCTCACAAGGGTCTCTCTGCATGATAGTAAATACAATTGAATTTTTGTATGCTTAGTATCATGAGACTACAAACAACTCCACCGCACTATTAGGGATTTTCTGCTAAGCTTATTAGCTTACTGTTATACGTGGCATCACAATTCAACAAATGTCTTAAAAGGAAAACTAGCTATAGTTAGTTTTCTATTCCTCCATTCTTGCTAGGATTTTAGTGCCTTGAGTCTCCAATGTTGTTTCCTGAACAAGACTGCAAAAGCTCTGCTGTTCATTCTATCTTAAAAAATCATCTCAACCTGAGCAAAGACTAGATTTTCAACTTTTTGTCCTGTGTACAGATTCTTTAAATTTATGCAGAAAAATAGCAGCTATAAAATATTAGCCCACATCTTTAATGTTCCTACTTCTTCAGAATCTGGCCACCCCTATTCCTCATTCCAGCAACAGCCGAGTTTGTTTTTGTTTTTATTTTTTATTTTGTTTCCCATTGTTTCTAGCTTTCAGTGAAATCATTGTTCTTCTTCAAGCTACTTCATTATGCCATGATTCATTCATTCAATATATGTTTCAGTAGTGAATATGAGATAAGGCACAAGCACTATTTTAGATTCTAGGAATACAGTGGTTAATCTAAGACTTTGCATTTGCAGTGTTATATTCTACTGGAGGTAGATCATTAAAATATATACTAATAAATATGTCAATTATCAGGTGGTGATAAGCCCAATGAAGTAAGAAGATAAAGGGGATAGCAGAAAGATGATGATGCCACTTCATATGGCATGATCAGAGATTGTCTGCCTGGCAAGGAGACATTCAAGGTGGTCAACATGTAGTTAACAGAGTGATCCATGTGTATGTCTGGAAAGAGTGTTGGCCAACAGAAGAAACAGTTAAGTGAAAAGTTCTAAGGCCTTTTCATGCCTAGTGATGCTGAGGAACAGTATGCTTATAGCAAAGTGAGTGAGGCAGAGTGTTTAAAAAATAGCAGGTGGTGCATTGGAACAATCATTTCCAACTTGTATTTATATTTAAATATATTTTAAATATGTATATTCATAAATGCAACATGACATTGATAAAGACATTCCATTTTAACTTTACTGAAATAGCTATTAGGAGAAGAGACATAATCTTTTATTTTAGAAGTTCACTCTGTCTTTTGCTTCCTTCCACATAGTAGCATGCAATTAGGGAGACAAGTTGAGAATCTTTTGCCATAATTCAGAAAAGATATAATCAACGGCAGAGTGTAAAAGTGTGGCCTCTTGAGCTAGACCTCCTGGGTTTGAATGCCAGCTTTGCCAATCATTAGCTGAATAATGCTGCTTAATATCTCTGCACCTGAGTCCCGGACAAGGAAAGGCTGAGGAGCAAGTAAAAAGCTTTAGATATATTTGAGATGCTAGTTGTACATTCAAGTGGAAATGTAAACTACAGTCTGGAACTCAGTGAGTAGATTCAGACTGAAGTTAAACATATGGGTAGTGCAGAAGATATACTATATGCAAAGTTACAAGACTTGATGTATTCCTCTAGGACTTAGGCTACCCAGTAAAGGAACTGAGAAGACTGACTTGTGAGGAAATAGGAAAACCACAAGACAGTAGGATCCTAGAGACCAATACTAGTAGAATTATTACACAAAGGAGGGTGCTTAACTGTGTAAAATGCTGTAGATGGTGATAGGTCAATATGATGACTGAAAACTGGTCATTACAGTCATGAATAAGGTTGTTCTGACCTTGCCAGGAGCAGTTTTCGAAGAGTAATGGGAAACAAAAGGCTGAATAAAGAAGGTTCAAAGAAAGAATGAGAGGTTAAAAAGAGAAGGCAGCAAGTTAGACAAATGTAATGAAGAGTCTTGCTGCAAACAGGAGCAGACAAATGAGGCAATAGTAGAGGGGAAGATGAGATCCTCCCCAGTGAGATATAAATGCTACTTCTATCTTATGAAGGTTGTTGTTAAGCCAGTCAACAGGCTGTAAAATCATGGTTTGGGTCAGCTGGGTTGATTGAAGTGAGTTTGTGTGTCTCTGTAGTCTAGTGTATTGGTTGATTACTCAGTCGTTTAACTGAGAAGCTCTCTTGGTCTTTCTTTGAAAGGTTCAGCAACATTCTTTATCAGATGTTATGAAAGATAGGGCATCGTTGCTGGAAGAGTGGCCTTGATATGAGAACTCGAGTCTTTACAAGCAGACCCCAACAGTCATTTTGCTGAGTCACAATTTTGAATTTTATTCTATATTATTTTAGTGTTCATGTTATTTAGCTAGCTGATTTCTAAGCAGTTACATCTCAACATGTCTTTCTTTTCCTCCATTAATCATATGGTTATTGTAACTTTGATGTGATGCCAGAAAGTTATTCTGAGATTTGGAGCAACAAGAGCACAAGGACTAATTATTTCAAGTACCAGAGGGTATTCTGCTCATCATATATCAATATTAACAAATTAACACAAAAACGTGATGTATTACTTTGCTAAGGTTACCATAACAAAACGCCTGGGTGGCTTAAACAACAGAAATTTATTTTCTCATAGTTTTAAGGGCTGGAAGTCCAAGATCAAGATGTCAGCAGGTTTGTTTTCTTATAAGGTCTTTCTCTTCACTTTGCAGACACTCTCCTTGTTTCCTCACGTGGCCTTTCCTCTGTGGCTGGGCATCCCCAGTGTCTCTTTGTATGTCCTAATTTCCTCTTAGGACACCAGTCAGAATGGATTAGGGCCTGTCCTAATAACTTCATTTTAACTCAACCACCTCTGTGAAGGCCCTACCTCCAAATATAGTCACATTCTAGGGTACTGGGAATTAGGATTTCAACATATGATTTTTGGGAGAAGACAGTTCAGCCCATAACTTGTGGTAATCTGCTTTATTAGTGCATAACATATGTTTTAAAGGATGAAGAAAACATTGCTAGAAGCAGTTTTTTAATTAAAAAAAAATTTAATTTTTATGGGTACATAGTAGGTGTATACACTTATGGGGTATATGAGATGTTTTAATATAGGGAAGCAATGTTTACTAATCACTTCATGAAAAATGGGTTATCCATCCCCTCAAGTACTTTTGTGTTAAACAATCCAGTTATACTCTTTTAGTTATTTTAAAATGTACAATTAAACTGACTATAGGCACCCTGTTGTGCTATCAAATGCTAGGTCTTATTGATTCCTTTTATTCTTTTGTATCCATTAACCATTCTTATCTCATCCCACCACCCTCTCACTACCCTTCCCAGCCTCTGGCTGCCATCCTTCTGCACATCTCAATGAATTCAATTGTTTTGATTTTTAGATCCCACAAATAAATAACAGGTGGTTCACTTAGCATATTGACCTCCAGTTCCACAGATGTTGCAAATAACAGAATCTCATTCTTTTTATGGATGAATCGCACGCCATTGTGTATAAGTACCACATTTTCTTTATCGATTCGTCTGTTGATGGACACTTATGTTGCTTCCATATTTTGGCTACTGCTGCAACAAACATGGGAGTGCTGCTATCTCTTAGATATACTTATTTCCTTTCTTTGGGGTATATATACAGCAGTGGGATTGTTGGATCATATGGTAGTTCTACTTTTAGTTTCTTGAGGAACCTCCCATTGTTCTCCATAGTAATTGTACTTACATTCCCACCAAGAAGTTTCCCTTTTCGCCACAATCTCACCAGCATTTATGATTGACTGTTTTGGGGGTATAAACAATTTTAACTTAGGTGAGATGATTTCTGATTGTAGTTTTGATTTGCATTTTTCTGCCAACTTATGTTGAGCATCTTTTCATCTTCCTGTTTCCCATTTGTATGTCTTCTTTTAAGAAGGGTATATTCAAATCTTTGCCAACTTTTAATCAAATTATTAGATTTTTTCCTGTACAATTGTTGAGCTTGTTATTTATTCTGGTTATTAATCCCTTGACAGTTGGATAGTTTGCAAATATTTTTTGCCATTCTGTGGATTGTCTCTTCACTTTGCTGGTTGTTCTCTTTGCTATGCAGAAGTTTTTAACCTGATGTGATCCCATTTGTCCATTTTTGCTTTGGTTGCCTGTGCTTATGGGGATATTACTCAAGAAATTTTTGCCCAGCCCGTTGTCCTAAAAAGTTTCCTCAATGCACCATGTTGCTGCTGCTAGGGGGTTGGGGAGGAATGGTGTTGATTCAAGACCGTATTTTCTACCCCTTCAGTGCCTCCTTCAGTGATAAGAAGTTAAAACCAGGTACTGTGAGTGCTCATCTGAGTTTTGGTTCATATGAAGTTTGTTTTCTGTGTAGATAGTTATTAGGTTGGTGTCCTTTAGTGAAGGACAGTTGGAAGAGCCTTCTATTACACCGTCTTGATCTGCCTGCTAGAAGCGGTTTTGAAAACCATTAGGGTCAACTAAGATCAAATGAGAGCTAGGAGGACTAATACATTAATAACTAACATTTATTGTATCTCTACTATGCTGCTATATATGTATCTATTTCATATACCTGGCTCGTAATTTGTGTGAGAGTGTGTGTGTGTGTGTGTGTGTGTGTGTGTATAAAACAGTTGTTGAAAAAAGTCAACAAGTTAACATTCCTACTTCTCAGATGAGGACATTTGGGCTCTGAACTTTAACTCATAAAAAGGGTTAAATCTGCAGAGGTATCTCAATTATCAAAACTTTTATATTCAACATATAGTGGCTGTGGCAGAAAAGGGGTAATACAATGTAATTTGTAATATTTTAAATAAAAAATGTTAAAATAATTATACAACTTAAAAACATAAACTTTAATTACCTGATTCATTTCTGTGCTTTGCATTTCCTGATCATTAGAAATTAAATGTGATGATTGTACACATGACAGAAAAATGGTCACATTTTACAACTAATTCTGCCTTAACTAATTGGTAACAGTGAAACAGTAGAAAAACTAACATAACTAACTCCATTTTTTGTTAAAGGGGTCTTTACCTATTCCTGCTCACAGGCTAATTTTAGAGCACTGAGAAAAAATTCAAAGAAAACAGTCATGTAGTTTTCTTAACTAACTCTGTGATTAAAGGAAAAGTATGTAAACAGCTATGTTTTGTTAAAGATTTGCAGAAGCAAACACCGCATGTTCTCACTCACAGGTGGGAATTGAACAATGAGAACACTTGAACACAGGGCTGGGAACATCACACACTGGGGCCTGTCAGGAGGTGGGGGGTTGGGGGAGGGATAGCATTAGGAGAAATACCTAATGTAAATGACAAGTTAATGGGTGCAGCAAACCAACATGACACACGTATACCTATGTAACAAACTTGCACGTTGTGCACATGTACCCTAGAACTTAAAATTTAAAAAAAGAAAAAAAAAAAAAAGAGATTTGCAGAAGCATTGTGACCTGACCATGGACGAAGCAGCTCCAGCTGCCTCAAACTCTGACTAGTATCCAAATTTCTGCGGTTGTGGCGCACATCTTGATCCCAACCCTTTCCTCTTCCTGCTACCCTAAACATAAAAACAGCTTGAAATTTGTACCGACTTAAAATGGTACTTTAGGTCACTAGTTGGCCATCTTCTTGGTTTGCTGGCTTTCCAAAATAAAGTTGCCTTCCTTGTTCCTTGTTCCACCTCCTTAACTTACTGGCTGTTGTGAGGCAAGCAAAATGAGTTTGGGGTTGGTTACAAGTTCATTTGAGTAAGGAAGAATATGTAAGTCTTCATGCAAATTTTGTTAAGATGGTGAAAGTTTTAATCTTCTTCCTAAAGTGATTATTAAAACTTTAAAAAGATGCAAATATCTGCATGCTACAACCTGTTCAAATACATTTAATGCATTTACAAAATTGCTTTTGCATTATATTTTTGAATTAAAAATTATGCAATTCAGCAGCTAATATAGTTACGTTCATAAGTCATATTTTTGCTTCAATTATTTTTGTTTGATTTTGAGTTCTCAGTGACACTTTGATGAATCATCAGGTAATGATTTCTTTAGAAATCAAATATTTAAAAACCATGTCTAATAATTAATTTTAGGGCTACAGAAATAAAATTGAGAGTGCCTTTGAGCACTTTGAGTGCTTTGCTTTTTTGTTTTTTTCTTTCTTTTTTTTTTTTTTTCCTGTGACTAAGCCTTCATTATGCAAGCCTGAGTCCCAACCTCAGGTCTGCACTGGTTGTGGAGGAATTCTCCTCCTTAGAGGTGGAAATAAGCCACCTCTGACCCTACCACCTCCTATTCCCAGCCACACCCAAAGTCTCAACACAGGTTCTGGGCTGGGGGAGGGGAGAACCAAGTGGCCTAGCCAGAGGCAGGGGCCAAGGTTGGATTTCAGAAAGTCCTCTTGATGGAAGTGGGCTCCTGTCCCTGCAGGTAGTGAATGGGGTGGCAGGACTTGCTGGCCCAGTTTGGGCACAGGGATACTACTTGGTTAAATGAATGGTGAGAGATTGAAGGGTGGCCCTGGTCCTGCAGCTCAGGTGGGCTGCTCTGGCTGTGGGTGTACTCTGAGGTGGAGGGTCCCACAGGAATATGTGCAACCTGGTTCCCTGTGGGGAGGGACAGGTCAGGATAGGAGCTCTGGTGACCCCAGACCCTGATTTGCTATCCCTGGAGTTCTGCAGGCTGAAGTCCATGGACCCAGGTAGATGCAGTCACAGGGCATGGGCCCAGGCCTTTCACAGGCTCCCCACCTCTTGGGTCACTGCCTCTGCACAGAAGGAAAGAGAGAAGCCACCATAAAGGAGAGAAAAGACATTGGGGAAGGCAGAGATAAGAGAATAGAAAGGGTGGAGATGATGAGAAAGGAGACAAGGGGAGGACAAGAAGCAGGTAAAGGGAGATGAGGAGTCCAAGAACAGACAATAGAAGTGGGAGGTGGCTGTGAGAAGGCAGTGAGCTGGAGAGGGAGAAGGCAGAGGTCCTCTGGGAGAAGGAAGGGAGGGAGAGAAGGGCCAGGCAAGAGAGCCTTCAGAGTTGAGGTCCCCAGACTTGGGCTAGGCCTAGCGAGACGTGAGCTCCAATGACTTCTTCAGCCTCTTCTTCAGTTCCAGTGGGAAGTTCTTACACACGGGCTTCATGTCAAACTCCACAAACTTGATCTTCAGAGTGAGCCTGCTCTTGCAGGTGGAGCGGGAGAAGCAGTTCACACACATCAGGCCTTGTTGAGGGCCAACACCATGTCACCCTTGACCTCATGGCTGCAGCTACAGCAGATGTCCCAAAGAGCTGGCTGTAGTGGATCTCAAAGTAGGCCAGGCCCTTCTTCTCATAGTGCCAGGGCCCCAGGAATGGCTTCTCACACTCAGGGAAAAGAGCTCTGCATGCCACCACTCTTTGCCCAGTGTATTCACTATGTGGCCTTTGATGGGCTGGCTGCAGTCCCTAGAAATGGGGACAGCATCTTGTCAATGCAGGGCAGGCAGTAGAGTTCACCCTTCAGCTCATGGGCCTCACCAGTCAGCTCCTTCCTACAGTGGATGCAGCTGAAGTGGCCTGGGTGACAGGCACTGTTCCTGAACATGAGGGACTGCTCATGAATGACCAAGTGGCACTGCTGAGGTGCCAGACACTTGTGCCAGTCCCTTGGCCTTCTCATGGTGTGGCAAGGCTGGCAGAGATGCCTATAAACCAGGGGTGGTACTATGCATCTTGTAGGGATGTGGCTGGTCAGCAGCTTCTCGTCAATACAGGCCACAGAGCCTGTAATTGTGCCTGGTTCTCAGCAAGTGGGTCTTTAAATAAATAAAGCTACTTACAGTGACCTGTTTGGAAAAACAATACAGCCAGTTTGAAGTATATATTAAATTCAAATTTTTTTAAAAAGAAAAGAAAGCTAATCTATTTGATCTATTTCACAATAACAACCTTCAACTTCTGAAAATAATAAAGTCACATTCAAGTAGACTTGTAAAACAATTTTAATGTTTACTCAAAATAAATGAGATGTCATCATTAGCCCTTATCTCTCACACTTGAAAAATGGAGACAGTTGTTCAGAATAGAAAGGGAAACAGCTATTAGAGTTTAAGCTCAAGTTTCAAGAAGAATTCAGATAAGGCAGGTAAAAACTCTAGATACTTTTCCACTGTCCAACATCACCAAATATTAATTTCCACATACCTCTTTATTTCATAAAAATATAAATATTTATTAGAAATAGTATGTTTAAGATTAGTTTTTCTTTCTAAATAACATGATTTCTTGCTTTAAAGGAAGATTCCCTAATAGTGCCACCTATTTCATAAACTGTCCTGCAGTTTTGTGCTTTTTAAAAATTCTAATTTACTTTGATTTAAAGAATAAATATCTCATACCCATGGTGAACTATTTTATCACCCCAAAATACAAATGATCCGTATTTTACAATGAAGAAATTCATAGCATCTACCACCACATCACTGTACTATGATTGGACTGACTGAAGTATGGGCCTGTGAATATAGATTGAAAAATAAAAAAGAAATGCTAAAAAAAAAAAACTTAGCTACATAATGTTTAATATCAAAACTCACCAGACAATCCAATTTTAAAGAAACTGATGGAAAAATGCTTCCCCTAACATGAACTATGGTTAGATAGCATTGTCTGTCAGGAAATTCACCAATTCAGTAGCTGATCTTTATGTGGAAACAAAAATAGGGCTTTGTCCTTATTCATAAGTACAGGGAAGAGACCACACCTTTACTTAAAAAAAGAAAAAAAAACCTAGATTAAATGTGACCAGGTAGCCCCCAAATGTATAGTAAACCACCAACTAGCCCCTGGCTCCATAATGGCCATATATTGTATTCTTCCAGTTATTTCTGACAACTCGGAGAAAAACATTACAACCTTAATAATAATTTAAAAAAATCTAAAAATCAAACAAAACAACAGGACCCTGTGGTGATGAATTTTGTTCGTACCAAAAGTATAGTCAGAAATTCTGAAAAAAGACAAAATGCTTGCATACAATGACAGTGCAATCAGCATCCAGGCCAGGTCCTGTGTACACAACCTCTCCAATGCAGTGTAAGTTTCCTCTTAGCAGCCACCAACAATGAGCTCAAACGTAGTGAATCTGTAATGTGGCTGGTTTTCTAACACTATAAATATTAATAAGAGTGGCTAGTGCTATTATTTACATCTGTTGGCCGAATATTACTCTTGAGAAATAAACACTGGACTTTTTCTTAACAAGTGGTTTCTCATTGACAAGTTCTGGTCATTAGTGAACTAGAATGAATCTTAGCTCACTTCCTTGTTTTGCAGGACATTTAACTCCTTGCTTCTTTTAAAAACTCCAGTGGTTTTTAGGCAGCCACTACAATAAATTCTCCCCCCTTTTTCAATTTACTTCCCTTTCTTTTCCCTAAGGTAGAACTTCTGTAAACCTAAAAACATATGGTAATTTAATATACAAGGTTTCTCAAAGTGCAAAATATGTTACAGATAGTTTCTTAGGCTTCATTTAAACACAGCATTTTATACAATACAGTACAGTTTGAGATTTCTGCTCATAAATTATACCACTTAACAGACAACTACTTTAAAAGGACTGACCACCTAAGTAACCCAATGTCTTCTTACACACGTTAATACAATGGAACTTTACAAGGTTTGTTCAGACCAAAATAAAGTTAATCTTACATTCAGTCACATATATACATATTTTTAAATGCTCCTTAAATGCCTAAGCATAGACAAATTTGCCTATCAATAGGCAAATTCTTATGAATTATCTTATAGTTCAGTTTTGGAGTTACACATAAAGATTGCATACAATATTAAAAAAATAATCTGGGGAGCAATTCATTTTATTTCCTACTTCAAAATCTGCTCATCCTGTAATTCTTTTGGAAGGGTTCTTGACCGTTGTAGAACCACATTAAGTTCTTCAATTACCCTTGATGGTAACTTATGATCAGAGTCCAAAGTAGCTTTGCTATTCCTGTCCTCAGTCTTCCTCAATGTCTTTAGGCCTTTATGGCCTTTTGGTTGCCCAAGTGGGGCTTCAGGCTCTGTGTCCTCCAGGCAGTTGAAACTCCGATGTTTTCGGGGTCGATTTCGAAGTTTATCGTCCTTGTGCTCCAGGCAGTGGGCCACCATGGAAGCTCTCTCCTTTAAGCTAGAGTCCACGGACTCTTTATCACACTTTTCACTGAGCCGCAGCCTTTCAAGTTCTGCTCTTGCACTCTAAAAATAAAATTAAATGTCTCACAGGGAAGCAAGATTTGGCACAATTTAGGTTTAGAAAGTGCAATCCACATAAAAGTTGATGCTTCCTATAAAAGATCTCATTTCTATGACTTAGGTCCTAACTTTACTTCGATACAAGTGGCATGTCTGAATTTATATACTAATCTTAGAGCTACAAAATCAACTACAGACAGTCCCTGGCTTACAATGCCTCAATACGATTTTTTGACTTTACAGTGGTGAAAAACAAATATGCATGAAGTAGAAAGCATACTTCAAATTCTGAATTTCGATCTTTTCCCCGGTTAGTGATGCGCGGTAGGACACTCTCTCGTGATGATGGGCAGTGGCAATGAGCTGCAGCTTCCAGTCAGCCATGCACTCATGAGGGTGAAAAACTGATATGGCGTGCTGTGTTGCCAGATGATTCTGCCCCGCTGTAGGCTAATATAAATGTTCTGAGCACGTTTAAGCTAGGCTAGGCTAAGCTACAACATTCCATAGGTTAGGTGTATTTAACGCCTTTTTTATTTTATGTATGTTCACCTTATGGTGAGTTTATTGGTATGTAACCCCATCATAAGTTGAGGAACATCTGTAAAATGCAATCCATGGAAATTCATTTTAACATGCATTCAACATACCACTTCGAAGGTGTCTTTTGGGTTAGTTATTCAAATTGAATCTCACTTCATACTTGCCTCTTCTAACTCACTCCTGCTTAGATATGTCTAGCAAGGTTTCTATTTTTTTTTTCCTTTTGTTTAATTAGTTCACTGAAGTGTGAGCCTTGTACACACATAGGAAATGATCAATAAATATTTTTGAATGAGTAAATGAAGAAAAGTTTAAACAGTTTCCAGTATACAACACTGTTCTATTTTTCTTAATCTCAGTAGATCCAAACATAAATTTATAACAGAAAATTCAAGTGGAATAAAAATATTTTCATGAATATAATGTACAAATAATTTTGAAATTTGGAATTTTCTGGTAAGATTCTGATTATACATCTTAAGCTATATACATTTTTCCTACTCTGAAATTTATAGGAAGAAATGTTTAATATCTAGCTTAATTCCAAAGTTTCATTAGAATATGTTAAAATACTAAGAAAAATAGTGATGGTTGAACAATGTAAATACAACCAATGCCACTGAATTGTATGTATTTTTAAATAAAGTAGAAAATTCCATGATATATGTATTTTATCGCAAATGAAGTAAAAAAAAAACAAGACAGGGTTTATAAACAAACTTTAATCTTGTTAAAAAGTTTCACTCGGCATCTATTACTTGGGAAAAATTAAGGATAAATATAGAGAGGTTTTATATATCAGAGTGACAGTTCTCATCGTCTTTCAACCATCAGCATAAAAACTTTGGGACTCTCTTAGACACAGAATTTAAGGGCCAAGTAATAACATACATAATGCTGAAATTTCAAGTACACTACTGATATGGTTTGCATCTATATCCCCACCCAAATCTCATGTTCAAATGCAGTCCAGTGTTGGAGATGAGGCCTGATAGGAGGTGACTGAATCGTGGGGGTGGGGTTTTCATGAGTGGTTTTAGTACCATCCCCTCTGTGCTGTTCTCCTGAGTGAGTTATGTTGAGATCTGGTCCTTTAAAAGTGTGTAGCACCTTTCCCCCCTCTCTCTCTTGCTTCTGCTCCAGCCATGTAAGATGTGCCTGCTTCCCCTTTGCGTTCTGCTATAATTGTAAGCTTCCTAAGGCTTCCCGAGAAGCCAAGCAGATGCCACCATGCTTCCTGTGAAACCGTGGGCTAATTAAACATCTTTTCTTCATAAATTACCCAGTCTCAGACATTTCTTTATAGCAATGAGGGAATAGACTAATACATCTATAATATTAGCCTAAATTATGTAACCTTAAATGAAGGTGGGGAGATGTGATAGAAGTGAACTGTCAAGAGTTAGGGATGGGAGAGTGAGGAAGAATTTTGCATGAATAATATGGTGTGCCAAATTGCCTTGAATGCTATGAAGAAAGAAAGCCAAGTGCATAGACAATGGGGAAAGAAAGTCATAGTTTATACACTGTACTGTCCTTAAAAGATTAGGCATTCATAATTTAAAAAGAGAGAGAGATAAAGTCTGAAAGTGGAAGAGCAAGAGATGGCTTGCTATAGGCAATGCCAGTTCATGTCACAGGGTGCTGAGGGAAAACCAGTTGTTTGAACGGAAATAATAATCTGAAACAGAGTCTGTCTCTCCCAGTGGCAGACAGAGCAGGTTTTACTTATCATAGCTAGAGAATGGTATAATGGATGGGTTCTCACAGCAAATCATTCACATGGCTTTAGCCTGGGCCTTCATATTTTCCATTAAATCCAGAGGCAAGCCAATGGTTACAGAGGTCTTAGGACACCAAAAAGTAATATGACCAATATGTACAGAGTATACTAGAAACTCTCTTAATTGGCTTTCATTACCAAACTCACTGTATTACTTAATCTTCATGTTGTAAAATACATAATCATATCAATAAATTTAATCATCACAACACTTTAAACGCTTTAAACTCTGTATTATTCATAGTTTAAAGTAAATTGTCTTTATCTTAAGATGCAGAAATAGAAACTCAAAGAAAAAAATTTGCCCAAGTTTGCATAAGTGAGAGCTTGGGAGGGGACCCCAGCTTGGCCTTTCTGAAATCAATGTGCTGCTTTCTACCACATCAAACTGTGCTCAGGATACTAACAACAAAGAGAGGGGCTTATGGGTGGGATTCTATGTCACTATTTTCTGCTTCACTGCATCATCATTCTTTGCTCGTTATTTTTGTTTTACAGATATTGCTGTTAAAATAGCAATTTTGAAAAAAACTAATGAATTATTCCATATCATCTTCCCAGTTCCTTAATATTTTGTCTCAATATATGTTAAAGATATGCTAGTCATTATTCTAATAAAGTTTCATGTATAATGTCACTTAATCACAACAGCACTATAAGGTGGGGGCTTTTATTAATCCCACATGCTTACAGATAAAGCAGCTTAGAACGATGGCGTTAAAGTAAGATATCCATGATTTTACAGGGACTCAGTAGGAGGACCACAGGTAGTATCTAGTTTGTGCATTCTTCAGCATTCTGTTTGCCTCTTCATGTGTGATTTCCTCGGCCAACAACTTGGCATATTCAGCTGGCTCACTACTAATTTCCCCAATTAACTTGAGAAGTCACTTCCACCATGAAGCCTTCCCTACCTGGATAAGGTATTCTCATATGACTTTCAATAGGACTGAATGAAAGCCAGGCTTAGCCACAAAATTTATCAATCTGCCAACAACTTCTTTGAAAAATAATTCTTCTTGAATATATTCATTGTTATGACTGATTTTTATTAATATATAATACTTAATTTTTTTTTGAGTTTTTTTTTAATTTTTTTTCTTTTTTTTTTATTATACTTTAAGTTTTAGGGTACATGTGCACATTGTGCAGGTTAGTTACATATGTATACATGTGCCATGCTGGTGCGCTGCACCCACTAACTCGTCATCTAGCATTAGGTATATCTCCCAATGCTATCCCTCCCCGCTCCCCCCACCCCAACACAGTCCCCAGAGTGTGATATTCCCCTTCCTGTGTCCATGTGATCTCATTGTTCAATTCCCACCTATGAGTGAGAATATGCGGTGTTTGGTTTTTTGTTCTTGAAATACTTAATATTTTAACTCACTTTTCATTTTTAAAACAAAGGGTCAAAAATGGTTAGTTATTTTGTAAATATATTTTTTAAAATTTTTATATGAATCTAATATTATGGCAGATATTTTCATGGTTTATATGAATTTTTTTAAAAAAATTTCTATTATTGCCTTATAAAGTAAGTTTCATTATGTTTTTCCAAAATTAAACATTTAAAAAATGTCTTTGCCAAATTTATCAAATCACCAAACTACCTTATATTTACTAATCTTACAAAGAGCTTGGTTTATTTTAAAGACTCAGAAATTTTCCAGTAATTGAAAATGCATGTAATTCTTTTAAAAGCTTGTAAACACTTTATAGTTTCAGTTCTTCAGTTTTCCTATCTTAAATATGTTAAAAATTGTCTCTGAAATTGTGGATTTGGGATAAGGCTAAGAAATTATTATACAGTCAATCATCATCTATATTAGATACTGGTTAATGTATTTTGATCCCAATAATTTATTTTGCTTTGCCGATAATTGATCTGAAGGCAATGTCAAAAGGTTCTACAGTCACTGTAGGGCGTATCTCTCCCTATGTTAGTTTCATCTGTTCAGCCTGTGTTCCCTGTCCTGGGTTCCTGGGAAATGTAACTCTTAGAATTTTAAGATACTTGATTAGATAAGGAACTCTGCAGAGCGGTTTATTACCTAAAAAAAAACAAAAAAAAAACCCCAAAAAAAACAAAAAAAAAAACTAGGTACAGAATGGAAGAAATGACAAGGTCATGATTTCTTGGAGACATATTCCTTACTTTGATTACATCAGGGCAGAATGACTAAGCAGTAAACAAAGGACCATTATTTTTGAAGCTTTTCTCTTTTAGAGAAGGAATATTACAGTGGGATAAATGTTCAAGAAAGGATATGCACAAAAAGCTTAAAAATCTGATCACTAGGTTAAAATGGCTTTCGTCTTTCAAAAGTTATTTCTGTTTGGAGAGCAAAAGATTTGAACAGCTTAATTCCAAATTTAGGCTCAAGGAAGATATAAGAACACCTTCTAACTGCTTTTCTTTTTGCTTTCAGAGACTCAATTAAGACACTGAAATATGTGTTGGTCCCAAAATGGCTAATGAGTTTTGAGAGTAAACAGCCTATGTTCTTTGCTGAAGAGGCCAAACTTCATGTCAAGATTGATGCCGCTTATGATCTCCCAACCCTCAAGGTGAGAAGGAAAACAAACAGTAGCTTTCATGAAAGATGCCAAATCTTCTTTCTTGATTCTCAGGGGTCATCTTGTAGGTCCTTAAATTAACTGAGAGACCCCATCAGTTCCCAAAGCACTGGAATGTGATTATATTACTAGAAAGTTTAGTTACCAGGGCTCCAGACATATTCTGCTATGGGCTTACTCTGAAGGTGTTTTAAGTAAGCTTGTAAAACGAATTTGAAGTTGTGATTTTACCACCAGAATTTCTATACGCATATTTTAAATTGGCTACTTTAGAGGTAAGAAAATAAGTAGTATTGTGCATATGTGATTGGGTGGTCAATGATATTAAAATAAAAGGTATAAGGTTATTCATACTGTTTTCTTGCTGTATGTGATTATTACCATGCTTTACAAAGTGATTATTATTGTGCTTTTGAAGCCAATGAAGTAATTAATGACCTAATCACATTATGACACAGGAAAATATATTCTATAATTGAATATAAAACAAACAAAATCCTAACCTACCTCAATATTTTTCCGGGCCAAGGTTGCATTCCCCTCATGCTGTATAGGAATCAGAGGCAAACCTCCAATTTTGGGATTTTTGGTTATTGAACGTTTTCGTTCCTTTCCAGCTGGTGGCCATATATCATATTCATGCTGTGGAAACACAATTTCTTGCTGTTGGTGTGTGATTTTATTATGTGGTATACTATGTCATAAAGCCACTTGGTTTCTTTCCCACATATCCACATCAAATGATCTGATTTCCATGAGAATTCCATTTGTGATTATGATGTTGACTCTGGTGGCAGCATCGCTCCAGGACATGAAACTCTTAACTGAACTGAGCTTTGAGGTCTCAGCTCAATTTCTAAGTTTCAAATACATGCCTTCTATACTACTTATCAAACCAAAAGGGGAAAAGTATTTGAGGCAACTGGCAAATCTCTTTGTGGAAGAAAAATAGTACACTTGTCTACATTGCTAGGCACTGTAATCTAAGTAACTATACATTTACACCAAATATGATTTCAGTGTAAAAATAATTTCATCTTATATATCCCAAATCAACCTAAGGCATGACTATCAGAAAAATTAGCCTAACTTTATGACCTCTTGAAAAATGTTACTATTTTATCTAATTGAATTCCAAAGAAATATAATCTTTTTACTCAGACATTTCAACATCTTTACTGAAAATCATTGTACAACGGAGAGTGGGGCACATTTGTTCTCAAATCATTGACTATATATTCTTGCCTTCTAAATAATTATACATATGACTGGAGAAAGGTTAATTTGGATGGGGATAAATGTTCACAGGTAAAAATATAAGCTCTGGAGTGATTCATCTCTGATATATACATATAAAAAATTCTTTAAAGAATTTTGTACTCCCCAGGGTAGATTAACTTTCCAGAATTTGGAAAAAGTATATTGATTTTCAAACAACAATCTATGACGTAAACACAGAATACCGAGTATAAAATGAAAAGTTTACAGATATTGTAATGAAATGAAAACCATTTAGTAAACTATATAGCTAAATGCCTACTCTTTATTTCTCTCAGTTCTTAAGCAACAGATTATTGTTCTTAGGTTGCAGCTCTTATTTTAATGTGTTGCTTTATGGCAAAGAACTCATTTAAACAAATATTTACTGTCTACCTACCATATAATAACAGCTAATTTAACTAAGGGGCAAACTGCCAAGCTGTATGTTTATCAATGTACATATAATTTTCATTTATTCCTCAATGATCTTACAGTGCAGATCCTTTAATGTGCATCGTATCTACCCTTGAATGTTAGTGAAGCATTTACCTTAGTTCCGCAAATCTATAATGGTAGGTTATACAGTATTTCAATTGGAAAGTTATAGCTTCACATTATTTTTATGACACAGTACCAAACATGGTTAAAAAAAGCATATTATATAATTGTGATGTTCCCAAAACATAAACCTGGGAGAAAACTGACTGAGAGGGAATTAGGCAATTTTGTGAATTACCCTTACACTTTCAAATCACTGATGTGTAGTGCATACGCTAAAATATATTTTGAAGAATCTAAGAGCAAATGCGGTTCCCAAATCCATATTTCTCTTTTTCTGAAATAATATACAACTGTGAATACCAGCTAACTCTCCTTGAATTGAACTAAGAGGCATTTTTTTCTACTTTACATCCAAGTGATGTGTTCTGATTTAACATTTGTAGTTATTTGTAAATGACTTCAAAAGTCATACAGCACGGATCATATAGGTGAGGATCAAACTTTCATTTTATAACCAAAGACCACACCTAAACATCTCCATTTCTGCCTTCCATTTTCTAACCTTTGCCTATCTTTCCAGCTAACTAAATTTAGTTTCATTCATTTTAACTATTCTTTTCACTCCTTGAGACCTCCAATCCACCACCACTCTTCTCACAACATTTTTTACCACTTCCCTCATTGCCTGGCTTTCATTTCATGGTCAATCAGTAAACTCACTTCCTTGTAAATATCTTCAAGTTCAAATTTTATCTGATTACTTATTTATTTTCTTGCTCCTTCGTTCTCTATCATACTTGCCTGGCAAAGCCCCAAACCTAATTAAACACAATTCAGCTTATTTCATGAGTGCCTGCCAGTTGATGGAGGACAAAAACAAATTACTCTGTACATCCATCACACTTTAAATTTAACCTTAAATTTTAAGAAACCATTCAGCACTGCCTTGAAGTTCTACCATGGGACAACTGGTTTCCTCACTCTCTGAAGATTACTTCTCTCCTTTGCCTCTGCCCTTACACTTCAAAAACCCTGCCTGCGTCACATGTGGTGATCTCACTGATTCAATCCAACAATTATTACTGATCATTTAAGAAAATACTCCCATCATGAAATGTACCAATCTCCTTGCATCTATAGTCATCTAAGTGAGTTTACTTCTTGCAATCAGTATTTGCTGATTGCAAATAACTTTTATCCAGTCATATCTATAATTGCTCAGCTCAATGGGTCATAAATTTAGGTGGTCAATAATTTGAGAAGAAATGTGCCACAGTCTCTGCTGTATGATGATTTTTAATAATGAATAACCATGCACTAGATCATATCATTTCATGTCTGTTCAGGGCCTCTGCTGGTTTAATAACATCTCTCCTCTTCTGTCCATTTCTTCTTCCTGATTGGATTGTCTTCATATAATGTATGCAAGTACACACTCCCCCATCTTAAAGATAAATCAAAACCCCCAAACCTACCTTCACCTCTATCTAGTCACAACCTCATTTAATTACATAAGAAATTACTTGAGAGAATTTTCTGTACCCATCACCTGGTTTTCCTCCTTTCTTACTTCTTATCACTGCTTTTGCTGTTTTTTTTTCTTCTGCCTACGCTTTAAATTTTGAAATGTCCCAGGGCTTATTCCTCCATTCTCTCTCTCTCCCCAACCCTCCTCCATGCTTCCCTCTCCACCTCCATGCTTCCCTCTCCACCTCAAACCTTCTCCCCCAGGCATCTCATCTAATCCTATAGCTTTGAATATAATCTAAGTGCTGACTTCCCCCAAATTTACATTTTAGCCCCAAACCTGTGCCTGAGTTTTTGATCCACACATCCAACCTGCTGCCCAGCATACATATCTGTGTATCTAATAGGCATCTCAAATTTTATGTGGCCAAAATAGAACTCTCCATTTCCTTCTACATCTCTGATGATCCCACTTACATCTGACAGTTGCCAAAAAACTAGAATTTTTTCTGATTTCTACTCTTCCTCTCAAATTGCAATAGCCAATTGACACAGGAGTTAAGAAGGAATTACTAAGCAGATAGCAAGGGCATGGGAGTCCTTGGTAAGGCTTTTCTTTTTAATGAAAAGCAGTCCCAAGCCATCTTCTAACAAAAAGCAGCCTGCAATCTAGGAGCTTGCAGGGGTGAATGCTGGCAGGAACTAAGGACTAGACATTTTCAAAATGGTGGCTCCATCTTCCCTTCTCTGCCAGCCAAATGCATTGTAAGGAGAGGACAAGATGGTGTCAATCAACTGGAAAGCCCATTTGCATAAGAAGATTAGGGTGGGGGTGACCAGACTTACCCATACACTATGTAAACGCCATATCTGATCGAAACAATCTGTGAGCCCTTCGTAAATCAGACACAACCTCCTCAAACTGGACTATAAAACTGCGCATTCTGCACTAGCTGGTACTTTCTGCTTGGAGACCTCTTCCTGTTATAGAGGAAGCTGTTTCTCTTTCTCTTCTCTTCTACCTATTAAACCTCCTGCTCCTAAACTTCTCGTGTGTGTCTGTGTCCTAAATTTTCCTGGCATGTGACAAGGAACTCTAGGGTATATACCACAGACAACGTAGTCACTTCGCAATAATTCCAAAAGCCTTATTGGCTCTACCTTCAAAATATTCCTGAATCTTAATTTGTCTTACCATATTCATTACCACCCTAGTCTGAGTTGACATCTTCTTTCCTATAGCTGTTCATCCCACTTGCATCTTTGACCCTCTACACTGCAGACTCAATGAAGTGAACAAAATAATTTTTTTCAATTAAAATTAGATTATATCCTTCCCTTGTTTCAAACTATTAAGCAGGAACTACATAATTTGTCACAAGCCTTCCTCATCTCTAATATCTTACCTTCATGATGTTTATAGAATAAAACAAGACAGTGATGATGTCTCAGGACATACCCTGCTGGCCCCATTCCTGAATGATCCTTCCTGGAAGCCTGCATGATACCCCTCTCATTTCAGACTGGTCTCAGGTCACCTGTCACCTACTCAGAAAGCCATTTCCTGAGAACCTTCCTCAATTAGTGCCTTCCTTATGTCAGTCACATGCTCTCCTTACCTGCCATATTTTATGATTCTCCTATTTTATCACATGGATATCCATTTGAAATTTTATCTGATTACTGATTTTCTTACCCTATTTCCTATTTTAGAAATACTAACTAAACATGTACTTGACATACAAGTCAAATATGATGAAGAGTCCTTCTTTTCATGGAGTTTACATTTTAGTAAGAGAGGCAGACATGAAATAGCTAATTACATTTTTTTCTTTACTAATTAGTGTCACAGTGGAGAAGTACGGGATGCTAAGGGTGATAGCCTGAAGGTCTAAGTCATCTGAAGGTCAGGAAAAGTTTCTCTGAGAATGGGATATTTAAGCTGAAGTCTAGATGACTTCTGAGGCAGGGGTGTGGAAAGGATGGAGATTACAAAAGTACTCTGAATACCAAAAGGAGCTCATTATAGGGGGTGTTTACTGTTAATTCGCATACGTGTTTGTGTGTATGTCTACGCTTTTAACATATATATAAATATTTGCTATTTTGCTGTTTCCCTACAGAGATGAACCATAAATCCTTAAATCCAAGAAGGCTTCTGTGTTTATCTTAAGGGAGGACCTGAATAATACCAAGAAGTAAAAAGAACAGAGGAAAGATAATTAGGCTAAATCTTTGAGACGAGGACTAGGATTAAAACATGAGACAGTAAGAAATAACCTTGTAGTGAGAGTAGGCTTTGCTTCCTGCATTCATTGTTTAAATTTCAACTGCAGAGTCTACTGACTCCAATTATAAAAACAAAAACATCAGTTTAGTTGTGCCACAAATGACACTGTAACAGCTTTAGACTCTATAGTCCCAACTTTACCAAAAGACTTCAAATCCAGTCTTTTGTTTTTCCTAAAGTAGAACTCGATGTGGCCTAGCACAGTGGCTCATGCCTGTAATCCTAGCACTTTGGGAGGCCAAGGTGGGCGGATCACCTGACGTCAGAAGTTCGAGACCAACCTGCCCAACATGGTGAAACTCCATCTCTACTAAAAATACAAAAATTAGCTGGGCACGGTGGTGCACGCCTGTAATCCCAGATACTCAGGAGGCTGAGACAGGAGAATCACTTGAACCCAGGAGGCAGAGATTGCAGTGGGCTGAGATCATGCCACTGCACTCCAGCCTGGGCAACAGAGCAAGACTCTGTCTCAAAAAAAAAAAAAAAAAAAAAAAGTTGAATATCTGAATTTTAATAAGTTACAAAAAGAAGAAGAAAAGCCTCTAAAAAGTTAGCAGCCAGTCTCTTGTGCACATGTTTTTCCAGGTAGTAATGGTAGAGAGACAGGCTGAGAAGAGCTGTGTTTATTAACCACTGAAAAAGTTAATACATTAAATGAACAGAGAAAACTATTTTCAGAACAAATAAGAACTAGATTTTGGAGTGAGCTAACTTATTTCTTATAAGGGAAACAGGAAAATACCTCCTCAGTAATAAAGAATGGCAACTTAATCGTTACCAGTGAATTTCAATGCTCCATGAGAAGCATTATTGGGAATTTAGCTAGACAAGGTTGGGAAACAAACCAGTCCAATTAATGGGACTATATAACTGTTCCTCAAAAGGGTAAGTCCTGCTCTAGGGAGGAAAACAAATACGGAACTGAGTATAAGCATTGGCCTCAGACATCCCTGGGTTTAAACTACTAATATATGGTCCTGAGCAAACAACCAAACATTTGTTTTATAAAACCAAAAACATCTTGTATGGTTTGCTGCAAGGAATACATGAGTTATTCTTATGAAGTATCTAGCACACAATAGTTATTAAAGAAAAGTAGGTTCCTGTCCTTGTTTCTGGAAAGGCAGGGGTGGAGAGAGTGGGAGAACAAGAAGGGAAATAGAACACTTTTCTAAATGAAGGTCTATGTGGGATTGTGGTAGGATGACAGCTTAGAAAAGTCCCTCTTTCTTACACGACCATTTTAAAGCAACACACCTCACCTAAGCCAAGGAGGCTGTGGGGCTGGCAGAAAAGACGCTTTAATGGAATAAACTCTCTTTCAAAAGGTAATGAATAAATTTGAACTTTAATATACTATTTTAAAAACTAAGAATGAGAGAATCAAAGTTTATGCCAATTGTACATACATTTAAAATGCTTATTAAAAATTCTTTAGAAATCACCATCACACTAACATTTCCTGTAAACAAAGTTATTATACTCTACTGGATAGTTCAAACAAATCTCGTACCTGGGCAATAAAGATACTGGTCATCCACTCCGTCTGAGTTCGTGAACTATCACAACACAGGTGCCTGCAAAACGAGGTTTATAAACTATGTCATTCAAAAAGACAATTGACTGTTCTCTAGTGTATCTGCTGAGTGATTTGGTGATCAAAAATCTCTGGGTCTCTCCTGATTAATGACGTAATGCAATCACAAAAGTGGAACATTTCAGTACAAGTTGTTTTGGTCTTCTGCTAAATGTACAATACGAAGTTATAGTGTAAATATATTGGTTTAAACAAAATACAACTGAAGCCTTTGGTAAGTGCTGCAAAATGATGACCAATATTTTTCGGAAAGGCAGAAAGATTTATTTCATTTTGCCTTTTCAAGTACCTGATGGTAAAACACTGTATTCCACTAAAATTCTGAGCCTGAGAAGAAAAATATGTGCACATCCTCATAAGAGCAGATCTTTCTTTTTAAAAGGCTGAGACATAGTCTCCATCATTGTAATTGTAAACACTAATACCCACAGATTCATAAAAAATGAAACTACATGAAAAACCACTGCATATCCAATAACAGTGATTAAGTAACCTTTTATTGAAAGACTAACTAAAACAGAGACCTTGTCCTGAAGGCTCCTGTAGTCTATTAGGGGAGCTAAGCATATAGACAAATAAATTACAACACAGTGAGAAAAAGCAAAAATAAAACTGAGTGCAAACATAGAAACCACAGACTTGGGGATGAGGAGAGGGTTGTTCTTTATAAGAGGAAAATTTTATAATTGATATTGGAAAGATCTAATGGGCTTTTCAAAGTAATTGTATTCTTTACATTCCTGTATTATCAAAATAATTTACCTGAAAAATGTTGAAAATGAAATTTCTAAAAAATCTGTGTTTTCTTCATCAGCACCTCATGAAAACATTGTCTTTCCCTATTACCATGTCCAGGCCACAAACCATTCCTGCCACAAATCATTTTAATTCCGTACCCTTGTTTATAAAATACTGTAGGTGCAAAGAAGAAATAATGATCAGAGGTGAGAGCTATTAGATAAGGCTTTGGGGCATTTGAGCTATGATTTCAAAGAACATTGACAGTTGAGTTGGTTGAGTCATCAGGGGGAGAATGAAAGTATGACAGGAAGGAGAAGTGAAAAGTATGAACAAAGGTTTAGTAGAGGGACCATGTACATCACACATGCAGATCTGAAACAGCAAGGAATGCGTGGTGAATAAAGATAGATGATTGTTTTGTCATTAAGTGAAAAAGAAAAACTGTGGGAGATGAAGTTGGTGGAGTCATATATAGCCTTGCATGCCACGCAACAATTCTGTGCTTGATCCTATAGGTGAAAGAATTCACAGAAGTTTTAAAGCAGGAGAGAAACATGGTACAGCATAGAAAATACTCCTCAGTGGAGAGGTGGAGAATGTACGACAAAACAAAAGCAAAGAAGAGGCCTGAAGAGCACTTAGGACTCCTGGAATAATCCAGGCAGATCAATGAAGGCCAGGCCCTCAGGGTAGAGAGGTGTAGGTGGAGGAGGGGCACAAGGAAGAGGCAGATCTCGTGTGGCTCAGTGACCGATTAGACACAGGGAGGTGAAGAGAAGGAAACATCTAGTACAATCTCTAGAAATACTGATGGATACTGGTAACAGTATATGGCAAAAAGTACATATATAGAAATAGGGTTGAGAGCGGGATATATGTTTTTCTTAAATCTGATTTTAGCTAGTTCTTATTCTGTTTTAAAACTATCACCTACTTATCTCATAAAAGCTGAATTCCACACTCATAATAACTATGGAAGAAATCAGGCGTAGTTTCACTTCAGAGGCATTGCCAAATAGGATACATGGGACTTGAACCCTGATACAAATCTGTTTTCCTCTTCTTAGGCTCAAAGTCTTTACAAACAACCCTAATTTCACTTAGGCAAAACACTTTCCGTCTGTAGTTCTATCTGCAATTACTGAAATTATTCTTTTCCTGAAATTGTCACCAATATATTATGTCCAAAAGTTGTCAGCTGTTAACTTACCAGTGATGTTTCTCAGAATATGCGGTCAATCCCCAGCTGCATCACATAGAAAAAAAAACACACATAAATTAAAAATAATACATTTTACAAGACAGAAAACAGGATTAGATGTTAAGGAGATGAGATTTAATGGTGGGAATGCATAGACTTCCACAAGTGGTGATTCAATGTGTTGGACTTAGCTAGAGGTGAATGCTAAATGCTAAGGGATCTGGCTACACATTTATATAGAAGGAAGGAGGCTTGTGATGATATGGGGCAGAGAGGAGATGTCTCTGAGAAGATACTCTTAACTGAATAAGGCCAAATGTCTACGAAAATGACTGAAATAAGATAATATAGAGAGATGTACGGTTACTGGGGGAAATTAAAGAACATGCCTATTAAAACACAGGTATATGCTCTAGGCTTAGAAACTGAGTATGAAGGCAAAAGTGAAGAAATTTTCAGCAGCAAAATCTCAGAAGCAAGCACATATAAATGATGTTCATGATACTAAGTATTAGTGCAAACATTTATTAGCTAATCAAAGTAACCTGTGATAAGAAATTGTGGTGTAAATCAAATGCTGGGGTACATGAAGTGTTAAAGAGGCACGCAATCTGTAGGAGGCACCCACCTCCTCTAGCGCTTACATGCTATGATGGGTTTTCAGTACCAAAGTCAGCATAGTAAAAAGGGAAAATTACAGAGCCAGAACCAAAACATTGTAGAAGCCAAGCATCAGGAAGCTGGAGGGCAGCATTTGCTTTCCTGTGTTGTAGACTTGCCTGAGATGCCCTCAGGTTGTGATGTGACAGCTCAGGGAATGAGATGCAGAGGAAGCCATGTACTTCCCAGTAGACAGAGCCTCCCGGGATTTCTTACTTTACACAGAGAGATTGCAATCACCAAGGAGCTTGGTCTCAGTCTCAGTGGGAACATCGTCCCTCCTTATCTACTCATACAAGTTCCTTGATCTGCCATAAGAACCCTGTGACAGGGGAAGCAACTTAAAAAAAATAGCCTAAAACTTACTTTATAAAAAGTTAGACTAATGCCACTGATCCCTAAATCCTTAAATAGACATATTTTTCCCATAAGTTTTTCCTTTCAGCACTTCCCTTTCAAACTTTACCTTGTTGGAGGCTTCATTTTCTTTTTCACTCCACGATAAAACTTCATGGAACTGAGAGAAAACATCTTGTCATGTTTACTACTCTGTAAGGTAAAAAAATAATTTGTAATTAAATGGATTTACACATTTCCTTACATTTTCTTTGAGCATTAATGATTGGGTTTAGAATTGTTTAGTTTCTCAGTGTTTCATAAAACAAACATTTCATGAGTTTAGTAAATGAAGACTCTTTGGATTTACAATGAAGACTCTTAGGATTTACAATACAATCAATACATATTAATAATGTTGGATATATTCATGTTATATACTTGTACACATGTATATACAGACATGCACATGGCTCTATAATTCTTGATTCAAAAACACTTGAGGTCAGATGTGCATCATGTCGTGGTTAATACTGAGTGCAAACTTGATTAAATTGAAGGATGCAAGGTATTGTTCCTGGGTGTGTCTGTGAGTGTTGCCAAAGGAAATTGACATTTGAGTCAGTGGACTGGGTGGGCACCATCTAATCAGCTGCTAGTGTGGCTAGAATAAAGCAGGCAGGAGAAGATGGAAGAGCAGACTTGCTAAGTCTTCCGGCCTTCATCTTTCTCTGTGCTGGATGCTTCCTGCCCTTGAACATCAGACTCCCAAGTCCTTCAGCTTTTGTACTCTTGGACTTACACCAGCAGTTTACCAGGGGCTCTCGGCCTTCAGTCACAGATTGAAGGCTGCACTGTTGGCTTCCTTACTTTTGAGGTTTTGGAACTCGGACTGAGCCACTACTGGCTTCCTTGCTCCTCAGCTTGCAGACGGCCTATTGTGGGACCTCACCTTGTGACTGTAGGAGTCAATATCCCTTCATATATACATCTATCCTATTAGTTCTGTCCCTCTAGAGGACCCTGACCAAATCACATCAGAAGTGATTTTTCATATTTTAAAAATATAATACAATGCATATGCCATATGTTTTGTAACTCCCCATCACCAATGTTGACTGGGGTAGTACCTTGTATTCAAAGATATTCATATTTTCAAGATAAAGGCTATATATATCTTCGTGTTGTTTTGGGTCAGATTTTGCCACCAAATGAGCTGGGATTTTCTATACTGTTTGGATTTCGGAATTATGGAAAACAGACTCGTGAATATATATGAACACATATTGAGGTATCTCAAAAATCCAAATTAATGAAAATTATCCTAATTAAAATAGACTATTAAAAATTTACAGTTGCCCTAGAGCAATTATATTTTCTTTACACCTCTCGCAATACTCAGCAGTCAAATTAGAAAAGCGAGGAAAATATGCTCATAAAATTAAAAATTAGTTTCATAAAGCAAATAGGTTAGGAGGATATAACAGAAATACAGGGGAAAAGTAACCAGGAAGATGATCAGAAATAATGCTGTGGTGACCAAAGGCCTGGAATTTACATGGTGAATTTATTCCTAATCACTATTATCAGTAAGTTCACTATTATTATCATAGTAGATAATATGTTTTAAAAAAACCATATTTTGAATTTTTCCCCTTATAGCTAGATTTCTAGGAATTTAACCACTGAGTCATAGGCTAAGAATATGATTCAGAAAAAAATCTTATCTACACGGATAGGGTACATTTATTTACCCTATCAAAAACACTAAGGTAATACAAATGTTAAGTGTGAGCGTGTATTTATGTATTTGCTAGCCATCGGCAGTTTTGATGCGGTGAACAGTTTATCCATGTCTTTATTTGTTTGTACTAGTTCTTTATGTATTTAATATGAAATTGCCTTGTCTTTTTAAATTAAATATTCTATCCAAATTGCTCTTTGCCTTAACCTAGCTCATTGTTTACCTTATTGTTAATAAGTCAAATATACTGGTCTTTTGGGGGTTGGTTTCTTAACGTTTGCTTAAATTTAAAGTGTTCCCCCATAGCTGATAAATATTCAGTTCCATGGTCTTGCAGCTTTAAGGGTTGCTTTTTTTAGGATTTAAATCTTTTGTCAATCTGGAATACATTTTTTTATATATACAGTATAAATGATAAGTTAGACAGAAATTTTTTTGTTGACAATTATTCTACCCCAATTTATGGAGCAAACATCCCTTTAGACATGCACTTTTTGTGACATATTAAAATTAAATTCTAACATAACATTTTTTACCTAAATTTATGGCACTGCACCATTGCTCTTTGTTCACTTTTATACAAGGATTATAATATTTAAGTATTTTAGTTTTACTGTATATCTTAATAGTTGGATGGCAAAATAACTCAAATCCATTTTACTTATCTCCCAAAATGTCTTCAAATTATTCTTATCTATTTATCCTTTGAGGTGAATTGTCAAATATTTTTGAAAAGTTATAAAAGTAATTTCCTTTGCAAACTTGAAAATAATTGCATTAAACCTATAAATCAATACTAGCAGATTTAACATCAATTTTACTCCTATCAGAGAAGTCTATAGTTTTCTTCTCATAAGCTTCCACTTCTTAAGGCTGTTTTCAAGTAGTTTATGCATTTTGTCTTTTAAATCCAGCTGGGGACTGATCTTTGGATATTGATTCTATAGCCTGCTAATTTGCTGAATTTTAAGGAAGAACATTTTAACAATTTGAACTGTCTAGTATGAGGTAGCTTTGTAAGGTAGTAAGTGCCCACAGTAGGATATATTCAAGGAGAAGAGAGCTATCAGGAATGTATGCAGTATAGGTGACTCCTAGCCACCTGTGTCAGAGGTTAAATCAAATTACAACCAAGGTTTGTGTTCCTTTTAATAATTTAGATTGCTATTCCCTCAGACACAGTCCCAACCGAGGCAGCAGGGTTGGCTGCAACTCTAGCAGTATGGGGAAGATAGGACTTGCATATTGGAGAATGAGAAGCACTATGCCTGAACCAGACAGTCTTCATTTACACAGGACATTGATGATTTCATGACTGCCTACATTTTGAAAAACTTTTGGTAATAAGTAGATTGAGAGTCTGAGGGAATTGACTGCCCAAGTCACTCCTGGCATGCAGGCTCATTACTTTATACCACAGCATGTCCAAAGAAACACAAATGATATAATTTGAGAGGAGATCAGCAATTGTAGAAACACATTCTTTTCCATTTCAGTTTTGAAACTGAATATTCATAAAGAAGAGCTATATAGATCTTAATGGAAAGTTCTATAAAAGGAAATGTCATTTGGCAAGATCGCTTTACTGTTGGCTTATTACAACTTTCTCTTTTGGTATGTGTAACTTACAGAGAATTTCTCCAAAAAGTTCAATATACTAGACTATTATGAAGTCTGAAATGTGTTGCTTCAGCCACTCCATTTCAAAGTGAAGTTTTTAAGTTAGCCAATTAAATGAGTGTGCTTAAACAACTATTCCTGGCACATAAAAAGAGTTTGCTTATTAAAGTATAGGCAACTTTTAATGATCCCCTTTACCCATTTGCTTTCTTCACACCATTAACAGTATAATGGTAATATTCTCTGAAACCTCTCCCCTTTTATGTAAATTAAGTCTGAAAGCAATTAACATTTTCTGTTCAGGGAAAACTTGCAGAACAAAAGATATCTTTCCCTGTGTATTACCCCAATTTGTTTTTAATGAGCATTCATAAATTATCTCTAATTAACACAAAGTCGCTTTAAATACACTTCTCAATTTGTAATTTTTCCTCCCTTTTAACTAAATCATTTAAAAAATATATACAAGCATGCATATATTAATGGCAACCACTAAAACAAATGCTAAGTCTTTACTCAAAAAGGTTAGGATATTTTACTGTTGATAATTTACTATAAAATCATTTAAAAAGTTAACATCGCCAATGGCTTCACCATCAATATTAATAGGGACAGATCAGTAACATGAAAAAACAACAAAATGAAGTCATGTGCTGAAAATAATCATAGTTTGAGTTTAAAGGAAAAGCATGAATCTCTCATCTGCTTTTCAAAATGTAAAAATTAAAGTATCAGTTGCATTAATCTATTCTGACAGATATGCAAATTTAACTTTCAAATGCTTAATAATCAGACAATAATTCCACAACTTGAGGTCACTGTTATTAAAAAATGTGTTCAGTATCCTTAAAGAACACTGTTTTCAGAGAAGTTCTTGAGACTATCACTGCCTACCAGGTTATATAAGTTAGCTCAGATTGAGCAAGATGATCCTTTCAAAAAGATACAAATTCTTAAAGCAAAACTTACTCTGTTAAGGGATATGAGACCCTTCATCTCACTTACAAAAACAATGCATCTGTAAAAGTCACTGCATGAACAGCCTTCCCTGTGGCAGATATTAAAGTGTACATCAGCTTGAGAGAAAACACTATAAAAACTGAACTGTTTGCATTTCCTTATTTAAAAATGTTTGATACTATTTAATAAAAGTAAACTTACTCTCTACACATAAAATTCTTTCAGCAAAAACACTAAGGTAATACAAATGTTAAATTTCCTTTGTAAGTTTCTGCATAGAGCCTTTGGAGTCTAATGCCTGGAAATGAATTCTGACTCCATCGCTTACTGTGTATGTGATTTTGGACAAGTTATGTAATGTCTTTGAGAGTCTTTCTTCATCTGCATAGTGGGAATAATAAGAGTACCAATTTCGTGGGGTAACTGTATAGATAAAATGAGATAATCCAAATAAAATGTACGGAACTCTGCTTCGCATAGAGTACCCACTTGAATGTTAGTTGCTGCTATTATTACTGCACTGTCATTACTACTACCACCAACTACTATATTTGTTTTTAGCAACCTTCTGTTGCTACACAATGAAAAGTGTCAGTTTCTTGACAGGATGAAAAAGTTCAGGTTGATTTCTAAACACGCCAACTGCAAAAGTGATCCTTAACCAACATATTATGTATATGCAAGGACCGTGATTAAAGAAATCAGTCTTTTGAAAATCAAGGTGGGCGGTCCACTGCACAAAACCAAACACAATTCTATCAGATTCAGTTCTAGCTGACTAGAATAATAAGCTGTGAAGTCTAGCCTGTATTTTCACAAGCATAAACGTAAAGTTTGTGAACCTTAAAATCTGATGTGTTCCATCACATAACCCCATAATTCTATGAAATCTACTATTCCTCTATGGGTAAAATTGAAGAATGATAATAAATGATAGTAACCACTTGATACCCACACAGACTCCCTTCTGGATATCAAGTGGGGGTTCAAATGCAGTATATAATATGAATCTGTGATAAGGGCTGCAGAATTCAGGCTGTTTTATTAGTCTCCTGCCTGGACATTCCACTGTCCTTGAGGAAAGCAAACATTGGAATGTATACACAGAATACAATGCTATTATGATTTATTCATGCCCACATGGAGGCTCCCCTGCTGGAGGAATACACAGAGAAAGTAATTAAAGCACACGGAGTGCTGAACAGAAGCCACAGAACAAGACAGCCACAGCTTTGGAAAGCTGCCTAACAATTCTTTCTTTGTAACATATTAACAGATGTTAAAGTCTGGTCTTTCTTTGTGCATCTCCACAACAGAACACAGTGAAGCATCATTCACTTATAAGTGTGCAAGCAATGTTTACCCAAGTGAATTTTATAATTCAATATTTAAAAAGTATTTTCCAGGTCCTGCTGACTTCCATTCTACATTTAAAGTAATTGCCTTGGTACTACTTGAATCTCAGAGAGTTGTTGCTGCATACCCCCATGTGACCACCATCCAAAACAGGAGAAAGAACATTTCTATCTAGAAAGTACCCCACTGACCCTTTTCCTTGGCAATTCTGCAGCAAACTCTGTCCCCAACCTAAGCAAACACTTTCTGACTTCTATCACCATAGAATGGTTCTGCCTGTTCTTAGACTTCTTATGCACAGACTTATATGATACTATTTTGTGTCAAGTTTCTTTGGTTTCAAAGGTTTTAAAAACTCACCAATGCTGTGGCTTGTTTTAATATTCATTTTTGTTGCTGAGTAGTATTCCATTATATGAATAGAATATTTTCCTATTGGTGGACATTTGGAATGCTTCCAGTTATCAGCTTTTATGAATAAATCTGCTTATGAACATTCTTGTACAAGTGAGTACAAGTAGTTGTACTGCTTGAGTAGAGCCACTGGATCATGGGGTAGATTATGTTAGTAACTTCATTTAAAAACTGACAAACAGTTTTACAGAGTGATTGTGTGATTTTACCCTTCCACCAACAATTTATGTGGGAGTTCTAATTACTCTACATCATTTTTTAACATTGGGTGTTATCACTGTTAAGATTTTAGTCATACCAATGAGTGTAAAATAGTGTCTTGTGGTTCTAGTTTTAATTTCCCGATTATTAATGATATTGAACACTTTTGAATCAATGGGTTATTGGACATTTCTACATCTTCCTTCATGTAATGTCTGTTCTATCCTTGCCATAATTTTTATTGAACTGCTTTTCTTATTGTTGATTTAGAAGAGCTCTTTATACTCCTGATATAAGTCTTTTTCTGATATATGTTAATTAACACATTTTCTCAATCTGGGACTATTAGTACACCTATTAATACATTTTTCTCAATCTGGGACTTGCCTATTCATATTCTTAGTGGTATCTTTGGATGAGCATGCTATTATTATTACATTATATTTATAAAAAGAATTTTTACATATATTATTAGACCACTAGCTTGACTAATAAAGAAGAGAGAATATTTGATAAACACAATCAGAAACAATAAGGGGGATATTACTACTGACCCCATAGAAATATAAACAAGTATCAAAGAATATTATGAATACCTCTATGCATATAAACTAGAAAAACTAGAAGAAATGGGTATATTCCTGGACACATACAGCCTCCCAGACTAAACCAGGAAGAAACTGAATCCCCGAACAGACCAATAACCAGTTCTGAAATTGAAGCAGTAATAAAAAGCCTACCAACCACAAAAATCCCAGGAATCGGAGGGATTCACAGCTGAATTCTACCACATGTACAAATAAGATCTGGTACCATTCCTACTGAAACTATTCCAAAAAATTGAGGAGGGACTCCTTCCTAACTCATTCTATGAAGTCAGCATCATCCTGATACCAAAACCTGACAGAGATACAACAAAAAAGAAAACCTCAGTCCAATATCCTTGATGAAACATCAGTGCAAAAATCCTCAACAAAATAGTGGCAAATTGAATTCACCAGCACACCAAAAGGCTTATCCACCACGATCATGGAACAGTATGCATCCATAAAAAAGAATGAGATCATGTCCTTTGCAAGAACATGGATAGAACTGGAGGCCATTATCGTTGGCAAACTAGCATGGAATAGAAAAACAAATAACGCATGTTCTTACTTACAAGTGGGAGCTAAATGATGAGAACACATGGACACATAGAGGGGAACAACACCCACTGGGGCCTTTTGGTTGGTGGAGCGTAGAGGATTAGAAAAAACAACTAATAAGCACTAGGCTTAATACCTAAGTGATGAAATAATGTGTAAAACCAATCCCCATGACTCAAGTTTACCTATCTAACAAATTTTCACTTGCACTCCTGAACTTAAAAACCAAAAAAAAATTTCAACAAATTAAAGAAAAATGCTGTTAACCTGTCGCAGTCTTATAAAAACCAAATCCCTGGAGGTGGGGCCTGTGCACATTTGTTTTACTTTTTTTATCCTAATGCTTTTTAAAAATTGCAGTGTATATATAATACACATATAAAAAGTACACAAATCATACATATTAGCTCCGTGAATTTTAATAAAGTGAACATACTGGTGTAACCTGCACCCAGAGAATATAAAAAAAATCATATATTATTTTTTAAGCATTAAAACAACCTGACATGCAGAACTCATACTATCTTAAATTACAGATTTGGATACTGAGGTTGAGAGGTTAAGTTACTTATTCATGTAACCAGCTCTTCACAGAGATGAGATTTTCTGATGTTAAGTTCAATATTTTTATAGCTACATCATTTATCTACTCCCTCTTTTATATCTCTAATTCTCTTATCCACTCCACAATTATTTAATAAGATCTTTTAGGGAAATAAATTAGACGGAATATATCAATAAGATTACATTAATACATATGAAATTAAAAATAAGTCAATTCATTCAACCATATAGGAAAGATACTAATAAGATTTATTTTAACTTTTGGGTTTGGTCATTTTATTGCACCTTTTATTAATTTCCAGTAGCTAATCTGAAGCCTTTTATTTTAGGGTATCACACATTCTCTATTAATTTTATTGACTGAGATGTTGATTTATAATACATATTAGACTTTTCTTCAGGGCTTAAGTCATTTACTGCCCCTCAAAATCTGAGGTGCCTAAAAAGGCCTTATAAAATTATTCACTGTGTTACTGAGTGCATTAATATCTTATACCATAGGCTGAAGCAAATCATCAGCTTACCATGCATTTTATATACTACAGGCAGTGACTTCCAAGAGAGATGGCTGACAGTAGCATAAAATACAAATGTTAATACCCACACAAATAAAAATGTACGCATGTTCAAATACTATACCTTCACATCCTTGTAAAGAAAGAGAAACCCATCTCGTAAAACAAAATACCGGTCTTGAAACTTATTTCCAGATAGTATTTTGGATGGTTCTTCTTTGATTTTCAAGATTCCTTCTTTGATGCTTCCCAGTGTACTCCGGTCTGTAAAGTACAGCATTACTTTTGTGAGTTGGGTACGTTTTTACTTATTTGAAATACAATACAAAACATTTCTATATTGTCATATAGAAAAAATAAGAACTTGTTTACTACCGCTAAAGTCTAAGGTGAACTTCCGGGAATACCATGTGTCTGAAGTATAGCTATTTATCATGTATGGGCCTGCCTGGACTGTTCAAGTAGCCACAGGCTAGAAATCACACAAAATGTGGTTAGTATAGGTTGAGAGGTGCTATAAGTATAAAGTTTCTACTAAATTTTAAAGACTTTATATGAAAAAATATATATCGGCTGGGCGCAGTGGCTCACACCTGTAATCCTAGCACTTTGGGAGGCCGAGGCGGGCGGATTATCTGAGGTCAGGAGTTCAAGACCAGCCTGGCCAACATGGGGAAACCCGTCTCTACTAAAAATACAAAAATCAGCCAGGTGTGGTGGCACATGCCTGTAGTCCGAGCCACTGGAGGAGGTTGAGGCAGGAGAATAGCTTGAACCCAGGAGGCAGAGGTTGCAGTGAGCTGAGACTGTGCCATTGCACTCCAGCCTGGGTAACAGAGAGAAACTCTGTCTCAAATAAAATAATAAAAAAGAATATATCACAATTTTTAAAATATTAATTACATATTGAAATGTATTTTGGATATTGGATATGTGATATTAAATAAAACATACTGGTAATTTTACCTGTTTCTTTTTACTTTTTTCTAATGTGGCTACTATACAATTTATAATTACATATGTGGCTTGTATTATATTTCTTTTGAACCCCACTGGTATAAACAATGCAAATGCGCAGATAAAAAAGGAAACACCTTTAAGAATTCTGACTCAAATCCACAAATTTTTAAGGCATTAAAGAAATTTTTATAAATGTGAAACAGGCAAGGGTAAGAAAGGCAAAACTGCTAAGGTAGAACATTTACCCATCAATGATAGACTGAATAAAGAAAATACGGTACATTTACATCATGGAGTATTATGTGGCCATAAAAAGGAATAAGATCATGTCCTTTGCAGGGACATGATGGAGCTGGAGGCCATTATCCTTAGCAAACTAAGGCAGGAACCAAAAACCAAGTGCCACCTGTGCTCACTTATAAGTAGGAGCTAAATGATGAGAACACGTGGACACATAGAGGGGAACAACACACACTGGGGCCTATTGGAAGGCGGAGGGTGGGGGGAAGGAGAGAATCAGGAAAAGTAACTGATAGGTACTAGGCTTAATATCTGGGTGATGAAATAATCTGCACAACACACCCCCATGACCCAAGTTTACCTATGTAACAAACCTGCGCATGTACCCCTGAACTTAAAAGTTATTTTTTTTAAAAAAAGAAATAACAGGAGAAAACAGAATTGATTTGAGAAATAACATACTTGAAAAACTAAATCTAAACATGCAATAATTGCTACAATTTATTGATTACCTATTAGACATCCACACATTATATACACTCTCTAATAACAACACTAAAAAAATTGTGATTATTATGTTCATTTTACACACGATAATACTAAGGCTTAGAAAGGTTAAGCAGATTTCCCAAGGCTGCAGAGCTAATTGAAGGAGATTAAAACTCAACTTAAAAAAAAATTGTATTTTGGATTCAGGGGTACATGTGCAGGTTTGTTACAACGGTGTGTAACGCTGAGGTTTGGGGTTCCATTGATCAAGTCACCCAGACAGCAAACATAACACCTGACAGAACGTTTTTTCAGCCCTTATCCTCCTCCTTCCGTTTGGAGTCCCCAGTGTCTACTGTTTCCGTATTCATGTCTGTGTGTACCCAAGGTTTAGCTCTCACCTGTAAGTCAGAACATAAGATATTTGGTAAAACCCCAATTCTAAATGCATGTTCTTTTCTAGACATTGCTACCTCAGAGAAGAAACTGAGGAATTTTACAATAATTGAGTCCAAGTTTAAACCTAACATATCACTAGAGAAGCCCCCTCACATTTCCATAATATCCTTTTCCTACTATTATGATGGGTCTAATGGACATTGACTAATAAGCCAGAATTCCCTCCAGTTTGGTTTACACGTTATTTTTGTAGCTCAGAGATTGGCAAATTATGGCTGCAGGCCAAATCCAACCCTCTGCTTATTTTTATATGGCCCATGAGCTAAGAATAATTTTTACATTTTTAAATGGTTGAAAAAAATTTCTCAAAAGTTTGATGACACATGAAAATTACATGAAATTCATTAGTCCTATAAAAATAAAGTTTTATTGGAATGCAGCCTCACATTATGTACTATCTGTGGCTGCGAACATGATACAGGGACAGAGCTGAGTAGTTGTTTCAGAGACCTTATGGCTTACAAAACCTAAAACATTAACTCTAGGCCTTTTACGGAAAAAAGCTTGTTGACTCTCACTTCTCAAGAATAGCCTTAGGGGAAACTCCTCTCCACCAAGAACCTGTTCAATCTCTTTGCCTTTAGTTCAGTAGTTTCTTTATTCATTCTTCCATCAAAAATGTACTTTTTCTTACTATCAAGCATTGTGTTTGGCACTGTGGTAGAGGGACAAATAAAATTATAGAATTCCCAGGAACACAACAGAAAGGGAAAAGGCAAAGGATATTTCAGAAAGAAAGAATATGTGAAGGCATGAAGTGTTAACACAATGGTAATAATCTGAGCACCCTTTAAGTGAACAACTCATAGAATCACCTCTAGTGTATGTGGAGCACGAGGCAAGCACTGTGCTAGCCCTTTCCATGAATGCCTCATTAAAGGCTCAGAACCACACTTTAGGTAAATTAATCACAATTAATATAATTTTATAGATGTAGAAACAGGTTTGATATAATTATGAAACTTATCCAAGGCACACAGTTAAAGAGTGCTGTCATCAGAATTCAAAGTCAGGTCCACCTAGCTAGACTGGGAAGGTGCTATCACAGGTATTAAAAGATCAAAAATATCTAACAAAATGTTTGTCATTAAAATCCATTTTTGATGATGTGTGATGTATAAAGACATGTCAGATTCATCTATTTTTGGATTAATTTGTATTGACAGGGGCATCAGACACTGAGATATTCTTTCCTTCCCAGGAAAACTCTGGCTTATGTCAGAAAAGCTCCCCTCCTTTGCCCCACAATTTTCCGCCCATGGCCCAGTCCTTGCAGGGTGGAAGAAGAGGAGGCAGAGCCACCAGCGATAGATGTTGTTCTATAGTTTGAATGCATGCCCTAAATTTTCCACTTAAATTGTTATAATGATTCATCTTTTTCTCCTTATTTTTACATTTTATTTTTAGCATGTTCTAAATGGCTAAATGTGTTTCTGGGATTCCTATTCTGTGACATTCAAGTTAGATAATTTTTGATCTGGTTTTACAAGCCAGAAAATAAGATTCAGAGAATTATAATGACCTGCCCAAAGACATAAAAATTAGTAAGTGATAGAAAAGGGGATTGAAGACTAGCAGAAATAAATACAAAGCAAAACCAAAAAGCACAATACACTTTGTGCTCCTGTGTACTGTAATTTGTTGTAGCTTATGAATAAAAGGCTCTGTGTGCATAAAAAAGGGTAGCTCCTTTAACAGCAATTGTATTTCATGGGCAAAACTGACAATGTGCCACACGTAGAAATCATTTCAACTAATTTTTGTAACACAAAAACATTTTGTGAGAACATCAAATTTGTATTTGTTTTTTATCATGCACAAATTTGTCAGTATATCTCCAGTCTAAAACTTTCCCCTGAAATCCAGATACATATTCAACTGCTTACTTGAGAACCGAAGAACAATAAAAAGAAAGAGAAACCTCAAGCCAAATAGCCATGATATGGTCATTATGCTGTCAGCTTCTGCTTTTCCTGTAAAACAAGAGTAATGACACCTATCCGGAAGGATTGTTGTGGGCCTTACACAGGATAACGCACACACAAGATGTATGGCAGAACACTGTATCAGGTCTATCAGTTTAATACCTTTCTGATATTAAGGTGATAGAACTTTAAATATCCATGCATCATTTCTAAAATTTATAAAATAAAAACTTTAGAAAAAAAAATTAGTCTTTCCAGGCACGGTGGCTCATATCTGTAATCCCAGCACTTTGGGAGGATGGGGCAGGTGGATCATCTGAGGTCAAGAGCTTGAGACCAGCCTGGCTAACAAGGTGAAACCCCATCTCTACTAAAAATACAAAAAATTAGCCAGGCGTGGTGGTGTGCCACTGTAGTACCAGCTACTCAGGAGGCTGAGGCATGAGAATCATCTGAACCTGAGAGGCGGAGGTTGAAGTGAGTCTAGATTGTGCCAGTGCATTCCAGTCTGGGCGGCAGAGTGAGACTCTCTCAAAAAAAAAAAAAAAAAAGAAAAAGGAAAAAAGTAGTCTTAAACCCAACAACCCTTAATCTGTTTGGGGAAAACATTTACTATTGCAGCAAATACACAAATGTTCACACCTAAAATTAGCATAAGAGAACAAAAGTTAAAAATACAAATAGTTGCTTACAACTCAAATATATGAGCATGGAATGACCACTTGGAAGCAGAAGTGCCCAGGATTAATCACATTACTGATCCTAACCATGAATAAACATATATAACAAACCCAATAGTTTTCATGATACACATACTGACCTCAGACAGTATTTTATTGATCACACCGTCATACTAATAGATTCTTTTTAGGTACTTCGTGACTTTTAAATAATTACTGAAAAATATACTGCTAAAATTTGTCTTCTGGTACAATGTCTTAATATTCAATTCCACAGAGAAATATTGTAAAGGATTTTTATAGCTAAGAAGTAGAGTAAGCAATTTGTTAAACATTGTATGGACTTGGTCATATAGCTGGTTTAGAACAAGAGAGTCAAGAAAGGCATCTATAATGCCTTGTTGGTTTACAAATAGGTATTTTTAAAAGCAAGTTATAATCAAGTTGTGAAATATAGATATTTAAATTGCTTAAGTCAGTAAAATCCATTCACACCTTCTGACAGTACTTTTCATTTACATTTTTGCTCAAATTAATAAACCTTTCCATTTTTACCAAGAAATAATCCTATGTCTCGTATTAAACAACTCATAGTCATAAAAAACAGACTTAGGGGAAAATATTGTTTAAATTTTAAATATCGTTTAAATAGTAACATTTACTTTAACAATCATTGTATGTGATTGAGTATATTGAGTACAAACCTCAGCGTGCACCCTATTAAGGGACTCAGGATGAAAGTTTTGAAAGGAATATATGCTAAGGATGAGGGAAGAGCAAAAAAAACTTTGAAATATGAAGCTCTATGATAAATATTATGATTTAAAAGACTTTCTAAAAGCTCTCAAAACCAAATTCCTGTCTGTTCCCAAGATGTTAAAATAAGTAGAAAGCCACCAATTAAAGGCCAAAATAAAGCTACACACGTTGGGGTACACTGTGTGTAACTCTATATGTAACAAAATGAAGGTCATGAATTGAATGGCTTCCAGTAATTCATTCTTCCAAACTGTTCAGGTACTGGTTGGACTCTCAACTTTGGGGTACTTCACTCATACTTTTTACTCCCTTGACCTCTTGCTAGACAGAAAGCTCCCTTGCTAGTAGGGAAAACCATCTATTGTTTTCGTGTGAGTATAACAGGTTTGAAAGTTTAATGCACTCCCCAAAGCACTAAATTCTCCCAGAGATAAATCCTAGGATGCACATTAACAGGTACTATTTCATTTACTACCTTTTGATCTTTCATTCCAATCAAATTACAGCATACTGTTACCTCTACTGAATCATAAAACCCTCCCTTATTCTTGGTAGTTGCTAGGATGAGAAAGGATAGGTTGGAGTTTATTGAAAGGTCTTTAAAATTAAAACTGCGGGTAACAAAACAAACATGTATTGTAAGTTATACTGAGCTATCAACTTGTTATTAATTTAGAAAAGCTCTTTAAAAGTCACACGTAGGAAACAAAGCAGAATGGCCAAATTTATTTAAGCAGAACAGACATATCATGTAACCAGGCAATGAAACTGAAAAGCTCGCACCTCCAAAAAAAAAATAGTTTTTCTAAGCCATTTGAAAATCTCAGTTTTTTAGTACAAAAATAGTTATCTCCAAACCACCAGCCCCAAATTCCAACAGAATAATTGATAGGTGGAGGAGGCTGGGGTTGAGGGGAAGAGGAGAGAGAAACATACACCCAGGAATGGCATTTCTCAGATATATATCCCCCGCTTTACCCTCCATGTCCAGGCAGCTAGCAATCAATCATTATTCTTTCAGCAATTCTCTTTGGGACTCAATTCCACTTCATTCCCATTGTTATCACCCTACACACTTCCTTTTCTCTCTAATCCTTGGATTTCAGAATTCTCTAACTCCATGTCCTACCTTTCTAATGGCTCCAACATACAACTGCAGATTCTTGTTATGAAAACACAGTCTCCATGATTTTATAAAAGCCCTGTCCAGAGCCCTACTGTTCTAATGATTAAAGCCTTACCTTCCTAAAGCCAAAAGCCTACACTCCTCTTCCTGACTTTTAAAACATGAAATAAATGGACAACTCCTATACATCTCTGTAAATTATTAAACTAAAATATAATATTTAAGTTCAATTGATCATAATACACTATTTGGAAAACCAATCCTTGTCTCTGTGGTATGACTCAAGTTAATCACTTGATTGATCTTGAGAGAAATCCTGTTTTCTTTGATTCTGTACAAATTTGATTCCTACTTCTGGACCTAACTCATCCATGAAGATTCTCCCAACTACTTCAGTCCATATTTTTTTCTCTCATGCCACTAAACTCCAAGATGTAATATCACCCTTGAATTCATGAAACATCATATTTGCTTCATAATTTAACTCTTTTTTTTATTTATCAACATTTAAGTTCTGGGGTACATGTGCAGGATGTGCAGATTTGTTACATAGTAAACATGTGCCATGGTGGTTTGCTGCACAGATCAACCCAACCCCTAGGTATTAATGTAAGTACCCATTAGCTGTTCTTCCTGATGTGTTCCCTCCCCCTACCCTCCCCTCCCCATGGACAGGCCCTGGTGTGTGTTGTTCCCCCACCCCATGTGTCCATATGTTCTCATCATTCGGCTCCCACTTATAAGCGAGAACATGCGGTGTCTGGTTTTCTGTTCCCGTGTTAGTTTGCCGAGGATAACAACTTCCAGCTCCATCTGTGTCCCTGCTATGGACATGATCTCATTCCTTTTTATAGCTGCATAGTATTCCATGGTGTATATGTACCACATTTTCTTTATCCAGTCTATCGTTGATGAGTATTTGGGTTACTTCCATATATTTGCTATTGCCAACACTGTATTTTGAAAGAAAATATTTCTACTTCTTGAAGGGCATGGGCCTTATCTACAGTGCTGGGTTGACCTGACTACAAGAAATCCACAGAAAATATAATCTAATAGTTACTCCCATTACAATATCGTACGCCTGTCATACAAGCTATAAAGGAAGAGAAAATTCACTTTTATTTGAGCTACTCTTTACTCCTCTGAGCCTTCCCTGGTTTGTGACAAACAAACATTGTAACAGCTTCACCTCTCTTAAGTACATATTCATTTTGTATTTCCTGTTTAAAATAATGTAGACTTAAATCTTCTTCAATCTAGGCAAGAGCTGAAACAATACGGTGACTAAGAGCACATTCTGGCGCTAGACTGCCTGGGCTTGAATGACAACCACATTCTCTGCTAGATCGCAGACAGTAATCTCTAAATCTCAATTCTCTTATCTGCAAAATGAGAATACATACAGTACTTACCCAGTGGATGTGGTATATAAATTGCTCAGAATAGAGCTTGGCAGAGAACAAGAAGAATGTAAGTCCTTGTTTAATTAATGGAGGGAGGACATAATTTTTCTGTGTTGCAGAATCTAAGGCAAACACTACAGAAACAACTACCCTTACAAAAGTCTGATGACTTATAGATTTAGTTTCTAAGAGTCTAAAAACCTCATATCTGATTTATCCTTGATTTCAGGATAGTAAGGGGTTTAGGACAGAATATATAAGCTGGATATGGAGCGATCTTGACTATAATGCCTGTTTCTCCACTTATCAGCAGGTCGCCTTGAAAGAGTTATGTAATACCGCTACATCCCAGTTTCTCCATTTGTAAGTAGCAGTAACCCTAAGACAGTAGGAAGATGACATAAAATAATGTAAGTAAAGCATTTAGCCCAGCGCACATAGTAAATTCACAGTAACTATGAACTATTGTTATCTCTCACATATTATCTGATCAGTGACAAGGAAATACACAACAAATTGATCTATTTTTCGTGGTCTGCATGTGTCTCTCTTCTTCTCTTGCTGGCAAAGACTATTTCTTCAGAGCTGTGCCTTATCTTAAAAAATTATTTGTTCCAAGTTCTACCTGTCCCATGTACTCTAAGTGATGAAGGGCACAAATGGGCAGTTTCCATGAGAAGCAACTCCCTTGAAATTATGCCAAGATCAAGTAATTTTGCAATATTTGCAGGATAACATCTAAAAAGTCCTTCCAAATTCAAAATTATGCATATTTTCTTTTCTTCAGAATTGATTGTATAGATGTATTTTTTTTATAATTTTGATGAGGGAGAATTACTCATATATTTCATTCACTGTATGATATTCACTCAAAATGCACTTTGGTGAAATTTACATGAGAAGACACCAAACTGGGCATAATCACTGCTTGAAAGTATGTTACTTCTTTCTTTCTTACTTTCTTTTTTTAATTAACACTTGAAGATTTATTTTTAGAACACTAATGGGGGAGCATCTTTTTAAGGCTAACAGATATAGACACACTGTGACACTTCAAGAAAGTAATCTATTTCTTAGGATAAGCCAAGTATGCCCCCTTCACTCCAATCTATTCTCCTTTATGTTATTTATACGGTTGGCCCTCTGTATCCATGGATGCCGCATCTGTCAATTCAACCAATAGCACATCAAAAAATGTTTGAAAAACCAAAAATAACAATTTAAAATACAAACAGAAAAAAACATAGCATAGCTATTTGCATAGCATTTACATTGCATTAGGTATTATAAATAAACAGATGATTGAAAGTATGGGAAGGATGTGCGTAGATTACATGCAGATACTCTGCCATTTGATATAAGGGACTTGAGCATCTGCAGATTTTGGTATCCACGACAAGCAGGTGGCAGGGGGGAGACGTGGTAGTGTCCTGTAACCCACCTCCCCATGGATACTGAAGGAAGACTGTATTGAAGTAGCAGTGGTTAACAGAACAAGTAGCCTGTTGACATCCTTCTATCATTAAATTATTTATAAATAGTTAAATTATAAATATAGTTACTATTGGAACAGGATTTAATACAAAAGTACCAGAGTTTTTTTTTTTTTGCTATTTTACTACTAATGCAGCAAATTGCAGAATTCAGAAAATTGTTTTCCTATACTGTTTTCATTATTACATTGAATTATAATAAACATTTCTAAAATATAATTTAGTGTGATATATTTAGTTTATATTCAATGAATGTATAATTTTCAGCATACTGTTAATAAATGCAGAGATAGCACTGGAGTTTTCAGTGATCAGATATGTTTTCTGATCACTGAAATCAGTGATTCAGATATATTTTCTTTCATGTGATTCTCATGCAACTTTGCAAAGTAGGGAAGACAGGTTATATCATCTTATTGACAAATGTGAAAATTGTGGCTCACAATTATGTGACAAGATTAGAAAGCAACATGCTAGAATATGAATTCAGGTCTCTTAATATCTAACATGAAATTCTGTCTCCTATCCTGGGATACTTCTAAGTAATAGTCATGATTACCATGACCACCATCACTATCAACCACAATAACAATACGTGTCCAGGTGCCTTTCTTGGTTTCATGTATCATTTTACACTGTTAAGCACTCTTTTTTCCTAAAAATTACTCCTTTGACAATTTACGTGGCATTGCTCTCTTTCTTGAAACTTTTCTGATTGTTCCTTCACAAGGCCTCTTTTGCTACATCTGTTCTTTAAATGCTTGTGTTGTATCTCTGATATTCTTACTCTAACACTAAAATTGCATGACTTAGTATTCTGCCAAGGCTAAAACCACTTTCCACACAATGAGCTCTTAGGTTTAGGTATTTAGTTCCCTTCTAGACATATATCCTCAAACACACGTCAGACTCTTAAAGCTCAGCACGTCCAAAACTGAATTCTGTGGCTCCATCCATCACTCCCAACCAGCAAGCTCTTCTAGTCTCCCTATCTTAATATCCCAGGAGTTATCCAAACCAAAATACCAAGAACTACAATCCAGCTTTCATGGTAATGATCTGATGATATATACTCTGGAAAGCATTCCCTAACTACCTAGACAAAAGTGAGTTGGCAGTCCTCTAAAATTTGGTCAGTACTTGCTCAGTTATAAACTGTTTCATATATTTATATATTTTTAAAGTTTATTCAATATGTACTTTTAGTGAGTAAGAGTAAAATATAGCCTTGTTAAAGAAGGATAGCATGCACAAGAAAAACTAAGAAATGATATTTCCTTGAATAAGACACATTCAGTGAAAGAAGAGATGTCTACAATTACCCAGTTGAACTACTTTTCTGTGATTGAAAGCTCTTCATAAACATCCTGACCTAGAGTAGTCTATTACTTCATGCTGTTTGTACTCTAATATTTCAACAGTTGTCATACATTTAAAATTTCTGTTCTTTCTGGGTATAGACAATGTTTAACAAAACTCTTACATTTAAATACCTTAAATTTTCTATAGATTACTGCATGATACAGAGAGTTAATACAAATTTACCAATAGGGTTTCTCACCACAGAATTATATTTTAGAAAATGTCAGGAAATTGGTACTCCATAGTAAATATCAGTGACTATCATCAATTTCAAAAAAAAAAGAAAAATTTCCAATTTAAGTGGCCTAGGTCTTACTTTTAATATCTTGTACATCTTTGGCTTTAAGAAAACATGATGGGGAGTGAAATGTAAATTATATCAGCTAGGTAAATTTATGGATTTGTATTATATTTGCTGAAATTGTCTTTTTTTTTAAGTTCATAGATAGTGAATGGCTCAGCTTTCCAGGTCTGAATTTACTTGAAGCAGTTGCATTTTGAATTACACTATTCTAATGCAAATTTAATTCCATAGCATCTGTCATATACAGCAATCTAAACTTAGAAATTCAAAGAAATATGCATTTGAGTTACATCTTATATCTTTATATATAAGTATTTCTCTCCCATTTAGATCATTAAAATTTCATTCTCATGTATCATATTCTATTGGGATAATTTTCAAAAAACTTTAGTGCTTAAAATAAGACTTACGCAACTTGAGATTATTTATTCTGGAGCCTTACAGAAGCTATACATTTATGGTTTGCTTGTGATAGATATGTTGAAGTTCAGTATAATATATAATAATAATAATAAATAATGGTTTAATTAGGTAAGCTATGACACTGTCTAAATAGCAATGTAAATGAAGTTTCATTCTCCCTATCTTAATAGTTCAGTCATAATATATGGAATAGAAAAAAATTGAGGACTATTACCTTTGTTTTCAAATTAGTTAGCTCTTTTTTACAATAATGGCAATGGCACAAAATGTTCCTAAGAAATCAAATGCCTTTGAAAAACACAAATAATTTTTAAGTAGAGGCAACAAAAAACACACTTACTCCTATCTAACTCTATAAAAGTAAATTATGTTACCTCCTTACCTTAAATGAATGAGCAGAAATTAAGTGCTAGATTCTAAAATATATTCTTACTTATGTGTGAAGTCCACATTTTAAATAGTTCAGATAAAGAAAGAAAATTGAGAAAATTAAAACCCCTTAATTTTAGCAAATTTTTTATATAACATTCTCGCGTTAAAAGGAAGTGGTGAAAACATAACGTCAAGCAAAGTATATGGTTATAATTTGTTCTACATATCAGGAAAAAAACTCCTAAAACGAATGAAATGCAAGCCATAGATAGACAGACAGAAATTATAAATGTAGGGACAGAGTAAAATTTGTGGCAATTAGGTATCTAATGTGGGGGTGTAAGGTACAAGGGATGTTATAGGGCAACTCTATGTTTTAACAAAATGTTAACATATTAGCTATTTGTTACTGAGAAAAAATGTGGTTGCAACCAACTGCTCCCCCACCTTTTTTTCAAATTCTGATGATTTCTACTTGGCCCCAGGTTAGAATAAGAAATTCTTAAGAAAGGAAAATAAATCTTTAACATTATTCCCATTTTTCTTTGAAGAACAGTTGAGTATTTCTGAGATGATTCTAGTTTATCTGCTAACACAATGACAGAGAAATCATATTTGATTTATTTTCGTTATTTCCCTTTTAGATCCCAATTTTAAGGTGTAGCAGAGGTAATGAAATGGAGCAATAACTCTGGAGTAGGTAGTCGTTGTGATTGACTTAGGAGACATTTTCCAAGACAAAAATAAATGAGACTGAATACCAAAATTATCAGAAGTCTATCACAAAGTATGCCCCATAAGAGGTATTAATAAAGTTGAGGCTGCTCTAAGTCATAACTATAAGAAAAAATCACGACTTAAGAAATTGATTTTTTAAAAATATTACAGATTCCTTAAAAGGGCAAGCTTCAATTCAAACAAATGGAGAACCAACCATAATGAAAGAGATTATTTTGCTTTTACAATCTGAATATAAATCAAACTCTAATTCAATACTTATAAAAATTTTATGGGCTAGAAAATAAGAGTACTTTAGACATTTATTTTATAGGTTCTCTTATTTTTGACCAGACTACATAACTACAAATATGAAATGATCCAATTAATGTATTTGCTGATGGTTTTCCTTTAAATCACTATTTTTTTCATGCAAAGTTCCTGGTACAATAACAAGATGCATATTTGTTGGATTAAATGAGGTAGTAGGGATAGTTCAGGGACAGAGGTAGGTTTTATGGCTCCCACCCTGTTAGAGATGTGACGTGGGTAAGAGAGTGACACAGAAGTTTACTGACATTTTACTCCAAAGAATATTTCATCCTTGGGAGGTCAAGGCAGGTGGATCACTTGAGGTCAGCAATTCGAGACCAGCCTGGCTAACATGGTGAAAGCCAGTCTCCAATAAAAATACAAAAAATAGACAGGCATTGTGATGAGCACCTATAATACCAGCTACATAAGAGGCTGAGGTAGGAGAATCACTTGAACCTGGGAGGCAGAGGTTGCAGTAAGCTGAGATCACGCCACCGGTGGCACTCTAGCCTAGGTGACACAGCAAGACTCCATCTCAAAACAAACAACAACAACAACACAAACCAAAGAATATTTCATCCAAATCTCTGAAACATCACTTAAGCCTCCAGCTTGCTTTCTTCTGCTTTGCTTCTCTAGTTCTTCTCTAGCTTTTTTTCTACAAGATTCTTTGTCTAGATCTTACAGAGGCTTGATGCTTTTATAACAGAAGGACACACTCATAACTCCATCTAGAAGATGTAATGGGATAGGTGGAACATCACGAAAACACCAAATCTTCCTACCCAGTTTGTGGTTACAGCCAACGTACCAGCTGTCACTGTACCATTTCTTCTTGCCCTTACACAACAAAGGTTTTACCCAGATATGACTGCTCTAAACCAGCGCAATCTACACCTTGTTGGGTTGTTTGCCACCCACCCCCAGCCATGCCCCGAAGATTAATAGCATTTAATGGTGAACTTGTTTTGGGTTACCCGCACCCTCAGACATACAGAACCTTCACTTATAACATAGCCTTTTAGGATCTAATTCTTATCCATTTTTATTCATATAGCCAACCTACTAGCATTCACACAACAGCAAAGGTATTATGTCTAGGTGTAGGTTTTAAACATGTTGCAACATGGAGAATTAGAGATATTGCAGAGGAATATCAGAAGAAAAGAAACAAATAAAAATTTCAACAGAAAGATAAAGAATTAGAACAGATATCACAGATTATCTAAATTAGGGTTTCTCAACATCAGCAGTGACCCTTGGTCTGTACCCACTAAATACCAGAAGCCCTGCCTCCCTACCCAATCTCCAAGTTGTGACAGTCAGAAATGTCTTAAGACATTGTATGTTCCATGTCTTGTGGGCGGGGAGGGGAGGGAGGGGAAATCATTCCTAGCTGAAAGCCACTACTTTATGACATGTGCATTCATACATGTGCATTCACATCAGTACAGAGAAATCCTATTGCAAACATTAAGAAGGCACAGGCAGTATATGGTCAGAATCATATGTAAGAGCATGAAAAAATTTCAAACAGGATAAAGGTCTCGGAAAGGCTACATTTCTACAGTATAAAGAGTTAGTATCTGTTTTGGCTTTTTAGATGCTTATAAGAACACAATGACATAAAAGTTGTTATACTACTTGCATTTTGTAAAAGTACTTTCACGTAAGTAAAAGTATGTAAGATATAAAAGACAGTGTATTAAATCAGAAGTTTATATGATAAGCTTTGGTACAATTAAGAGCTCTGAATTATGACTATTAACTAGAGAATCTGCAATGATACTGAGTAGTTTACAGCACTGAAGAGCTGTACCATCCTCCCCACCTTTTTTCACATGATTAAAATTAGGAGGAACACCAATCAGTTCTTCAATTCAATACTTAGTAACTGAATAATATAAGGCAAATTACTTAAGTTCTCTGAGTTTCTCTTCCCTTCATTTGTAAAATTCAAAAGGTAATATAACTTACAAGGAAGTTAAAAAAAACTTTAAATGAGCTTTGGTGTGTGTTGAGCTCTGCTGGTATGCAATTAAGAAATAATAATGGTTATTATTTATATTAATCATAAAAGTAATCATAAATTTCAATCCTTAGCTTATTGAGTTGGATTGTATATAATCCTGGCTTTTTTTTGATCTTTCAGTTGATAACAACACAACAGAAGAATAATTAAGTTTCAAAATAAAAATTTTCTGAGATCTCATAGAGGTTCAGAAATGGTCTTATATAGTTCACTGTGCTAGCTAACTTACTTAATTAACCGTACATGAGCACTATCTCCTTCCAGTTGGATGGGAAGCATTCTTACTGGAAGTATTTTATTTTGTAAGTATTTATTTTCCAACTTCATCACAAAAATGTGAGATATATAGCAAGCACTCTATCTCAGAGCCTATATAATTAGCATTCCTTTAATGCCTAGAAAGCTTTCTAATGTAAATGTAATTCACAGAGATGACTTGCCCTCAGTCTAAAAATTGAGGAAAATACATAAGCATAAGCATGGTAAACAACCTTTAAAAACAAACTATTATTTCCAAAAACCTGAACTTGGTACAATCAAATTAGCCAACTATTACCACAGAGCAACACATTGGGAAAATATCTTCCTGTCCATATATTCTTCTTTCTTATATATGTACTATCTCAGTTCATTCTGTATCTAGCTACTCGTTTTTCACATTTTCAAATATTACTTGTGCCATATTAATTACCCTTTAACCACTTGAATTTTCAATCATAGCTGCAATGTGAAGTAATGACACCTACCACTGCAGTGTTTAATTGTGTCAGCGGTTAAGAATCTCTTCACCACCAGGTAAGCAGAGCCAGGTTCAGCTAATGAACTCCACCGAAGCACCTGCTCCAGTACATTTTCCTTGTAGTGAAGAGGACGCTCTGTAAAAAATAAATTCCAAATCAAATGGAAAATATATGAGGATAACAATTTTTTATTTTATAATCATAAATTTTAAAAAATCCATTTGAAAACATCTGTAGGCAACATTATACACAATCATATCTTATGTTATATTATACAGTAATAGCACTATGACTATGTAAAAGATATCCTAAGACCTAGAAAATTATTAAGCACATAATAACATTTACTATATAAATTAATCATGCAGGAATACCTGTTACTGAACTATTTTTAAAAATCAGAAGTACTTTTGATAAAAATCTCAGAATTCTACCTTTTGTATAATAAATTCTACCCCTTGTACAATACATTATTATTATTATTATTATTTTGAGACAGGGTTTCACCCTGTCACCTAGGCTGGAGTGCAGTGATGCAATCCTAGCTCACTGTAGCCTCAAACTTCTGAGCTCAGGCTACCCTCCCACCACTGCCTCCCAAAGTGGTGGGATGAACAGGCATGAACCACCATCCCCATCCTCTAACCTCTTTTGTAGATAACATACTGGTTTGTTTAGGGAAACCTTCTTATTTTTATATGCAATTAAATGGTTTTAAAAGGACTAACAAACTTAATATTGTCCGTTACTAAATAATAATCATAAATTAATCATAATCCTTTGTTTATCCCAACAAGATCAAACTCATAATTTTGGATCAACACTAGTAAATACCTCATAGCTAATATTTTCATAATCAATACAAAATTATAAAATGTAACTTCTATAGAAAACACTAAAATCATTTACAAAATAGTACTGAAGAGTCTATATTTAACTACTAGTGGGAATATAAAAAACATGATGTGTCAATATTATAGACTAACTATTGACATAATAGGCCAACTAGCAAGAAATTACATGACATCTTCAATATATCTCTCTGAAGAATATTCATCCATACACATTTTGATTTAGGCAATCATAATTTTAAATGCAGCATATATTCTTAGCATAGAGTTAAAAAGAACAAGTTTTAGAATTACAATCAAAGTCTCACAGAAAAGTTTTTGATGATCAAAATATGTCAATCAGTTAATAAAATGTAGCAACAGAAACATATGCTGGAATAAAGGAAATTCAAACTTTTTCTCAGTGCACTGAAAATAGCATAATTGAAAATAATAAGAAAAGAAGCTGTGACATGAAGATGTCAATGCTGCTTTCCTAGTGTTGTAGCCATGTAAAAGTCAATTCAACTCTTTCACACCATCCAAAACATAAAGCACATACCACCTGAGCTTTTTGTTTTCGGTTAAAGTAATGAGGCTAAAGACAAACAGGAAAGAGCATATCAAAAGCATCATACTTGTATGATCCATCATAATGTAACTGATAATAAAATCACAAGTTTAAATAAATATATCACATCCTCCCTAATACTGGTTTCCCCTGCTATGAACATATCATATCAGAAGTCATCAACAATTCCTAGTTTCAGATAAGAAAATAAATTGTCTGTTTCCAATGTAAATTACCAGATGTTTGCTTCCTATCCAGTAAAGAGAAATCCAATTCTGCATTCTGTGCTTATTGGAGCAAGCTAACTCATTATAATAATGGCAAGAATAAAGAAGGAAAGAAAAAATCCACTAGGCCACACATCCTGAAGACAAATATACATCTTGTTTACTATTATATATCCCCTATTCACAGCATAGTATTGAATATATAATAAATGCTCAATAAATATTTGACAAATTATTGCATTATTTTCTTTGATGGCCCATAAATCAAAAAAACATATTAACAGAAAGACTCACAGACAAAATGAGTCATCATAAAGCCAGATAAAATCTTTTGTGCTATGTCAATATTACTTTTCTTCAAATAATTTTCTAAAAGATTGGGAAAAGATCATAACTGCCCACAATTTTTCAATGTTATAATTCAACTGTTAACTAACTCATAAGTTTGTTGTCTTCTAATTGAAGTTAGATATATTTGAAGGTAAGACTAATTATAAAATAAGCACTCCCTTTATGTATGGCTTTAAATATATTTTTAAATTATTCTTTAAGTTCTAGGGTACATGGGCACAAAGTACAGGTTTGTTACATATGTATACATGTGCCATGTTGGTGTGCTGCACCCATTAACTCATCATTTACATTAGGTATATCACCTAATGCTATCCCTCCCCCTCCCCCTTTTGAGCCTACTACTTGCAAGCTTTGAGATACTATTGATCCCAATAACGGTTGCCATTTATGGAATAACAATTATGTATCAGCCATTATATATACTGGATGCTTTAAATCAGTTATCACTTTCAAACTTCACAATAACATGCTTCACTAGATATTATTATTCATATTTCACATGTAAGGAAACCTAAGGATCACAAAGGTTTTGCCCCTTGCCTCACATCACATGGCTGGTTAAGGTGAGGAACAGAGATGTGCATCCCAAACCTATCTAACTTTAAAGCCCAAAATCTTAACTATTATAGTTAATTTTATTCTGTACACATATGTAAGCCTTCCCATGATGGTTTTCTCACATGCAATTTGTTTTCTTAGGTAACATATGCAAAGTGAAAAACAACGTCTGCCCTGTCCACATAATCAGAAGATAACAGCAGTTTATGTGTCAGTCAGAAGAGCTAGAAAGAATCCTAATAAAATAAACAGATCTTCCACATCATAGTAGGTATGAGGAAGAAATAAGACCATCTTTTTCTGATAGTACTGCATAAAAAGTAACTGATTCTCAAACTTGGATCTCTCAGTGAAGCCTATTTAAATGAGGCCCTTCAGCAATTAAATTTCTTTCAAGATGTGAAAAACCTAGAAGGTAAAGGGGTCTACATTGGCAGAGGATGGGTTCGGATTTAAGGTAAAGCATTAAAATAATAGCATATTTTGGATGACTGGCTCTTATGGAAGAGAATCTAACTCAGCTTAATGTATATTTCATACCAATGTAATATAAAATGAAAACATCAAAAATGTTAAAATATTTTAAATGGTTATATTTTCCCACGAATCTGACTACCATATAAAGAAGAAAAGATGACTGCTGTTTTAGTCAGAACTTCCTGAAAAGTTGTGCACCATCTCACCAACGACAGTAATGGCGAAATATCATTTAAGTGAAAAAAAATGTACATGATTATAGCAATCTGAATTAGTAGCTGCCACATCCATGGTGATTCCATTTACAGGTTTAAGAATCTATTTGCATCATCTTCAGGCATATAGGAGTTTCCCAGCATTTACATGCTAATAATGCATATGTTCCCTTTATTTTTATATTTTAATTAGGGTATTAATTTTTAATGAGTACAATAGGTTATCTCAGGACAGTAAAGGGAAGATTACCAAACATTTATTATACAAAGGAAATACTGAATATAGAGAACTCCTGGTTTAAAATATACAGATACTTAAAATCTAGCATTCTGGCTTACATATTTATAAATTTATATATTCATTCATTCATTTTTTTACTGCATTACTTGGAGGATTTATGTTTACATTAGCAAACACACCAACTGCCTGGCTGACATTCTTCTCAACTACAACCTTCTTACTACCTATGCCTTTACTTTTATCTCCTTCTCATATTTCACTTTATCTTCTCTGCATGTTACTAGATATAAAGCCTTCAACATGTGGTACACACATGTTCCACTGGCTTCAGTAAACCCACATAACCACAGGCCCTTCTGTTGCTCTCCTACCATTATTCCTCTGGGAGGTTTTCCCTTACTGCAATTTCTACTTGTACAGTTGACAAAACATTAAGACCATGCCAAATTTGAATTCTTAACTCTAAGTGTATTCTTTCTAGGTGTACATGACACATTTCTTTGTTTATACATTGACACATTCACAAATCAAAACTTGATGACTCCTAGTTTTTTAGATATCTTGGCATAAAGACAACTTTATTTTAATTAGAAGTAAAAATAAGAAAAAATCCAATTCAGTCTTAGCATTGTATATACTAATTATCACATTCAAGTTTATAATTAGTCATTCTGAGGGTAAACATCCCTTGATTGCTCAAGATAAAATTTCAAAACAATGTTTCTTGGTATAATGCAACCCCTCTTCTAGCTATATATAATTCCTTTCTATCCTCATCCACCTGCTTGCTCCTCTTAGGATGGCCAGTAGCCAGAGATACAGAGCTCCAGTGGCACACAGATATACTTTAGTGTACTCAAACTTTGAGAGGGCAACGGAGGTAGGGAGGGGATGCCTACTCCTAAACCCACAATTCAGTATTCTGCTATCAAACTTTTAAAAAGCAACAGAAATAGAAGCGTGTAGGAGACAATCATCTTTCTAAGCACTAAACAGGGCCCTGAGATCTCTTCATGGTTCCTAATCTACAGGCAGAGATCTCTGTCTATGTGCCTCCCACATTTGGATGCATCTATACCAGGAACCACAATCCATATCACTCAGGTCCAGAATGCATCTACTTTTTTGCCCCACTTCAGTTGAAAAGGCTTTTGTGGAGTTTGATCCACATCAACTGCACTATGAGAAGTAGTCAAAAATATAAAGCCTGAAATACACGGTAAATGCCCTAAAAAAAGTATAGTCTAGGGCAGAACCAGGTATATACACATTGCTATTCTATAAGTCATACAGTATACAGTATTATAGATTTTTAAACAAATTATAAGACATCAGTGTGAACATCATGAAGGAAGAGACATTTCACTTAGACTGTGAAGGATAAATATGCAATGAGGAAATAAAGGGTTTTATGTGGTGGAACAATGTAAACCAATTTGTAATGTGGAAAGATATTTCTGGCAATAATGCTGACAGTTAATCTTTACGCACAAATATAACAAAGCTGGTAACCAAGTGACCCATTCTTTAAAATTAAACAAAGACAAAAAATAAAAACTTTGTCACCCTTGTACCACAGGGTCATACAAAATCATGCCTCACTTATTCAATAGATTTTATGGCTCCTATATACTAGGCACTATGCTAGACATTAGAGATTTAAAAAAAAAAAACAGAATTGCTCCTACTTTCCAAGGAACTCCCATCAAAAGAGACAAGTACAAATCAAGGTAATAAGTACTATAAAGAGAAATGAGACAAAGTACAATGAAAATTTTAGTCTAGGTTTTAAAAGAGGTAAGAGTGTGAGCCAGATGGAGGAAGAACAAAGGTATATTTGGGAAACACCAGTTAATACATGTTAGCCAAGCACAAAAAATAGAAGAGATTATCTAATAATAATAAAAAATAAAACAGGTAACATGAGAAAAGATGGCAAAGGATGTTGCAGCAAGGAAAACCCAATGTTTAGAAAACAGAATAAGGAGAATCTACAAAAGAGGTAAAATGAACAGAAAATCATAAAGAGAATCCAGGCAGTATGGAAAACAGAGTGAAGATCATCAAATAAAAAGGGAATAGTCATTAACAATAAATGCCACAGAAGGTTAGGTAAAGTGAACCCAGATGTGAATCTGGGAACTTGACAGTTGGGAGGTCATAGGAGTCATTTGCCAGAGTATTTCTGTGCACGAGGAGGATTGAGACCGATTGAGGGAGACACTGTGAACTGACATCAAAGTACCATAGTCATTAGATCTTGGCAATGTATATTTAAAAATAACATTGAAACATTTTAAATTTTAAAGAATTGTGCACAATCATAATACAGGAATAAAAACATAAAGACAAAGTACTGACAATCCCGTTTCATTTTATCACTTATTGCAACACTCCTAATAACACACTATGGGGTATTTTAAACATTGAATTTTAATTTTTATCCTAAGCTTGCGGGTGGCAAGATTTTCCTTTTGGCAGTTTGGCAGCTATACTCCAAAGTGTCCCAAGACCTTAGTAGGTAGCAGCTAGACAGATGGTGAAGGTACAAAGACATTCTGTGTATTATTTTTTTTTCTGGAGGTCTTTGAAACCACATGGTGTTATTAAAATGTTAAGCTCATTCAGCACTTGACTGTTGGGGTAGTCAAGGTGCTTTAAATGCTCCCTTCATCCCTAGGCATCTTGGAGATGAAAGACAACAAAATATGTGATTCACTAAAGATAGAAAAAAGAAAAATAAAAAATGAAGCTTCTGCTGCTCTTAAAATTATTTTATATAATAAACAATATTTTAAATCAACATTCCTTGTTCTTGTTAAATAACAGTAATTCATACCACTCAGAATATTGTGCCAAATCAAATCGCTTGTCCTTATAAACAAAGGTCTTCTTTTCTGAGGCAGCAAAAGCGGTACCTAAAGTCTTGCACTGTATTTTTATAGTCAATAAGGTAATATAATTATTTTGATGAGTAAAATCATAAAAAGGCAACCTCAAACATATATTAATACATGCACTAAGGTAAAAAAAATCATAACAAGATGTTAAGACATAAAATGTTTATAAAGTCTTGTCTTAAAGAGTACTTTTTACAGTATAAGTAATTTAAGAATCCCTAGCATAAAAATCACTTACCTAGCTCTTCATTTTCAATGACTTCAAATGTGGCCCAAATATCACCTTTTGTAGGAATAATATTTTTTATCGCTAATATATCATTAGTTAATTCTTCTGCTTCCATCACAGGAGATATCTGTAAGAGAAGTAATATTTTTTCAAAAAACGTGTTAGACACAGAAGTAGCCTTATGCTAGGTCAATAATATTCCCCATCCACCATTTAATGATATCTTGAATTTATTTTGAGCATGGTTAAAACCAGCTTCCCTAATCCCATACAGAAAACAGCATGTTCAGATCTTTTCCATAAAATGTACATAAGTACAAAAAGAGATCACAATATAGACATAAGAGAATTTTTTAATCTCTTACTGAGCAATTAGACCACTCAGAAGGAAAGAATGTACCTAATTACATTCGGAATGACCTTCGCCAGACAATGAATCCAACAGTCATCTACATGTAAAATTTTTACTCAACAGTTCTATAATTAAGAGTGTAGAGTGACTTGGTTTATTCAGCCTAGATTCTAAATTATACACAGTCAATGGCTATCGGTCATGCCAAAAAGCTCCAGGGTCTTGGTAGTCTGTGGTGTGCCCTGCCATGCCAAGTGACAGATGGTGGGATACCAAAGTATGCTGGAACCAGGATTCCAGGGCAGATGTCAGAGTCTGCAATGCCAACCTGGGGGTCGGTTCTACGAAAGTCCCAAAGCCTGAGGCCACTGTATAAGCACATCACCTCTTCAGGGACTTTTGGAATTTTTTATTTGTTTCTTTTTGTTTTTGCTTATGCCAATCTTAAGTGCATGCTGGCCAAAAGCAAAATGGCTTTCTTCAATTAGAATTTAGTCATAATGATGTTTTAAACATTATAATACTGCAGTTGCAACTTGATTTGCACATTTTCAGTAAAAGGATGTCTCTACTAAAAGTTCTTTAGAAATGTATTTGTTTCCATTTCTCTTGACCATAATTACCCATAAGCATATTGCACATACATAAATGACAAAAAACCTATTTCACTGCAGGTAACTCGCAAAGTCTACCTTTTGTATTTTATGAAATTTAGTGCTTTTTTGGAATATAATTATACAATGAAGTCCACTATTTTCTATTTAGAAAAGCCCAAAGAAATATAAACTTAAAAGAAAAAAACTTGTTATAGCATCTAGGAATAACAGAGAACACCAAGCAGTATGGAGTAGTTGAATCATTTCAGTGATGCTGTTGATATGCATGAACAAACAATATTTTTAAGGCTAGCACTTTCTTTAAAAAATAATAAATTATTGAGAAACCCACTTGTGAAACAGGCAGCAGGAAGCACCTTGGTCTGAAACAGGAAAACCAGAACTCTATTCCTTGCATCAAGAGAGACCAAAAGCTCCTCTTTAGTAACACCTAACACTCCACACTTGGGAAATTATTACTCTACAGAATATACAGATCAGTATACTGAACGTCCAGTCGAGATTATGATGACCCAGGTTTGTATTTCTGGCCTTAGTATTCTTACTTCCCAGTTTCCATTCTTATAAACTCGGAACATCACCTGCTTCATCTACCTCCATGGGTTGAGGTAATAATTAGCAGAGATAAATGTAACTAAAGGGTTTTGCAGAATCATAAGCATTAAAACCTAAGTAATTGGTTTTAAATAGTTTTTGTTATTTTCTAAAGAGCATTTGGAGTTACTATAGGTGAAACTGGAAAGTCCTTTATCTAAACACACCGGATAACATAAGAACATGGCTCAATTATAACTTCTGTTGTGACTTTAGAAGATAAAATTAAAATGCGCTATTAAAGAGCCTTTGTATAGATTTAAGTCACAAGCTTTGAATACCTTCTCCAGCATTAGTGATGAACTTGTGCTAATTGGTCTTTACTAGTTCCTCACATCTCTTATGATCAGCATTATGCATTCAGTATAAGAAATATGACATGGCCAAGGAGTGGCAAGGCAAATGCCTCATAAAGACAAAACCTATAATTATAGTATTAATATTTCAGCTTCATGTACTAAGTAATGTACTTAATGGTGTATAGTTACAATTCATAATCATTAGAAACACAAAACTTAAAATCAATATATATTTAACTTAAGTCCAAATATATCTAATGTTGTGACTGTTTAATCCTGGACTTTAAAAAAGATAAGTAGCTAAAGCCAAATTTCTGTTACATGGCAGAATGTCTACTGTTCATACAAATAAAGCAGTCTTACCAAATAGCGACCTGAAATATCAGTTACTATATGTAAGGCAGACAAATTACTAAATATAGTAGCATGTCAAACATCTATTTTTAATTCATCACAAATGATCAGTACTCTCAAGGGAGAAAAGAGTTATCCAAATAAATATCCCAGACTTATATTCAAATCAATTGGAAGACTGGATGCTAAAGTATAGAAAACAAGGGTGAGAGATTATTATTAATTATAACAGCACTAGTAGTAATAGTTATTTATTAAACACTTACATGCTGAGCAATGTGCTAAGGGTTTTACATGCATTATCTTATTGAATCCTCACATCAATGCTATGATGTAATACTGTGATTTTTCCTAATTTTACAGGTGAGAAGACTGAGGCTCAGAGCAAATAACTTGTCTAACGTTAGGAAGCTAGGAAGGGGAGGAACAAGTATTTAAGCTTGGGGTATTTTCCAGAACTTGAAGAAAATCTTAACACGTAATCCAAAGCACATAAGATGTTCTCTTTCCAAACGATCAAAATACAGAATTCCTGGGGGATATCACTATAAAAAGTCTATGTTGTCAGTCGTTTGAACTGGAGAGGTAATATAAAATATAATAATGGAAAATTCAAAATATATAAAATAATGCTAACATTTGTGACTTCCAACAGTCCTCTTTACATCCACCTTTAGAACTTACCCGAATTATAATACTACAGTCGGGTTCCTTCCTTTCTACATATACTTCAATTAACAAATCTCCAGCCTGGGAAACCTAGAAAAGGGCAGAGGTAGAAACAACACAGATAAACATATTGTAAAAACACATATTTGAAACTGAAGACAGCTATAAAGCCCCAGTCATATTTCTGAATATTTTATAACAATGAAACAAGCTCAATTCCCCTGCTCACAAGCATGATGTGCCCATTTCCACATATGGTTAAGGACAAGGCATTTACACAAATGTTATAATCAGCAACAACAACCACAATGATTTTCTTTTTTATCTCTTACTCAGGAGCTTAGTACTCTCAAATACCTTACATTTTTCCTAAAATAATGAATCCAGCTACAATAGATATATGCTGGCTGTGACAACAGAAGTTGTAGGAGCCATCAGCATGTACGTTAACAGGATAAACAAAATGAGGGGTGAAAACAAAACACATGAAGTTTTGCTTCAAGCTATAATGTGTGCATGATACCAATATTTAAAAGGCAAATTATGGCTTGCTACGTTTTTAAAGAGAAGATATGCCTGAAAATTGAACTTTGAGGATAAACTAGGTCAGAGCTATATTAAAACTACAAATAACATAAATTTAGAAAGAAAAATAAAAGTGAGGTCATTCATGGAATATGGCAGACAATAAAAAGAAGTTTTTAATTATCTTTGGCCAAGAATTAAGTACTAATTTAGGTCATTATTATATCCCAAAAGACAGACAAAGTGAAGAAGATGCAAGCCTGAAAATAAAAGGCCTTATGATGTCATATCACTATACAGATTAACAGTATAGAAGGTTAACAAAGAACCAAATGAATCTATGAAAAATATTTTGAGTAACTTTTTTCAGAAGTTCCCTTAAGTTATGTAACCAATTAGAAACAGTATCACCTGATTTAAATAAAAAAGATCATAACCAAGAAATCATTCTCAAATTAAATTCACCTCAGCATAAAATCTAATGAGTAAACTTGTGGGGAAAAAAATTTTGTGGGGAAAACATTAAAGATGAACTTTGAAAAAGTTCCTTAATTTTTCTGGCATTACAGGCTTAGAAAAGCTTATTTCCAGTTTTTCCTCCTGACTTTCAATGCTACAGATACATTTCAGTAAGTAAAAGATACAGTTGACACTTTTGCTTTTCACTATGTTTGCATAAACAGCTCTCCAGGAAGGACACATTTTAAAACTTAAAAAGTTAAAAAAAAAAAAAAAACTTAAAAAGTAAATACAAAGAACTCATAGAATGAAATAAAAAAGAAGAATAGGTAAGAAATTCAAACAGGGGTAAGACAAAGAGACTGAATGTCAGAAAAAAATACTCCAGAAGACAGTTTTAAATGGATTAGAGGAAAAATTTAAGTAAAAAAACAGATTTTCCCAGACTCTTTTACTTATCTTTTCCAAATACTATTATTTTTACTTACATATACAGACTAAACTGAAAGCATTCAAAACATCTTTCTTTATTGTAATATGAATATAAAAGATAAAAAATGCAAAAGGATACTCAAACTTTTTTAATAACAATGTAGATAGTGTGGTTAAAGTTTACCTCTCAGCCTCACACAATCCTTTATTTCATGACTAAAGACTTCCTCCCCGCTCCCAAAAAAAGTGAGAATTTAAGATAATTGATAATGACCTAGATTTTTTAAGGTTAAAGCTGACTCCTTTGGAAGCTGCATAATTACTCTGGGTCAAAATGGAGAAAATAATTCATTAATATCATAGTATTAGTACTGATCTAGGCCTTCCTCTATTTTCTTTATATGGAATGACAGTTTCAATGACTCTAGTTAGTTGTGGATATTTCAGGACTGAGGAGAATTTAATGTCTGACTAACAAAAAAGCATTTGCCTCATTATGTATCTGTAAACAGAGCACATCTGATCCATTTCTATCATTTATATTGGTACCCTGAATCCACTCTAACTCCTAGTTACTAGAAGATGACTAATCATCAACCTTAAGAAATTCCAGTGAATATTCACCAAACAAGCATAGTGCAACCAGAACACAAAAATCCAGTATAATGTGACTGAGGAAAACAGGACAGGATATAGAAAAGTCAACTTAGGACAAAAATTAGAATGTGTTACAAAGATCAAATTAGATGCATTCCATTAATACAATCATATGAAAGCATGCAAAGCAAAAGCATATAAGAAATAATTTATAGTTTCAAAATAACAATAGAAAGAATCACTAGGCTGTCTGAATTTTCAACTTACTCTAAGTATTTCTTTGGTTTTAAATGCTTCCTTTGAAATCCATTAGCATTTTCAGTCATGGTTTTATACACAAAAGTTGATTTTATAAAGAAAACCTTGAAAGGTAAATTAAAACTGATTTTCTATTTTTAAAAATTTACATTAACATATTTTGCATATATGTATCAGGTTGCTGAATTACACAACCAATTAGTTTTTTTTTTCACTCATTACTTTTACTTTGCTTAAAATAGGAACTTGAAAATACACACAGCAAATGTCTTTACTTACAATGGAAGTTTTTGTTTTGTTTAATTATTTAGAGATCTAACTATTACTACTCACTTGGGTGTCTTTCCACTTGGTAATAAAGCTATTTTCTATGTCCATTTGTTTGACTTGATCTTCTTTAACCTGTTTAAAATATAATTCGGGACATTCTAATAATGTAGAATACGAAGAGTGATGACACTCATCCTCATGTAATCTTCAGGAATTTAAATACTAACAACTTAAAAATAAATGAGAATGGCCATCGGAATCAATATGAGCCCACACAGCTAGGGTGGAAACAAAGCCAACAAGATAGAGTATCCTAAAGTTCAAAATATTTTATGATGATACTACTTCAGGCTGCAATTGCATTGATGGAAGTCCTATTTCTTAGGAAACTTAAGCAAAGGATCTGATGACTGGCTTAAGTTTATGTAGGTTGAGAAACAAAGCTCATGTATCAAACTGAAATGTTCATTAGGTGCTTATTAAATTTCCATCATTTAGGTAAAGTTTAACATAACTATGAAGATAACCATTTTATTAATGGAAAACTACAAATACAGAAAATAGAGACAGCATGTAAGCCACACATCATATTTTTCTAAATCTTTATTTTCTCAGCATCAGATTATTGCAAAGAAGTTGCTATTGATCAAAAACAGTGGACACATATAGAAAGAAGTAAAGAGGAGATCAAAGAGCAAAGAAAATCCCACAATCTGGTGTCTATTCCTATGTAAATTAAGATACAGACTGTGATATTTTGTTTTATTAAAATAGCTTCTTTTTCTTGTCTTATGATAAGTGATTATAATAAGAACGTAAGAACTCTACAATGGTAACCAATTACACTAACTGTCTTGACTTCATGTGGTACAGCCATACTTCCGGAAAACAACTGGACTCATAAACACCATTTAAGGGAATGTTCAAAAGGTTAAATGACAAAATTGAGGTGCTAGAACTAGTTATATAATAGAACTGGACCTTTTGCCCAAATCCACCAATTTGAATCCTGGGCTTATTTCCCCTATTTTTACTTCTTTGAACCAAGAAATCATCCCTACTCCAACAGTTTTCTGATGAAACATGAAAATATTAACTTTATAAAATGGAAATTTAAAAAGTCAATTAAAACAGATGACTTAGTAAAACACCATAGAATAATAATATTTTAGAATGTTATTTGTTTCCAACTGGGGACACAACTAAAAGAAAAAACCAAAGGGCTTTCAACTGCAGAATTTAAGAGTCTGGTATTTATTAATGAATTGTTCATTTTATAACTTCACACTTCTAAGTAGATATAATTCATACACATGAAGAAAAAGAAAACACATGCAAAAATCCTATAAATAGAAATATTCTGTCAAACAGATATCAGATGGTAAAAAGTTTTAAATGCAACCAAATTTAAATAATGACTATAGCTTAAAAGCTACTTATATCTATAATTTAAAAAAATATGACTATTCCTTATTTTATGTATTTCTAAATATGAATAAAGATCTGAATAATAACACCCTACAACATAAATATTTGTTGGCAAACAGTGACATTATAACCATTTTAACAAGGGCAGGATACAAAATAATTACCTCAAATATTTCTACATAATTATTAATTAGGTCCTCAATTACATTCACTTCTTCACTAGTTTGTCCCTTCGTTTGAAACAAACAGGATGAAAAGACCAAGGCCAAATTATGGGCATTCATGTGATTGATTTCTGAGCATTTCTGAACCCTGTCAGAGAAAAGCATAGTTTATTATGATACACTTTTATTTGGAAATTTCATAGAACAGAAAGCCAGTTTATCAATTTTTAAACACAGCAATATTGGAATTCTCTGACATAAAAGATACAGTGGTGACTTAAAAGCATATGGTTCTTTCTTCTAAGTAGCTTATAATGATAGTTAAGAACATCAGAAAAAGTACTGTTAAATAGATTAGTAAAAGTTACAAAGTCATACTTAATTGTTGATTTAGAGAAAGGGCTGACCATATTCAAACAATTGCAAACTATAAAACAACCTGTGGCCAAAGTATAGAAGTATGCTTGCAGAATGGCGTAAAATGACTTGTGGGGCTGCAGCATAGGAGGAGGAAATGGGGCAGGAGGTATGTAGAAAACAGGCAAAAAAGGTAGGTCATTAGACATATAATTGACAGTTCCAAATTCCAGGTGCCAAGCTGGGCTAAATTTTCCAGAAAGTGCAAATCAAATGAGAAAGAATATCTGGGCCCATGTGTCCATACAGCTATTCTAAATAAAATATTATCACAAGGCAGACTACTTTAAAATGCAATTACATTTTTCTTGGATATAACTAAGAATGCCTTTTTATAATGAACAGAAATGAACGAAGGAGTCAACTCTTTCAATCAGTAGGCTATAACACTGGGGTCTTAAAAGAGTTGTTAAACTGTTTACGAATAAGTATAAAGTAATTAAAAAAAATAAACCCACAATGAGATATCATCTCACACTCACAATAGTCAGAATGGCTATTACTGAAAAGTCAAAAAAATAACAGATGCTAGAGGGGTTATGGGGAAAAATGAATGCTTTTACACTGTTACTGGGAGTGTAAATTAGTTCAACCACTGTAGAAGACAGTGTGGCAATTTCTCAAAGACCTAAAGACAGAAATATCATTCAACCCAGCAATCCTATTACTAGGTATATACCCAAAGGAATATAAATCATTATATTATAAAGACACAGACACACATATATTCACTGCAGCACTGTTCACAAAACCAAAGACATTAAATCAAACCTAAATGCCCATCAATGACAGAGTAAGGAAAATGTGGTACATAAACACCATGGAATACTATGCAGCCATAACAAAGAATGAGATCACGTCCTTTGCAGCAACATGGATGGAGCTGGAGGCCAATATCCTTAGCAAACTAACACAGGAACAGAAAACCAAATACTGTATATTCTCACTTATAAGTGGGAGCTAAATGATGAGAATACATAGCAAACAACATACACTGGGGCCTAATGGAGGGTGAAGAGTGGGAAGAGGGAGAGGATCAGGAGAAATAACTAATGGGTACTAGGCTTAATACCCGGATGAGGAAATAATCTGTACAACAAACCCCTGTGATACAAGTTTACCTGTGTAACAAACCTACACACTGTACCCCTGAACTTAAAAGTTTACAAAAAAAACCAAAACAACTCCCTGAAGCATCATCCCTAAGAAAGGGAAAGTTACATTGCTAAAAATGTAACAGACGAGAACTGTAAGTGGCACACTTGATCAAATGAATATAGTAACTCCATCAAATGAATGTAGTAAGACTAAGCTAGACATTCCCATCTATGAAGAACACAGATTCAGGTAGCTACAAGAAAAGGTGAATAAACATGATAGCAATACATATGTTAATGTAGAGAATTCATAATAAAATACCAAATTGCATAGCAGAGATGGTGCAAGTGCAATCATCACACGTGATTTACAACATGCAAAAGGAACTGGAGTTTAATAGAAGAGGATGCGATAATTGTGAACACCCCTCTCAAAACAATGTCTATGCTTTTACAGTACACTTAACTGTAAACATCTGGAACATTTATCTGCATGTCTGTCTCTGTTACTAGAATCTATGTATCTCACAGTCAGAAACTCTTTAATTACATTGTGGTGCATGATAAACACCTGGCGAATGGAATTAAGAGGATATTACTGATGGAGGAAATACTCTTTTAGCTAGGGTAGGGATTGAATTAAAGGCTAAATCAACTTGTCCTCATCCAATTTACTTCTCAATCTTTTAAGGACATTATCTTTAAGGACATTCCTGCATTTCTTGGGACTTCCTTCTGCAGTATCATCCCCTTTGGTACTTTTCACCTCTCTTGTCTTTAATTTAAGTGGCTGCCTTAGTTTCTGGGACAAAATAGGTATAATATAGTGTTTCCTTTTCTTCCTTTACTTCTCTGCTCCGAGGTGTTAACATTTCCAAGTGTTCCATATTCAGCTTGCCCAGTCCCTTCTCTCCCAGGTTTTCTCACCAGAAACTCAACAAAACTGTTTCCTAGTTAGTTTATCTGTCTCTATGCTACATTTTCCCTAACAATACCATCATAGGGATTATTATCCTAACACATTTGATCTGTTACTTCTTATCACTTAAAGGATAAAATCCAAATGTTTTTGCATGACCTACAAAGCCTTCCACAACTTCCTGCCAGCCAACTATAACTCTGTCATCTTCTAGTACTCCTATGTCCCAGACATTATCCTTCACTCATTTCTTTCACGCCCAATTCATATGTCCCTTTAAATCTGAAGCATAGAAGCATCCCCTGGACCACAACACACAATGAATCATTCAATTTATCCTCTATAATTCCATGCTGCACGCTAAAATTCTCTATATTAAAGTTTGTCTCAACATCTCACAGGCATAGAGATAGGACTATATAATGTGGACTATATTTGTATGATGCAATAAGAAAATCAGTTTTACAATAATGGAGCTGACATAAATGAGAAGTAGTGGTTGGGAAAGAAAAGAACAAGAGGAAAGAACACAAATTGTGAAACATTTCTAAATTGAGACTGCAAATAAGGTACTTTTAGTAAAATTCAGCTTTACAGAAATTTACTCAAGAGAGTATTTCATCCATTCAGGGAGCTACAATATATTCCTTAATCAAAATTTATATTTATTTAACTTTTTGTAATAATTCCTGCTAAGATTTAAAAAAAAAACTAGTTTTGACTTAAAAGGTTATTTTCAAATGTCCTCATCCTTCAGACCTCATTGGTAAAGTCACCATTACATTCCTCATATCTTCCCAAATGCAAGGAGACCTTCATGCCTTGACATACAAAATTGTTTTTGATTTTTAAAATTTCCTCACTGGATCAATAGCCTGATACCAAAATATAAAGGTCAGGTAAGATATAAACTGATAATAAAGAAATGTCCACCATGAGAAAATACTGTCATCACAGACAGATTCTTGTTACAGAATTCTGGTCCCTGCACATCCTTTATTCTCCAGCTTCCAAACCAAGTGAGTTTTTAAATTCTTGCTTATGCATCAGATGCATTTGAGGACACTGTATACAATTATTTCTGATTAAGAAATTCCCAGTGCTATTTATCTGTAAATGTGACTTAATTACAGAAAGAGAGACTAAGGTGAGTTCTTATGATACGTAGAAAGATTCACAATCACATAAGAAATAATGACTTATTGAGTGCTGTGTTTGAAATGTCGAGAAAAGTTCATTCATCTACCCACCTATACAGGTGTTCAATGATAGCTGCTAGTGTTGCTCGGTTGACCCCTGGAAGAGAACGTATAAATGCTCCATATTTTTTAATTCTTTCCTTGTCATCTTGCGTATCTGAAGGGGAAAAAAAAACAATCTTGAGATCTAAACTAATTATCTATGTTATGGATTTGTCTATCAGCAGTATTGTAAAACAGTCACAAACAAATGCATTTTAATAGGTGATACAATCAGGTTTCAGTAGACAATCGTTCAAAGTTCTAAAGTAATTGCCTATTAATCTGGAAAAGCATTTATTTACATAACATTCCAGTATTATGTGCTCTAGTTCTTACAATTTGTAATTTAAAATAAAGAACTTTTAAAATAGAAGGTTAGGTGGGATTATATTTTTTTATCTTCTACTTTATGGAATACTGAACTTTAACTTAACAGGAATACATTCAATTAATTACTCAAACTGGAGTACAAACTGAAGAGTTAAGCCAAAAGTATTTTAACTCTGGCTATGGAAATGTTTTATCATTTGTATTTGAAAATGACATTTCTGATTTTTATTTCTCATGAAATTATAAAAATCTTTCCAAAGCTATGAACTATCCTGGAACTATGAACTGTACAGTACCCCTTCGATCCAGGTAAAGGGTACTTTCAAATCTTTTGAAAAGTTGAGAGTGCAATGGAAGAAGTCAAGCCCAGGTCTTAATAACTACAATCTGGATTTAGAGGATGATAGACCTCCTGCTTTTGTCATGAACAGAAATTTGTTGGTTTATGGAGAGAAGGATGAGAAGGACTTACCCTCCACTCACCTGACTCCAAGAAGGCAAATATCTGGAGAAACCAGAGACAGAAACCCCCAAAGATCTAAACTCTCTGTAGAGAGCATGCAGTGACAGTTTAGCCTATGCTACCTGAAGTGGAAATAGATCATTCTTTAAATAAATCACTTGTGCTGACTTGGTAACTCAAGGAGACCACACTTATTATTTCCTCTCAATTCGCAACTATCTTTGGAAACAAGACGATTTTATTTCTTGCTTAGCCTTACCTCTTCTATTCACAGAAAATCAGCAGCACGCTAATGATGTCTTAAAAGTACAAAGTCACTTGTAAAGGACATTAGGATCCCTGGCTAGGTAAGAAACTCTGTATGACACAGTTTTCAAGTGCACACCTATTCAAAATTGCAAGTGATATCTCTTTTGTACTGATTTAGCCTGTACCTGAAAGCAATAGCCATACACATGAGTATACTGAATTAAGTGCACTAGTAGATGACTCTCTATAAGAAAGAGGGGGAAACACCCAAATTACATTCAAAGACATTACTGGAAATTAATTATGTATAATTCCCAGTATAATGCAAACATTTATCCTCGCGTTATCCAGTTTCTAACTGTAGGAGAAATTGCATTTATTCCTTAAAATTTAACACTACTACGCTTAAAACAAAAAGTCATGCTAGTATGCATATTTCCACAAATCTTATAAAATAGATGATATTTTCAAAATAAAGCTAAATAAATTGAAAGTAAAACTCAGGAATGATTTCAGGCCATATAGAAAATACAATGAGCAATTCAACGAAACATATAAGTTAACAGTCCTCCTAGAAGAACAGATCATATGTCATATAAATATAGGTGGTACACGGCTATAAGGCATTCTCTACCTCAGGTATACAGTACATCAAAAGAGTTTTATGAATTCACTTAGACAGTACTAGTTTATTCTTTTCAGGCCCAACATGGCCACTTTTGAAGGGTCCAGCTAAACTATACTGTTGGCAAAAGCAAAGGAGTTAAAGGTTACTTGACCCAGTATTCAAAGCCTTCTCCAAATAAATTCTCCAAGAACTCACATGCAAGTGAAAGGTGAACACTCCTACCCCTGCTGACTACCTTGTTCTGGTAGACTGACAACAGTGAAGACTTGTTTGTCACTCAATTTGACAACTTTAGCAAATATATATTTGTCGCTGTTGTTGTTGTTGTTTAACACGCAGGGTCTCAGCCCTGTCACCCAGGCTGGAGTACAGTGGCACCATCACAACTCACTGAAGCTTGGAATTCCTGGGCTCATGTGATCCTCCCACCTCAGTCTTCAGAATAGCTGAGCCTACAGGAGCACATCATGCCTGAGCTAACACTTCTATTTTTTGTGGAGACAAGGTCTCACTATATTGCCCAGGCTGGTCTCAAACTCCCGGCCTCAAGCTATCCTCCTGCCTTGGCCTCCCAAAATGCTGGGATTATAGGCGTGAGCCACTGTGCCCAGTCTTGCCATGTACTACTGATAACCAATTTTATAATAAAGACAAATTATAAGTCTATAAAGTAGAGATACTCTAAACAGCTTCATACATTTCAATACAATTTCTTAAAACAAAAATGAGGGGTGCAAGGTAACTGAGCTTAAAGCAATGTATTTAGCTCTGTGTTTTATATCTTAGAAAATTATACACTTAATTCTTCTTGTGATTACAGTGAACCCTACTGATTTGAGAAACATTAGAAGGCAAATGAAAGACTTCTGAAAGGTAGTTATATCGTGAGAAGCTTTATTTTCATTATAATACTACTTTTGCTGACACTAACTAGGGTCATTCTTGGGATAATTTTCAAACTGTGCATGTTTTGTGACATCATTTGAAAATTAATCTCTTTAAATATATCACTTGTTTTAGATTAAACAAATACTTTCAATGAGGAAAATTACTTCTCAATAGAGGAATGCCATGTGACTAGATTCAAAAGCCATTTTCCAAATCTTGAAAGAGATTAAATATATGAGACAAACACATTATAATTATGGAATAATTCAAAAGTAAGTTTTAAAACCTAGAACAAGAGAGAAATAAAAATTATCATTTGGAAAATATTATAGATATATGAGAAATGCTTATGATTTATTAATAAAAATAAAAATGTCATATACATAAATTATAAAAGTGAAGAAAAGGACTATAATATGGAAAAATAAAAGTAGCTTCAGTAAAAAGGTGGAATGAAAGGCAATGCTTATATTTAAGTCTTTGTTATTGTAATGTTTCAATAAAAGGACTTGTTTTAAATCATCGGAGGTTAAAAACACGTTTTACTAAAATTAATTTGACCCATGAGGGATTTAATAAACTCCTTTTCTAGGGTCATCTCTTAATTAGCTTTTCTTACAGTGTATAACAAAACTCTATTTCATTAGATGGAATCTAGAATAAATGAAGCAAAAGTTAAAAAAATTGTTATATACACTAAAGATGTAGAACACATAATAGAAGAAACACAAAAGAGTCATGGGTGAAAATCTTGCAAAATGTATCCTGTAGTAAATGCTTCATTTTATTTTTAATGAGAAATTAGTAGCACACATGGACTTGACTGTAACATTCCAAAGTTGAAGCAAAGTATGCACTAAGAAATCCATTGAAAACTAAGTATATACCAAACGATTTAGTGAATATTTTGAATTTCTCTTGAGGTAGAGAGAAACAGCTATTGATATTTATATAATTTCTGTTATCAGCCATTATGTACATTGTTTCTTTCAATTAAAATTTCAGCTTATCAAAGATGTTTAAAGTCTAAGTATTAAAAGGCAAGCATGTATTATGGTCTATATTATACACACACACACACACACACACACACATATCTACAAATATCTGTATAAATATTACCTAAAGCAGAGATCCAATATGGGTAGAGCTCCTTAGTAAGCAGTGCATCATCAATGTCAGAGAGAAAACTTTTCAACACAGCCGTCACATCTTCAAGCTGATGTTTTCCAGCCCTCAATTTAAAGCTTCTTGCATCCTTTTTGAAACTCTCCAGGAGTTCACTTATATGCAAAGGATCACCATTCTTTTGATAGATATATTTGCATCCTAAACCTTTGTTTAAAAAAAAAAAGTTATACTTTAAAAGTCTAAATTCAAAAGCCAGTTTGATATTTTAAAAACAAAACAAATGTTTGTGTTGAGACGAGAAGATGATGAAATCATTACGCAAGAGATGATATAAACATGCATGAGCAGGAAAGGCTTTTTACTCCTGATTTTAGTATTTAAAATGTAAACCTAATGAGCAAATCATTGCAGCCTCAGCTTTTGGCAAGCCCCTGATCAGTCCTTCCTCCAGCTCTCCATAGTATCTTTTCCAAATGTTCTTTTTCTTAAAGTGCCCTATCTTCACTTAGTCTCCCAGCAAACAACTTACCTCCATTTCTCACTGACAAAAGTGAGGCTCTCTGGTATAAATGTCATCAACCACCTGCCCCTATATTGTATATGAATTTCTGTATGCTCCCATCTTCACCTTATTTCCAATGGAGAGTTGGGTTACCTCTTTTTCATGGTTACTGATTCATGAAGTACTCCATACCAAATAAAAGGAGCAGTGGTTAGGAGGAAGAGTGATGATGACAATGACAATAATTCAAACCCCAAAAGCATCCCTTGCCTCCTCCCAGGCTTCTTTTCCCTGTTCCTTTCACAACCAGGCTGAGTTTTCTATATTTATTCTTTCTACTGTCTCACATGCCTGTTAATCCTTTGACCACACAATCTTGCTTCTCTGCCCAATCCCCATTCTGTTGGGGTCACCCTTCATCAATAATATTAACAATGTTCTTTTTTTTCTAGATGCTTTTCGGTTTTTATCTAGGGAGAACTCCTTGTAGCATTTGACATTCTGAACGAATCCCTGTAAATTCTTTTAACCCCCTAACTTCCATGATATCATAATTTCATATCTCTTTTTTCTCCCTTCCCTCTGTGACTGCTCTCTCAGTCTTCTAATTTTTTCTGCTCAACTAATACTTACTGGTCATTCCAGGGATCCTTCCTCAATTCTCTTCTCTTCCTGCCCACTGGGTGAGAACCCATCCAACCTCATCACTTCTACATAAACATTTTAACTCAGGTTTTAATTTCCATGATTTCACACATACACACATATATATACACATACCATTACATATACATGCAACATACACACACACACACCCATACATCTTATGGCAAATCAAAATAACCCGAAGGAATTAATTCTCCTGCCCTGTTTACTACCTCACCTTCCACCCCCACCATGTTCTTTATCTTGTTCCTCTCTGCCTCAATATTTGGCATTGCCTTCTCCCTAGCCCTTTACAAGTCAGAGTATTTCTTTCTCAATCAGCACATTAAAAACAAAAAATGCAGTACTGCATCACATAGATTCTTCATCATGATCTCACTCTCAGAACTGCCCTCTCCTTTCCATCCCATATGCTATTATTTGTGGACTGAGTTCTTACTACATTGTCACAACTCCTTGCCCATATTCTTATGCAGCCCTCTGTGTGTCTCAACAATGATAACAGCATGATCTAAAATTCAGGTCTGTATGTATTAGCAACAAGCTTAAAAATCTGAATGCTGCCCTCCTGCTGCCTATGCGGCAAAGTTTGAGGATTTTAGTTTGCTATATAAAACCTTACCTGAATTGGCCTAACCTGTTGCCTTTTATATTGATCAACTCCTCCTTCTCACACTAAGCTCTGGCCACATTTAATACCACAAAGCTCCCAGCACAAACTTTGTGACTCGATACCTTGGCACACACTGTTTCTCCTCCTGGAGTCCCTATCCTCTTCTTCTAACTAGCTCCCATTTTCTCTTAGGGCTCATGGTAAGCACTGTGCTTTACCCATGAAGCTCTCTGTTTCCATGCCTTCTCTGGGTAAAATTTACCCCTACACCATGGACACCAGTAGCACCCCCTGAACCTCTTTACTAGAGAATTTTATACACTGACTTGTAACTGCTCATGTATTTGTCTCTTATTCATAAATCTGTAAACTCCTAGAAGGCAAAAATTATGTCTTATTTTCTGTGACATATCTCTGTATATATCCGGCAGTTACACAGTGCCTAGAACTACTCAGCACGTATTCAATAAATGACTGCTTAATGCAAGAATAAGCAAGTTCTACAAACATCAATGCTGACTAAGCGTTTGAGATAGTATATCCCCAGCTGAATGAATTTCTAATAGCTGGCACTCAAGTAAGTTAACTGAAAAATAATTTGAACATAATTTTGTTTATATAACTGAAATAATTTTCCCCAAGAACTAGTGTAATTTACTTTTTAAAAATTAAAGCCCTAAGAGTCATACTATGAACTCAGTCAAGTTCAAACCTTGACACAATGACACAATGAGCACAGAAAATTGGTCTTGAGATTTTAACCCACAGGTCAGGGGGTTCAAAATAATTGCTACAATGAAACCATCTGCATCCTATAATCACTGGGTGTTTTCTAAGTTTCTGTCAAATCTTTCTTCTATATATGCTGGCAGCATTGAGGTTTCCCCAACGTTCTGAATATAAATATATATATGATATAAACATACTATCATAGCAGGAAGCTTCTTATAGTAGTGCCCAATATGTGATTATGTATATACTTTCAGTAGATATATAATACAAACACAATTATATGTATAACTATATATAATATAAAAATATGACACATATTTATATATAATACATATACATCATATGTTATATAGGACTATATGTGTATATATATGAATATATGTATGTACACATATGTGTGTACATATGTAAGTGTGTGTGTATAACTATATAAACACAATCTTCCATTGGCTTTATTATTCTAACATGCAAGTGAAGGCATCTTGTAATAGAGGTATAAAGTTGTTATAATATATGAGTTTTAGTTGAAAAAATCGAATGCTGAGTTATTTTAAACTTAAATAAACACAAGGAAAATTCTGATTTCCCTAGAAAAACATTAAATTGGCTACATCAGAGCTAGTCAAGGTATTTTAATTATTTCTTGCTTAAGAAAGGCCTTATGCTATTATGAAACTAACATGGTATGAAGATTCCCAATAAGGTTATGCTCCTGCTAAAACATAACATATATGTGATTCATGTATAGCTGCAAAATGTACTAACACTGAGTGACTGTAACAAATGAAGGTAACATTCTCCTTCCTCTGTTTTTAAGTAAACAGATGGTTATAGCTAATAAGAAAAACATATCATAGCAGGAAACTTTTATAGTAATGCCCAAATATGTGGGCCTTATGTATATTTTTTCAGTAGATATATAACAAAAACATAATGAATCTGGACATTAATAATTGCACTTGAATTACATACAAAGTAAGAAAAATACTTAAAATGACACTCTCCCTAGAACAAGAGATTAAAATATGCCTAAGTTTAATTTCTGAAAAGTGTTTTCTTTATCCATATCATTAGTTCTGATATTTTGTTACATATCAGTGTATTATCAGTTTCCCATACTAGAAGATATGATTCATAGCTTTGTCTTGAACTTTTTACTTCCACCACTGTGTTTCTAAGAGTGAGACCAGTGACTGGCATACAACAAGCACTCGATAAAGAAGCAATGAACTAATAACACAATGCTTTACTGCAGCCCTCTCACTATTTGTACCTTCTTTTCAAATTAAAAACACCCAAAGACACCTCTAATATTAGGAGAATAAAAATTTTTAATACAGTCCAAAATATCAAATCATTTTCCTCTTTTCCACATTTGTGATCTAAATAAATGGCATTTATCTACAGGTTAAAAGGGCTCATGGTAACATTTTAACATTTTTACATTTAAAATAGGGTCAAGAAATTTACAGTCTGAAAGATATATGCAACAAAAGGAATTTGAAGAACTCATAACCATTTGAAAATAAACATGAAGAACAGAGGATATCTTTCAGGCATATCTAAAATACTAACATAGCATATAAAACTGACATGAAGCTGGACCATGGTACAGATCAATGTATTTTTTATCTGCAAACGATTCATTGAAATATCTGTTGAAAATGAGCACAAATTGTGAAAATTAATAGCTATGCTTCTGAATATAAACTACATGCACACTTTATGTATGCCAAAGAAAGCAAATTATTTGACATATTGTTCCACAGTTCATCACTTCTAAAAACATGCTTAGATGTGTTGTGTCACTGTAGGCTTTAATCTAGCCTTGTAATCTCTGAAAGATAGTCTTCAATCTACTATTTTTTCTTACTTGAATAAAACATATAATCTACTATTTTTATGTACATATTATAATTTAGATTATTTCAATGTTATGTAATATTTTATGCATATAAAGGAAGGAGCAAATGGTAAAAATGTATAGTTTAAATGAGTCTTATTGGGAGAAGGAATGGTAATTAGCTGAACAGTAAATCTGCCTTTATTTTTCACTAGGATACTTACAAATATAAAGGGTTTTAACTCAGTCCAATAGAGGTACCACTTAAAAACCTGTAAGAACGATACAATCAGTTCTAAGGGTTGAATAAAAACTCAGTGATACTTACCATACTGTGTAACAAATGCTATACAGCTGTTCACTATAATGGGAACGTCATTTTTGCTGAGCTGCTGATCTTGTAAAGCATTACCATCTGTACCTGCTGCTTTTTCAATTGCAGTATGCCAGACTGTGAAATCCAACTTGGTATGCCCATGGATGTATAATGTTCTGTAAAGTTTAAAAAGCATTTCAAATTATAATTTTGCTCTTTAAAAAAAAATCTTACTCCAAGACAGATTACCCTAAAATCCACACAATCATGCAAGACAAACTCTTCTTTTATCTCATCCACCACGAGCTTCCACTCAATCCCTCTTTTGCCTGCATAGTCACATCACTCCATAGCATTGAGGAAGCTCTCTGAATTTATGGTCTCACTTCTTTTCATTCCCTAGCCTCTTTTATTCTCTTTCTGAATAACTAAACTAAAACCATTGTGGCTATCACCTGTGACTTCTGACGGATATTTCTGGTTACGTTTTTTAAGGTTTTAGAATTGTCGATTTTATTTCTTAAAAAGAGAAAAAAACTAGCATTCAATTTGAATTTTATAGCATAATTCTTTCTGGATTTTCCTCCTATCATTCTGGTCACTTAGTCTCTTTCCCAATCTCACTTCCTCTTTCTGAATGGCAAAGTTGTAACCTCAGCACACACAAAAGCTCCATGGACTCTCCAGGGACATGCCATTCAGGCCAGTAGTTTAATCTTTTCACATAAATTAGTTTACTTCCAAATCCCTATCTCCAGGCTGTAACTTTCATAAATCAGATCTCCATGTGACTGAAAAGCAGGAGAATAGAGCACCTGAGAGTGGGAATGACAATCAGACTTTTTGAACTTAAATTTTAGCTCTGCCATTTACTTCCTTTGTAACTTTAGACAAGTCAACCTTATTTTTGCTTCAGTTTCATCATTGGCAAAATAAATATAATAATAGCACCTAGGACAACACTCAATAGACGTAACATTAATGACTAATGTATAAACTATACTACTAAAGAATATTTATATTTGAGCATCTTCACCTTAATGTGCAATAAGCATATCAAAGCTTTTGCTCTCCCATACCAAGCTTCTGGCACCAAAAATTTTCCACGTACCCCACGAGAAATTTAGGATTAACTAAGTGTAGATCAGTCTCTTTACCCAACCACTGCCACATGTCTTCAGTCACAAAATTCTGTTGACTACAGTTTCCCAATGTATTCACTCTGTCTCCTCTCCTTTCCAAGACTGCCTTATTTCAGATCTTCATGTTGTTCTTTCAGGTCACTACAGCCCCTCCTTACAGAATTCCTTTCCCAATTCTCAACCCCTGTAATGTCTACTCCTCACTATTGCCAGAATGATCTAAAACGCAAAGCTAATGACATCACTTCCAGATCACTGTCTTACAGTTCTTGAGTTTTCAAGATAAAAAGTCTTCATAATCTAGCCTATATTTTTACCTGCAACTTGATCTGTCATTCTCCTTTACTTAAGGTACTCAGGAAACATAAACACACACAAATACACACACACACACACACACACACACCCTCCTGGATTCTGTAATACATATTGCCTGCTCTTTGGCTGGCTACTCCAAACCTTCCCCCAGAATTATACTCCAGGTAAAACTCCTTAACACTGTTCCTGATCTCCCTCTTATGCTTAGTATGTCACAGATACTCCTTCTCAATCTTTCACTGATGGCTTTGTCCTGCATCATATCACCTTCTGTAGCTATCTGAATGTTTTAGCCACGAAACTCCAACCTTTACACAGGCAAGCAAAGAAAGTATTTCAGTATCTCCGGTCATTAGCATAGTGTCTGGCATTTAGTGGATACATAGCAGTTTTAAAGACCTATCACTAGATACAAAGTTTGCTTTAAAACATAAACTAATTGTTGATGTATTTTAAGTCTATTTACACCAAAGTAAAACGATATAATCTTGATTTCAGACTTGACAGGGCTAGTTTATATTCAACCCAAAGAGGCATGAATAAACCGCATGAATTCTGGGGCTTTGGGGGCCAGGTGTGGGTAATAAGGAATGTAATCTTTTACATTTCTGATAATCACTGTACCTAATATAAAAAGAGAAACAAAAAACTTCCTTTCTTTCCTTTGTTTTCTTTCTTGAAATGCTCCTGTAAGAAGACAAAGATACCTGCACCTTACCACACTCATTTTTAACATCTGAACTTGCTATAACTACTACTGTTTTACTAATACTGGTGCTTGTAATCTTCATCTCTTGCTTTTTGACGTCTTTATCTATTGTTTCTATTTTCCACAACACTACAGCAGTCCTGACCTCCAGGTGTTGTAATTTTCTTTTTGAAGAATTCTGAAATTTGCACTAATACACCTGACATGCTACAGCCTTTTCATTGATCTTATATCATCTTTAGCTCAAAAGTATTCTATTGCTGGATGTATTTGTCTAACTGAAATCATATAACTCAGATAATTTTTTGAGAAACATCAAACCTCTTGATTATGTGAACTTAATCAAAATTATGTCTTGCTATATTCACAAGTTTAGGTAAAGAGAAAAAACTTTTACATAATTTATCTAATAATTCAGTTTTAAATATGATATAAAATCTTTGTAACTATTTGCTTATAAACAACTACAACGGGTGTTTTAGCAAGCAGTGAAAGAAATCCAAAATGCAGTGGCCCTCCTACAATATGAGTATAATTCTGCCATAAACTGTGACATTTTTGAACTTCAAATTTTCTTTCTAGTCAGAAAAAAATCCACTGATGATGAGTTGAGCTGTCTCCTCATGAATTAGTGAAGAGTAGAACTTTCTCAACTTGTCAAAGGGCGAATCCTAAAATATATATGTAGTGCAATAGATGGTTTGACATTTAATAGCATTGGTGCACTAACTTTCCTCTCTGATGCTTACCTAAAATTTGTGGACACTGAATAAAGCATCGAAAGATATTTTCAACACAAATGCTGGATGACTTTGAGATTTCAAGTGTTATCAAATTCACATTCCTGGATTCGAATTCCAAAGAAACATTTACTTATATCCTGACAATCTGAAAAGTAATGTTGATGAACTCTAATTACAGAGAAATTAGTTATGCTAATTGTCTATTTTCTAAGCATAAATTCCAAAGGGCACTTCAAAGCCATATAAAGAAAAATTCTTATTTGCTATAATGAATCAAGACAGTTCAATAAGACCTTAGAAACCAAGTCCTAGGACTAACAAAAACAATTATATTAAAACTGCAATATAATAACCATGAAGCATAAACAATCATATTTGAGCCTAGTCTATGACAAGAACCAGAAGTGCCTTCACAAATAATAGATCAATAAACTTGACCACATAAAAAATAAATATGCTCATATAAAAAAGATTTTAAACAAAACTGAAAAGCAAATGAAATACTCTACAAATATGGCTGGAAAAGATAATATCCTAAGGATTTATACAAAAATAAAATAGTAAGTCTTCCACAGAAATACGGTTATCAGCCATGGAAAGGTAAGTCACAGAAAGAATTAGCCGATGTAACCACAAACCAGTCTAAGAATCAAATATATGTGTGTGTGTGTGTGTGTGTGTGTGTGTGTGTGTGCGTGTCTGTGTATCTCAGTCCTATCACACCTAAGATTCACAAAACAGAATTTCCTGAGCAACTTATTACAAAGTCACACTATTAGAATGGACACACACATACACGCGCGCGCGCACACACACACACACACACACACACATATACACGTATATATGTAAAATCAATGATGTGTCAAAGGCAATTTATCAAAGATCTAAAATGTTTAATGTTCATCACTGGAGTATAACAAGATGAGCATAGCATTTTAAAGGCTGATGAGATACTCTAAAAATAAATTTGAAAATATGTTCTAAGAATCTTAAAATACGTATGCATTAGTTTTGACAATTAGTTCCAACCACAGGACTCTTTCATAAGTACATGATTTGAAATGAAGGCACAATATCTGTTTCTTTCAATATATTTCTGTTCCTCTCTCATGCACATGTGCACATGCACACAAACACATGCATTTAGCCAAGCATTGCAAAAATGGAAATAAGTTGAAATCCCAAAAACTAGGGAAAGGTTAAGTGATTTAGCTACATCCAGAGATATATATTATAAACTTAGTACAATGAGCAGAGAATGCATAATCGCACATATGTATAAATCCAATTGCATTTCCTAAAATGTTAAATTAACTCTGTGTAGAAAACTCATGGACATTTTGTTTCCTTCTTTATACATGTCTGTGTTTTTAAAAATGTAATTAGAAACAAATCACATAAGCCGAAGTTTTGACTGATCCCTTAAAGGAAAAGATATTTAAAGCCGTCTGAAACATGCCATCTTAGACTGTCATTGAGCTTTTGAGCCAGAGAACTGGAAATATCTCTGCCAAGTTTTTTTTTCCATATATGACTAGGAAACTAAGAGCCAGAAACAACGTGTTTAAGGTATCAGAACTAGGTAGGAATTGCACATTTGAGCTACTCAGTACTAGCCTAGTTCATGAGCTTTCCTTTACCTGAGGAATCAGATCTCCATAATTTAAAACTCTGGTCCTCGAGTCCAAAAATACTTATTCCAGAAGTGAAATGCTGATGTGTATTTCTGTTGCCTTTCTTCTTAGTCCTATCACACCTAAGATTCATGAAACAGAATTTCCTGAACAATTTATTACAGTCACACTATTAGAATGGACGTGAAAGATGATCTACTAAAGCCACTCATAATAGAAGACCTATTTCTCTTCTTCAAGACTGTACACTTACATTCTGCCTTGAAAAGCATCCTAGGCATGTTGGAAATGTAATGCATAGGACTTTGGAAGATAGCTTTAGAAGGGTATGCTGTGCATTTTTCTTTATACTTCCTAAGCAGCCTCTCAAAGAAGACCCTACTTCTCATCCAAATAAGCTTTTGGGTTTGTTTTCTTCTGGAAAAGTATGAATTGTGTTATTTCTGTGAGTGATGTTTGGTCATTAGAATTTTTAATGAACTCATTTTAAGTGTATGGTTTGAAATATTTTTGCAAATGTGTACACTTGTGTAACTACCACCATGATTAATATGTAGACCATTTCCATCACTCACAATGTTCACTCATAACTCTTTGCATTGCATTCCTTTCCCCACCCACAATCTTAGGCAAGAACTTATCTGCCTTCTCTCACCATTCATTAGTTTCCCAGCTCTAAAGCTTCATAGGAATGGAATTACACAGTATTACTCTTTTGTGTCTGGCTTCTTTTATTCAGCACAATGTTTTTTAAGATTCATTCATGTTGTTGTTAATATAGGTCCCTTTATAATGATAATCAGTACTTCACATATGAACACATACCATACTCTGTTAACACATTCACTGACTAAAAATCATTTGGGGTCTCCTCACTTTATATCATAAATAAAGCTGATTTGAATATTTGTATAGGAGTCATTTTGTGGACATATATTATGATTTGTTTTGGGCAAATACCTAGCAGCTCATTTGTTGGGATGTATAGTTAAGTGTAAACCAACTGTATTATTTTAAAAAACAAAAACCTGCTAAACTGCTTCCCAAAATGAATGTACTATTTTACAATCCCACCATACTTGCCAACACTTTGCACTGCCACTTTCTAAAAAACTTAGTTTTTTCAGTGTGATCTCACTGTGGTTTTAATTTGTATTTCTCTGGTACTTAACTTTACATGTGCTTGTTGGCTATTCATAGACATCCTTTTAGACATTTCTATTCATCATTTTTTGCTATTTTATTGGGTTTTTGTCTTCTAGTTATATGTATTCTGTCCATGTTTTGGATATGAGTGCTTTATCAGACACGTGTATTTTGAATAGTACCAGTGTATGATTTCATTTTATTAACCATGTTGCTTAAAGAACAAATTATAATTGAGTTTTTAACTTATAATTCCAATACTTGTGATTTTTTCTAATTTCCTTGCTTTATCATATTAAACCCACAATATTAAATAGAAGTGGTGGGAATAAATATGTTTGCCTAATTCCTGCATTTGAGAGAATTTTTTGATTATATCCAATGTGTTAAATTCATTGGTATGAAGTTGGTCGTAATATTTTCTTATATTTTAAATATTAAACTGATGCACAGTTTTATAACAATGGTGATTTGTATCTTCTGTCCTATCTTCTAGTTAGAGTTTTATCAATTTTCTTAACTTTTCCAAAAAAAGTTAAAAATTTATTAAATAAATTGATTATTTCAAAGGACCAGCTATTTGTGGCTCAGATTTTTTAAAAATATATTCCGTTTATTCATTCTTTCTACTGTCTGTATCAATTCATTCTCTGAACCACTTTGGGTCTAATTTGCTCTTTTTTAGATTTTTAAGGTAAAAGTTTAGAGGATGGATTTTAGTGTAAGCATTTAAAGCTTCAAAGAGGATTTGATTTAGTGTAAGCATTTAAAGCTTTCAACTTCCTTGTAAATAGTTTTATAGCTCCATCACACAAATTTGATGTTATGATTGTATTATCATTGATCAAATATTTCCTAATTTTTCCTGTGATTTCTACTGTGAAGTATGGCTTATTTGGAAGCATGTTTAACTTCCAAATACTCAGGAATTACTCTGCAATCCTTTCCAGAATAAGGCAAGTTATGAATTAAATTCAATAGAAAATACTAATAGAGTATCAATCTATCTTTCCAGGCCCATTGTCACATGTGTCCTCCTCAAGCACTCAAGGTTAAGGCCAACCCATACTGAGGTTGTTTCTAGCCCATCCTATTTCTCTGAACCTATTATTTCCACCTCTTGGACTACCTTAGTGTCTCAGGCCCCCTTCATTTTTTCCTACTAAAGTCCTTCATTGGATTGTAGATCCAGATAAAAATACTTTTCTTTAAAAAACAAAACAAAAACAATACACACACACACACACACACACACACACACACACACATCTTAGAGGGATTTGCTCATTCTTTTGTCCATTTTTTCCCCATCATATCATACTTATTTCTTCATAAGCTTATCTCCTGGTACATAGAGGTACTTTGAACTAACTGAAACAAAATTGTTGAAGCAAATAATACACGTTTTAAAATCTACCTTTTGTTAATAGACATACATTCCCTTCTTCATAATTTTCTTTAACATAAAATCACTTAATATTTGTTTTGTAATAGTCTCTTTCTTTTTTAAAAACCTGTGGGAGTGGTGAGAGAAGAGAATCTCTTGTTTGCCTTGGCAATATTCAGATTAAGCCATCTCTAAGAATTAAATCATCAGAAAGTTACAAAAGCAGTCAAGCTTATATTGTGGGCAATAGGCTACTGTTTAATTTGCAATTACATGCACAATTTAAAAACCACTTTAAGATAATTCAGCCTCTGGAGTATTGCTAACATATTAGCTGCTATAAAACACATTCAAGGGGGAGAAAAGATCATATGGAATAAGGTGATAGGAAATAAGGAAAACTAAACTTAGGGTGCTAATCTCCCAAACTGAGAAAAGTAATCTGTTCCATAATTGTGAAACATACTGATAAAGTGTTTATTCCCCAGTATTAAGCTTCTTTATGTGAAGAATTTGCAATTAAAACTAAAATGCAGTCAAGCTTGGGAGACATCAAGTGTATTATGCTTTATTATATATCAACTAAGGAATGTAAAACAAAAAAACACACTAGCCTTTTCTGTTTCTGATAACACAGTTTACTTATTCACACTGTGTTTATTAGAACCAACAACCTTTCAACAAAAGCATAATAAGTGTCTATGGCAATGGGCATGCAGCTATGGAATGTGAAAATGGTAAACACAGTAACTTATTTCTTAGAAAAAGATATGCAGAAGATGTAGGTTAAAGTGCAAAAATAGTTCTCAAATTTTGAGAAAAAGATGTAATTTCTTGAACATTTCAGTCAAAGTGATGATACAATTTCCTACCGTCCAGGAAAATGCCTTCTGCCTTCCTGGTCTAGAATATTCACTAACAAGTGATATTTGACAATATTATTTTTTTATTTGCACAAACAGTACTAAGGTCTAAAAGAAAAGCACAGGATCTAAGTCCCAATAACAACATCAAATAGCATGCCAGAAACCCCTAAGTGTGATCAAGAAAGCTTTATTTTCCAAAATAATTTTTAAAGTATACAAGGAATACACATTAAAACGACACCATCTGGAACACCTTCTGTTTAGAGCTTTTTAGAGCAAAAATGCTGTGTGTGTGGAAAATATTATTGCAATATTTTTCTGTCTAAAGACACTCATGCTATGCATATAGAGAAAATGACCATGAAGATTAAAATATCTATCTAAATAGTGACTATATACAGGGGATAATTATCAATTTATGAACATTTCCAGTTTAGGGGGTTCTTTCTCCTCTTTGCCTTTAAGAAACATTAATGTAGTTTAGCATTTTAATCAAAGGTAGATAAGAACAGGAAAAATATGTGAAATTAATTCATTAAATTTATGTATGATTTACATTTCTGGCTCAAGCTGTTACTAGCAAAAATATAAGGTTCAAGCTTATAGCTGGTTGGTTTCTCTTTCTTTCAATCATTCACACTATCTCTATAGGCCAACAGTATAAATAATTGGAAGTTGTGTTACTTCCAAAAGCCACAATTTTATCTGTCACTGACAAGTCCAACAGAATCTACCATTGCTGACAGTCATCATTTCCCAAAGGGCTAATAGATCAAAAGGGAGATGAAAACAAGGGTGGTACAATGAAATTTTCTCATTTTGGCATGGTACTGAAACAGCTTTTCAACAATCACAGCTATAATTAACTAGCTATGTTTGAGTACTGGGAGAGAAGTGCATATTCTCTATCTTGGCAAATGATACTATCATTCATAGCATCACCCATGCCAGAAGCTCAGGGATCATCACTCTTATCTCCTAGTTCACAAAGCAATTGAAAATTGACTGGTATCTCTCTCAACATCCCACTACCACATGGAGAAAACTATCAACATCCAAAATCATCCATCAATTCTTCTTTTCTTACTTTTGCAGTTGAGGGATCTTGCTCTCTTGTTTGTACTCTCTCTTAGACCTTCAATCTCTCCCATTTTCTGTTTCTTTTCCATCAAAATTTAAACTTGTGTAAGTTTAAGCCATCTGAAAACAAACTGCACATATATGCCCTTTCTGGGTCAAACCCCTTACCTCGTTAATCCTATGAACCTCCCTCCAGATATCTTTGACAAAGTGACCTCACTAGCTGTCTTGGTTTACTCAATTTCCATTCTTAATCTGATCTAGTACCTGCCTGTTCACTTCTGCTCTCCCCCAAGTCACCAGAGGGACTCCAAATCACTTATCTTATGGAGTATGTATTCTCACTAGGCATGTCCTTCTGTCAGCACTTGACATTTTTAACTGATCCTTCCTTTTTGAGACACCCTCTTCCTGGGCTTTGTAACACTTTGTACTCTCTCTTAGTTTCTGGCCTCACTCTCTGAGGAAACAAGCAGCTACTTCTCCCTGACAAATTCCCCTAACCCAAAATGATGTATAGTCATCAAAGCTCCAACACAGGACTTCTTCCTTTTTATTTCCACAGAATCACCCTAAGTAATTTCACTTTCTTCCTTCTTTACGCTGGCAACTCCAAAATCTGTATCTCCAATCTGTTAATCTTTTCATGAATATCTTATCCATAAAAAATAACTTTCTCCCATCAATTTATTCTTAGATTTCTTATAAGAATCTCATGCTCAACATGTCTTAAACTCATTATCTCCCAGGCTCTCTCCCAAACCTGCTCCTTTTTCCACTATTTCCTATATGATGTCTATGTAGTCACAGAATACACAAACATATGTTTATGTGTCTATGTAAATAAGTAGATATGAGACTCTGTTTTGCACCATACAGGGTGCTGTGCCTGTCACGTATGTATAGTCTTTGTTCTTGTTCTATCAGGGTTCATAACCTCACATTCTTGGCATCTATTGTGCAGATTCTTTACTTTTATGCACACGGTGGACCTCCCTTCTCTCTACTCCATTTTCAATTAGGTAGGAATTCTATGGACACGTTTTCTAATAATTTTATAAAAATGTTTTCTAGTAAACATTTTTATTTTTCTAATAAATGCTTCAATTTTGAATTCTAGTAACTTATAGTGTCTATCCAGACTCCTAGAACACTTGTTGCTTTATATCCTGAGAAAGATCTCTACAAAGGTATTGGTAAATTAATACTGAACACTTGATTTTTAAAAAAAAATTTAAGTTACAAATTGACCTTACTTTAACTTCAAAATGAATTATTTTCCTCAATACCATATAGGCAAAAGAAGGCTGTTTAAGTACTTAAAATGGGGCTTGGCACATGGTAACTGCCCCCATTGTCATCATTGTTATTATCAGATGATTATTGATTTGGAGTAAAAAGGAAAAGCAAGTAAACCAAAGACAGAAGCATGTGATAATATAATTGCGTTTAAATGGTGGGGATGGTACATTAGCTATACGAAGAGATTTACAGAAAGTAACTTGGTTATATTTATCCTCACATTTCTCCCACTCCTATTATTACTCTTCACTTTCATAAAAATACTTTGAACATAACTTGTTAGTAACACATGTAGACGAAAACTTTCAATTACCAAAAATGTTATTAACTGTCTGTGACCATTATTTTGGAATTTCATTAGTTTTCTACTTTTCCATGAACTCAAAAATAATATTACAAATGAATTTCATCTCCTGATTTCTGCAGTCCAGCGGTAAGATCAAAATGTACAAAATAATAAAACATTTAGTGCTCTGGCTTCCATATCTTCCATATATGAGGGGCTGGACTGCATGCAGTAAGCACTAAATAGAATTACATTAAACTGAATCATTCTAATCCATGTTTGCTACATTTTAATTAAAACCTATGTATCATTGGCCAAATACTCCATAGGTTAAAAAAAAGGGTACAAAAATACGTTGGTTATAATAACCTGAAAAAATGAAAAGGATAAACACATTTGTTAAGCTGATACTTGTCTATTTGTTTAAGAACATAAGCTCTGAGGGGTCAGACACCAAGTTTGAATTGTTTACCTTTTTTATTTTCCTGCCATGGAAGTAGCAGTTAGTAGGCATTCCATAAATATTAATAAATGATTGTAAAACTGCATTTATGCTAGTATTTTAATGTCAAATCCTATCTATACCTAATAATTCCTCATTATTTCTGGACATAAAATTAACAATACTCTCACGGTATAGTGAAATCATCATCTAGTAACAAAAATAAGAATCTAAAGTATCATTAACCATAATAATCTAAGAAATAAGTAAAAATGCAAAGTCCTAATTACGCCTAGAAGCTAAAAAACACAATCTGACATAAATATCTAATCAGCAATATGCTCGCTGTATAAAGCTCTTGATGTCGTCCCATGAAGTTGAAGGAAAGGCAGGTTCAGATAACCACTGAAAGTCATTATCCTTGTCACAGCAATAAAAATAATCAAATGAAGGCTTATTTAGCTATATTTTTATATCGCAGTTAAACATTGAACAAGATAAGATTGAACTGCACAGATCCCTTTATACACAGATTTTTCTTTTGCCTCTGCCACCCCTGAGACAGCATGATCAACCTCTCCTCCTCCTCAACCTACATATATAAAGACGACACAGATGAATACCTTCATGATGATCTACTTCCACTTAATGAATAGTAAATATGTTTTCCCTTATGATTTTAATAGCATTTTCTTTTCTCTAGCTTACTTTATTGTAAGAATACAAATAATCTTGCACTATTATACAGCAAACCATACTGAACCAGTGTAATTAAGAGTTTTTTTAAGCAAATTACAAGAAGCCAAGGGGAAAAAAACCAATTTGTTGAAGAAGAAAGGCAGTTTGAAGATTTCCCAAAGAACTAAAAATAGAACTACCATTTGATCCAGCAATCCCACTACTAGGTATCTATCCAAAGGAAAAAAAAATGGTTCTACCAAAAAGACACCTGAACTCATATGTTTATCACAGCACTATTCACAAGAGTAAAGACGTGGAATCAACTCAAGTGCCGATCAGTGGTTGACGGGCTAAGGAAAATGTCGTCATATATACCATGGAATACTACACAACCATAAATAGGAATGAAGTCAAGTCCTTTGCAGCAACATGGATGCAGCTGAAGGTCCTTATCCTAAGTGAATTAACACAGAAACAGAAAATCAAATACTGCATGTACTCACTTATAAGTGGGAGTTAAACAATGAGTTACATGGAAATAGAGATGGAAATAATAGACACTGAGGACTCCAAAAGTGGGGACCAAAGGGGGCAAGGGCTGAAAAACTACCTATTGGGTGCTACGGTCACTATTTGGGTGATGGGCTCAATAGAATCCCAAACCCTAGCACTACACAATATATCCATGCAACAAACCTGCACATATGTAGATATGTGCCCCTTGAATCCAAAATTAAAAATAAAAGAAACTGTCTTCCTTATTGCTCTGGTATGTCCCTGGCTGCTCCTTCCTAGGCTTCTTTGTGTGATCATTCTCCTATTCTAGACCTTTACATATTGGGGGACCTCCGGCTATGTCTTCAACTCTCTTTTCTAGCTATACTCTCCATGAGGTGAACCCGTCCAGTTCCTTGGCAAAATAGCGTCAACACAGTGGTGACTCCCAAATTTATATCTCCAGATACAACCTCTTCACTTAATTTTAGACATGCGTATTCAACCGCTTACTCACCAGATCCACTTTGCCACCAAAGAGACATCTCCGAGTTACCATTCCCAAAACCAAACTCTTGATCTACTGTCTTAAACTTACTAATATCCTACACCTCTATTCTCCAAGAATTTGTTCTCTCAAAAAAACAGCACCATAATTCAGTAATTGTTCAGGTCAAAAATTCTGGGATCATCCTTGACTCTTACACTTATCTAATCCATCAGCAGATCCTGACACCTCTAACTTCACGAAACATCCACTCACTCCTATTCTCAGGTAAGTCACTGCTTTCCTGCCCAGCATCCTGACTAAACACCCACTTTCACTTTTGTCCCCCAGAAGCTTATTCATCTGGAGTCAGAGTAATCCTGTAAAAACATAAATCAGACCATTCCACTCCCCAGCTCTCAAACTGAGCAGCTTCCCATCATATTTTGATTAAATTTCAAATATTCACACATCATGACCGATAAGGCCCTACATGATCAGGTTGTGGGTATCTCTGAAATCATTTCTTCCCACTCTCTCTTTCATTCAAATATTCCCAGCCACCACAGCTTCCTTGCAGAACTTGGACATGCCAAGCACAACACACTCTTAGCGTTTTCAAATACCCTTGGCCCTACACCTGAAATACTCTATCTGGATTACTGCAAAGTTTACTTTTTCGTTTTATGAAGCTCTTTCATTCAAGATCTCTTTTCTTAGCTAGCAAACACGGATACTATCCCATCAGACTATTTTTATATTGCTTATTTTTCTGTGTAGAATTTAAAATTGATGGACAGAATAGCATATAATTATTTTTGTCTGCTTACACTGTTTTCCCTAATAATATACATGTTTCATGATGGTAGGGACTTGTCTGTTTACTCATCATGATATCACCAATACCTTTAAGAGTCCCTGATGCACAGTAGATGCTTAATAGTTACTGAAAAACTGAATAAATTCAAGAAATCAAGTTTTAGCTATGCATGACCCACATGCATAGATAATTCAGAATATAATTTATAGTCATCATATTCTTACAATGAAGATATATTTATAATTACCAAACTGCTTTCCAAATATTTAAATGCAAATGTCACAGAGGAATCTAGGTCTATAGAAAACTATACAATAATTGATCACAATAAGTTTGTCATAAAAATTATAAAGATATGTAAATATCATTGGTATAGTCTTTCCAAAGAGAGCTAATATATACTATATATGTATATTTATATGATTCAGAAAATTTCAACAGGTTTTAAAATATTGTTTTCTCCCTCAAGATAATAACAAAAAACAAAATCCCGCTGCCCAGAGTTGTTGAGATAAGGAATAAAAAGCAAAAAGGCACTTACCTCCCTTTTTCTACCAAGAGTAAAACATCCAGTTTTTCCCCATTTTGAACCATTGTGCTGATTGCTGAAGGGAGAATGAAAAGCAAAAATTTATTTTTTAAAACACTGTAATAAACACCCATGAAGACACAAATATTAATACTGCTTAGTCATAAGTTTGGGAGTAAGCCATCAAGATCTTACTAAAGGCTATCACTATTGTATGCAATAAAGAAAAGTGTTCCAAAGATAAGGGAAGAAAAAAGCTCTTACTTAGCTCTTGCAGTCTTCTTAAGTGCATTCTATCTCCCTGAACTTCTTGCATTTGAAGGCAAAAATGCAAGCTGGATTTGTCCATAGCAAACCAGCCTTTTCTCCACTGATCCAGGGCATGGCAGTCTTTGTAGAAGAGTTGACCAATCAAATCATAGTCAGCTTCTGTTAAGTTTTCAGCAAATAAGGGAACAAAATGCTGTTAAAACAAATACAAAAAAGTAATAAAGACAGTGAAAATAGGAAATCCCTTCCCTATCTACTGATATGAGAGAAGGTAGACAAATTATCTTAGTTTTTCAATTTTAAAGATTCAAAGGTAACACCAAATTCAAAACAACTAAACTTGCTATCAGTCTTAAAACTGAACAACTATAATGCATTTTCAAATGGCAGCATCTTAAACCATTTTTCTTGCTATGTATAGAGTTGAAACTGCAAGGCATTCTCTTAACTGATTTGTGGAACTTTTCAAAATGTCAACCTTCAGCATTTTTCTCCATTTATATATTTTCCTGAATCTGCTCTTTTCTCCTTTGTGTATACCTTGAATAAAATATCTACCTATAAAAAGACTTATACAGAAATGACTTTACAGTATTGAGAATATCCTAACCATCAAAAACATGGCCTTAATTTGAAGAATGATTTCTCCAAGTCTTACTTTAATTTCTTCCCTGCTTAAGGCTCCTAGAAGGTAGCTACCTCTTTTGACTACTTTTTTTGAAAATCTAATGAAGTATGAACTTTATTCCTACAATCTTATATAAAACTTTCATGGACCCCTGAAGCTCAAACACAGACTCCCAGTTCACAATCTTCTCTGGATTTAGAGCAGTAACATAATATTTAAATACCTTGGCTATTGCCTCTGTCCATTTTCTTTGAGCTTGAGATGTTTCAGCTCCAAATAAAAACACACGTTCGGAGGGTAAGTAGATCTCAAAGATAAAGATGGGCCTAAAACATGCACAAATAAAAAGATACTACCAGTTATATTTAGCTCTTAAGAAAATGAATAACACAAAGGTCATGTTTTTAATTAAATTCCTTTTAAAATAAACTAATGTTATGAAATCATCCTATTAGATTCTGTTAATGGTTTGCATTTTATTCAAATGAGGTAAATGGAACACACTGGATTGGACAAAAGGAATATTTTGTATAATCATTTAATCATTCTATTGTATAACTTTGTTTATGCCCTGGACACTCATCAGTTGACTGATGTAGCAAAGGGCTCTCCTTGGTCTCCTCTTCCCTCTCTCACCACTCCTTCTTGATTTACTCTGACCAACTGTTCAAAGCAAACACTGCCCAAACAGTTTTTAACCCTCTTCTTTTCTAACTTCAAATGGTCCCAGTCACACAGCAGGTTCCCTCCAGAACACAAACACATCAAGCATTAAATCTTACAGTTTTCCTAAGAAAGATAAATTTTCCTTTCATCATCTCAACTTACCCCAAATTTCTTATTCTTACTATAGATCAAATTAAAGCGACATTCCATGCTCTGAATTCTTTCCTGAGTTCCTCATTCACAACTCCATTTATTTCTTAGCACATGCTAAGTATGTGTGCTATTCTTACCTAAAAATCTCAAAATACCCTATGCTAAAGTCATCTTCCTTTCTCCTCTTTTCCACCCCAAGCCTGTTGTATCCCCTTCATGTCCTAATTTAGAAGCATCACAATCAATCTCATCACAACAAGCTCAAAACCCTTGAGTGTAACTTGTTCTTCCCCTTAACATCAACTCTTGTCCAGTCAGTCATTTAATCTTAGCAGTTCACCCTCTTCCTCTAGTTAAATTCTCAACAATTAGTCTCTCTTCCTCCAATCTCCTTACCACTTCTTCCAGCTCTCTTCCTAAAATATGTCTATATAAATCTTCAGTGCCTACATTATTGAGGTCATACTCTCCAATGTGTTATTTGAGGCAATTCAGCAAGAATTTTATGGCAACAATTATTTTTTAACCACATCTCATTGTAGATACTTTCTCTCTGCATAGCTACTTGTATCAGTAATGTTATCAAGAATATTTTAAACATATTAATATGCTGATATAAACTATTCTTTTTTATATTTCATTTACTACTTAGTAACTTAATATATAGAATCTACTTATTTTAACATTCCATAAGTCATATTACATTGAATAATCATTTAGAGTAAAAGCACTATTAAAACAAAAACAAGTCAATTAATAATCAGTTTTGTTCACATCAAAAATCAAATCAGATTTACTATAAAACAAGTCATCTCAACTAGTCATCATATAATAAAGGTAATATGTTCAATGTAGTTTTATGTAAATAACAGCTTTGCAAATCTCTTTCCTTTCTCATATAAAAATCTTATTTAAAATCTATGCTCCTATAAAACTTTTTTCAGATTTTAATATCAATGTTTTTCATTAATTACATCAAAAAACATGATAAGACACTTTCACACCAAAGATCTTAGATGGCCTGCTTTTAAAGTCCTGACAAAGATTTATTTAAACCATAGTAGATGTGAGTCAAATATATTACATAAATAATGCTTAATCTATTCATTGTTACTTTTTTCTGACCATTAAATTAACAAACAGCTCTTTAAGAAATTTAGCATTTCAATATGCTACTAAATATTGTTTATTTTAATGTGAACAGATCGTCATAGAATATTCTCCTTTCTTACCTGTTTTAATTATGATACTCATTAAATGAATAAATGAATTTTACCACTAGTCCACTATTTTAAATAATAAGTAACAAAATTAAATGACTATAATGGTCATAAGTGATATGCTATACATTTACATAAGATTTGGCCAGGCACGGTGGCTCACGCCTGTAATCCCAGCACTTTGGGAGGTCGGGGTGGGCGGATCACTTGAGGTCAGGAGTTTGAGACCAGCCTGGCCAATATGGTGTAACTCCATCTCCACTAAAAATACAAAAATTAGCTGGGTGTGGTAGCATGTGCAATCCCAGTTACTCGGGAGGCTGAGGCAGGAGAATCACTTGAACCCAGGAGGCGGAGGTTGCAGTGAGCCGAGATCGCCTACTGCACTCCAGTCTGGGTGATAGAGCGAGACTCCATCTCAAAAAAAAAAAAATTTACATAAGATTTGATTCGAAGATGCTAGCACTTCATATTACCTACTATAAATATTTTAGTCTTCCTACTTTGTAGTGAATTCCCAAAAGAAATTTCAGAAGGCGCAAGATAAGTAAGCTTCAAAAACCATTCAACCCTTCTATTAGAAGCAACTAAAGAACTAAAATGATAACAAAACTCTCATTACCTGTTATAATTATCTGAAAATACCTTTTACCTCCTAATTGTGTAATGACAGACCTACCCAGTATTTAAATAGAAGTCCTCTTTGTGTATAGCCAGGCAGATAACTTCATTGATATTAATGGTGCCATTAGGTGTGGTAGACTTATCATTTTCATAGTAACTCAAGAAGCCTCCTTCCAAAACACACCATTTTTTATTTGTCTCTAAGAATTTGAAACAAAACAAATAACAAATTGAGCTAATCACGAATCCAATTTTAAAAACAAAAACATACTTCTAAATAATGGCTGGATGCAAGTAAATAAATTTATTAATTTCCTATTTCACATAAAGTATATGTTATTGCTGCATGGGATATAAAGTTGTCACATTCTCTGCTCTCCAAAGAATTTACAATCTAGTAGCAAGGAATGTACAAAACAAAAATGACTGTGACATTGATAACCAGAGAAGGCAGAGCTGTAAAGAGGTTGCTGAAAAACAACTCTGAAGCTGCAAAGAATAAAATGTCTGTAGAGTATTAAAAGGAAAACAAAAACGTAGCATGAAAAGTGAGACTGCAGCTTGTGGTAGGTATGCAAAGGAAGAAGGATCAGAATCTGCACGGCCCTTAATGCTTGTTCAGAAGATTTCAAATTCATCTTATACTGAAGTCAGCACATTACCACCTGCAGGCTAAATCAGAACATCACCTAAAATATAGATTAGATCTACAGACATTAAGACTACTAAGGTCTATATATTAGATATAATGGATAAAGTCTATATATTAGATAATTTCTGAAGCTGGATTACTGTTCTGTGGTTACTTTAGGGCATTATTTATAAAAGCCTTTCTTTTTAAGAAATGCATACTGAATTACTAAAGGTAAAGTGGTATCATGTCTGCAACTTACTTTTAAGTGTGCATATAAAGTGTGAGATAAATATATACCCGTATATACATACATATGATACATATGTATGTGTATTATACATAGGCATATATATACACATACTCAGAAAGAAAAATACAGCAAATGTAAAATGCTAATAATTGATACATCTGGGTAAAATGTATATGAGAATTATTTGAGCTATTCTTAGAACTTTTCTGTAAGTCTCAAATTATTAGTCAAACTAATTTAAAAGTTTAAGAATATATTAAACTAATTTCAAATTTTTCCTTTAGCATATGATTAGAATCTTAGGTGGGTGTGGGGGTGACATGAAAGAAAATAAGACAATGTATTTGGCTTCAAAAAACAATCACAAGGAGTAACCATTAAAACAGTGACACCTAGAGAGCTAGATAGGACACAGTATTCTGAAAATGAATTACCAAATGAAAAGTCCAATCATAACTGGCAGAAGCAAATAGCATAAACGAATCCTTTATGGACAATGGAAAAGAAAGTTAACAGAGACCAAAGCAATTCCTGGTCAAAGGTGAAATATAATTCCAGGGCCCTCAAATCTTGAGTCACAGTGTATGTCCTGCACAGTTAGATAAAAATCATGAAAAGCCACAATTTTTAAATGAACACTCATTGTGAGTTTCTAAAATATAAGAAAAGGTAAAGTCAAAATACGAATCAAAGGGAGTTTGGAAGTAATTTCAAAACAATGTATTCAGACGTCTAGAAGAATCTTTGTAAGAGAATAAATAAAAAATGCATAATTATTCAGTACATAGATAATCACTGGCATAGATTAGGAGATCCACCCCTGTTCTCAGGCAGCTTATAATCCAATGAAAGGGGAGATGTGTCCAAAATGATAATCAGCAGGTTGTCTCTTTAGTAGATTAGAAGCATTCAAGGAGGTAAGCCCCCCCACCATACTGAAGTGATAAAAAAAAAAACTGCAAAGAAAAATGTCTATAAAATAATCCCTTACGATTTAGGAGCCATGTTTCTAAAGTAGCAAAAAATGCATTCAGAGCTACAATCCTTCCATAATATCAGGAAAGAACAGTATGAGGGAAGTCATAGAAAGGTGAAACTGCAAAAACCCTATTTGCCCAGAGAATCAGATTACACGTGAAGTTGGGAAATGGGAAACAAGATTGCAGGTTCATGGCAGAGGCCAGACCCTAAGAGTCTCACTTGATGGGTGTTCAGGAGTTTGTGCCTCTCTCACTTAGACAAGTGGGAGCCATTCAAAGGTCTTAAACAAACAGTGCCAAATGAATTAAGCATAACATAAATGTGACTGCAGATCTCATTATGTAAATTCTAATGGGAAACAAATGACAGATCTCTTTAAAAGGGTATGTACAAACTCATTTTCAGTTAGAATAATAAGCTTGAGGAGAGTCAGTCCTGTAGCATTTTCATTTCTGTAACCATTTCTTAGCTTTATTTTTGTAAGTGAAATGGGCCAGAAGTCAGACAAGGCAGGTGCACGTATTGTCTTTGAGGGTTTATAATAACAAAGCTGTGACAGGAAATCGTGACATTCCCATTGATATGGGAAGCAATTTAAAGGTTTAACAAGATTATATTGAATGATACTGGTCTGTTTGGGCCAATTTAGATATTCACTCCTAAATCTGACTTTGAGAAATGTCGGTACCCTCCATGAAACCCTCTCTGCTCCACAAGTCATTTTAATTGTTAAAGGAAGCTGTCTACCAACATAAAATTGGGGCCACAGAATGAATGACACTCAGGACTTAGCTGTTCCATAAACAGGAACTTATATGTAAGATGCAAGTAAAGTTAGTGGATTGGCAAGAGGGATTATTCATTCTTTCAATTCAATCTTCATGTTGAGATCAGTGAAGAAAAACATTACGACAGGATTTACTCAAGCACAGGTAAAGAACTCCCCAGAGGTGACCCACTGAAATGCTACCATGGAATGATATGCGTAATATAGTTGGATACCTTGATTGTCAGCTACAGCCTACAGGACAACATACCTAAACTCATAGGCTAACTGGAAGCCAGGGGAAACTGTTTAAACATAAGCCCTTCACTACTCCTCCTCTTCATCATCATCATCATATTTATGTGCCATGCACTGTTCATGCTTTAACTCATTGAATCCTCAGACCAACCCAATTATGTCAGTTATGTTGTTCCCCTTCCTTGTACCCTTTTCACTGGCACATAACAGTTAATCGACATTCCTGAGGTCACACTAAGTATTTAGCATCAGAGCTGGGGAAGGAACTCCATGCAATTGGGTTCTGAAAGTTGCTGCTTTAACCTAACAGGCAGGTGGGTTCTGGAAGCTGCCCTCTTTATGCTTGCAAACAGTTACTCACTGTATCTGTTATATGCTTGAACTATATACATTCAACTCAAAAAATGTATTACGGTAAAGAATGTGTACAATACATCTGAGGTAGTTAAGACAAAACTATTATTTTTGAAACTATGAATTTGCTTCATGTTGAGGAATTTCCTAAATTAATAGTATTCGGCACCCACTACAAACAGTAAGATACATTAGTAATCCTTTTCATTTAAAATACATGTGATTTAGCCTTGGAAAAACATGTTTAAGCTATACAATCTAGGATTTCACAGAACAAAATATCTTCAAAATTCCTCAATGCTAATTTACAAAGTTAAATATAAACAGAAATAGAATTTCTAGTAATCCAAATCAACCACTTTCTTTTTGAAAATCAAATACTATGTAAACAAATCAAGGTAAGATATCAAGGGAAAAAATATGGTTGAGGTGGGAAAAGGGAAAACAAAACCAGGATGCTATTATTCAACTGTGTACTTAGGTTCAACAAAAGCAATCCATCTTTCTTTTCATGAACACTAAATTGAAAAGGAAAAAAAAAAGAAAGAAAAATACAGATCAGTCTTTATAACCAGAGGCCAGAAAAACTTCAAATCTTAAAAACCTGAACTGACAATTTGAAGCCTCTGTAACTCTGGGACTGCATGCATTTTATTCCCAGACTTTTGTCTTTGTTTTTAATCATTTTGCTCTATGGCTGTCCTGACAAGTGCTGATGGAGTGGTAGCATCCAGGTGCTTGCTTTCAGAGGCAAAGGTGACAACCACACTTTAATCTCTAAAACTTTCCAAATAATTCATTTTTTTCCATAAATCTGATGTTCAACAGAAACAACACTATTGCACAAACTTCAAGGGTGAAAAAGAAACAAAATCAGAAGTTTTTCTGGATAGTTCAACTTTTCCTGTTTATTTGTAAATAGGGGCTTTCTGCACAAGATATGCTTTGTGCCAGCAATTATATCTTTTTATCCACAGATCAAAACAAAAATATTGATATATGAGTCACCCATTTACACTAGTAGTAACTTCCCTAAAAAATGATTCTTCATTCATTCCACAAATATTTATCATGTCCTACCATGTGCTGACACTGTTTGGGGTATCAAAGATTTGATAATCCTTGACAAGCTAGAAAAAGCTGATGCCTCATTGAGCTTTCACTTCAGGGGGAAAGAGAAACAAATAAATGGAAACAGGATCATCTCCATGTGATCAGTGGTAGGACAAACATACACAGCATCCTATGAAAGAGAAGGGCTGGCAGTGGGCTCACACTTTAGCAGGGTGCCAGAGAGGCCTCACTAACTAGGGGGCACTGAATTGATTCCTGAATAAGAAGAAGGAACCAGACTGAGGGAAGTGCCCTCTTTGCATAGGGAACAGCAGGTGAAAAGGTCCAGAAGAGGCAGAAAAGGACTTGGCATGTTCCAGGAATAAGGAGGAAACCAGTGCAGCCAGGCAAGTAACCATGTAGAGGACCACACCACCATGGAGAAGAATAACAGTAGATGCAGGAGATGAAGGGAGGGAGGTACAAGAAGGTCTTTTTTATTTTTTATTTATTTTTTTTTTTATTTTTAATTTTTTTTTTAGACCGAGTCTCGCTGTGTCTCCCAGGCTGGAAGTGCAGTGGCGCAATCTCGGCTCACTGCACGCTCTGCCTCCCAGGTTCACGTCATTCTCCTAAAAAGGTCTTTTAGGTCACAATAAAAAATAAGGTTATATTCTGGAATGAGGAGCCAGTAAGTATACTTGAGCAATGGAATTACATGATCAGTTTTCCTGTTTGGTTGTTGTTGCTGTTTACTTTTAGAAGACACGGTCTTCCTATGTAGCCCAAGCTGTGTTCAAGCAATCCTCCTACCTCAGCCTCCTGACTACCTGTGTGATTTCCATTTTTAAAGATAATTGGCTGGGCACAATGGCTCATGCCTGTAATCCCAGCACATTGAGAGGCTGAGACAGGCAGATTACTTGAGGTTAGGAGTTCGAGACCAGCCTGGTCAACATGGTGAAATCTCATCTCTACTAAAAATACAAAAATTAGCTGGGTGTGGTGGTGGATGCCTATAATCCCAGATATTCAGGAGGCTGAAGCAGGATAATTACTTGAACCCAGGAGGCAGAGGTTACAGTGAGCTGAGATTGTGCCACTGCATTCCAGCCTGGGTGACAGAGCAAGAGAAAGAAAAAGGAAGGAAGGAAAGAAGGAAAGAAGGAAGGAAGGAAGGGAGGGAGGGAGGGAGGGAAAGAGAGAGAGAGAGAGAGGGAGGGAGGGAGGGAGGGGGAAAGAGAGAGAGAGAAAGAAAGAAAGAAAGAAAGAAAGAAAGAAAGAAAGAAAGAAAGAAAGAAAGAGAAAGAAAGAAAGAAAGAAAGAAATGAAAGAGAAGAAAGAAAGAAAAAGGAAGGAAGGAAGGAGGGAGGAAGGAAGGAAGGAAGGAAAACAAAGATAAGCCTCTTTTTTGGAGACAGTTTTGAAGGGAAGCTAGGGTAAATACAGAAAGACAATTAAGGAAGGCACTGCAGCACAGGTAGGTCAGGATGGTGACTGTGGCTGGGAGGACTTCAGTGGAAATGAAGAGTAGCCAACTGCTTTAAGATCTATTTTGAGTTTGAAATGATAGAATTTGCTGGTAAATTGGATGGAAGATATTAAGACAATCAAAGAATACCCTGCCAGATTATGTTCACTAAAATCATTGCTATTGAATTATACAGACAAAATACAAAAGCTCACTTTCGTATTACCTAAAATGCAATGTTTTAAAATGGAAAAATATCCCTAGTTAAATTACATATACAGATAACGCATCAGTTTCTTTTTTAAATAAATTTTAACCAAAAATCCATTGTTAATATATTCAAAAAAGGAATTATTTAGTTACAATTGTTTATTACATCAATGAGGTACTCAAGTAAATTTAAAAACCAATCTGTTTCAAGAAAATATTAAAGAAGACTAGTAATTTTATAAATATTATAACCACAATTGCCAAAAAATAAAATAAAGCTTATTTTTAAACTGCAGAATGCTTACAACATATTGAAAAGCCTTAGGAAGAAAATCTCGTGTTTCAATCCCCATTTGATCTTTATAAAAGTTAAGTGGTTTGAAGAGTAAGTCTGTGATATCCCAGTATTTAGAAGAAACATTCTCCTAAACTTTTATGAAAGTACCGTAATTATTTTGATGATTGATATAGTCAATTCACAGACTGTCCAAGAACTTTCATCTTCTGATCACTTATCTTTTAACTACTTAGGGATAATACTGACAGTAAAAATGGAAGACAAAAAAAAAAAAACTCAGTAAAATCTGACATTTATTATTGGTTAGGCTGAGTAAAGGATGACAAAAACCAATTGTCGAAAGAACCAAAAACATCTAATTCAAAGGATAAAAATGCTCGGCCATTCTACTGTCATCTGGCTGTCACGCTTTGACCAAAGCCAAAGTGCTCCTGTAACAATGATAACACAAATCAGGTGTAAAATTCTGCTTCACGCCGAGCTTCACTATTCAGGTGAAAACTGACATCACATCAACGATCTTGCAGACTTTCATGAGGATTACAATTAATGTATATAAAGTATCTAAAGCCATGCCTTACACATAGTACATACTCACTCACTACAGGACAGCTATTCTTTTCAGGAAAATCTAATAATGCATAGTTAATCCCAACATAATTCTGCTTTAGGATATATTATATATATATATATTTGGAAATAAAGCTTTTATATTGAAATAAGAACTTCAAATCACATATATGAGGATTAACACTCTACAGTGAGTTTGTCATCCTATCATTCTTTTGATTGAGTAATATCACTGAACTATACCACCTAGTGAATACTAGGCTCCCGAGCCCGATCAATGGCCACCATCAATTGGCATGTACAGCTTAATCTCTCTTACACTCTTTGTTACAGTAAGGCAGACTGCATTATATTTTCCTGCCTATATTTCTTAGATTTGTTCCAATGTATATACATGAGCATAAGGACTGTGTCTTAGTCATTTCTAAAATCCCGATACATAGCATTGGTTTGACACAAGGAGTTGGAAGGATAAATGAATAAATGCCCCATTGTAACTCTGCTCAGATAATTCCCCAAACCTAGAATATATTGTTAAATCAGATTCCCATCATTTTTTGAAACCAAGCTTAAGTTTTATTTTACTTAAACACACACACACACTTTTCATCAGAAAAAAAAAACCTGAACTATTTGATATTACTTAGTACTCTAATTGAATATGTACTAAAAACCTGCATTTCTTCCTATGTGTTCACATTTATCTACATTATCTGGTGAGCCAGTTGGGGTGTCCATCCCTAAGGAAAGGGGCTGAGTTATAAAGGAATAACCTTTATAACTTGAAACAGAATTGGTTAGCCTTAAGGTAGACATAAGTGAATTCTGTTGAGAATTCACTCAGCATTCCAACCAATGGTAAATCCCTGCTGCAGTACATGAAATAATATTTGCACCTAGAAGCATTTATAAATCCTCAAAAATATCTCTACTTGGAGATCAAATCTAACATCTCAAAAAAATCAAAATCTAAACCTAATTGTTTTGATAATGGAATAAAGTTTTTATCTGATAATATCTAAAAAGAAGAGAAAAAATACCTTCAAGCAGTTTTTTCTCTGAAGAGAGTTTAGAAGCAGCAGAAGGAGCTTGATATAAAAAGTCACAGAGGAATGTGGACTGGGAAGACTCTTGACTTAATACACCCTCGGAATGAATATCATGTTGAGGGAAATCTAGAAAAATTAAAGAAATAAGGCACAAGAAATCTAAAATGTAAACAATTTTCCTTTTGTTTATAATATGTACATGAGTTTTGAGCTAGAAGAAAAACTACTTCAAATTTACCAAAGAATAATTACAGAGATACTTATTTTACTTTGCATAAAATTTGCAAATAAGCACTTAAGTCATATTTATTATTCATATATGAAAATCGGATTTAATGTTGGTGGAAATGATTATGTGGGATTAGCTATTTTAATCTTACATTTATAAGATTACGGGAACATAAAAGATTGACTTCCTAAACTTTTCATTGAAATGATATAAAAAATAGTCTTAGGCATCTCCATCTTTTTGGTAATTACATTTTTCTTCATTCTGATGGTTTCTCTTATTTGAAAAATCAATAGATTTATGCTTCAGTCCTTTTACGGATCTATCAGAAGAGACCAGGTTAATGAAGAGACAGTGACGAACCTGAGAATTTGTTATGGTAGAGAAATTCCATTTGCAGACTTTGCCCAGCTTTCTTGGCTAGCAGATAGGGGGTGCTATGCACGGGGTCTCCGGTGGCACACATGACATCTGCTCCACTGAACAGCAAAGCCATTGTTTCTAGAACATCCGGTTTCACTACAGCAGCACATAGAGCCTGGTCATTAAAAGAAAATATACATCTTAAGGAAAGAAAATAAGATTCTAGCTATTAAAATGAGTGAAAGTCTGATAATTTCATGTATGGGATAAAGTCTGTATTCCTTTTATCCTAAGGCGGCTAATAATAATTATGCCATGAATTAGGCAATAGGCACAAAAGGCCTGGTTTATGTGAATTTAAATTACAACCCAAGACCTCCAGGTCTCAATTCATTGTTTGGTTGCTATGATGTTCCTTCTAAACCTAATCCATCATACTTGCTTTGGAAGACATTTTTATGCTTACATACTATGATAATGACTGATGCGCAGAGAATCAAAATATTTCAATATAATAATGAAGTAACCATTAAGTGTTTTTCATGTGAATGTTAATATATATTTTCCAATCTAATCAGGAGCTGCAGAATATTTGAATTATTAAGTGCTATGGGAAATTGAAAGATGAGTGCAAAGCAAATTCAGGATCTTCCCCTCAGGGGCCGAGGATAGGAAGGAGGAAGAACAGTGAGAAGGCGGCAATAAAAAATATTATTGACTTATGTTATATATCATCTTTGTACAAACAATAGGAACTGTTAGAATCCTTTTTTTTTCTTTTGCCTTGAAATAATAAGCTGCCTCTACATCTCTTCTCATCCTTTCTTCCCACATTATATCAGTCCTCAGACTTCACTTTACTGGATCCCATTTGCTTCCAAATCCTCAGATTGTGGCAACAAGAGTTAGCAGGAAACTTCAATTATGGAGGAAGAATTTATGCTCTTTTGACAATGAATCCTTAAATGAAACAAGGGGGAAACCACTGAAATAATGTCACAAAAGGAAATAAAATAAAATTAATAATTTTGTCAGATAGTATAAAATTTTTTACTTTTTCTCAAGAATCTTGGCACATCATTAAAAAGACATTAAAATCCACGTCTGCTGTTATGTTTAATTGAATACCTTATTTAATTCTTCTTTGGTGAGAGATGCCAAAAGAGTTTTTCTGAATTTTCCTTCTTTATATTTCTGAGTAATAAAGTTTTTTCTCTTTTCTACTGGTGAGTCCATATGTAATTCTTCATCCTTTTGAAGATTACCAGCCCAAAAGTCATTTGCTCTTTTGTTTCCAATGACAATAAAAAGCTGAATTGTCAAAAAAAAAACCCCATAATATATCAGTTCATAAAATATATTTGAATCTGCAGGAAACTGAATTATATTACAAATTAAAGCATAACTTAGTATAAAATACAGGAAAACACATGAAAGACTCAACTATTCCAGAAAAAGGAAGTATGAAAGCAGATACTATGATCAGTTTTTAATACAGCCTACCCACTCTAAATAATGGAGAAAAATTAGCTTGGAAAGAATTGCAAACAACACAAATTGTAGCAAAAGTATTTTCATTCTTTGACACTCAAACTGAGACAGCTTCACTTTAAATGGCCGAGTAGGTGGGCTAATGCTGTCTGAAGTGCTTGGTGGTGGAACAAGGAGCCAAAAATGGAGACAGGACACAGCAAAGTAGCCTCCATCACAGTTAATGACAGAGTACGGCCAAGGTAAAAACAGTAAATTTTTCCAAATGTTTTCATTCACTCTCCTATTATTTTACCCATGTTGGGTTTAAAACACACACACACAAACACACACACACACACACACACACACACACACACACACACACATATACAGTTCTAGCATTAAAAAAAAACAAGCTGGCAAACCTTTCTAAGTACTTATTAAGGATCTTCTATACTTTTAAAATAACTATCTCATTTAGGAAGCATTCTCAAAGAGTTACTACTATCAAAAAGGCTATAAGCCACTTCCATAATGTGGTGAGAACTTTATCAAACAGCCCCGAGAAAAATTCCTGCCACCCAAACCCACAGCAAACCTCCTCCCAGTCTCTGCAAACTGAACCCCTATCACAACCCCATTCAGGTTAAATAGGACTCACCTCGATGAGTTCATTGCTCCAAATGCTAGCATCCATTTTTAGACTTCTAACCTTGGAATCTTTTGGTCCTAAAGATCTATGCTGTCCTAGAGTCAAAACACAATTGCATTTCTATTTTAATTTGTATGTAAATTTATTTTACCTTGTTTTGAAAGAAAGTGCATATGTCTGTGTATGTTCGTTGCGTATCTTCTCAACTTAAAACACACCAATACCTGCTTTCCTCAATAACAAGATGACAAGAGCACTAACAGTAGTGGTGAGAATTAGACAAATCGCAGCTGGCTACAATAAAAACAGCAGCAATCATCATCAGCATCTGCACTGACAAAAAAAAAAAAAAAAAAAAAAAAAAACTACACGGCCTGGCGCGGTGGCTCACGCCTGTAATCCCAGCACTTTGGAAGGCCGAGGCGGGCGGATCACGAGGTCAGGAGATCGAGAACATCCTGGCTAACAGGGTGAAACCCCGTCTCTACTAAAAATACAAAAAATTAGCCGGGCGAGGTGGCAGGCACCTGTAGTCCCAGCTACTCGGGAGGCTGAGGCAGGAGAATGGCGTGAACCCGGGAGGCGGAGCTTGCAGTGAGCCCAGATCTTGCCACTGCACTCCAGCCTGGGCGACAGAGCGAGACTCCGTCTCAAAAAAAAAAAAAAAGAACTACACTTACTTAAATATATATATATATATATGTGCATGAGTGCATATGTACAGACACATGTATAAATATTTCCTCATTTGGTAATCAGCTAGAAATAGGCCACTGAAAACCTTTTGTAAAGCTTGCTAAAACCCCACGTATGTAAATGCAGATAATATTTCTTTACTGTTACAAAAACTTGACTATTGAAAAACTAGTTACATGTCTAATAAGTGTGTACTTAAAAATCTGACATGAATACTTTATTCAGCAAATATGTCTGGAAGAAAGTAAGAGCCCAGAATTTTATTACTGTCAATTCAATTGTGCTGTATAAATCATCATTCAGTCATCACTGAGCAACCAGGCTATGTCAGATTATTTCAAAGCTGAGAAGGAAAAAAAGTGTACAGTCCACTATCCTTGATCTTAAGGGCCCTTTGTCTAATGAACAACGAATGTTCATTCCTTTCCCTACAATAGGTAAGAAGTTCTTGTCTTTTTTTTTTTTTTTAAGTAGAAACTATTCAAAGCACAAAGCCCTAAATTCCCCTGGAAGAAATCTGCATAGGTTTGCATTTATAATGACTACCTACAGGCAATACAGTACCCAGCAGGTAAAAACTTAAAAGCCTGTAGGAAGAGATGAAAGGGACTGCTGCAGTAACCTAGGCATGACAGATTCTGAGTTGAGGCAGCAGGAAAATAAAATGGAGCAGACAGATTGAGAGAGATTGATAAGATAAAATGAATGAGACTTGGTGGGTTTGAAGGAAAGAGGAAGAGTCAAGAAGGTGTCTCAGATTTTAGGCTTTGAGTGTGCAGCGTAGACAGTATTGCTTTTGACCAAGATTGAGAATATATGAAAATGTGCAGTTTTATGAAATGGGCTGAGGGGAACAACGATGGCTCCATTTTTGACATGTTACATTTGAGGTGTATTTGGCAAATCTAAGTAGAGATTCTAGTAGGCATATAATCATAAGAGTTTGGTGTCCAACAGCGTGAGAATCATTTGCTTAAAAATGAGTGTGGAATTAAAGTGATAAATAATATCACTCAGGAGCAACACAGTAAAAGAGAAGTGAGAATGTAACCCAAGGGAACACATGTATTTCACAAGCATGGAAATACATGGGAAAAAAAATACTGGAAAAAAAAAGACTGGTAATAAGAACACAAAGAGAGACTGGTATCTTGGAAGCTGAGAGAGGATGGATGTCATAGAGAGACATGTTGTCGAGACACTCAAATAAAGAGACAATAATAAAGATAGTAAGTGACCACACCGAAACTGAGAGGTAAAATACGTTGGTAAATGTGGTGAAAAGATTTTTACCACAGTTGAGAGAAAAGGTAGCTCATCAGCAGTTAAAAGGTAGCTGATTACAGAATGCTGAAGAAAACTTAGGAAGTTAAAGGAATGAAAAAAAACCTATGCACACTACAACTTTTCATAATATCTTGTCTATGAAAGAAAAAGGGGACAGAGAATGACACATAGAAGGAAATGGATAACTTTTAGAAATCCTGATGGTGGTAATGAGACAAACTTGTGCAAGTTTATACAATGAAACAAAAGAAACCATGGCTAAATACTTACATAAGAGAGTGAATAAATGACGAACATGTATCCTAAGGAGGGAAGAAAGAAAGGAAGCAAAGGTAGAAAAAAACAGCTGTGAACAGCACAAAGGCCGTCTCTTCCAATGAAACTGGAGAGAAGAAAAGGATGGGATAAAATTCAAAGTAGAAGGTGATTCACTGGCATTTTTTGTTGTGATTGATATTATTAATTAGCTGGTGAGGAAATCTATCTTAGTTTGATGAGAAATGCAGTTGAATAGTGCTCTAGAAAAGCGTTCAGGATTTGAAGCAACTCCTGTGACTGCACTACTCACTGCGCTCTAGCTGAGGTAGGAACTCCTCTCCAGCATTCTCACTGAAGCCTGTATTCAACTCTAGTCCAACATTTGTCTCATTATTGTGGAGGAAATGTCATGTCTTATACATGTTTTTAATTCCCCGCACCAGCACAGTGCCTAGTACTTGAGTTGAATTCTCTCTCTCTGTCTCTCTCATCTGTGTTTGTGTGTGTATGTGTGTGTGTACATACAGTGGGGGAGAAGGTGGTGGGACACAGGCAGTCCAGGATAACTGAAGTTTAGACTGTGGTTAACTTTCTTCAAAACTTCCATGATCACACACCTAAGCTGGGGTCCACTTCCTTCCACTCACTTGGGCAACTGTCTGAGCTCTCAAATACACTGAGATGTCAGGTTGTCCAGTGTGAGGTCACAAGAAGAAAACCAGTCATAGTACTGGTTTATATTCATAAACATCAATAGTCTTGTGAAATGCTTCTTTATAAAAATTCTTATTTTAAGAGGTACCAGATCTGGCATATGAAGTTTAGTGCTCAAAACAACACTGAGGTGAAAAATATGTCTTACCAAAAATGACTGGGGAAAGGTGGACAAATCTTCAAGTTAAAGATGCAAGCTTCTTCAGGATCCATACTAAAACATACTCACCTAAAATCTAGAATTTTCAACACTGTCTTTTTAAAATCTATACATGGACCAGTAGGCATAAAATATGATTGCATGCTTAAAAATCCATTTTTATATCCAAGTCATACATAAGAGAAGTTTAGACTCATATTTCTGAATTTGATTTAAATGTAATAAGCTTTCTCTGGTTTTACTTCTCATAACCATTAGCTAGGATATATAATATGCAACAATGAAGAGCATTCAATGCCAATCTGCCACAAAGCTGTGATGAGCATAACTTGTCACTAATTACCTGCACACTTCTTACAGATGACAACACAGAGATTGATGGATGCCCAGTCAGGATCTGGGGCTTTACAATCTGCACAGCTCCTGTTGGATTCATTGAACCAAATCTTCTCAGCTACTTCATAATCAGAGAGAGTTTCTGCTATTGATTGCTGCACAGCTTCAATCCAGTCTTGTTTCTCCTTTTCAGTCTCGGCTGTAAAGCTGAAACAATTAACGTTTCTGTGTTATCGATCTCCCTTGTAAAGGCCAATTAAGCAGTATGTTCAGTTTGCATATTCATTTCACTCACAAATTAAACAACAGCTGAAAAATATGGCTGCTAGGCAGTTCTGGGTTGTCTTTTCTGTTAAAAATCATTTAACTTCGTCTTTTTTCCTTTTAATTTTCCACACTGTTTATGTCTTTGTTTATGCATCTTGAACCAAAATTAACATACACATTTTCTAAACAAAACATAAAATTTGCCTTGTTAGGTCACAAGCCTAAACAAGAGGCTATGTTTCCTAAGCAATGGTTATGTAATCATCAATAAGAGGTTTTTGGCAGAGTTTCAGGGCTACTGGAATATTTTGCCAAGCAAGTATGCCATGATAGTCTGAAACTATGTTATCAAAAACACCCACCAGAATTGTGACTTTTTTTTCAGATTTAAGAATAGATTCTTTTTTTTTTTTAATTAGAAGAATGCCCAGATGGTTCTAAGGAACTGGGAAATCAAAAAAGTTTTAAGTGGTTACTATTCTAACAGTTTTCTAACACATTTTTAGCCACGTTCTGATTTATTCTGAATCTTAATGTTTACTGGGAACTCGAGTGAATGAATAAAAACATTAAACAGCAGTTCATTCCTTCAAGAAATATTTACTGAGCCCCTGCAATGTGCAAAGGAATGTGCTACAGTGCTACATACTTGGTCAATGACCCACAAAACTGATTCATATTAAAATTTTCTGTTGTAAAGAGGAACATGCTTTGAAATATAATGAAAATCACAGCTAACATATTCTAAATAATCCTTAAAAATAAATGGCCTACATGAATTATACTTTTTGAAGCTCTTTAGGATTCCATCACTCTCAGTGGTTTCTGGTTCTACTAGAAATTTGTCACAGCCAATATATTAATACCTATATTTTTAGTTTTGGCTAGAATCTGCAAATGTAAAAATAAAGCTTGTTAATTTTATGCAACCATTTCTTTCTCAAAATTTGAGGCAATGGATGTATTTTGACATGCAAAATGAGTAACTACAATTGACAGTATATTTGAAATTCCTAATTGTTAGTCCTTTAAAGGCCTAGAACAATTGCCTCTGACTTGCCCACTACCACGTGATGTTGATTATTTATAACAAACGAATTAATACAGTTGAACTCAAAAGATGTTGACTTATGCCTATTCTGTATACTAAAACTATAGAGTCATTTTAGTTTATTAAACCATATTAATACTTTAAATTATCTTTTTCATTGTCATAATGATGCAATTAGTAGAATACCATAATATGAGATATATAAAAAAATGCTAAAGTATTTGGATCAATAGGTGCTATGAGATTCATTAAATTTGGTATCATTTTAAGCCCTGGAGGAAATCATATGGAACAAATGTAATTAGGAATTGATTTTAAATGAGGGATTGTATTTGATCAGGCTAAAAGAAGATAAATAGCAATACAACTTAAAGACAATGTAATATGTTTTTATTTTATTCCTTCTAAATGAGAAGGAATTTATCACATATTTTCAAAAAAAAAACATACACCATGCCTAGTAAGAAAAATAAGTATTAAGAAATTACTCAAATTTCATGAAATACATATTTTTGCATGTTTTGTGATTATTGAGGTCACTTTTACAAGGTGTTTTTATATAGTGGCTAACAAATTAGACAATATGGAAAAGTAGGGAGATAATTTTAAATGGCCTACAAGAGAAAAATCACCACGAACAACATAAAGGTGGATCACCCAAGCTTTCCTATAGTAGTACGAACACAAAATGTTTAAAAATAGCTTACCTGAAACTCCTGTAGGGAGTGATTATTTCAAAAGATTGTTTCACAGTTCGGTCCACTTGCTTTACATTTGCTACATTCATAGGAATTATGGTAATACCAAGTCCACTCTTAAAATCCTAGTTTGGAGAAAAACATAAAAAACTATAAAGAAACAAAAAAAAAGATTTTGAAAGTATAATTACATTTTCTAAATTCCAATAAATTCTACCAAATTTTACAACAAAATCAGTCTCACTTTAGGTAGCCACTCTCAATACATAATAGCACTGGGCCAACTTAAGCTTGACAGTTGGACTATTGATAGCGTATGGGTTTCTTCCATGTGAAAGAAACATTGACTAGGCCACTGACACTGAACTAGACATGCTTTGCTTTTGAAAGTAGGCACAATATTCACCCTTATCCATTCATTAAAGGAAGCTAAATATTAACTACCTCTTATTGTATGTCAAGCAGTTTCCTAGGTGGAAATGATACTAGGAAGTTAGCATCATTACTAGTTATGTAAAAAGATGGGAAAACTGAGGCACAAAGGAAGAAGGTTACATGGAAAGTTCAGCTAGTTGTATGTGGTAGAAAAAAGATCTGGAGCCCAATCTGATTGCTCTTTCCTTGTTTTACTATCTTAGATTACCTCTGCTGTTTATCATTATTTTTCCCCTCATTTACTCTCCAACAAAAGCATTACTTGTCTTAGGAGATATACAATTTTACCTCATTTCCAATATTTTATTGCTTTCATCTCCCTTCAATCAGATTCCTAAAAGCTCCTCTAATGCTACTTTGGTATAAAAACTGCCATTTGTTCAAAATCTATAGTTACTATGTTCAGCTTGTCTCATGAAAATTCAAAATTGTTCAAAAGGCTACAACAGACTCTGCATTCTAAAAGCATTAAAGTTTGCAATACATCATCTACCCACATGGATTTCAGAATGTGACTTATCAATTAAATAATCTCCACACTTTACAAAACAATATGTACATCAAAAAATGACCTATTTGAATAAATTCAGACTAAATGTGCTCTGAATTCCTAAATTATGACTAAAGAAAAGTAGCAATATTAAAGGCAAAATACAAAAAAAAAAAAAATACTGGCCCATTTTCAGTAAGGACACTTGTTAGAGACTGTGAAAGAGCCATTCATCTGCCTCTTCTCTTTGTCTCTCCTGCTATATACGCCAAAAGTAAAAGAAGTGTATTCTCCTCTCCCCTACACTTAGAAGTGGCCATGTGTTGTAGTTTCCTTCAATCAAATTTAAGCAACTCCTGGTAGAATGGAAGAGGAGGGGCCGAAAAGCCTTAGAAGAAGAAAGCCTTTCAGCCCTTACTTTTCCATCTTCTGGGGAAGTAACTGCTAGAAGCACAGAGTCATTTTAGAACTTCACAATCCTAGAAAAGGGAAAATTGAGGACAAATTCTTAGGCTCTAAGGATGCGAAAGTGAGGACAAAAATAGGGAGAACCCTGTTCTCTGGCAGTACCAAGTCTTAACCGCCTACACCACCAGATTTGTTAAAACAAATCTCCATCTAGTTAAGCTCTTCTTCAGGTTTTTGTCATTTAGTACTAATGTGTTCCCGGCTTATAAAGTAAGTGGAAAAAAATAATTCTATAACAAATGCCCCCCAACTTGTAACAGTATCCAGAGTTTCCAGACGCAAATTGTGGGAAAGCCTCTTACATTTTTAATATATAAAGTTTTTAGTTAGAATAAGGAAATGACTCATTTAGAAAACAAATCATCAACCGAATTTTTTTTTCTGATGAAAGAACTAATGGTTCACTGTACTAGGAGAAACTAGCCAGAAACTGACAATCAGTGATATAAAAGAAAAGATGCAGAGAAATGCTGAGTGCTGTAAAATAATTAGAATGGGAGTGCCATACTTCCACTTTGTATAGTAAGCCCACTTAATGAAAAATGGCACTTAACATGATCTCTACGGAAGGAAGAAAATCAAGCTTTTCCAATCTGCCGCATTTTAATAAGTTTCAGCCTATTGGCACAGGGTTATACTTGATTATTATTTTTTTTAAATTCCCCAATTATCCACAGCTATACTCCTGCTGGATGACATACCCGTTGGATAAACTTCCAATGCATGTGATTGGGAACTCAATCTCTCTTTCACAAGTGAGGAAATTAAGTAAGGTAGCAGTAGCAAGATAAGATATTTTTAAAACAGCTTTTTGATGGCTCACATTGATACAGAAATAAACTTTAGAATAAATAAATAAACTCTAGAATAAATACGTGGACTGCATGTCCTTCAAACAATCCTCCATAATGAGGCATTTGACAAAAGCTGTGTATCAGATCATTCCAGGTTATATTCTCTGACGGGGGCCTGGCCTGTAAGTCCTGTATGTTACTAAGGGCACACATAATACTCTGACCATCATACTAGCAGATGGTAAGAATGACAACCTTTTATGGAAACTGATGAGCCTCATCAAGGCTCCTGCATGAATAGATGGCTGCTCATCTCCACAGAAAGTCATAAAATGTCCACATGTAAAGCTGTAATTTCTGTTAAAATAAGGGAGTGCTAGCTGGTTAACACCTCAAATTTCCCCCAAACAAGGCAAAGATGACTTTTTTTTTTTTTTTTTTGAGACAGTCTTGCTCTGTCACCCAGGCTAGAGTGCAATGGCACGATCTCGGCTCACTGCAACCTCGGCCCCCCCAGGTTCAAGAGATTCCCCTGCCTCAGCCTCCTGAGTAGCTGGGACTACAGGTGTGCACCACCAGGCCCAGCTAACTTTTTTTGTATTTTAGTAGAGACGGGGTTTCACCATGTTGGCCAAGATGGTCTCCATTTCCTGACCTCGTGATCTGCCTGCCTTGGCCTCCCAAAGTGCTGGGATTGCAGGCGTGAGCCACAGCACCACCCACTTATCAGCTGCTTGCCATGGCCATATGGTTTTGAGTAATTAGAGTATCTACAGAACTGACCAGCATAAATTGACTGGAAAATATACATAAGAGTAACACAATAAATGTCAGTGCTCTTGAGAGCTATCATATATGAAACAACTGCATTTTCTATTAAAAAACTGTGGACATTAAGCCATTATTTTCACAGTATTTAAATAGTATTTAGAACATGTTTAGAATACTTCTCATCCCTAGATACTCACAAAAATTACCTGTGGTGATCTCTCCCTCCCACCCAGAGACTCTGATTCCATGAATCTGGGGGCAGAACCTAAGAATTTTTAATTTCCAAAAACAAAAGTACAACCTCATGGCTTTTATATGTGGCCAACGCCAAGAAACACTGATTCAGATAGCAGAACCATTATGTAACTAATTTAGACAGTATAAGTATGCAATATGTAACTATCAAGACATAAATACTTCTCTCTTGACCAGGCAATGTGGCTCACACCTTAATCCCAACACTTTGGGAGGCCAAGGTGAGAGGATTGCTTGAGGCCAGGAGTTCAAGACCAGCCTGAGCAACATAGTGAGACCCTGTCTCTACAAACGAAAACCAAAAAGACTCCATTTTATCTGCTTCTGTAGAATGCATGCAATCAGAACATACAAAAACCAAAAACCATTTGAAATAATTAAGACTATCAATTTCAAATAAGCAGGCCAGAACAGGATGACACATTGGATTGGTGAGATCCTATTTGTCCTGGGTGCCAACTCCTGCATTAACGTCCAGAGGTGTTAAAAGCATCTGTCTTCATTAAGCATATAGAGTGGACTCTATAATTGGTTTAATATCTATCTGTGCATGCTATGAAGTTTACAAACAGCTATGAACTCTCGTTTGATTTCCTAAATAGTTCTGTGAAGTAAGCAGAGCAGCTACAGTCATTTTTTAATGGGAAAACAGTCCTGGCAAAGCAAAGCAGTGCTTAGTAAGTATCTAGTTGTGCCAGAAACTGTGCTTAGTCCTTTGGCTGCAAAAAAGCATAAGACTGGGTATCTGCCTTGAGGAAGCTTTTGGTCTAAAAATGAGATAACAGAAAAATGCAGTAGGTGGAAAAAAAAAAATGCCTGGTGGCCTGGTGGTAGGGGTACTGAATCCAACCCACAAGAGAGAGTTGTGTTCCTAACAGGCCTTCCAAAGACTGTGACATTTGACTGGCCAAAGGACAAAACCCAGACCAGGTTTATTATTCAGGTATTCCTCTCTCGCTTGTTCACTTATTTGCAAAATAGGGATAACAGTAGCACCTACAGCATCAGTTTCGTGAGGGTTAAATTAATGGAATAAAAATGTTTAAAAGATTATAAATCATGCTGCTATAAAGACACATGCACACGTATGTTTATTGCAGCACTATTCACAATAGCAAAGACTTGGAACCAACCCAAATGTCCAACAACGATAGACTGGATTAAGAAAATGTGGCACATATACACCATGGAATACTATGCAGCCATAAAAAATGAAGAGTTCATGTCCTTTGTACGGACATGGATGAAACTGGAAACCATCATTCTCAGCAAACTATCGCAAGGACAAAAAACCAAACACCACATGTTCTCACTCATAGGTGGGAAATGAACAATGAGAACACATGGACACAGGAAGGGGAACATCACACTCTGGGGACTGTTGTGGGGTGGGGGGAGTGGGGAGGGATAGCATTAGGAGATATACCTGATGCTAAATGATGAGTTAATGGGTGCAGCACACCAGCATGGCACATGTATACATATGTAACTAACCTGCACATTGTGTACATGTACCCTAAAACTTAAAGTATAATAATTAAAAAAAAAATGTTTAAAAGAATGCCTGGCATGCAGTAAGTACTACACAGGACTAGCTAGCTCTTGTTATTATTATTTTTATTTTATACCTTTTGAATTTGAAACCAACTGAACATAGTATCTATTTAAAACTTAATTACAAAAAAAAAGTCCTGTCCAAAAATAACTAGCAGGCATAATTTTTAAAAAATAGAATGCAATGTGAATGGTAAATGTTCAATTAAATTAAAAATAAATTGCCCATTAACTACAATCTGATAGCAAGCTTTATTCTTATTATGAAAAATAGGCATGAGCCAGGGATAAGCCAAACTATCAACCTTTAAAATGCTATAAACTGGATTGAAAAAAACAGTAGCACAAAAATTCAGTGGGTAGAGTTATAGTATTATAGAAAGCAGAAGGCTGAAAATAGATTCTGAAGTAAGCAATATTTTAAATTTAATTTGCTGTGATAGAACGTAGGTTGTCAAGAATCATGAATCCCACTAAAATAACAATGGCTATGCTTAGCTTAGCAGATCTGGCCACTGCAAGGGTGGTACAATGACCATGTAGGCACTGCAGGTCAGGCCTAGGGAGAATCGAAGCTGACCCATTTACTGGCTGTTTGATCACTGGCAAGTTATTTAGTTTATGTAGACCTCAGTTTCCTTATTTATGAAAATAGTCAGGTCTACCTTACATGGTATTATTATAAAGAGTAAATAAAGCAACATAAATTAAGGGTCTGATACATCCACTTAATTCTTTCATTTGAGGGTTCTAAAAGCAGAATTTATCTTCAATATAAATATTTCCATTTTTTAATAATTACAGAAAGTATTCATACCATTGATTCCATATTAAACATTCGGATAAAATTAATGGTAAATATTTACCAAGATACTGAAACGGGTTATTCTTATGAATTTGCAGCAACAGGACCTGGCGAAAACTACATTTTAAAACTACACAGTGAAAGAGGAAAATACAAAACTGACTCCTAAAAAGAAAAATAGGGAAGGGTTTGTTAACCCCAAATCTGCTGAAATCTCAAACCTATTTTTGGAATTACTGGATGCCAGGTTTCCATGCCAGGAATTTAAGAACTCGGTGCTTAAACATTTGTTGAAAACAGATGTGGCATTGTATGACATTGGCACCAGCTTTCCTGGGAAACACCAGATGCAGAGTTGGGCCAGATACAAAACCCAGAGAATTTGAGGCCACCACCTCCATCCTGCTGCTCCTTTCTGTGCCACACAACCCATCGCCCTATGAGGTCTATTTAAATTCTATTAGAGTTTCACTCCCATGCCAGAACACCAGGGAACATTATGTTGGGGGGGAATGAGGGAGGATGAGTCTCTTGTTATACCCTGATTTGAGAATGTTTAATCAAGTGAGTTTATGTAGTTTAAACCTCAATGCCACAATTATCATCAAATGGATACCCAAACCCACCAAGCAAGACATCTGGTTGTAATGAATTCATTAATATTAACATGATATTAAAAAAAAGTATCAAGAGAAGAAGGGAGACGGGCTGTCAGGACAACAGAACAAATGGAAACCAACGCCAATTGTCTTAACTCTTCCTCTTGTACGCTTGCAGAAATTCCTTTCAACTAGCAATACCACTTATTTAAGAATTCATATATTTAAATATATGTCCATATTTGATTACCTTATTTAAACTTTTAAAAAATTCTGACTTACACACTATACACCTATCATTTAAAGATAAATAATTTACAAAATAATTTTTGTTCCAGAATACGGAAGCTCTATCAGCTTTGAACAGATTAAAAAACAGTTTAGGACATAGACAAAATTTCTGCAAAACAAAAAGGAACCGACAAATGAAAAGCAAACAAAATAGTTCAGAAAAAAATTGTAGAAAATATGAAGATTCATGTCTTTCTTAAAGAACATAAAGTAATTAGCAAGAAATACATAAGATCCCAATAAATAAATGGACAAAGAAGATGAAGAGACAATTTGAGAAAAAAAAATTTTAAAGCGAATTGGAGGAAAAAAAACTCTTCTGTGAAAATAAAAACAGCTATAAATGATCATTAATTCAACAAGTTCACCCTACCTATGTTTACTGAGTGCTAGCTTATTGCCTGAGGATACAGCAGTGAATAAAGTAAATATTCACACTGTCAATTTGGGAATATAAAAATGATAAATCTAACACTTTTAAGGTTATAATGTAACTGGATTCCTATCACATAGCTGTAACATTTTAAATGTAAACTACTCTTGAGGAACAGCTCATAGGAATTCTTGCCAATAATAATCATCATCATCATCAGAAAGGAAGACAAGGCTACATATAGAAGGTTACCAGAAACCTAATTTATTTATTTGACATTATGTGTTACCCCTTCAGGAAGGCCCCAGAAAGCAGAGATCTTGTGGGTTACCACTGTACCTCTAGTTTCTAGAGCAGTGCCCAGAAATGAGAAGATGCCCCCTGCATGTGTCATGTGGATGAATGAATCCAGAAACATGGTCACTACAGTGTAACCTATACAAACCCAATTACACAGCTCATTTTAAACAATGCTGAAATAATATGGAAAAACTGTCATATTATAACACATTGCAGGCATCCAAAACATAAGCAGAGATAAGGAATGGGAGAAAATGTGCAAAAATTAAAGCAGAATGCAGTTGTGAAATGGTGCTAAATATTTAAGGGATGACATTTAATTTATGTGATATTAGCACCCCACTGTTTTGCAGCATGGTAATTAGGTAAAGAATCTGAGTGTCAGTTTTTACTATGCCATTTTCTACTCTAACAAATGTTTTTACAAATATTTTCATAGTTATTTTCCACTTCTTCTTAAAGCCTAAAGATAGGCTTTAAGAAGAAAACTGAGAGCAGTGTTTTACAATGTGTGTTTTTGGCTCATCCATCACAGAATCACCTGGGGTGCTTTTTTGTGAATTCAGATTCTACAACCCCTTTCCAGAAATTCTGAATTAACAAATCTGAAATGAGCTCAGAAATGTGGAATTTTAACAAGCAACCTAAGTAATGGCCTTAGAGATAGTAATCCATCTCCCTTCTTCACATGATGCCATTTAAACCTGAAGAGACTAACTTAATTACCAGAGCCAATTAGTAGCAGAACAAGAATAAAAACCCACAACTGCAACCTCCCAGTCCAATCTTCTTTGCAATAAATGAGATTCCTCTTTAAAAAACTCTTCAACATTTGCTGTAATAGCTACACTTCCACCTCTAGCCATTGTCTGTTTACTCTCTCTGGAGTAACTGCCAAAGTAAATTACTAAAACTATGTATAAATTAGAGGCAAGAAAAATAAAAATAGTTCCTATGTTAGGGTAGTGTAGGTCAATTTCATTATTTTTTATTCTATTCATGCTATTAAGTTATGTGGGCAATAAATCCCATTTTAAAATAAAAGTAAGCCTTGTTGCATGTCACTAAATCCAACACAAATTAAGATACAGAGGTTCAAATCTCACATCACTTACATTTTTATGATGAATAGATTTTTTTCATCACCTTGAAAGGATACACAAGATTACTGTGTGTGTTTGTATAAAATTTTCGAAGTTGCATCAAATCATCTTACTATTGTTTAGTGCTTTTCCTAAAACACAGGTTGATGCCCACACTGGCAGAAAGCCCTCTGCACTGAGGAGGAAGACCCTTTACTCAGCATGTCACCAGGTTTTTCACATGTGCTCTATCACGGGAGAAAACCAATGGGCAACTTTCCTCTGGGGAAAAAGGCACATACCAGGATGCGAAAATACATGAAAACGGAATGGTATGCCAGGGCCTGAACGTGGACGGCCTTCCTTATCGGCTCATTCTTGAGCCAACTCATCCTTTAAGACTGACTAAAGACCAAGTCCCTTAAGACCTGAATCTATATGATATAATGCAATTTAAAAAAAACACACACATATACACAAACAATAGTATACATTTTAAAGGTGTGTGTGTGTATATATATGTATATATGTACGTTAACGCATAGAAAAGAACTTGTATACAAGCATAAAAATGTTTACTTATCAAAAGATGGAGAGGGGTTCAGCCTTAATGCTTTAATTTTTAAGGAGAATATACTCATTTCTCATGTATATGGAAATGCTTCTAATTCACTGACTTCATCAGATGCCCTTTTTTTGCACCTCTCTGTAACTCCTGTACAACCTATTATTGCACTGACCTCACCATCCATCATATATTCTGGTCTTGTTTGACTTTTCCTCTTGGAAGACAAGACTTGTGTCCTTCTCAGTAAACCCATCATTTTTAGTGTGCCTGACATGGTATACAATGTTTATTGAAAGCATACCCTGAAACTCCTGGGCAACTAAATTATTCAATGAAAGAATCCTTAGGCTATTTCTAAAAGTTCACAAGTCAGAAAATTTCTCTTCAACCTAGACTTTAAAAAGGAAGTTTGTAGAGTGGTTAAGAAGCTAGAATTAGAGTTATACTGTTCCGGTTTTAAACTCAACTCTGCATTATAAACTGTAATTCCTAGACCTATTACTTAATCCTCATTTTCCTCATCTACAAAACATAGACAAAAATGTCTTCCTCCTATATTTGTGGTGAAGATTAAAAGGAAATGTCTACTGTACCTGGTACTCAGCAAACAGTATTCATTATGCTTTTCACACTCAATTCCTAATACTAAGGCAATAATTTCATGTACATTTTCACTAATCAGAAAGTGTTAATAAAACTTTTAAAATATTTATCTTATTCCTAGAGAATAACAGAAACTCAGACAGTTTAATGTGAGCAATGAAACTAATCATTTGAACTCTATGCAAGTCTATCAGGTCTTGCTATCAGGTCTATGCAAGTATAAACTGAATACCTTAGTTAATTTGGCAGAGTAACTTCCATACAGATACATGCAAATTATGTATTTTTAACCTCCATTCCAATAAGAAAAGTTGTAATCATCTTATTTTGTAGACTGAAATGTTCATATTCAATTTGTATACATTATTAAACTATGCTTGAGGAATATGCTAACTACCCACATTATTAATAAGCCAAGAGTGCTTGATGATGCCTTCAACTGTTAATTGGCTAAGACATCTTCTCCTCCAAAATATTTAATGTGTAAGTTCACACTAAAGTTCAGAGGATGCCTATAGTTAATTGTTCTGAAACTACTATTTGTTTTGATATTCCTATTTTTCTTATAAAAAATAGTCAGCATTTATATTCCACCTTACTATAACCCATAATGATGTATCATAAAATGAGTTCATCTTAGATCAGCTATCCAAAGTGCACAGTTCAATTCCACAATTACTAAGCATCTAATATATTCTAGGCTGAAGGATTTTAAAAGGAGTTCTTCCAAAAAAAAAGGGGTAAAGAATTATATATTATACATATTAAAAACATATACATATTAAAAACAAGGAATTTTAGAAAAAAGAAAGTCTACAGAATCAAACAAAGCTAACAGGATTTGTTAAAATTTTAGTTTACCATCAGACTCATCAAAACATTTAAATACTCTATTGAGTCCTTTGACATTAATCAAATTTAGTAAACCAATAATTTTAATCGATTTTATTTATGTAGATGTGCGTGTATAGCTAGATGTATGTATGTATGTGCACTTGAATTTGTACTTATATAGACGTGTGTGTGTATACATATATACCTTACATACATCTGTTCAAAATAAAACAGACCAATAATATTCTGTAAACTCAAGCAAATATGTTACCTGTGCTTACCCTATAATTTTCTATCACAAAAAATAAAAGCAGCACAGGGTGCAGAACTGGTCCTATTTCATCAACAGCTGTAAGGGTTCATTGGTCCTTAATTGTTCTCTCATGTAGTCGTACAATGTCATTTCAACTAAATAAGACTTTTCAAAAATTATTTTCAATAATTTTACTTCCTCAATACCACAAAAGGTGATGTCCAGTTTCAAGTTTGATGGAGGTACTTTCTTGCTGGTGGAGACACCAAGAAAATTCAACAAAATCACTATTTCTTTGGTATATTTAGTGGAGTACACAATGCTAAAACAAGACTCTATAAGTAAAATCACTAATAATCCTTCCAAACAAAACATAGTTGTTACTATAATAAAATAGCAGCAATTTGCAATGACTATAACAGAGCTCACCTGTTCGTTTTTGCAAAGCCACACACTGTTTCCACTTAACACAGTAAAAATTTTTGCCTTATAGCCTCTCAATTCAAGATATCCACATTTCTCAGGTGTAACAACAGCTTGAGACTGCGAGGTAAGGGATTGTGATTTCAGTGCATTTAATAGTATGCTGATCCAGTCATTTCTCTCCTCTGAAAATGAAGACAGGAGAAAATACATAAATCCACATATAAGTTACATAGACACAGAAACGTCAAGAAGAAATCCATGCCCTTTGCAACACATAAGTGACAGATTCTTTCCCACAACCACAATCTAAATGCTACTGTAAACAGAGCCAATGACTCAATTCTTTGAGGGAAAAGGAGTAACAATATCCAGTTGTCTTGAAATCAGTTCCACTGGCTTTACCTGAGAGTTTATTAGAAATGCAAAATCTCAGGCCCTACTCCAGATCTGATGAATCACAGGCTGTATTTTAAAAAGAACTGCAGATGCTCTGTATCCCTGTTAATATCTGAGAAGCCCTCTTTTAGATCACTCATGAGATTAGATTTTCTTTTAATAGAAGAATGTGATATTGCTACCCAACAATTAACAGATTGTATGTGGCAAGTCAGTTACTCAAAGACCCCGAAAATCCTACTTCCAATCACTTGGAACCTGCTCTAGAGTATGCCTGCTTCAGTGTCACTTACCCATTCCACTCTCACCACAGTAAATAACAATAGCATTTCACCTGGCAAATTAAAATTTGGTTCTCCTACTCCTTCCACAAAAGCTAAGTGACCTTCAATTATGAACAATGCACTGTGTTACAGGCATAGGAATTCGATCTAGTCCCCAAGGAGCAATTAAAGCTATAAGTCAAGCAAGATTTGAACACATAATGGAACACAGTAGTATAAACGTCATATAAATGGTATGAAATAATATATGAGTCAATTGAGATAAGTGATTTGCTGAAGGTCATATAGCAAGTTAGTATTAAAGTGAGGAGAATCAAATGTTTTAACTCTCGAACAACTTTTCTTGAAACTATGGGGGTAAAAAAGAGGTATATGTGGTAGATCTTGAGGATGAAGAGCAATTCAAAAGACTAAACTGGAATTTGGAAGAGGGAAGAGAATAGGATTTTGAGCAGAGGTTACCAGAAGAACAAAGGCAGAAAAACCAACATCCATTCAGGGATTAATTTATCAATGAATACATTTATAACTCTGAACTCACACGAAAAAAATGGGAAATATGACCAGGGAATTCATACTGCCTGTTTAGGAATGTTGTCTTTATTACAGAGGCAAAAGAAAACCATTTCACCATTTTTAGCAATAAAAAGACATTATAATAATACAGACAATGACAGGTAGACCATACTGGAAGCCTGAAGATCAGGGACCAGGCAATGAAGGCTTAAAATACTGTGAAAATTGAAATACAATGACTAATGAGGAATTAAGGCATTTAGGAGAGTGAAAAAAATTAGTTGTATACATATGATGGGTGTTGATAAGAAAAACAAATTACTCAGAATAAAAGGTAACGTGGCATCAGAAATTGGCCAGGCGAAGAAGGAGAATCCAATTAGTTAACAGAACAACCTCAGGTTTTCAGTGCCGTGGCATGCGCATCCACGCAGACTCATAGCACTATGTGAACAACAGTAACCTGTACGTAAGAAGACCCATGGAAATGAATTAACATAGAGTGTAAAAGGAGAAGAAACTGGCAAACCTTGAGGTACAACTATATCTATAAGGCTGGAAATTGGGCTACCAGAACATATGGAGAAGTAGTTATCAAAGCAAAAGGAAATAAAGCAAAACATACTGAATCACGAGTAGTAAAAGCTTTCACAGGATGAAGGAGGAAGAGAAAGCAGAGCCCAGTTTGGGAAATGGGACAGTTTCTCAGATCCTTCTCAGACAGGTCTGCCCAGTGACTTCATTATGGATTGAAGTAAGTCTCCGTATTACACTTACTCATATTCAAACTTGAATCCAAAGTTATTTCATAATGAGTCTTTTTCAATTATCATTGTTCTTGTTCGCCTTCAAAACTAATAAAAACAGTTGATTGTGTCTTTAATCACCAAAGTCAAAATGTTTATTAAAAAACTCATTCGATAGTGCTTTATTGCAGGTGTTACATAATCTTCCAGATATTTGTGCTTGATGGCTGGGTGTGGTGTCCCACACCCGTAATCCCAGCACTCTGGGAGGCCAAGAGGGGAGGAACATTTGAGGTCAGGAGCTCAAGACCAGCCTGGCCAACATGGTGACACCCGGTCTATACTAAAACTACACACACAAAAATTAGCTGGGCATGGTGGCAGTAATCCAAGCAACTCAGGAGGCTGAGGCATGAGAATAGCTTGAACCTGGGAGACTGAGGTTGCAGTGAGCCCAGATCATGCCACTGCACTCCAGCCTGGGCAACAAGAGCAAAACTTCGTCCCCCCGCTCCCCCGCCAAAAAAAAAAGAATTGGTGCTTGTTGCAATATATCAGGATGAAATATTTATCAAATGTCCCTAGCATTGTTATACATCATAAACCAAAAGACATTAAAATATTCAAGTAGCTAAGTCAATGTCCATATGCAGCAGCTATTCTACATTTTTCCATCTACATAAACAGATCCAGATTGTACTACAATAATTTATTACATTTTCAGTTACAGCAACAGAACTTCCACTTAACCTGGTTATTACTTGTGATCGTTAGTTTCACGTAAGATATTCCTGCCGAATAAATGGTACATAATGGTTTTTGTTTGTTTCTTTATTTGTGCTAACCCATATAAATCACTGTGTTTGAAATGTAGGTCATAATTTAATGAGTTGGGCCTAAGTGTCTATGGCTTTTAGATTACTGTTAGCATATATTTCAGTTTCTCAGGAATTACTTTAAAACTGGCAATTGCATCTGTTGGAATTAACCTTACTTTGGCTGCATCTCAACACATAGCCTAGAAGAATTATCTAGCTCCTGAGGGACTCAGTTACTAATAGGAAGTAAACAGTCACGAAGAAGAACAGGAATTAATAGTAGCATTCAGTTTATTCTGAATTAGCCATGTCAATGGAAAGGAACAACGGAACAGATAATCTAAACACAATAAAATAGATTACAAGTGTCAACTGTATTTGGCCGTGCAATGTGTGCATCCTGAGATATGGGGGAATATGCTTTGATAAGTCACAATATTCCAAACCAAATAATGATTTCCCATTGGACAAGAGTCTAGGGTAAAGTTAGATACTGTGCTAGCTTTTGCCTGTTCTTCAAACCAAGATACTTCTTATTCTTACCGATAACAAATATCTATTGAGTGTCTATCTTGATCTTAGCACTGTGCTAAGCACCAATCCTCCTGGAAACAAGCTCTGACCTACATATGGCTTGGCTCTAAGAATAGCATTCCAGGCTGGACAAAAAGAAAGGGAGTGGGGAAAGCAAAGAATAAGTGTTGAAATTGCCATTTTCTTGTGATTATGCTAGAATGTAAATACAAAACAATAGTAAATTCCTAAAACCTCAAATTAGTTCTTGATGTTTTCAGGAATGCCAGCTTAGAGTATAAGAATTAAAAAAAAAAGAGGTTTAAGAAAAATCGAGACAATATTCTCTGGACTACTGGGTTTAGCAGTAGGCATACTCCTTAATAACAAGGGATTGGTTATACTAGAGATTACTACATAAGGGCCATGCAAAACATCAACAACATTATCTAATAAAGTTTAGCTGGACCTTTACTTCTGATATGTTAATATGATCTGACTAAAGTTCCCTCAATGAAATTCCTGATCAATATCAGAGAAGGAAGTAGTGCACATAAGTGTTGTTCTTCAAATTGATAACCAATCACTCACACAAATATTTACTAAGCCTATTATGTTCCCAAACCTATTCTGAATACCAGGAATGGAGCAGTGAACAAGACTGACCATGACCTTATTCTCCTGGAGTTTACACTCTAGTGAAAGGAGGAAGGCCATAAAAACTTAAATATACATTACACAGTGGCAAGTGCAATTGGGTACCTTAAACACAAGATGGGGGGCCCAGGGAGTATTATTTTGTACAGGATACATAAGAAGCCTCAGAAGAAGGGGATGGTTAGCCAAAAGCCTGATGGGAAAGGAAGTAAAGAAGCAGGTCCAGCTGAGGAGCAGGCTGGAGGAAGAGCATTCTAGGATAAGGTGAACATGTAACAAGGCCCTGAGACAACAGCAGATTTGGTATATTCAAGGAACAAAAGGCCCTGGTAGGTGAACCAACCACAGTACAGGAGAAAGGGAACACAAAAAGATAAGGACAGAAAGACCAAGGCCAGATCATGCGGGGTTTTTGGACCTCACAAGTACTTTTTACTCTCAGTAAGATGCAGAAACTGGCCGGGCATGGTGGCTCACGCCTGTAATCCCAGCACTTTGGTAGGCCAAGGCTGGCAAATCACGAGGTCAGGATATTGAGACCATCCTGGCTAACACGGTGAAACCCGAGCTCCACTAAAAATACAAAAAATTAGCCGTGCATGTTGGCACACGCCCATAGTCCCAGCTACTTCGGAGGCTGAGGTAGGAGAATCGCTTGCTTGAACCAGGGAGGTGGAGTTTGCAGTGAGCCGAGATTGTGCCACTGCACTCCAGCCTGTGTGACAGAGCGAGACTCCATCTCTAAATAAATAAATAAATAAATAAATAAATAAATAAATAAGATGCAGAATCCATGGAGCGTAAAGTGAACTGACATGATTTGACCTTCGTATTAAATAACTGCTCTGACAAGTACAGGAAAAATGTGATGACAGCTGATCTCATGAGATGATTAAAATAATCCTGATAGCAGTGGAGTTGTTGAGAATTGGTCAGGATCTAAACACATTTTCTAAGTCAAACTGATGGACTAGATATGAAGTGAGAAGAAAAAGATTCAAGAATAACTGCATACTTCACGGCCTAAGCACCTGAGGCTTCTATTTGCTGAGATGAGGAAGATTACAAGGGAGAAAGTTTGGTTGAGAGGGTGGAAATGGGAATTTTGATATGCCAAGTGTGAGGTGTTACTAGGCACCCATGTTGGCATGTCAAGTAGGCTGCTGAATATATGACTGTGGAGTACAGGAAGAGGTCAGGATGGAGATACACATTTGACATCAGTCACCCTAAAACCAAGAGATCGCCTTTAAAACCAGACTTGGGGCCCCACAATCGAGTATTTTAAACAGAATTTGGAGTCCTAGCAAGTTCCTAAAATACATTACGTCAGAAACTTCCAGAATATCATAATGAAGTCTTCAAAGGAAACACTTAGCAAACCATCATTAATGAGACTAAGGAGGGTGAGTTAAGTAAAGGGATAGTAAATGTTTCATGCCTTGCTTTGAAAAACATTGAAGATTTCAAAAGAGGTAAGAGTCTGCTTGCCCAGAAAAACTAAGGGGGGCATTCTTATGTTCTTTTTAAAATTTTTTTTAATTAAAAAAAAAGACTTTTCCATATCAGTATCAGAGCTGCCACTGGATGGCTGTATGATGTTGTCTAAAAGCAGAACTGAGAGAATAACACACGTGCATGTTTCCCACGGGGTCTAGAATCTGCTAAGATGGACAGAAGCACAGGGCCTGCAGGTGAGCACCAGTTCTGAAAATGGCCTTGGAAAGGGAATGCCCACTCAAAATTCTTAAGCTCTCTTCTAAGCACCAGAACTGTGCACTCAAAACATCACGAGTGTTTTGAAGTATCACATCTCCATGTGTGACTGCAGGTGCAAAGGAATACAGACTGATTGGAGAGATCAATAGCTGTTATGATCCACAGACGAATTCCAGTGACTCTGCTTGAGAACAACAGGAGTCAGACTTAATTTCGTACTTTGGGAAGTGTATTTTTTAAATGTTATTATTTCAATAAAATTCACTTGCAACTAAGAGAAGAACAATGTTTCATTAGGAAATTAGCCGGGGAGGGATAGGAGCCTTAGAAAACTCGTGAGGAAAAGATTCCAAACTATAATCCTGTCTTAGTAACACCAGGGGGTGATGGAGCAGTTTAGAAATAACAACACTGGTCAGGGAAGACAAAGAATAGCTATTGTATATAGATCATTCAAAGCCTTATCACCAAAAGTAAAGAATTCATGTCTGTTAAGACGCCAAAACTTTCCCCTTTTTGTTCTAAACTTTAATTTTGCTTCTTCACTCAATCAAAATAGACTTGAATTTAGCTTCAAGTTTATTAAGTTAAAGTCCTTAAGCCACTCTAGTTGATCTACCAGTTCCCACAAAATAAAAGATAGTTAACCATCTGTATACATAGAAGGAAACTTTATCAAGTGTATTAAGTTTACACTTAATAATACTTTATTAATAACACTTTATTAAGTGTATTAAGTACACTTAATAAAACATATTTAGTGTACTGTTGAAAGTTCCATACAAAACATATAGATGCATAAACATATATATATATATATATACGTACACACACCTCTACACCCACTTATCTTTAAAATCATGAGTTGTTACTATGTAAAAAGAACTTTTAATCAAAATAACTCATTCAGTAATTCCATGTGTATACAGTGTTTTCACTGAAGCAATATGTCTATGGTTTCAAAAATTAAAGACCTACAACTTATTTTAAAAACGAAAAATTTATACTGAAGTTAATGAAATTTTTATACTGCCCCAAGTTTATATCAGAAAGATGAACTATACACCACAGAAGGATTTATCTGTCAATTGTGAACATGCACTTTTTAAACATGTGTGGATTGGTACACTCTACTTAAATAAAACGTGTCTGTTTAACTTTTAATGTGTCAAGTAAATATGGCTAAACAGATTTTCATACAAGTTGGAAGCTGTATTTAGTGTGTCTATCTTAAAATGCAGGCTACATAGCAATGTGAAATTCATTTGGAGAGTCCAAGAGAAAGGTGATAAGCACCTCAAAGAAACAAGCAGTTACCTTTCAGGGTGGTGGAAACCAAACCATAAGGAAAGACTGTCATAATAGTCATTCAAGAGAAGCAATGCCATGTGCTTCAAGAAACACAGTAAGAGAAAAACTCTGATTTCAAATGGAACTCTCATATCAAGTATCACAACTGTGGACAGTTTTCTGAATTTCAGGCAATAATTCACAAAAAGTGGCTCCTCATATAGGTAATTCTAGGTAAAATGCTTGAGGGCAGGGGTTTGCACACTTTGTCTTTGAAAATTCAGATAGTAAACATTTTAGGCTTTACCGGCCACAGTCTGTGCCACAACTACTCAGTGATACCACTGAGTGTGAATGAATGAGAAATGAATGAATGACAATGGTTGTTATCTAACAAGACTTTATTTACCAAAACAGGCACTGAGCCAGATTTAGGCTGCAGATCAGTTTGCTGACCCCTACTCTGGGACTCTAGCTTTCGTTCAACATTATTTTTAAATACTAAGAAACTTTTTTTATGTTACATCTATACACTATGTACATAGATAGGTTTCACAATATAACATCTACTTTAAGCAATGCACTTTGATATTTATTATTTTCTGTTTGGGGTTTGTCTTTTTATTGAGGGAGGGTGTTTCTGGTGACATCATAAACCACTAAGTTGATCTCAGTAATCCACAGTTTGAACAAAGCTGCTCCAGTGTGAAGGCCGGCTGGAATGTACCCATTTATTGAGTACCCCAAGAAACAATGGAAACGTTTTAGTAGTATATAATATTTATTGACTGCTTTTTATGTGCTATGCACTGACATATGTGCCAGGAATCTAGCAGTTAAAAAAAAAGAAAATGTTACCCCATAACAGTTAACACTGTAGTCATTTCCAACTGGTGGTGAACACTCTTATCTGTAAAAATAGGATAATAATGGATGGGCGCAGTGGCTCATGCCTGTAATCCCAGCACTTTGGGAGGCCGAGGTGGGCAGATCACCTGAGATCAGGAGTTCTAGACCAACCTGACCAACATGGTGAAACCCCGTCTCTACTAGATACAAAAAAAAATTAGCTGGGCGTGGTGATGCATGCCTGTAGTCCCAGGTACTTGGGAGGCTGAGCCAGGACAATCGCTTGAACCCATGAGGCGGAGGTTGCAGTGAGCCGAGATTGCGCCATTGCACTCAAGCTTGGGCAACAAGAGTGAAACTCTGTCTCAAAAAAAAAAAAGGATAATAATTTTAATACTACCAACCTTATGAGACTGTTGTGAAAATGAAGACTTAGCAAAGTGTCTGGCACATATCAGGTATTCAGTCAATTTCCCATACCATTATAATTCAAATAATTAAAGCACCAAGAAGTACTTCTAAAAATCAAGTTGAATTATATATCTATTCCTAAATAAAAGTTGTCCATAAAATAAGTTAAATACTAATTCTTAATGCGATGGTATTATCTAAATTATTAAAACCAGTGAATTTATAGTAATGACATATTATGATAGTCAAATAAAATACACAACAGAGAACTTTTAATTTCTCTGGCTCCTCCCCAACCCTTATTCAAACAAAATTCAGAAAATATTTCTCTGTACACATTTAAACTCAATCCAGAAAACATGTGCCATCTTTGGGTCGGCTTTTACCATCAAGTGCCCCATAGATGATATAGATGAAAAGAATTCAAGAAATATAAAAGATGCTCCAAAATCTACCATAGAATGATTACTGTGCCTGTGCGGTCAGCTAAAGCGGGGGTCCCCAAACCCAAGACCATGGACTGGTACCATTACATGGTCTGTTAGGAACAGGGCCACACAGCAGAAGGTGAGCAGCAGGCGAGCCAGTGAAGCTTCATCTGTATCTACAGCCACTCCTGGCTGCATCTATAGCCACCACTGGCATTACTGCCTGAGCTCTGCCTCCTGTCAGATCACAGGTGGCATTAGATTCTCACAGCAGCACAAACTCTACTGTAAAATGTGCATGCAAGGAATTTAGGTTGTGTGCTCCTTATGAGAGTCTAATGCCTGACAATGTCACTGTCTCCCATCAGCCCCAGATGGGGCCATTTAGTTGCAAGAAAACAAGCTCAGGGATCCCACTGATTCTACATTATGGTGAGTTGTATAATTATTTCATTATATACTACAATGTAATAATAACAGAACTAAAACACACAATAAATGTAATGTGCTTCAGTCATCCAGGAACCATCTCCCCACCACCGGTTCATGGAAAAATTGTCTTCCACGAAACCAGTCCCTGGTGCAAAAAAGGTTGGGAACCACTGAGCCTGCCATAAATGTCCATATAACCAACTTAATAGTTAGAAAAATTGTTTTTGCATATCAAATAACTATTTTGCATTATCAAAACAACATCTCAAAGGTTAGCTCCACGAAAGCAGAGAATTGTGTCTACTTTTTTTCACATTGTATATGCAGAACTTATGAGTCCTTAGCACACAATAGGCTCTCATTAAATATTTGTTGCATGAAAGAGGAAACAAATAACTTGTCAACTTATTTATGTTTTAACATTATGCATTTGAAAAATTAATTTTAAAATGTAAATTATCAAAAAGTAATATATTTAAAGGTTTCTTGACATTCCTAGTCTAACTGGTTTATTAATATGATTAGTCAGAAATTAATGTATTTCATATGGATAAATAAATAATCTCACCTTCTTTTTCTACTCTAAAAACAAAAGTTCTTTGTGTTGTAACAACTTCAAATTTGTTGTCTCCTTGAACTCGTACTGTTGATATAGCAGAAAGGGGAATTATTCCTTTCGAATACATCTCCTGTATTGGTTAGAAAAAAAGAGAAGACATATGAAAACGAAATTCTCTTGATCTTATCAAAAAAGAATGGCACAGTATTTATAACTGCTTCTCTTTATAATTTCAATCCAAATTTTTTAAATGCCATACAAGTAATTTGTCCACTCATATTCTCATGTAATACCCTAGAAAAGAAACTATTAAATATCCCCTTCTTTGAAGTGAGATCTTTTCAACTTTCTCTTCATCTGGAATTAAAAGGGAAAGAATCAAATACAAACAATCCTACTAAACTAGCAATACAGAGTTCCAAAAACCAGCAGCATGTTCTTTAAAACAATCTGCTCAAAATGATTTTATGGTGTTTGCAGGCATCTGCTGGCCACAACAGGTACTGTAACTGAACCATTTTGAAACGAGTTTGTTACTTATTAGGAACCAAAATATACCTTAAACACATATCGGGTTTTCTAAATTAACCATGTTACTCAAAGCTCTGATGATGAGCATCTCAACCTCAAACTGTATCATTTTAATTTTTACTCTTCAATGAATAAAGAATAAAAAAAGACAGATTTTTCTGTTTCCAAACAGCATATAAATATTACAAATTTTGTTTAAAAAAGGTCATTCTTAAGACTTCGATAACTTTTTAATCCATCTTCATTTTCCTGGACCCTCTCAAATCATGTCATGATAACTACTGCACAATTTCAACTCTTTATGTTTTCTGGGCCCCGTGTTGGAAAGAAAATTCAGAGTGCTTATACTTTCAAGGAGCCTCAAAATGAAAACCCAGCTACTGCAATGAGAGAAGAGTTTAAAACTGGGTAAAAACTAAGGGATTTAAGAGTACAAAGACGGAAAATCTCAATTCTGCTTAAAGGCTGTGAGGTATACCTTTACAAACATGGTGGTATTTAAATCCGACTTTTAAAAAACCTTAATTTTAACCAGATAGACAAGTGCGTGGGGGGCATTCTAGTCAAAAAGACTAAATAATGGAAGTGTAAGGCAGAGAAATAAGAGGACAACAACATAGAGTCAAAAGATAGGAGGCTGATAACGCATACCAAGGACACATTATAGAAGGTCTGCAATATTAAAAGAGTTTGGATACATCCTTAAGGGATTTCTTTATCTCTTCCCTTCCACAGCGTTATCCTTGGAACCCACACTTTTGAGCAGGTCCCAGATATAACTGATTTGGAAAAAACAGCAAACCATTCCATGCAGGGAGCAAGTACTGAGTTTATATTTCTCCTAGCCATAAATTCCTGCCTTAGCAATTGGTAAGGGACAGTCATCATTAGCATCATGGCATTCTACCAGAAGGATATCCTCTTCTGCTATTTAAGGAGATACACTATATCATCATGGCATTATCTCTGAGTATTTTTTAAGTTTCTTCTCCTTCACTAGCTCTGTTCCAATCTCCCATCCCTGACTTTATTTATCCATCAAAATCCTATCCATTCTTTAATGTAATCTTAAATACCAATGCAATGAAGGCTCTCCTATGTCCTCCCATGCAGCCAAAACTGAGTATGGCAAATGAGCTGTGATTCAGGAAGATGAATGGGCAACCTTATACAGAAAAGAGAGAAGGATGTCAAGAAATAAGCACTTAGTAAACAACTTATTTCTTCTCCTTTTTACTTTATCTTCTCTCCCTATAAAAATCCTTTTCCACTATTTTTTTTTAATTTTCTAAATTAACACATAATAACTGTTCGTATTTATGGGATACATAGTGATGTCATGATACATAGTGATGTCGTGATACATATAAAGTATAATGACCAGAAGAGGTAACAAGCATGTCCATCATCTCAATTATTCATCATCTCTCTGTGTTGGAAACATTCAATATCCTCCTTCTGGCTATTTGAAACTATATTAAATTAGTGTTAACTACAGTCATCCTACAGTGCTATAGAACACTAGGACTTATTCCGCCTCTCTAGCTATAAGTTCCTGCCCTTTAACAAATCTCTCCCTATGTCCTCCTTCTCCCTACCCTTCACAGCCTCTACTATCCTCTGTACTACTTTTTACTTTGGTAAGATTCACTTTGAAAAAAGCTTCCTCATCAGTGAGAATATGGGCTGTTTAACTTTCTGTTCCTGCCGTATTTCACTTAATATAATGTCCTCCAGCTCTACCAACTTTATGCAGAGTAATCTAAAATTTCTCTCTTCCTTTCTTATCTATTCATTTCACTCAATTTCACTGCCATATTTCAAGTCATCAGTAGTCTATGTAACTGTCTTGTAAGCACCATAAACTGTAAAACTGAATTTATTTTCACCTGAAGACTTACACTCTCCTTATATCTGTCCATTAAAATATCAACTCTTCCAGTCCATCTGAAATAGAATGAAGTCATCTTTGACCTTTGCTGGTTCCTTTGCACCCACATAGCTTGCATTCTCCCCACATCTAGAATAAACTTCCTCCCCACCACTCACCAACTGTGAATTACTGTCACATTGGTTTTCTTGAGGTTTCCTGAATATATCACATTTCTACCCAAGCCAGTGCCTTTGCATACACTGTTTGCTCTGCAACGAATTGTCTTCACGCCCATCTGCACATACTTACTGCCTCCTCAACCTTCATATTTCAGCATAAATATATCCTCCTGAAGAAAGCCTTTCTGACCAGCACATTCTCTCAAACCCCTCATCCTCACAGATAACCCTAATTTAAGCTAACAGCAACCTGGATTTTTCCTTTATAACAATTATTCATTGTGATTTAAACGGTGACTTTATATTTACCTGTGTGATCATTTAATTAATATATTCTCCCCAAATAGGCTTCAGGTCATTTATCTACATTCCTCACCACCTTTCATGTAGTTAATACTATAGAAATATTTTCTGAATGAATGAATCCTATGTCTAATCAATCACAATTATAACAATCTCTGATGGCTCATTTTTAATATTTCTTGAAATTCATTTCTTATCACTTCCACTGAGGCTCCACTGAGCCTATACATTAGTCTACATGATAATAACGCCTGGCTTAGTGTAACAGTCTCCTGGTTTGCCTCCCTACTTTCAGTTTGTTTTTCTTCTGAATTTTCCTGCATATTATTTTTCAAATGTCACACAGTTGGAGAAAATCAAGAAAAGGCTCATGGAGGTGAATAACAAGATGGGTCTGATGTTTGCACAGAATGTTGATGGATGGCAATGGCTAGGGAGGCTCAGATGGAAGAACAAAAACACAAGGGGAACATGTAGGAAAAGACATGCTCCAGTTTCCCATAGTGTATACTCAGTCACTGTTTAAAAAGATCATTAGGCAGAGACACATGACATGATTGGCTTAACAAAGGAAACCCTATAAATCCAAGTAGGTTAAAATGGCAATACAAGGCCAAAACTAGACCAATAAGTGCTCTAGAAATTCAGAAGAGGAAGATAAACTCTTTCCATTGTCAGGCAACCTAAGGATGTGGGAAAGGGCACAGCATCTTTGGGGACAGTGTAAGAGCCCCTCTGCTCTAAGTCTGTAGAGACTGAGACCAGACAGCAGGAATTAGAATGCCTAAAAACATTTACAGTTTATCCCCTACGTGATCTGTTTCCAAATTTTAGCTTGCATAAGAATTAGAGGAACTTATAACAACATCCCTCTAGTGAGATAATTAACTATTTGTTGAGGAAAATGTTACCATTAACCCATTTTGTCACTAGAAATAAGTCAAGTAGCACTGTACTGAAAGAAACAGGGACTAAAAAAAGATTATCTTTCTAATAGATCCTGTTAAAGAGAAAACAATTCCTTAAAAAATAACCTACACACCTATAACAAGGATATAGTTAACAAGTAAATATTTCTGGTAGAATAATAGAAAAAAATAATTCCCCAGAGGTGATCAAAATATACTTAACAAGCAAAATACTATGTCACTAAAACCTCAGAATGTTGTAGTTTATCTAATGGCTGATTTATAATCTAGTATGAGATCCCAAGAAAAATCTTGTAATTTTTAACACTGTAGAGCTGATTTTTATATTTGTCTTGCAACAGTACAAGATAAAGACAATAAAGAAAAAAATACTCAAATGACAACAATGCTCAAAATGCCTGTGTTTTTCAGAGTATAAAATTTTCCTTAAGGAAAGAAATTTTAAAGCATCCCTTGAGCCTGTAACACACAGGTATCTAGGGCAAGCCTGTCATTTATCTACCAATTTGAGACAATGAAACGATCACAGGGCAATTCTGCCCACAGCTGGGTGAAAATGGGGGTGAGTTAGATTTCTTTGCAGGGGATAAAATATCAAGGCTGTTTGGATCATGCCATTTTCTGTGATATAATGAAGGAGTCCTTACAGAGACATGATTGGCGGCCTCAAAGAAAGTGGAAGAAACCTAGGGAATGTGTAACTGTGCACGCTACCTCCCAAAGGCCCAACCACATGCTCCTCAAGTGCACATTTAAACATTAAAAGACCCAACTGTTCAGTTCTCATAGCTGTTAACACCGGGTCACCCAGCCAAAATAGTGGCTATGGCCACACCTATGCATCCCTTTTGCTAGAAGAGTCACAACAGAAACTCTCTCTCCTTTTAGGAAACACCAAATCCAGTGTTTCTGTTTTTTTTTTTTTTTTTTTTTTTTTGCCAAAATGTAACCAACCATCTAGACAATAAATGGATGAAGTGTCACAGAAAATAACAACTTAAATTTTTTTAATATTAAGCTAAATGATTTGCAATATCTCATTTTTATATGAACTTTTTAATTTCAAACCAAGCTGCATCATTTTCATTGCATCAATAACTAAAAACGTGAGAGGTCCTCATCTCTTCACTGCAGTTGAGATAAGCTTTAAAAGAACAAACAGAGGGAAAGAGGGAAAAACAGTCCAGTTTGACACAGTTACTAGAAATTATCTCAAATGAAAACAATGGTAGTGCCAGCAACAGTTTTATGGCATGGAAGCCTGTCTCACTCCTGAGTAGTTTTCCTCCTTATTTCAATCAAACCAGAAAAGGTTACAGGTGCTGGAGAAAACCAGCAGTGAGATTCCATCAGCTATAGAGACTACCTTCTACTCAACCTAGGCAACGAATTGTCTTAAGACTCAAATGTACAAGCAAACTAGAAAAAAATAGTAGCTAAAACAGAAAACAGCTTTTAAGGCTGGTCGTGGTAGCTCATGTCTGTAATTCCAGCACTTTGGGAGGCCAAGGCGGCAGATCACTTGAGATCAGAAGTTTGAGACCAGCCTGGCCAACATGGTGAAACCTTGTCTCTACTAAAATTACAAAATTAGCCAGGCATGGTGGTGTGCACCTGTAATCCCAGCTACTCAGGAGGCTGAGGCAGGAGAATCGCTGGAACCCAGAAGGCAAAGGCTGCAGTGAGCCAAGATCCTGCCACTATACTCCAGCCTGGGCAACAGAGCAAGACTCTGTCTCCAAAAAAGAAAAAAAAGAAAATGGCTTTTCAAAAATATTCATCCAACCATCTTGCAAACCTCCAAGAGATGTGTTTATACCGATTTGATGCTCTGAGTCACTGCAAAATGAAACCAAACAATTAACACCTCTCTATATCTTCCATTATTCTCAGCCATAGAGCATGCAATGTGTGTTATGTTGCAGTATGTGTTACTGTCTAAAAGCATATATTCTTCTGTCCTGCAGCAATAAAGAAGCAATATATAAAAAGAAGGCTAAATATCTATTAGAGCCACAGGTATTGCCAATATTAGGGGGTGGAAATCTCCAAATAATGAGAAAATTATGTTAGATTATGAGCTACAAAAAAGAGCATGTGGTTAAATCTTAAAATTAGTGTGTTAAGAGAAAGTACATACTTAAGACAAAAATCATCTGATTTTAATTAACTAAGCATATGGTAATATATTTATTAGTTGCAACTTCAAATTCTTTTCATGTTGAGAATCTACCTCCTATTCTTAAAAACCAAACTGCTTGCTTATTTTACTCTTCGTATGCATAAAAAAGCAATTTTTGAAAACTGTAAAATGTATTTACCTTCTCATTATTGTAGTAAGAAATGCTAAGGCCATCAAATTTCACCCATCTCTTTTGAAACATGCGTTTTCTGCAAAACATATGAAATTGTTATTTTACATTCAAGTAACATGAACTTAGATTGTTAAATTCATTTGTAATGTAACCGTGTAAATATATTATTATTTAATGTTAAACACCATAGACAACAATAGGCTATGATAATACACAGTTTTGGCCATGGCACATAGGAAAAAATAGCATAATAGTACTTTCTAATCAGTTGACCTAGGAATTTTTTGTTAATGACAAAATTAACAGCGTTGTTGCACACATTTGTAAGGTTCGGTGCACAACAAAATGTGGTCAGAAACACTGTCACTGAACCCATTTCTAATAATAAAGATAATCCTTCCACGAAGATAATATAAGCTTTCATCCCTCATTAAGCTTATATATCTATTTTATTTTCCCTTGATTTTTGTTTTAGGGCATAAATATCTTACTAAAATAACAAGGCTTTGTCAATTGGATTTACATGGAAAACATATTGAATTTTGATTAAGCTGAAAAAGACCTGAACAAATATACAGAATCATTTATAAGCATTCAAAATTCAGTGAAAGATTAGTATATTTTTTAAATGATCATATGAAAGGCAAAGGTAGTTTAAAATGGCTACTGACATGAAAAACAAAAGCAAAAAAAGATATCACATGTTGCAGGCTTAAAAGAAAAAATAAACTATTTTTCTGACTATATAAGGAAGAAGTGAAGAACTGTTTTTACTTAGGCTTGCTTTTTATTTTTATTTTATATTCTCCTTCCCTGAAGGCAGACAACCATAGGTACTTTTGGTCTTTAACACAGAAAATATACGAAAACGAACTTCTTATTTTTTAAAAAATTTAAAAAATATTATTTCTAAACAAATATCAACTCTGTCTACCTTGTGCTTTTGCAATTTTCTGAAATGTTTAAAACAAGGAGTTGGCATAACTTTTCTTGGCTCTCAGAAGACAATAGAAAAAGAACTTCAGGAAGTGTAGAGAGCTTGTCTCTGGGCTGGTTCCCCAGCCACACATCTATTATGCAAGTGAAACACAGCAAGCCTCCCAAATTAATTGTTAGCAAATATGTTCTGCATAAGATAAAATTATACCAAATCTGATCAAATATAAAAAATTTTTGAGATTCTTTACTGCAGACAACATTTTCACATATAAGCATTGAATTAATTATGAAGTAATAAGAACATGTAAATTTACATGTAAATATCTTAAAAGCATATAACCACTTCATATTTAATTCTAATTACAGAAAAAAAATATAAAATAAAAATTTTGGCCAGGCGTGGTGGCTCATGCTTATAATCCCATCACTTTGAGAAGCTGAGGTGGGTGGATCACTGGGCAACATGGCAAAACCCTGTCTCTACAAAACATACAGGAAAAAAAAAAATAGCCAGGCATGGTAGCGCACAACTGTTGTCCAAGCTATTTGGAAGGCTCAGGTTGAAAGGATCATTTGAGCCCAGGAGGTGGAAGCTACAGTGAGTTACGACTGCACCACTGTACTCCAGCCTGGGCAACACAGTGAGAGCCCCATCTCAAAAAAATTACTTTAAAAGCATATTACCACAACTGACCACCCAGCCCTCTTTCCATCTTATTTTTCATCTTTCAGCTTCTAGAATTTAACTTTTCTTGGCCTGTCTGCAATGGGTTTTCCTCACTTTGCAACATCCAACAGTGTTAGAGCCATCTGGTTTTTACTTTTTCTAGCAACACAGGGTTCCTTAAATTCTCAGCATTAAATGTTGAAAGGTAAAGAAATATTAAGCAAACACAATAATTATACACTGGATAAATTAGTCACTTTTTGCTCATTTCATTTTATCTCTTCCACACTTAAAGGCAGAGAAATACATACCTTCTAACACAATCCAAACAGTAATTCAGTAAATCAAGATTTTGCTTTGGGACACAACCCACTTCACACTGGGAATGACAGTAAGCTAGAGCTCAATTACATATATAATCTTCCATTTTAAGATAAAAATAATTAACATCTGTGGGGGATAGAGCCCTTAGGGCCTCCCATTACCCCACTATTCCCTTTGCTGACTCCTTATCTTTCAGTTACATCTAAACCAACTACAAAGAAATCCCTTCCCTGATGACCCGATCCAAAGTGGATAACAAAGTTATTCTCTCTCTCAATACCCTCTACTTTTCCTCATAGCACTTAACACAACCTCTAATTTTATATATTTGCTTATTTGCTTAATGTTTGTCTCCCACACCAGGTCTTATGCTTTACAAGGACAATGTTTATTTCCTTCTGTAGGATCAGCAAGTAACACAGAGAGGAATATGGCACTGAAAAAGAATTTGCTGAAGGAATGAGTGACATGATTAAAAGCACAGTCCTTCTGGCACCATGGGTGGGATAACAGACAAATAAAAACTCAAATGATCAGCACTCATATAATCAGCATCTTTTAAAAGAACGGTTGAGGGAATGCAAGAAAACTTCAGAACACGCAGAATTAAATTCAAAGTTTTGAAACCTGCCAAAACATCAAGTATAAAAGGTTTACAACCTATTTTCACATGTCTTACTTAAGATTAACTGCAGCCACTCCAACACTTAAAACTTTCTTAGAATTCCATCACCATCTTGATAGACAGTTTGTGTCTGAGGCATCATCCAGTTACTTAATATTTGTGTCCACAGAAAAAGGAGGAGGGGAAGAGGGAGGGCCGATAGCTTACTCATGTGTTAGGCTTAAGGATCAGTCGAAGATGCAGCATCTGACTAGCTACAACTCCCCTCTCAGGCGCTCATAATGCAAAGGACACACCCTACCACTGGCTCTCTGAGGAAAATCTCAGCCTCTGAGAGAATCAGCTCCTAAGATATTCTCCCAATTATTTTAATTTTTTTCAACTGCCAGGTGACTATTTGATGTCTTCATCTATTTTTAACTCAATATTTTTAAAGATTATTAAATCTCTTTAACATTCTATGAAGGGACAGGTAAATAAGACAAATCCCAGCCCACAGTGAAATGGAATGAGAAACCACAGGGTGTAGCAGATGAAAGAACATGAAAGAACAACTGCCCTACAGGTGGAGAAAGCTATTCTGCACTCCTACCATCGAAAGTTGGCTTCTGTGGTCACGCATTCACCCAGTCAGCCATCAAAATCTGTGGGTACATACTCGGTGGACACCACTCTCTGGCCGCACTGCCTCTCTTCTCCAGACTCTTTCTTGCCTCATGGCCTTCCCATATGCCATTGTCTCTGCTTGGAATGCTGCCTGCCTGCTCCTAACATGGCTGGCTCCTTCTTATTCTTGAGAGTTCATCTTTAACGTCATTTCACCAAGTGACCATTCCTGACTATGCATAGATCATTTAGGTCTCTTTGTTCTCTTGCTCCATTTCTTTACTTAATGACACTAAGCAGAATGTGTAATGATATATTTGTTTTGGCTTCGTATACCACCCATACTAGATTTCTTTTTCTTGAGCCTTCCTTATCTTTTTGCAAAATACGCATTTTATTGATACATATTAATTGACATACTTATGGGGTAAATGTGATATTTTGATATACGCATACAATGTGTAATGATCAATCAGGGTAAATATATCCATCACATCAAACAGACTTTGAGATCCTTGAGTACAGAATCCATTTCTGTTTCGTTCATCAATATAAAACCAGTGACTATCATAGTTCCTCACGTACAGCGAAGAAACGAATGAATGTATTTTTCACTGAAAGATATTTACTTGAATTTCTATCGTATAAATATAGAAATAAACACTACTGAAAAACTTCATCCTTACTTTTATTTTTGCAAATATTAAAAACCAGATTTTTATATGACAAAATAAACACTTTGTAAAACTACTGTTGCAGGATCCTCAGGGTGTTGCTTTTCTGGCCAGAAGCCTCTGTGGCTGGTGGCACCTTTGCCTGAGTTCTGCTCTGGCCCACTGGGTTTGTTCCATCCATTTGGCTTGAGCAGGCTGTGCTCAGCTCACGCTACCAGCCTGGATCCCATCACTGCCAACGGCAAGCCAGGTGTGGAGCAGTGAGGGGTGTGTGAGCAAGTGAGCATGGGGTCCAGCCACTGCACACAGTGAGGCACCCCAGCTGCTGCAGCGGGGCAGCCAGCACAAGGTGTCTGCATGGGTGCCGGCTCTCTGCAAGGCTGCAGCTGGACCAGGCACACCAGAAGCAGCTTCCACAGCTGCCACCAGGAAACATGGTGGCGGCTGGAAGCTTGAGACTCCAGGAACTTAAGAGGTCCAAAGAGGGAGTCACAGCCCTGCCTCAGGGAGCTTCCAGGTCTCGGTTCCCCGAAGGGCCGCAGCTCTTCTCCTTGTTTTCACCCATAACATGATGAGAAGGCGAAGTGTTTCAGCCCTGTTTGTGTTACAGCTCTTTCAGCCCCGACATCTCCCAGGTCCCAAGTTCTTGTGCTGTGTCCAGAAAGAAGGAGGTACGCAGACAAGTGGAGGGTGAGCAAGGCGAAGAGGAGCTTTATTGAGTGATAGAATAGCTCAGAGGAGGTCCTGGGTGGGGAGCTCCTCTCTGCAGGCAGGTCATCTGATGTCTGCAGCTATCAGCAGAGGGTAGGCCCTGGCCATGGGTAGCTCCTCCCTGCAGCTGGTCGTCCTGATGTCTGCGCAGCTCTGGCTGATCCGGGGGCTTTTATGGGCCTCAGGGGAGGAAGTGTGCACCAACTGGTCCATGGGCAGTCATAGGCAGACCCAGAAAAGGCACCACAAGTTCCTACTGTGGTCTGCAGGACTAGCCGGCCCCTAACCTTTAGGCCCTCCCTGGCCTGAAGGTGGGGACTCACCAAGGACCTGCCCCCTTCTGCCCATGGCCCAGCTTCACCTCCTGCTGCTGTTCATGGCGCCCAGGCTGTTCATGTCAAGAGGTGTCTGCAGGCCAGTGCTGAGTTGACCTCAGCGCTTCCTTGGCTTTCCTCCCTCCCATGCTCATCAGGACCCAAAGTCCAGAGTGGGGCTGAGGCAGCAGGGAGCTGGCATGTCAGCACTTCCCCAAGAGTGCACAGATCCAGATGGGCTGTGACAGTACCTGGCCCGGGCCCCAATCTTGCTCTGAGATAGGAGCAGACACTGGGAGCAGGGAGAAGCCAGGCAGTTGGAGCAGACATCTTTGAGCTTTCGTAGGTAGGGGGTGGCCTTCTGGTCCCCAAGAGTGCAGAGATGCCTGGCTCTGCAGCCCTGACTTGGGCAGAGGCTGCTGCAACTGGGAACACAGGGCTCCTGCCAGCTTCCAGCCTCCACCAAGAGCACAGGGAGGCCTGGACTCATAGCCACAACTTGGGCATCTGTAGCTACACCCAGGAGAGCAGGACTCCTGTCTGCTCCAGTGGGAGGCCTGGAGTGGGAGGCCTGGGTCCCACAGCCACAGCTTGGCAACTACAGCTGCACCCGAGGAGCTCCCACCTTACCAACTCGGAAGGGGCAGGGCTCCCACTTGTCCTTGGCTCACGCCATCTCTGTAGAGTATGCAGCCCTGGCCACACCTCTCTGCTGCAGCCAGTGTCATGGCAGCAGCGGCTCCAGATGGGTCACCACTGCCATCACTACCTTGTTATTAAAAAATGAATAAATAAGAGCCTACAGAAAGCTTGAAAAGTTTACCATTAATTTCCATGTAATTTCAAAATACATTTTAGAATTAAAAAAAATTTTTTTTGAGGTGGAGTCTCACTCTGTCACCCAAGCGGGAGTGCAGTGGCACAATCTCTGCTCACTGCAACCTCCACCTCCCGGGTTCAAGTGTTTCTTCTGCCTCAGCTGACGGAGTAGCTGGGACTACAGGCACATGCCACCATATCCAGCTAATTTTTGTATTTTTAGTAGAGACAGGGTTTCACCATATTGGACAGGCTGGTCTCAAATTCCTGACCTCATGATCTGCCCGCCTGGACCTCCCAAAATGCTGGGTTTACAGGTGTGAGCCACCACGCCTGACCAAATTAAAAACTTTTTAACCAACATCTCACCCTTAACCCCACCTCCCAGTCCCTGTTAATCACCATTCTACTCTGTTTCTATGAGTGTATTTTTTTTAGATTCCACATATACATAGATACCACGTAAAGGTTACAAACTTTCAGTTATAAGAATAAATTCTGGAGATCTAATATACAGCATGGTGACTATAGCTAATAATGTATTGTACACCTGAAATTTGCTAAGACAGTACATCTGAAGTGTTCTTATCACACACACACAAAAACAAACTCTGTTAGGTGACAGTTGTTATTAGCTTCTTTGTGTTAATTATTTCACAATATATAGGGATATCAAATCATCACACTGTATACCTTAAACACATATAATCTTTGAAAATCACATCTCAATAAAGCTGGAAACAAAAAGAAAAATTTAAATATGGTTATTTAAAATGTATGCATTTGATACTCTCCTATTTAAAAATGTTAAATAACCAATTTATTTTTAAACCTAAATTCATATAAACATTGAATAATCTATTTTCATTAAAACTATCAACATTCAATTAGTTGTTTTCCACATGTGAACTTCAATACTGAATTCCAATAATTAGTTAATTAAAGATAAAACTTTACACTTATATCTTTTCTCAGCACTATTCCCTTTTTTTATTTTTGTTTATTTATTTATTTTTTTTTTTGAGACACAGTTTTGTTCTTGTTGCCCAGGCTGGAGTGCAATGGTGCAATCTCAGCTGACCACAACCTCCACCTCCTAGGTTCAAGCCATTCTCCTGCCTCAGCCTCCTGAGTAGCTGGGATTACGGGCATGCACCACCATGCCCAGCTAATTTTGTATTTTTAGTAGAGATGGGGTTTCTCCGTGTTGGTCAGGCTGGTCTCAAACTCCCAACCTCAGGTGATCTAGCTGTCTCGGCCTCCCAAAGTGCTGGGATTACAAGTGTGAGCCACCGTGCCCGGCCTCCTCTTTTCTAGCACATGGAAAGTTAGATTAATTCATACTGGTAAACCTTACAAATTAATCAAAATTTCAACTAAATAATAAAAGGAAAAGCTTGAGAAGTCCTGTGCTTCTAACTGCCCATGTAAAATTAAATTAATAAATATCAATGATTACTAAATGTTTAAGAATTTTCTGTGCAAAAGTTCAATACTCCTCTCATGTGTTTTTAAACATATATTCACTATCCGGCAACTAATTTCATTGTAATTACATATAATTAATACATACACTATAAGAATTTGCCAAAGTACTTCGAAAAGTTTTCTCTGAAGTTGTATCTTTAAATTTCAATTACTAGCTTAATTTGCTTCACAAATTTTAAAAAACAGGAAAAGATAATGTATACAAGACAATGCCTTCTTAGCCTATGTTCCGGCTACCATACAATACAAATTAGATCTGAAATAATGATGCGTTATTACACAGAAAATAGATTTAAAGTTGCAATCAATAAAGAAGTTATTTGGTACTACATTTGGTAATAAAAATAGCAAACACATAGTCCTTTTTTCCAAGAACTGTGTAGAGCCACACACAAATATTAACTCATTTAATCCTCCAGACAAACATGTGAGACAGGTAACATTATTATATCCATTTTAGAGTTGAAGGCACAGAGGCAGTGGTTGCTTAAATAATATGTCCAAGTCATACAGGTAATAAAGAACATATCTGGGAGTGTCTTCCCAAAGACTGCTCTTAACTGCTATACAAAGCAGACATTAGTACATTTTATAGCTAAGTACCCAGGACATCCCTGTAGGTAGTAATAACATTTGACCTCTACATTTTATATGTGAGTTCAGTCTTGCAAAGTACTTCAGAATTCCTTCAGGAAAAAAGGTAAAGCAGACATGAAACACATTAGCCTGAGTTTTATCTCATTTTGTTTTTAGGGTTCTGAAGGGAAACATTTATTTAAGAAGCTTTTTTCGAATAATTTATTAGACTTGTGCAGTATTATTGAACATATTTCTATAAACTCTTCCCTTGAGCTCTGGTAGGGCAGGTGGTGTAAAGTTTCAACTGCTTTCATAAAAACAGCTTCACCATCTGGTATCAGTTTTTGTTGTCTCAAAATGTGTTTCTTAAAAATTATTTTTTAACAACACTGTATACACACACAATTAAATCTCTATTTATGAAGTACTCACACAGAGGCACTCTTGTTTAATTTAATTCCTAAGTGCCAGCAGAGTTTTTTTTTTCAAGATTACATCTTTAAGCTTAAAAAACAAATCCTAATATCTAACAAGCATGCTAACTAACCAATGATACCAATCTAAGGTGTGAGAAGCTACCAAATTGTCACCTTTAAAAATCACACAATTGGAAAGAACATCAAAGACATTAAGTCAAATTTATGGCTTTTATTAATCCTGCCATTTAAGGCAATGAAAAACATACTTCTCAAATATTCTAAACAATCTCAAAGGAAAAAGTATAATCACCATGCTGTTCCAGATTCATCTGCCTTGTTTACATAGCCCTAAAGAATCACAGCATATTTTATGTTATTCCCTCCTCTAACCCTAACGAGACCCAATATTTTCTAGGACTACAATCTCCATACGTATTTATTTTTATTTATCTAATTACTCATTTTTATTCAGCTATTTATTTATCCAATTATTCTTTTAAGAAGCAGAAGACTTTTAAACGATACAGTAACAAAATATTTTAGAGAGAGAAAGATGCAAGGAATTACTAAAATATTTCTATAAAATGCCAGCACTTCTCTATTCTAAAGAGCACTTTCTCACTTTTGAGCAAACCAAAATAGCAATTTCCAAGATTATATGAACCAAATGAGCTGGGGCCAAAAAACGAAAATAAAACAAAAAAAGTATCTTCAATCTCAGCTTCCATCTCTGCTATATCTACATCCTAAAATGAGAAGAAAAAAAAAAAGGTACTCAACATAAAATTCTAGGGGCTAAAAAGATTCTTGGAAGTCAATGATAAAGCCTGAATTTTAGTGTGCAACTACCAATTTTAAAAATATCTACAAAGAGCTTAGTGCTTTCATAAAGTGGTGTATAAAAAGCTATGTTAAAAGATTCACACTTCTTTATTTTATGGAGTCATATTATATAAAATACAACGTGAACCAGCTTCCAGTTAAAAATCTCAGTTAAAAGCTTGCATTTACTTCTACTCCTCCCCAAACCTCACTAAAAGACATCAAAGGGTTAAGAAATAAATAAAAATAAATAAATGCCTGCAAATCAACACTGACCAGAGAAGTCGAGGACAGTAACAATATCTAGAAATCTGGAAACAGAAGGAGAGATGTGAACTGATCGCTAATCCAGCATTCGATTAAATTAAGAGAAAAACACATTTACTCTTGCATTACCTCTGAAAATCTCAGGAAATAGATACCAAGTAACTCTGGAAGTGACTATGAAAGTGAGGGTGAGGTGCTGATAATGGATATATTGAAAGGCAGTTTAAGATGTAGACTTGCACTCCAACATCACAGAATCCTTCTCCCCTACTTCTCACTGTTGGAAAACTGTCTCTCCACCTTCACTCAACATAATAGTCTAGTTTTATTCAATGGAGAGAATAAAACAGGAGGTTTTGGGGCTGGGAGACTCAGGCATGGCTATATTAAAGCAGAGGAATCAAATAAAAGTCTACATCATAACTATCAATACTCAAAGTCCACTTTCCCACATGAGCCACCCAAAAACTGGTTACCAGGCCTGGCGCAGTGGCTCACCCTGTAATCCAGCATTTTGGGAGACCTAGGTGGGTGGATCACCTGAGGTCAGGAGATCAAGACCAGCCTGAGCAACATGGAGAAACCCCCTCTCTACTAAAAATACAAAAATTAGCCAGGCATGGTGATGTGTGCCTGTAATCCCAGCTACTCAGGAGGCTGAGGCAGGAGAATTGCTTGAACCTGGGAGGTGGAGGTTGCAGTGAGCCAAGATCGTGCCACTGCACTCCATCCTGGGTGACAGAGCAACACTGTGTCTCAAAAAAACAAAACAAAACAAAACAAAAAAAACTGGTTACCAGGCCTATAACACTCAGGAAGAAGATTCATTTAAAAGATACTAGCATCTAGCATGAGGCTTCTGTATGGAAATACATTACTAAAAAACCTACCATGATCGTCTTACAAGAAACAAATAGCAAGGCCCATCAGAGCCTACGGTGCTTCCGATCAGTTTTGCAGTATTTTACTCTAAATTGACAGCTCAAGATTAACATAACATTTGAGAAAAATACCACTAAGGTAAAAGATAGGGACAAAACCACTCCTCCAAAAAGTTAAAAAGAAATAGACTCTACAGGAAAGCGTCAAAAAAAAAGTATTAGTATCTTCAGAGAAGTAAAAGGATTTATTTGTGAAAAAGTAACACTATGCCATAAAAAGAACAGTCAAAAGAACATGTTTTGTATGTTAATTACAGTATAACAACAACAACAAAAAAAACTGGGTTAGGAAACACAACTGAAGAAACTTCCTAGTGAGCAGAAAGGGAAAATGGAAAAGCTGGATTTTTATCAGTGTTTCAGGGCAAGAAGTCCAACACCAAACTATCAGGAATTCTAGAAAGAAGAAAAGTAATTGAAGAATAAAACAAGAAAATCTCCAAGAACTGAAAAATAGGCTATGTATAAAGTATCAAAAATGAGATTTCTCAATATTACCTCTAGATTACTATGGATCTAGAATACAAATTACTGATCTGGAGAAGTATTATTTCCAGTTAAGATTTCTAAAACATAATAAACCAACAATAACAATGTTTAGGGGGGAAAAAAAGACATCTTCAAACATGGAAGATCTGAAAACATTGACTCCCTATCCTCCTTTTCTCAGGAAGCTTCAAAGACTTGTGCTTTATCTAAAGAAAAGATGGAAAGACAAAAACACTAGAGAGAGGCATAGAGAATCCCAAAGATGATACAAGGGAATCCCAAGATGTTAGTGTGCACTCGGCCTGGGGAACAACCAGCCCAAACTAAAGTTTTCTTAGCGGGCTACAGGATGATGAAATTGATAGGTATATTTATTTTGGTTACTTCAGAGATTCATATGTTGAGGAAGAATTTTCAGATGAATGAGTACACATATTAAAAATTAAGCAAACAGGCCGGGCACGGTCGTTTATGCCTGTAATCCCAGCACTGTGGGAGACCGAGGAGGGTAGATCACGAGGTCAGGAGTTCAAGACCAGCCTGGCCAAGATGGTGAAACCCCGTCTCTACTAAAAATACAAAAATTAGCCAGGTGTGGTGGCAGGCGCCTGTAATCCCGACTACTCGGGAGGCTGTGGCAGAGAACTGCTTGAACCCAGGAGGTGAAGTTTGCAGTGAGCCAAGATCAAGCCACTGCACTCCAGCCTGGGCAACCGAGCGAGACTCCATCTCAAAAAAAAAAAAAAAAAAAAAAAAAAAAAAAAAAAAATCAAGCAAACAAAAAAATCAACAATTATTATTTCAAGAAAAACTAAACATTGTCAATGAAAAAAATTAATCATACTATGCTACATTGTTCAAAAATGAGTAGCCTTTATAGTTATACTATAAAACAAAATTACAGACATCTAAATATTTTATGTAACTATTTTAAAAGGATAATAGGAATTGTGTCTAGAAGGGAAGGAGGGAACAGTGGTTAAAATGAATAAATATGATCTTCCATGGTGGTACATCAATAGCTAATCCCTAACACTGAAAAGTTAAAAAAAAATCAGTATAAAAACAGTAAGACATATAAAACAAATGCTAAAGTAACTACAAAAGAGTTGAAAGTGGCTGCCTCTTATGAAGAGGTTGGAGGTAAGAAATGTCACTTTTTTTAAAATAAGCTATGTACTACTTTCTGACATTTAAACTATGTGCTTTTATAACAATCAAAAAAAATGAATTCTGAAAGTTCAGTGTGAACACACGATTTCTTTGCCTTGTATTTATCAAAGTATGAACTGACTAGGACTCACAGTAACATTATTTAAGGTCCTCTGCAATAAAATGGTGTCCTGAAAAAAAAAAAAAAGAAAATCGAGGTTTATTGAGCATCAATTAAGAGTGAGGCCCAAAGTTACCTACTTTTCCAAATGATTTCACAGAGATAGTCTTGACCTCACACATTTATGTGAAAAATGGAGGTTCTAAGAAGTTGAGTCACACAGCAAATGAATGATGTCTGTCTGATTCCAAACCCTATTCATTTCTCTGCAGCTAGGATGGCTGAAAGGAATTAACCAGGTAATTTTATGGAGAATGAAACTTTTTTCGTCCTCAAACTACAAAAATATTAAAGCTTTTTATTTCCTTGGCACAATGTTTACAAGTAGCTAGTGCTTTGAGAAATGCCCAGCTAATTTGCAGATTAAAAAGAAAACATACTTTTTATCAAGGATTTCGGATTCACTTTTAAGATCAACAAGGTGACTGACATATAACACCCTAGTCAAACATGGACTTGCCAACTTTCTGCAACACCTGCCTTCACCGCAGCCCCAAGAAAGCATACCAAGAGACCCAAGGCACTCAAACACTTGCGTAGCCAGGTGGAGAACTGTTCCAGTAAAGGAGCCTTGGAGACTGGATGGTGACATGGAAACCAGTCACTGACAAAGGCACAAACAGCATAAGCTCTGAACTCCTCCCAGGTCTTGGGCTATTGGCTTCTGGGAGCTCTGACTGCCAGTCGTTGTCTGAGCTCTGACCTTTCCTTTGTATTTGATTATTGGCTTTTTCACTTTCCCTAGTTACCTGTTCTCTGAACATGCTTTTCACTGGCAGTTTCTCTCTCCTGGTCCTAGAACCCAACTGTCCATCTTCAATAAAATAACTCCAACCTCCACCTGCTCACTATCTCAACCCTCAAGTACATCTAGATATCACCTCTATGAGTACCTTTCCCTGTAGACAGAAGAGCATTTTACCTAAAAATGCCAGTTAAAATCTTATCCGTTTTGCAAAGGGCAATTCAACTGCTACCCTCTCCTTCCAGGAAGGTCTTTGAAGAAATGCTTTCTCAACCCTTGGTAACCTCAGGACTCTGTATTCTGCAGACCTTTTTGCTCCAATTATTATACTTTTGTCTTTGGGTTTTATCACTATTCACATATATATTTCTTTTCTGCACTAAATGGAAGCTACAAAAAGACAAGTAACACATCTTGCTCATCTGTGTCCTCCTCCACCTCCAAGTGCTGACTTAACCTCACATGATCAACTTTTAGCTGTCTCAGGCTCACACTGCCACATCAGTCCTTCTCATGGCCAAAAAAAAAGTTAAATTTAAAAAAAGAGGAATTTCCCCAAGTAAGAAAGTCCTAAAACATTTCAAGTAAAATAGAAATTCTTTAATATACAGTGCAGTTTTTATAAAGATGCTCTGTGTGTTATGCTGAACGCACAAACATCCTTAGAAAATAGTAATGTAAAAATTCAAAAAGGTTTCCTTATTGCAGATATTCTTGGAGATGTTAATTTATGCATCTCCTCGAAGAGGCACAGCCATCCAACCATGTTCTCTTTTCTTTACAACAGCTTCAAACATTTCTCTTCTGAGATGCATATTTGGGAAATGCTGGAATAAATTATATCCAGTCTTTCATATTTGCATCTATGCAAATCTGCTGAAAAGCTTAAGTTTATTATTTACAGCTGCGAAAAAGTGAAGAAGATGATTTATTTTAATCCTCAAAACCCAGTGAGAGGTTTTTAAAAGCAAGTATCACTTATTAAGCTTTTCATCTGCTTTGACCTGTTTGAAATACAGCCCCCCAAATTCAACATTTTATTGTTTCTTTCACACAGTTTTTAAACCACTAGTTTTAGGGATGTTATATTTAGGTCAATCAAATATTTAAACAACTTTTCATATTTTAAACTGGAAATGTTTCAGTATTTCTTTTGTTGTATGGTGTTATGCAATTATATTCTTAACCAAATATTGGGCAATGCTCACATATTAGGCATTGATTCAGAATTGGCATTTCCATTTCAAAAGTAAATAGACAACCATGCGAAATAAGCTCAGATTGTGAATGTGATTATTTTGCTTAATGTCATTCATTAAACAAAAGACAGTTTCAAACACTATTTGAAAAAGTATAAACTAGAATGTGTCTGTTAGTTTTTAAATTGTATTTTGACAATTGTATTTTGATAATTTATGTGCATGTCTTTAAGGGGGAAACAATTGTTAAAAAAAAAACCCAAGAGTTCACTACCCTGTTAATGTTTATCAGTATTATCAATGGTTCCTGGAAATTTTCACCCACAAATATGTTGTTGAGTTCAGCAGCTTGTATTACAATGTTCTTATAAATTGCTGTTTTAGAAAAATTAAAAGAAAAATATGCCTAATGCTAGGTTTTTCACAGATTCGTTCCACAGCAAATACTAAGCATCTACCACGTGCTAGACAATGTTCTGCTAAGGCTATCACAGCACAAGAAAAGCAATGCTGATGCCTGTCCCCACGGAGCTTGTATGAAATAAATAAATCATCTGGCCTGTAAGCCCTGTAGAAGAAAGTAATTAAGGGAGTGATGGGGTGGCAGGGGAGAGCAACAGTCGTAGTAGTAAATTTGGTGGCCAGGGCTTAAATGCAAAGGAGACATTTTAGCATGAATTTGAGAGAGGTTCAAGCCATGTTACTCTTGGGGAAAGAGCATTTCAGGCAGAAAGAACTACAAATGCAGAGGCCCCTAAGGAGGACCTCTGCTTTTTATTACTTCTGTATTTTATTCGACCACAGCCTCATTCATCGGCTTACGTATTGGCTACGTCTGCTTTTATGCTATAACTGCAGAGTTAAATACTTGCAACAGAGACCATTTGACTATAAAGCTTAAAATATTTACTACTTGACCCTTTACAGAAAAAGTTTGTTGACACCTGCTATATGGAGTTTGGAATCCCATCTCAATCAGCGCTATCTGCATCAAAGAGACACGCAGCCATGAGTTAAACGAAACTCAGCAACCACTGCATAAGGAAGGGGTAGGCATCACTTTGTCTACTTTAATGAACATCTTAAACCCTCACAATAGCCTACAGAGCCTAATTAGGAAAGGAAAAATTCTCGATTCTACTTCTGATTTAATGAATGCATGCCTTTTGGCCAGCTACACATATTTCTTTCAAGTCATAGCAATATAATCACGTAGAAGTGTTTTAAAATTTCTTGGTGATATACCAAGCCCCTTGGTTTATTTTCTTATATCCACTCATCTCGGTATTTTGGTTGGGGGTGGGGTGGGGGGAGCTTTAGGACAGAAAATGCAATTATTTCCCCTAAAATGGAAAAATATAAATCCAGAAAACTTACAGCATCTAACCTTAGGCAGGTTCAGAATAGAAAGAATGGAAAGTCAAAGTTCTGAAAAAGAGAGACAGAATATATTGTAACTGTCCCAGAGGTGGCCAACAATAGTGAAACTTTCTGAATGTGCCTGGAGCATAAACAGACCAACCCTGTAAAGAGCAAGATCTCACCTGGGACGCACAGGAAACCACAGCCGCTGGGGGCTTTGTACTCAAAGTCTGTTTTTTCTTCCAGTGATACTTTAAGAGAGCACTTGGACCTCCCTAAATACTTGGATTTTATAAAAATGAAAGATTCAAGAATATTCAAGTTCACTGATTCATTCCACTAGTGTTTAGACCTGAGCACTGATCCACATGTTCGACATCTGAATATGCACTTACCAATAATACTTAGGACTAAAAAGAACAAGCAGAGGGTTTTGTCATCATAATGTAACCAGAAAGAAGTGACACACATAGCTGATAGTAAGAAGTAATCTGCTTTGGTTTATTCAAAATCAAATTTCCTAAAAGAATGAAAATATATAAGGTATTAACATATAATTGCTAACCATACAATTTCGGGGTGTTTTGCTATCTTTTGAAATGTTAATTCCTGCTTCTACTAGTCATCTGATGCTGCTTCTGGTAGTTTTTTTTTCCAATTAAAATTATTTTAGATCAAACCAATCCTTTCTAGAAATGACACACATTTCAAGAGAATAGGAGTGAAAACCAGCACACTGTAGGGACTCACCACATTAGCTACTGATACATGAAAGCTTTAATCTCAAAAGAATTTAATAATCCATGAAAAACATTTCAAGTAAATATTTCAAAAAGACATCTAAAAATTAGGATGCCAGTAAACAATTCTAATTAAATATAATCCTTCCCTAAAGATTTCTCAGTACTGTAAAATGCTTAAGGGACAAAAGTTTCTTTGTAAACATTTGTTGATAAATCCAAAGAAAAGTATAATATTCACGGGACTCTGACCTTCTGTGTAACATACAAAAATCAAAATAAGATATCAATAATAGTGAAGACCTAAACCTAACAAAGATGTACTTTTCCCTAACAACAATAAGCCTTGTATTCTCAAACAGAACACTGTTATGATATGAGCAAAAGCCAAACAGTGTGGGCTGAGTAATACTAACTCAGTCTGTCTTGTTTTTCTTTGTTACATACTGGGACACAGATTAGCACATTTTGATGCGAACTTAGAAGGTAACATTAAGAAATTAGATGTGAGGTCATAACTTTCTATTTTAATTTGCGACTCTGGACCTTAATGCAGCATTGCATTGCACATCTCTCTCCTTATGTCTAAAGAATAGCACTGGCAAAAGTGTGCTGAAAGTCCCTAAAAATGGCATCTCTGTGTATGTGTGTGTGTGGCGGTGGAGTGGGGGAACAGCAACCCTGGAGGTTTAGAAATGAATAAACTTGAAATTTTAAAAATATGCCACTTATGAAATAAATGCATACGTACATACCCTTGAGGAGAGAGTTTATCCAGCCATCCTGATTTAACCTTCTTTGCAGATGCTCCATAAAAGCAGGCATAGGGAGATATTGCCTGTGAAGAAACGGCTGATGAATCAGCATTTCCACTTGTTGAGCTTAACGGATAACTGTGCCTATTAACGGAGTCCAAAATCAAGGCTTTTTGAGTCCTAGATTTAGATGCCTTTGAATTTTTTCTTCTTAAACTCTGAAAGCATTCTTCTACTGTTGAGTATTCTGATTCAGAAGCAGTGTCTATCAAAAAATTGTTTTTGTCCTCTCGAGGTATCCAAATATCTTCCACCTTGTCCTCGCTTATTTTCTCCTTTCTGTTATCGTATATGCTAAACGGAAAAATGATGTAAACATTTCAAAGTGCTATATGTGATTTAAGACATCAGTGACATTTTGAAAATTTATAAATAACTAATAACAGAAACATAAGGCCAGGAAAATCCTAGAGTTTCCATTAACCCTATTGAAAATTTTTTAAACTCTTCCAGAAAAGCTAAGTAAAATTATTTCATTAACCTATGACATCTGAATACTACTACAAGTTTTTTCTTAGGTATAATTTAATCTTATCCCTTTTATTTTGGAAGGTTAGGGGCAGGTGCTAAGAATGCAGACTGGGTATATTCTTCACATCACAATTTAAACATCTTTAATAGCACAATTAAGTGGCCAGCCCAATCCCTCTGGGCAACATGACGGACCATTAACTCATCTATATGGAGATCTTATTTCCAATTTGCTTACCCCTCTCTACTATCCTCTAATCAACTCCAAGGACCCCATGTTTCACCACAATGCAATAAAACAGAGAGTATGCCTGACTGCTGAGAGCATCAGTATTATTTTGCAATGCTGATGAGGAAAAATATTGCAGCACACTGCTAGCTAGAAAGCAAGAAAGGGTCAGTGTACATTCAGGAAGTAAAAGCTATGTAATGCACAATATTTATTGGAATGCATTCATAATAGCTAAGCATATTTCTACAGATTCAAGGGATGACATAATAGATCAACTCATTCATTAATGCCAAAGGACATTTTTTGCTAATCAATGAAACAGATATGCCTGGGCTCAAATTACATCTTTCTGGATATAGCATTCTAAAAACCATTACTGCCTCAAAGAATAATTTAGCCTGGCCCTTTCATATTTTGCATTATATTAGATTATGTCAAATGTTTACTAAAGATGTTTAATTGTTTAGCTTTAACTGAGGGAAACCTATAACAATGTTAGCCTTAGAAAATGAAAGACAAAAATAAAATGAATGTCCCACTAAAAAGTATAATTAAACTGTTGGCAATACAAAAGAGGAATGCTTTGGGGGATGAATATTCCGTTTTCCATGATGTGATTATATTATGCTTATATCAAAATATGTTATGTACCCCAGAAATATATACATCTACTATGTAATCTCAAAAATTAAAAATTAAGAAAAAGAAAATGAAGTATCAGGTAATGTGCCAGTATGCCAAGTTCCAATAAAGCTGAGAGAAAACCAAAATTGAAGTTGGTGCATACAAATTCTAACTCTGTATGTGATCCAAATAACTGGATAATTGTCATGCTTCTTGCCAGTGCTGAAACTCCAATAAAAAGAATATATTATACTTGTAAAAGTCTGCAACTTGCATAGTGATGTTCTGCACTGCCCTTTTCTCCTTTTTATTAACATAACCTCTCATCTTTAATGTGCAATCATAGTCACCTGTATTTGCTACTGTGGGGAAGGGGTGTGGTTTCCATTAGAAAAAGACAAAAATAATCTGCCACAGAATGCAACTATTTACTTGATCTACAGAGCATAATTCAATTAATAAAATGGGTGCTGCTATGCTTACATTTAGAGAGGAAAAAATTGAACTTATCACCATAAACTATTTTCTCTGACACACAATATTATACTAAGAATGAGAAGTCAACATTGTATAACAGTTTATTCTAAATAGTTAATCATCATCAATCATGATCTCATACCTTGATTTGATGATAAAAGAGTTTGTTGCAGTAGCTGCTTCCCCTTTGAGTGCTTCTCCCTGGGTCAAAAATTCATTCTTTATAGATCGCTTCTATTAAAAAAGCAAACAAACAAAAAACACATACTGTTTTGCTTTTTGGTTTGGGGATTTGTTTGTATGTGTAGCAATATTCTACAAAAATCCATAATATCTGAGTTTAGTTTTATTAAATAAGTCTAATTACTTAGATCAATTTTCAGAAAAAAAAGTTAGTCTACATTAAACAGACTTTTGATTTTTTTTTCACTATTTTATTCAAATCGTTAACTCATCAATTCAAGTAAGAATAAAAGAAAATGGTAACCAAAAATAAAATTTATGTACTTTTACTCCTTGATTCATTTTTGTCTTCCAACTTCTCTTTTATCAAGACCAAGAAATAAAGTAGCAAAAGAGCACAAGTAATAGAAAAGAATGAGTGATAAACTAAATAATTAAAATATATACATAATTGGAAATCTATGCACTTCAGAAGTCTGCACTTGGCTACAAGGCAAAGCAAAAATCTAGAGAGTGCTTAAGTTTTATACAGTTTGTCTTTTGTTTAATTAACCCAATCTTGTGGCAAATTTTTAAAACTCACTATCCTGGATTCCTGAAGTCATAATAAACATGTGTTCCTATAATGTATATTGAAAGAGACAGATTTTACCATAATTTTACTGAACAAAAATTTTGCTGACTGGAAATTTCAATCTTCAATATAATGCCATTCTTCAAATAGCTTGGAGAAAAATGAAGAGGTACAAATAGGCAGAAAAGCAAATAATTGATTATGGAAAACAATTAAAATGTATGGGACTAACCTTGGAATTTTCTAGTCTCTGGAAGAGAAAGGTCTCTCCATAAGGAAAGATGGAAGATGAATTCTCCTCATTTGAATCTTTTAGGGGAATTACAGGATGAGAACAGAAAGATGTGAATAATGTGAAATACTGTTTTTAAAAAAAGATTAAAAGCATGAGTTTTTTATGGCATTATCACAACGTAAGCTTTATTCTGTAAGAGTCCAAATTATGCTAATTCTTATCCCCAAATCAATTCTCCCCATCGTCTTCTTGATATAACACACATGGTATCCACCACTTGCTTCACAAACATAACTCACTGCTCCTTAAATTGCAACCTGTCACACATGTCCTTCCCAACCTCTAGGATCCACATTAACATAACCAAATACATTGCCCACATACAAAATAAATTGTCATGGTGCCATTTATAATGCTAATTCCTAAATAAGGAAATATTCTAAATGGCAGAAAATTAAGCTTAATTCTATAACTTACAATAAATAATTATAAAAAGGTCACTAACATAATAGCTAGATATCACTTAAAATCCCAGAAGGCATTTAATATAATTCCTCTAATGCCATAGCTACTAATGCATCTGTAAATAAATTATTTCAAGAGAAGTTCCACCATCCTTGAATTATACTAATCTACAAAAAAAGAATTCTCAATATTTGCATTTCTACTCTGGCAAAAATTTTTCTTAAAAATTCAGTACCCAAGTGTTTGACATCTTATTGTCAAAAAGAATGTTCCCAAACTTGTATAATCAGAATTTTCAAAATGAAAGAAAAGCCTCTGTCACTGTTCAATTTGCCAGAGCAACAATGACAGCCCTTTCCAGTTACCATGGCAAAATCACTTTCCGTACATATATCTTTGTTCTGTAGCTCAAACTGCCAGAAACCATTTAATTTAGTTAAATGCCTGCAACTGTGGCTAATGATAAATGAAGCTTGTATAAAAAGAAAACTTCTTACATTAGCATGTACAAATTTCCAGGAGTCAGAGTGTATGTTATTGCCTTTTATTCAGTCCATTTTAAAAGTGTCTGAAGTACTATGAACACTGGCAGACAGTTATTTCCATTGTTCCCTATACCACAGGTGGGCTGCCTTCGCAATCATGATTTTAACACAGTTAAGACTATCAAATGAGCTCTAATTTAAGGAGACATTAAACACATAGACTCACTTTGCCATGCCACAGATTTTTCAGTTGAGGTAGCAACATTTCTTCTTTCACGGAAATAGCTTAAAAAGCAAAGGAGAAAATACTTATGAGTGAAAATATTTATGATATTTATGAGTAAAATTAAAATTATTAGAAAATATTATGAGAAAATATTTATGATTTATATTTAAGTGAAGGATTTATTAGAGAGCTATACATTCTTTTGGGTAGAAAAAACAATATTCAGAAATTAATTCTGACTTGAAAAAAGCTGAACAGCCAAATTCCACAAATGTATTTTTGTATTTAGACTTTTAAAGGAAGAAATTTTCTTTGCAAAGGACATTTTGTACAAGTGTTTGCTACTCACATCTATAATTTACAAAAGTAAACATATTTTTCCAATGCTAATATGCACATAAAGTAATTTCAAAACTGCTAGTCATATCTCTGAAACAGATTTACTAACTAGATGTCAGTATTTGTGTAGCTTTTTGTCTTTAGCTTTATAATACTGAGTCAAAAATGTGTCTGGCTCTGTAGACACAATATGAAAATACACACAAGATCTTTCAAAGATCTTACAGTCTCGGAAGGAAGATATTACAGGGCAATTATTTAGAATACAACATGATAACAGCAGTGGCAGAGGTAAACATTGTAGAAGCAGAGGGTGATGAAGGCCTTCTATCATATAACAGAGTTCTCTTTTCCATCTAAAAAATGGAAAAATAACTTTTAAAAAGAAGAACAAAACTGGCAGATTTATACTATACAATTTCAATATTTAATCTAAAACTACAGTAATCCAATCATTGTGCCATTGCTGAAAGTATAGACATATAAATCAATGGAATTGAATAGAAAGTCCACATATACAGTCCCACACATCTTTGGTCCATCGATTTAAGAAAAAAGTTCCGAAGAAATGCGGTGGAAAAAGAGTAGCCCTTTCAACAAATGTTGCTGGAACTGGATATCTCAATGATGAAAAGAAATGAATGTCAACTTTTGCTTCATATCATGCACAAAAATTAACTCAAAGTGGAGTTGGGACCCAAATGTTTAATGCTACAACTCTAGAAATTCTGAAAAATATGAGAGAAAAATCATTGTAACATCTGAGTAGGAAAGATTCCTTAAATAGAATAAAAAACTAAAACCCTAAAAAACATTGAAATTTAGTATTTACCAAAATTTAAAACTTATAATGTCACGTACTAGTGACAAGTGGTTTGCCCAAACCAAAAAAAGGACTCTTACAATCCAGTAATAAGAAATACAACTCAATTTTAAAATGGGTTAACCTGCCATGGTGTTCACCTCTGGTCCCAGCAACTCAGGGGGCTGAGGTGGGAGGACTGCTTGAGCCCAGGAGGCGGAGCCCTGCAGTGACCCATGATCGTGCCACTGCACTCCAGCCAGGGCAACAAAGCAAGACTTTGTCTCAAAAAAAAAAACAAAAACAAAGCACACACACAAGAACAAAAAAGAACCAGCACGGGCAATATAGAGAGACCTTGTCTCTACAAAAATAAGTAATAATAAATGCTATTTTTTTAAGCCTGGGCACAGTGGTTCATGCCTATTATCACAACATCTTGGGAGGCCAAGGTGGGCAGATTTCTTGAGCTCAGGAGTTTGAAACCAGCTTGGGCAACATAATGAAACCCCATCTCTACAAAAAAAAAAAAAAACAACGAAAATTAGCTGGGTGTGGTGGTGCATGCCTGTAGTCCCAGATATTTGGGAGGCTGAGGTGGGACGATTACTTCAGCCCAGGAGGTTGAGGCTGCAGTGAGTCATGACTGCATCGCTGCACTCCAGCCTGGGCAACAGAACAAGACCCTGTCTCAAAAAATAAATAAAATAAACAAAATGGAAAAATGCAAATAGTTGTATCACAAAATATATGAATGTGTGATACCACCACATACACATTAGAATAGCTAAAATTAAGGCTGTCGATATCAAGTGTTGGAAAATATGTGGAATAATTAGAACATTTAAGTAATGCTGGCAGCAAATAAACAAACAAACAAATATATAAATAAATACTGCTGGCAGGAATGTGAAAGGGTGCATCCATTTTAGAAAATTGCTTGTATTTTCTTATAAAAATAAATAGTCACCAAACTTCAAGGCCCAGCTATTAACAATCCTACCAAAAATATTGAAAACAGATGTTCACAGAAAGACCTGTATACAAATGGTCACAGCAGATTTATTCTCAATAATCAAAAACTTGAAAAAACCCAAATAGACATCAGGAAGTAAATGATAAACAAATAGTGGTGTATGGATCCAAGAGACTACTACCCAGCTGAAAGAAAAAAAAACTACTAAAAAAAACTAATAATCTAAATAAATCTCAAAAATCATCATGCTGAGCAAAAGAAGCAAGACATAAGAAATACTGTCATGCATGGTTTAATGACAGGGATACATCCTGAGAAATAGGTTGTTAGGCAATTTCATCATTTTGCAAACATCATGGAGTGTACTTACATAAACCTACATGGTACAGCCTACTTCACACATAGGTTACATGGTATAGCCATTATATTCTTACAGGACCAATGTCATCATTGTGTGGTGCAGGACTGCATATTCTATCTTATTCTATATGAGCATGTGAAACAGGGATGGACTGTATAAGAAACTAAGAAACTCTTAGAAGTAACAGAACTGCTCTGTTTATTGTTTGTGGTAAAAATTTCATAGGTTTACATATCTTTCACAACTCATCAAATTACATGCTTTAAAGGATTATAACTTTATATATATATTTTTTGACCTCAAAAGGAGTTGTTTCAGAATGAATTCAGCAGCCAAGCATGGTGGCTCACACCTGTAATCCCAGCACTTTGGGAAACCGAGGTGGGCAGATCACCGGAGGCCAGGAGTTTGAGACCAGCCTGGCCAACATGGAGAAACCCCATATCTACTAAAAACACAAAACTTAGCTGAGCGTGGTGGCGGCACGCCAGGCACCTGTGATCCCAGATACTCGGGGTGGCTGAGGCAGGAGAATCTCTTGAACCCAGGAGGCGGAGGTTGCAGTGAGCCAAGATCACGCCACTGCACTCCAGCCTGGGTGACAGAGGGAGACAGCGTCTCAAAAATAAATAAATAAATAAAATACAAAATACAAAAATAAAAAATAAAAATGATTTTAGCAAACTTACTAATAGGGTTGACATATAAATATCAATTCCATCCCCAAATATCAGTAAACAAAATGAAACATTAAAATGGTGCCAAATAGTATAAGGGCATTAAAAAACTACCAAAACCTAGAATTAAATCTAGCAAAAGATTTGCAAGAACTGAACTGGAAACCATTACTGAGAAAATTAGAAAAAAATCTAATTAAATTAGAAAAATATGAAATACTAGATATATGATAATACTAGATAAATAATACTAGATAATACTAGATATATGATAATACTAGATAATACTAGATATACGATAATACTAGATAAATATGACAATACCCCCTATATGAATCTGTAGTGTCAATGCAACCCTAATCAAAACAGTTACAGGGAAGGGGGTGTGTGAGATTTAACAAACTGATTCTAAAATACATGTGAAAAACAAAGGACCAATAATGACAAATTTTTAAAGAGTACAGTGAGAAGACATACTCTACCAGGTTTCGTGATTTATTATATAGCTGTAGTAATTAAAACACTATATTACTGATAAAAAGGATAACAGACTATTGAACTAGAATTAAGAACCCACTTAAAGAGACCCAGTTACATGGATGGAGCAGGAGGTCATTTTCCTTAGCAAACTAATGCAGGAACAGAAAATTGAATAGCACATGTTCTTCCTTGTAAGTAAGAGCTAAATGATGAGAACATATGAGCACAAAAGAGGGAACAACAGACACTGTGGCCTACTAGAAGTGGGGAAGTGAGAGGAAAGAGAGGATCAGAAAAAATAAGTATTGGGTACTAGGCTTAGCACCTGTGACACAAGTTTACTTATATAACAACCCAGCACATGTACCCTAAAACTAAAATATTAAAAAAAAAACAGAGATCCAATTGCATTTAAGCCAAAGACATCAACCTATAGCAATGAGGAAAGTATGGTCTTTTGAAAGACTAGATCACCTGCACATCTATATGGAAGCAAATGAAAATTTACTCCTACCTCAGACAATACACAGAAACCAATTCAAGACAGATTATAAACCTCAGTGTAATAGGCCAAACAATAAAGCTAGAAGATAAAAATAGAATATTTTTATGTGTCCTAAGACATAACAGTTTTAACTCTAAAGGAAAGTGCACATAAATTTGACTAAATTAAGATGAAGAACTCTTATTCATTAAAAAGTCACAATTAAGGAAAATAAAAACAATATGCAGAGGCAGAAAGATATATTGTACAAGGGGTTTATACCCACAGTTTATCAGTAACTCTTAAGAATAAATAACACTTAAGAAACACACAAAAAAATGCAATTTAAAACAACCAAAACCAAAATAGGTGAAAGATCTGAAAAGGCACCACACCAAAGAAGATATAAATGTAGCAAAAGGTCAATAAACAAGTGCATAAGGTGTTCAATCTCATTAGTTATCATGAAATGCAAATGTAAACCACAACAAAATAACACTACACATGTATCTACATGGCTAACAAAAAACACACAAATGTTGAGGGTATGAAACAAGAGGAATGCACATACACTGTTGATGGTAATGCAAATTCATACAACTACTTTATAAGAACCATTTTGCATTATCTACAAAAATGGAAAATATACATGTCCCATGACACAGCAATCCTACTCCTAGGTCTGTACTCAACGGCCATGCATACAAATATGCCTCAAGAATAACCACCCAAATATATGTCAATGGGCAAATGGATAAACAAATTGGAGATTCACACAAAGAAACACTATTCAGCAATAAGAACAATCTGACATGCAACAACACAGACACATCTCAAAAACATCTTACTGAATAAAGATGTGAGATACAAAAGAGGACCTGCTGTGTGACTCCATTTATATAAAATTCCCAAATAGGCAAAACTAACTAATAGTGAAATCTACAGGTGCCTGATTCAGGAAGTAGGGAATTTACTGCAAATGGTCACAAGAGAATTTTGGGAAAAGTGGAGATGAGTGATGGAAATGTTCTAAATCTTAATTGTTATAGTGGTCACATAAGCATGTATATATGGAAAATTAGTCTATTTTATATGTAAATTATGTCTAGTTGATTTATATGTGTATACACATTTACATTATATGCATGTATATATATGTATACACACATGCACCTAAAAATAAATATATACATAAAATATTGGATAAGGTAGAAAATATGAAATATCTAACAAAATTAAGAATGGATATTATAGCATATTCATACAATAAAATACTATACAGCAGGAAAAATAAACTATAACCACAGGCACAAACATGAATGTTTCTCAAAGTTAAGCAAAATGAGCTAGACTAAAAATATACTCACTATAAGATTGCAATTTTTTAAGATCACAAAATGGGCAAAGCTATACTGTTTGCATCAAACCTAAAAGGTAAAACCTTTTTTAAAAGCATCCTTTATGTGTTCATTATGTCCAGATTCTCGATACTTCTATAAAGCTGCAATTGTTTCCTGACATTTGTATACTACTAAGGCAAGTACTTACTACTGATTTGAACCCTTGAGTGGAGCAGTACTCAAATTTTGTACGTCTTTGGTAACTTGCACTAGTAATTAATATTGCTACTTCTTACTGAGCATTTACAATATGCCAGATAGGTCTCAGATTTTTACATATAGGCACACGTGTGTGTGTGTGTGTGTGTGTACAGTCATCCCCGGCACGTTTTGATCAATGACAGACTGAACATATGACAGTGATCCAATAAGAACATAATGAGAATGAAAAATTCCTATTGCCAAGTGATGTTGTAGCCATTGCAACACCACAGTACAACACGTTATTCATGTTTGTGGTGATGCTGGTGCAAGCAAATCCACTGCACTGCCAGTCATATAAAAGTATAGTGCATAAAATTATGCACAGTACATAATACTTGATAATAAGTGATCATTTTACTGGTTCATATATTGACTATACTTTTTTATTTTATTTTAGAATGTACTCCTTCCACTTATTTTTTTTTTAAGATAACTGTAAAATAGCCTCAGTCAGGTCTTTCAAGTAGTATTCCAGGAGAAGGCATTGTTATCATAGGTGATGACAGCTCCATGCATGTAACTGTCCCTGAAGACCTTCCAGAAGATGGGAACGTGGAAGAGTTGTAAATTTTATACCTTTTTAAAAATTAATTAAAAATAGAAAAATGCTTATAGAACGAGGATATAAAGAATATTTTTGTGCAGCTGTATAATGTGTGTTTTAAGCTAAGCATCATTACAAGAGAGTAGGAAGCTTGAAAAGTTAAATTAAAAAGTTATAATAAGCTAGGGTTAATTTATCATTGAAGAAAAAAGTATTGCTATAAATCTAGTGTAGCCTAAGTGTACAGGGTCTATAACGTCTACAGTGGTGTAATGTCCTCGGCTTCACCTTCACTCATCACTCACTGACTCACCCACGTTAAGTGCCCTATACAAGTGTACTATTTTTTATATTTACACCATATTTTTACTGTACCTTTTCTATGTTTAGATTTGTTTAAATTCACAAATATCTACTATTGTCTTACAATTTCCTACAGTTCAGTACAGTAATATGCTGTACAGGTTTGTAGCCTAGGAAGAGTAGGCTCTACCATATAGCCTCGGTGTGTAATAGGCTATACCATCTAGATTTGTGTAAGTACATCCCATGATGTCCAAATAAGGACAAAAGCACCTAATGGCATATTTCTCAGAATGTGTGGCCATCGTCAAAGGACTCATGCATGTGTATACACACACACATATAGCATACAGATAAAAAAAATGAGAAATAAGATTATTATCCGCATTTTTAAAAGTAGGTAAAATTGGCACAGAAAGGGGTTAGGTCACTTACTCAAGTTCACACAACTCATAAGTAACTGATCTGAGATCAAACCTGGGCAGTCTTGTTCCTCACCCAGGACCTAAGCCACAATGCTTAACTTACATTAAAAAAAAAAGATTTTGAATATTTTAAGTATATCCATTACTGGAATTTTTAAGGAATATTTTGTTGGTTTTACCAATAAATAAAATGTGAAGAAAAAAGTTTGTGATAATTTGTATTGATTTCCTCATGTAATATCTACCTACAAGGGATTACCAAATCTATCAACCAAGTTCAGATGAACTGCTGGAGATGAAAAATTGGCACAAATATAGGAAGTAAGTTGTTTTGAAAACTCTTGAGTAGCAACTTACATTTTCATTTATCTATTAATAAATTATCACAACCTTTCTTATATTCTAACACTTATTATGCCCAAAGCAAAAAGCAAGTGGCTTTCTTTAGCTACAGCTCACATTAATTCCTTGTATCAGCCCTGTGAAGTAGGACTTGGTATCCTAATCCTACCAATAAAGGCGGGAAATTCTGCCAGCGCAAGTCCCACAGCTAAGAAGAAGAAAGCCAAGATTCAAGATCAATTTTGTCTTTCTTTTCTACTATTTTACCAGTTATCCTGAAAACTGCTTTTAACTTTGAAATATAAAGCATGTTGATTTGTGAAAATTAAAAACTGAACCATAGTCATCATCCTCTCCTGTTCTTACACTTGTATGATGTTAGCCTAGTTACTTAAAAGTTCTGAACCTGCTTTCCACATTTATTAAAGGGGGGAAAATCCAGGGCCTGCTGCCTAGGAATATTACAATGATTAATGAGATGATGCTTTTACAGAACATAAGGCAGTGGCCTACATAATATAAAACCTCAGCAAAAAATGTTATTTTTATTACAGAAAAAAATTGTTGGTCCTCCTGGTAAACCTAATGTGTGCATTTGTTTCTTAAAGTCCTCAAAATGAACACTTCATATTTGTAATAGTTGAAAAGTGTCAACAACTTAGGATAATAAATTGTTTTTAAAATCAAACATTATACAAGTTATTATATAAAATATATATATTAATGTGGAAAAATCACAAAAATAGTAAGTGAAACACCAAACTACAAAAGAATATCATTTTCATTAATCAAAAACATCTATAACAATGCTATCGCATCTGTAGTAAAAGTACAAAAGCATGCACGAGTAGGATAAACACCAGTTTCAGAATATTGGTTACTTCCGGGCACAAAGGAAGGAGGCAGAAAAGTTAGCTGAATTTATTATTTCTTAATAAACTAAAGTCTGGGTCCACTATGGCAAGATTTTTTTTTTAATCTAGATGGTATTATATGGTAACATGATATTTTGCATACTCTTATGTATGTTTGAAATTTTCCAATTTATAAATAATTTTGTCTTAATATTTTTGTTGTGGCTTTCAAACCATTTTTTAAATATGACTCATACTACAGTTTCTGACCAGGAAGCCAGAATTACTAGCTTAACTTCAAATAGGGAGAAGGTACCTCCTTCTTCCTCATAAATTCCCTGAAAGTCATAACCTCATCTTCATCCTTGTATTGCACTCCTTTTTCCCTTCCCCTCAGTGCTTTGGACCAACAAGCTAACCCTTGTTGAAAAAAATACCCCAACCATCATAAACATATCCAGGTAATATACGTCATTGTTGAGGGGCTCAGAAATCTTGTCATATGTAAATGAGCTTGGGAAATAAAGCATGTATATTTACAGCTTGATTTGCGGAGTTTCAAAAAAGGGAAATTTTAAAATAAAGCTTTATTTTAGTAAGTTAAAACTTATGTTCAAATGGAAATAATGTTTTAAAACCCCAAATAATAATAAAATCTAAAAATAAAACCCAAATCAAAAATATCAATGATTCTGATTCATATTAACTTGCTAAATGTCTTGTTACTACTTTCCCTATGTCGATTTTATTATTTTTAAAACCCTAAATCAGTAAATAGAGGAAATCTGCAGATGTTCAATTGTGATGGGCTGACCTACTATAAACAGTCGTTGCCTGTGGAATGTAATATGTTTGTAAGGCCTTTGAAAATACCTAAATTCTATTACTTAAATAGAGAATTAACAAATTTCTATGCAAGTAAAGAAAAACTATTGTTGTGAATAAAATTGTGTCCCTACCCCACAAAATTCATATGTTCAAACTCTAACCCCCAACGTGGCGACTGTATTTAAATTAGGTAAGTAATTGAAGTTAAATACAGTCATAAGGGTGGGGCCCTGTTCCAATAGAACTGGTAGCCTTCTAAAAACAGAAACCAGAGATGGCTCTCTCTCTCTCTCTCTCTCAGCCCAGGAACAAAGCCCATATAAGCAGACATCAAGAAGGCCACCATCTGATAGCCAGTAGAGAGCCGTCACCAAAACCAAAGGATGCTAACACTTTGATTTCAGACTTTTAGTATCCAGAACGATAAGAAAAATTTCTATTGGTTAAACTACCCAGTCTACGGTATTTCGTCATGGTAGCCAGAGAGACAAAGACAACTATCATTGGTATCAGAATTAAAATGGTTTGTTTAAAGAACCTTAATATAAAAGAAGAGAAAGTAATGAATAACTCTGATTATAAAAGTGAGTGTTCAGCATACCTAGAGGTTTTTTTTTTAATATTTTTAATCACTAAAGTTGCCCAGAAAAGCAGTGGCATAAAGGTTAATGTCAAAGATATCCCCTTATGAACTGTACTTACTTACTACTTAGACAAGGCAGCCAAATAAAAAAAGAAACAACAAATATGTGGATCATCATTTCACAAAATGTTAAAAATAAATAAATAAATAAATGAATAAATAAATAAAAACAGTTCTCACAATTGATTACAGACTATGGGTCATTCTAGAGTGAAATTAAAAAAAAAAAACACAATCATTAGGCAGCAGTTTAACACTGCCTTGAGGTTTTCATAATATCTAACTAAAACAGACAAATCTGAATTCAGAAAGCATGAGAGTGTAATTACAGCATAGACCAATAATGTGAAACTGACAATGCACAGATAATTAAGCCTCAATCTGTGAAGTTTTAAAAAACATCCTTAGGGTAAGAATGAATTATCATTACAGAACTACTGCAACACATAAGTTTACAACATCATGAATTTTTTAATCTACTAGCAAAAATTTCAATTTTATACGTTTTTCAAACAAGATGGATTTACAAAAATGAAATATAAATGTAATGACTTTTTAACTTAGATTATTGAGCAGATAGATACCCTCACCTTCTAACAATAAATCTAACTTCTATTTAAATTTAGATTTAATTATTTATGTATTCAATTCAAAATTTAGCAAATATTAAAATAATTAGCCTTTTTTCATAGAATTTAAAAAGCATTTTAAAAGAAAGAAATCAAAATGTTAAGATTGCTAAGTATTTTTCTACTATAACGTGAAACATAAAATTTTCTTGAAGATGAAAATGAAGGATATCCTTCTGTATATTTCTTATTCAGTGCAGCAAACAAATGCTGATTACTTTTCTGTACTTTTTGCTCATATGTATTGTTGACATTAAAATCTATAAAATAATGTCAACCATTTTGAATGTCTATGTGAATACAGAGGAAAAATATCCAAGATTTTTATTTTTAATAAAAAGTTCAAAGAACACAGGAGACTTCAGGTTTAGATTTCAAACTTTTGAAAAGCCCTCAAAGGAGTCAACACAGCCCCTCAGTTTTCTAACAGTTGTACTTCCACAACAGTGCAGCTTTGCACACCATCCCTCTCCCACTACTTCTGCTTCTTCATTTGCCCTTACCCCCAAAACATTCAGAGGCACTACACCTTAAAAAGAAGGCTTTGAGACCTATCCCAAGGATAATACAATTGCATGAAAGATGTACAAAAATCACTAAAGCGAGGAGGAAAAATGTACTTCCTTCAGTAGCTGTGAGATTCCTTCCTGCCTGGGGCACTAAGAAGATTCTGCATAAGATCACATGGCACACCTACAACTCCCATGGGCAATGTGGCATCTGCTTTCTGCTTGGAGGGCTCCCAGGGACTAGCAAGGCCTCCAAGTGAAGGTGATAAGGAAGGAGCTGGTGCTTGGAGCCTAGTCCTGATCTAGCTTTCAAGAAATAGTTCAAAAGATAACCTGAGGTTATTGTCCAGGCCAGCCCTCCAGTTAAAAGGAGCAGGCAGGAATTCAGGGAAGAACCCAAGTCCACAACAAAGACAAAAAATTTAATAGAGCATCAGTTCTATCAGATTCTGTTGAGAGGAAGGAGGCAGGAGGGCACGTGTCCAGGGAGAGAAAAACAAAGAGCCCTATGTCAGGAAAAGACTGCAAAGTCAATATCCACATTCCTTTGAGCAGCTGTATGAAATGTTTAGTAATTCCTTTAAAAACACAGGCCATAAAGAAATATTTTCTTTTGGTATATCAAGGAATGCACTAAATATCATTTGCAGGTTCAATATCAATGACCAATCAATATCAATATCATTGACCAAAGAGAAACTCACGTTACATAACCCACAGTTTGATTTAAAAAGTTATATTATAACACTTTAAAATCATGGAATTACTATTTGCAACATAGGGAAGGAGCACAAGGAAAAACAAACAGTGAAGTCTGAAAATAATTTATTTGCTCATTTTATGATCTGAGCACCACAAAAGCAATGCTGCTATTAACTACCATAATCAAAGAAAAGAAAGGTTAGGATAAGTAATCTGGCCTAAAAATCACATGAAAAAAAAAACAGTGCTATGATATAGCTAGTACTAAATTATTTACTACTAATTTTAATGTTTCCACTCTCAAAGACTCAGTCACAAATTGAATAACGAGCTTTTCATATGATACAAAGCTTACAACAGAAGGAGTTGAAAATATACCACTCCAGCATACTTACTATTTTGAATAAAGGCATTTAATTCAAATATTGGAAAATAACAGGTGTAAAAAGAGGACTCTGATCTTCCAGCCTCCTTAAAAGCAGAAGATGAAATTCCCCTGAAAGAAATTAACATCCTGTCCTCAAGGACAAGAAGTTGAGACCAAAGAATTCTGTACAGACCTTGTTAAAAAAACGTATCTTTTAAGCCCCCCCCCACATAATTTAGTTGGTTTTTCACAACTTACTGCTCTTTTTGCAATTCATTATTTAAGCGTTTCACTCTAACTACTTATTTGGATCTTTATCTCTTTATGAGGATTCTTGTGGCACATAAAACTCATATTACTTGTATGAAATAAATTTGTATGCTTTTCTCCTGTTAATCTGTTTTATATCCATTTAATTCTCAGGCCCAGCTGGGACCCTAAGAAGAAAGAGGTGGAATTTTGCTGCCCCTATACAACTAAATGAGTATCAAGATTCTCTGTAAAATTCATGAAAATTAGCACAGACTGTTTGAAACTTAAATCAAATGATCCTTTACAGCTCCCAAAGGGATTCAGTCCTGGCAAAGATGCAGCTTTAACATGTGTACACATAGTAAACCCTTCTGGCATGTCAAAAGCATCTGCCATCTGAAGACTTGTCATTTCTCATTCACCTTCTTTTAATTATTCAAAATTAGCAAAATATTTTAAAGCTAAAGTGTCAAACAAAATGAGTGTCCTTTACAGTCCCAACAAATAATCCAATTCTTATATAGCCAATCAACATTTTCAACAATATTTACTCAATGAGTGGTTAAGGAAGTGGGATCTAGAGTCAGATGTACTGGTAGGAAATCCTAGTTCACTACCCATGTGATCTTGGAGAAATTAACCCAAGGCTCAGTTACCTCAAAAGTAAAATGGGATGAACATTACCTACTCCATGTTCACATGGAGTAGGAGTGGCCCTTATATTAGATAACTCCTGCAAAATTATAAACCAAACTAGTGTTTAATAGATGACACTAGTTGTTTAATAAATGTGGTTAATACATGACACTATATTGATTTCCTAGTAAATACCAGACTTTGCTACTGGCACTAGGGATGTCAAGATAAAGACAAATTAATTAGAGTCTCTGCCATCAAAACGTTTATGCTCTAATAGGAGATACTTACATTAACAGAGCCTTGTAAACGGTCATGTTTTCTCTCACAAACACTAAATTGCCACCTTTTATCTTGTAACTACTATTAGCACTGCAATTACCAAAGGTACCTAAGGCCAAGAGAATCAGTAGCGGCCACAGATTCAAAGGGAGTAGCAGGAAAAGCAGGCATGGGGGGAAAGAGGAATCCTGCTGAAACTCCAGCGTGGAGCCTGTGCAGGACGTGTGTAAAGCATTTAGTGCCACTACAGTAACAGTCAAACTTGAACAGCCTCGTGTCTCAGCAGACACACAAGGGTTAAGTTTTAATGGGAAAAGCAATATCCTACTCCAACCCTGGAGAAAACCACAACTATTTTAGGTATAACTTTGAGATTCATAAATTCTGAAAGCTAAAGCTGATGACCTCTTTTGCTATAAATTACCTCCTCCCAAACTGTTTAGGTAATCCTCCTGTGACCTCAGGATACCAATGACTTACTACCTGCGTATAAGAACCTACACTGGTAGAGCCCCTCTTTGGGGTCCCAGAGGTCTCATCTCTAGTGAGCCTAGCTTCATACTGAGCTGTCTGTCACCATCTTTTTACATGTGACTTCTATACGAGACTGCAAGTCACCGTATTCCTCTTTGCATCCTTCCCACCGAGCACAGTGACTAAAGACCAAGTTCAATAGACATGTGCTGAATTATTACTTGGTGCCAAGCATTGTACCACGCAGCAGAGATACAAACATTAAAAACATGTTCTCTGTCAAAGAACAAATCATCTATTGGGGAGAGAGAGTCAACATTTCAAATATGAGAACTGCACTAATGGAAAGACTACAATACTAGGTGTGGAAACTTGGTATGGAAAGGAATATCCAGGTAGAATTAAGGGAAGGGATGTCCCCCCGCTTAAATAGGGAAAAGCTAAAGAGTCCCAGGCATTATTAGCTGGAAACAGACTGTGAAATAATGTCCAATGGGATGAAGACTTTTTTTTTAAAAGAAAAGGTTGGTTGAATAGGTAAATGAATACAGTCAAATTTAGATAGGAACACTGAAAATATAACTGTTAAAAAAAATCACTGAATTTCCTCAAATTGAATATTTACAGCTTATTGTAAAGATTCTTACCTCCCAGAAACTCCTTTTGTTGACCCTGGAATCTCTGGTACAGGTCGATGTCTTAGCAGAAAAGATCGAGATGGTCTTGAAACCAACTTGCTACGACTTCTCACAGGTGCTAGGATTGGTGATGATGGAACATACAAGTCATTTACAATCATTTCTCCTTGAAACTTAAAGAATGGGGATGGTGGTGATCCTTCTAATAAACCATTTGTTCCATTTCCAGAATTTGTTCCTGATGTTGAACAGCCAACAAAAGAAAGGCATTCAGAGTCTGCATTAGGGAGCTTACTGAGATTTTCTGTGATCAATTTAACTTTTTCTGTTTGTTGTTCTTCAACTGTGTGATCCACAGTCTTCTTTGTAATCAATGATTCTATTTTAATATTGTCACTACCAAATAAAGAATCATTCAAAGAACCCAAATTCAGGTGTGGTTCCTCTGCAGTGGGGAAGTCGCGTTTAGGAGGAGACAGCTTATCATCTGATTGAGGATACTGGCTTCTTTCCACACTTGCATCACTGTCTTCAAGATTTTTTCTAACAGTCTCCAACTGCGGTGGGCTAGATGTCTGAACACTACCAGAATTGGAAAGTTCTATGCAGATATTCTGATCAGAAGATGGAACATGGTAATCCTTTGAAGGGTCATCATTCTTCTTAGTTTTATGAACATTTGCATATATTGGAATATCTTGCATTTTTGACAAGATTATCTGTAACTGTTTAAGTATCCTCCTACGGTGACCTGTAGGTGATATTCCAATTTTCTGCAGCAGGCTGTCATTTATTGCTGCACAGTCCTTCACAGTAGTAAAACCAGACTCATGGAAATGTAAGAGATACTGCTCCAAATTAATGCTCATTAGGAAATCTTTTATATCCACATTTACTTCACTGACTGAGGACATAATGGTGGCTTCATTACTAAGCTGAGTTACAAAAAGTGGCACGATGAGACACACACACAAGAAGATGTACTTCTCTACTGGCTTTTCCTCTATCAATTGTGACAGAAAAGTTTCTTAAAATGTTATTTTCTTCACAGTGACTGCTTTACCTGCTTAAGCCTAGAAAAAAATAAAAAATGATTCATTAGGCTATTTTAATTATTAAAATCTACTTTTATATACTTTCTCTGAAAAAAACAGCAGAAATTAGGACACTAACTCTCACTCTGCAGTTGGAATCTTTGTGCATTGCTTTGCATGCCCTAGAAAACCAGTTTCTCAGTATGTGAAGGTACAGGACAGAAATGCTATGACAGCATCAAACTATGACTTTCAAAAAGGTGAAAAAAGTGACACTGACACATGTACTGAATGAACATATATCAAAAACTTTATTCAACTTATTCATTAAAAATGAGGGAACCAGTAAGTCAGTAAGATTGGATTCAAGAGCATTTGTGGGAAAGATGTATATAGTTCATCAGAAAGGGTTTTTTTAAAGTATTAGAATAGGATAGCTAGCTTAGATAAAAAACTGTTTAATGTCCTACAGGATAATAAGCCATAACATTTGGGGTTATCTTTTCTACTGGACAAAAATCTATAAGCATACAGGTAACTTCTCAGTGTCTATGTGCTACTCAAATAATAAATAGCCAAGTCAAGCACAGGAATTAAAATTGGGATTAAAATATCTCTAAGGTGGTCCTGTTAAACAATATTCCCACAAAGGCACTGAAAGAATGTTCTTTTGACTTTCAAGTTTTATGCAATTTTCTTAACAGTAGTTGAATATAACAACTTTCCCTTTCACTGCATTTTCTTTCAAATACTTAAAAAGCAGTCAGAACATATTTCTCAGTTCAATAATTTTCATTTCATAAAAACAGGCAGCATTGTATGTAAACAATAGTGATATACAAGATATGACACTGAATAATCAGCTAATTCTTAAATACATTAGATAACAGAAAATATGCTAATATGAAAGGTCACATGTCCTCCAATGTACATAGCAGATTCATAAAGGTTTATTTTTCTCCAAAACAAAATAAAATTTTTTAAAAGTCCATTTTTCCAGATGCTAATTATACAGGTGTGTTCAGTTTATGAAAATGCATATGTGCAACTTTCTGTACATTGTGCGTCAATAAAAAAGTACAGAGCAGGCATGACACACATACACTGAAGTAATAAAATGAGACACACCCAAACAAGGAAAATTTCCCTGAGTAAGCTTTGATGCAGGACTGAAAAACCCCTCTACAAAAGGCACTACTTGGACTCTGCATATGCCACACGCCAACTGCCCATAAGCTACGGCTTCAACTATTTTAAAATATCAGCAAGCAGTAACAAACAGGTATAGGATAAAAGGGAAAGAGTATATCTTCTTCAGGACACACTGCAGGAGCAGAGAAATAAAAATACAAAATAAATGATGAAAGGCAAGAAATGCCTTTGTCAATAAGGCATCCCAGAGTAACACCTAAAATGCTAAAATGTCACACACAAAGAAGTTACACCTCGGCCAGGCAAAGTGGCTCACGCCTGTAATCCCAGCACTTTGGGAGGCCAAGGCTGGCAGATTATTTGAGGTCAGGAGATGGAGACCATCCTGGCCAACATGGTGAAACCCCATCTCTATTAAAATACAAAAATTAGCTGGGTGTGAGGGTGCGTGCCTGTAATCCCAGCTACTCGGGAGGCTGAGGCAGGAGAATAGCTTGAACTTGGGAGGCGGAGGTTGCAGTAAGCCGAGATGGTGCCACTGCACTCCAGCCTGGAGACAGAGCGAGACTTCATCTCAAAAATAAATAAATAAATAAATAAATAAAAAATTTTAAAAAAAGAAAAGTTACACAACACTACATACAAACTCAATTCTCAGATAAGCCACTCTTTTTCTACACAATTATTTTGCAACAAGTGTATTGTCTATTTTTACTAGCATTATCACAGGATGGAAATAATTACTACCAATGGAACAATAAGTGGACATAATGTATTCAGCCACTTTAGAATTTACAAACATGATAAATTGGCCAATAACTTGAGAGGATTAGAAGCATTTTCCTTCTGAAGTAGAATAAAGTATAAAAAGTCATAGTCTTGCTTACCCCTGTTCATAAAAACCTTAATAGGAGAAAAACAATTTTAATAAAATACATACACACACGCACACCAAGAAACCTCCTGATCTGTCCCTACCCCAAATCTAAAGCCTAGACTGTATTCCCAAGTCCACCTTTGTATTATCCACCACACTCAAGGAATGAGGTGACCTACCGATTTTACTCCTTGCTACTGATAGAATTATGTCCTCCCAAAATTCCTATCTTGAAGCCCTAACCTTTACCATGACTGTACTTGGAGACAGGGCCTCCAAGGAGATAATTAAGGTTAAATGAGGTCATCAGGAAAGGACCTTGATAAGATAGGATTAGTTTCTTGCAAGAGACACCAGAGAGTTTTCTTTCCCCCAGGCCCAGAGCCCTCTATGTAAGGACACAGGGAAAAGGTGGCTATCTGTAAGCTAGGAAGAGGAATCTCACTAGGAAACTTATCAGCTGGCAAATGGATCTTGGACTTCTCAACCTCTAGAGCTGTGAGAAAATAAATTTACGTGGTTTAAGCTACATGGCCTGTGGTATTTTGTCACAGCAGCTGAGCTGACTAATACACTTCTCCATCCTCACTGCTTTTGCCATGGTTCCGAAACTCATGACATCTTTTGCATGGATTACTGCAATCGTCTCTGAACAAATCTCTCAGCCCAGTCTCCACGTATCAGTCAGTGAACTATCAAACACACAAATTCGGTATGTAACTCCACATGCTCAACCAGATAAAGTCTATGCTGATATTGCTTATAGTGCCAAATCACATTTTTGTCTCTAACAATAATAATAGCAGGTGCTATTGATGTAAACAGCAATTATGTGTCAGACACCATGCTCATATTTCCTATGAGACAGGCATTCCTATGTATCAACTACAAGCTCATATTCAACCCTTGCCAAACATTCTACCAATATCCTTCATTCACTTTAGTCCACTCTTGTCAATTATTTCCCTGAGGCAACAAACTGTTTAGCAGCTCCATAACTTTTTGCATACACTCTATCTGCTTTCTTAAGCACCATTCAAAATTATAAACAGGCAGGTATTACCTCCTCTGTGAAGGCATCTTATCAACCCCTCAAAATAGAATAAATCACTCCTTCCTTGACATATATCTATAATTTCTATACCAGAGCTTTGCAAAGCACTTGGAACATGTTTAAGAGATGTGAGAGAGGCTGATAAAAATGGCAGAAGAGATTGAGAAGCCTATTGTATTAGTTTTTTGCTATGCATGTGTGTATTTTTGTTTTAATAAACAGCCCTTTCCTTTCTTTGGCAGACACATACATACTTCCTAGGTGGTCAAATCAAAGAAAGATATACCAGAAGCTCTACCCAAAACCATCTCTATCACTCAACATGCTGAATATGGTTAATGAATCTGATTCCTTTTCATGCCATGGAAAAGGCTCCCTCCCACAGCCCTAAAATCCTCTCTGCACATTAATGTCAACTCTGTCCTCCAATTGTCTGACATTTTAACTGTCTGAACACCCAAGAGTGTTCACAGATCCAATTCTTAGATGCTCTAGCCCCAAGCACATCATTAGATACACAGAGATGAGCATGCCTAATTATAAAATTCCAGTATGTGAAAGCTCCTTAATACGAAATTGAAGCTCTCCATGTTTTGACCTCCAATTGCAGTCTATGGCATGTATGCCACAGTCTAGATCAGTGACCCTCCAGGTACTGATCTGTGGATCTTCTGTACATCAACAACTGCTGTGGGTCCTACGAGTCTACACTTGTTACACCCTCCAATTATAACTAGGATGTGTGACAAAATGTGGTAATTACAGTCCTAAGTTCTTGAGGCTTCCCAAACATGCTTTATACCAGCCCACCTGAGCCTAAGCTCATCACTGTCCTCCTCTTGGATAAAATCCCCCATCTAACATACTGCACACAAGTTTGCAGTAAGACTAAATTAAAATCCCACCTCCTCCACTTTCTAGCAGTGTAAACATAGGCCCGTGCCCATGTCAATGTCTCTACTTCCTTTCCCATAAAATGGAAATAATCCAGGGTACCTAGCATTGGTGAGGATTAAATGAGATAATCCATCATAAGTGACTCGCACATAGTGCCTAGCACGTACTGATGCTTAGTAAACATTCACTTCTGTCACTATAATTATTTTCACCACTATAGTCATTCTGTCCCCACAGTTAAATTTTCTGTTCTTTGAGGTCTAAAACACTTTCCTTCACAAGAGTTCTAGTGAACAAGAAATGCATCCTCTTCTCCGTATTCCTACACTATTTACTTCTTAGAGTGTTGTCCTAGTCCGTTCAGACTGATTTAACAAAATACGAATGCTCTTGGACTTACAATGAAGTTACATCCCAATAAACCCATTGTATGCTGCAAATATTATAGACTGAAAACGCATGGCTGACTGGGAGCCAGGGCTTGCTGCCACTGCCCAGCATCACTAGAGAATTGCGGTTTCTCTCAAATGCATCACATTCACTCCATCATAAAGTCGAAAAATCCCAAGTCAAACCATAATAAGTTGGGAAGCATCTGTACCTTAGATTGGGTAATTAATAAACAACAGAAGTGCATTGCTCAGAGTTCTGGAGGATGGGAAGTCCAAGGTCAAGGCGCCTGCAGACATCATAGATAATGCCTTCTATGTGTCCTCACATGGCAGAAGGGCAAGGGGAAAACAAACAAGCTCCTTCAGGCCTCTCTTATGAGAAGACTAATTCCATTCACCAGAGCTCTGCCCTCATGACCTAATAACCTCCCCCAAACCCCACCTCTTAATACAATTCCCTTTGGCAGTCAGGTTTCAACATACAAATCGGGAGCGGGGGGTGGGGGACACACACATTCAGACCATAGCAAGTGTTTAACTATATTCTGCTGTTCCATAGATAGTGTAATATAAATGCCAAGACTCTGAATACAGACAACTTGTGTTGAATTCCAATTCCTCCACTTACTAGCTTTATTATCTTGTGTATTTAACTTTTCTGTGCTTTAGTTTCTTAGTCAAAAATCATGGGAGTAATATTAGTACCTACCTCATAGGGCTACTGTGATAATTAAATGAGTTAATACAGGCACAGCACTTATAACAACAACTGGACATTAAAAATTCTAAGTAAGTGTTGCCATTATCACTATTATTTTATTATAATAAACTCTGCCAACAGGACAAACCCATATAAGCTACACAATAAATACCAGATTACTTGCTTATAAGCATGGTGCATCATGTATATGCAGTACATGTTTAGAGAATGTATAAATAGTTGGCATTACAGACATGGCTGTGCATTTGCCCATGCTATCCTGACCCAATTCCATGAGGCAACAAAAGGGAAGTAACATTTAGGAGTACCTGCTACATGCCCAGCTTACCATATCACTCAATAAACAGCACCTTTTTACTTTACTGTGCTATACCTTTAAACTACATCCTCAATTCAGTAACACTACCTATCTACCCTGCTCACATCCTAGCCTAAGCCACCATCATATCTCTCTTAGACCACTGCAATAGCCTCTTAGACTGATATTCCTGATTCTGTCCTGAACCCCTCTCCCCCACACAGTAGATTCTCTCACTACAGGGGCCAGAACAATTAATGTCATAAGAAAAGTCACACCATATCACTCCCTATGACTTCCAAACTTAATCTTCCCTGACTTTCCCCTTCCATCACTTGACAGCCTCAGGGCCAGCCTCCTTTCTGTTCCTTCCTCAGACCTTACCTCTTGATCTTGTCTCTTTACAACCTTCTTCTCCAGCATATACGTATGTCTCCACAGCCACTCCATCACTTTGGTATGTCTCTGCTCAAATGCGCCCTCTTCAGATAGGTGATCCCTCCCTAATCTATGCTATACAAGCATGCCTTGTGACTCACCATCCCTTATCCTTGCTTTATCTGTCTCCACGGCTTCTACTACTGCTGGTATCTGTTGACTGCTCTGAGAGGTCAGGGATCTTGTCTACTGTTCACTGCTCAGCTCAATAAATGTTTGCTGAATAATTTCTCCCTTGCTTTGTGATGAGAAGTGGAAGGTGCACATTGTTTTAAAATGTTGTCTAAGTAACCAAGCTAGTATGGAGCGGATTGATTTCAAGCACAGATTTCTCCAATTCATCTAACCATTAACAGAGGTCCTCAAATCAGGAGTGAGTGTGAGGGGTGGGGCAGTAGGTATAAATTAGAAACATTCTAAACCATCTGTGGGACTTTTAAAAACTCATGGGTTGGGCCAGGCCGGGTGAGGTGGCTCATGCCTGTAATTGCAGCGCTTTGGGAGGCAGAGGTGGGTGGATTGCTTGAGCCCACAATTTCCAGAACAGCCTGGGTGACATGGTGAAACCCTGTCTCTAACCAAAATATACAAACATCAGCCGGGTGTGGTGGTGCACACCTGTAGTCCCAGCTACTCAGAAGGCTGAGGTGGGAGGATGGGTTGAGCTCAGGAGGAGGAGGTTTCAGTGAGCTGAGATTGCATCACTGAACTCCAGTCTGGGCAACAGAGCCAGACCCTGTCTCAAAAAAAAAAAAAAAAAAATTAATGGGTTGGACAAGCTTCCCCCTAATGTCTCGAATAAGGAAAGCCACTATAGTAAGCCCCTCCCAAACTCCCTCCCCATTACCCATTACCAGTGGAGCTTTGTCATAAATCCCCTAGTTGAACAAGGAAAGCAAACAACTGAAAACCATGGGTTACTTCATTAAACCATGATGTCATTGAGACAAATTCTAGAATCACCTTTGCCTAACTATATGTTACAGGATGGAAAACAGCATAATACAATCGAATCAGTCATATGATCAATCCATTAAAACAAAAAGAGAGCATACCACTGAAAAATCAGAAACACATCCTTAGCAAAGTTAGAAACTTTGTGAGAAAATGGGCTTAATAGCAGTCAGAGGATCACACAACTAAGAAAAAAAGCTTAAAAATATAGATTTACAAATTAGGCTGCTAAATGAATCATGAAACTTTTCAACATTATCAATACAAGTCTTACAAATTTCCATAACAATAAGAGCTGGCCATATTCCAGAACAGTGGTTCCCAATGGATTGGAACTATATCCCTTGATTGGATTCAGAGATATATGACAAAATGCTTTTGCTGGTCTTAATGACCAACAAATGACTAAGTGACACCAGTAGACAGAAAAAGTGACTATGACATTCTGCAATAGTACCCAGATAAAAAATTCAAGTGTGATTTTTACTCCTTCAATTCTCTATAATTGATCAGTTCTCAATATGGTACCCAACACTACGGATGATAAAAGAGAAAAGTGTCCCTGCCTTCAAGTGTCCCTGCAATACACCACTTCAGTTTGATGTGCGTCCATGTACATGGCTAAACCTATAAGTCTACATACCTTTACATTTAACTGCCCAAGAGTTAAGAGGCAATGACAAATTAAGGGAGAACATCTTTGTAATTGCCATATAAAGCAGTGGTAATATAGAATTTAGTTTATCAAAACTTATTGTTGCATGTATCATTGTAGAAAGACAGCTCATGCAGGACTACAGTACAGCTGATATAAGGCAACAATATGAAGCCAAAATCAAATAACAAATTATTATTTGCTAATAAACTTATTGTGGAAAAATCACTAATTCCTTGGAAAACTGGACGTCTCCATATGGACAACATGCTGAACTAATTAGCTGAGGGTACAGGTCTTCTAGAAGTCCACCTGATATGGTTTGGATGTTTTGTCCCCTCCAAATTTCATGTGGAAATGTGACCTCTGATGTTGGAGGTGGGTCTAGCAGGAGGGGACCTCGCAGTGGGAAGTCATGGGGGAGGATCCCTGATGAATGGTTTGTGTGGTCCTTGTGGTAATGAGTGAGTTCTCTATGAGTTCATGCAAGATCTGCTTGTTCAAGAGAGCCTGGCACCTCCTCCATCTCTTGCTCCTTCCTGGCATCTGATATGCTAGCTTCCCCTTTGCCTTCCACAATGATTGTAAACTTCCTGAGGCCTCACCAGAAGCTGAGTGGATGCCAGCTCCATGCTTGTACAGCCTGCAGAACTGTGAGCCAAATAAATCAATTTTCTTTATAAATTACCCAGTTTCAGGTATTCCTTTACAGCAATACAAGTGGACTAATACACCATCTTTGCTTTGGTACAAAACACAGAAATAGGTACCGTGTTATTTGCACATCAAGCAAACTAATATCAAGATATTCACTCCAAGTATAGATAAAGACATGTTCAACTTAACTCTTTCCAAGAACCATGTAAAAGAGGAAGTGTTTTAGAGAAAATATGCTTATGATTATATTCTTCCATCCCACAGTATAGAGCAGACTGCAAAAGGATGAAGGTCAGGCCTGCTAACTTATTTTTCTAGTCTGAGTGCTTAGCCCCCAGAAAAAGTATAAAACTGGTTGTTTGGCATCTCTCTCCTCCGCCATCCATTCACTTACCTTAGTGTGTGGCAACATCCGCCCCATTAAACCCCTTACAGGAAGCCCAGTTCCCTCAATGTGGTCATCTCTTTAAATTGTGGTCACTCACAGGCTCTGACCTCCTCTGTACCCTGTTCTCTACCTCAACCACTACTTCTTTCCCACCCACCAAAACACATCCATCTTCTTTCATTCTCCCTCAGAATGACATTGATAATAATAATAACCAGTAGTTGTGGATGTTTGCAAACCATTTTTGTAGGACCTCATTTACTCCTCACAGCTGCAGAGGAGGAAAATCCGACGCTGAATGTCACGCAATAGATAAACAGTGGAAACACTAACTTAAGTGTTTCTAAGAGTCAGACTCCACAACCTGTGCTATAAACTGTAAAGCCTCATAGTAGATATAAAATTGATTTAATAGTAAAGAGGTAGCAAAGACTTAATAGTCTCCCTCTCCTTTGTCTAGCTGTTCATAAGGGCTTATATTCACACTAGGGAAATGCTGTTTAAATATACCATATCTTGCAAATTCAAGTTTTATACACCATTTAAGTTTGATATGTGTCCATGTACGTGGCTAAACCTGGAAGCCTACATTCATTTACATTTAATTGCCTGAGAGTTGAGAGCCAATGACAAATTAAGGGAGAACATCTTTGTAATTGCTATATAAAGCAATGGTAATGTAGAATTTAGTCTATTAAAATTTATTTTGCATCTATCACTGCAGAAAGACAGCTAACACAGGACTATAGTACAATTGATATAATGCAACAATATGAAGCCAAAATCAAATAATCAAATATGACCAAAATAAGTATTCACTGCCCACATGAAGTCAATGGTTATGGTAAAAAACAAAAACAAAAACAAAAACAAATGTGCTTGACGAGAAAATAAAGTGTTAAGGCCAGGCATGGTGGCTCACGCCTGTAATCCCCATACACTTTGGGAGGCCAAGGTGGGTGGATCACCTGAGGTCAGGAGTTTGAGACCAGCCTGGCCAACATGGTGAAATCCCGTCTCTACTAAAAACACAAAAATTAGCAGGGCATGGTGGCACACACCTGTAATCCCAGCTACTTAGGAGGTTGAGACATGAGAATCGCTTGAACCCAGTGGGCGGAGGTTGCAGTGAGCCAATATCACGCCACTACAGGGACAGAGAAAGATGCTGTCTCAAAAAAAAAAAGAAGAGAAAGTATTAACACAAAAAAGATACCTGACTATGATCTTAAAGGTTTAACTTCAAATGTGGTGCAAAAGTAGATAAGGAGTGGAAGCAACCCAGATATCTATGAATGGATGAATGGATGAATGGATAAATAAAGTGTGGTATATACACAAAATGAAATACTAAGCAGCCTTAAAAAGGAATAAATACTGTCACATGCTACAATACAGATGAACCTTGAAGGTCATTATGCTAAGTGAAAAAACAGTCATAAAACAGACAAATACATGATTCCACTTACATAAGGTATCTACCGTAGTCAAATTCATAGAAAGTAGAACCATGATTACCAGAGAGGAGAAGAGAGGTAAGGAGTTGTTTAACAAGCATAGAGTTTCAGTTCTACCAACTGGAAATGGTCTGGAGATCTGTTTCACAGCATTGTAAATATACTTAGCGTTACTGAACTATACACTTTAAAATGATAAGACGGTAAATTTTATAGTATGTGTTATTTTTACCCAGTAAAAAAGGAGATCAGAAAACAGACTAGAAGATTTGGGCCAGTCTCTCAGCTCTTATTCAAATGGAACTCCCTGTACATACCTGGACTTTTTTTCTCTCCTTTGGGAGCCAATTCAAGTCTTACAAGTATGGTAACACCACATTCGTGAGGCTTCCCTGCCTATCCCATCCCTCCTCAATCCCTTATTAGTTCCACCCAGGCAGTAGTATAGATAGCACAATGCCCGAATTCCAGTCCAGGCTTCCCCACTTTTTAACTATGTAACTTAAGTTATTTAACTTCCCTGAAGCTTGTTTTTCTCATTTATAAAATGAGGGTAATATACCCTATATCGTATAGTATTTCTATTAGAATTAAACAAGTAAAAATTTAAGATATATAAGAATACCTGACATGAGTTACAACTGCACCATAAACGTTGGCTAATATTAATTCACCCATTGTATACAATATTGCCTTTAATCATATTCATACCACTATATTGCACTTGGTTTGAATGGAATTCTTCGGTCTGCATAGTAGTATTACATTCCTTTAAATTATCACTGTAAATCATTCTTCTAATAAACCCACAATGCACCTAACACAGCAGTTAACATAGTTTTATTAATGTAGTAACGTATACATGTAGTTAGAGTTGTAAGAATGATGATAATTTCACCTGAAGACTTAACACCTGGGACACAAAGCACAGTGATTTACCAGGGATTCCAGCTCTGCCATGTGCTACCTGTGTGGCCTTGGGAGAATTCCTCTCTTTTCCTGAGCCTCACTGTTGTCATTTGTAAGCAGGGAAAATAATAGTGCCTACCTCACGGGGATATTTTGAGGATGAAATGAGCGCATATGCATTAAAATCTTAGAACAGTGCCTGGTAAGCAACAAGCATTTAATTAGTGTCTTCTGGATGGAGAATAATGGAAATTTTAGCTGAAAATAGGTAGGCTCTGGGCAAAATCATTTCATAGCTTTGATCAAGGAGTAAGGATTGTCTAAGCTATGTTTTGATTATTTTACTTATAGCACAATCTGAAAAACACAATAAAAAAACCTAAAACTTAAAAACAATTTCCATCCAGTGAAGGCCACAAGTACAAATTCCTTTACTTAGTATAAGAACATATTAGTAGCATAGGAGGTACCTAGGTTTAGGTGTTCTGGATAATATCGCAATAGTTAAATGCTTGATAATCTCCTTAGCTTCTGTAAGTCTTTTCCTTTCAAGCTGTCCATCCAGATTTTAAGTTAATTCACTAAGATTTGAGAATTTTTAAAAATTCTAATGTAGAGAGATCCCTAAGGTAAAGCCATAATTCTTGGGATATCAGAGAATAATTTATTCTTCTAGAGTTTCTACAAAAGCAGAATTTTAAAACTTTTGTATAAGTGTATATACTCCACCATTTCTCTGAATGTAAGTCATATTTTTAGACAAACAACCAGATGTTTCAGAATAGCCTACTGTGTTTCCTCTCTTTGCATTTATAAATAGTACTCTGACCTCTTTTCCAACTGAGTTTGAGGGTTTATTCCTATTGGTTTAGCAATTGTCAAAGTTTCTTTTTCTTATAAAAAGAGGGCATTTCAGAAAACGTCTCCTACCTTACTGGACCATTTTTTAACATGTATTCATTCAATATATATTAAGCAACACTACTCGCTCCAAGATAAGAGAGGGAGATATTTGGTGTTCAAGATAACAGCCTCTACTGTCTCATTTGACAACAGTGCTAAGGGCTACAAAGAAAGTGAAGATACAGTCTTCCCTCCAAGAGTTTACAATCTAAAAGGGTAGATGAGACATGACTATAAGAAAAGGTAAATGGCACGTATATGAACAATCAGTTCATTATTACTCAGTAAGTGCCAATAAACAATACCAAAGACACCACAAAAAAACAACTTTTTGCAAAGAATTTGATATATTCCAAAAAAAACACTTAAATTGTAATGGTGAGAAAAATCCAATTTTATGACCCTAATTTCCACATGGTTTTATATTTTAGTATTGTTTTAAATACATGGAGAAGTGGCCCCATCATCCTTCATGAGTTCTCAGGAACTCTAAAAAATCTCAAATCTGCCACCTAAACCACTGCTTCAACCCAAATCAGGCCTCCTTTGTTTTCTCTGCAGCATGGGTAAATAAGTAAGCTTGTGCTGAACAGAAACTGAAACAAAATTTCACAGGACAACTTTCTAACTAGAAAAGATCACGTGAGGAGAATACCATTAAGTACTGCTTCATTTAAAGAAGAAACAAGTGAGCAAAATGGTTTAACTACCATTATATATTTAATCTGGCCAATACTTACAAGTAATAACTAAAATGATAAATTACAAGGTCCAGAACTTTGCAGAAAAGATTAAGACAGCGTCTCATAGCCTCTAATCTCACATCCACCATATGTGGTCAAAGCTAAGACATATTTCCCAGATTATTAAGAAGTTCTCTACCTAATTAATATTTCACCAAGAATTCCCAAAACTCTTACAATGTAGCATGTGCAAAGATTGTATCCAAGAAATGTATCAATAAATAAATGAGGACAGGTGGAAATGTATGCTAAAAGAAAACTATTAAAGCAATGACTATTATTTATACTTAGCATTTTTATAGTCACTTTCACCAAACTTTCTCACAGTTGCAGGGAGGTGGGTTAGAAAGTAACAAAACGAAACAACAACAACAACAAAAAACTTCTCATATATCATGAAGTCTATAACCCAGAATTCTACGTAGACTTTAAAACTTCATAGTTTCAATGCGTTAAAGTTCTTAAGAAAACTGTAATTCATTATAATCTGAGTTCTATACTTCTCCACAGTATCCAAGAATAGTTGGATCTGATATTATTGCATATCCATGAGCCTTACACTGCAAGGAGCTTGCAGTGATATTAGAAAAACAAGAATTTGTTTTTAAACGTACCATCAGCTTCTCCTTTTACAGACAAGCCACATAAAATCTGACAGGTTTACAGACGAAGGAAAAAATACAAACACAAGCACACACCCATATAAATACGTTTTAACAAGCTCTCTCACTTACCCTCTAGGTACATTTTAATTCAAATAAATCTTTGAGTACTGACAAATCTATATAAAACCCTCTTCGTGTTAGGAACCACCTTAAATGTGTATGTGTTAAATATGTTTAGAAAGAAGCCAGGAAGATATTTGCACTTAACCCTAGCCTAGTTCCATGACCCACTTTTTTTTCTTCTTTAAACGTTGTTGGACAAAAAATGTCATGAGTATTTTCTCTCAATATTTCTCCTGTAAGTGTATGGAAGTCATAAATAAGAGTTAAAAAAAAAAGAGTTTAAAGGTATTTCTCTTTTTTTCCTTAAAAAAAGTTAGCTTGCTTTTTATCTTCCAATTACTTACGGGCAAAGTTCCATGGGCCTGTGGGGGTGTAGAGTGCTTAAGTGCAGATAAATCAATACTGAGCTTGTAAGTACAATACTATTATGAGTAATAACAATGACATCCTATTAAATGTACTTTTAAAAATAGCTTATTTTCAATACACTTCTTGATTTTTTTTAAACCGAAGGCTGTATTCTACTGAACAGCCTACTTCAAGGACAAGCTTGCAAAAAAAAAAAAAAAAAAAAAAAGAATTTGCTATCAGGATACCTACTTACAACACCCTAAGATGTCATTATTCCACACAAATTAGCTTATTTTCTTGTGTTTTCCTCTAATTATCAAAGGCTATATAATCCACGAACCCTTTCCCCAAATCAAAATAACTCCAGATCACCTCAAGGTAGGAGGTGTTTAAGAAAACAAGCCAGAATTAGATAAAGTAAAACTTACTTTATTAAATAGGATGGACACCACTTCTCCCAAGAGAACTGTCTCCAAAAGTAAACAAGAAAGATCAATCTGGTAAACTCACATCATACAGGTTCCCGTGTAAGGTATCGGGTTCAGGCAGGTGGAAGCCAAATGATCGTAATTAAAGTTAATTAACAGGCCAGTCGTCTTAACGTGGTTAACAAGCAGGGTGCGGGGCAGCACAGACACCCGGGCAAATTCATGATCTCTACCGAGTAAATAACTTGGTGCCTGAAACTCACTACAGCTTCTTCTTATTTAAAGGTAGGGGAGAGGAATGGAGGGAGTGTCCAGCTGTCTATCCGGATCCTCACCCTCCCGGGTCAAATCCCAGAAGTGGAGTTCTTGGATCACTTACCGGCTTCTGGTTTCCTTTCAGACGCCCACACGCGGGAGCGAAATCCAAGGGGCGGACACCAGAGCCGAGCACTTTGCGCTGAGGAAATTTACCCGGTGAAGTGTCGAAAAGCCCCAGCCCCTCCAGACAGGGTCCTCCCACCCCCGCGTGGGCCATCCCGGCCCAGCCTTCCCGAGGCCCCGGGTACTCGCCTTGCGCTCGGGTCGCGGAGTTCGAAAAGCGAGGTGAGGCGGCGCTGGGAAGCTCAGCGCCGGCGTCTCTCCCAGCCTTGGGCGCTCGGTCCTCGCCCCTCTGCCGGAGGCGCCAGGCCTCCTCTTTCCCGGTCCCCGCCGGCTGTCCGCAGTCGCCTCTGCTGCCTGGCGGCGGCCGCGCGGGCGGCGCTGTTAGTGGGGCCGGCGTGTCGCGGCCGCCGCACCTGGAGGCGGGGAGCGCGGGCCGCGGACCCGCGCTCAGCTCCGGAAACGCCGAGCCCGGCGCCCGCGCCTTGCTCAGGTGCTCCCGCGCCTCGCCTCGGCCGCCGCTTCCTCTCCGCCCGCGGGGGCGGGGAGCAGGCGCCCCGCGCGGGGGAAGCCGGAGCTCAACGGCGGGGGCGGCCCAGCCGGCCTCCCTGGTTCCGCAGCATAGTTGGGTGACTGACTCAGACCGCCGCGACTTGGCCGCGCCTGGCACCCTCGCCACCTGGCGCACCTCGGCCCGGAGGCGTCAGACCCCGCTGGGGAAGCTGCGGGGGCGCGCCCTGGAGCCCAGAGCGACAGGGGCATTACCCACCTTCCCGGGACGGAGATGCCCAGGACCTTGTGTTGGCTCCTCCTGGCCAGTGGGTTTGTCTGTGCGCACTCATGGGGGGTTGAATGTCAAATGGGCGGAACCTCGCCACGACTGATTATTAGTATTACTCTTCCAAGTACTTAAAGTGTTAGCTCAGCGTTTCCCAAACTGAAGACTCATCTAGGGCACTATTTTCCCCAGGCTGCTTCTATGTAAATTTGCTCCTTCTTGCACCTGTGGCGGTTAGATCCCAGAGGGGCATTTCCCCTTTGAGTTGGACTCTGACAAAGGAGGCAGCGAAGGAAAATAGGGGATCCCAAAGAACCCTTGTGGACCTCCAAATATCTAAGCGTCCGTAAAATCCAGTTATTTGCAAGTGAGTTCACAGACCAACTACTTTTTTTTTTTTTTTTTAGACAGGGTCTCACTTTGTCACCCAGGCTGGAGTGTAGTGAGGCAATCTCAGCTCATTGCGCCTCCGCCTCTGGGTCCAAGCTATCCTCCCACGTCAGCCTCCCAGGTAGCTGGGATTACAGGCGCGCACCATCAGCCAAGGTAATTTTTTTTGTATTTTTGGTATAGACGGAGTTTCGCCTTGTTGCCCAGGCTGGTCTCAAACTCCTGACCTCAAGTGATCCACCTGCCTCGGCCTCCCAAAGTGCTGGGATTACAGGCGTGAGACACTGCCCCCTACCAGCTTTTTTTTTTTTTTTTATAAACATCTCCCACAGACTACCTGAAATTCTCTTCATTAAAAGGTGAAATGTATTTATCTTTCCCCTGTTCCTGTTGATGGAAGTGAAGCAATTAAGGAAAGCGCAGACCTTATGAAAATGAGATAATTGGTGAAGTGCGGAAAGAGAGAGGCTTCCCACAAGCCTGGGCCCTTAGGATTCTTCAGTCATCACCTTCACCCACACTAACTACCTGCCCAAAGCACCGTCTTTCCCTGGGGAGACTCTGAAGCAGCTCTGTCTTACTAGAGACACCAAATATCCAGTTCCTTTTGAACTTAATACCTCATAGCCGACCTCATTTCCACCAGGAAAGTTTTATTGACATTTTCCAAACCACGGGAACTTTTTCTCTGGATTCCTATAGCATTTATAGGAGGAATTTTATTTATGTGGCTCTTTTCTGGCTTCATTCTCTGTGTGTGTGTGTTTCTTTTGTTCTTTTTCCCTTTTCCCTCTCCAAATTCTCACATACTTCTCTCTTTTTTTTTATCTCTCTCTTTTTTGTTTTTGTTTTTGTTTTCGACTGAGCCCCGCTGTATCGCCCAGGCTGGAGCGTGGAGAGCAGTGGCGCGATCTCAGCTCACTGCAGCCTCCGCCTCCTGGGTTCAAGCCATTCTCCCGCCTCAGCCTCCTGAGTAGCTGGGATTACAGGCATGCACCACCACGCCTAGCTAATTTTCGTGTTTTTAGTAGAGGCAGGGTTTCACCATGTTGGCCAGGGTGGTCTGAAACTCATGGCCTCAAGTGATTCGCCTGCGTTGGCCTCCAGAAGTGCTGAGATTACAGGCGTGAGCCACCATGCCTGGCTCTATTTTTATCATTGTAAGCCATCTTCGGTCCTTCTCTAAACAAGGTGGGTTATAAATAAAAATTATTAGATCAGTTATCTTATGTGTGGGAGGTTCAATCATTGCTTTGTCCTCAAGTTACTTCGCTTGGTAGATTTTATAAACTAATTGAGAAATTGTCTCTCTCCCTCTTCGCAAAAATATCTTAGTTCTTTGATTATTATTCAGTCATTTATTCTTTAAAAATTATTAATCACTGTTTGGCATTTTGAAAATACAGTGTTTAGCAAATACAATGCAATCTCTGGATTTATGTTTTCTGAGGGGAAATAAAGGTAAATGCTACAAGGTACAACAATGACTTCATAATAGCCCTGGGAAATAAAGAAGAACAATGCTCACTTATTGAATGTATACATTAGTTATAAGATGTATTCTGGTTTAATGAATCTTAATATATGGAGGAAAATAAAAATGTCTGAGGAAATACGGCAAAAGCTATCTTTTATTAATTGATCGATAGTCACCAGACTCTAGTCAAATACCTAACATATATGCTGTGTATACACAACGTGTGTGAGTTAAAATTCTTTTTTCAATTTTATAAATATAGGTTTAATTGAAACTTAAAGAGGTTAAGTAGTAAATAGTGAATACATTGAATACATTTAGGCTATATTCTTAGGGTATAAATTTTTTATTTTGCAACCTTCACAGTGAGGTATTCAGAGAGCAAAGTACACAGGGAAATTGGCTTTACAAGGATTAAGGTATGGGCCAGGCACAGTGGCTCAGGCCTGTAATCTCAGCACTTTGGGAGGCAGAGGCGGGCAGATAACCTGAGGTCTGGAGTTCGAGACCAGCCTGGCCAACATGGCGAAACCCCATCTCTACTAAAAATACAAAAAAATTAGCTGGACATGGTGGTGCATGCCTGTAATCCCAGCTACTCAGGAGGCTGAGGCAGGAGAATCGCTTGAACCTGGGAGGTGGAGGTTGCAGTGAGCCGAGATTGCACCATTGCACTCCAGACTCCAGCCTGGACAATGAGACTGAAACTCCATCCCCTCCCCTCCAAAAAAAAAAAAAAAAAAGGTAAGAAAATATGTTTAATCTCAAGACCATTGGAACATATATTCCCAGTAATTTTCATCTAGGCTGAAATGATTCCACAATGACGAGCTCCTGCACATTTTTCCCAGATTTTTAGTAAAAAAGCAGGTAAAGATGTGTCTGTGCCTATCTATGTATTTACTATTGTGATCTCTTGTTGCTTTACTTGTCGAGGAGACAATTTGAGAGAGTGAAAATCTTCCTCCTCTCCTCCTCCTCCTCACTCTCTCCTCTCTCCCTCCTTTTCCTCCTTCTACTTTTTCTTACAACATGATGGCTAATACCCATTGAGCACTGTGTGCCAATTGCTGTTCCAGGCATTTTAATTACAAGAGCTCATTTAAGTATCTCAGCAGTTCCTTGGAGAGATGTTATCTCCTTTATAAGAAAACTTAAGAGACAGAAAAATTGAATGCTTTACACAAATCAAACAATTAGGACTGTACGGGAGGGAGAATTCCAACCCAGTCTTCTCCAGGATCTATTCTGCACTGTATTGTGTCTTGAAGAAAGTAGAAGGCTTGGAAAAGGCTGCATTCAAGATGGAACCAGTATAGGTTGCGGCATTTTTTTAAGCAAATTCATTAACTTACCTGAGCCTCAGTTTCCCCATATGTAAACTGAGAATAATAATACCTATGAGAATTTAATATGATTATATATCTACAGCACCTAAAAAAATAGTAACCCCTCAATGCATTTACTTTTAGTTTATCTTCTCAAATTATTCTTCAAGATTTGATTCAAATCCTACCTCCTTCTCAAGACTTTCAAAATCTCTGATACTCGGAAATATGTACACAACAGGATTTAAAATAATCTTTCCTTTTTTTTTTTCTAAAAGAAAATCCAGTATTGCTTTTGCCAAATATGAAAATTAGGTATATAGATAAAATAAGCAAATGTCTACTTATTTAATTCATCAATTTAGATGAATATCTATAGAAGTAAAATTATATTTTAAACTATACTGTTATTTCCACTTATATTTTATGAAATATTTAATTCACATTTTCAAATTTTAACATTCAACGACTTCATCACTATGGGCTGATTTTTTTCTTTTTTCCTTTTTTTTTTTTTTTGAGACATAGTCTCATCACTCTGTCACCCAGGCTGGAATGTAGTAGTGCAATCTCGGCTCTCTGCAACCTTCACCTCCTGGATTCAAGTGATTCTCCTGCCTCAGCCTCCTGAGTAGCTGGGATTACAGGTATGCACTGCCATGCCTGGCTAATTTTGTATTTTTAGTAGAGACGGGGTTTCTCCATGTTGACCAAGCTGGTCTCAAACCCCTGGCCTCAAGTGATTCGCCCACCTGGACCTCCCAAAGTGCTGGATTACAGGCATGAGCCACCGAACCTGGCCACTACAGGCATATTTCTGATATATATTTTTTGTTGCTTTTCTGTATACCATCTCAGCCCTATCCTTCAGCCCTGCTCCCAGGGATCCACTCCCCAGTAAAGAGTTCACATATAGGTTTTTGCCTCAGGCTGTATTTTCTGGGGGAGCTTTGGCTAAGACGTTTTTCATCACATCCTCTTATATTTATTTGTTCAGTAGCTTATTCTCTGCTTTAGATACAAGCTTTCTTTTTGGCCTGGAAAAAGGTAAATTCTTTTTTAAAGTTTTAATTGACAAAAATGTATATATTTATAATGGACAACATGTTTTGAATATGTTTACATTGTAGAATGGCTAAAACTAGATAGTTAACATATGCTCTACCTTGCATTCTTTTTTTTTTTTTTGTGGTAAGAACACTTAAAATCTACTTTCTCAGGGATTTTTAAGAATACAGTACATTGTTATTAACTTTAATCGCCATATTGTGTGCTAGATCTCTTGAACTTATTTCTTCTATCTAACCAAAATTTTGTATCCTTTCGCCAGTATCACCCCAACTCCCCCCTTTCCCAGCCCGCTAAGTACCATTCCACTCTCCTATAAATTCAGCTTTTTTAGATTACATGTGTAAGTGAGATAACACAATATTTGTCTTTCTCTGCCTTGTTTATTTCACTTAACATAATTCCCACTAGGTTCATTTACATTGTCACAAATGATATGATTTTCCTCTTTTTTAAGGCTGAATAGTATTCTGTTGTGTATACATGCCACATGTTTTTTAATCCATTGATTCACTGATAGTCACAAGTTGATTCCATATCTTAGATATTGTGACCCGTGCTGCAGTAAACATGGGAGTGCAGATACCTCTTCAACCTCAGGAGTTTAGTAGTTTGCCATTCAGATTAATGTACAATAATGGGAGGAAATATAGAAATAATAAATAAATTATGACACATATATTTTTGTACCAGGCATTGTGACACATTATTAGCTTTGTAAATTCTCTCAGCAGGGCTAGGAGGTAAGTAATATCAGTATCTCCCTTTTAGCCAATGATGAAACTGAAAGGTTATCCAAGAACTCACGAGTAGTAAATAAGGTAATCAGGCATTGAGATAATGTGAATTCAAAGTACATGCATTAAGTATTATGCTGTGATGCCTCAGAGAAAGCTTTTTAACATTTTGATAATAAGGACCTTTTGTTCTGAGACACTATTTATTTGGGGGAAATGATGTACCTTATATTTAGGAATTTATAATACTCTCTCCTGATTCTCCTACTGCCCTTTTTTTAAAAAATCTCTATTGAGTACTCTTGTCAGTCAGTCTTGCATTATGCATACTTGGAATACTTTATTTATTTATTTATTTATTTTTATTATTTTATTTTATTTTATTTTATTTTATTTTTTGAGACAGAGTTTCGCTCTTGTCGTCCAGGCTAGAGTATAATGGTGTGATCTCAGCTCACTGCAACCTCTGCCCCCCGGGTTCAAGTGATTCTCCTGCCTCAGCCTCCCCAGTAGTTGGGATTACAGGTGCCTGCCACCACGCCCAGCCAATTTTTGTATTTTTAGTAGAGATAGGGTTTCACCATGTAAGCCAGGCTGGTCTCAAACTCCTGACCTCAAGTGATTCTCCTGCCTCGACCTCCCAAAGTGTTAGGATTACAGGCGTGAGCCACTGTGCCCAGCCTGGAATATTTTTATTACTATTTGTATTCCCTGAAGTACCCAACCTAGAGCTTTAGGTAAATGTTTGTTTTTATCAAGTTTGAAATGTTTATATTCATTATGTTGACTGCTTTCAGTTCCTTGTTACAAGCTATGAGTTACTTTGAAAGTTTTATTCATTCTTTCTTGAGGCAAGAGAGCAGTTCAGTGAGATGGCACTGCAGGTTACCCTAGACAAAGGAGCAGTGAAAACTATTCAGTCAATTCAATCATTGACCAAAAATTGATGGTATTGTGGAAATAATTTATTTTTAAATATAAGGTTTTAAAAAATCATTTTAAAGTTTAAAGAAAAGTAAAAAGTTTTCCTATAAAATTAATATTTCAGAAACTCATTTAAGCACTATAGATGAGAGTGTTTCATTAATACTAATATGCATATTTTTACACTTCTTCTGAAAGAGGAATTCATCTTAAAATGAATTACTGTTGGCCAGGTGGCAGTCACAACATAATTGTCACTGCCTACACGCTCCTGAACTTGATCAAAAATGTTTTATATTGTCATCACTTCATTTGAGTTACTTGCATCAACAGTGCTGCATATGTTGAGTTCGTGACTCAAAACATCTTCAAAAAATTGCACTGGGTTTCCGCAGAAAGATAAGGAAACAGAGCAGTGTGATTTTGTGTGATATTTGATAAAAATCTATGTCTAAAAAATCTCAAAGAACGTTTTTGTAGATATACAGTGTATAAAAATTCTAAGTAATTATTTATTTTAATATTAAATTTTAAATTTGCATTTTAAATTCGTTGACATCCAGTAGTTTCTGCCACTGCTAACATAAAAATCTAGTTTTATTTTTCTATGGAAAAAATGTTTCCTAAGAAAAATCATTGCATGGGAGAAAATATTTGCAAATTATGCATCTGACAAAGGTCTCATGTCCAGAATCTGTAAAGAACTTAAGCAATTCAAGAAGCAAAAAACAAATAACACCATTAAAAAGTGGGCAAAGGACATGAGTAGACATTTCTCAAAACGAGACATACAAGTGGCCAACAAAAATATGAAAAAAAAAGCTCAACATCACTAATCATCAAAAATGAAATACAAATGAAAACCAGAAATGTAAATGAAAACCGTAAGATACCACCTCACACCAGTCAGAGTGGCTATTATTATTAAAATGTCAAAAAATAAATGATGTTGGTGAGGCTGCAGAGAAAAGGGAATGGTTATACACTGTTGGTGGGAGTGTAAATTTGTTCAGCCACTGTGAAGAGGAGTTTGGAAATTTCTCAAAGAGCTAAGTTGAACTACCATTCAAACCACCAATCCCTTTAATGGGTATATACCCAAAGGAAAATAAATCATTCTACCAAAAAGATGCACGTGCTCATATACTCATCTCATTACTATTCACAATAGCACAGACGTGGAGCAAACTTAGATTCCCATCAAGGGTGGATGGATAAAGAAAATGTGGTACATATACAACATAGAATACTACTTAGCAATAAAAAAGAACAAAATGATGTCTTTTGCAGCAACATGGATACAGATAGGGGCTGTTACCCTAAATGAATTAACTCAGAAACAGAAAACCAAATATTGCATGTTTTCACAAGTGGAAGCTAAGCATTGGGTACCTTTGGACATAAAGATGACAGCAGTAGTCACTGGAGACTTCTAGATGAGGAGAAAGAGTAGGGGGGTAAGGGCTACAAAACGACCTATTGGGTACTATGCTAACCACTTGGTGATAGAATCATTCACACCCCAAGCCTCAGAGTCAAGTAACAAACCTGCGTATATACCACTTGAGTGTGAAAGAAAAGTTGAATTGTAAAGAAAAAGAAAACAAAAATTATTCCTAAGAAAAATGAAAGAAAACCTAATTTTTGCCCAATGGATTTATAGACAGAATACATTGACTGTATATAAATTCATTGCTTCCACTTTAATGTGTCAGTTCTTCTCATGTATGTCTGTAGTTGAGTTTACTAAACACATGAAAAAATGGATTTATTTGTGCTGTGGCTTGAAAATACTGTGTAGTTCCATTTTTTCCTTTTTATGAAAAATGCTATACTTAAAATAGATAATTAGCTTTAAAAGCTCTTCTGACATCAAGAAAAAAAAATGGAAGAGGAATTTGGAGAAGCAAAAGACAGGTAGAAATGCAAAAGCAACAGCTAGAAATAGATTTCTTATAAAGCACTGAAATTCAGCTGTTAAAACTTATTTGAAAAGCACAGAATAATATCAATGTAAAAGGTAAGTGAAATACACTAAAAGTATTAATAAAACCTCAGACCACAAGACAACTGTTCTAAAAGCAGAGGTCACAAACTAACTGCCTGTGAGTAGCATGAAGGCAAAAAGTTCACAGAATGATTCAGACCACAGAAATTTTTTAGTTTTCAAAATGTATATTTTCATTTTAAAATAGGAATTTTAGCTTCTCTTGAAAAAAAAATTAGATGGCCTGCTAGTACTACATTCACACTTGCCAAAGCAAGTCTAAATGGATTGGAGGCTGGGTGGGGTGGCTCATGCCTGTAATCTCAGCACTTTGGGAGGCTGAGGCTGGTGGATCACCTGAGGTCAGGAGTTCGAGAACAGCCTGACCAACATGGTGAAAACCCATCTCTACTAAAAATACAGATTAGCTGGGTATGATGGTGCATGCCTGTAATCCCAGCTACTTGGGAGGCTGAGGCAGGAGAATCGCTTGAAGCCAGGTGGCAGTCCAAGCCTTACAGTGAGCCAAGATTGTGCCATTGCACTCCAGCCTGGGCAATAGAGTGAGACACCATCTCAAAAAAAAAAAATGGATTGGAAAACTGGCTGCCCTTTTTGGGCAGGACATGCACTGTTTAGTTTGCTATAGTCCCTCCTCACCCTGTTTCTCCTTGGGGTTATGACTCCAGTGCTGTGGAGGTTGCAACTAGGAGATGTTACCTGAAATTATAATCCATTAAGGACAAACAGTATGAGCAACCTTTGAGGCAAGCTTATGAATTTCTGAAATGGAAGTCTTACAAATATACAGTCCAGATCAAAATGTAATACCCAACACATTAAGACTATTTTATCGGCACAAGCAGAAGCAGTACAATCATAATAGGTACCATCTACTGAGTTCTTAAGTCAAATTACATGTCAAACGCCTTACAGCTATTATTCAACTAATTTTTATAGATATTTTGTGATGAACCACAAAGATATGGTGGTAAGCAAAGTAGATCTACTTCACTCTCATTTTAGAGCTTACAGAATGATTGCAGAGCAAATATTACCCAAATAATCACACAAATGTGTATATATGTATATGTGTGTGTATGGCATATACATGTATTATGAATACACACAAATATTACATATCACATGCTGTATGTATGGTATACATATATAAATCTATATTACATAGACTCCATAGCATACCTAGGCATGCATACATACATATTTCCATGTGTATACATTTCCATGTATAATTATGTTTAAATCATATGAATATGGTTATATTTGTCTCTAACCTCAAAAACAGTCAGTGCATATGGTTCAAGTTCACAAATTTTAGTTGAGATGGAGGAAATGCTTTTTCAGTCTTTAGTTCAGATGGAGGGAGTTTCTAACCCTCCTAACTTTTTTTGCCTTCTCTGCATTCCACTCCACACCTTCAGCCTGTGATAGGTCAGTAATTTATTTTTTGGTGGTTTGGAAGGAGGCACTGGCCCGATGATCCCTTCTCCTTCATCTCCTCTTTCTTTTTGTGTGGGCTGCCCTCAGAAAGCCAGAATTCTGTGTTGCTCTTCCAAGCTATAAGACCTATGGGAAGTTTGGATCTAACCATAGCTTCCAGAGCCTGACATGCCTAAAATTAATAAAAGAAGTATTGAATTACTCTTCTGCTTGATTCTTGTCTGTCTGTCCATTCATTTCAAACCAGGTACCACAAACATTTGTGGTAAATATTAAAAACAACATTATATGCTACAGAAAAATAAGGAGAAGGGATGATTTTTGATTGGTAAATATGAAAAGTCCTTTTAAAGCAAGTGACATTTAAACTGAGATGTGAAGGCTGGGTGGGAGGGAGCTATGTGTGCTGTGAGGAGGAGGGCGGAGATGTGTTCTAGGCAAAAAAGAGAATTTGTGAAACCTTGGAGGCAGCAAAAAGCAGGAACTTCGGAGGAACTGAAAAAGAAAAAAAGCTTTCAGCTAGATAGTGAATAGAGTAGACAAGATGAAGTTGGATGTACAGGTAGCTACATCATGTAGGGCCTTAGAGGCCATGTTCAGGGGTGGAGATTTTATCAAAAGGACAATAGAAAGTCATTGAGTGGATTTAAGAGGGGACAATGTAATTCACTTTATTTCCTTACCTTATAAAATCTTCAAAATAACCTTTAATGAAAGATACTGTTATTATGCCCATATTTCAGCTAAACACATGGAGATGCAGGGAGATTAAATTTCAAATGCATTACTAGATAGCTCATATATGATTTCAGGGCCATCTTTTCACCCACTCTACCATAGTGGCATACCATGTGTGCAAAGAAGTCCACAGTCGTCTAATCTATAGAATTGTCATGGCATATGAGCATTTATAGACCATAACATAACAGATAATACATAGGAATAATTAATCTTTTTGAGGTCTTCATAAAATTATTTTGTATTTATAATTCAATACTTCTGGGTTTAGAGAAATAAAAAGGACATCCAGTGAATTCATCCTTCCATTTTCTACAGTCGAATTCTAAGCAATTAGGGAAGATTTAATTTGTTTTAATGTGAGATGCCCCTTTTGTTTTATATAAACAAATTCAATAATTATCCCCAAACCAAGTAACTAAAAATAGATTGGAGGAAGGGGAACAGAGAATAAGAATATGTCAGCACTTCATGAAAATTTTTTGGTAGATTGGACAGTAAAGATGCTAACCTAATTACTTTCCCTGTAGCTAGTTCCAGAAATTGACACGATTTAAAAAGACATTAATCATTGACTTAATGTACAGTGTGTACATCAGTTGCTAGTAACTTGTATGCCAGTGAAATCTGCTGTTCTTACTTTAGAAAACAAAAATCCATATATCCTGTTTTTCTATCTGAAAAGGTAGCGTTCTCAATTTCTCTAAAACACATTTTTTTTAGAAAAGGTATCTATCTGCCATTTGATCATTTTTCTATGTGTGAAATATGACATACCATCTCGGTTATGCTGAACAGCAGGTGCGCAGAGCTTCAAAGGCCTAACTCACAGGTTTGCATTTCCTTCACTCCACATGGCTTCTGTGGCATCCTGTGTCATGTTTTGTGTTCTTTCCTGTGGAAACTCTCATACCCACATTACTTCAGTCTAGTTTAGCAATCAGAAAACATGGTGTCTGCCCAGTAGATTTTGCAAACATTTTAAGGAAACTGTGGTAGTCATGCTTGATTGAACTGTTCTTTCTTTCACTTATAAAGGAACTACTGCTCATGCCTTCATTCAGCCATGAATGCTTGGCTTTTTAAAAACAGTTTCTAGGACACTAAAAAAAGGAGATTTTTGTTTTTCATTCATCTCCAAAAAAAAAAAAAAAAACAAAACGAAACAGCATAGGAAATACTCCTTTTATTCTCTGGGTGAAGACAGTTTTTACAAAGCAATTTTTTTAATAAAAGAAAGCAACTTAATTTATTAGATTATCTTTATAATCTACAGAGTGAACTTCTAAATAAAAAGCAAAACATTTGAATAATTATTAGATGGGTAAATGTTTTATTGAGACAGCAGAATTGAACAGGGAACAATGAAATATAAAGAACTGAAGTTTTTCTTTTATTGTCCCTTCCAAACTGTGCTTCTGAACTTACACTTCTCCTGCCCCCAAATGAAATATAGGGTGGGTCTCCTAGGTCTTCTCATCTGTGTCAATGACAAGAAAATTTATATTATAAAAGTGTCTGGTCTAATCTAGTATGCAAGACTATCTCTAGTATAGTTCATTCATTATAAAGCCTACTGTACTCAGTCACCACCCCTCTCTTACAAGCCTACTTTAAATTGGAAAGCCTGTCTCGCTTGTTTCGGTGTGGTGAGTGAAATGGAGAAGGCTAAACTTTTTCTTCCCACATGCTCACTTCCTTGCTTGTTCGCTAGCTGCTGCATCTGGCCCCTCAAGGGTAAAGTCAAGGGGAAAAGGAGATTGAGAGGAAGGACAGTCTGTGAATTGGTGAGTGCAATTGTAATTTTCTGGCGCTTACTTTCTCTTTTCTACTCCATCCCCCACCCACCACCGGCCAACCACTGCTAGAGTCCGGAGTCCTCCAGCTGCTCCTGAGATTCTGGGAATACTTCCTCTCTAGCAGCAGCTTTTAACATCCCTCTTGGGTCCCTTTTTGGTGCATTAAGTTTCTTTAATAAATTAAGTGTCCCCAGAGGCCTACTGCAATCTTCTCTCATAGTCCCTACAGCCTCTAGTAAAGTTCAAGATACACTGCTGGCATTTGCCTCTGATGTGTGAATTGATGTCCTACCTTCTTCAGTGCTGAACCTCAAACTTGCTTTGCACACTATATCTGGCATAAACTAAGAATAAGAGATAAGAGCCTTTGCCCAAGTATATCATTCAGGAGACTGGAGTTAGAAAAAAACAAGCCACTACATCAACAAGGCTGGAGTTTTTTATTATTAAAGGAGTGTGTGCATACACGTATGTGTGGGTAGTCATATTTATTAAATACTACCCATATGCAAGCCCAGTACATAAATAACTTTATTATTAATAATAAAAACTAATACTAATTTATAACTAATACTAGGGTTATATTTTTTATTATACACACACACACACACACACTCACACACATATATATATATTTTTTTTCTTTTTTCTTTTTTTTTTTTGAGACGGAGTCTCGCTCTGTAGCCAGGCTGGAGTGCAGTGGTGTGATCTCGGCTCACTGCAACCACCTCCCAAGTTCAAGTGATTCTTCTGCCTCAGCCTCCCGCGTAGCTGGGACTACAGGCGCACGCCACCATGTCCAGCTAATTTTTTTTGTAATTTTAGTAGACACGGGGTTTCACCATATTGGCCAAGCTGGTCTTGATCTCTTGACCTTGTGATCCACCCGCCTCAGCCTCTCAAAGTGCTGGGATTACAGGCATGAGCCACTGCCCCCGGCCAGTTTATATTTTTTAAATACTATCCATATTCAAGCCCAGTACATAATCTCTTTTTTATTATGAATAATAACTAATACTAATACTAATTAATAACTAATACTAGGGTTATATTTATTAAATACTACCCATATGCAAGCCCAGTACATAAACTATCTTTTTCAATCCTCACAGCAACTCCATGAATTAGATTCTATTACTAGCCTCATTTTATAAATGAGGGTATTTAGGAGGTTTAAGAGTTAACTTGCTTAAGGTCACCTACTTTGTAAACAGTAGAGCTGGAACTCAAGTTTAGTATCACTGTCAGATGCATAGCTTAGCTCACTGTAATTACCATATCAGACCAACTCCCTATGGGACTGGAGTTTATTAGTTTAAATAGTGACTGGAGCTAGACTATTAAAATGGCTTCTTGCATCCATAGCCAAAAGTTAGCCCAGATAACAGACTTCAACAGCAGCTTTCATCTATGCTATTGATAGAAATCTTTCACTGAGTGTGGTGTGTCCTGGGTATAGGCCTTCACACGATGATAATTTTCTTACTAAACAATGTGAAACAATAACAAGAGCCACGTCTTCAAAGCATTCCATCCACTCCCTCACATATCTTCTCATGTATCAATAATATAGCCAATAATTACTGATTGGAATTTCTTTTGACAAATTTGTAATTTAGTTATGATTTCTCAGAATCTAGCTATGCATTCTGAATTCTAATTTTCAATTAGGTTCCTTGTGGCATCATTGAGCATTGAAAATAATTTTATGACTTGTAACAGCTCATGAGAAAATAAATGGGTTCAGTCAATAACATTACCAGGCAGGTCATCCACAAGCCACAATAATATCATGGAGAATTCAAAGCAAATGGATTTGCTTACTAGGCAAGATAGCATGTCAAAGCCTTGAACAAATTAAGGTTCTTGGCTATTAGGCCTACAGGGACCTCAGTTGCAAGGTTCAGTGAGGGCAAAAGCCAGAACTGGGACTGAGGGCAGAACCTTGCAATAGTGATTATTTTAATGCATAGTGTCTAAGGGTGTTTAAGGAGCAAGAAATAGATCCAAGAAAACATCTGACTAATGGTTAATCTGTTGGGACAGTTATGTCAGCAGAAACCCATGAGGCTTTCCAATGACCTTCCTTAAGCCAATCAAACAATAAGCATTTCCAAACTACGGTTTTATATTAGGTATATGTAGTGCTTTATAAAAACAAGAGCTACTTGATCATGTAATCCTAGAAAATCCTTCAATCAATACTCTTTTCTGGAGATCTGTGGCTTACCTTCACCATGTTAAAGTCTTCAAGGGATTCCTGCTGGAAAGAAAGCTGTTTAATCTTGTTTAGTTTAGCATTTCCCAAATGTATATGATCAGGAAACCATCTTTTTGTACAATGTGTTTAGTTTACTGAACCACATTTTGAAAAAAAAATGGTCCAATATAATTAGGGAATCTCATAGCCAATAGGTAGCAGTCACAGAAGATTACTGAATATTACTTCTTGCAGCAAAGCTATTGAAAACTTTCTGGTGGGCATGAATTAAGACTAAATGATCATTAAAATGTTACCAGCAGGCAGATATTCTAGATGTCTGTTCAAAGTCCATAGACTTCAAGCTAGAAGTAGGGCTAACAAGCTCATTTGAGAATTATAGAGCCCCTACAATATGGGCCTCTGTAGGTCAATTCTATGAAGAGTTGGATTGACCAACTCTTCATAGAAATGAAATGAGAAAGTCCCTAAGGATAAATCTAAAACATTTACTTAAAAATTAATCGTGAATGCAATCTTCTCACAGCCAATTAGTAGTTAAGATCATAAAGCTCTATCCTATGGAAAAATTTAACCTAGAAAATTTGTTAATGGATGGTAACAAATGTCAATAAAAGTCCTAAAAGATATCACTGTAAGTATCCTTAGGACACGCAGTCTTGAAAAACATAACTTCCAAAGAAACTTTTGAGATAGTTATTTCCCAAAAATACATCTGTATAACTGAACGGGTTGAAATACTGCTTTAATAATACTACCTCCTATTTGGGAAGGCTTATTTTGTGTCAAGTGTAGAGGCGTGCACTTAAGTGGATTAACTATCTTAACCCTCATAGCAACCCCACATTTTCTTCATTTTTTAAAAAATATTTTGTTTATTATGCCTAAAACTCAGCTTTTTCTTAATTCTTTTTTTTCAATTTTTTTATTTTTTTGAGACAGGGTCTCACCGTGTTTCCCAGGCTGAAGTACAGTGTTGTGATATCAGTTCATTGCAACTTCTGTCTTCTGAGCTCAAGCAATCCTCTTGCCTCAGCCTCTCAAGTAGCTGGGACTGACTACAGGCATGAACCACCACACCTGGCTAATTTTTTTTGTATTTTTGTCGAAAAGACAGTTTCGCCATGTTGTACAGGTTAGTCTCAAACTCCTGAGCTCAAGCTATCCACCCACCTAGGCCTTCCAAAGTGTTGGGATTACAGGTGTGAGCTACTGTGCCCAGCTGCAACCCATATTTTATAGAAGGGATAGGAACCTGAGGCTAAGAGAATTTAAGTAATTTGCTCAAAATCAAAAGGGGAGTAAGTAGTTAGGCCAAAATTAACCATTCTATTTAATAGTCCAGTATAGGATATTTATGTATATGAGTTTTATAAGTTAACAAAATTGTTTGGATGCAGCAACAAAGGACAATACAACAGTTACCTAAATAAGAAGTTTATTCTCTCTTAGTTCATGTAAGTAGTCTAGGACTAGATCCAGCTCTTTCTATCTCTTAGAGACTGACTGTATTCCTCACAATTCAAAGTTGGAGTCCTTATACCCAATGTTATGATATTAGATATAGGAAAGTGATTAGGTCATGAGAATAGAGCCCTCATGAATGAGATTAGAGCCCTTATAAAAGAGACCCCAGAGAACTATTGGGCCCTCTTTCTTCCATGTGAGGATACAAGGTGAAATCAGCAGTCTGCAGGCAGGAAGAGAGCCCTCACCGATACCCAACCATGCTGGCATCCCAATTCTAGACTTCCAGCCTCCAGAACTGTGAGACATAAATTTCTGTCATTTAAGCCACCCAGTCTATAGTACTTTGTTTTAGCAGCCTGACAACATAGCCAACCAGCCAGCCTCTCCGCCAGCCTAACATCCATGTTCTCAGCCAGCCTCCTAGCCAGCCTCTGGATCTGCCAGCCATCCAGACGGACTTTCAGCCAGTGAGCCATCCTCTCAGCCTGCCTCCAAGTCAGCCTCTCGGCCTATCTGCCAGAAAGCCTCTAAGCCAGCCAACTTGGTGGCCACCACCAAGCCAGCCTCTTTGCCAGCCTCACATCTAGTCCCTTGGCCAACCTCCCAGACATCTTCTTAGCCAGCTAGCCATCCTGCTTCTCCGCCTGCCTCCCAGCCAAACTTTTGGTCTGCTGGCAATCCAGTCTCTCAGCCAGCCGTGCAGGCTCTCAACCTGCCTTCCTGCCAGCTTCTTGCCTGCTGGACAGACTCTAAACCAGCCAATTTGCCAGCCAGCCATCAAGCCTATCAACATGCAGCATATATCCTATGGCCAAATATGTCTACTCTAGTTCTTACCATTACATCCCCTTCTCAGTTGGAAGGAAAGAAGAAAGGACACAGTATACACTTCTATAGACCAGAACTAGAAGTTGTTCATTACATTTACCCATATTCTATAGACTAGACCTTAATCAAATGGCTACGTCCAACTTCAAAGGAGGCAGAAAAATGAAATCCTTATTCTGGGCATTCATGTACTCTGTTAAATTCCAGGGTTCTGTTACTAAGAGAATAAAAGGAGGATATCTATTTGGGGATTTTATATATATATATTATATATATTATATATATATAATATATATATAATATATACATATTATATATATATATACACATACATATACATATGCAGAGTCCCAACTGGCAGTTTTTATCATAGAATCATCCACTTCTAGGCTAAACATGAATGTTCTATCAAATATTTTGATTTAGCTTTGAAGTAGTTAATACTAGGCAATCCTTACTGCTAGAAATTGAATAGCAAGGCTTTTTGCCTGGGATGGCACAAAGCTTGGGTCAATAGAAAATTATTTGTTAACAAGAATAGGAGAGTGTTGATTTTTCTGTGATCATGATGGAAAGTGCATCCAACTTCTTCAAAAGTAATATAAAGTCATTGGAAACTAGTTGCTGTTCCATCTAGAGATAACAAATACCTCCTATATTGCTGTGGTGCTATTAAGATGTAGACTGTGGTTACTAGGGCTTGTGGGGGACCAGGAGGAGGGAGAGCATCAGGATAAATAGCTAATCCATGGGGGACTTAATACCTAGGTGATGGGTTGATAGGTACAGCAAACCACCATGGCCCATGTTTACCTATGTAACAAACCTGCACATCCTGCACACGTAAACCAGAACTCAAAATTAACTTAAATTTAAAAAAATTTGTTATGTTGGAAAGAGAAAAAATAAAATGCAGAAAACAAGCAAAAAAATTTTAACTGTGGATTGTGTTAAAGCCTGAAAGATCTACACTGAGCCCATGCAGATGAGTCCATGAATAATACATGTCTGCAAGGGTCAAGGAGTAGTCATGATCACTATTGACAATCAATGGATTAATAGATTAAATGAATCATAAATAAGAAAATATAAATAATATGCTATTCACTAATTAAAACAGTCACATTGTAGGCAATAAAGAACAGTTATTCTAACTAAAAATATAAACGCACATGTGAAAACCGTCAGGCTATCTATGAGATTGTCTATAAGATTAACTTGGACTACATGTGAGAGAAAAATCAACATAACAGCAACCCATTCCAAAGTCCATGAAGATAGAATACATCAAAAACATTTTATAGACATTTCCATTAAAAGTCATTTTCTTTTGAAGATACATATACAAAAACAACTACGGAACAACAAAAAAAATTATTGCAAATATTGTAATACTAAAAGCAAATGGCTCAATGTTGAAGACTAATGTTTTCCCACATTTTGCTTACTTTAACTAATAAACACTAACTTACAGGGAATTTACCACTTTAAGAAAAATGAGTCAATTAAAAAGAGCCCCTTTATATGGCTTCGACTTATATAGAGTTCTAATGTCATTTTCTGTATTTTCATCTCTCTTTCTTTTATTTTTTTACCTTGTCAAATATTTTTCCATGCATTCACTTTGGGAGGAGCACTGTAAATAACTACAGCTCTCTTGTTTAGTACTAGAGAGCTTTTAAATCCCTTCGTATGTAATTTTCATTTACTTCTTACATTAGTAACTTTCATTTACTTACTAATGCTTATTAATACAAAGTACAATGTCTTAGAATGTCTGAAGGTCAATGTTTCTGAATTTTCTCCTGTTTTGTAAAATCCAGAAGTCCTGATTTGTAATATTTTTAACTGATGAGCATTCTCCTGCATTCTGCAGCCTTCAAGAAGCACCGAATGTAATTAACAAGTTCACTGGACCCAGCAATACCATTTCAAAATGTGTAGGTTTCTGTTTCTTAGGAGATCATGCAAACACAGTGATACTCTTTAACAAATAGAAGATGTATTCTTTTCTAAATGTTATAAAAACTTGGATTTTTAGGCAGAATTTTAATACAGAAATTTTTATACAGAATCCTAAGCGTTATGGGCTACATGAGTATATTTTATATTTGTAGTGATGGTCTCAGCTTGAAACTTAGATATTTTCACTTTTGGACATAGATAAATCTGAGCACATCTGGAGAATCAATTCTAGTGGTTTTGAAAATATTTTTGTATTAGAAGACTCCTTTGTTCAGCCGGGCCCAGTGGCTCATGCCTGTAATCCCAGCACTTTGGGAGGCTGAGGCAGGTGGATCATCTGAGGTCAGGAGTTCGAGACCAGCCTGTCCAACATGGTGAAACCCTGTCTTTTTTTAAAAAGATACAAAAATTAGCCAGGAGTGGTGGCAGGCACCTGTAATTCCAGCTACTCGGGAAGCTGAGGTGGGAGAATTGCTTGAACCCAGGAGGTGGAAGTTGCAGTGAGCTGAGATAATGCCACTGCACTCCAACCAGGGTGACAGAGCAAGACTCTGTCTCAAAAAAAAAAAAAAAAAAAAAAGAAAAGAAAAAAAGAACAGAAAAGGAAAGGAAAAAAGAAGACAACTTTGTTCAAATAAAATCGTCAGAGGAAATGAAAATAAAATAAAACAGATGAAACTGATACAGATCTGGTTGAAGTAGAGCAGGGGTGGGATGGGATCGCTTAAATTACATAATAATATTGAATAACTTAATTGAGCATCTTGAAGATACATTTTACAGGCAATTTTAGACACAGGAGAAATTATTTAATATTAGTAGCTTGACTGATAATCCCTGTTTTTATCCTCTGCTTTCCAGGATGCAAAAATCACAAGGCTCAGCTAGGTACATTTGTAGGTGCTCATGCTCTTTTAATTTTTTGACAAAATTTTGGCTCTACATATCATACATTGTGAAACAGTAGGATGAATTATTACACTGAGAAACTACAAATGAGGTACTTCATATTGCACGTGAGGTATTTTAATTTCGGTAACTTCTGGTCAAATTTCATTCTCGCATTTGGTATTTGAAACAAATGAATTCTGCTTGCTTTAATCCAAAATAGACGATATTGGACTCTGAATCCAAACTGCATAGATCTTAATCCCTGGGCTAGGCCTAAATTGCCTATTCCTTCAACACATGTTTATTACCCTTGTGCTATATCAGTCAAGTTTCAGGCAGAGGAGGAAAGTCCCTATGTGTTCTAGGAAAAAGGACTCATTATAGGAATTAGACTTTATACAATGGTGGAAGGAACTAGAAGGTGTGGGAGGATGAGTTAAAGGATCAGAAAAGAAATTAGCAAGGAGCTAATCTGAGAAGCCAAGTATATTCAGTTGCTAAATTTGAGCCACAAAGGGGAGCCCATAGGAAGTGCTCCCTGCAGAGACCAACTCTACAACTCTAGGGGTCCACAGCCAAATGTCTGGAAGTATGTCTTGAGGCCAGCATTGATCTTTAGGGCCAGTAGGCTGGAGGAAGACCTAGTAGCAGAGCAGAGAAAGAAGGCACACTGGAATCTACTGAGCACCACTAATCTATCCATTACCTCCTCAGACTGCAAAACAGCTTTCACAGACTATTGTCTGCTGTGTCACTTCCAATTTTCAAATCTTTTGCAAGCTTTTCTGTTCACTAACTCTATATTGGTAAGGGACTATATAGGTGAGGGGATTCTGGGAAACGTAGTTCTTAGTTTTACCAAGATAATGTAATAGTGTATCATAGCCTGTTCGTGTAAGAAAATGAACTAAGTAATCTGTAAAATGGGACTCATAACAGGGTATTTGAGAAGATGAAATAACATAATGCATGGAAAGCTTTTAACAAGTCACCTACTGAATATTCAAAAAATGATTTTAATTATTCTATATTAAACAAATAGACAAAAATGGGAAGTAATATGATTAACTTGCTCAAAGTGCATTAAAGCAATAATATGCATATTGCTGTGGCTCCCATGAGAATGTGCATCTCGGACCCCTGACTGCTGAGAGTGTAACTAACCAATGCCTCTAGCTGCTAAGCTCTGGAACTCATTGCCTCAGTTGCTTTAGGACCACAGTTTCTCCTTGGCTCTCAGCCAATGTCTGGGTGTGGCAGTGACACCAAGGCAGGTGTGTTGCTGGGAAACCCAGAAGTCCTTTGTGAGTAGAGATTTTTGGCTTGAGACCTCCCAGATGGCTATGTTGATCTTTTCTTAAAACCGCAGGGCTGCAGGACCCATTTAAAATGATTCCACCAAAATTAACTTCCTTCCTTGCTTCCTTCCTTCTTTCCTTTATTCCTTCCTTTCCTGTTTTTCTTTTTTAACCAAGGTCAGACCAAGCCTTTCCCAGCTCCCACCCCTTTTCTCTCTCTGGCAGTTCCCTTAATAAATTTCTTACATGTTTAATCTGGTACAGCTATTTGCTTCTTGGATGACATGGATGAACACAACTGCGAAAGAAAAATGTTAGCACACTAAGAAAATAAGGTCTAGAACCAAAGAGGGAAAAAAAGGAAAGTTAATAAACAAATAATTAATTTAGAAAAATTGACCTCTATAATTTGATTAGACCAACAAAACTGCCTGGGTGCTAATTCTAGACCTTTTTTTTCACCACATAGAGTTTCAAGATAAGAGTTTCTTTATATAGAGTTTACACTCATAGTTCACATACCCTTCCTTCCCTAACAGAAGCCAGGCTATGTCTGGAAAGTGTACTTAGAATGGGAAAATCCAGTTGTCCTGAGACCACACGGATGAACATCCATGGAAATTTACCTGTTCCATGCCTATGTTCTCACTCACTTCCACTAGTCTTTTGTCTAGAGTGAAGTTATCTCTGAAAGAGTATCTGAGAAAATATAGCAAGTTTTCCAAGTTCCAGGAAATCCGAGTAGGTGAAGATACGCTTCACCTCACTGTATATAATGCAACATTGAATGGACTGACACTTATTCTGGCCCAAAGCATAGTTGATCTAATATTTGAATAAGACTATAAAGGATAAGCTCATCTTCCTTTCTTCCATTGCTTTATCTTCTATTTCAGCTTCCATTGAGATGATCAAGAATATGCTAAGTTAGTACTCTATTGCCTAAAAGAAAATTAGTTCCCAGGAAGACAGTTTAATTTTCAAATGCTTTCACTGGATTCAATATAAGAACCAGAAAGAAATATTGATGCTTTTTCAAAGCCTCTTTTGGAGACCTTGTTCATTATATTAATAATCCTTTACATAAAGATCTAGATGCTAAAATCATCTGTAATTCAGTACCTGATACCTCCCGGATGGCTAGGTTGATCACTCCTTAAAACTGCAGGGTCCATCTAAAATGCTCCCATTCAAATTTCCTTCCTTCATTCCTCCCTCCCTCCCTCCTTCCCTCCCTCCCTTCCTTCCTTCCTTCCCTTTCCTTCATTTCTTCCTTCCCTCTTTTTATTCTTCAACCAAGTTCAAACCAAGCCTTTCCCAGCTACCTCCCCTTTTCTCTCCCTGGCAGAAATGTTTTATACCTCCTTTCATCTAAAAATGGGACTAAGACTTTATTCTGCCATTGCCTTGATGGCCAGGAAACTCAGTGTGAAGGTCAATGCTTAAGAATGATGTTTCCACTTTCCTAGTAATTCTTTTTCTCTTTTCCCTGTATAATTTTTTATTTGTAAAACTTTATTAGTAGTACTTATATTGTTTGTGAGTTTATTTTAGGTAAGCTTAAATAGTTGGATTTTTTAGAGGGGATGGAAATAAGTAGGCTATAAAATTTTAAATAAATTATACATGTACGTATATATCAATGTTTACTATGCCCAAACCATGATTAAAAATCACTGATGAAGTTTTAGAAATAAACAGGCCAGGTGGTGTGGCTCAAGAATGTAATCTCAGGATTTTAAGAGGCTGAGGCGGGTAGATCACTTGAGCCTAGGAATTTGAGGCAGCAGTGAAGTATGATTGTGTCACTGCACTCCAGCCAGGGCAACAAAGCAAGACCCTCATCTCTAAAAAAAAGAACAAAAAAAGAAAGAATACTGAAGGGAGTTGTGAAAAATTTAATAGTTTCAATTCAAGCAAGCATGCGAATTTACATCTCATGCTTTTTATTTAAAGGAATGGATCTTTTTGTTTAACCTGTGTCAGGTAGCAGCACTGGAACACGAAGCTGATTGGTTACAGATCTGGTTCTGTAGTATCATGAGAGCCAGCTAGCTCTTCCCTCGGTATCTCCATTCATAAAGTATGAGGGTTGGACTAGGAAGACCTAAGGGATCATTTTTAGCTCTGGAATTGTATGATTTCTTCTGAATTTAAACTTATTCTATTTCAATATTTAAACATCTAATTATCATAGGAGAACACATTCAAGAATGACATTAAGAGGTGACTATGCAAGAGGAAGTTTCCTAACTCTTTTCTCTTTACAAAGACATGCTGAGGACATGGACTGTAATGAAGCATTTCCTTTCAAATTAGATTTGAATGTTACATCAGATAATGAAGCTTTTGAAGTTCTAAGAACTCAAAATTCCATTCAGTGGTCTGACGTCATGAAAATGGATCCTTAACCAGTCAAAAGAGCTAATTCATTTTGGGAGAAAAAATGAAACAAAAGCATCTACAATTTCTTAGTCATTATAGTAGCTCTGTGAAACTATTATATAACCAGCTTAAAAACATACTGTTTTGGTATATATTGTGCAAAAAAGATTCTAAGCTTGACAACAACAAAGAATAGACTCAGTAACTATTTAGAAATACAGCAATTTGCTTTGTTTCAAGCATAGCTGTTACCAATTACTTCATTCTAGCAGTCATGATAGAGCAATACCATCTGAAGGACCTTGGCATTAACTTTGTTGTGAAATATCAGATAGTCTTTGCATGCTGCAACAGGTTGAGTATTTATTTACCTGTAGCATTAATTTGATCTCCAAACAAAATTATATGATATGGGCAGATTACATAGCAATAGAAATGTGTTTATTTAAGTCCAACTAACATAGTTAGCTAGCTAGCTGTGCCATGTAGGCTAACCTACACAAACATGACGTAAGATACATACTTTAATTTCAGCTGCCTGAGAAATGAAACTTTTCTTCTCAGTGCCTAGAAGAGTAGGCACACAAATGTGAAAGCACATAGTAGATGCTTAGCAAACATCTGGTAAATAAACATGCTTTTATGTTATCTTGATAAGCTTAGTGTCTAAAGTGGGAGTTATTAGCATTCACCAAAATGGATGAATTTTATTTCTCCATAAGACATGGAATTTATGATAGAATGTGTGTATAACTCTATATGTATACTTAGATGCCACTGATATTTGTTATATTTCTGGTGTTTTGTTTAGCTGTTTATGGTGGTTGCTCTTGTTTTCTTCAAAAATATTGAAATAGAATTGTCTACTTGTGAGAAGTCCTTTCAGCCTGATCTTATGAAGTGCTATAAGCTATATTTTACCTCAGTATTGAGGCTCTCCAAAAAATGTATCTTTCAAAACCTCAAAGGAAACTGTATCTTGTGTAGTTAATGCAATCAGCCACAGCATAAAAGACTTTTCTGAAGACTTGTAAGGGATCCAAACTTCCAATCTCAAGATTCGGCTGAAAGGGGCTAGAAGTAATTATCTGATAATATATACTACTATGTTTTCTCCTTTTTGTATCCAAGAAAGTCATTTGAGAGTAAACATAGGGGAAAAGTTGCATTAGCAAGTAATATACAGCAGAGGTAAAAATCCCAGGAACACCTAGAGAAGGAGCAGGCAGGAGTAAAACTGTTTCTTTCATGGCTTACACATTGTAGGCCAGAAAAAAAAAAAAAAAAACAAAAAAAAAAACACTGTACATTTTCATTCAAACTCACATCCACAAAGTCTTCTCTGGATCAACCAAATTAAACTAAATCCACCAGCATGAGAAATTCAAGGACTGAGCAGAAGAATGTCTCGTCATTAATAATAAATTGGTATATAACCCAGAAGACCCTTCTTTCTTTCTTTTAAGTTCAAGATATGGCTGCTTCCGAATTCTTGTCCCCATGGAAACAAGATGTGCTTGGTATAACAAGATGACAGAGGGAAACAGCTTCACAGCTGTGGCTACATCACTGGGGCTGGTTTCACTGTGAAGTTCTTCTGACTGCTACACTATTGGTTCATCTGTGATTCCCCCGTTCTTTCCACAAATCGAGGTCTATGCAACAGTTTGAAGTTGCATTTGAGGATGTCTCAAGTTTTTGATATTTGACATCTGTTGGTTGTGTTTCTCTCTATTGCTTTCTTGTCTATTTCATGCATTCTTTAAAAATCTTGTTTAATACATTGCTAATTTGCTCTTTTGAATGTACATTTTTAGTTTTCTTTGATCTTTATCAAACGCAAGTTTAGTCACTCCAGCTAGATGTTTAAGATCCACAGAGAGAAAAACTATTTAAGCCACCTCCAAGATTAGAACAATGCTTAGTATACAATAAACACAATCTATATTGGCTGATGGACAAATGACTCACTTTAGGGCTCTTATTCTCTGTAATATGTAGTTATACAGGTCAGCAGTCCTCATTTTTAGCCAGCAGAGATTTGGTAATACATTTGGTTCCCTACAGTGGATGACTGTTGATGATCTTGACTTGCTGTTTGCGCTATTCATGGCTCACAGGTGATGTTAATTAAAGTCGTCCCTAAATGGGCTGTAACATCAATTACTGGCCCAAATCTCACAGCTAAACTGCAGGTTGGGCATCACCACTATCACTTGGAAACAGTTAACATTGTATGGAGGCTGACACTCTACACACATAGCTACATGGCGATGTGCAAACTTTCTCAAGAATTCACTTGTCTATTCTATTTTGCTTCTTTGTTTGTGTATCTCAGAAAAGGGCATTGCCACAGCTGCTGGATTACGTAATGGTTCAAAATAACAGTCTTCAAGGTCATTCAAACACATGGCTATCTCTTTGGACCAGAATAAGAATTCCAACTTTCATTAAAAAGTCATCATAACACCCTGATTTACTCATAAATAGTCCTCGTATGAATTACCTCTTCTCAAAAAGCATACTGAAGATATTTTCTTGCGTTTGTTGTTGTTGTTTGTTTAATTTATGGCATGTCCCATGCTATCTTTGAAGTACTCCACTTTCTGGGTCCTTAAGAATGTTGAGATTATTCTCCAGGTATTAAGTTTAGATCTTATTGCTGAAATGAGACCAAGTGAAGTACAGTAAAATATTTGAAAGTCTGTTTTTTAAAAAAAAATCTAGAGTTTTTTAATAAGACTATTTTGAATATGTTAACAATCCATATCTTAAAATCTTACAGCTTATTTCATAAAATACAATCCAAGGGCTCCTTGTACTTCCAGATATTGAATTAGTAATCATCAGTTTTTTAGAAATTACTCCTTTTTACTATTCTAAGCTATCTTTAACATTTTGAAAATTTAATGAATGAAATTGTGATTTTTAAAAGAACCCAAACAGAGGCACCAGTTTCTCTCATGAGTGAATATATTATTACTCTTGTACATTTGAAATAAGAGAAGTCCTCTAGTACTGAACATTCTGGCATATATTTCCTAGTACCATCGGTCCTTCTTAGGACATAATTGAGACACTGAGGAATTAAGTCCCTCAAGACACAAGGAAGCCACTTCCCACCAGAGGTTCTGACTTTATTGTACTATCCTGTATAATCACATGAATTCATATGGCACCATTACTGAAGTATAATGAGATCATTAACTCCTAAGCACCCAGTTTATTCTAGACTTTCAAAAATACAGACTGATTTAAGATTAAGAAGCAATTGCAACTATGTATTTGCAACAAAAGCAGTTATGAGAAGAGAGATGGGGAAAACAAATTGTATTATACTATTTAAGCTCGAATTTCCTTACTCTCACCCCCACCTGGACAAAATGGCTCTTATAACATCCACTGTCTATTAAAGTTTTTGCTTTTAAAACAAAATTAATATTCCTAAGAAACACAAATATAAAAGGTGATGTCTTTTTTTTTCCATTTCAAATATGGATCTGATTTTAAGACCTTATTTTCAAATGGCTCTCTCAGTGCTTTTGTAGGTAAGAGCCAAGAATTAAGAACAACCCTCATCTTGTGTGTTAGATAATACCACAGAGAGTTTCTCTATCCTCAGCTTTAACTCCTGTCTACTGACTAGACCTATTTAAGTTACCTAACCTGTTTAATGAGCTCCAAAAATAAATGTATATTATAGAGAAAACCAAAGGACACCCACTATTTACAGAGAAATGACACGGAGAGGGCATTTCTTCAATATGTGACCTAAATAACCCAAATCAGATTTAATTCAATATGGGAATCTGGGATTACATCGGAGCTGTTATCTGGGTCTGCCAGTAACTGCAATAACATCTTTAAACAGTAGCACAATCTTGGATAGACTCTGTCTAACAAAAATGACTTCTCCACTAGGATAGAAATTAATTCACCATTGCTCTCATTTTTATCACAAGGAGGTAAAATAAATTTTTAAAAATCAAATGCAGCTTCCTTGGAATGTTACAGCTAATTCTGAATTAAGAAATGAACTAGTTAGTAGTTATGTATTTCTGACAATGCTGAAAACAACATGCTTCTAATGATATCATTTCACATACAGACCTAACACATAGGCTGAGATGCACCTGGAAAGGCATCCCATAGAAGCTTCAGATTTTATTATTACAGGTTCATTCTTTAAAAATTCAAATAGGGCCTGGCACGGTGGCTCTTGGCATTTTGGGATGCCGAGGTGGGTGGATAATTTGAGTCCAGGAGTTTGAGACTGGCCTGGCCAACATGGCGAAACCCCCTTTTTACTAAAATTACAAAATTAGCCATGGGTGGTGTTGTGTCCCTGTAGTCCCAGCTACTCTGGTGGCTGAGGCATGAGAATCGCTTGAACCCCAGAAGAAGAGGTTGCAGTGAGCCAAGATTGTGCCACTGCACTCCAACCTGGGTGACACAGCGAGACTGTGTCAAAAAAAAAAATCAAATAATGCTGCTGAGGAGAATCAACACCTGCCAAGACTCTAATGCAAGTGGGTTTATTTGGGTGATTTTTGACAGATGACACAAGGCAGCAAGAGATAAAGGGTAACTTGGAAGATACGCTGAAAGGGGTAGATGGATGGGAAACATGGCCAGAAAGGAGATGTCGGTGATAATTTCATAATAAACATGCTAGCCTAGGGCCGGCCATGGCTGTTCCTCCCACCTATTGCCACTTGCTGAGGTTCTAGAATGTCCCTGAACCTGGTGATAAGAACAGTGATGAGGGGAAGTAAAGTAAAAAAGAAGATTGATAACATTTTCTCTTCTGATATTGGACATGGTTAATGCCTATAGTGGATATAAATAATGTAAGATAGTTGATAGCATAAGGTCAAATGTGTCAAGATAGCAACAGTCTAAGAGGGGAAATAGTTATACTCCTAAATAGCTTAATGTTGTCCATTTATAATATATATATATTCATTTTTCTGAGAAACAAATATTCTTGGAGGCTCATTGTATACAATGTCATCCTTTTAGTAATGATGAACACTATGGGGTCCTGAGGTATTCTCAGCTCATAGAAATTTAGCTGGAAGAGCTCAAATATTTCTAAAAAGCAACAAATTAGGCATTCTTTTGCATCATTTCCCTACTTCAAGATAGAGTTTTCTTGATGTTGAGGGTTGAGTTTATGCTGAATAATTTGATTCTTGCAAATTTATTTTTACAGTGCGAGGGATATTTCTGCTGACAATTCAACATTCAAAGGGATGAGTGTATGACGTCTCTAAGAGATGTCATGGAGTGCATGTAGAAGGGACTTTTTATGGAGGTAAGATGTAGAATAGGACAGTCATGTTTAATTGATGAATTTTGTTATGATTGTCCAGAAGTAAAACAGAGAACCTGGAAGTGATTTGGGAGGAATATGTTAGTGTCAACACATATGAGACCTTTTCTTTGTCTTCTTTTTAAAAAACTCTTTTTCATTCATGTGTTTCCTCTTTGTCTTTTTCAGAACTACTTCTCAAATCACTATTCACATCCTGGTAGAAGTCAAGCAATGAAGATGGCACAGAAACACATCCCAAATACTATGATACCATAAAGTATACTGTAGCAATGCATTGGCACACCCTCATTTGAACATTTGTCTCAGAAGATTTTGACAGAAGATAAAATTGTCTGGTTTTTATTTCATTGGTTTCATGAAAATTTATTTCACTGGTTTCATGTCACAGGCCCATGACTGTATAAAGAGTCATAATCTTTACAAACACAACAATGACTCACAGCGACATGTTGCAAAGCTGTAATCGAAAACACTGATGTTGATTTCAGAGGCCATTAATGGTGTTAAGAAGGCGCTTTTGTTAACCAAATAATTGAATACTCGTAATTACTTTTCAGTTCTAGTTCAGTTCTTGACACCAAAACAAGCCATTTTCTTTACATAGTGAATGCAGAACTTGCCAGTAAGAACTTTCATACTAAACTTCTATGTAAAACAAAACATGTCAAAATCAGTAACTACTTTAATGGAATGGTAAAGAATTTACTTAAACACAAAGGAATGAAAATATCTCTGCAAATATGTCTATTGACTTTTCAAATTTGGTGACTTCTTTCGAATTAATTCCCTTACGTCTGTTCCTCATCCACATAAAAATGACAAAAATGAAAGATAATTTTCCAGCCTATAATTAAATTTCTCCATTGTTGGTATATGTTTTTTCAAATACATTTTTCAGTTTTCATAATTCATATGAGAATTATTAAAAGGGAGTTAGTTGCCTTTAGGACCTTATTTGGAGCCTAATTCTTAAAAATTGTGTAAAAATAATTGTGACTTTTAAGAGACAATTGGAAATTTGAACCTGACCACATTTTTGTGATATTAAGGAATTTTATTAATTATTTTCTAGGTGGGGGAATGATATGATGATATTCTTAAAATAATGTGTGGATTGTTTATTACATTTCAACATTTTCTTAATCATCAAACATTTGTTGACCTTCTGCTGTATCTAGAGCTCTGTGATCGGGATGAAGTATGAGATATTAAGCCATTACCAGGTGGTAGTTACTCTACCTCTGTTTGAAGTTCATGCCCAGCCCATTTGTTGCTTTAAATTTGAGTTCATTCTTGAGCATGTGCCACCAAATTCCAAGCATTTTCAAATGGTGAATTACTTCTTACAAACTCAACGGAGTGTATGTTAGCCGATCTGAAGTAACCCACTTGAAGTGATGCGCTGTGTCAACCTTAATATCACCATCAAATGATCCCTAGGGAATGCAACATTTGGCTTATTTCATTTTTAACATGTGAATTTAGTTTATATCAAAGTAATATAATACACATAGTTTAAAAAAATCATATAGTATGACAACAACTTGAAAGAAAAGCAACAGATCCTTGCAGGTTGCTCTTCTTCCTCCCCAAGTACCTGAGCATCTGTCATTGTCCTCCAGCATAAGGCCGTCAGGAGCACACCTATAATTGAATAAGCAGGACTCACTACCCATTTCAGTGAGGGAAAACTCACACCACAGAGAATCCTGGGGTGTCTCAGGTGAAGGATGTTAAAAGGGACTTATAACAGGATTTGGGCTTTGGTTGGGTGACTCGACGGAAGTTTCCCGCTCTGAATTGGATGCTCTCTAAAAGTGGTTATAATCTGTGATTGGGTATCTCGATAAGTCTTATCCTTAGAGAGGGCAGACTAGAGTAATGCTAAAGATGCAATTGTTAAGAAGCAGTCCTCATTCGTATTAGCTGAGAGAGGGGAATGTTTCGTATTTTGTGGCTTGAACAATGCTCATGTGTTTAGACATGATTGTAGAGTGATTTTCAATTTGTTTTGATCCATCATAGTGCTGATGTCATGTTAATTTTTTTTTTAATGTTCAACAGAATACTAACACCTAGCTGTGAGTACCAGGACAGCTGGTAGCAACCCCAAGGCTTTGCTGGTAGTGCCAGGCTAGCTCCTGGAAGTCAGAAGTTGCTTTGTTCTTTCCCATGTCTTTTCCCAGAGGCAATCACATTAAACCTTTTAGAAGTTTCTTCTGGCACTTACCTCCAGATTCCTAATAGTTTTTCTTTGTTTTTAAATGTTTGATTTATTTTTAAATATTTGACTTCCTGCTATAGAAATAAGACTTTTTGCTCTCTTGTATCCACCCTGCTATACACATTTGCTATGTACATACCTCCTATACTCGTCCTAATAATACACATGTATCAGAATTTTTATTTTATTTTTATTTATTTTTTTTTTGAGACAGAGTCTCACTCTGTCGCCCAGGCTGGATGGAGTGCAGTGGCGCGACCTCGGCTCACTGCAATCTCTGCCTCCTGGGTTCACACCATTCTCCTGCCTCAGCCTCCCAAGTAGCTGGGACTACAGGTGCTCACCACCACACCCGGCTAAGTTTTTGTGTTTTTAGTAGAGGCAGGGTTTCACCGTGTTAGCCAGGACGGTCTCGATCTCCTGACCTCGTGATCCGCCCGCCTCAGCCTCCCAAAGTGCTGGGATTACAGGCGTGAGCCACCGCGCCCAGCCCACAATTTTTATTTTAAAGTAATTATAAACGTCTTTATTACCGTGGCTGTATAAATATTATTCATAACAGAACTATGCAATACACTATAATTATATATCCTTTTCTTTACAATTTAGTTTTTCCCAGTTTTAATAATTGTCTTTTGTTTCTGTTGCTAAATTATCAACAATTCTTTTCCTCAATTCTCTAATAGAATTGTAAAACTTCTCTTAAAATGTTTAAAACATCAGCTAATTCATGAGTTCCATTTTTTCTGCTTGCAGACAGACTTCTGAAACACTCAGGTGACTGCTGCAGTCTGGAATGGGGGCTTTCTAGGGCCACAGCATTGCTGTCACCCTGGGACTTCATCTAAAGCATTTGATTTAGCTCTCTCTCTTTTGCTGGATTTTCCATTTCCTGACTCGTATGTCTGCGTTTTTCTTGTGTCATTCTGTTTCTTGTGATAGAGTTCATCTGTGAGTAGCTTCCCAAAAATGGGTACACAGGAGATAAGTAGTTTGACATTTGCATACTCGAAATGCCCTTTCTTTCTCGGCACACCTGAATGATGCTTTGGCATTTGGCATTTGGCAACAGAATCCTGGATTGGAAAGAGGCTTCCCTCAGAATATTGAAATCACAACTCATTATTTGCTAGGTCTTAGTGTTGCTGTTGAGAAGTTCAATGCCTTTTGATTTAAATGTGACAGTTTTTTCCCTCTTTGGAGGCTACTGGAATGTTGATCCTTGGTGTGAATTTGATATGACTGGTTATGATTATTTTTTGTATATACTGTTCTGGGCTCTTTCTGTCTAGAATATCATATACTTTAATTCTGAGAAATATTTCGATATTATTTCTTTGATAATTTCATTCATTCTACTTTCTCTTTCCAGAACTCATATTAGTGGGACCACTTGGATTTAACCTTTAATTTTCTTAACCTCCATTTTACCCCTATTGTCCATCTCTTTGTCTTTTTGTTTGATGTTTTTGGGAATTTACTCAACCGCTTTTTCTTTCCCATATTAAGAAAATTCTATTATCATAATTTAATTTCTGTGAGTCCTTTCTCATTGCCAGAATGCTCCCCTTTTAAAGAAAATATTTTCGGCCTGGCTTGGTGGCTCACGCCTGTAATCCCAGCACTTTGGGAGGCCGAGGCAGGCTGATCACGAGGTCAGGAGTTCAAGACCATCCTGGCTAACACAGTGAAACCCCGTCTCTACTAAAAATACAAAAAATTAGCCGGGCGTGGTGGCAGGCGCCTGTAGTCCCAGCTACTCAGGAGGCTGAGGCAGGAGAATGGCATGAACCTGGGAGACGGAGGTTGCAGTGAGCTGAGATTGCAACACTGCTCTCCAGCCTGGGCAACAGAGTGAGACTCTGTCTCAAAAAAAAAAAAAGAAAATATTTTCTTGTCTTGTGAGTGCATTATTTCTTCTTATCCTAGACTCTGAACATGCTAATTATAGATTGATTTGATATTTTCCTCTTCCCTGTGTTTGTTCTCTTGTTTTTTTTCCCAAGTTCTTTATTTTTGTTTGTTTACTTTAGTCTCTAGCTTTATATTAGAGGCTTTTTCAAATGCCTGACCTCGTTGGTTGTTATTCCACTTAAAGTGAGGCATGAAGAGCCTAGTTTGGAAGCTTTATATGATGCAGAGCTTCACTGTGGATGATCTGGCGGGGGCAGACCAGGCTTGTGGGGTTGGAAATAGGGAGAGGGACACTGAAAGTTTCACTATCAGTAGGTTTTTCTCATGGAGTGTTCAGTTACTCCATGGAGGAAACTTTCCATTTTCTGCCTGGAAGGTTATGCTTCCCAGCTCGTGTTCTTGGAGTTGAGCAGAAGAATAGAGCAGCACCTCATAATAGAATTTCACTTAACCCTCATGGTCAGCATAGCACCCCCTCCAGTTCTCTGCTCTGCTGAGTGTTGCTGCCACGATTTATTCATAGAGAAAGTCTCTAGCTTCTGATGTGTGGGAGAGAGATTGTTGCCTGGTTCTTTGGGGCAGAAGCGAGGTATCTGGGAATCTACCTGCTCTCCAAACAGAGTTTCAGCAAAAACACCTGTTTACAGCCCTAAGTTCATCTTTACTTTCAGAGGTCCTAACTTTCTCTTATTCCGGGAACTTCTGAGATTCTGTGACAAGAACTCACCTGTTTTCCACTGTCTGGGTGCCTAGGTTTCAGCCCTGTTTGATTATTTGCTACTTGCCCATCTGCTTTTAGTCTTCCAGGAGTTTGTTGACGTCTTTTGTCTATCATTTTATTGCCCATTCTCTTTATCTTTTGGGATTTATATATTGTTTTATCCTTTTCAGGGCATCTCACTAGAAATCAGAGATGGAATATATATCTAGTCTACTTTGTTTAATCAGAAGTGCTAGCTTTGATTTTTACCATGTGGTCTTTGAAAACATTTTCAAATTGGTAAGTACATTAAAAATTTGAATATATAATTTATATTTTACTAGTCCAAAAGTTACTAAAGAAAACAAAAACAAAACAAAAAGAAAATTTCTTTTCCTTCTCCATCCACTCATCATCCAAATGCATGAGTTTATCTTAAACAGGGAAAAGATGACCAGACATTGAATATGAATGTTCAAAAGGGGAAAAATTATTCTGGACTGTAAGTACCAAAGTCTCTGATGTAGGCAACTACAGAAATTCAATGAAAATAAAATCACATTATAGAACTAATAACATTGGCTCATAATACTTCAGGCATACATAACTCTTTTGCTTACATCTAACCTACCCACCACTACCCACTATAAATGCCATGAAAAATAGCAGTCTTCATTATGCTTTAAAACTTTATTGTCTTCACAACCTTTGCAATTAATAGCCTGTCATTAATAGCCTGTCCAATCAACTGCATATTTTTATTTCTTTAGGTACTAAACAAAGAACTATCCTACTATTTGAATTTTATCTCTAATCCACTCTGATACTTTTAATGTTAAGAAAAACTGTTGTCTTTTTGACCACATAATGGTATGAATTCAAGACTGCATACTAACGTCAATGGAAGCACTGAATTTTCAGTAAGAAAGTAAAAGGAGTCATAATAACTAGTAGCAACAATGAAGATGACAATCAAATGTTAAAATCATCCAGATGAATTTCTGCAGTGAACTTCTGTAGGTGTCTTGACTGCAAATGTCTGTTCTTTCTGTGGTTAGTGACATCAATTAATGGAAAATAAGGTGCAGGAACATGCTGATGCGTGTTTTAACAAGTAAATGCAGTGTGGCCTGTGGTAGGTCTCACTTTGCAAATATTATATGTTCTTAAGAAGCCAAACAGAGAACAAGTTTAAACTTGAGGATAGCAAATGTGAATGAAACAAAGAGAATGTCTGGGTTTGTTTTTTTCTTCCTGAGAAAGGATTTTCCCACATATCTAGAAATAAATGTAGACTGCTCAAATGATCAAGCAGTATTTCATTATCAGTTTTATTCAATACTTAAAATGTGCATGGTAAATTCTCCATTGATCTCTTCTACTTCCAGGGATTCATTTACCACTTATTTACTGGTAACATTCAAATATGCCAATATTATTCTAATTTTTAAACTTAAAACACATTCTAAGGAATTTTTCTGAGTTACCTCAAACTCAACAAATCTAAAATTAAATTATCTACCCATCGAGCCCAAAATCCCACTTAAATTCCTTAATAGTCTTATAGTCTATGTAATCACCTAAATTAAATATTTCAGTCATATTCTAATACTAAGCATAGTTCTTATACTAGTGGTCAATAAATATTTCTCAAATAAATGAATGCATTTTCAATACTTTCTATTCCTCTCCCTATAATCTGATGGTTTGGTAAGTTTAGTAAGTTCTATCCACTGTACTTCAAATCCCCTCTCACGCCATCCCCTTCTCTCATCTGCTCTGTTGCTGTTTTATACAGACCTTCGAGCCTCCTAACTCTTATATCTCTGTCATCTAATACATCTGCATCTCTACAGCACAGATTTCATCACATTGCAGTCTGATTCAAATATATTCAATTTCTGTCTTATCTGTAAACCAAAATTCTAATTTCTTCTCCTCACTATCTACAATTACTGAACTCTTCATTTGTCACCTCTGACTCGTTAACTGAACCTTCCTCCAAAGCCATACTTTTACATTTTTGATCCTACTGTGTAATCTCATGCCTCCGTGACTTTGATCATATTATTTCCTATGCTGGAATATTTTTTTTCTTTTACTCCATAGCCTGCTTATCCTTTAGTTTCTAATTCAAACATTTTCCAGGCCTCTAAGCAGAATTATTTTTTTAACTCCTCAAAGCTTTTATGATACTTTTTCTTTATACTTCTGCTCTAGCTCTCAACACAGACTAAGCTTTATTTCAATAATCTGTTCATGCATCTGTCTCTTGAAATCCTAAAAAGGCCTGACCTCCAGCACTTAGTTCCTGTCCCACAGTAAATGCTATAGGAAGTTTTCAAAATTAGCATTGAATTAAAGCCATGTGTACATTATTATTGAGAATGACACATCCATTTAAGGAGTAAGAAAAGAAAATAGAATTGAATGAGTGAGTCTTTAGTTTGAGAAGATTTAAATGATCCAATCCATGAAGTGATATGAACTCATACTGCGAAAAAGGTCCCCTTTTCAGTGAACAGAAGTTAACTGAAAAATAAGACACTTAGTGGTGAAGGAGCCCCTCTCCACTCTGCAGCCACCAGTACTCAATACTGCTCCTTTCCTTCAGGGTCTTTGACAGTCTTTAGGGCAGTGGCAGTCATTCTTCATTATTTATTCTCTGGGCTTGTTTTTCCCATCTTGTCTTCCAGGTGCCCTGAGTGTAGCTCTTAGAACTCCAGGGCTTAAGATGAGATAATGTGTTGCCTGTGGGAGGGAAGCACTCCGGCTTCCACTTGAAAAGCTTTCATTTTGTTCCAGTACCCGAGGGAACATGAGCCTCTCTGGAATGTACTTGCTGCCCTCTTCCTTTGGCTTAGGTGTGTGTTCTCTCTGAGCAGTGGGATTGGAGAGAGGGAGGCAGACTGTTCTGGTTTCCTCCAAATACCCGCAAGTGCTGCATTGCATAGCCCCATATATGATGCGCTGGCAGGCAGATGGGCAGCAGTGGGGAGAGCTTGTTGTATCTGAATTTTAATTACATATGGTAAAGAATCCTTGCTAGTTTAGAGAAAGCTACTCTTCAGGTTTACTTTCTTTCAGTGAAGGGGCATTTTATCCAATTAGAGGGAAATTATCAGAGGCCAAGTTCTTATCTCAGTCTCTGCAGATTTACCACATAAGAAGATGCTAATTATAACTTCCTAACCAATGCAATAGGCTCTGCTCCAGTAGAGGAATCTTTTTAAACTCTTGGTTATAAAAATACTATACATATACACATTAATTAGAGTGAATTGTCAAGACCCCATGTGTAAACATATCCAGCTTCAACATTTATTAATTCTTACAGCAAATTTTATACCTCTACCCACCCCTATGCTCCCTGATTATTTAGAAGCAAAATCAGACATCACATTATTTCATTCATAAATATTTTTAAGTTTACAGGAATCCTGCCAGCAATATTGTTCATACAGTTTACCTTTGATTAATAAACTTCTTACCCTACCTGGAATCTGTATTTTGTTGCCTCAAAACTTGAAAAGTATTTGGTACTTCCACAGTATATTGAATTTGTAAAACTTACACAGAGAGTTGGATCATGTGAGTCAGCTCTACCCCAGTGATTAATGTATTCTGTACACAGTAGCACCCATGGTACAGGAACGCCCCTTCTTCGGTCACCTAGTAACTTTTCACTAGTCAACACCAAACTGAATAACCACTATGTTGTGAGAAAGTGCTGGGCTAGCTGACTCGGATCATCTCCTAGAGTTTAGGAGAAATAACAATCACAAAGTTTGAATTTGCAAAACCTTTAGGCTTTGCTGGCAGGAGAGAAAATACCACTTTTGGATCATAAAATGGATATGGAATACATGGGCTCAGGTAAACTGGGCCAAATATTGAAGCAGATTTGGAGACAAAACCAGATGCTAAAGCAGGCACTCTTGGGTGATGACCTTTGTGAGGGGGCTGGTGGGGCCACTTGGATGGCCACTGTGGTCTTTCTGGGTCAGGAACTCAGCAGTGCCCTTCACCAGCTGCTGGAGCACACCTCAGGCACCCTGCGTTCCACCTGCCAGCAGCTGCATGTGCTGCTTGACAAAGAGAATCAATGTGTCTCGAGAAAAGGCAAGTATTCTTTTTTTTAGTTTATTCTTTCTCTAAGAAATATTGATTAGGGCAAGATCTGAGAGGGGCTATGAGTATACCAGATAGGCTAAGATAGAGTTTCTGTCCACAAGAGACTAACAATTTCAAAGGGGAAATAAGTTGAGACAAATGCACAATAATGCCAGGGACATTGGGGCCAGTCCCATTAGAAACACATGAATGAAGTGCTTTTGGACTTCAGAAGCAGTTTAAATCCCATCTGTAGGGTGGGGAATTGAGAAGTTTGCTAGAAAAATGTAGTATTTAAGCTGAAGCTTAAAGAGTGAATTGGATTTATGCAGCAGGAAAGAGAGAGTCGGTAATTTTAGTAGGATCCAAGACTTAGAGACAGGAAAATACAGGCCACTGAGGCAGAGCTAGTAGTTTGTTTTTTATATCAGAATATAGTATTCTATCTCTAGGGTCATTTGAGCTTAGCCTTATTGATTGCAAAATTACTGGGAAGACTGGAGTGGGTTGGGATAGGGAATTGGATCCCCATGCACTGGGGCTGGAGAGGGATTCTTGGGAATAGGTCCAGTTATGGATGTGGAAAAGTACAGTAAGGCAGGAAGAATGTGGAATCTGATGAATATAATCCTAGATAACAACAGTTACTCCAGATAAGCATATAGGTGGCATCATGAAATTCAACTCTAAATAATACAGTATCAAGATAAGTGGGCAGGTTCCATCTATGAGGAAATCCAGGGTAGATGATGTTAAGAAATTCAATCTAAAGGGCAAATAGTGGGCATCAGGGAAATCTGTCTAAAGGCAGCATGACTGAGAAGCCATCAGCTGCAGCCCACAATGAGACCTTTAGCCTCTGGAGGGAGTGGAACATGGTCTTTGGCAATATAACAAGCAAATATATATTCAGAAAAAAACAAGGACTTGGTTACCAGAATAGGAGTTAAAAATAAAGACAAGTTCTCAGGTATAAGACAAAAACAAAACAAAACAAAACACAAGTTGTCAGAACTGGATCCCAAAGAAAAGCCCTGACTGGTGAAGGGATGATTTGGTGATGGCTTTAAAAACACTAAGCTATGGGGCCTTAAATTACCTATTCTTTAGTTCAGAACTGAATTCTAAAGACTAGAGAGGTACTAAGCCTGCAAGAAGTCATCAGGTGACCTCAGTAGTGAGGAGAAGCAGGATGAACAAATAGGAGAGTGGGAAGAATGATGACGGAGTGAGAGATTATATAAGATTTGATCATGCTAAGAGTTTACTTCAGAGTGAAGAAGGTTGACCTGAGTTAGTAGGCTTTGAGTAGCCACTTCAGGTTCCAATCAGAGAATTGGTATGGTCAGAGCTATTCTCTGAAGGACTAATTTGAAAATTTCCAATGCTCACAAATTCATCAGGAGGAATAGTATAAACCTAATCCAATTCTTATAGCAGTAAACTAGGCTCCAAAACAAAGCATCTACATTGGCAGAAATAATGGAGGTATGGTGTTTCTGCCACCCAAGCCTCATCTGGAGTGTTCGCCTAATTTTCAGCCCAGCATTTTAAATGGATCATTGATAAACTATTGTACATCCAGTGGTAAAAGAAGAGTTCTCAAAATCATACCAAATGAAAAACAATTGAGGGAGATGTTGACTTCAGTTCTTATTGGGGGAGCAAGAGGTTATGACATTTGTCTTTAAATATTCGAAGTATCTTTATAAGCAAGAGGGATTAGATTTACTCTTTGCTACCATGTTAAAAATGGTTTGTTGTCAATCCTACAATTGTTAAAAGAGTGACAGTTATACAATTACTTCTCCTTCAGGAGTTTGGCTTAAATGCACAGTAAAGGTCTTTGTAGGTTTCTAAAATTATCTTGCCATGTTTCATTAGATGTCAGTGCAGAAACATAATTTGGTTTAGTTTTGTATTTATTCTTTGTGTGTCCATGTATGTGTGTGTAGAAATCATTACTTTCATAGACTGCCTCATAAAAATAACTGAACATTTGGGGAGCACTGCTGCACTTCTAAAGAAAGAAGAAAAGGAGATTTGTAATTTATGCGGCATGCATGATGAATGTACTCCACAGCAGACAATGTCCTCCATTCAAGATACCAAAGCAGCAGACATTGCTGCAAGAGGGGAACTAAATGTCATAGAAACAGCTACTGTTTCTCCCACAAATGGAGAGGAAAGTCATTACACAAACCAGGTCCAGTTAGAAAAAAATAAAACACATATGAGTTCAGCATTAGTGGAAAAAGAAAACAATACATCACTGAATGGACGTGTACTGGGGCAAGAAGAGTCACAGAATAAAATGTTCCCAGATAATGCAGAAAATGAAGATGATAAACAAATAGAACACATGACTGTTGAGAACATAAATGGCAACAGGGAAGAGACTCATGGCATAATTCAGACAACAGAGACAGAAATTCAAGAGACTTCAGAAAGCCCAAGAGAAGAGATGACCACATCCTCAATAATATGTGATATCTCCAAGAAATATATAAATAGTACTCTTCCCAATGATTCAGAGAATATAAAGCACAAGAATAACATAATGGAAAAGGAGTAAGTAAATGCAATGTGGGAAGTGCTTAAGTATGCCTACTTATATGTGTGTTTCTATAGTTAGTACATGTCTTAGTTCATTCAGGCTGCTACAACAAAACATCATAAAGTGAGTAGCTTTTAAACAACAGATATTTATCTCTCACAGTTCTGGAGGCTTGGAAATCCAAAATCAAGGTGCTAGCAGATTTGGTGTCTGGTGAGGGCTTTCTGGTTCATAGAAGGTGCCTTCTTGCTGTGTCCTCACATGGTGGAAAAAGTGAACAAGCTCCCTTGGGCCTGCTTTATAAAGACATTAATCTCATTCATGAGGGCTCCACCCTCATGACCTAATCATATCCCAAAAGGACCCACCTCCTAATACCATCACCTTGGGGGTCAGGATTTCAATGCATGAATTTTGAGGAGACACAAACAGTTAGACTATAGCAACATGCATAGTATTTCCATTTCATACCTCCCAAAGATATTGTAATCAGTAATTCAGCTTAAATCACTCCTATAAAAATTTATATGGCCACTATTATTAATATTGTTTATTTCTTATAGCTTTAAGAAACAAACACATTACATTTTTTTAAAGAGGAAGGAATTGAGTAGATACGAAAGTAGTTAAAATGAGCAATTGTCCAGATCATGAATACTTTGCAAATTACTACGAGTTCAAATATAATAAGAAAAACTAGAAGACTGTAGGGTGTTAGAAGATTTGGAGAGAATGTTTTAGCCTCAGATTCACTTTATTTATATTCTCAAGAAAATCATTATGAGTTTTAAACCCGTGTCTGTAGAACTCTAGGGATTTTATGGATGAGCTTTGGGAGGTACTTAAAATTGAATGTGTATGTTCAGACCTATTTCATTTCCTTGGATATGGTCTAGAACTGTCATCAGATTCTCTAGGAGACCATAACTTCAAAAAAGTGAGAAAGACCAATCTATTTTATAAATTTTCTCTCCTGTGCAAAGAGGTAATAAGGCCCTATTTGTCCGTATAAAATAAGATATTCACAGACCATATTTTCCCAGACAAACATAACACGCTTAGAAGTGAAAAAAAAAAATATGTGTTTTGGGCATCAGACAAACTTAAATTTCACTTTCTGTTTTATTACATACTAATTCTGTGACCCTGGGCAACTTGCTTCATTTCTCAGCCTAATTTACTTATTTGTAGAAATAATATATACATCCTGGGATTATTTGGTAAGGTCAAATGAGAAAATCACTTAAACGACCTAACACCAGGCCACTTTTTCAGATATTCACACCAGGTAAATGTTAGTCTATTCATTTATTTTAGCTCCAAAAACTCTCACTTTCTTCACCTGTCACTCACTACCATTGTTCCATTACCCCCATCTCTGCTTTGATGTACTGATGCTCTTTCAGGTGTATGATACCATTTTGAGGACTATGATCTTAGGCAAGTCATTTTGCTCACCTTGACCTTAGTTATCTCGCCCATAAAATGAAGAGGTGGTTCTAATTTGGCCGTAATGTTTCTACAGGTCAGAGTCTGATGAATTCTATGGTTGAGGATATTCAGTGCATGATAGATCCACATGATTTGTAAGAATTACCGCTCCAACAAAACAACTGCTAAAGTAGTCTATATGTGGTTACCTGTTTCACTTGAGAAAAACATTGAAGCTCCATATTCTCACATTCAGAAATGACTCAAAGCATCGGTTAATGAGTCATTGCCTGAACTACTCCCTCTAACACCTCCTTTAGGTGTTTCCTGGTTAGTGACTTCCTCTTTGCAGCACCCAAACCAATTGTGCTTGGCTTGTATATTTCAGAAGTTGAGTACTCATTGCAATCCCTCGGCCTAGGAAGCCATCATGCCACATAAAAGATGTGTGTGATAAACAAAACCTCACTCAGAATGTGTTGTCAATTCCCCCGTATAGCTTTCTGAAAGCAACCTATCTCTTCCTAGCTGTCCTGGTGTATACAAAAAGGGAAAATAAGGCTAGAGTAAACCAATGTGATTACAGTCATCGGTTACTTAATGATGGGGACATGTTCACAGAAATGGATGGTTGGGTGATTTTGTCAATTGTGCAAACACTGCAGAATGTGCATACACAAATCTAGATGGTATAGCCTACTGCACGCTTAGTCTACATGGTATAGCATATTGCTCCCAGGCCACAGACCTGTAAAGTATGTTACTATACGGAATACTTTAGGCAGCTAAAACACAATGCTAAGTATTTGTGTATTTAAACATATCTAAACATAGAAATGGTACAGCAATAATACAGTATTATAATTTTTAAGACCACCATTATATGTGCAGTCCATTTTTGACTGGTATGCCTTTATGTTCTATATACCTGTATTTTATTTTTAAAAGTTTTAATTTAAAAATTTTTCTTATTTTTTTTTATTTCAATAGGTTTTAGGGGAACAGGTGGTGTTTGGTTACACGAATAAGTTCTTTAGTGGTGATTTCTGAGATTTTGGTGCACCCATCACCTGAGCAGTGTACACTGTACCCAATGTGTAGTCTTTTATCCCTCACCTCCCTCCCACCCTTTCCCCAGAGTCCCCAAAGTCTATTGTATCATTTTTATGCCTTTGCATCCTCAGAGCTCAGCTCCCACTTGTAAGCGAGAAAATAAAATGTTTGTTTTTCCATTCCTGAGTAACTTCAGTTAGAGTAATGTTCTCCAATTCCATCCAGGTTGCTGTGAATGCCATTATTTCATTCCTCTTTATGGCTGAATAGTATTCCAGGGCATGATATAAATATGTATATGTAACAATTTCTTTATCCACTTGATTGATGGGCATTTGGGCTGGTTCCATATTTTTGCAATTGTGAATTGCGCTGCTATAAACATGAGTATCCATGTATCTTTTTCACATAATGACTTCTTTTCCTCTGAGTAGATACCCAGTAGTGGGATCGCTGGATTGAATGGTACTTCTACTTTTAGTTCTTTAAGGATTCTCCACACTGTTTTCCATAATGGTTTTACTAGTTTACATTCCCACACACAGTGTAAAAGTGTTCTCTTTTCACCACATCCACACCAACATCTTGTTTGTTTGTTTTTTGATTATGGCCATTCTTGCAGGAGTAAGGTGGTATTGCATAGTGATTTTGATTTGCATTTCCCTGATCATTAGTGATGTTGAGCATTTTTTCATATGTTTGTTGACCATTTGCATATCTTCTTTTGATAATTGTTTATACATGTCCTTAGTTCACTTTTTGATGGGATTGTTTGTTTTTTCTTCTGGATTTGTTTGAGTTTCTTGTTGATTCTGGATATTAGTCCTTTGTCGGATATATAGATTGAGAAGATTTTCTCCCACTCTGTTGGTTGTCTGTTTACTCTGCTGATTGTTTATGTTGCTGTGTAGAAGCTTTTTAGTCTAGTTAAGTCCTATATATTTTTGTTTTTGTTGCATTTGCTTTTGGGTTCTTGGTCATGAAGTCTTTGCTTAAGCCTATGTCTAGAAAGGTTTTTCTGATGTTATCTTTTTAAATTTATTTTATTTTATTTTGAGATGGAGTCTTGCTCTTTCGCCCAGGCTGGAGTGCAGTGGCACGATCTCAGCTCACTGCAACCTCCACCTCCCAGGTGCAAGCAATTCTCCTGTTCCAGTCTCCTAAGTAACTGGGACTACAGGCGCCCACCAGCATGCCAGCTAATTTTTACATCTTTAGTAGAGACAGGATTTCACCATATTGTTCAGGCTGGTCTTGAATTCTTGACCTCAGGTGATCCTTCCGCTTCGGTCTCCCAAAGTGCTGAGATTACAGGCGTGAGCCACTGTGCTGGGTCTCTGATGTTATCTTCTAGAACTTTTTTTGGTTTCAGGTCTGATTTTATGGTTTCAGGCCTTGATACATCTTGAGTTGATTTTTGTATAAGGTGAGAAACGAGGATGCAGTTTCATTCTTCCACATGTGGCTTGCCAATTATCCCAGCACCATTTGTTGAATAGGGTGTCCTTTCCTCAGTTTATATTTTTGTAAGCTTTGCTGAAGATCAGTTGGCTGTAAGTATTTGGCTTTATTTCAGGGTCCTCTTTTCTGTTCCACTGGTCTATGTGTCTATTTGTATACCAGTGCCATGCCACATAACTGTATTTTACTGTCTAGCCTAAATCTATTTGACTAGGGCTAAAGAGAATGGAACCATTTAAAAGTCACCTTGTTCTACTTCATCTGTCAGTTGAGAAACATAACTCCTGGAAGAAAAGTGTATTCAGATGGTTTCCAAGGCACAGAGGAGAGTCATTCCTAAAGTTATACAACGCTGGGTCACTGTATCCTCTATTAAACAATGTTTCTCATTTTCTGAATTATTTTTATCACCATCACCAAAGAATACTCAAGCAGAACAATGTGCTGAGTCACTTTCTATTCCTTCTAACTATGAGTTTAGAATTGTAAACATAAATCAATGACCCTCTCTGCAATTTCTACATATTTTTTGGATTTCTATGTTAAATTGTGCTTTAAAATTCTATTTACAAGTAATTGAAAAACGTCTAAAATCTGATTATTTTAGAGCTGGACATTAATGCTATGTTATATATAGATCCTCTTATTTCTCTTCAACATTTCCAGTATTTCAATCATTTCACTGGTATAAATGAGAAGTAGTAAAAAAAGAGGAACTCAAGTTGGTAATTTTAATGTAGAAAATCAGAATTTATTGAGCATACATCTTAGGCCAACACATTATTGTAAGTTTAAATGTTTTATCACATTCAATCTTCACACTGTTATGAATTAGATATTAGTTTCAATTTGTAATGAATAAAGTAACCAGCACTTTTGAATGATTTGAGGAATTATGATATTATATTAAAGAGTTTGGACTTTCACATTAAAGATAGATGGAGCCAATTATCTGGTCTAAAACTTACCATCTGTGGGATCTTTAAAAGAAAGTTAAATTTTCTGAGCCTCAGTGTTTTTATCTGTAAAATAATTATGTTAGTAGCACCTACCTAATACAATAGTTGTGAGAATAGTGTGTAACCTAAAAACTACTTAATAGAAAGCAGCAAAATATTAACTATTTTAATATTAATTATTAATGTGTAAGGTCAAGTAAATAGTGACTGATCTCAAATCTGAATTCAAATCTATAACTCTATAATCCTTGGCAAATTTGATGGTTAAAAAAGAGTAAAATGAATGATCAAAATAAAATTTTGGATTGATTTTTTTGGGGATTATAAGTAATCTTTGCCTAATTACTATGATTAATGATAAATTTACAGTTCTTTTGTATCTTTCTCAGCTTTTCTAAAAATATATAATCATCATCATCATTTGATCTAGTGTGTTTAGACAATTCTAATACTTCATATATGTTTACTCCCTCTCCTCACAATTGAGGAAATTATTCAAGTATTAGTACTGATTTTACCAAGAAACTTCAGCAATCTTCAGCTTCTTATTGTGGAATAATCAATTGCTTAAATAACAATAGTAACAAAAGTAATTATAGCTAATATATATAACAACTATGGTGTACCAGACATAGCTCTAATTACTTAACATGTAATGGTTCATTTAATTCAATTCATACTCCCGTGAGATAGGTATTATGTTATCACCATTTTACCATTGAGGAAACTGAGGCACAGAGAGGCTGAGGATCTTGCCCAAGGTCACAGAGTTGATCAGAACTGGAATTCACACCAAGACAATGTAGATCTAGAGTCTGTGCTTTTCTGCATTTAGCTGTAAAGTACATAAATCAAATAATTGGAAAAATGACATTCTTTTTCCCCCTCCAGGTATCTTGATGTGCTGAGTGATGTTACTGGCCCCCAAGTGTCTTGTTATATTACAGCACCATCATATGTTCTACAACAACTAGAATGCCGGATAATAAATCACATGAGTTCTTTAATAGTGGGTGATAATGAAGAGTTAGTTAGCAACGTCATAACTATTGAATGCTCAGATAAGGAAAAGAGAGTTCCATTTCCAATAGGCATTGCAATTCCATTTACTGCACGTTACAGAGGAAATTACAGAGATATCATGGTGAAAGTGTGTGACATAAACCTTCAATCAAGTTACCTAAACCCAAATTCACTAGAAGGAATGAAGGGAGGTTATAAGGTTAGTAAATTCTTGGCTATATCTACATTTGCTGTTTGGCTCCTCTTATAAATATCACTCAGACTAACAGATTGTAGTGTAGATATAATTGCTCCACTAGTAATAAATGGAAGGACTTTTGAATTTGTGCCAGTGCGTTCACAGTTTATTGCCATCCATAAAGATCAAAGGATGGAAATGATTAGCCAAAGTTAGGAATGGAGAGCTTGGGTCGAACACCTACCAAATGTTATTTTTTTCACCTAGGAAACAAAACCAAAATCATGGCTTAATTACTTTTGTGCTTTAGACTAACTTCAGACCAACATTTCTAATATGATGGACCCTTGTCTAAATTTAAGAATGTTAGAATCTCCAGATGATAGTAGCTTTAATTTTTATTATCCACGGGTTGGGAAAATAGATAAAAAATTTAAAAATTTGTGTATGTGTTTGTGTATGCCTTGAGATTGTTAGTAAGTCTAGAAATGAAATTTAGTCTACACATGGGAGAAAGTATATGTGGTAGTTAAGATGTGGGCTGTGGAAGAAGACTGGTTAGGTTTGAAATACGGTTTTTACACTTTCTTGCTGTGTGAACTTGGGAAAATTATGTAAACTTGCTGTGACTCAGTTACTTCATCTGAGAGATAAACATGATAATAGTGTCTACCTGGTATGGTTGTAAGAATTAAATAGATAATAAACTTATGAAGAGAGACGGAAGCCTATAAACACATGTTAGTTGTTAATAAATTATCATTTTCATGTCAAATTTTAATTGTAATAACTCTGAGGCTCTGTATGATCACAAATTCATATGCTGTGAAGAGAGAATATAACAACTATTAAATTTAGTATGGAGGCCAGGCGTGGTGGCTTAGGCCTGTAATCTCAGCGCTTTGGGAGGCCAAGGTGGGCGAATCACCTGAGGTTGGGAGTTCAAGACCAGCCTGACTAACATGGAGAAACCCCGTCTCTACTAAAAATACAAAATTAGCTGGGCCTGGTAGTGCATGTCTATAATCCCAGCTACTGGGGAGGCTGAGGCAGGAGAATCGCTTGAACCCGGGAAGCGGAGGGTGCGGTGAGCCGAGATCGCACCCCTGCACTCCAGCCTGGGCAATAAGAGTGAAACTCTGTCTCAAAACAATAAAAATAATAAATTTAGTATGGAGTTTATGGAGACTAATACTTAAAGTTTTTCTTTGGGCCACTGAACTTCTTTTTAAGCAATTAAAATATTTATCTTTTTCAGCTTTATGTAAGTTGTCGTTTGATGAGACAGGCAGGGAATAAATGTAAAAAAATTCATATATACATGGAATTATTTATTATATATTTATTTTGTGATTTTGATTTTTTCTGGGTTACAAATAAGGTTTTATAGTTGAGTATGAAAGCTAAGCCTATTACATTTACTTATTTCAGTTCCTGCAACTAATACATTTTATATTTAGTATCAGAAGTTTATAGGTATGATAGTCTAGTCAGCATTGCCCTTGACTGGGGCTCTTAAGTTTTGGCCAGTCTGTGTAACTATCACAATACAAGCAAAAACTGCTTGTAGCCCACTTGTCACAAAATGGGTTTGGAAGATGTTCAGTAAATGGATAATTAAAGCAAAAAAGAGAGAGAGAGAGGAAGAGAAAGAGAAAGAGAGAGCGAGGGAATCATTGTCTATCATAACAAATACAGGCGTGAATTTTTCTCTTTATAGTAAGAAAAACATTTTAAACTTTGGATTACTTCCAAATTTTTATGTGGATCGTATGACATTATAAAATTCTAATTATTTAAAAACCCTTTTGGCCTTTCAGTATCTATCAAATATGATTGAAGTGCACAGCAACCACTGTTGGTTTCTAGAAGATCTTTCTTTTTCACCTCTCACAATTTTCCCTCTGGCCGGTTAACAATATTCACCATGCCCTGAATTTTCCCAGAGACAGATTCATTCAGCGATATTGTGAAATCTCTTCCTTAGTCAGCTTTCAAATGGTAGACTATTTTCCATTGTGATTGTCCCTGAAATGTTTTTTCGTGTATGTGAGCATGATTATCCACGCATGCTGGGGCAGAGCCCGGCTGCTGATTGGGGAAGTATGAATAGACCAAATTACTTCTAAGTCTGCCTCCTCATTTTAAGCTTTGGTGATTATAGGAGAAGATCATTTTGTTTTCATTTATGTACGCAGTTCCCTTTTGTGCAATAAAAAACCTTGAGTATGTGTCTGTATATATGCATTACAAATTTGAATGTCATTGTATAAAAAGAAACACAAATATCTTAGTCATTTGCTCCCACTGCACAGAGGAGAGGCAAAGAGAAAATGACTTTATTTGGGGAACCTAAGATACTGTGAGCTATTAGAAGAAAGAATTTGCTGACAGCACAGGTGTTACAGTGTTTGAGCAAACTACACAAATAATGGAATTCCAGTCCTTAGGATTCCCTAGAACAGTGTTGAATGTTTTGGATAAAGGTCAATATTTAAAATCGATTCTCGCTAATGGAGGCTAGAATTCTAGGAACAATCATATTTGTGAAAACACTGAAAATAATTGCCCATTATTCACACAATTTTGGGGAAGATTTAATTTAAATATAAGAAGTATGTTTATTTCTGTTTTTTATTGTGTAGTCTAAATTTGAGAAACTCTTATCTATTTCTACTTAATCTCATATAATGACCATCCATTTTAGGTTATTGGAATCATTTTAAGTTGTAGGTGATTAAATAAAGAGTGTATAGATTTTTTTGACAATCCATAGAGTCTATACAGCAAATATTTTTCAAATCAGTGCTATAGCTTATTTTAATGTTCTTTATTCTATACAGGGGACCTGTGCTTCAGTAAAAGTTTACAAATTGGGTATCTTTTCTGTTGTGTCTTGTTTAAAGAAAGAGTCGTTCACAGTAACAAAGAAAGGCCTCGCTCTTAAGTCAAGCATGGATTCCCGAATATCCTTAAATTACCCTCCAGGAGTTTTTACCTCTCCAGTGCTGGTGCAGTTAAAGGTAAACATATTAAAAATAGGTGAGTTCCTGCTCATAGATTTTGTGGGTCATCAAGCATGGTTCTAAACAACAAAGAAGGTATCAATATTTAATATAACAAAAAATGGATTATTTTCTTGTAGTTGTAACGGCCTAATATATAGTGATATCAGCAATAATGTAATGATTTTGAGCATATTAAATCTCATTAAAAATAAATCTTCTCTTTATTCGAAAGATTTTCCCAGTTAGTCTTTTGTGTTGTGTTGTTTTCTTTATGATATTTATTGGGAAAATTTATGTTGCATGGCTATGAAAGAATTGACAACAGACTTTGGAACATACATATAATTCAAAGATTTTGATCAGCGAGGATGACAAAAAAGAGGACAATCAATTAAAATATTTATTATAATAAATATTTTGTTATATTTAATTATGAAACAGCCATTTTCTGGGAGTAAGGATTTAATATACGCAAACACTATTTGCAAAGGGCATGTAAATGTATATTTTACAAGATTTATTTCCTCAAATAATATTCCCTGTTCGTCTACCCTCATTCCCCTCCCATGCTCTCCTCTCTATTTCTCCCAGTTGTTAATGTAAGTGGTAAGTGAAGAAGAACGATTAGGAAGAAAACATATAATAAATATCTTATTTATAGATATTTTCCACGCACTTTGAAATGTTGGAATCATCTTAGCTATTTTTTATTTTTAACCATTCTTATGTGAAAAGAAACAAGTCATGTTTTTCTAGTTTCTAAAGATCACTTGATCTAACAATTTCTAATTAGAAATCATTATAAAACATCTATTTTGTTTTCTAGGTCATTTTGTTGCCTGCAATTAAGTCTGTTTCTTAGTTATTTATAACATAAGACAGGGAACCCAGATTTCAGAAGGACTTTGTAAAAAGGGCCCTAATACTGTGTTCTTTTATATATTATAAATATTTTATAAAATGCATTGTTGATTACAACTAACAATACATAGAGAAATGTATAAAACTATGCTGCATAGAATTTTCAAAAAACTGGATTAGAAATGTACCAATAGTTTGCATCTTTTCTATTAAAACATAAGAAAAAATATATTTTTTGTTTAGATCCAACCAGTTGACCCAGCTCTGGTGGCACATTTAAAAGCACAGCAAGATACTTTCTACTCAGTCCAATCCACAAGCCCTCTGATTCACATTCAGCACCCATCAACTTATCCTTTTCAGAAGCCAGTCACTTTGTTTTTACCTTGTTCTCCATACCTTGATAAAAACAACCTTGGTTCTGAGATAGATCATAAAAGAAGAGCAAGTGCCACAATAAATAGGATTACACCTTCGTATTTCAACCGGTGAGTAAGTTTCTAATATTGTAAACTGGCTTAATGTCAAACAAAGAAGCTTAGATGATTAAAACTTGCAGTCAAATGCCTTGTATTTAAATTCTGTATTAAAATATTATGAAATATCTTTAATCTAGAAAGAAGATATTGTGGATCCACAAAAGGTAATAATTTTAGCTGTTATGGATCCCAAAATTCCTGCAAGTATAAAGATAAAGATGGAGACAATAAGAACTCTAGCAGAAATGCATGCTGGGTGGTGCATTTTGAAACCTTCAATCTATTCAAAGCGCTGGAAATTTAGTCAGCACAGGTAGGAGAAAGACATACCTTAGTCCAGAGGAATTACACTCAGTAAAAATAGCTAGATGCTGACAATTGAATCAGATATTATGCAAAGGGATCTCGTCTCTAGAGTCAAGAAAGAGATTCAAATAGTTACCAAACTATAAAAGGTGGATGAGCATTCATTCAAGGGTAAGAAAAAAACCAAAATCCTACATGGTGTTTTAAGAAAAACAAATCAATACCAAGATTTCTAAAGAATATATATTAAAAAAAACTTGTAGAAATACAAAGGAAGAGAGAGAGAGCATCATCCTGATATTTCACAGTCATTTGAATAATGAGAATTACAGTTACCTGGAGAATATTAAAGAAACCTATTTTATAAGTTTAGTTGTAGCCAGTAAACATAATTGCCAAGAAACACTAGCAGAAAATCATCAGAATAGATGAAGAAAAGATGAAAGGACAAAAGGATGTGGCATAAAGATAACAAGCTGAGATGAAAAGGGACCAAAATATGATAAGGAGTCATTTCAAAGTGCTGCAAACTAATAATTATAGGTACCATTGAAGAAGAGGGCAAGCAATCATAAAAAAAGAAACAATCAAAGGCCTAGGTGAATTTGATTTTTTGATGTTGATTAAAGCCTTGAGTTAAAAGTGCTGATTGGTTACTAGAAAATATTTATGAAAAAAGACCCATACTTAGACATAACATGGCAAACTGAAATGTAGGTTTAAATAAAACATAATTCCATAAGCATCCATTAACCAGAAACCGATTATGTAAAAAAGGAATGAAATCAATCTGGTATCAGTTTTATTCTTTGCAGCACTAATATCAGGAAATAGAAATGGACCAAAATCTTCAAAGTTCTCAAGTTCTCAAAGGGCAAGATTGGGGAATCAGGGTTTTCATCCTACAAACAAGTCATTTTGTTTTTGTTTTGTTTTGTTTTTAAATACAAGGGCTCTCAGAATGGACTACTCACATGCTCTTATCTACAAAATAAGTAGATAAAATTAATAGGCTGACTTAATAAGATTCAAGATATCGAGAACAAGCAAGTATTATTCTTATTTTTAAAATTTGATATTGAGCATAAATAATACAAAAGCAAAAAAAATCAAAAGTAAAAATTTATATGAAAGAGAGATAATGGAAAGAAAACAGACAAACAAAACATCAGCATGGTGATATGTGTCTACTTTTAAGAGCGAGTGTAAGCAAGATAATATAAGTAAAATAATCTGTTATGACAATAAATATAAATGAGTTAAACATAATTTATATTATTGTCCATATTTCATAATCTTCCTTTGATATTTTTAAATACTTTATATGATGTGCTTGGGTAATTTCCTTAGGTTTATTATACACATTATTAATTTATTATCATTTGTTTAAATTGTTCATTTTATTCACTATAATTAACATTTCTAAAAGCTTAGTGCTTTTTCCAATCTGCTTCATTGTTTTACTATGCTTTATATAGTTGATCCTTGAGCAATGCAGGGGGATTAGGGGTGCCAACCACCAAGAAGTTGAAAATGTGCGTATAACTTTTGACTCCTCGAAAACCGAACTGCTTATAGCCTACGGTTGACCAGGAGAAAAGCCTTACCAATGATATAAACAGTCTATTAACACATATTTTGTAAGGTATATGTACTATATACTGCTTCTTATAATAAAATAAGCTAGAGAAAAGAAAACGTTATTAAGAAAATCATAAGGAAGAGAAAATATATTTACTATTCATTAAGTGGAAGTGGATAATCATCAAGGTTTTTATCCCTGTCATCTTCATGTTGAGTAGGCTGAGGAGGAGGAAGAGGAGGGGTTGGTCTTGCTGTCTCAGGAGTGGCAGAGGAGCAAGAAAATCTGTGCACAAGCACACCTACAGAATTCAAACCTATGTTGTTCAAGGGCCAACTGTATTTCTTCCTTTATTCCTTTAATTATTTAAGCATACTTATTTTATGGTCTTTTTTAGATTGATTATTCCATCATCTATCTATTAACATGATGTATAACACCATATCATCTATCTAGGAGTACAGCGTAATCTTGCAGAATTTCATACTGATTCTGTTCTATGGCTCTTGCCCTTAGACATTCATTTCCAAGTATTGATTTTAATTTTTGATCAGATATAAATATCAGTTCTTCTTCTCCCTTTTCCCCCAAGCCGAAGCAATTAATTTTTTTTGTGTGTGCTTCTTGACTATTTTCTTGAGCCAACAAGCAAAAGGGTTTTGGTTATTGCTACCAATAACCAAATAACCAGAGAGTGTTATGCCTCTCTCATGGCCAGTGATGCCCTTCTGAGATTCCAGCTTCATGACTTAGTTCAAGCTCCCTCCCTGTGCAGCTGGAGGTTGTATCGTATGTCTGGGAATAGATATTAAACTGTACCTCAAGCCCCTGGCACGTGTGCATGGGTGGGGTTGAAAAGAAGAGGCTGATAGGGGGAGGAGCACCCACAGAATCAATTCCTCGAGTTCCCTAGTGAAGAAAGAGAATTCTTGCTTTTTAGATCCTTGAGTCCAGATCTAGGGGGGATTTCTTTTTTAGCTTTTGAGTTCATATAATTGTGTGTGTGTGTGTGTGTGCACGTGTGTGTGTGTGTGTGTTTATGTGACATTTTGTCCAGAATTCCTGTGGAGTGGGAAAGTGGCTATTTGTCATCAGTTAAATTGGCCAAGTTGCTAGAATAAGCCACTTTTTTTTTGCCTTTGTACATAATCTGTCTTCTAGAAAATCTTTCTTCTGCCACATTTAACTGATATACTCTTGCCCATTCTATAAGTTCCAGTTCAACTCTTTCTTTTTCTGTCCAGATATCCTAAGCTCTCTAGGAGGAATCAAGTGCTCTTTTTTTTGTGTGTGTGCCAACCCCATCCTTTGTACACATCCCACATTCTACTACTGTAGCAATAATATATATTCTTTTTTACATGTCATGACTTAGCACAATTGCAACATAGTAAGTGCTAAAAACATTAGGTAAATTAAATAAATTAATGAGCAAACTCGTGGAAATGTAAATTGTATTGCAAATTCATCTGCACTTTTTGACAATGTTAAATTGATACATTACAATGTGCTATGTTGTTATTAGTCTCAGACATAGTAGGTGCATTTTTTTCCATCTAGTGGAGCATAAAACAAGCAAATGAGACTCCATCTCAACTGTTTATTTAACATTCTTTAATCAAAGAATGAAAGCCAGTTGGACATTTTCTATGGAAACAGAAACACAAAAAGCAATCCATACCCCATGTAATGAAAAAGATAAAAACTATTTGAGGCCAAAGCATAGTCTGAATATTAAGAATGAAAGGTCTGTATTGTGTTATATTCCTTTATGTCTGAATGATTTCTAGTGAAAGGATGAGAGTCATTTAATTATGAGCCAGAAAAGATTTCTCATAGCAGTAAAGAGGAACAATACTTTATTAAATAGGAGCTTATTACTTACTATGCAATCAATATTTTAGAGAGTTAGACAGGAAAATGGTTTTTGCCCATGAAAAATGACATTTCCTACACAATGCAATTGTTTTTAAGATTAAGTTGTTCAAATGTAATATGTGATTCATGCCTGAGAATATTTATAAAATATATGTAAGTCACACCATATAATGAAATGGACAACTAGTAAAGCTAATATCAAACAATAAACTGATCATTATTGATAAAAGTATGCATCTCCTTACTTGCCCCACCTCATTCCATCCCCTTTGTCCTCACCACAGTCACTCATCCCCACCAAATTTAACCACTATTCTGAAATTTTCAATTATTCTTTTGCTTTTATGTATTTCTCTGTTTGATCACATATACTTATATTTGTCCTGATACATTTTCTTCTTCTTCTCTGGCAGCACTCTATAGGTTAAAGTTGAGTAACTCTGGTTTGTTTGGGAGAGAGCATAGTTCACTAGGCATCGTCTTTGGAGACCACCTACCACCTTTGATATAACATGCTAGGATGAAAATGAATTTTTTCCACTTCTTTGGAGATATTATGCCACTCTTTATTGCTGTTCTGAAGACTGCAGTGGATGCAATTTTCATAACTTTATGGGTGATCTGCTTTATTTTGCCTGCTGCTTTCAAGATCTTTTCTTTGCACTTGGTGTTTTGCGTCTATGTATGATCTGTCTAGATACAAATTTTAAACTTTTTCTGAATACAATATATTGTGCTTCCTGAATAAGTGGATGTATGCCTTTTCACATTTCTGAAAAGTTCTTATGTGCTTTCTAATCAAATGCTGGCACTTCTCCATTGTATGCACTCTGTCCTTCCGAGTTTCCACATAGATGTATATATGACCACCTCTTTTTAAATTCCGTATTGTTTACTTCCCTTCTGTTTTCCAGCTCCCTGTCTCTATGTGCCATATTCTGTGCAATTTATTCACATTCCAGTTTGAAATGGCAAAAATAACGCATACCTTAAAAATGTACTTTTAATCTATTATTTGAGTTTTGTTTTAGACAATTTTATTTTTTATTTCTTAAAGTTATATTTTCCCAGCTACTGGGGAGGCTGAGGTGGGAGCCCAGGAGATTGAGGCTGCAGTGAGCTGAGATCATGCCACTACACTCCAGCCTGGGTGACAGAGTGAGACCCTGTCTAAAAAAAAAGTTCTACTTGGCCCTTATTTAAATCTCCCTAATTATCTTTAGAGTTTCTTCCTGCCTTCTTATTTTTGGGATACTGTCCTTTATTAAACTTTTCATATATAGTTGTTTTCATCTTAAATCTGCTAAGTCTAACATCTGAAGTCTTTGGGCGTGTTTATATCTGTCATCCATGGTATTTAGCTTCTAATTTGTTTGAGAACTTTTGCTTGCAAGCATGCAGACGTGGGGTTTCTTCAGGCATAATGGAGTTGCTTTCCTCAAGGTGGCATTTGTTCCTACCTCTGCTGAGAACCATCTGCTACTTACCTGGGGCTACATTAGCCTTCTTGAGAGTCTTGGTGAAGGTCTCAAGTTCACCTTTCCCACATGGCTGTGATCCCAAGGACTGACAGTGTCATGTTCTGCTCACTTGATTATTGCTTACAGTTTGATACTCCTGCATCTACATTACAGGAAAGGTGTTTGCCATCTTAGTAATCCCCTCATTCCTGCCTGGTTGCTCCCTTAGCTGCAACCCTGACTTCACACATTTTATTTGGAGAGGGGTTTGGAAAATTTCAAAAGAATTTGTATCAAAAAATTCTTTTAAAAGTATGCAAGCCAAAAAAATACGTATCCAAAAGCACATTTATCAAGATCTCGCTGTTTTACACTAAAGATTATTCTAAATTTGTTATTTATAATTCTGGAATTTGTGTATTAAATTTATGATATTTTAGAGTCTACCTAAGAAGGAAATGATAATTTTATAGATAATGAAATCACACATACTACATTTTCCTTTGTGCTTCTCAATGAGTGCTGTATTGTCAACGCAGGCAAATCTCATTTAATAGAGTAAAATTGTTTCAGTGAAACATTAAAGTAAATGCTTACTGAGAAAATAAGATTTGTTTCATGTGTTAAACTTGGAGGTAGTGTACTTAGAAGTATTTTTAATTCATAAATACTGTTTTCCTTAAGAAAATAAGATTCCCTGTGAATTGGAATGCCAAGTGAGAAATAATTTAGTTTTTAAATAAAAAAGAAACTATCCTTGAAAAATTCCCAATAGTGTCTATTTCCCAGTTAGAGAAACAAAATATTAAGGTGCATTGGAGCAGATTTTTTAATCTTGTGAAAAATCTTTTGAATATTGTTTATGAGGTACTTAGGCCATTTAACTGGGAAAGATGTAATTGTGCACTGTTAGGCTTGAGAAAATGCAGGCTGGAAGGTATATCTATTGCTTTCCCTGCTAGACACCTTGTATTTTGGGAACTGTACTACAATTTCTGCAAATTGCCCTTTCTATCCATGCAGATGCAGTGGGAGCTTCTATGTTCATTAATATCCCTACATTTAATTAAACACTTGACCTACAAGAGGCTGATCATAATTCCCTGATGCCTAATAAAAAGGGTAATTTTGGGAGTAGCTCATATCTTAGGATATAAAACTCCAGAGTTGTCGACAGCCGTGATTTCTGCTGCTGGAAAAAAAATGATCATTAATAGTACTAGATGAAAAAGGAAAGATGCAGAGAAGAGAAGTAATTAGATAAAGATGATGTTCCAATTTGAGACAGAGTTTTTATCTGACGCCCTCCACATTTGTCTGTTTGCCCCATTAACAATCAAGGATTACTATAATTAATTCACTTATAACTAAGTAAAATGGATTTGGGTTTCTGTTACCTGTACCCCAAAGAGTCTTAGCCAATACATCTACTTATCTGTATACTCCTTGGTATATGAATCTGATCGTCCCTAGGAATACACAGGCAAATCTACAGAGTGAACAGAACCTTCTAAGATGAAAGAGATTGAAGTCATCACTCCCTTTTTTTTTTTCCTGAGGTGCAACATTATTGAAACGTTTCTGTTGGGTTTAAGTGGATATTCTGCTGTCAGCTGGCAAGAAAACATAGCATAATAGAGAAAGAAATTTGAATGGATGACTAAATTTCATCCTAGGATGACCTAGGCTCATTTTTGTCCAGAAACTGAATAAAATATAAGACAGTTCTAGCACTGTGAAAATTTCTTTGAAAAAATTACTGTGTGGGCATGTTGGGGGCCAGGGTGCGGGGGCCCACTAAGGTACAGCGTCATCGGGAGCTCAAGCTCAGGGTGGAATAACTGAACCACGCATAGCGTAACAGTGGAGAGTTTTCTTGTTTTTCCTCACCTTAAAAACTATTGCCCGAATAGTGGCACATGTAGGTAAATACACCAAACGAGGGCATTGCATCAGATCATGGGGGATCTTCCGTTTTCAATAGCAGTGAGGCAGCAACATCAGCAAAGCAAAAGAGAATGGGACCATACATGAAGACTGAGGACTACTTAGATTATGTAGGGTTTTTTTCTCTGTACAATACTTGTAACTGTGACACCTTGAACTGGGTAAAGCTCCAAGGGTAGATGGACCTACAGTCAGAATGCAGTTACATCAGGAGAGAACGTTTCTCTCAGCTGTGTGGTAAGCACTCAGGTCATTTGAACTGATATCCAACAGTGATTACACCGATTACAAATGGTAAAATTAAGGTACAGAGTTTGTCATAAAATATGTCAAATATTGACATAAATATGGCAATATTTATGACATAATATTAATGTAAATATGACGTTTTAAAATATGTCAAATATTTCACCACTTTAAAGACAAATAACAATCCATGTAGAAATAAAAACTACCAGAAATTTATCAATATATTATAATATTTGACTTCAGGCAATGTGGCTATGTGGACTTTCTTCTTCCCTTTACTTTTCCATTTTAAATGAATTTTATGATCAACATGAATAACTTAAAGTGGGAAAATATTTGAAGTTTTTTGAATACAGCACACTATTTAAAATTAATACTTTAATGACTAAATTATACTTTTCTGAGAAAAAGTTAACCTCAAAACATTGGTGACATTCATGTTTAAATATCTACGCATCATGAATATCACAAAGAAAATATCCTGAAAGTAAAATACAATATAGAATGAGAATTTTGATGGTTTGAATGCTTGTCAAATTCTGTATCATATATTATTTTTTTCCACAGATAAACTAGCATGACATTTTAATCTGTAGCCTCAGGGAGATTAGTACTGTCTGGGTGAGTCCCAAGCAAAATTGGTCATTTTAAAATAAACACATTTAAAAAATAAATCTTTACTATTTTTGGAACTGTCACTATGTCAGCATGTTGCCTTTTATGGAGTTTGATCAAGTGCTACTCACTGTCAGACAATACTAGTTGTCAAACTTTGCAATTAGCATATATTAAGGAAATAGTTTAGTTGCAGAGCTGTTACCAGTTGTGAGACACAAGTATACTATCAGATTATTTAATTTGAATGTGGACTGTGCCTATTAAAGTTTAAGTTTAATCTTTATATCGTTAAGGACTCTTTTGATTTAAGTGATAGGAAAGCCAATCCAAAGTGTTTAAGCAAAAAGAATTTTTGATATATGTAAATTAAAAATCTGAGGATGTATCTATCTATATATTTTTTCCTCAACCAGGAAGAACCTAGTCTCTCTTCTTCATCTCTATCTGCTTTCCTCTGTGCCAATTCCATTCTCTGACATGCTTGTTCCTCATTCTGGCAACATAGTTACATCTTTATAAGTCTAAGTTCGTAGAAAAGAGGAAGCTTTTTCCCTATGAATATGCATAAAAGTGCAGGGCCTGATTCTCACTCCAGATCTGTCACAAATCCATCACTGAATGGATCACTGGAACCGGAAGACAGATATAGCACAGATTAGCCTAGGTTATGGCATGATAGCAAAACTCTCAAATCCCAAGGGCTTAAATGACAATCTTTGCATCTGTCATGGCCATCAAAGGTAGGCTGCTTCTTGGTCATCCTCACTCTAGATAGAACAGCCACTGTTCGGTTGCTATCACTGTGGCAGAAGAAAGACCTTTGGATAGACCTATATTAGCAATTAAGTCCTTGGCCTCAAAGTGACACATATTTTTTTTCATTCACATCATTTACTGGAACTAGTCACTTGGCCCCACTCAACCACAGAGGCCAGGAAGTGTAACCCTGTCATGTATTCAGATCAGGGTGAAACTGGATATTCTGGTGAGCAGCATTAATGAATGACCAATGCATTATTTGGCTCAGGTTATATACCCAATGGTCCTGGGAGTAGGGACCAGCCCCACTACCCTTGGGAGCCTGTTGGTCTCCACAAATACTTTAGGTTTTGACAGAAAAGAAAGTGAATGAATGCTATCAGAAAAAAATTACATTGAAGTCAATTTCTAGTAAATGACCAATATTCTGGATTCAGTAAGAGTATAACTTCCTGTGTGAATAAATTATTAACTTCCAAGGGTTATAGAATTTACCATATCTGTGGTTATAACCCAACAGCATAAAAGTAAACGTTATTTTTCCCCTAAGCTCCTAATTTTAATCTAGCTGATCTCCTGAAGTAACCAATACAGAGTAAGAAGTTTTCAGAGTAGACATATTAAATCAAGTTCAGTTTCTAATCTGAATCTATGGGTCATAGGACAGGTCAACCTGTGAAAGTAAGTTGGTTTTTAACTTCTAGTTAAAACTAGAGTGTAACTCTAGTTCACTTGACAAATGAAGACATGAAATTCACATTCTGGTCTCCATTCACATACCATGGCTTTGTCTCTTTGTGGAGTGTAGGTAGCATCATCAGACTAGGTATTTTTCCCCAAAGATGTTCAGTAATAGGGACTTTTCTTCCTTTAGTTGTAGGGAACAGATGTTCACTTAAACGAACTCAAGAAAAGAGTTTATTGTGAGGCTAAAACAGTGAACCTCTGCTTTCTCCATCTCTAGGACTATGTGGATCCTCTCCTCTTGATTTTTCTCCTTTTTCTCTCTTAGCATCTATTTTTCCTTTCTGAATAATCTTTCTGCTTATTAATTTTCATTGACCAAGGTACCACAGAAACAGGACTGTGACAAGTTACAGTCCCTGGGCCACTTAGTCAAATTCCAAAGAAAAAGAATCAAATTGGCTGGCTGTTGGAAATTGGTATACTGTTAGTCACATGAGCTGTGGTTGGGGAAAAGTATCACATGGTACATACAGCCAATTTCTTCAGGGCCTTTGGGTGGGGCAGGCTACACAAGAAGGAAAATTGTACAAGAAAGCAAATTGGCTGTGTCTACAGCAGAAAGCAGAGTTAGAATATTAATACTATTTATGCTCACTACAATTATAAGTGCTTTAGAAATATTAATTCCTTTAATTCTATGATGTTGGTACTTGTATTAGTCCATTTTCATGCCACTGATAAAGACATACCCAAGACTGGATAATTTATAAAGAAAAAGAGGTTTAATGGACTCACAGTTCCATGTGGCTGGGGAGGCCTTGCAATCATGGTGGAAGGTGAAAGGCATGTCTTACATGGCAGAAGGCAAGAGAGAATGAGAGCCAAGCAAAAGGAGAGACCCCTTATAAAACCATCGTATCTCATGAGACTTATTCACTACCATGAGAACAGTATGGGGGGAAACTGCCCCCATGATTCAATTATCTCCTACCAGGTCCCTCTCACAACATCGCAACACGTGGGAATTATGGAAGCTACAGTTCAAAATGAGATTTGGATGGGAGCACAGCCAAACCATATCGGTACCATTATTATTTTCATATGATAGGTAAGAAAACAGACAGAAAGAAATCAAATAATTTGCCCATGGTCATACAGTTCATAAGAGGCAGAGTCACCCAGGCTTTGAAACTGGGCAGTTTTGCTCCTGGGTGTGTGCTCTTCCCTTTTTTGCTATACAACCACTCTTTGCTATTCTAGAGCATCTGGGTTTACATCAGCGAGTTTATTAATGTTTTTGGGTACTCTCTTAAATCTATTTTGCCAGTTGCAAAAAGCTTGTCATTCTCCAAAGCTCATCTCAAATATTAGCATTTTCACTTTGCAAGCTTCCCGAACCTCTTGCTTCTGCTCCTAAACCACCCTGTACGTTTCTTTAATTATCACACAAGTCACCTTGTGCTGTAATCAGATAATACTGTGTTACTACGTGCTTCTTTAGGGCAAGGGTTATATAGTTTGATCTCTGTGTTCCTGGTGCAAAGCATAATTCCTGGCACATAGTATGTACTTAATGAATTGTTATTAGATCATTCACAATGAAAGAATGAATGCATTAAATAAGATTTATATCATGTAAATTGTACCAATATCTCTTCTGTTACCATTATATAGGACAAAAATTGCCTCCATAAGAAAACCTAGGAAAAATGCCAGTGAATGTTTGAAATTACTGGGATTCAGAAGCCAAGACAGTGGTTGGTGTGGGCTTGATGATGTTGTGAAAACCATACAGAGCGGCTTGGTATCAGTTGAATTGTATGAACATTTGGAGAGGTAATACCATCAAAAACAATCAAAGTTGATGATACTCTTTCTGATGGTCATAACTGGTGTTTATAGAAATGGAATAGTAAGATTAAATTTTTATTCTTCGAATAGAAATATTAACCATTCTTTAAAGGGTACTTAAAATACAAACCAGAATTGACATGGGTATGCTATCTGTAATTTCATTTATGATAGTTAAACAAGTACTTTGGGAAAGCACTCATAACTACAGGTTTCTGCTAACTCCAAAATAGTTTTAAAATAGCACCTTCATTTCTGAAATACCATGGAGATAGTAATTAACTGTTCATATTATGCATATCTCATAACTATGTATAGATAAGCGGAATTTGTTACTTCAGTGCCCTCATTTTGCTTTCTCATTTCCATGTTTTCTAGACAGCCCATTATGAGAAGAGTTTTAGACAGATTTAAGGTTCATGAAGAGTAGCCACTCATAGAGACAGGTGATCATATATCTAAAAATAGCTTTTATTTCATAATGGGAAGTTTTACATTTATGATTGTCTTGAATCCAGTTTCCTAGGAATAGAGTCTGAGATGAAAAGCAAGTGATTTATTGAAAGAAAGCTCTTGGGTGAATCCTGTAGGGCAAAGGAGGAAGATGGAAAAAACCATGGTTTCAGATGAAGTATTTCTGTAGCCTGACACGCTCCGGGGAGCTCTGCAGTGCGAGTACCAAGGCGGCTGGCCTTACATCCCCACATTGGTCAGTCCTTGTCTATGGATGTAGGGCTGCTCTGGGTGAGGGCCTCTTTTAGGCCAAATCACTGAAGAAGAATTTGAGAATGGGTAGCCCAGTCCAGGGAAAGAGGTCTGTATTAGTTTGTTAAGGCTGCTCTAACAATGTACCACATACTGGTGGCTTAAACAACAGAAACTTATTGTTTCACAGTTCTGGAGGCCAGAAGTACAAAATCAAGGTGCTAGCAGGGTTTGTTCCTTCCAAGGGCTGTGAGGGAAGGATCTGCCCAGGCCTCTTTTCTTGGCTTGTAGATGGCCATCTTCATGGTCTCAGGGTGTTTTCTCTGTATGCATTTCTATGTGTTAAAATTTCCCTCTTTTATGACATCAGTCATACTGGATTAGAGAAGACCTTAACGACCTCACCTTAACCTGATTACTTCTGTAAAGTCCTTATCTCCAAATAAGGTCACATTCTGAGGTACTAGGGGATAGTACTTCAACATATGAATGTGTATGTGTGTGGGGAGGGTGAGACACAATGCAATTCCTACCAACGTCCATCCTAACGATCCTTCCCACCTACACAGAGATGCGTATTTTAATCCCCATTTAATTATGGTATACATTCTGCATCCTATGGAGTCAATAAATTATTGTGCTCATCTTTCTCTTCTATATTTTAAATATGCTCTTTTGTAATTCTAATTAAAATATCACTTAAAATATGCTGCCATGTTTAGAGCTGAGCTGAGACTGTATGACTTCTTCGTTTAAGAACATGTTTTAGAATTTATTTTGATTTCAGCTGGTTTCTTTTTTTATTTATTTCTTTTTTTACAGAGATTGAGTTTTGCCATGTTGCCCAGGCTGGTGTTGAACTTCTGGGCTCAAGCGATCCACCCTCCATGGCCTCCCAAAGTGCTGGGACGCCTCCCAAGTGGCATGAGCCACTGTGCCCAGCCTGAGCTGGTTTCTTGATGGCCAAGAGTTTCTTTACAATCATTAATGAATCTCACCTGTTGTCTTTGAGAATACTTGATTTTAAAAGACGTCTGTTTGATATGACTCTTTTCTTGGGTGTTATTAGATATCAGTGATGTTCTTGACACTGCATTTTTCCCTGGGGTCTCACCTCTTTCTTCCATGCAGGTTTATTGTACTTCACCTCTCTTCCACCATGGACAATAGTCATTTGGTTACTTTTGTGAAATCTTTAGAGGAAGCCATGCTCAGCACCACTGCCTGCATAGTACTGTCTCACCAGAAGGACAATCCACATAGAATAGCTGTTTTAGTGGTGCCTTCCAAAGATTTAAGCCAGGTGCTTAAGGACCTGCACTTGGAAGGGTTTGGAGGACCTCCAGAGCCATCTCGTCATTTCCAAGTTCGAGAAGGAGAACAACTTCTTTTAAGATTTACTGGAAACATATTTGCTTCAAGTAAGTATAAAGAAATCTTTTTATATATTTTATTGGCTATAAGCCACAAGCTCTTCAGAAGAGTTTGCTAAACTTGTGTTACTAAGGAAACCTTCAGAGGATTGACGAGAGACTTTAGGAAGTAGGAAGAGAAAAAGACTTATTTATTATACTTTTTTTGTTCCTATTTCTTTATTCTCTACTTAGGGAATGCATGTTCCTTTATGGGAAGATTCTAAGTGACACTTTTTAGAAATAGCCTTCTTCACAGTTACTATCTGAGTCCAAGCTAGGATTATCTCTTTCCTACAGGAGTAAAGTTGCCTTCTAAGTGCTTCCATTATTGGCCATATGAAATCAATTACCATGTGGTAATAAGAGTGATCATTTAAAAACATAAATCATACTATATTATACCAGTGATTACAACCTTATTTTTACCTCCTATTCTATCTAAAATAATATCCAAACTCTTTAAGATGTTTTACAAAGAATCTAACCTGGGGGTCAGTGGACTCCCAAAAATGTGTGAATAGATCTATATTTCAGTATTATTGCTATATTTTTTATTCCATGTATTTTATTTTATATTTTTCAAAGACTACTCTGAGAATCAATGGACAGTTTTCACCAAACTCTAAAGGAGTCTATGGGAAAAAAGAAATTAAGAATAATTGATCTAGGCTGGGTGTGTGGCTCACGCCTGTAATCCCAGCACTTTGGGAGGCTGAGGCAGGCAAATCACTTGAGGTCAGGTGTTTGAGACCAGCCTGGCCAACATAGTGAAACCTCGTCTCTATTCAAAATACACACAACACACACACACAAAAATTAGTCGGGTGTGGTGGCAGGTGCCTGTAATCCCAGCCGCTGGGAGGCTGAGGCAGGAGAATCACTTGAACCCGGGAGGCGGAGGTTGCAGGTTGCAGTGAGCCGAGATCGCAGGTTGCAGTGAGCCGAGATACCTTGCTTGCTTCTTTTCCCATATTTCTCTAGTGCTATTTTTGTTTTCACTCTAAATCTTACCACAATTTGAAATTATTTAATTAATTTATTTACTTTTTGTTCATATAGTTATGCTATGTCCTTTACCCTTCACCGGAATGAAAACTTCATGAGGGCAATGACCATGTCTTTCTTGTTAATATATCCTCTGAGCCTAACATAGGAACTGGTATATCCAAAACTTTTTTTTTCTTTACAAAATGCTTTATTTTTTATATCAACCCAACTAAACACTGACACCAGTAATGTATTACCAGTTATTGTACACTTTAATCAAATACACTGAAGAAATATCATTGACTGACAAATAAACTATCATCCTCATTTTTTCTGTACAATGTTTGATAGATTTATATCTAGAGAATGATTTCAACAACGAGTTTTTCAGCCCTTGTAGTCTCCAGTTTCTATTGTTGCCATCCTCATGTCCATGTGCACCTAAGGTTTAGCTCCCACTTATAAGAACATGCAGTATTAGGTTTTCTGTTTCTGCATTAATTTGCTTAGGATAATGACTTCTAGTTGCATCCATTTTGTTGCAAAGGACATGATTTTGTTCTTTTTTGTGGCTGCATGGTATTCCATGGTGTATATGTACCACATTTTCTTTATCCAGTCCACCATTGATGGGCACGTAAGTTGATTCCATGACTTTGCTATTGTAAATAGTGCTGCAGTGAACATGCAAGTGCTTTTGATAAGTGTGTAGTGAATGAATGATTATATGACAGTGATGAGGAAAGCAAGCAGGATGAATATGAGAGGTGGCAGGAGAGATTACAGAAGTGAAGGAATAGATGAGACTAAAGAGTTCAAAGGAAAGAGATGAAGAGAAAGAGAAAAGGAAGAAAAAGAACAAGAAGAGAAAACAGCTGTGTGGGAATAGAGAGGAAACGTCTTTGAAAGAGTTGCCATCACAACAATTTCTTTTTCATTAAGCCAACACCTTCCTCTTTCTAACTGCTTGCCCTGTGGTGGAATAGAATCAGACAGGTGTGTGTGTAAAAATGAGGTGAGAGGGAAAATTCCGGACAGGTTTTATGAAGATTTCTGTTCCAGGAGGCTTTCTACATACTTTACTTGAGGGGATGTGCTCCGTTTACTTATAAATTAATATGGATCCGATTTAATTTTATTATGCCTATTTTCTCTCTGATTCAGGAAATAGCTCCAAGCTTCATTGGTTCTTTTTTTGCTTCAAAAAAGGGACAAGGCTTGAAGCTGATGCTGCCCTCCCAGCTTTTTTGATATCTCAGGAATAAGTGAGACCTAAAGTGTCCCAATTTTAAGTGTCTATTCTACTGTCACATACAGGATCTCAGCATCTGAGCCAGCTGACGGGACTTAGTGAGCAAGTGACAAAGATGGCAGAGAAGGGGGCAGGGAAGAGAGAGGAGGGAGAGGAAGGAAGGGTGGAAGAGGCCCCTTCCTACTTGGCTTCCGGAGCAGAAACCACAGCGTCCACCCTGGAGAAATCTCTCTACTGAGACATAGTACTAAGCAGAAGGGTCCCACCCAAACGAATGATGCAAATGATTTTCCTGTAATACTGTGGACAGCAGCTGTGTTTACCAACCACCCTAAATAGGAGTGCATTACTGTTCTACTCACAAGCAGTGGTACTGAATATCCCACTGCCTGTTGTGGAGACCGGGGAGCACGTGCTAAACCAAGAGCGTCCAAGGCAGCCGTCACCTGTGCAATTCCTCCCTATAAGGGTTGGGGAAGAGTTCATCTTCATTCAGGGAAAATGAGCAGGCAGGATACCCAGATCCTGGGTTTGCTTTTCCTAGGGAGACAGGCTCAGATCTGGAGCCTCACTGGGTTTTTCTCTGCCTAAGAGGGAAAAGATCCTCAGTAAACAATTGATACCTCATCCTGGTAAAAGCATAGATCCATCCTTTTATCAGGGCCTAGCGTAGTCTCTGTGAATCTCAAAGAGATAAAGCTAGAGATTCTCTGCCTGGAGGGTTCTCCTCGCCCTCCCCACCCCCACCCTCACCCCCAGTTCTCTCCTGCTGTATCTTCAGATCTCACCTCAACTATCATGTTCTGAGAAGCTTTCTCTATCCTTCCTGATTATGTCAGACCTTATTTTATTTTTTAATAGTTCTATTATACTTTTGCAGATCCTCCTTTTTTCATTTGTGGCCTTTGTCACATGCAATTTTCTATTTTTTCATTTAATTGTTTGACCAATGCCAGTTTCTCCTACCATGGTCACATCCATGGAGGCACTGTCCTGCTGGTGGGCAGCATTCAGTCTCCATCCTATTGGAGGGCAGCATTCAGTCCCCAGCACCTAGGGCAGAGCCTGACAGTTAGAATAAACTCAGTATTCATTGAAAGAAATGAAGACCAAAGTTTAGAAAAAAAGCATTATAGTATTAAGTGCAATTAAAAGTATTTAAAACTTTAATTAATAAATTTAGATTACTGCCTTTGAGAAATGCCAAAATCTCTCTATTCACTTATAGAGAATATGAATGACTTTTCAGTGAAGGTCACAGGACATGGACTGTATTTCTATCTCTAATAGGAAGGAAGATGGATAGGTGCGTCCTTTGGTTTTTATGACGGTTTTTGGCATTCTTCTGGAAACAAGCTACAGCAAGCTTTCATTCTCTAGGTTAGAGTTGTCAGTTTAGCACTTGGATTATTGCATGTTATTCAAGCCCCAACTGCACACAAAATCCAGAAAGTGCCAGGAAGTGTTTTAATATGATTTTATATAATGACACCATGGCATCATCCATAACATCTAGTAATGCCCTGTGAGGTCTGCCTTTTAAAGTTGCCCTGAATGCCCTTTGGCCCAGGGAAGTGATTTTTCTAGATATTCTATAGGATGTATCTCTACATCTATCTCTACACCTATATAATAACCATTCTTTAATTTGCTCAACAAAAATTTGTTGATCTTAGGTATATTAAAGTCTAATGAAGAAAGACAGAGAATAAGCAAATAAGTAAATAAAATGCATAGCTTAATTTGGGCTGAAAAGTGAATTATAGAAGAATAAAGCAGGGAAAGGATAGGGGGACCTTAAAGGGTGTAGCAGGCTTGCAGTTTTATCTCAGGGAAGACCTTTCTGGAAAGGTGACATTAAAAAAAAAAAAAAGTCTCTAAGCGGGTGAGGAAGCAAGCCATAATCCTATCTCAGGGAGTTTATCCCAGACAGAGGGATTGCCAGTGACACTGAACTCGGTGGCAACTTGCCTTGTGTGTATGAGGAACAATGGGAGCCTGAGATGGCTGGATCAGAGGGAGTGAGCACAGGTTGTGGGAGATGAGGTGAGAACTGATCATGCCTTGTAGGCCATTGGAAAGACTGCCTTTTCTGCTGAGTGATTTGGGGAAACATGAAGGGTTTTCAACAGAGAAGTGATCAGAGTTAGATTATAACTGCGTTGAGAATAGGCTTTAGAGCAAGAGGAGAAGCAAGGAGATCAGTTACTGTTTAATTGCAGTAAACCAGGCAAAAAATGGCATGGCTTAGAGGTAGAGCTGGTGGGGAATGGGTTACAATATAGAAATACACTGAGCCAGTGGTTCTCACAGGGTTTTTCTGGTTTCCCGGACTGCTAGCACTTTCAATTTTTTAAATATGACTTCCCTAAGCAAAAATATTTATTGTTACATTTGTATTTTCTATGTCATCAATGAAAAATATTTAATGCCCATTATTGAGAAGAAAATATATTGCTATAAGGGACAGCAGGTAATCCACAAAATATAAGTACATTCTGGAACTTTTTACATGACAAGTATTTACTAAATAGCTACTATCTCAAGACACTTCTAGGGGACTATATACTTAAGATATTGAGAAAAAGAAAAAGATTCTCAAAAGGTCAATTACTGGTTGATTTTACACTTTGGGTATGGAATGAATGAGTTTTTCTTTTATTTCTCCTTTAAATATGCCAGTGAGGGAGGAAAAAAAAAAAAAAACAGAGTAGTGCAGTTTCTTCATGCCACTTCTCTTTTTTTGGATTTATTTTTTGTTCAGGGGCCAGGAGTCTTTAAAATATATTATTATGCCTTAACAACAATGAAACTCCAACTTTCCAAAATTACATAATGGTTTCTGTTTACAACATGAAGATTATGCTATTTACTGCTAGTAAATCTTCAATAATTTCATCCCAACTACATATATAAATGTGATCTTTAGAGAGTTGCCCTAGAGGTCTTTAGTTTTAAAAATTGGTATACATTTTAGGTCTCAATTGAACCAGTGTGGCTATGCCTCACCCTCAACCCTTATATCCTCTGTGTAAACCATTTCTTATGAATAATTGTGCCCCCGGCAGAGAGTATAATGTCTTTCAAGGGATAGAAGGGGAAATTTACTAATTGGTATTCCACAGGGACCAAAGTAGTAAAAGTTTTCTTGACAGCACTCTAGTAGTATGGAAACAGAAGTTAGCCAGATGTTACTCCAGTGAGCTGGAAACCCCAATTTACCTAATTTACTATTTAGATAACATTTAAATGACCCCAAATAGTCTACTTTTTTTTTTTTAACCAAAGTGAGACACTCTTAAGAAGACAAACCCTGGCTACTCATTTGTCTCCTAGGAATCTGTTTTTTTTTTTTTTCTTTTTTTCCAAGTAGCCAGGTTGCCTCTCAAATATAAACTTTTGCAAAGGGATCTACTCCTACACCATCTGTAATCTGGAGTTATTCTATTTCTAGATTTAACTGAGCTTTAGAAAAATCACCAAAATGATCTCAAGCAGTCAGGACCGGGAGAAGGGTCATGGTATCTTCTACATCTCTCACTGAAGTCTTTGTTCACTGGGCAAAATGGAAAGTTTTCCATGAGGGAGAACTCTGGGCAGTCAACTGCATGCTGGCTTACAATAACCGAAGGAAGTTTCCATGTAGACATGAAAGCTAAATCTTGGCCAGGTGCGGTGGCTCATGCCTGTAATCCCAGCACTTTGGGAGGCCAAGGAGGGTGGATTGCTTGCCTTCAGGAGAGTTCGAGACCAGCCTGAGCAACATGGTAAAACCCCGTCTCTACAAAAAAAAAAAAAAAAAAAAATTACCCAGGCGTGGTGGCCCACATTTATAGTCCCAGCTGCTTGGGAGGCTGAGATGGGAGGACAGCTTGAGCTTGGGAGGTGGAGGTTTTAGTGAGCTGAGATTGTGCCACTGTGGAGCTGTGTCATTCCAGCCTGGGTGACAGAGTGAGGCTCAGTCTCAAAAAAAAAGAAAAGAAAAAAAGCTTCGTCTTGACATTTCTTTAAACAATCTGAGTTTTTTTTTTTTTTTTTTTTTTTGCATGCAAATTCCAAATAGTGGAAGAATCCTGCCTCTTATCATTTGCTATCATTGCTGTCATTTACTGAGCACTTACTGTGTGCCAGGCCCTATGACAATTATTTTATCCAAATTTTCTCATTTCATTTCCTAAACAATCCTAGAAGTTAAGCTTTATTTCTCCTGTTCTAAGGGTAAGGAAGCTAAGGGAAGCTCAGGCTCTAAGAAGCTCAGAGATATGAAAAACAATGGACAAGTATTAACAGATAAATATTACAGAATACACAAATCATAGAGGCTGCACTTGAACCTAGATCTATACATCCAAGACATATCATCTTAAGTGCTACATTATAGCTTCCTACAAATTTTACAAATTTTGATGTAGACATATATTGCCTTAGGAAACATGGTAGTGTTTATTCTACTGTTGAAATAACAACGTGAAATATCCTGATTGTCATGATAAAACCCCAGTAAGTGAAAGGTTATGTTCACAAAAGCTCTAGAATTTTCAGTAAGGAGTTGATAAAACATTTATATATTATCATTTTAGGAGAATCTGTCAGGTTTTCATAGAAATTTCAGTAACACAAATTCAATAACTATTACACCTGAAAGTTCTAGATCAACACTGTCCAATTCCACACTTGTGGAAATGTTTTATATCTGTGCTGTTCATTACGGTAGCCATTATGCCTATGCTGTCATTGAGACTTTTAAATGTGGGTAGACTGACTGAGGAGTTAAATTGAGTTTTATTTACTGTTCATTAATTTTCATTTAAACTTAAATTGCCACATGTTATAGGAGAGTGCAGTTCTAGAATGTCTATTGTGAGGTCACAATATGAATAGTTAGGGGAAAGGAAAAAGATAATTCTCAACGGGTGAAAATAATTTTCTAAATGCTGCAAAAGCTGAATATTTCAAGTAGTTTCTGGTTATATCAAAATGGAATAGAGAAAGAAAAGCTAAAGATTACTTGATTTAGAAGCAGCCAGAGAGCACCTGGCCCAACAACCGATGAGAAATCTTTCGAGTAATCTACATGGTCTCTGCCTATTGCTCCTTTGTCAGGTTATGTTTTGACAAAAGACAATGATACACAAAAGTTTTAATCGTATTTTTAAAATAAAATAATTATTTGGATTTTTTAAAATTAAGTAACACAAAGTGGCACATCTTTTTCGTTTGTTTGTTTGAGACGGAGTCTCCTTCTAGCGCCCAGGCTGGAGTGCAGTGGCGTGATCTCCGCTCACTGTAAGCACCGCCTCCTGGGTTCACGCCATTCTCCTGTCTCAGCCTCCCGAGTAGCTGGGAGTACAGGTGCCTGCCACCACGCCCGGTTAATTTTTTGTATTTTTAGTAGAGACGGGGTTTCACCATGTTAGCCAGGATGGTCTCGATCTCCTGACCTCGTGATCCGCCTGCCTCGGCCTCCCAAAGTGAGATAACTTAATGGTAATAAATACATTTTACTTCTATTTAGGCAACGGGAAGGATTATGGAAAAGACTACACACTTATTTTTCACTTGCAAAGAAAACCTAGGCTGGAACTCCAAATCAAAGAAGTGGACGAATTTGGAAACTATAGTTGCCCTCATTACAAAGGCACCATTGTCGTTTATAAAGTACCTAAAGGAAAGATAGTCCCCAACTTGAATCAATCTCTCGTAATTAATGAAAACCATTCTCAGTTGCCAATTTGCAAATTACCATTGAAATTGCCAAAGGTGAGTTATTTTACTTTTCTAATTACTACATTTTGTTAATTATTTATAATTCTGTAACACAATCAGTTTTTCAGTCATAGAGACACATACAGTTAAAAGAAAAGGTAAGAATAGAGGTAATAAAGAAGGAGTAGGTAGGTCCAATTTTAGAGTATTAGAAAACATGTTAGGATTTCTCCTTTTGTTCATATCAGCCTTTCTAACAAGAATGCTTCAGATTGGTCTGGTCCCCACAGCATGTTGTTGCTAACTATGAAAATAATGTCATTCATTTTCTGTAACTGCCTCTGAGTCACTGGAAAATCATTTATGAAAAAAATACATTACAGAGCACATCATTTTAAGGAAAAGTCATGGTGAAGAGAAAAATGACCTCAAAATATTTATACTGAAACTTACCAGATTCTGCATGGTTGTTTCATGAGTTATGTTTGCCTAAAATTCTTACTCATGTCAGAAAGTAGGATTAAATTATTTCTTTGAACATGTCAAACACACAAATAAATACATTTTATTGCTGTATATTACAGTTTATTTCAGTGAAACAGGACTTGGTGAATCTAAACTACCTTTTTAACAAGAAATATAACTGAAAAATTTACTTCATTAATCTTGAGGTAAAAACAAACTTCTTATTCTTTAAAGAAAGCTAAAATCATTTTCCCACATTTATATTTTTTGTCTATGACTAGCAGGAATGTGTTTTCCATGCGGTTAGATTTTGCACTGATTTAAAATAAATCATTAAAGTAATTTAGCAAATATTAATATTGAACTTCTGAAATAGGGGATGTGCTGCGCTAGGCTTTGTGATAAATACAGAGCTGTAAAGGATAATACATGCCCTAAAGCTGTGTTGTTCTGAATGGTCACTACTGCCCATATGTGGCTGTGGAGCACTTGAAATATGGCTAGTCTAAACTGAGATGGGCAGTAAGTTTAAGATACACACTGCATTTCAAAGACTCAGTACAAATAATATATAAACTATCTCATTAATAATTTGTTTACATAGACTACATGGTAAATTTATATTTTGGTTATATGAGGTTATATAAAATATATAAAAATTAACTTCCTCTTTTATTTTTTAAACATCTTAAATAGTTACTATTAATAGAATATTTTAAACTACATATGTATCTCAAATTATATGTCTATGGAATAGTGCTTCTCTAAATGAATTTATAATCCAGTGAATAAGTACACAAAACAATACACAAAATTACGTTGTAAAATAGTAACTGATTGAAGTTATATTTAGGTGATATAAACAGTGGTACTAATAGTTGGTACTAGATGGTACTAATAGTTGTTCAGAGAAGGGAAATGGCTTTTTTATAATCTGTAACCAGTAGAAGTTTTGTGGTGTTTGTGGCATTTTATCTGAGCTTTGTAAGTTGGTGGAAATTCAGACAGTGGAAATGAAGAAAAAAGGCAAGTTGGGGGAGAGAATATAATGCATTTGACCGGGGTGGTAAGCATAGCTTAGCAGGAATTCACAAGTTGTGTAATAACCATTGTAATAATGTCTAATATGCCAAAGGCCTTTCAAATACTTAACATGCATTGTATCACTAAACCCTCACAGAAATCCTATGATACATAATTGTTCTTATTTTATGGGAAACTGAGGCACAGAAATTTTAGGCAATTTGCCCAGGTTCTCATGGCTAAGTAAATGGCAGAGCTAAAATTCAGACCCAAGAAATCTGCTTCCTGTGTGTTGAATGGCTATTATGCTGTCACTTTGTTAGCACATAAAGCTAGGATTATTAGTCAAAGATACAAGATGGATTTTAGGGCATCCAGGTACACCTTTGATGTTGTATGATGTCTGTACTATGCTTTAGTACAGAGATAATATTAGAAATATTTAACAAATGATATGACCTGGACACCAACCAGTGAACTTGAAAGCAGCCCTCAGTACAGAGGAACAGTCTCCTGGCGACATTAACTTTACTTGCTGTTTTGGGGGAGATCCCGTGGTCCATGGGAAGCATGCATAAGTAGAGGAATTTATTAAGCCATTGATACTGAAAATGAGGCTTTGATGACAGTATAGCCAGCCAATCTGGTGTACATCTATCAGTTTTGCTTCTGTGCATTTTCTTTTTCTTTTCTTTTTTTTTTTTTTTTTTTTGAGACGGAGTCTCGCTCTGTCGCCCAGGCTGGAGTGCAGTGGCGCGATCTCGGCTCACTGCAAGCTCCGCCTCCTGGGTTGACGCCATTCTCCTGCCTCAGCCTCCCGAGTAGCTGGGACTACAGGCGCCCGCCACCACGCCCAGCTAATTTTTTGTATTTTTAGTAGAGACGGGGTTTCACCGTGTTAGCCAGGATGGTCTCAATCTCCTGACCTCGTGATCCGCCCGCCTCGGCCTCCCGAAGTGGTGGGATTACAGGCGTGAGCCACTATGCCTGGCCTCTTCTGTGCATTTTCATTTCCACCATAAGACTTTGCACCATACGGCCGTTACTTACGCATGCGGCAATTTTCCCTGAGATAGTCCCATAGCTGCTTCTTTATCATTCAGGGCTCAGCTCAGATGTCACTTGTTATTCTTATTCCCTTATCTTCTAATCTGAGGTCACTTTTTTAACTTGTTACCCTTTCTCGATTTACTTCCTAACACTCATCATTGATATTTTTAGATTTATTTGTTCATGTATTTTCTATTTTCCTTTGCTTCTTTAAAAAGCAAACTCCATGAATGAAGGACCCTGTCTATTCTATCCAGGTTCCTTCTTCTGTGATTAGAACAGTGCCTGGCACATAGTAGGCACCCTAAATATCTATGACTTGGTGAATAAGGGGAGGTCTATAGCTGTCTCCAGATTCTAAAAGTTTAAGAACTATTGACTTGAAGGAATACTCAAATTCTCTCTGTTCCGTAGTTTAGAGCCTGATTCTACAAACTCTTAACTGACAGGCTAAGGCATCGATGTGGATCAGCATGAAGATGTGGAGTGGAGAGGGGTACCTAAGGGCTGCTCTCCAGGCAGCTCAGCTGGCACATTGCTTCCAGAAAGCCTCACGTTGCTTTGCTGCCATAAGAGGATGAAAGGGAGACAAGCCAGTGGTGGTTGGAATTCTCTGGCAAGAGGCGGTAAGGGCCTTACTGAGATGATGGCAGACCATGCAAAGAAAGGCCGTTATGTCAGAGACGACAGACATGAAGTCCAAAAATGTGATAGGAATTCAGCTTTCACTTATTAGTGTTTCCTCTGTTGCCTGACTTTATAAAAGTAGCCAAATTAGTCAAGCCAAATTAGCCAACATAGATAATTTAGGGGTTTGTATAGATTTTCCTCAGTAAAAGTCTGTGTTTACGATTGTCCAGTACTTTTGCGTCAGCTTCTTCTCTGTTTTGCTTGTAACACACCATTCCTTACCTATGTGCCTGAGTAATTCTTACTGAACCTCTTTCACATCGGTGCTGAAGTGCAGCCTTGCCAAGGAAGCCTTCCCTCACTCCTCCTTTGTACCAGGTTAAGTGTTCCTGGTATATGGAGCTACGGCATTTTGTACTTTCCTTATCACTGTAGTTACCATATTTCATGACATCCACTTGCTTGTTTCCTTCCCTTGTTGCTGTAATGGCTTTTCAGGGAGTCTTTTTTTCTGAAATATTTTTTTTTCTAATCACCTCTCCTTGTGAAATTTTATTACCACGGATATACTGTATGTCTATGTACCATATATTTATCTGTGTTTTATACATCTGAAAGAGTAAGCCTTTTTGTGTCTCAGCCAAGAACGAATTTTCTCTCCCCAAGGGTGACATTACCAAAATTGAGAATGCATGCAACGAACTGCGCAGGCACAGACACTGTCCAGCTCAACTCTGTATTGCCAGTGCGGACACATAGTACATGCTTGATAAATATTTGTGACTAACTAGATGAACAAGATAATCTCTGCAAACCTTACAGTTACTCAACCTTGAAATTGATAATCCTGAAACTATATTGGCATGTTTAAAAATAGTACATTTAAACTTCTGCTGTCTTTCATAGATGAATCTACTGCCAATAGGCCATCTGTGCTTTCTTTTTATTCCAGATGGGTTCGTATAGGGCTTTCCAGATTCACTCTTTGAGCCCTTTCTTGTGCCCAAAGTCTTCAGAAATAAGTTTGTCAGGTTGAAAAAGAATCTGTGGCTGTGGGAACTTTTTTCTTTTCAAACTAGTATAACTAAATGGGAATTGAAACTATGACATTTAGTTTTGCAAGATGAGACTTATTTCATCAGAATTTAAAAAATTCACCTCAACTAAGCAGTATTAGAATGTGCTATTTTTCAGGAAATGGAAGTAGCCTAATATAGCAGTAGCTTGGCATTAATGAACATGACACTATGTGGATATTTATACATGTAGCATAAAATAGGTGAAGGTATTTGTCAAAATTAAAAGTGCTTCACAGAGAACAAACAGTAAATATTTACATATATGTATCTAGGCATAGAACCACACACATAATTATAATGTGTGATGTTAATATACTGTGTCTGATTCATAAAGATGAGAAGACATATCACTTTTTACTTCATACTTGTGAGGATCTCTGCGTCTCTTATTCTTCAGCCTCTGTAGTTCATTCATTCATATATTAATTAATTCAACAAACAGTGTATCCCAAAGGCTCAACGTATAGTGGTGTCCTGGTATGTAGGGTCTCATTTTTCCCTTTCTTCTTTATAGCATGTTTTCAACTCATAGGCAGAGTTATCCCTTAAAGCAGGAGTCCCCAGTCTCTGGGCCATGAAATGGTAGCAGTTCGTGGTCTGTTAGGAACCAGGAGGTGAACGTTGGGCAAGTGAGCAATGCTTCATCTGTATTTACAGCCACTCTGCATTGCTTGCATTACTGCCTGAGCTCTGCTTCCTATCAGATCAGTGGCGGCATTTGATCCTTGTAGGAGTGCAAACCCTATTGTGAAATTCACCTGCCAGGGATCTAGGTTGTGTGCTTCTTACAAGAATCTAATGCCTGATAATCTGTCACTGTCTCCCATCACCCCCAGCTGGGAACTTCTAGTTGCAGGAAAACAAGCTCAAGGCTCCCGCTGATTCTACATTATGGTATATAATTATTTCATTATATATTACAATATAATAATAATAGAAATAAAGAGCACAATAAATTTAACTTGCCTGAATCATCCTGAAACCATCCCTCCAACATGGAAAAATGGTCTTCTACGAAACTGGTTCCTGGTGGCAAAATAGTTGGGGACTACTGCCTTAAAGCATTAGTCAAATCATCTCATGCCTCTGCCCCAAACCCTTCAGTGGCTCCCAGCTTCCATCAGAATAAAGGCTCTGTGTGAACTTGGCCCTCACTGACTCCAAGGCATTCTCTGCTCTACTCGCCTCCTCACTTATTCAACCACAGTGACCCTCTTGAGTTTTTGGAATATGCCACACCTGCTTCTGCTTTAGGTCTTTGTGTTAGTGATTCCCCTTGCTGGAATGTTCTTCCATCAGATATCTGCATGTCTGTTACCCTTACCTCCTTCAGTTCTTTGCTGAAACTTCACCTTCTCTCTGTGGTTTACCCTGACTCTAACATTGCAATCTACTCTTACCCTGCAACCTGACATTCCTAATCCTCTTTAATCTGCCCTATTTTTTCCCTCTAAGTCATTTCTCCGTTTTTACATGTGTTTCTTCATTTGTACATTTCTTGCAGAAAAACCCTCTCTTCCATAACTAGAAAGTAAGCTCTGTGAAGACGGGGAACATTTTTTGTTCACTGCCAAATCACAAGTACCTAGAATGGTGTCAGGCATAAGTTAGATGCTCAATAAACATGAGTGAATGGGTATATATAAATAGAACTTGCATTTTATGGACCAAAAATGTGAGGAGGACAGTGAGAAGTGCCAAGGAAGAAAATAAATTAGCATTAGAAGATGGACAGAATTGGTGGTGTGAGTTGGTAGGTGGGATAGCTAGGGAAGACCTCACTGTGGAGGGGACTACCGAGCTGAGGAGCAACCGGAGACCAGAACCTTCCTGTATGGCCAGGAGAGCATCCAAGTGGGAGACGCAGCAAGTTCCAAGACTCCGAGACGGGCACGCATTTCAAGTCAAGGACTCGAAGGAAGGCTGTGATGGTCAGTGCGCATGTGAGGGCCACAGAAAGATGATGAGGTTTGTAAGATAGTAAGCGTCCTGGTGATACTTCATATTCTATATAATCTTCTGAAAATGATCCCACAAACAATATATTTGAAAATATGTGGCTGAAAAGAATAATGATTCACCACTAAATCTTTCTGAAGTTGTGCCTCAGCCTTTCTCCTTTCACAAAATGTTCAAGTAAATTCAGTTCACACTGCACATAATTGTATTTTGGCAGAAACAAGGCAAGTTTCAAAAAACTCTCAAAGGTTTTTTAGATGGAAGGGAGTGGAGAGAATATTTTGTGCATGTGTGCGTGCGTCTGAAGTCACGCCAGATAGGTGACTATATGCCATTTGCTTATTTGTGCTAACTTGGGTTGTGACTGCTTTTGACTCCTTCCTCCTACTTAGAGGTTTTGTTTTGAAGGAAAGAAGGGCTCCAGATCTGACTGCTGTCACCTATTCGAGGCTGGAGTTTCCCAGTAAAACCTAACCCACACATTTACGTAAGCCATCTGTTGACCCAAGTTTTGCTTAGCCTGAACTTCCTGGATTATTATTTTTTTAAACTGAACTCCTGACATGTGATTTCTAGTAAATAATGATACTGCTTCAACACTTTCTTTCTCACCACATTAAATAACTTGCTGTGTCAAAGGGAGGAAGCAGGCAGATGGCAGTGCAAGAATCAGTTCGTCAGAATCGCCACTTTCACCACTTTGGATTTCATTACCATCTCACTGCTCTGCTAGGGATAATGTTGTTCCTATATTATTTTTTCCACCAATATGAAATACCAAAGCAATTTTGACTAGATAAATGAGATGATTCTGAACCATTAAAAAATGTTTACATCCAAAAGCATTTTAATTCTACTCAGACTTCTCAGTTGCAGTAATTTTACAAAATTATATTAGGGTTGAAGGATCAAATGGAACTTATTATGTTATTGCTAGGTATTTTAAAAAGCAGATTGAAAGAGCACATTAGAAGAAATTCCTATAAGAAAAATCAGGATTTTGTTTTGTTTTGCTTTGTTCTTGCTGTGGTTTTTGAGGGAATAGTGCCCACATTGTGATTGTTAAGTTTTCCATAACTTAGTGTCATGCTTTCTATACTAGAGTTAATTCCAGTAACATGTTTGGTGCATCATGTCCCTTCCCCTATCAATTACAGAAGAAAGCCACTAGGTTCTTGGTAAGTAGAAATATTATGTTAATTTTTTAACCTCTAAAAGTTTCCAAAATCTTCTCACTCTTTCCAATGAGAAGGATGGATGGAGAAGGGAGAACTCTGGCACTCCATGCATCTCCCTTACATGTTATCCTCATGTCTGCAGTTCCACTTTCCTACAGGCAACCAGAATGACCTTCAAAGCCACAATTTTGACCATGTCACTAAGAGGAACATGAGGGGAAAATGAACAAAGCTGGTTTAGTCAGAAACAGGATCCTGTGTTCTTTTTTGGAAAGTACTTTGACAACCAGTTTAATGAGAAGAGATTATTTCCCTTCTCCTCCCCCCCATTCCTTTCTCTTGTTCCCTTTCCCTTTTCTTTTTCCTTTCCCCTCCACTCTCCTCCCCTTATCTCTTCCTCTGCACCTTCTTTTTCCTGTCCCTTCTCCCCTTTCTCCTTCTCTGGCCCCTCTCAACGCCTCCCTCCTCCTTCCTCCTTCAACTCTTGGCTTTAAAAGATAAGGTTTTCTCTGTTTAGAGGGCAGTATAACTAAACAGGAATTGGGCACTGTATCGTTATAGGGCTTTTGATTTTTCTTTTACAAAGGAAGCACAGATATTCCTGCCTATCTAAATAAATTTGATAATTAAAATTTCATTGATGTGTTTGCACTTATTCTCTTAAAACTGTAACATTTAATAAGTAAAAAGTTATGCTCATTAACTCAAACAGATTTTAGTTTATGAACTTCAACTGTTTTTGTTTTTATTTTTTCTTCTGTAGATGTATTATATCAGTCAACACGTTAATTTAGCAACCACAAAATCCCTAATATATACAAGATATTCTGTAAGGCCTAAAAGTGATAATAATAATAGTAGAAGCCAAAATTCTAGCTTTCAAGGAGATTACAGTCCAGTTTAGGAAATAAAGTATAAAACTTTAAAAGTTATAAAACAAAGCAAGAGATAAATAATAATTGAATACAACAATACAGCAATAGCAAAAGGCAGGAACTGATTGTTAATTGCAAATGAATAGTAAGATGTTAAATGCTAGGGCATTTCAGAGAAGGGGGTGAACGCTGTGGACTGAGGTGACTTGCGGGTGCTTCAGGGAGCAAAATGATTGCAGAGAATGTTTAGGGTCTGGAGAGGAAGAGAGAAAGGGGCAATGAGTTTCACACAAGAGAGATGGCATGAGTAGAAACTTTGAAGTGGTCAAGCACAAGACGTGTTCCGAGAAAGGATGATGAATGCACCTGTTTCTTCAGGGGAAGATTTGGAAATGTCATGTTGGAAATAAGCTGGGGAAAGATTATGGAGGGCCTTTAATTCCTTACTTAGATTAACTAAATGACTCTGTAGTTGTGGTAGCAAGCTTTCTGTCAAAATTCACCAAAAAACTGTGATTGATTTCATGACATAGAGAGCACATGCAAACCAGAGACCCTTAGTTTTTGAGTAAACAACAAAATCTCTCATCTACTGATACTCTTGAAACTGGTATGGCCATAATTGAGGATGGAGAAATAGGTATCTGGTTTGTTTATAATTAAGTTGATCTTTTATCTTTTGAGTAACAGCTAAAGCCATTGGAAAGCCATTGGAAAATTTTAACTAGGAGAGTGATATGATCAAGTTTTGTTAGCAACATTACTACGACAGCCTATAAGGATAAACTAGAAATGGATGAGCTTAGCAATAGTAAAATAAAGAGCTAATGAAATAGTCCACAGAAGACAGTGTGATAGCCTATGTAAGATCATGACAGTAAAGATAGCAAGAAAAGAACAGAGTTAGAGAGAGATTCAGGATTTGAGATCAACAGGTCTTGGTGATAGAGTGAATGTGTGTGGGACTGGGTGGCAGGAGAATATTGGCAGATAGAGGAAGTCGTGAAGGGGATTTCCAAGGTTGCTCTCAGTACACTGGTTTGAGCTACTGTCCTGTGATATAATACAGTGTTTGTTGATTTTACTTTGGAAGTGTTGTTTAAACTTGCATTTCATCTTCAGTCCCTCTAATATTGCCTTAACACACAGATGATAGCAACATTTTCCTTGGAGGCCTATCACTAGTTCCCTTATCTGCTTTAGGCTGCCTTCCTCACAATTGACAGCTTGATTTTTCTCAAAAACAAATATGATTTCATCACTCTTCCAAAACTTCTCATTGGATGTCTATTGATTAAAAGTCCAAGCCAGTTACCGTGGCATATAGGGCCCATTGCAAACTCCCACAGCTCATCGTCATAACCTTTTTATATTACATTTCCCCAACTAACATATTTTGCTCCAGTTCTACTTAAAGCCTCACTTCTCTTCAAGACTCTTCCCACGGGCTGCCATTGTGACAGCAATGACTCCACACTTAACCCTATTATCCCCTCTTTAGGAGCAGTCTTTAAGTTTTCCAGGAAGTATTAGACACTGCACTGTATCTGTAACTAAAGCACTTTGAATATATATATAACATATATATTATATATATAAACATATGGTCCATTATAATTTTTATTTATATAAAAATCATGGTAATGATAATAATGATGAATACCTACTAAATTATTCCCTGCTAGTAACTTGACAAAGCATTTACACATTAACTTATTTATTGAAAAAAAAAAAAACCTTAAATAAAAGTTTCTTCATTTAAGAAACTGAAGCATATAGAGGTTTTCCCCAAGGGGAAATGGCAAAACTACTGTTTGAAACCAAGTTTGTCTGATTTCAATGGCAACACTCCTAACATTATACTCTACTGTCTGCTTTTGAGACTGAGTTCCTCAGGGTTGAGAGCACTGCTCATTCAATTTTGTAATCCCTTCCCCGAGGATGCATTCAATAATGTTTTGCTGAACTCTTTAATGAATAAATGAAAGCATGCTGGGGAAATTGAAAAAGCAATTGAAGGTGGAGTTTTAATAGCTGACAGAAGCCTTACCTGTTTTCTTCCCATCTAGCAGTTGCATTTAGCAGAAGCCTTTCATGACTTTAAAGGAATGACTAATAGGATTTCACACACTGTGGCAAGACCTGGGAGGGTGACATTTTGTGTGTGGCTGTCCAGGCCTTTCCCAGAAACATTCAGATTACTCTTTCTATTGGAAAAACTATTTCTAGCTATGATCCAAAAAGCCAAACCAAAACAAGGATTTGTTTTTCTTTTTTTTTTTTTTTCTTTCTTCAGACGGAGTCTCGCTCTGTCACCCAGACCGGAGTGCAGTGGCATGATCTCATCTCACTGCAACCTCTGCCTACTGGGTTCAAGCAATTCTCCTGTCTCAGCCTCCCAAGTAGCTAGGATTACAGGTGCCTGCCACCTCGCCTGACTAATTTTTGTGTTTTTAGTAGAGACAGGGTTTCACCATATTGGTCAGACTGGTCTCGAACTCCTGACCTCAGGTGATCCACCTGCCTTGGCCTCCCAAAATGCGGGGATTACAGGTGTGAGCCACCGCGCCTGGCCCAGGATTTTTTTAAATCTGCTATAATAACCTAGAAAGAATTATGCTAAGAGTTAAATAGGCACAGGAATAAATAGGGACAGGATTAAAGTGGAGTGACAAAACCTGTGGGTATTATAATCTAAAAGTGGAACAATAAAGAGAGGAGGTTAATATTAATGCAAGTTCTGGCAATGCTGTATATCTTTCTTTGATTTGTTGAGCTGCTTTAAGAAGTAATAGCGTCTTCCACGTAGCTGCATTTATGGGTCAAGGATATCTGCTCTTGACAAAATTACTTGGAATACTGAGCAAAGTCTTATGCATTTTAACGATTATTTAGATTTATGGAGCGCTTGCATGTTTGAAGTGCTTTATGTGCATTACGTCATTTAATCCTCATGGCAACCTCATGTGGTGCACCTACTTTGCCCATTTAGTAGGTAAAAAATGAAGATAGAGACATGCATTTAGAAATCAGATTTATCTATTCCAGACTGCTTTTGATAATTTTTCTTCACTGCTTCCATATATATTCCATTTATATTTTCTGAAATATCTAGATCTTTGCCCACTTTATATCTGTACACATTCCTGGATGCCCCTTCCTTCTATCTGTCTCCACTCCTTAGATTCTTTGGAGTTATTTGAATTCATCCATCTGGTTACCAGGGGCCTAAAGCTGTCTTCTTTTGTCCAATCAAGGACTGAGAAATTTATCAATCCCCCCTCCCCTTGAAAAAACTATAAAGAGATTGATGTTATGAAAGAGTGATTTTCTAAGAAGCAAGCAACTGAAAAAATAATGAAGAAGCAAAATATAAAGCTGGCTGCATAAAAAAATGTGCATGGGTTTGAAGCAAAGATCTGAGCTAAACAAAGCTACAGAACTACACTGCTTCCATGATTGGTAGTAGCCTGATTTTGTTTCCAAATCGAATTTCTGTATTTACCTCCAAGTGAGACCACTATTGGTCAGCACTTCTTGCTCTAAACTCTGTTCTTATTTTGTTCCACAGCAATCTTACTTCTCTGTGGATTTGTGCTGATTTCCAGACCTCTCTATGTGGAGGTACTTCCTTTTATTTTGAGGGCCAAACGTTTCTGCCTAGGTTTTCAGGAAGTTCTACACTGTGTAATTATAAGAAAGTTCACGAAGACAACAGCAGATTATTGGTGGATGCTGGTACTACGATCTTTTAATGTACTTATTTAGAAAAAAAACCGTGTGTGTGTGTCCACGTGTGCATGCCTGTGGGCATGCACGTAAGCACGCGCAAATACTTAAATACACACAAAAACAGAGAAAATATACAATGAACCTACATGGACACACCTCCCATCACTTTCTGCCATACTTATTTTGTCTAGTACCCTGGTTTGTGGGTTTGTTTTGTTGGAGTATTTTAAAGCAAATCACAGGTGCAATATCATTTTATGTGTAAAGACTTCACAATGCTTCTCTAAGAGGTAAAAACTTTAAAAAAAGACACATGACCACATTACTATTGCTACACCCAATAAAATTAGTAATTACTACACTATATCAGCTACTGCCCAGCCCCTATTCCCTATTTTCCTACTGACTCAATATTTTTTTTCTTTTTGCAGTTGATTTGTTCAAAAACAATGTCCAATCAGGGCCTACACATCACATGTGGGTTCATTTGATGAATTACTGATGTAGGCCCTGTCATTTGTAGACATTATCTCAGTCAGTTAGAGACTTCAGTAAGAAAGTTTAGTTTATTGGCTCAGCTTGTAGGACTTCACAGGAGTAGAGCCCGCATGAGGACCCAGACTACAAGGTTGTTTTTCTTTTATGCTTTACCAGCTTCCTTCTATTCCTTGGGCAAGCCAGATCCTTGTTTTCCTTACGTCCACCACTTTTACCACTATGTCATACCGCCTGTCATTTCCTTTGTACCTTTAGAGGGTTTGGCAAATCTAGATCTTTCAAAGAGCCAGTTAGGAGGGAGGGTAGTACCCTTTGCCGAAACTAAGCTTTGGAATAGAACTTCTGTAGCCTTGGATAGTGGTTTTTCTCTTTACCTAAAATTTTCAGCTCCTGAGTCAGAAGCTGGCTTCCTCAGCCATCTTGATTTTGAATACTTTGCCACTTCTGAATAGTTTAGTGTTTTTCTGTTCTATCCATATGGTGACATCAGCTCTTAGTTCATTGTCAGAGCAGAGATGACAGCCGTTCCTTGAGCAGGACAGCTCCAGTTTTTTCCAGCTTAAGTTATGAGTTCATGCTCCTTGCATTTTGTTTATGACTTATCATTCATACCCCCTAAAATGTTATCTGTACAGTTTTGAAAGACAAAAATACTTCTCATATAAGTTTATACTGAATGATATGACTCACAGCAAATAAAAGGTATGCTTGCTTATACTGCTGTTTCCCAAATTTTGGAATTGCAGGTGCTGTTTTAGTACAATATACACACCAGTTTTAAATAAAAAGGAATCGAAACAGTGAAACAATGTTCTCTTTTTAAACTTTTCTCTAATCTGAGTAGAACTCAGGTTGTTGTTAACATGTTTTCACATCTCCTTAACAATTGCAAAGCTTTCTTTTTGACAGAGAATAGCTCTTGGGTTCAGAGATCTTGGCTGGCAACCGAATTTAATAATATTGTTATGTTTTAATTGTATTTTTAAGGTTTTCTAGTATTTATATAGATGAAATTGTTTTCCCACTTATGGTTTAAATAGAAGTGTTTCTTTTAAAACGTATTTATGTAGGCAACAAATATGTTTTAAAACTATATTAAGTAATAACTGGTACTATTTTGAGCACTTATTACATATGATACCCTAATTTCAGATACATGATATAACTCAATGCATCTTTCTAATGGCATTGTATATGCTTACTTTTAAAAGGAGGAGACTGAGGCACAAGAGATTACTTTGCTTAAGGGTACGAGTTTAATGAATATGTTAGGAGTTGAGCTCTTTACCTCCATCTAATACTACTGTCAAGTCAGTAAAATTGATATATGTAAATAGTAAGCGTAGTGCCAGAGGTACTGAAGTGACTGAGTGGAAAGTTCCACATTACAACCTTCATGTTACATACAAATGTTAATTTAAACAGGATCTGGATTCTTACTGATGTCAGTTTAAATGTCATATTTGTCATTTAGCATGTATGTTTTAGTCAAATAATTTTATCTTTCTAAATTTGTTTCCTTGTCTGTATAATAGGCATAATAACCTCACAAGGATGGGTGTGTATGTTTATGCTGGACTATATGCCATATTATACTTCAAGGTTCTATAACATACTTCAAGTTTTTAGAGTAATTCCTGGTACATGGCAATTATAGTAGCTGGTATTATTATCTGGAGGAAGTATTATTTATTGTTAGAGCTTCAGACAGACCTCAGTTTCATGACTAGTTTTGCCATATCCTAGCCATATTACCTTGGAGAAGTTATATCTGTGAAATGGGGATAATAACACCCCAGACCATTGTTATGGGTTTGCAATGATATAGTTACAAGTACATCCTCACTCAATACTTACATAAGCTTTTATTTGATTTGTGATTATGTTGAACACAAAACTACAGCACGAAGCTTTTATAGTAGCATTAATTTTTGTACCAGATTACTTTCTTGATCAATATAATGTCTAGCTTGTTTATAATGTAAAATCATTAAGAATTGTATGAGTCATACATTGTAAAATTCAGCATACCCTTTACTGTTATGCAATAAATGAGCTCACATTAAGCAAAACTTGAGGTCATACATCATAAAATTCAGCATAACCTTTACTATTATTATTATTTATCCTAGAGCACTTATACATGAAGACATTCTAATAGGTGATTGTTGTGATGTCTGTGTAGGATTTTTCTGATAAATAAATCTTTTATTTTGTTACTAAAATACACACAGGTAAAAGTGATAAGATTATAATAAAGTAAATAACCCTTTACTATATGCAATAAATGAGCTCAAGTTTTGCTTAACTATTATTGCATAATAGTAAAGGGTATGCTGAATTTTATAATGTATGACTCATACAATTCTTAATGATTTTACATTATAAACAAGTTATGATTTTACATTACAAACTAAGTAAGCATTGCCATTTGCTTATGGCGACGCTTACTTAGTTGAAGTGGTCTATATGCAAAATAAATACCAAGTACAGTAAGCAGGAAAAGTCAGGACTTATAATACCCTAAATGATTCTGGTAAAAATCCATGCTAAAGATACACAGAAAAATACTAATTATATATACTTTCTTAGTCTATTGTTAATCCTATCACTTTTACTTGTATGTCTTTTAGTAAGAAAAGACTTATTTCCAGAAAATCCTACAGTAATATGTGGGAATGGGAGGAGTGTGAGGTTAGGGCAGCTGGATGAAAGAGCTAATTGCCACAGATATCACAATAATAACCTATTAGAATGTCTTCATGCATAAGTGCTCTAGGGTAAATAATCAAATTAATAAAAACAGCGTGTCATTTTCTGTCATTGACTGTATAAAATTGATGCTTAGCTACAAGGCTATGTGGCATCCATGCTAAATGGTGCTAAAAGTATCAGAAAGTTCTTACCGTGTTACTTTACACAAAAATTTGCTCTGCACTAGAGTCCCCAAGAACTGGGAAGCAGTAGAAATTACAGAGGACAAACTCGACAACTTCTTATGACAAATGGCTATAGTATTGTTTCGGTTGCCCTTGAAATTATTGACCGCACAAGGAACAATTAAAAATACGGCATTCTGGCCGGGCGCAGTAGCTCATGCCTGTAACCTAAGCACTTTGGGAGGCCAAGATGGGCTGATCACCTGAGGTCAGGAGTTCAAGGCTGAGGCAGGAGAATCACTTGAACCCGGGAGGCAGAGGTTGCAGTGAGTCGAGATCACGTCATTGCACTCCAGCCTTGGCTACAAACGCAAGACACTGTCTCAAAAAATAAAATAAAATAAAATAAAATAAAATAAAATAAAATAAAATAAAATAAAATAAAATAAAATAAAATAATAATATTGCTCTAGTATTCAAAGGTAGCATTTTGTTTTACTGTTTTGCCCTTCCAAATATGTGTAAAATGGAGAGAAGGATTTACAATTTTCCAGACTTTCCCCTTTCTAACTTTCACCTTAGGTTTTACTGGGTATTGTGAGGAGCCCCATTATGTTTGCTGTGCTTCCTATGATGACCTGTGTTCATTCTTTGCGGCTGGGAAGGCACTATGATGATGGGATATCACCAAACAAATCAGCCCTAAAGCTGGTCCACAATGGCAATTGTCTTTCCGCTGCATTGTCTTTCATACTTGTTTTCATGCACATGTTTCTACAGTGACATCAGCTTAGTCAGTGCCAGTTACCACCCCAAAGCTCCCTGAAAGCACATTACAATGAGGGTGAGTCCCGGCCAGGCTGAAGCATTGAGCTTCTTTCCAGTCCCAAGCACTGTCAGAGACTAGTGTGGTTAGCTCTCAATCAGGAGACCTGATCACACTTGATCCTTGATATTGCATCTATCACAGAGGAAAACAGTAAGAGCTCCCCATCTTCCACACAATTTTTTTAATTTTCTTTTTTTTTAATGAAAGGCAGATGAGGTAACCAAGGAGAAAGCAAAGTTTATATAACTCAGATTTGAGCTCAGGCTCAATTCTGAGAGTTCCACACATGCCTCATAAGTGTGCAGAGAAGGAACCAGTCTAGAAAGTTATTTGCATAAAAGCTGAGGTGTTTCTGGGGTAAGAAATGAACCTCAGTTTCAGAAATAACTGTGTATATGAGATATGACTTGACAGAATTCTGTATGCAGGGGAGTTAGGATGGTTTTACCTAAAAATGCATGCACATATTTTATAAATTTAGCATAAAAATTCATTAAATATATATGAATGTATTAAATATTGCATGTTAAGTATATCATATGTAATATAAATATTACACATTATTATATAGCATAATTATATATAGTACATGTTACATATATGTGAAATATACAAATATATATCATATCATACACTGAGAGCTCTAGTCATTGGGGCCAGCAAGTGTTTAGAGTTGAGCACCGAAGTTCCACTCCTTAGATGCATGATTATGTCTGAAGGAAAAAAGTTTTAATTAAAAAAAAGAAGGCCTATTTTATTTAGTTCTGTGGCATATCAGGGCACAGTCAATATTACTTTAATGTCATGTGACATGAGGGGTAGGAAGCCACTTCCTTTATCCTATCATGTTTTACCACACAGCTCACACACCGGGAGAGCTTAGGGTGGCCACTAACAGACAATTGCTTCGCTTGGAAGGGAAGCAGGAGAGACCAAGAGCTCCATATAAAGCAGGTGCAGTGGGATCACTGCTGGTGGGATCCAGCAGAGCAGCAGTAGGGCAGCAGCTGTGCGAACCTGTGGAAACCACAGATGTCATCTGGACCTATATGGCACCATGAGAGGAAAACTAAAGGACAGGTAGAAACCATCATGGCATGCTACGTGGTGATAGATGCATGGGGAGAAGCTGCCGTGCCCACAGAAGGAGTGTGGAGGGCTGCATGGTCCAGCTGAGCACTGGGGGGCACCTAGTGGAACAGTGTGGATGCCAAGAGAGTAAAGCCCATGAAACTGCCAGAAATACTTGAGAAAACTTTGCCAGAAACTGAAATTTCTGCATGAGATGATGGGCCCCAGAGCTAGGTCATCTGCGTGATTCCTGTGAGGTAATTTATGAAATTACTTAATAGAAATCAATATTTTTATTACTACATCCCTATAGCTTTAGGTAAGGTGAAGCAATCTGAAGTTTACTTTTGTCCTGATGTGACGTTAGAAATCTTCATCACTTTTTGGATAAAGATGTTTCTTTCATTCTTCCATGTACTCATTGGGATATATTTATAGGGGTGCTAGTTGATAATTCATGTAGGGTTTGATACTTGATTGGCTTTTTCTATGTGCACTCAGCCTCAGCATCAGAATCACCCAGTTGCTTATTCCAAATGTGGCCTTATCTGAGACCAGTTGAATCCAAGTGTGAGCTTCCCTTTTTTGCCCCTTTCTCAAGGTTCATTGTCAGGAACACTCAGGTTTGAGAACCACTGCCTACTTTTATTTTTTTTGGTTTTTTTTTTTTTTTTTTCTTTCAGAGTCTCACTCTGTCACCCAGGCTGGAGTGCAGTGGCACGATCTCAGCTCACTGCAACCTTGGCCTCCCGGGATCAAGCGATTCTCTTGCCTTCAGACTCCTGAGTAGCTGGGACTACAGGTGTGCACCACCACACCTGGCTAATCTTTGCATTTTTAGTAGAGACAGGGTTTCACCATCTTGGCCAGGCTGATGTCAAACTCGTGACCTCAGGTGATCCACCTGCCTCGGCCTCCCAAAGTGCTGGGATTATAGGCATGAGCCACCATGCTCAGCACACTGCTTAATTTTCTCAGAAAATAGAAAACTAAACGCCTCGTGAGAGAGTGGTAGACAGGGTGTAAGGCATGTGTTTTTCAAAAAGCAGCGGAGATCTGAAATGTGTTCTGCAGGAAATGGTGGAAGTAATCTTCATGGATACATAAAAACCTTGCTGTGCAGATTGTGTGAACAGCTAAAACTGCTGACCTTAAATGTATGATGATAACAATCCTTGTGATTGTCCATGGAGGGCCATTCTGGCTACTAAGTATTTATTAAAGGTATGATGTGCTTAACATGTGGCAAATGTAAGTACTGATATAAAAGAAGATGCAGAAGAGGGCACAATAAATCAGTGAATGTCTAATTGGGGAGGGAAAACAACATATATGAATGGCATTAACAACAATATAATATTAAGTTGTTAGATAAATTGTGTGATAGTATAGTGCATAAATTCCCAAATAAGAAACTAATTTATAAAAGAGGTAGAATTTGACCAGTTCCTTGAAAATATGGCAGGATTTGAAGGGGCGTATCATTTAAATCGAGAGACGATATCATCATGTGAATACAAATTTTTGTTAAGTTTTTTGAGGGGGGGTGCTCTCATTCTGTCATGAAGGCTGGAGTGCAGTGGCATGATTTCAGCTAAATGCAACCTCTGCCTCCCAGGCTCAGGTGATCCTCCTCCCTCAGCCTCCCAAGTAGCTGAGACCACAGGAGTAAGCCACTACACCTGGCTATTTTTTTGTATTTTTTTTGTAGAGATGAGGTCTTGCTGTGTTGCCCAGGCTGATCTCAAACTCCTAAGCTAAAGCCATCCTCCTGCCTCAGCCTCCTAAGGTGCTGGGATTATAAGCATGAGCTATTGCACCCAACCAATAAAATATTTTTTACCACTTTTTGTGTACAACACCTTACCTACTATGATGTCTAACATGTACAGGAATGAGATATACTTTCCTGGCCCTCAAAAACGTTAAGTCTATTGAGTAAAGGGAAGCCTGATAATGGCTGGATCTTGGAGCACTGAAAAGCCCCAAGGAGGGTTAAAAACTTTTGGAGGTTTCTTGGGAAATAACACTGGGTAATTGAGTAGATGTAACCAAGTCCAGTTTGTTGAGTTGCACACAAAAGATCAAACTTTCACACATATGAGTTCAAGTAAAAAATGGTTTAGTTAGCTTTAAGAATTCAATACAGGGCTATAATTAGGGAGCATGGAAAGAGTAGTCAGTAATCAAAGGAATCCTAATGACAGTGGCTATAAAACTCAAGACACTCGTACCTCTTTCTGGTGTAGGTGCCTGTGTTTGGTTTCAATTTTTTAAATGACTTCTAAATAGATAAGGCTTGCATTGTGCTTAACAGCATAAATATGACACATCTGTACATATCTGAATTGCTTATATTTTTATACTGATGCCCTCAAGAGGCTTATAATTCAGGGAAAACAGCCACATAAGCCCCACTATGCCCATTTAAATGTGGATTGTGCAGCAAAGAAACAGTTTATAGAGGGCTGGAGAGTCACCTTTAAATTTGTCCAGCATTTCTCCAGAGCAGTGACATGTTGCAAGTGGCATATAAGATATCATAGGTGGCAAATTAAAATATGCAACATTAACATAAAACAGAGTACTTGAGAGGAATAAGAAATATTACTTTCACAAATAGAACCTAAGAAAATGTAATCGAATGGCACCTTTTGTTGTTGTTGTTTTGAAGGGAAAGCAGTTTTGCTAATCAAATGCTAGCACTTGGGGGAATGGCCAAGCTAATGCCTTCAAATGACCATTTCAACATTTTGGGCAGAGTGAAGGAGTTTAAGAAGGAAAAGGTGTGGAAAGCACGCAGGAGTCATGCAGGAGAGTGCAGGTCTGAGTGTCTTGTTGTAATGGCTGTCTTGAGTAATCACCCATTTGGAGGTCCAGTATGTGTGATCCTGACTTCAGCCTGGTAGTGGTGGGCTGTTTGTAACTCCCCCTAATAGGGAGGATTTCACAGCTTGGTCTCTCTGCCTGGTTTGTTTCAAGATTGGCCCCTGGAATTTCTAAGCAAGCATGTAATTAGATAAGCAAGCATGGTTCACAGAAGTGCCTGGTGGCAAAGGGAGAAACAAACAGTTTCAAAGTATATTTCAAGGCTAAAAGCAAGAAAAGAAAAATAAAAGTTTTACAATGCATTTTGAGGTTGGGATACTCAGTTACAGAGTTAGACTTGGAAAACTGTGGAATAGAACCTCCAAATAAAAACTAAATAAGAACCAGAGAAGGGCCTTTGAAAGCATCTTTTGATTGCAAGGAGGCAAGAGAGGAAAGTGGGGGGAAATGAGAGCTGTTTCTGCTAAGGAAGGCATCCAGTGAGCCACACAGGGATGCTAGGAACCTGTGGGAGGGGAGACCGCACGAGGCCAAATGTTGGCTGACTGTTCTGCTTGTAGCTGACCCTGAGCACCAGGGAGGTTCAAAAGGTAGTGTGCAAAGCGAAAAGAGGGCACAGACCAAAATCATGCAAAAAAGGCTTGGGGGCATGGAGAGGAGGAAAATGAAAGTGAAGGGAAAAGAAGGCAACGTAGAAAATCCTTTATGAAGGGGCCACATGGGAGACCAACACAGTGCCTGGAAGTCTAAAAAGAGCCTGAGCTACCCCAATTCACTGCTTCTATGGTTGTGCATCAGGTGAAGTACTTGAATTGCAATTTCATGTGCATGAAAAAAAATTTAAACACTGGAACCATTTCTGTGTGCATCAAAATGCGATGAGACATCTGTGAACAAAGAGTTATGGAGGGGAAATACTACTGATATAAAGAAAAGTCTCAATATGTATCTCTTGTCCAAGGCCATGTGCCCTTTGATGGGAATGATAGAATCTGCTGCATTATTTAAATTAGTATTTCTTTCTCAATATTTTCAGGGGTTCAAACACATAGTTGATGCCTTGGAAATTATATGCATTTATTTTGCAGTGCTACAGTATAATAGCATACTTCAACTCATGCTATGTTTCTTAATTTTTTCCCATCAAAACTTCTTAATGGAAGTTTTATATGCTTCCATGTTTATGTAATATTTGTGACAAGGATGCCTATAAAATATGATATTCAGATTCAACTAACTTGTATTAGAGTGCTCAGTGGGAAGCAGTATGCTACTCATTAACATGTAACACTTACATCATCCTTGTATCACTGCTGTGAAATAAGCTTTAAAAAACGTTTTGACATACAGTAATTATAGATTCACAAGAAGTTGCAAAATATAGTACAGAGAAGTTCAATGTATTCTTTACCCAGATTTCCTTAGTGGTTGCTTTTTAGATAACTATGGCAAGATATCAAAATCAGGAAGTTGACATTGATACAATGTATATGTATAGTTCTCTGGCATTTTATCAGGTGTAGATTTATGCAACTACCACATTCAAGATATAGAACTATTCTATTACCACAAAGATCCCTTTTGTGCTCCCTCACCCCTTCTCCCTTCATCAGTAACCCTTGGCAATCACTAATCTGTTCTACATCTTTATAATCTTGTAATTTCAAGAATGTGATATAATCAGAATACATAACCTTTTGAGACTAGAATATTTCTCTTAGCATCATGCTCTGAGGCCCTTGCAAATTGTCCCATGTATCAATGTTTTGTTTTATTACTTTAGTTCCTGTAGTGTGGATATTCTACAGTTTGTTCAACTATTTTTCCACGAAAGAACATTTTAGTTGTTTCCAGTTTTTGGCTAATTCAAATAAAGATGCTATGAACATTTGTGTGCAAGGCTTTGTGATGTAGGCATCCATAAAGACATTTCAGGGCTGAGGCTGAGCATTTAAATAAATTCTCCAAAGTGCAATGCTACTCAACCACTGGCTAGGGATCTGAACCCAGATAATTTTATTTTATCTCATATGCTGTCTCCACTATCTCATATTACCTGAGAAAAAACTGTTCTGCAGACTGTGTAGAAAGCTAGTGAAATAAATATATTTACTTCTTGATAAAAGGTTGATTTTCGAATAATATCTGCACTCTGATTTGATTGTTTTTAACCTGTTAGGTGCCAGGTTCTGTGCTGTGTTGAGGCAAAGTGCCTGCCCCACAAGGGATTTTACAAAATACCATCTTTACAGCATGCTGGTAGCTTGCTCTACGCTAGTTGGTTTAACAGTTTTAAATTTTAGTTGGAAAAATGTTCATTTAGAGTTAATCTGAGTGCTATAATAATATTTAAATGGGTATTCTTAAATTTAAATGTGCTGAAATATTTGGGTTAGTATACTTGGCTTTATCTTAGGAAAACAATTGCTGAGCATGCATGCACAAATACAGTATTTAATTTTGCAAGGTATGCAATTCAGTACTTCTTCGAAACAGAGATGATGTTCAGATGAATTTTCGTTGTAGCTTATTCACAAATTAATTACTTCTTCTGTTTATTTTGTGTTCCTTTCCCCCAATAGCATAAGAAATTAATCAACCGTCCACAGAGTACCAAAAGAGTTTCTAAGGATCCTGTAGGTGAGGAATATTTGCTTTGTCATCATTATAGTGCTTCCCCACCCCCTTATATGTTGTATATATGTGAATCATTTCATAAAAAGGAATGGAGAAAGTGACTTTCCAATCAAACAATCATTAACTTTATTGGCCTAATAAATACTTATTTCCTGGGAGGTCATATACAAATAAACCAAACTAGCATTCTTAAATCTGCATGTAATTAAAGCTGAGTTGAAATCAACAAGAAATATAAATGTTACTGAGTTTTATTTTATTTGTATGGCTAGCAATTGCTTAGTTTACTAATAGATGACTATACTTTGAGCTGAAATGTTGACTCTTAAGTTGTAAATCTTAAAGTACGTTCAATTCAAATCAACGTTTGAAGTCAATCTATTTGAATTTGAGGTATATATTGATATGAAACCATAAGAAACATTTAATATTTGGTTATCATTATGCATAATTCAAGTACATAACAATGCTACAGATTTCAGGGTAGAATTGGAAACTTTTATTCTATTTTAGCTCTTGAAACATTTTATTTTGTGATATCAGTAGCTACTAATGTGATAACTTATTGGTCTTCAAAAGACATCAGCGAGGATATTCTTACTAGTGCATCAGGTCCATTATGAATGATATGAGTTTGCCCTTACGGATTGGTACAGAAAATGTTCAGGTCTTATTAAACTCCACTAGGAATAGGATAGAATAAACACCATATTATAAACCCTTTCAGGGATAAATAAACGGTGTTTAAAAAGAGAGCAGATGATATAGAAAACAACAACAGCAATAGATAAAAGCTTTGCAAGTTTAATAATGCTGTTAACCTTTGAAGAATTTGATGTCCAGATAAAAGCATAATCACTGCCATCATTAACAGTCACTGGAGAATACAAAGGTAGAAGGATCCTTCTTATGGGTACTAGGAGTTCTAGTTTATTACACAGGTTGGGAGATATTTGTCCTCACATGAATCCTCCCACATGACCAATGCCATCAGAACTGCTGTAGGAAGGGTGACAGTAGATGAGGTTAGACATTTTGAGTGGGAGAAAACTATGAAAAGTTTTAAATGCCAAATAAAGACGTTTAGACAATAGGAAGACCCTACAAGAAATTTGTCAACAGGGGACTGGCAAAATCAAATTAGACTTTCAGGTGAACCAAAACTGACAGCAGGGATACAAGCTAGAACCCTGGTTCCTGCAATAGTCAAGGAAGAAGCTAGGTAGGACATGGTTAAGATTGAGTCAGCAAGGCAGGAAAGTAAAGCAAATATTTGAGATGCTCGGAGTTAGGAACATTAGGGCTTGGGTGCAGGGGATAAGAAATAGGCTTTGAAAAATGTGAAGAACATCACATGTCTCAGCTTGCTCAGCTGAGTGGCTGCATTAACTAAGAAAGTGAATAGAGTAAAGGAAGATCAAGTAGTGAGAAGGAAAGACCATCATTGATTATTCTGATTTTAGAAATATGACATTTGTATTGGCTGTAGAATACACTGATAGAGATAATTAGGAGATGAATATTGTGAGTGCTACACCAGGATTTAGGAAAATAATGCCAAAAGATAAAGATTGGGTAGATCTAGGATATTTCCCATAGTTAGTGGTGATGGTAACGTCAGTAAGAGTTGATGCATTCATTGAGGGGTGAGGACAGAAATAGAAGAGGCCTGAGATGGGATGCAGTAATACAGCAGTATTAGGAGGAAGAGAGTTAGCAGGGGGAAAAGAATATTGGAAGGAAGACAGCTGGCAAAGGGCAAGAGAGGAAAGAGGAGAAGCAGGGGAGGCCAGGGGCTCCAAGGAGAGGAGTAAAATGCTCCAAGGAAGTAAGAGAAGACACAGGCCAGGAATCAGTGCAGTGAGTAGAAGTAGGAGGCCTCTCATAAGATTGGAAAGAAAGGCTTCAACAGAGGTTTGAAGAAGGGCATAGAATGCCTAACGCAGAGGTTTAAGTAGTGAGTTGATAGTGAGGAACTTGAGCCCTCAAGTTTACATTAGATTTTGAAAGAGTATGTGATAAAGAGAAGGAAAGAAATACCACAATAGCTTGACACAGTAGCAGTAGCAAGGGATGAGGAGGCCTGAGAGTGTTTATAGGAAGCAAGGAAGGAGCCTTGGTGAGGAGGAGATTAAGGGGCAGGTGTGAAGGGAAAATACTTGATGAAAAGCAGTGTGAGGGATGGAATCCAGCAAACACAGAGGAATGAGATTTTGTAAGAAAGTAATTTTGAAATGAAAACAAAGTTAGGAGAACTCAAGTCAAATGGCTTTGGGTAAAGTAGGAGAAGCAGACATGGGCTGAGTGAAACAGAATGAGAGTGAGATTGGGGCTAAAGATAGGAGAAAAGATTCATGTCATTGTTACAAACAAATTTTTATTGAGTTTAGAAAAAATATTTTTAATGGATTTTCAAGCGACTAAGGACTCAAATGGTATAAAATAATTTACAGTTTGTTGATCACATTCAACATATTTTCCTAACCTCAGGCAGCCCAGGTAACTGAATGCAATCTGAATAACACAAGATTCAGATTGACAAACTGAGAAAAATGAAAGCTAAAAAAGACAACATATTCTAAGGTGGACACAAGACCATCATTGATGTGCATAGTTGATCACTAGCAGCAGTGCAGGTACAGAGATATATGAGACCCTGCAGAGGTGACCGAATGACTGGGGGACACCAAGGGATCACTATAGTAGTGATGGCAGCAAAGAGCATATTGAGCAGAAGCAAAGGACTAGAGGCCATGGAATATGTTTAGGAGGTAGAGGTCAGCAGTAATATTAAGGGGCTAAAGCCAAGGAGGTAGAATAATTCTGGCTGAGCATGAAACACGAAGATTGGCCTTGAAAGTCAGTTTCTAGTTTGGAGTCACAAGATGTGTCATTGGAGTTGACAAAATTAAGAAACTGGGGTCGGAGGTGTGAATGATGATCCGCAGGGCTGCTGATGAAGTTGCCTACAGAGTGTTGCTGATGACGTGGATGGGACGAGAAAAGCCTGCCCAGATAACATGGACTTCAAAATGAATGCACTGCATGGAGGTAGCAGAACTCTGGGTTGAAAGTGATGATGGAGAACAAGGAAGTGCTGGCCCCTTTTCCTTGTTTTCGCAGAAAGGTGGCTTTGTATTGTAAAATCAGGGTGCAATTTACAGGAGTGTGTAGGAGGAAGGAATAGTTCAGTAATGGAAGGCAGATGGAATGCTTGCTTAACACCAGACCAGGGAAACTGGTGCAGGGGTGAGCATGAAAGTGGGAGAAAGTGGCTATAATGCAGGGAAGGGCTGGAATGTGAAAGGAGAGAGATAGTAGGGGACAGAGGTTTTATTCAGAGTTATGGATCTAAGTTACACATCAGTAACAACCATAACAACAGGTGAACAGGAGTCAACAGAGGACGGCCCAGTGGAAAGTGTTGGTGTAAAGGATCTTCCACAGAATTGTTTTTGGGTGGTAGATCATGTCGTGTGTATGTCTGCGTGTGTGTGTGAGTGTGTGTATAGTTAGGGATGTGTGTGAGGATTGGCTAGCTGCTGGTATAATTTATGCATCAGATTAGTACTAATAAGGAGAAATAGGTTTTGAACCTAAAATGACCCTTCAAAAACAATGCTACTCGGCCAGGCGTGGTGGCTCACACCTGTAATCCCAGCACTTTGGGAGGCCGAGGTGGGCAGATCACGAGGTCAGAAGATTGAAACCATCTTGGCCAACAGATGAAACCCCGTCTCTACTAAAAATACAAAAAAAAAAAAAAAAAAAAATCCCATCGTGTGGTGGCTTGTGCCTGTAATCCCAGCTACTCAGAAGTCTGAGGCTAGACTAGAATCGCTTGAACCCAGGAGGCGAAGGTTGCAGTGAGCCCAGCTCACACGACTGCACTCCAGCCTGGAGACAGAGCGAGACTCAACAAACAAACAAACAAACAAACAGTGCTACTCAAAGCATGGTTGCGGACCTCAGCACCAGCATCTTCTGGGAGCTTGTTAAAAATGCCAAGTTTGCTCCCACCCTAGTTTTGCTCAATTAGATCATGTAGAGCAGAGCGTAAAAACCATTTTAACATGCCCTCTTGGTTCTCAGGTACATTAAAATTTCATAAGCATTTAAAACTCTCTGCAATAGCTAGTACCCTCAGGAGATGATCCCAGAATGCCAGGGATTCAGAGGCTTTTGATTGTTGCTCCAGGTAGTCTCATATCTCTGCACTGCTCCAAGGCCAAACAAAAGAGCAGGGAGACTTCCTATAAACAGGTGTGGAGGGTTAGACCCATGCATCCCCCAGGAGAGGGTCCTAACCGTGAGTGTTCCTCCTGTGCCTGACAGAAGCCCTTTGGGATAACTTGCTCCATTGGCTGGCTGAGGAGCTCTCAGAAGAAAATGCTGAGTCTCTTTCCTCAACTCTCCCTCTGCGCCGTAGCACCATTCAGCTCATCAAACTCAAGAACCCTGATGATCTCACAGAACAGATCCACGAGTTTCTTTGCTTCTGGAAAAAATCGCTTCCAACTTTCACCGACAAACTTCGCCTCCTGGCTCGACATCTCCGCAAGATTGGCAGGAGTGATCTTGCAGAAGAGCTCAAATTCAAGTGGGAAAATAAAGTGTTCACTGAACCACAGCAGTGTTTTGATGTAGCCCCTGAGTAAAAGCCTGATCTCTCTTCCTTTACCCCTAGGAAAAGGCACACGGTGGGTTTTTGTTTCTGTCAACATTTTCCTGGAAGTTTCCGAATGATATTATTTGAAGTCAGTCTATTTAATGATGTGCTATTTAATGATGTGAGACAAAGGGAGAAGCACGGATCAGATAATAGAAAGCATTCCTGGGTGTGAGCGCTCCTCTCTGGTTGAGTGATTATGTTTTGCAACCATGACTGTCTTGAGTTTGGCCTCACTTAATAGCATTTGCAATTGAGTTTGACTTGTTCACATTTTAAAAGCTAAGTGTGAAGAAAAGATCTGATATATGTAATTACTTATTAATTGGTATCTACATAAAATTAAACTAGTTTTCTGTGACTTCAAGTGTGAGCCCAAAAATATCTGAGACAGTTCTCAATCAATTTAGAAAGATTATTTTGCCAAGGTTAAGGACAGGCCCGTAACAGCCTCAGAAGATCCTGATGACATATGCCCAAGGTGTTCGGGGTAGAGCTTGCTTTTATGCATTTTAGGGAGTTATAATATATCAATCAATACATGTAAGGTGTACATTGGCTCAATCTGGAAAGGTAGGACAACTCAAAGCAGGGGCTTCCAGATCACAGGTAGATTTAAAGATTCTTGATTGGCATTGATTGAACAGTTATTATCTAAAGACCTGGAATCAATAGGAAGGAAATGCCTGGGCTATGATAAGAAGTTATGGAGACCAAAGTTTTATAATGCAGATGAAGCCTCCAGGTAGCAGACTTTAGAGGGAATAGATTGTAAATATTTCTGATCAGTCCTAAGGTCTGTTGAAATTTATGCTGGCCAGCTTTTCCTGAATTCCAAAAGAGAGGAGGGTATTATGGAGTCATGTCCAACCTCCCCTTCCCAGCATGGCCTAAACTAGTTTTTCAGGATAACTTTGAAATGCCCTTGGCTGAGAGAAGGGGCTTGTTCAGATAGTTGGGAGACTTAGAATTTTATTTTTGGTTGACTCAGGCAACCAATTCAAGTTACATAGATACCATAGAGCCTACAGTAAACAATACAAAATAAATTGGACTGAAAGACTTGATGTCGGTGGTAGTAACTCACTTTAAAAAAACCTTTCTAAGCTCGAAATAAATTAAAAATAGAATAACACTTCAGCCATTTACTGGCACAGACTTTTCCTTTATAAAAATATAACTTGGAAGAGGGAAAATTCCATATTTTGTTATTAGCGAAATGAGGCAGTGCAGAGAAAATAAGTTATCAGTGAAAGAATTCAAGGCCTATTTCTTCTACTTAGGAAGAAAACCTGCTTTAAAATTAGTTAACAGAAGCCTTATTACATAAGCCCTAGATATACATCATTAAAAATAAACAAAACATCTGTAAATAGAACATTAAAATGAAAGAAAAAATTAAAACTTATCTAAACCCCTCTTTCTATTGATAATCGCTATTAATGTCTAGTATAAGCTTTGAGTTTTTGGAAAGCCTAACGCCCTTTAGCTCTCTGAAGCAGTTGGATATAAATGGGACATTGAACTAGTTTCACTGACTCATTAATGCAAAAACCATTAGGTCGTTGGCTTGAAAACATCGGTAGCAATTAGTTTCAGTTATTGAATACCTAGGAATTAATTGAGTTATATTACAAAATTAAATGTTTTAATCTCTTTCAAATTTAAACGCAAGACTTCCTTCTACAAATTAACCAGGGATTTAGATATCTATTCAGGTATATATCAAAAAAGGCGATTCCCATTTTCAAACATAGTCCCATAAAGGAATATTTTATTAGTCAAGATTTTTTACATGCTGCCAAAAAGGTACAATATGTATTTTCATGTATTCTTGGGGCAAAGAAAACAGACTAAAATGTTCATTGTTTTCCTGATTACAATCGAACAAAAAAGTAAAGAAAATGAAAGTTGCTTCTTATCCTGTCATTAGAGATTACTATTATTAACATTTTTGGCATAATTTCTTCTAGTTTTTCTTTTTTTCTGGAAGAAAATATTTCTATTTCTATCGGTATAGATGTATCTAAGGACACTCACATATGTGTTCACCTGCATGCACACATGCTAATATGTATGTCCCATCACACACATCCCTGCCACACACCTCTCACAAATGCACCCTCAAACACACAGGCCTACCCTTTATCAGCACTGTTTCGGGTCCACTTGTGCACCTCACATATGCTGTCACAAACACACCCCTCCTGCACACCCAGCTCCCAACTCTCTCACAGAAACACACCTATTCACATACATAAATACATGTGCACACACACACACCCCTCACACACATATAGTTTCAGATCCACTTGTACACTCTCACAAATGTCCTCGTTCACATATACCCCACCTCCACATTTCATATACGCATACACTCATTAATATGCCTCCCCCACAGACACATGCACACACACACACGACATCTCACTTTACCGTTACCACTTCACCTGCACATATACAATCTCATTAAAACACTCCCTGTCATAACCCTCCCGTCTTTCTTTCTCTCTCTCACACATACACTCACATACATTCACTCACAGCCACATATACACACCTCTTCACAACACAGATACATTTTTCCCCCAGAATTAAAACAAATACTGCACATATTGTTGTTACAGTAAAGCAATAAAAAGGTACATAGAGAAAACAATTGATCATCCCTGCAGCATCTCCTCTCTTAAGATAATCCAGGAAATCAATCCCATGTGTAATCTGTGCCACTTGGATTGAGACCTGCCCCTGAACACCCTCAGTATTGATAGACACACCCATACCTTTGCATACCCATTTCTCTGTCTGGTGAGCCAACCTGTATGGACCACATCAGAGATGCCTTGTTCGCTTTTGCTAATGCAAAGCCCCAGCAGAAGACAGACAGGAGGAAGGAGAGTGAATTATACCATTCCCCTTTTCCTCCCTGTGCTCATCTTGGCCTGGCTGTGTCCCTGGCCTGCAACCACTGCTCCTCTCAAGAAGGCCACCTCTAGCCAACTCTCTCCTGTGCTTTGGTAACTGGTCTTCTTCTTGTCTCTTCAAGTCTAAGGGTGGTAATAGCTCTCTTGTTGTTTGGAGTAACTGTGTTATTCCTTGCAGTTCCCCTACATCCTGCTCTCCCCTTTTTAAAATAAAGCCTCCTTTTATTATTCTAATTTGAGTATATCACTATATTTCTCATTGAGACCCTGATTGATACCTCTCTGCACACCTTTCTTATGCTCCTAGCAACGTATACATGTATTTTATTTCCCAGAATGGGAGTCATATATTATATATACAGTTTTTAAAATTACTGTCTTATTAAATTATGAGTTTTTAATGTCTTCGAATGTTTTAATGACTGTATAATATCCTATTTCATAACCATAGCACAATTAATTTTAGTATAATCAATTTCTGAAATTGGTTAAAATGAAATTTTGCAGTATATATTCTTTTATGTTTGACTTTTTATTCAACTTTATGTTGCTGAAATTCATCCATTTTGCTGTGTGTGGCAATGGTTCATTCTCATTAATGTATAATATTCTATTATATGCATATATTAAAATTTTCATATCAATTAGACTGTAGTCCCAATATATACCTAAGAGCAAAGTGATAGTTTACCATAGTTCATTTAACCGTGTTCTATATTCAGGACCATTTAGCAATTAAACTTTGAACATCATTATTCATGTGTTTATTTCATATCATGGAAGCGCAAGAATGCACTACCATTTAGAATCTATACATTTTTAATAACACCAATTTCACTATTGAAAAAACCATTACAGTCACCATTTTGCTAATTATTAAGCATCAAATTTTATAAATAAAATCTTGTAACATTTATTATTTGAATTACCAAAACCTATGTCCATAGTCATCTTGATTAGATACTTACAGCATCTGGAGTGTAAATTCTTGATTACAGCAATTGACTATCACTAAAATGTAGCTTAAATGAACACATACATATTTCCTTGTATATTCTGAAGTATTTTATTATTATTAATTAATTAATTAATTAATTAATTTTTTTCACACAGGGTTTCACTCTGTTGCCCAGACTGGAGCTCAGTGGCATGATGTCACGGCTCACTGTAGCTTTGGCCTCCCAGGCTCAAGTGATCCTCCCACTTCAGCCTTCTAAATAGCTGGGAATACAGGTGCAGGCCTTTACACCTGGCTAATTTTTGTATTTTTTATAGAGATGGAGTTTCACCATGTTGCCCAGGCTAGTCTCGAACTCGTCGGCTCAAGCAATCCACCTTCCTTGGCCTCTCAGAGTTCTGGGATTACAGGCATTACCATGCCTCACCCTTCTGAAGTATTTTAGACTAAAATAGAAATACCTTAACAAATGAGGTAGGTAGGCTTTGAGCACATTATAATCTAATTTTCAAAATAGCTAAATCTTTTGGATAAAGTTTTGTTTTTCTAATCCAGTGTTTCTTAATGAGATGTTATTGGCATTGTGAAAGAAATCCGTTTTCAAAAAATTAACATGCACTGGCTCATAAATTGCAGACCATTCAGCATCCCTGACCTTGTCCACCAAATGAACAAAATGCCTCTCCATCCTAGTGAATGTGACAAGCCAAATATCTTACACATTGTTCTGGTTATGAGGGTTAGGGGTGAAAGAGTGGGTGTTGAGGACCATGTTTTAATCAGCTTTTGGTTGAAGTAGGGCATGAAAGAAAGGGGAAGAACATCTAACGGAAATTTAGAACATTATAAGCAAACCAGGGCTTTGCCTAAACTGTTCAACTGCTACCAGTATTTGCAAGAAATGTCAACTGCTGTCTGATGGCTTTTTCAGAAATGTTCTCAATGAGAAGTCCAAAACTGTGCTATAGAATAAGAAGTTTATCTAAGGTACAAAGTCAGCCTTTCTGAAGTCAGAAGAACAGGGAAATATTGAGTAAGGTCAAAATTGTGGCTGACACAGGCCAGGGGATTCCCTCTTAGCTTAACTAAGCATGACTTCTGTGATCTAACCTCACCAGAATGCCCCGTACTGCCTACACATTTTGACAGATGTCACAACGAGTCCTCAATTCCCTCCGCCTCTCCCAGGACTCCTCTGCTAGCATTCTCTCCCCACTACCTCTCGACATTGATTACCTAACATAGTAAATAATTTACTTACTAGTTATCATTTTTATTTACTTTCTGCAAATAAACACCTGATTTAATTTCCAGGGTGCTTGTCTCTTTTTTTAATTGATATATTCCTATTACTTAGAACTCTGTCTGGCACTCAGTGAATGTTTCTGTTTTGTTTTCCTTACTTTACAAGCGAGAAAACTCTTTCTGAGTTACAGCAGTAGAACCTGGATTAGAAGCCAGATGATTATATTTTCAAAGTCCTTTTTCTTTTACTTCCACCTTTCTACCCCTTTCCCTACACCCAACTCCCCACCATTTCTCTCTCTTCCATAATGTCTGATAATATTTTTTCAGTCTCTGAATACCCCGGACTGGATTAATTGTCTGTGGAACTCTATTTTAAATCCAGCTATAACATTTCTATACACTGTTGTAATTGCCTATTTATTTGTGCTTTTCTCCAACCAGTTTGTAAGTTTCTTGAGAGCTGAGGATTGAGTAGTGTTCATCAGTGAATTTTCAGTTCCCTGCACAGAACCCAGCACATAGTAGGCACTCAATACATCTTCACTGAATTAATTCATGAATAACATCTACACACTGACATGTTATTGGGATCCTCTTTTTGTGCCCTATATTTCTTATTGGAAGCAACTTTGTGGGGATAGTTGCCATGTCTGAGAAGGTAAAAAAATTAGCTCAGACTGTAAAAATCTGGCCCACCATTCATCAAGCTGGAATAACAGACACTGATGAAGCCACCTGCAAAGTTAACAGGAATCAGTGTTTCCTCCAAGCACATATTGCAGCTATAATATGTCCCCTTCTTTGAGTGACTGCTGCTTTCTTATACACTGAGACATTTTTGTTCTCCCAAATCATGGATTATCAGAAACCTTACTGCCTGAAATCATATCTGTGAGAAAGACGTATTCTTTTCTTGCCGGGAAGATCTAAGTCATTTTGACACAGAAAAGCATTCTTGATTTCTACCCAGTTGCAGAGCTTCAGATAAAGGGTTTCTGGATACAACACTGCATATCTATCTCAACATTCCTGTTTGCCAAGGAAGGAAAACTCTGGGTCCACTTTGCATTGCAGACCTGATGTTGACCCCTTTATACACAGCTCTGCTTTGCTTTCAGCCTATCAAAACACTAGCGTCCACCCTCCTCCTGTGTACTCAAATAACTCCATCTTTGCTTTTGTTTACCGAGGCACTCACAGTTCCTCTGTGTGCAAGCCCTTCATGGCAATGAATTAAGAAATCTAACTTTGTGGAATTTCAGGTGTGTCCCTGGTTGTCTTAGCCTGATGGGGACACTCCTGTGACCTTTCTGTTTTCCAGCCCAGTGTTTCTCAAATCAGCAGCGTATTAGAATTTGTAGGAGATTCCTGGAGCCTTTCTGAGAAATTCTGATTGAATTAGTCAGAGGCGTGTTCTGGGAATCAGAATTACAAAGTTCCCCAGTTGATTCTAATTTGTAGGCAAGGTGATATATGCCAAACTGACCCAGGATACAGGATACCCTGGAGTGGATATTCAAATTCAGTTTCACAGGACCAAAACAACCTTCTAACTCAAAATCTTTGGCTATGTACCTGAGTATTCTGTAAGGTTAATGAAGACCTCAAGTCACACTCTCACCATGGAAGATTAAAGACATTGCCTATCATATTCCACTTCTTGTCCAAAACACTTTCTCAATTTTTATTTTTACTTTTCATGATTACTACTGAACCAAGGGTAACATAGGAGGGAAAAAAAGGAAACAGTGCAAGCTCTGTCCTATGCTGAATATCCATTTTTTCCTCTTAGAGTCCTCATTTGAGATGATTTATCTGTTCACAAGAATAAGCAGGGTGGAGTGGGGAGCCGAGGAGCTGAGGCACGGAATTGGACTGGTTGGGAAGGAGGAACACTTGGCTTAATCCCCCATCAACAGCAGAACTCAAATTTAAAATTGTAGTTAATGAGAAGAGCCCACCACTATCACAAAGATTAACTGACTTCCCTGGAAGCTGCTCGGTGTGCACCTTTAAACCTGGTTCTATGAATACATGTCACCTCCATCTATAAACTTTGAATTAATATTTTTGACCTTTTCTCTCTATTTAAAGGATAAAATTATATTCCACTGCATTTGTACATGCTAAAAAATTTAAAATACACCGCAATATATTCTATCTTTATTAGACTTATTTTTGGTAATTTTTACATATGCCAAGAGCCTCAGAAATTTGAACTGATCCAAGCCTCACTCCACCTGAAAGGCCCTGTTTATGCCAGTCAGCCTGAAACTCTTCTTTAGAAATAGTCACTGCAAATGCCTAGATGCCACCACGAGGGGGCCTCTGTGTCACAGATAAAATTAAGGAAATGTTCAAGACCTCACAAATTCCTTTATGTAGTGAAAGACCTGCTCTGCAGGATACTTTTTTTTTTTTTTTAATTATGAAGTTATTGTAGAATTAGAGGGAATAATTTCACCTATGGCCAATATACTGTCAATGCAATAGTACATTATTTTGTGGCTAATGTAGTGTTCTAATGTTCTGAAATGTCTAATTTCCATTCACTGTGAAGAAACAAAGTACTATCTACAAGAACTGGTGCATTATAGAGGTCTTTACATTACAGTGTATCTTCTGTTTCCTTAATCAAAGCAACTGTAATGATGACATATATTATTGATCATTAGAACTGACTGTAATTTCTCTGAATTACTGGGAAATGGAAACTGAAAATATAAACTATGGATAGTACTATGAAATAAATGTACTTTTGATTAAATTCACTCTCCAATAAATGCTACTGACTGACATTCTAAAGAATTACCTTCTTGATTTTGAAATGTTCTGAACAAGGGTGCTTCTGTGGTTTGTTGGTTTACAAAAAGTGGCTAGCATACATTAAAAGTGAATATCTAAATTAGGATGATTTTTAAACAAATAATTGGGTGATATTTTCCAGAATATTTTTAGTTATAATTTTAAAGTAATGTATTTTGTGAGATAAATTCTAAACAAAGCTGAATATTATGACTCCTTCCACATTACATCTCTAAGCACATAAACCAACAATGTGGTGTCAGTAAAACAGCCCCTGAACATAAAGCAAAAATGAGCAGCATAATTGAAAACCATTAACTATATAAAGATGAGCACTAAAATGAGACTGATTGTATTAAAATATTTGCTGCTCTTCTGTGGGGGAATTATGCATTCTGCCCCATGGATGTTATGCTTGGTGATATGATTTAGAGTACCCATGAAATATGAATGCCATATTTAAGCAGAAGCTTTAAGAGCCATGGGGTGGTTCCACCATGTTCCTTTCCTCTCTGCCTTGAGAGGATCAGTGGTTTAGGGAGGGGTGTTTCATTGGCCTAGGTCCTGAAGCATGGGAGAGATCCATAGCCTACTTGTGATAAGCAGCATGCAAATATGTAAAAATGCATTTTTTTTATTGTTGTAAACCCCTATTATCCTGACCGATACAACTAATTTACTAAGCATAAGGAAGAAAACACTGTATGGCTATTAAAGATATCTGACTTCAATGTTGATCAAAGAAGTAGCAGAACCAGTAGCCCTACAAGCAAGGGAAAGAGAAGGAAAATGCAAAGATTGAAATTATTGCTGGTGTTAGCAGCAGACTGCTGCAGCAAACCAGAGACATTAGAAGTCCTTATAAAAGTGGTAAGCCACTTTTATGCCACTGTAGAAAGATTAATACTAGGTGCCAATTTATTGAATATTAACTATGTGCCAAGATCTTTTTGTGTATAATCTCACTTTATTCTCATAAGCATCCTTCAGTTCAGCGCTATTATTTTTCTTTCTCAATGATGAAACAGGCTTTGAAATGTTAAGTTCATTCATTTACATATTCCTTGTTCATTTGTTCACTTTTTCACTCATAATTCAATCAACAAATATTTCTTAAGCACCTATTATAAATAAATCAGGTGGCAAAGTTAGGTTTTTAACCCCTCCCTTTCTGATTTCAAAGTCCATGTCTTCTCCATTGCATGGAATTCTATAGCATACAGAATTGTAGGATGACTCTCTCAGATTTACCATCCTCTTGTCATATACACTCAATAATTCCCCACATTATGAATTGAAATGGATTTAACTCATAGGATTTGGTAATGTTATATGGAATTAGGAAAGTATTCAGCTGGGCCTGACCTAGTCACCTGAGCCCTTTTTTGACTGGTCTCAGCAGGGGAAGTCAAAAGCAGCATGAATGAAATTCCAGTTGAAGAAGGTTCTCCATTCCTGAAGTAGAAGGGGCCACCTGGTGAAGCTCCAAGTGTAGCCTCTATTTTTTTCTTAATTCAAAAAAATTTTTTGTAGTGATGGACTCTTTCTATGTTGCTTTTGCTCAGTCTGGTCTTGAACTCCTGGCCTCAAGTAACGCTCCCACCTCGACCTCCCAAAGTGCTGGGTTTACAGGTGTCAACCACTCCACCCCTCCCAAAGATAGCCTCAAGAAGAAGAGAGAAATCCTCACTGACAGCTAGCAATACCATAGGGACATCAGTCCTACAATAACAAGGAAATGAATTTTGACAACAACCTGATGGAGCTTGGATGTGTATCTTTCCCTAGCCACAGCTCCAGATGGGGACACAGCCATCTGCACCTTGAGTTCACCCTTCTGAGATGGACCCTGATCAAAGGACTAGCTAGAATGTGCTAGACTCCAACTATAGAAACAGTAAGGATATAAATAGGTGCTATTTCAAGTCACTACGTATGTGATAACCGGCTACAAAACAATAGAAAACTAATGCCCTCTTAGACTGATAACTTTAAGTCATTAATACAAATATTAATTATATTTAGAATTATCTTCATAGAAGGTAGGAAAGTAGAGTTCAGAAATATGCTTGATCAGTAAAGAGTAAGGCAAAAAAAAGATGAGAAATAATTTTACTGTAAGATTGCTAAGTTGCCTTCTAAATTGTAGAGCATGTGATTTTATTTTCTGATTTGATGACCTCTCAAGTCCCTTTTTAAAGTAATCGTATGAATTTTATTATTTCACCATATGCACTAATTGAGATTTTTGTTGAATATGGGTGAAGGTTTCTGAATTGTTGTGGTCCACCCATATTATACGACTTTGAACAAGAAATACTTTCCGGAGCCATGAGTCATTTAATTTAAATATTTCCCTATTTGAAACTTTGGCATGACTGCACAATTCTCTGTAGCAGTTAGACTAGCATTCTTAATTCTTTTATTTATGTGGACTCAGAAGCCCATTCAAAAGATTTCCCCATGGTGACAGTATGAACAAGTATAAGGGGACTTTCATTTCTATAGTCTTTTATTTATATGCACATATTTCCTACAATAACCTTGAACTCTCCCCAGTATTTTTTCTCTGTTGTTATTTATGTAGCATAGGTTAAATATTCATTGAGCATTGAATTTTGGGGGGCAAGTTCCAAGATTTTTGTGTAAGATTATTTTTTATTTAACCTTAGTATTCTTCTGTAGCAAAAACTTCATGAATAGTTTTAATTTTTCCTATACATAAAATGTATCTATAATAAAATGTCACTTAGCTAAACTACATGGAAAATAAATGATTTTAGTTTTTAGGGAATTTCTTTCCAATTTCAAGGTCTATGGTAAATATTACTTGGTATTATTAGAGGGCTTAGGACAACATTCTATAAGAGAGCGTAAACAACATGGTCTTGAAAGTTTACTGAGTTTACAAATAGAAAAATAGGGCACAGCAGCAGCAAATTGTTCATCTAACCTACAGCTCTATGAAATGAAGTCTTGAAATGAGAAATTATTCTCAGATCCATTCCTCAGCAATGAATCTCCTAGTGTTTCCCTTGAAGTGTGCTCCATTATTCATTGGTATTTACAATTAGAATGCCCTATTTCCAGATCTGATTTTCTTTCTTTTTTTTTTTCATTTTAACTTGTTACATTGAATTATATGTCTTCATTCAAGAAAACAATCCTACTTTCTCTTTGTTTAGTAACATTGTTTCAATTGATGTCTTAAATTGCGTTTATAGAAGCAATGATGGCTTGGCTTGGCTTGGTTTGGCTTGGGGTTTCCAATGTTTTGAATAGCATGTAAACAACTTAAACTGCCACTCCAATCCTAATCATTTAATGGAATGTGATCTCTCTCTCTCTCTCTCTTTTTTTTTTCTTTTTTGAGACAGGGTCTCGCTCTGTCAACCAGGCTGGAGTGCAATAGCGTGATCTTGGCTCACTGCAACCTCTGCCTTCCAGATTCAAGCGATTCTTCTGAGTAGCTGGGATTACAGGCACCCGTCACCACACCCAGCTGTTTTGTGTGTGTGTGTATGTGTGTGTGTGCATGTGTGCTTTTAGTAGAGACGGGGTTTTGCTGTGTTGGCCAGGCTGGTCTCGATCTACCCACCTCGGCCTCCCCAAAGCGCTGGGACTACAGGCGTGAGCCACCACACCTGGCCAGAATGTGATATATCTAAAGGAGTTATTTATCTAGTTTATAAAATCTTGGAAAGAAACAATCTATCTTCTGGAGGAGACTCTGAGGTCTGAGCATATAAAATTGTACAGGCTGTGAAGTTACTGCCCTATGACATATAAGAGAGCATCATTATTAGATTATGGGTTAGAGGTCCCGAGTTCCTAGTTCAGGCTCTGGAACTAATTTTCTGATGACTTTTGGAAAGTTCCTACATATTTGCTTCAAAAATCTTTTTCTAGTTACAGATAAAAGAGTTGGAAATATTTAAGATAGCAAATATACTGCTTGAGGGTTGTTACTTTCCGCCATCTCCACATTCATCTATATAGATAGTTAAACCTGACCCTATTCATTCATTCATTTATTAAAACTTGACCAAAACCCTCATTCTTAAACTTTGTAGTTTTCAACACACGTATGAACATAATTGAATTGTCATTTAACATGAATATTACTCCCAGAGCAGATGGTCTCCAAGCCCTCTTCTATTTTCCTAGTATTCTGTGATCTTGCATGGATCCTTCTGTGCAAGAAATTTTGCATAACCTCTAAAAGGGATCCCTTTTGCTTCAGTTCTTGACTATGTGCCTTGGTTGACTGCCTTTTCCTTAATGCAGGACACACTTTGCTCATGAGTACAGTTAATGAACTATTAGAACATTAGTGCCCACACATTCGTGTGCATCAGCATCTGGAGAAACACAGATTTCTGTACCCCACTTCAGTTGTTGATCCAGGAGGTCTGGAGTGAGACCCTTGAATTTGCAATTCCAACAAGTTTCTTGGTGATTGTGATGCTGCTGCTCCAAGGATAACATTTTCAGAAACATTTCTGTCTAAAACATTACTGAACCTAGAGTTAGTAGATCTCCAATCATCTATGGATAGATTTCAGGGAGAGTATAAAAAAGAAAAAGATGGTTTAAACAATTGCATTTATATTTTACTAAACTACTATGAATGTAGGCAACAAACCACAGAAATATTAGTTGTACCTGACTTTGTCCCAATATAAATAAGACATATTTTCATATCATCCTACAATGGTTTCAGATATCTTGAAATATGGTTTATGCACATCACCACTCTGACATAATATTGGCTATTTATCTGTCATTAGATTTGATTATGAGTTATTATAAAGGCCATTTCTTATTATGTCTCAATAAAACATGTTAGTAACTTATTTTAATATAAATTTTTCTTTTTAATTTTATGCATTTTATTTTTAACACTGAAAATAGTATTCTGAATAGAATTTATAGGCTTCATCAATTTGTTAGAAGGGTTCATGGCGGGAGACATAAACTCTCTTTCTAAATGATGAGAATAATAAAGATGTTAAGGCCAAGTCATGTGCCATACACCAGGACCTTCGTGGTTATGCTCACACCATCAGAAAACCTGGCAGCCACAGAACTGGAGGTGCTGGGTGATGTCTCTCTCCTGTCGCCTTCCCATCTGAGCAGGTAAATATCAAGCTACATGGTTGGACAAATAAAACTATATGTTTGGTTTTCTTCACATTTTTCATGATGAAACTCTACATGCCATTTTTGCTATTCCAGATGATGCTTATAGTAAGATGCCTCTGATGTTTCTTTAAGTTTGATTATCACTCAGAGTAGCAGCTCTCAAAACATGGTGGCAGTGGCAAGGTCTCTGCAACCTTTTCATGGAATCTCAAAAGACAAGGTAAGGGCATTTTATGGTGCTACTAAGATGTTATTTGCCCTTTTCTTTTACATTTTTATTAGTAGACAGTGGAGTTTTGCAGAGGCTACGTGATGTGTGATGATTGAATGAAAAAGAAGATATGAGACTTCAGCTGAGTTGTATTAAACCAGATGTTAAAGAAATTTGCAAAAATTTAAACAATGTCACTTTTTTCATTTTTATTTGTTTTGGAAAATATAGTTATTTTAGTGAAAATGTTATTTATGTTAACATATAATGGGTTTAATATAGTTGTTATTTATAAATGAATTAATCAATAAAAATACCAAGAGTTTCTGTTTTGGCCACATGCAGTGGCTCACACCTGTAATCCCAGCACATCGGGAGATTGAGGAAGGCAGATCACTTGAGGTCAGGAGTTCATGACCAGCCTGACCAACATGGTGAAACCCCATCTCTACTAAAAATACAAAAATTAGCCAGGTATGTTAGTGGACACCTGTAATCCCAGCTACTTGGGAGGCTGAGGCAGGAGAATCACTTGAATCTGGGAGGCAGAGGTTGCAATGAATTGAGATCGCACCATGGCACTCCAGCCTAGGTGACACAGTGAGACTCTGTCTCAAAAAAATAGAATTTCTGTTTTAATTAAAAACACGGAAAGTATAGTTAGATACAACCAACAGGAACAGGAGCACTTCAAAGTCTTTAGTTTTCAAGAGTTACGCTCTTCACAAGGGGTTTTGAATTAAAAATATTTTTCTTTAGTATTAATAGTCCAAGGAACATAATTGTTAAAATATTTAATATCAAAAAGTTCATTAGTGATTGTGTACTCTTGCCAAGTGTTGAACCAAGTACATAACGCCAACTGTCTCTTGAGAATTTACTAAGTAATCTCATTGACAGAAACTAATATCAAAAACAGAAAATAGATAAAACAGGAAACAAAGTGATTTAAATAAGTTAATTTAAAAAAATCCAATAGCTTTAGGGGATGACAGGGTTAAATGGAAGCCGTATTGGAACACACAGGTTGAGCCAGATGCTTTTTTTCCCTTCCAAGTCTCTTTTACCTGCTTGCCATTAGTATTTCAAGAAGAAATAAGATAGTACGAATATTTCAGACAGGAGACACATGGAGCAAAATTCTCCCGAAAGTATGAGTAACTGCTATTAGAACATCAGGTTGGGGCAGGAGAAAGCCAAACACCTGAGGAGACAAGCAGGAAATGTAAAAGTGCAAAGCCCTCACAGCTGGGGCGTGCAGGATTGTGAGCTGGATTGGACTTCATTCAAATGCTGACCAAGCAAAAGAGATCCTGGCTGAAGTCTTTCCATCGGGCAACACATATGTACAATCCTTTCCTTAGAGGATGTTCTAATAGAATGGAGTGGAAGTTGAGCAAATGGGGGCCCAAAGGAAATAGTAGACTATGAGAAAAAAACAGAGTTCCACACAACGTTCATCCACTTCAAACTAAAGTTTTTGGCAAGCTTGGTAAGTCGAAATCGTGATTAAGGGTGAAAAACAAGATCTGTCCTTTTACGCATATAGCAGGCAGTCTTCTGATGGAAACTGAAATATGGAAAACTCCACCCTGGCTCTAAATTCCTCCTGGAAGCAGAGACATTTGAACGATGTTGCAATAGTTTATTATCTGGGAAAAGAAGCATATTACCTAAAAGATACATTAATGTGGATTAACTCAGATGATTAGCTCCCAAAGCTCTCATAAATCATTACTGAATAAATGATCACATTAATCAGATGACTAGACTTGCTGGTCAGGTACAAACACTGTAGAAGCCCCATCCCCAAAGAAGCAACTATATCCAGTTATTAGTAATTTGTGATATAGCTGTGAGCATCTAGTCAACAAAATGCAAGCAGGTTCTCAGTTATGTTTGTTTATATGCCCCAAGTGCTGAGAAAGTGCATAACACAAAATTGGTACTCAATAAATGTTTGATGAGCATATTCATTAGGTAGTGTAGGTTGAAAGTAGGATGAAATTTAATTCAAACTAGGTTAGATAACAGAGTGAATTTTTAGTTCACATAACTGATAAGAGCACAGGTAGGGAGAGATTTAGAGCATTCTCTCATACACAGGAAGCCCTTCAACGCTATTACTAATTCTTGGCGATTTGCTCAAACTCAACATTATCAATCATTTGACTGTCCATAGGCTGCCTTTGCCCATGATTATAGCACAATAGCTTCTTTCGCATCACTATGAGGAGAAGAGATCACAGCAAAACCCGTGACCAAGAACCTTCACCTCGCAGTATTTGGACCATCCTAAATACATCTTGATGATCAGGAGAGTGCCAGGGTTACTTGATACACTCATAGTGACAAGGAATAATGCAATCAACACATTTATCCATGCTAATGCTGAGCAGTTTCTTCTTCCTTAAAGCTCTGATAACACCATGGTTCACCTTCCTTCTGTATCCATGCATTAGTTAAAGTACATCCCTCCATAAAATTATGGCTATCTTACCAGAAAAAAAAAATAGGTTAAAGAAACTCTTCTTCACTTTGCTAAACTCAAAAGATGTGGCTGCCAAACCTGGATGGTTATCAGAATCACTGTTGTGTTTTCTAAATATTCAAATCCTAGGCCCAAACCTGGAGATTCTAATTTAGTAGGTTCCTCAAATAATCCTGACAATCAGATTTCACAATCATTGCTATAAGGCACTGCAAAAATGTATGGTATCATGTTTGAAACTATAGAGCTTGTTTGATTATCAGGTTTGATGCTCATCCTCACAACGTTGGATATTTACTTATGTTTTTCCTAAAATTATAAGCATATTAAAAGCAAAAATTGCCTTACTTATATTTGTGTATGCCTTACTACATCATCACATGTGACATTTGTGCATTATGTTCAGTCAACAAATTTAATCATAATAAGTTAATTCAAAGGACAAAAAGATGAATTACAGGAGAAATTTCTTGAGTTTGACCCAACACTGCAGAGGAGAGGAGTAGAGGTTTGGGCACAATGTACCTGAAAGGTCACCTGGAGTCCGACACTGCTTTTGGGAACCAAAGGCTCTGAATCCCATATTTCACCTAGAACAACACTGCTGATCAATCAGAAGCACCGCTCTTTCACAATAATCGGAAAATGGCCAGTATGATAGGGCAATGCTATGGTCAGTTTAAATATATTACCAACATAAATGCAATATTTCTAATGTAATATTTGACATTTTCACAAATTCCATGTCAAATTTATCAAATAAAGTTAGAGAACAAGAATAAACAAATAGGTTAAAAAATGAATATCTCTTCTGGGGACAAGCAGAGAGATGACAAGCCAAAAATAAATATGCTTGCATGTATATTTCACTATTAAAATTTATATTAAATCCTGTGCTTTTCTACTGTAAAACAATTCAACAAGTAATTTTTATTTATGCTTTAAATCAAGACAAATTGAAATCTTAAAAACAGATAAACCTTAACATTAACACTTAAATACATGTAGTATTTAGTTGGATACTCCCTTTAATGTAAAAAGTAAATAATAAAGTGAACACATAGATATATTTTATAAAATATGTAGATCCTGTAAAATTTGGTTTTCATGTGAGTTATAAACTGAACTTCCTTTTGGAAATCTGAGGTGCAATTCTATGGCTATTATTTACAGAAAATCTCATTTTTTTTCTATGTGTGGAGTCACAGCTGATCTAGATTTATATTTTGCCAATAATTAAATCAATTATTGAAATTAATGAACTATTCAGCCAGTAAAGCACAGGCCTTCTTTGTCAGCTGTTTACTATTCTCACTTCCTAAAGTAACATTTACCATTCAGTGAATTTATCAAGCATGTAACTTGCTGCCAGGAAGTACTTAAATTACAGGGAACATTTGTCTAAGTTCTAATTTCAGCTCTCTGTTCAGTAAAGAATGTACACACAATTAAAAGCATGTGAAAATATGTTTTTCTTCTAAAAATATGAAACATAATCAAAGTTAGAGCTAGAAAGGAATCTTCAGGATCAATGAGATGTGACACCTTCATTTTGCAGATGAGAAAACTGAAATCCAAAATGTATAAATAACTTTCCACAGGCTACACACCTAGTTAGTGGTACAGCAGGGGTACAATCCAGGGTTCTTGATATCCAGTCCATTTTTCTTTTAGTACAGGAAAATCTCCCAAAGTCTGATATGTATAATATGGTAGTAAACTAGATAATTCCAGGTAGATGAGGATGAACGTTGAAAAGTTATTTTATGTTTATTTGAAAATGTAACAGGGACTTCTGGCTTTTGCATAGGATATAAAAACTGAGAAAAGCATTGCTTACACTCTAACAGCCAGAAATAGCAAGGTATTCTGCAAAATGATACAGTTTCCTGAATGCATTAGAGAGCTGAGGTCACAGGTCTATCATCTACCCCAAAGTTGAAGGAAAATAGGTACTTCTATGGAGGGAAATATAAGCCACATATTCTGACTCACCTGAAAGATCACAGATGAAAGATGGGGCTTCCAAGCAAGTTTTAGGAAGAGTTCAGCTAAAATTTAAAGAAGAGTTGCTAAAAGTGGAGTGTGGAAAAGTGTGAGAATATAGAAGCCCTGGGAACTGATAACAGAAGGGGAATTTGTATCTGCGTGCAGGCTATTCGCAACTCTCCACTGGGTGTTCACAAGAAAGACTGGGGTCAGGTGGGAAAAGAGAGAAAGTTTCCCTTGTGGTTCAGGCCTGGAGAAAGGGAGAGATCACAACCTGGGAGAAAGACATTCCATTTGGATGCTTCTTCCTCTGGGAAAAAATGCCTATGTCACTGGGAAGAACAGCAAACCCTACCACGCCCAGGTCGCAGGTCAGGACCCACTGTAGCTCGTGAAAGGAAAATGTTCTGTACATCTTGGTAGGGGCACAAAACCTACTGGGCCAGACCACAAGAGATTTTCTACCACTGAGGGAGAAGGATCATTGTGAGAGCCCTGAGATGCAGTGATACGAGGCTGAATCAGGGCAACAGAAAATCCTGCTGCCCACCATCAGCAGGCTAGCAAGCACCACCTAAAAAACAATAGCTATCTTGGACTGGGGAGGGCCAAAATCTTGCAGAGAAAGCCTCTCTGAAGGGCAAGAGCACAGGGAAAACCTAGAGCTGAGAGTAGAGCAGGAACATGGTGAGAAGACTTCCAGAAAACCAACCCCTAAGCACAAGGTGACAGTAGAGGAAATGGAAGCCAGTGAGGCACTGAAGGTATCACCACAACAGCTAAACTCAAATCCAGCTCAACTCTTACCTATATTGACTCCACTCTTTCCCTGCATTCCCATACACTAAAAGCCTAGCTAAAGAGCTATACCCATTTCCAGGCAGGAATGCTATTTACTTCAGTCTCTGCTGTCCTACCCACAATGTTAAACTTTCAGTACAATTATGAAACACACACAGAAGTAAGCAACATATGTTACACCGTCAATGGGCAAAGCAATAAATAAAGACATACGCAGATATGACCCAGATATTGGAGCTATCTGACCACAATTTCACATGACCATGACTGATATGTTAAAAGCTCTAGTGGAAAAGTTGGACAATATGGATGAACAGGTGGATAATTCAGCGGAGAGATGGAAACTGCAGGAAGATGTCAAATGAAAATACTGGAAATAAAAGTAGAGAACAGGGATGATAGCTTATGTGATCTCATCAGTGGACTTGACACAGCTGAGAAAAGAATCAGTGAACTTCAAGACTGGTTGACAGAAATTGCCTAAACTGAAACACAAAGATAAAAGACTGTGAAAAATGTATTAGAAAATACAAACAGCACATCTAAACCGTGATCTGATCCTGACTTCTGAAGTGAGGCTGAAGTGAAAAATAAATAAGCTAACATCAACGGAGATAACTCATCTAGACAGTGTGTAATCCTGATAGGATGTGACCAGAAGGGAACTTTACCTCGGTGGTCTTCCTCACAAAACTTATAACCCCGTCTAATCATGAGAAAAACATTAGACAAATTCCAGTTAAGAAACACTCTACAAAATACCTGACCCATACTCTCCCAAACTGTCAAGGTCATCAAAAACAAAGAAAGACTTAGTCACAGCTAAGAGGATCCTAGGCAGACATGATGACTAAATGTACTGTGTATTCTGGATGGGATCCTAGAAGATAAAAAGGATATAAAATACTAGTTGGTGCAAAAGTAATTGTGGTTTTTGCCATTAAAAGTAATGGCAAAAGTAATGTTTTTATTAGTTAAATAAAAAACTAAGGAATTATAAGTAAACTATGGCCTTTAGTTAATAATAATGTATCAGTCTTGAGTCATTAATCATGGTAAAGGCACTCTCCTGACACCAGATGTTAATAATAAGAAAAATTGAGTGTGAGGTATGTAGGAACTCTCTGTACTATCTTCACAATTTTTCTTTAAGACAAAAAAAATTCTAAAATAAAAAGATTATTTAAAAGTCAACAAGTTGATTTTTAAATATCATTTAAATAATTATACCAGTAGTATGTGGAAATGGCTAAAAAACTGTAAAGATGGTTTAAGAATAAGTGAGATTTGGGAAACACCGAATTAAAACAGTTAAGTGACTATACTATACCATGCTATTTCCCAGCTTATCTCACAGACAAAATTGTGATCTCTCTGTCCTGGGTTTGTACTCATTCAATTGCTTGATGATTCTGTATGCTTCCTTAGCTCAACAACATAACTCTCCCTCAGACTGAACACTTCCTGAGGGAAAACCAAACGCCTATCTTTCTTTCTTTCTCTTGGGGTCCTGCTTGACAATATTCAAAATGGATATGGAGTAATTATACACAAAGTCAATTAGGATGAAGATTTCTTATTGTATAATAAGTATAATAAGTATAAATAACACTTCCTTATACATTTTAAAAAAAAACCTTATGTCACTCATTTCCCTCAAGTGTTGAGCCATCCAGATTACTATCTTTTCCTTTAGAGTCATTCTAACATTTTGATTACTGATAATCACAGAATTACCACAGGGATTTTTTCCATGATCACTTACATCACCTTATACTGAGATCAAGATAGGTGAATTTCTTGATATTTGCCAGCTGTCAGTAAGTCTCCTTAGAGCTGGGAGAGCAAACAGGTATCATTTTGCAGGCCAATTTCAATCCCTTGCTGACAGCTGCCTGGAAATCTGTCCTGAGGAATCTGAGGCTTTGAATGCTAAGATCAGCCTGTAGGAGAAGGAGGGAGAATGAAGATGGCATGACAGCCCATGTGTCACATACCTGGCAAACTCAATTCGAAGACTATTTGACACTAGCAAGTGTTATCACTCCCATGAAGGGCCTCCAAAAGCTTGAAAAATGTAATATGGAAATGTATACACTTCCATGTGCAAATGTAAACATTTTGACATGTGGTAGGTGGTGAGGTTGGCATGGGACCTTCCTGGCCTCTCTCAGTTCCAACCATAAGAAGGTTCATCAATTTTCCTATTTGTGAGGTTGCTCTTTTGGGTGGTTTTTCATATATTTTCAGCAAAAGCCTTTTTGAGACTAGCTGAAACTCAGTTTTTAGGTAAAAATTATGAGTAAATAATGATTACTATCATTTATAAGGGAAAAAGAAAATAAATTCAGATGAACATAGGGAAGTAAAAAGTTTCATTTTACAGCTTAGAATTTATTGGAAGCAGAGAGGCCAAAAGGCAATCCCTCAAATTTTAAAAAAAGGCTTCCTAGTTATCCTGATTTCTGGGAAATCTCTGAATCACTTTTGACTTATCATATATGCCAATATATGTCTCACCAACTGAGTTTATTCAAACTCAGACTGAGTGGGAAGAAAGTCAATCAATTACCTCCCCATCTCACCTTATGTGCCACCCTGATTATTCCTGGCTGAGAAAGATGGTACTGTGATTATCAACTAGTTACAACTAGTCAAAAGGTTTTCAGAATTTCTACTTATAAGGAGTGTTTCTAGAAGACTAATTAGTAGGTAACCCCTGCATTGCATCACTAATCAGCTATATTGAGAATTAGATAAATGTTTCATTAATTTTGCTTCTCTGGGGCCTGGGGCAAATCAGATTTCTCCTCCTCTGTCTTCATGCTGAGAGCGATTTGACTCTGATACATGCAGTTTCCTTCCTTCTGCCCATCTATGTCTTTATCCATTCATCACACTAATCAGCAAACATTTTATTGAGCATCTACTGTTATCAAGCATACAGAGATAAATAAGTCAGTTTTTGTTCTCAAGAAGATCATACTTGTGTGGGAGAATTATATGCTCCAAGTGTCAAGTGCTAGGACAGAGATAGGTACAAGGTGTGCTGTGGGTAAAAATGAAGGTAGGGTTGCTTTTTGCATCAAGTAGATCATGTACATGGAATGAATGTGAGTCAAGCACCATAAATCTACCAGGGAGAAAAGGTAGAGAAGGGCCTCTACAAAGCATGGGCATCAAATAAGAGCACAGCTCTCTATTTCAGTTTTCTGAAAATAGATCAGAAGTGCAATTAGTGTCTGCCAAGGTTTCAAGAAAAAAAAAATTTGAAGAGCAGAAAAACTAAATGTCAATGCTTTTATAAGAAATGTCATATCCGGATAAGCTTTTCATACAAATTGGGAGTTAAAGTACAGGGAACTTAAGGCTGACTCTAAAGGGCATTATGATTGAATGATTTCTATCCAATAGAAAGCACCTGGATCGATGCTGAGGCCAAGTAAATAAGAACAGGAGGATGCCTCTCCCTGAGCCCTGGCAGAAGCATTAGACTGATGGATTGTGGTCCTTGCTTCAGAGAAGGATGCCCACTCTTTTGTTAGTTGAAATATCTGCTTTGTTCATTAATCTGACAAGTGAACATAGGAGACTTGCTTGAAAACACATCCATCTCTTCCTGGACTCTGCAAAGATACTTTCCTTGGCAAGTGAAAAGTCAAAAGCCTACCTGCAGTGACATTTGCATCATGAGTGACAGTAACAGATGAAAATTTAAACCTTCCATGCACCATTTGGAAGCATCAGTGGGAAAGTCTCTATTCATTAGTTTGAAGCTGGGGGCTTCCATAGTACTCTGTTTGCCAGCCAAACTGGGAATGTAGTTATTTGGCTATATTAGGGCTGTCAACCTAAATAACAGAGAGAGGTTTCCTAAGAGAAAAGATGTTCATTTGGGAATAGAGTATTAGAATAGGGATATGCATGCTGTAGTACACTATGTGCATATCCAAGGAGGTAAAGGAAGACAAAAGTTTTTAAAAGAAATTAATGAGAATTAGATAATTGTTTTTAAATAATTATCTTTGGCTGCAAAAATCAATAACAAGGGTGAGTAATGCCAGTTCAAGGTTAGATGTGCAGTTACTGAACAGATACACTTGCAGAAGCATTTTCTTTGTGTAAGTTTTGGATGGACTTTGTGCAAGGTTGTGGTTTTGTGGAGTCTTTTTCATTATCAGGCATACAAATGTGAGAACCCTCTCTTCATGGCCTCCCTTAATTCTATTTTTCAGGGTTTTTGTTTTTGTTTTTGTATTTGGTTTTTTTTTTTTTTTAGACATAGACTCGCTCTGTTGCCTAGGCTGGAGTGCAGTGGTGTGATATCGGCTCACTGCAAGCTCTGCCTCCCGGGTTCACGCCATTCTCCTGCCTTAGCCTCCCTCCTGAGTAGCTGGGACTACAGGTGCCAGACACCACACCCGGCTAATTATTTTGTATTTTTAGTAGAGATGGGGTTTCACTGTGTTAGCCAGGAGGGTCTCGATCTCCTGACCTCGTGATCCTCCTGCCTCAGCCTCCCAAAGTGCTGGGATTATAGGCGTGAGCCACCGTGCCTGGCCCAGGGTTTTCTTAATATTATTGACACCATCTTGATTTTGCCAACTTTCACAGTTCCCCCTTTTGATCAAGATCTTTCTCCAAAAGCATCACTGATGAATAATCCTATAGATAGGTTTAGATGTGCCCTCATGTTGGGATGGATCTATCTCAGCTGCTGGTCTTGTCCCATATCACAGGGAGTGATTGATGATTAGGAATCAGTGTCAAAACCCTTTCAGTCACATTTGAGCGACAAAGGAAGTTTGAAGGAAGTGACTGGAGTCCATATTAAGTTCAATTTTGTCTGTTTCAGTGTCTTTAGCTATCATCTTAAAATGCTGGTCCAGCATTATTTTTTTAGGACTTGTGCATCTGCCAAACCTTAACAAGTGATAGACACAAAGTTTTAAAAGGAAAAATATAAAGTAAAATTAACAGTAATATGACAATTCCAGTTTACATAATGGCTTTGAGCCATGAACCTAGGCTTAAAGACAAGCAATTGAATTATTCCAATGACCAAAAGGAATTAGATGAGATCTATTGTAACCATGTGGCCTGTTTACTTATTTTGTGTTTCTGGGTCTCAACATTCCCTAAGAAATTATTCAAGTATAGCAAAGTGGTATTAGCAATAGCATGACCATTTTCTTATATAAGTAATGGATACTAAAGGATTTTTTTTAAGTTTAAATTACCAGAAGAAGCTATTAACTGTGAAATTTCAATTACACCATTATTCTGCAAGTAAAAAGGTAGCATTAAGGGAGGTAAAAGTCTCGTTATAATATAAAGTCTTGTTCCATCATCTTGGGAAAGCTGTCTACAGCATGAAAACATTAACTGTTGGTTTGTAATTTTAATGTCTGAGGTCATGACATCAGGCAGCTTTATAAACTTTTTATGTGGTCTATATATCATGCATGAGGTTTATTTTTTACAATCTATTAGTTTCAGCTCATGGGGCTTTAGAAACAGGGCAGATTTTGTTTTGAGTTGGAGAGTTGTAGCCAAATATTAGAGGAAATCAAGAGAATTCAAGATCTAGTTCAATTGTCTTAAGTTCTGGGACCTGCTAGGAAGTGACAATTTTTATTCATTCATTGTATGTCTAGGATCTTTTGAAGCCAGGAATTTGACTTTTAGTCAAAGCTTTGGTCATATAAACAGTATTTCCAATTGTATCCTGCTTATAAGGCAGATTTTTACTGAGCTTATATAAATAAAAATAAGAATACTCATAAATAATTTCTGAATTTTGAAGGAATCAGGTAGGGATAAAAAGAAAATGTCTCTACTTTTGTTCATAAAAGTATGCTTTAAAAACTTGTCTGTTTTTAATGAGCCCTTTGACCTATTATGCTATTTTCTGGATGGGGGTATAAAGCACAGTCGTGTCATATTAAAGCTTACTTCAAACTCAGTAGTCTGTGGGTTATTGGTCTTTGGTCTGCCAAAGGTAATCCTCATGGGAAAGTTTTTGCCCAAGGAAACCTCTCCATGATTCGAAATCTGTTGGTTTTGACACATATCTATGTTGTTAACATTATACAACACATGCTCTCTCATTCTTGTTCTACTTAAAAGGTAGTGCAGTATAGGGATCACTGGCACAAATGCCTATGTGGCAGACAACATAAATGATGAAAGGACCCAGATCAGGAGGGAACCTGGCACTTCAGAAAATCCACACCCAATCTAGAATAGGCAGTTACTCCTTGGCTTCAGCCAATTGTTGCCACAGTGAAATGTGGACAGTGTTGACAGATGAGGCATAGATACAGATTTCTGTTCACATAGAGATCTCTCATTTAAAAAAAATGTTGGCAAGTAAGTCAAACTGTTTGGAAATATTGGAGGTGGCATATTGGGAGGATAAGGAGTCATCCAATTGAACTGGGGTGTTTATGATGGGGGGAGAAATAGCAGGTAATGGCTGAAGGATAAGGGCAGCTTCTGGAGAACCTTGACTGTTACACTTAAGGAACTTACCATAGAGTCTTTTAGGTCTGAATGATCAGTAAAGGATTTAAGCAAGAATAGCCCACAGTTAGTATGGTATTTTTAAAAGATCAGTTGGCAGTTGAAGGGGCAGAGCTGAGAATTGAGTGATGAATTAAAAGTCTATCATTAAGTGATAGGGTAAAGGGAAAATGACAAAGGCCTATTTACTTTGTTCTTTTTCCTACCAGATTGTAAACTGCAAGACAACAGGGCCCTGTCTGCCTTGTTCATTGCTGTATTTTCAGCACTAAGCAGAAAGCCTGTTCAATGTTTGCTGAGCGAATACATGAAATCAAGGGGGTGAATGTGAGAGGCATTTGTAGGACTGGGTTTGAGAACCAACTACTTTGAGAGGAGTAGAATGTTGGTAATAGTGAGAACAGTCATAGGAGTGTGGAGCCTTGGTAGAGTGTTTCCTTCCCTGAAGCTTTCTCTATAAGCCTTGGAAGGAGGTATCTCAATGTAGAAATAATGGACACAGGTTTTTTAAAAAGACTGTTGCACATTTGATTCCTGGCCCTTCATGTGGCTCTTTCAGTTGACCAAAGGAGAAAATAGTAAGCACCTTGAAGGACTGACAGGAGGATTAAGCAAAAATTCGGGGATGATTAATTTCTGTTCTTCCCTAGGTCCAGTATTCCCAAAGCACACAGAAAAAGGGGACTGACTTTGGCTTCTGACCCACTGAGGATCACTTTCAGGGTAGGGTGAGAACTAATGACCCTTGGAGTCTCTGGGCTTTGCCCTGGAGAGTTCCCAGCCTAAGCAGAGAGGGCAACCAACCCATACCTCACTCATGAAAGTATACTTGACCAAATTGTTGTAAAACTATAGATAGCTTATGAGAGAAAATTTTCTTAAATCTAGAAAGCAAAACATTTAAGTAAAGGACTAACACTGTTTTAATTAAAAGTCATAATCTTTATTAATTATTTAATGTTATGTGATTAATATTTGCTTGCTTTATCTTAATTAACAGTTTTATAAACCCATTGGTTTCTTTATTAGAGTTTTGGATCTTTATATTTAGCCTATTCATCTTAATCTTATAAGAAATTTGTGTTCAAAAGTGTTTGCTAGAGTTTTCCCATGAAAAGCAATTTTGGACTACAGCTGATTGCAAATTCTTTTAAAGAAGAACTTAATAATTGTGGATGACAAAAAGTTAAGATAGCCATGGTTAAAATCTGATGAACTTTCCCAATTGACAAGGAAATTTAATTATTTCTATTACCTGCAGCTTGTAACAACCAGAATCATTACTGACAGTGTCGCATTAATATCATCAAACTTTATAAATTTCATATAATCTTTAGAGTACTCACATTAGCAACATAAAAATATAACCATAGAAAAGATTTAATATAATCAAAATTATGATTGATAACATTAGATTTTTATAAATTTATATTCATTTTAGAAATTTATATCAATAACATACCCATAGATGTAACTGAAAAAAGATCTAGTATCATTTATTTCCAAATGCCTTTTATACAATTTGCTAAATAAGTCTAATTATTTAATATCTATATAGTAAATAATATTTAATATTAAATATTTAACATATAGATATTAATATGTAGATATTAAATATATAGATATGGATATTAAAATAATATTTAATATCTAGATATAAATAATATTTAATATGTAGATATTAAACAATATTTAATAATATATAAATATTATTTAATATATAGATATTAAATAATATAATAAAGAAAATTAAATGAATACTAAATAATATTTAATATTTATGTAGATATTAAATGATTATCTAATTATTTAATATATATACTCTTTCCAGGAGTCCAACTGCAAAAACCACAAAGTTAATTTTAGGTCAGAAAGACTTAATTTGGTATTTTGTTCTTGGAGAAACCTGCCAAAAATGTCAAAAGGTTCAAAACACTTGATCAAAACAGAATTACAGGTCATTGCTACATAATAATTATTTATTTAACCAGAGTAATAATGAAAATACTTCAAAAGTGATACAGAAATATATATGGATGTAAAAACTTTAACCCTTTGAAAGCTCAGTTTTCCAAAGTAATAAAAAATCTAATAAAGACAACCCAGAAATTATTTTGAGAACACAAAGTCATTTTCTATGTCTAGTTACCTAAAAGATACAGAAAAACCTCCTATAGTGTGATTGCTCCTCTTTATGGGAAGCTCATTTTGACAAACTGGAAATCAAACCTGATAAAAGGTGCTTGAATTTAATCAGATATAGGAAGAGTGTATCTGGAATTATAAGTGTACACTACATTATAGAGAAACATAAACAAGAAAACTAGTACCTTCGGCAGGGGAATACATGGCTTTTAGTAACAGTATGAGAAGTTACCTGGTTACATGGAACAACTCAGACATATCAACAAAAGCCAAGAGTATAGAATCAAGTTATAGTGAAGGAAATATTATTTTTCTAGATATTCATATAAACATTTCAGTGCCAGGCTGTTACAACATACAGAATTTAAAAAAATAAACATATAGAATTTGACAAAAAGGTTGAAGGAAAGAGTTATCACCCCACCCAAGCAAAAAGATATGCTTTTTCAAGAGGAGAAAAAACAGAAGGCAATAATGGATGACCTGCAAATCACATGCAGTGAGGTAAGCAAAACTTGAGCTCCTGAGATCTAAATCTGAGTGTTTCAAAGACAAGCAGTTTTCACAATCAAAAATCAAAACCTCTTGCAAGTATACTGAGTAAATCCGTATTGTAAGAAAAATCTTCTTCTAAAATAGAAGACCACAATTTTTTAGTGTCATATTAGAGTATTTTTAATATCAAATTTCAATCTTTAGAAAGATTATCACAAATAATTCCCTTTTAATTACAGTCAATCACACACAAAATTCCTTTCATAAATTCTCTTTTCATGAATCTTATCACAGCTTTACTTAGATAATTGATGACAAGCTTGTACTTTCTACTTTGTCCTATATTTCTTAAATAATCAGTCATTTTACTTTAGGACAAAAATTCACCATATGAGATTCTTTCTCATACAAAATTACTTTCTTTTCTTTTTAACTTTCCTTACCTAAAATATCTCTTCATATTCATAAGTTTTTTCACATCTCTCTTCTACTTACTGGTTTCTTTCTATGTTGTTTCTATTTTTAATGCATATTTTGAAGCAACCTTGAAATAACCTCCAAATTAAACAAAATTATTATTTTTCGTAATAAAGAATATTTTAATAATTTTTATACTTTTTTAATTAAAAGCACATCTTATATATTTTAGGACACACTTTGTAGGCAGAATTAAATATTAATTAAAATTTTTAACCCTTAGTAGCCTTAAATTTTAGTGAAAACTAAATTAGAAGGCAAAATTTTGAATTAACTGTAACATATCAGTGTTTTATTAATAATTATTTTATAATTTTTAGAAACATGTTTTCCTATAACATAATGTTTTAATGCTACTTGGAAATGACTCCGACATTGAATAAGTATCTATTGTTTAACTTAACATGACTTTAAGCCTTCAAATTACATGAAAAGACTTAGTTAATTTTTTAAACAGTTTACCTACATTATTTATGAGAACTGAGATATCAGACAAAGCTAGTCATCATTTCAAGTTATTTCTTTGTTAAGCATATTTATAGGCTGTGAATATTATATGATCACCTAAGAAAGAACCTAAAATTTAAATGTATGGATACTTTTCTGAGAACTCAAAAGATACAGCTGTTTCATTAAACTAACAATATTAATTTAATCTTACTTATCAAAAATTACACAAAGATCTCCCTGTTTTAGGCTGGGTTTATAGTTTTATAACCTTCCTGTCAAAACCTGACACTTTAAAATATTTGGTAAAGGCAAATATAAAAACTATCTGACCAGTAAACCCAGGCAAGAATATATGCTGACTATTTTAAGACATTTCAATTTCTATTTTACTCATAATTTTAAAACCACCATATTTATTAAAGATTTACTTAACTCATGTGAACTAAGATACATTTGGCTTAATTAATAATGTTATATTTTATGTGAGGACTCATTTAACTTTAAGGGGTTTCTGGTCAACTATGCTAGATTATAGCACGTAGATAAAACATATAATAGATGTACGTACAGGTAAACAAATCTAAACACATGTACATACACACACACACACACACACACACACAGAAGATCTTTCAACTTTTATTTTAGAATTTTAGTACTGAGGTAGTAATACCAACTCATCAGTTTGTATAAGACAATATTTCTGACAAAATTGGAATCTGTTCATATGGCTAAACTTCATTTTCCCTGATAGATAATCTAATAAATGCTGTGGATCAAAATTTGGATAAAGCAGTTTGTATGGCAATATGATTTTTAAAGCCCCTTTTACCATTTTATTTTCCTTTTCAAATAATTTTAGGGTTAAATTTTCAGTGTTTACACTTTCACTAGGACTGGATGAATTGCAGAAGAAAAACAAAGTCTTCAAGTAGCCTTGAACTCATAAAAAATCTATCTTTTGTTTATTAGTAAGATGTGTTTGATTAGCAAAATGCAGATGGGAAAGAATTTTAGCAGGTGTTAAATTTTTAGTTTTTGGCTTTTTCTTTTTGCCCTCTGTGTGAAAGGAAAAGCACAATTTTTATGCTGGGCATATACCATATTTTACTTTGAGCTTAAGATTTTTGACCTGTTTGATCTGAGATCCTAACTTATAAACATTTATCTAGTTCTTTTTTGGATTATTAATTTTCCAATGAATTTTCTACCACCATAGACAATTGCTAATCAAGCACACCTAAATTTATATTTCTAAAAGGTGTCTAGGTTTTTGGAAACCAGGGAGGTATTTTAGTCTGCAAAGTCATTAATTTGAAAGCCCTTTAAGACATTTCTATCATCTATCTATCTGGAATATCTATATATATTCAAATCTTAGCTGGAATGCTACAAGCAATTTTTATCTGAACACCAGTAGAAAAGTCAACAGATTGAAAAAAAGCAGAAAAAAAACATACAGAGAGAGAAATTAGAAGACTCTGCATATTAACTCTATAGTTGTAGGTTTCTCCAGTAATGATGATTTGAGTTCTGAATTTTCCTTGATGTAATTTGTCTATCAGTTTAACATGTACACAAGAACAGACCTTAATATGTAGCTGGCTAGACTCCCAGAAAACCTGGCATGTCAGTATTTGAGAATCCCATTCCATTTCTTAATAATCTGCCAGGAGCAAAGAAAATCCTATAAATGCAATCAGGAAATGTCAGGAGTTTAAACTTGTGTTTTAGATGGCTGCAACCACCATAGTGGCTTTTAGTTAGCCATCTTACAAGCATCACCTTGAATGTTTGTTTGTTTGTTTGTTTTTGAAATGGAGTCTCCCTCTGTCGCCCAGCCTGGGGTGCAGTGGCGCAATCTCTGCTCACTGCAAGCTCTGCCTCCTGGGTTCATGCCATTCTCCTCCCTCAGCCTCCCAAGTAGCTGGGACTACAGGCGCCTGCCACCACGCCCAGATAATTTTTTTGTATTTTTAGTAGAGACTGGGTTTCACTGTGTTGGCCAGGATGGTCTCGATCTCCTGACCTCATGATCTGCCCACCTCAGCCTCCCAAAGTGCTGAGATTACAGGCGTGAGCCACCATGCTCAGGTTTTCATAAACAAGCAAGGAGATCAAACCAAATCAAAAGAAACCAAGATAAAAATGTTCACAAGATATTAACATAGGCGTATAGTTCAGATAAAATATTAAACTTGGTGATCAAATCAGATAAGATATGCTTCACAGACAGAATGTACATTCCGTAGAAATCATAATGAGAGGTGACAACGTTCTAGCAGCCCTCACTCTCGGCGCCTCCTCAGCCTTGGCGTCCACTCTGGCAGTGCTTGAGGAGCCCTTTAGCCCACCACCGCACTGTGGAAGCCCCTCTCTGGGCTTGCCGAGGCCGGAGCTGGCTCCCTCTGCTTGTCAGGATGTGTGGAGGGAGACGCGCGGGTGGGAACTGGGGCTGCACGTGGCGCTTGCTGGGCCAGCGCGAGTTCCAGGTGGGCATCAGCTCCACACGCGAGCTCTGTGGGCCCTGCACTTGGAGCGACCGGCTGGCACCGGCTGGCTGCCCCAGGCAGTGAGGGGCTTAGCACCCGGGCCAGCAGCTGCGGAGAGTGCACTCAGTCCCCCAGCAGTGCCGGTCTGCCGGCCCTGCACTCGAATTCTCGCGGGGCCTCAGCTGCCTCCCCACGGGGCAGGACTCGGGGCCTGCAGCCCGCCATGTCCAAGCCTCCTCCCTGGGGCCATGGGCTCCTGCGCAGCCAAGCCTCCCTGACGAGCGCTGCCCCCCGCTCTGTAGCACGCGGTCCCATCAACTGGGGCTGAGGAGTGCGGGCGCAGGGCTGAGGAGTGCCGGTGCAGGGCACAGGGCGCGGGACTGGCGGGAAGCTCCGCCTGCGGCCCCAGTGTGGGATCCACTAGGTGAAGCCAGCTGGGCTCCCAAGTCTAGTGGGGACTTGGAGAACTTTTGTGTCTAGCTCAGGGATTGTAAACGCACCAATCAGCACCCTGTCAAAACAGACCAATCAGCTCTCTGTAAAACAGACCAATCAGTCTCTGTAAAATGACCAATCAGCAGGATGTGGGTGGGGCCAGATAAGGGAATAAAAGCAGGCTGCCCGAACCAGCAGTGGCAACCCGCTGGGGTCACCTTCTCCCTTGTGGCAGGTTTGTTCTTTTGCTCTTTGCAATAAATCTTGCTGCTGCTCACTCTTTGGGTCTGCACTGCCTTTATGAGCTGTAACACTCACCGCAAAGTTCTGCAGCTTCAATCCTGAGGCCAGTGAGACCATGAACCCATAGGGAGGAATGAACAACTCCGGATGGGAGGAACGAACAACTCCAGACATGCCACCTTAAGAGCTGTAACACTCACTGCGAAGGTCTGCAGCTTCACTCCTGAAGCCAGCGAGACCACAAATCCACCAGAAGGAAGAAACTCTGAACATGTCTGAACATCAGAGGGAACAAACTCTGGACACACCATCTTTAAGAACTGTAACACTCACCGTGAGGGTCCGCAGCTTCATTCTTGAAGTCAGTGAGACCAAGAACCCACCAATTCTGGACACAATAAGTACTCAATCCAAAAAGATACTTGTGTTTATATCAGAAAGGACTTAAGAGAAAAGACAAAAAAGCTTTTATTATCCCAGGAGGAATGTATGGTCCTTTATTAAGGTGGCTTTTCCCAAACCAGATCCATTTAAAGCCACTGACAAAAGGAGGGAGGCTCAACCTGAGAGAAGATTCACAAGGGCGGAAAAGTCTGGCTCTTAAAGTGGAGAGCTCAAAGGACTCGAATGGCTACTGCACACAAGTTCCAAGCATCACTGATTCTTTCCAAGCGACACTTTTCAGATCCCAGTTATGTCACCATAAGTGTAAATCTAAATAACAGAGAGAAGCTCTCTAATGGAAAAGTTGCTTATTTGGGAACTGGGCTTTGCGATGGGAATACACATAGAGTTTACACATGCTTATTCCCATTTCAATGCTCTATTTCCAAATAAATACCTTTTCCATTAAAGAGCCTCTCTCTGTTATTTAAGATGACAAGATGGTAAAGTCAGCAGATAAGTTAAAATTTTGTGTATCTTCATGATTAAAGAAAACGTCAGAAGAAAATGTGAGGTAGAGGCCTTCCCTTTTAAAGAGATGTACATTTTTTTTTTAGTGGAGATGATTTTATTCTTTTATTTAATTATTTATAAGTTTTTTCATTAAAAAATTATTGAACACCATCAAACTTAGGGTCAGATACAATGCTAGAATTGTGACTTCAAGGACTTGTAAAAGTTTCTTTCCTTTAGAAGCTTTCATTCACCAATTCATTCATTCAGCATATGCTATCTGAATGTCTATGTGCCGTATACTCTGCTAGTTTCTGAGGACATAGCAGTAAACAAAACCAGGCATGGCTAAGTCTCTGCTCTCATTCTTTTTGAGTTTTCATTTTAATTCTTCACAAAATTCTAATAAAATTTATTAGGTGCTCTGTGTCCTGAGGTTGGGGGAGCAGACTAAGTAGTTCCAGTAGAGTACCCTCTTCTAGCTATAGAATCAGGGAAAGAGGAACAAAAGGCATCAGAAACCTCTGCAGACTTAAATGTCCCTGTCTGACAGTTTTGAAGAGAGTAGTGGCTCTCCCAGCATGGAGTTTGAGATTTGAGAATGGACAGACTGCCTCCTCAAGTGGGTGCCTGACCTCCGAGTAGCCTAACTGGGAGGCACCCCCCAGTAGGGGCAGACTGACACCTCACATGGCCGGGTACCCCACTGAGACGAAGCTTCCAGAGGAATGATCAGGCAGCAACATTTGCTTTTCAGAAATATTTGCTGTTCTGCAGCCTCTGCTGCTGATACCCAGGCAAACAGGGTCTGGAGTGGACCTCCAGCAAGCTCCACCAGACCTGCAGCTGAGGGTCCTGACTATTAGAAGGAAAACTAACAAACAGAAAGGACATCCACACCAAAACCGCATCTGTCGGTCACCATCATCAAAGACCAAAGGCAGACAAAATCACAAAGATGGGTAAAAAACAGAGCAGAAAAGCTGAAAACTCTAAAAATCAGAGCACCTCTCCCCCTCCAAAGGAATGCATCTCCACGCCAGCAATGGAACAAAAGGTGGACAGAGAACGACTGACGAGTTGAGAGAAGAAGGCTTCAGATGATCAAACTTCTCCGAGTTAAAGGAGGAAGTAAGAACACAATGCAAAGAAGTTAAAAACCTTGAAAGAAGATTAGATGAATGGCTAACTAGAATAACCAGTATAGAGAAGTCCTTAAATGACCTGATTGAGCTGAAAACCATGGCACGAGAACTATGTGATGAAAGCACAAGCTTCTGTAGCTGATTTGATCAACTGGGAGAAAGGGTATCAGTGATTGAAGATCAAATGAATGAAATGAAGCGAGAACAGAAGTTTAGAGAAAAAAGAGTAAAAAGAAACGAACAAAGCCTCCAAGAAATATGGAACTATGTGAAAAGACCAAATCTACGTCTTCTTGGTGTACCTGAAAGTGATAGGGAGAATGCAACCAAGTTGGAAAACACTCTGCAGGATATTATCCAGGAGAACTTCCCCAACCTAGCAAGGCAGGCCAACATTCAAATTCAGGAAATACAGAGAACGCCACAAAGATACTCCTCGAGAAGAGCAACTCCAAGACACATAATTGTCAGATTCACCAAAGTTGAAATGAAGGAAAAAAATGTTAAGGGCAGCCAGAAAGGTCAGGTTACCCACAAAGGGAAACCCGTCGGACTAACAGTGGATCTCTCGGCAGAAACTCTACAAGCCAGAAGAGAGTGGGGGCCAATATTCAACATTCTCAAAGAAAATAATTTTCAACCCAGAATTTCATATCCAGCCAAACTAAGCTTCATAAGTGAAGGAGAAATAAAATCCGTTACAGACAAGCAAATGCTGAGAGATTTTGTGTGGTGACCAGGCCTGCCCTACAAGAGCCCTACAAGGAAGCACTAAACATGGAAAGGAACAACTGGCACCAGCCACTGCAAAAACATGCCAAATTGTAAAGACCATTGAGGCTAGGAAGAAACTGCGTCAACTAATGAACAAAATAACCAGCTAAAATCATAATGACAGGATCAAATCCACACATAACAATATTAACCTTAAATGTAAATGGGCTAAATGCTCCAGTTAAAAGACACAGACTGGCAAATTGAATAAAGAGTCAAGACCCATCAGTGTGCTGTATTCAGGAGACCCATCTCACGTGCAGAGACACACATAGGCTCAAAATAAAGGGATGGAGGAAGATCTACCAAGCAAATGGAAAACAAAAAAAGGCAGGGGTTGCAATCCTAGTCTCTGACAAAACAGACTTTAAACCAACAAAGATCAAAAGAGACAAAGAAGGCCATTACATAATGGTAAAGGGATCAATTCAACAAGAAGAACTATCCTAAATATATATGCACCCAATACAGGAGCACCCAGGTTCATAAAGCAAGTCCGTAGAGACCTACAAAGAGACGTAGACTCCCACACAATAATAATGGGAGACTTTAACACCCCACTGTCAACATTAGACAGATCCATGAGACAGAAAGTTAGCAAGGATATCCAGGAGTTGGACTCAGCTCTGCACCAAGCGGACCTAATAGACATCAACAGAACTCTCCAACCCAAATCAACAGAATATACATTCTTCTTAGCACCACATCGCACTTATTCCAAAATTGACTACATTGTTGGAAGTAAAGCTCTCCTCAGCAAATGTAAAAGAACAGAAATTATAACAAACTGTCTCTCAGACCACAGTGCAATCAAAGTAGAACTCCAGATTAAGAAACCCACTCAAAACCACTCAACTACATGGAAACTGAACAACCTGCTCCTGAATGACTACTGGGTACATAATGAAATGAAGGCAGAAATAAAGATGTTCTTTGAAACCAATGAGAACAAAGACACAACATACCAGAATCTCTGGGACACACTTAAAGCAGTGTGTAGAGGGAAATTTATAGCACTAAATGCCCACAAGAGAAACCAGGAAAGATCTAAAATTGACACCCTAATATCACAATTAAAAGAACTAGAGAAGCAAGAGCAAACATATTCAAAAGCTAGCAGAAGGTAAGAAATCACTAAGGTCAGAGCAGAACTGAAGGAGATAGAGACACAAAAAACCCTTCGAAAAAATCAATGAATCCAGGAGCTGGTTTTTTGAAAAGATCAAGAAAATTGATAGACCGCTAGCAAGACTAACAAAGAAGAAAAGAGAGAAGAATCAAATAGATGCAATAAAAGATGATAAAGGGGATATCACCACTGATTCCACAGAAATACAAACTACCATCAGAGAATACTATAAACACCTCTACACAAATAAACTAGAAAATCTAGAAGAAATGGATCAATTCCTTGACACATACACCCTCCCAAGAATAGACCAGGGAGAACTTGAATCCCTGAATAGACCAATAACAGGCTCTGAAATTGAGGCAATAATTAATAGCCCACCAACCAAAAAAAGTCCAGTACCAGAGGGATTCACAGCCAAATTCTACCAGAGGTACAAGCAGGAGCTGGTACCATTCCTTCTGAAACTATTCAAATCAATAGTAAAAGAGGGAATCCTCCCTAACTCATTTTATGAGGCCAGCATCATACTGATACCAAAGCCTGGCAGAGACACAACAAAAAAAGGGAATTTTAGACCAATATCCCTGATGAACATTGATGCAAAAATCCTCAATAAAATACTGGCAAACTGAATCCAGCAGCACATCAAAAAGCTTATCCACCATGATCAAGTGGGCTTCATCCCTGGGATGCAAGACTAGTTCAACATATGCAAATCAATAAACATAATCCAGCATATAAACAGAACCAAAGGCAAAAACTACATGACTATCTCAATAGATACGGAAAAGGCCTTTGACAAAATTCAACAGCCCTTCATGCTAAAAACTCTCAATAAATTAGGTATTGATGTGACGTATCTCAAAATAATAAGAGCTATTTGTCACAAATCCACAGCCAATATCATACTAGATGGGCAAAAACTGGAAGCATTCCCTTTGAAAACTGGCACAAGACAGGGGTGCCCTCTCTCACCACTCCTATTCAACATAGTGTTGGAAGTTCTGGCCAGGGCAATCCAGCAGGAGAAAGAAATAAAGGGTATTCATTTAGGAAAAGAGGAAGTCAAATTGTCCCTGTTTGCAGATGACATGATTGTATATTTAGAAAACCCCATGGTCTCAGCCCAAAATCTCCTTAGGCTGATAAGCAACTTCAGCAAAGTCTCAGGATACAAAATCAATGTGCAAAAATCACAAGCATTCTTATATACCAATAACAGACAGAGAGCCAAATCATGAGTGAACTCCCATTCACAATTGCTTCAAAGAGAATAAAATACCGCGGAGTCCAACTTACAAGGGATGTGAAGGACCTCTTTAAGGAGAACTACAAACTACTGCTCAACAAAATAAAAGAGGATACAAACAAATGGATGAACATTCCATGCTCATGGATAGGAAGAATAAATATCGTGAAAATGGCCATACTGCCTAAGGTAATTTATAGATTCAATGTCATCCCCATCAAGCTACCAATGACTTTCTTCACAGAATTGGAAAAAAACTACTTTAAAGTTCATATGGAACCAAAAAAGAGCCCACATTGCCAAGTCAATCCTAAGCCAAAAGAACAAAGCTGGAGGCATCACGGTACCTGACTTCAAACTATAATACAAGGCTACAGTAACCAAAACAGCATGGTACTCATACCAAAACAGAGATATAGACCAATGGAACAGAACAGAGCCCTCAGAAATAATACCACACATATGCAACCATCTGATCTTTGACAAACCTGACAAAAACAAGAAATGGGGAAAGGATTCCCTATTTAATAAATGGTGCTGGGAAAACTGGCTAGCCATATGTAGAAAGCTGAAACTGGATCCCTTCCTTACACCTTATACAAAAATTAATTCAAGTTGGATTAAAGACTTGAATGTTAGACCAAAAACCATAAAAACCCTAGAAGAAAACCTAGGCATTACCATTCAGGACATAGGCATGGGCAAGGACTTCATGTCTAAAACACCAAAAGCAATGGCAACAAAAGCCAAAATTGACAATTGGGATCTAAGTAAACTAAACAGCTTCTGCACAGCAAAAGAAACTACCATCAGAGTGAACAAGCAACCTACAGAATGGGAGAAAATTTTTGCAATCTACTCATCTGAAAAAGGGCTAATATCCAGAATCTACAAAGAACTCAAACAAATTTACAAGAAAAAAACAACCCCATCAACAAGTGGGCGAAGGATATGAACAGACACTTCTCAAAAGAAGACACTTATGCAGACAAGAGACACATGAAAAAATGCTCATCATCACTGGCCATCAGAGAAATGCAAATCAAAACCACAATGAGATACCATCTCACACCAGTTAGAATGGCGATCATTAAAAAGTCAGGAAACAACAGGTGCTGGAGAGGATGTGGAGAAATAGGAACACTTTTACACTGTTGGTGGGACTGTAAACTAGTTCAACCATTGTGGAAGTCAGTGTGGCGATTCCTCAAGGATCTAGAACTAGAAATACCATTTGACCCAGCAATGCCATTACTGGGTATATACCCAAAGGATTATAAATCATGCTGCTATAAAGGCACATGCACATGTAAGTTCATTGCATCACTATTCACAATAGCAAAGACTTGGAACCCGCCCAAATGTCCATCAGTGATAGACTGGATTAAAAAAATGTGGCACATATACACCATGGAATACTATGCAGCCATAAAAAGGATGAATTCATGTCCTTTGTAGGGACATGCATGAAGCTGGAAACCATCATTCTCAGCAAACTATCGCAAGAACAAAAAATCAAACACCGCATGTTCTCACTCATAGGTGGGAATTGAACAATGAGAATACTTGGACACAGGAAGGGGAACATCACACACCGTGGCCTGTTGTGGGGTGGGGGAAGGGGGGAGGGAAAGCATTAGGAGATATACCTAATGTAAATGACAAGTTAATGGGTGCAGCACACCAACATGGCACACGTATACCTATGTAGCAAACCTGCACATTGTGCACATGTACCCTAGAACTTAAAGTATAAAAAAAAAAAAAATCAGGGAAAGAAAGAGAAGGGAGATTCTTTTATTTACCTCATGGGGGAGGAGTCACAGTTAATCTTTGCCTTGGAAATAAAGTTTGTGAAATAAACAGTTTAATCTAATATATATTTGCCATATCAGTGTATTGTGCTGAAACATGGATTAGGGTCAATGTAAAATAAATTTTGGGAAGTATGATTATAGATATAAAACTGATGAAAAGACTTAGAGAAACAGTAATAATTATTCTTCCTTGATTTTATTTACTATTCTTTTTATCAGTATATGGTTTTCAGGATACTTTGATTTTCACATGGAAATGACACGAAACAGAACAAGAGCCTGTGAGAGAATAGGAGAGTGTCATGGCTGTGGTTTTTGATATGCAGCCTTCTCTCCATCAGGCTATCTTGTCCTCTGACATTTGACATCCCTAAAAATCTGACCATGTGGTTAGCATTCAGGTTTCTTTGATCTTACACCTGCTAGGAGAGTCTAGAGATCTTTAAAAAATAAACATATGAATAGCTTTAAGTAGAGGCCATGCCAAAAAAGATGCATGAGAAAAATGAAGAAAAAAAATTACACAGAACTGAGGCTGCTTTTACAGCTTTTCCAGTTTGTTTTTCATAAGAAAAGCTAGAAAGTTTGGTGTGACATGGCTGAAATAAAAATTCATTATTTGGGATATGAAGGAGAAAATTCTAAATAAGTGGAGAGGTCAGTGCAATCACTCTCCTCACTGTCCCACAGACATGTCACATACAGAACTGGTCTGTTGCACATGCTAATTATTTCTACCTGGAATATACTCTTCTCTTCAAGCCTGTAATCAATTGATGTGGTTCTCAAGTCTTCTCTTCTTCATGGCTTTTCCAACTCACAGTGATCTCTGAATTCATTGTACACCTCACCCCTATTACCCTTTCCTGTTTAGCCATATGCTTCTTGTGGTTTTTTTGTTTGTTTGTTTTGACTATTGATTTGTTATTACTTAGCTCTTGCAGGTACACATAATCTCATTTTTTCCTTACTTCAATCATAAAGTTTTTGAGATCAGGGATATTCCCCTCACATATTTCTATATTATTTAAATGAACTAGACAGAGAATCAATACCTGAAATACTTCATGACCTTAGATAACTCAGAAACTACTCTCTATGTTTGGAACAAGTGGCTGGAGCCATAAGCAAACCTGCAGATCACATCTGAACCTCACATATCTTTTGTCCACTTTTTTTCTTTTATGAATAATTTCTGAATCTTCACAATAAATATGTAACTATTAAATACATGAACAAGTAAATTGTGTCCCATCTGGCAGTCTTGTTGTGGCTCCAAAGTTATAGAATATTTTAGATACTCGAGATGAGAAAAATCGTGGAAGAACATTTATTTGGTCAGAAGTCTTAAGAGGGATGTAAGGTGACATCTCCAACCCTGTGTATCAAATATATGAGATGCTGTAACCCAGACTTCACTCAATATAACGTCTTGTCAGTCTCCCCACCTCCTTCAAGCCCCTCGCTCCTGGTTCATTCACATCTTTACCGAAAGGAGTACATTCACAACAATGCTTCCCCCCCCCCTCCGACTATGCTGCAAGGACATTTTACTCCAGCCTTACTCCTACCTAGCTTAGGGTGTTTTGTTCTTAAGCCTTAATATTACAGTTATTTGAAAATTTTAATAACAGCAACTAAGAATTTGGCTAGTTCAAAATTGAAGTAACACTAATACTGCCAAATTTACTGTGTCTTTCTTTGAAGTTTCAGAAGGCCCTTGAGCCTCTCGATCCATTTTAGAATAATCATTATGAACATACATTACACGTGCCTTAGGAAGAAAAGAAGTGCTCTGAGCTTTCTAATTATGTAGTCACTGTATACATTGGTATTTAATATTTTCGCTTACTGGGATAAGAAACATTTGGACTCCTACTATCAAACATAAAATGTTTGAAAAGATGATGGAAACATAAAAGTAATTCTTAATGTATATTGAATACTCACATTTTCTAATTACATGTATTATCTCTGTTGTCAATTCTCATTAAAAACCTAGTGAATTTGTACTATTTTTATCACCATTAAGCAGATAAGGATTGAGATATAGGAAAGAAGCAACTTCGTCAAAGTCACATTGCAAGTCAAAATTCAAACTCAGACTTTTTAATTCTGAAACTTATACTCTGAATTATGGTAGCAGGAGTGATTTCATCTGGCTCACAGAACTGATGAATTATCAGGGATTTTGTGAGCCAGTTGATGTTACATTGGATGTTACATTGTGAGCCAACTGATGTTACATTGGTTGCTTGAAATTGTCCATGGTGGGTGTGGTAGCCAGAATGATGGTCCCCATGAACAAAGTTATGCATGTTTGAATCCCTGGAACTTGTGAAGACATTACTTTGCACGGCGGAAGGAACTTTGTAGATGTGACTAAGGTTAAGGACCTTAAGATGGGAAACCTGGATTACCCAGGTAGACTCAATATAATCACATGAATCCTTGGAAGTAAAGATCCTGTCCCACCTGTGGTCAGAGAAAACAATGTGAAAACAGAAGTAGGGTCAGAGAGATGCAGCATGAGAAGGAAATTGTTATGGCAGCAATAGAAAAGTAAGGAGTTTAGTGGGAGTATTTACTCCAAAGAGATCAGCAAACGTTATATATATTTTTTTTCCTGGAGAGACAGTTGGTAAACACTTACCAGTACATCACTGTTCTTAACCATTATATTACGCCGTATCCTATTAAATAGATGAGAAAGTGCAAGCATGAAAAGGTTAATAACTTCTCCAAAGGACAAAATAGGGATTCAATTGTCTTTATAAAAGTACTTGTTGTAATTAATATATAAACATGTTTTTAATCTTTGCAATAACAAGGAAGTTTAATCAATCTAGATATTTGGTTATCTGTAGATGCAGGCAGAAAGCAACAACAAAACCCCAAAACTACCATTCTCTCATAGAGCTTAAGTTCTAATGAAGCAAAACACAAAATTACCCCTAGGCACAGAGTGTTAATTTGGGGATGGAGGTGGACACTTTCATATAAATACATGTCATTTTGGAAAAGTTCTTAGCCAAATAAGAGAGTTTGAGGTCCCTTTTTTTAGCCTCCTGGCCTTTCATTGCTCTTCTTTCTTCACATGCTACCTCTCCCCTTCTTCCATTTCTTCCCTTTTATGTACCCTTTTATGTACCCTTTTATGTAAACTGAGTCTCATCTAGAAAGGTATTGTTAAAGTTTCTGGCAAATAAGTAGAAGGTTCAAATAGAGTCTCTATTGAAGTCACTACTTTTAAAGAGTCATAGGCAGAGCTACAAAACAAACACAGGATATAGAGGGGCGGTGAGGCACTTAGAAATCGACAATATTAAGTTCCTGTACTCTGAAGGAAGGGCCATATACAGGAACTACGTTCATGGAGAGTCACAGCTCTTGCAAGAGACACAGCACCAAAGCAATGAGGAAGTGAGGAAAAAAACACCACAACACAGGATCTCACTCCTTCTGCCTTTTGATCTCCTGCTAGTGCTTTTCACTAGCCATCTCAACTAGAAGCCAGCCAAGAAGGGAACCTGGGCGGTTCAGTCTGCTGTGGTCAACACCTGGGGCATAGAGAAGGTCAGAGGAAGGATCTGGATAGGAGGCAAATACAGTGGAGAGTTGTCAGCACAAAAATAGATTAAGCTGCAAATGGACACACTGCATTATTTGCATGTTAATAAAGGGATGTACCTGTTTGTGGTTTAAATATATAACCTTCTAATAGTGAAATTTAAGGTAATGTTAAAAAGTATTTTTGGATGCTGAAGACTTCCACCTGACCCTCAGACCACTACCAGTGTGTGACAAGTTACCAACCCTACCACACGCTTCCTGTGTTACTAGAACATGCTGCTGCTTTCAGTCATTCACAAACTTCTAAGCCAGTTCCATTTGCTGATTTATCAAGTTAATGTATTTCAGGGGGAAAACTCTAGAGTTTAAGGAAATAATCAGATATAGATGAGGAAGCCCAGATATTGCAACTAGATTATCTTTTATTCTCTAATTTATTCATGTTTATTTGTGTAAAATGAAATCCCATGGGTTACAGAATGGATCTATGGAACCCTTTGGGGGAAAGGAAGTCTTTCAGCCCTGTGGACATTGTCCTTCCATGGGGAGCCTTGGGGAGGTTATCCACTGATATATTTGGAGCAAAGAAAAATGAGCTTTTGTATCATGTACACACTTAACCAGTAGATGTCATGCAAAGTCCTATGCATGTGTTTCTCTGCTTATTGTTCTCAGTGGAAGAACAGTGTATGAAATTCAGGGAAAAAATTCTCACAGGATTCTAACACCAAGAACTATCTCCTTTGTCTTTGAGAAGCAGCAAGTTTAGTAAAAATCATTTTATATTTTCATACAATTAGGAAAAGACAAGCCAAGTAATCAGATATTGCCAGGTTAGTATTTTAATCTTAAACATAAAATCCTATAATTATTCTTCATTGGATTCTTGCACTGTACTGTTTAATAATAGTGCTGTTTTAAAATGTATGGAGGACAGGATACATTTTACAGTGCCTTCCACTGACATTGATTTTGTTCCTTTGATAAATGATCTGGATTTAAAAAAAAAACTAAATTATAAAGATTTATGATTCAGTGCCCTAGACTGAGGAAATGCTGTTATTCACCACCAAATCTGCTTATTAAAGACAAAAAGAGTTGTTTCTCCACTTACACAAAAAGGATAGCTATACTCTAGTCTAACACTGCTCATACCTTACTAGAATAGTTTTTCATTTCACGCTACATTGATATGAGAATTTTGTCATATGAATTCCCACTTTGTTCTTTCTGTATAAACAAAAATCCCTGCAGATCTACTAACTCCGTTTTCATCTTTATTGTCAGCTATATCGTTTACACTCTTATCCACCATCCCATACGTTTTACTGATTTGCTATTATATTTCTTTTCTAAGTGTCTAACAATTTGTTAGACATCACTGGGCTAAGTGCTGTGTTTTATGGTACCCTATTGGCGATCTCCTAACTATTTAGAAAAAATACATTATTATAATCTAATATATGGGATTCTCTTTTAATTCAAGCTAATGCAAAACACACCATTTACACCCAGTGGATGAATAAACCAATTATGCAAAAACAAATCAACCAAGCTAAGCAGGCAGTGGTTGTTAATGGCAAATGCTTAGGATGTTCAGTGCTAATTTTTTCCTTACATGTAGCCAGAACCTCAGAGTTACAGACCGTAAGACACTTCACTGCCCTTTGTTCAGTTTCCTCACCACAAAAACGAGAGGTTTGTTTTAGGTCAGGAGTTTTCAAATGAAGATGAACTTCAAAATCCACTGGACACCTTAAAAACACAGATTTTCAGTGCTCACTTGAGACTTATGGGACCATATTTTCTCCCTATGAGTAGAGCCAGAGATCGCGTGATTCTGATGCTGTTTTCGGCTTGCTGGTGGTTGGGACTCTGCAAATTGTTTCTCCGTTGTCAGATGATTTCGTAAGTTTTTCCGATAGAATTCACTAGAGGAAGACTGGAGTGCAGAAGGAAGAAAGGATTTCTTCCTTCCTATTCTGTTTCTGACAGCATCACTCTAGAAATGATCCTTCCGCCCTGGAAGAAATAGATGATCCTAGTTTTCAGGCACTTTCTGAACCAGTCACATTCTGACTCCTTGGAGTCCCTGACTCAGAATCCTCACTCCCCATTCGATCCCCTGAGCATCAGTACACACAGGTAGTGGGTCTGTATCAGTCTGCTCTGGCTGCCATAATAAAATACTACAGGCTGGGTCTGTGGTATTTTTTTCTCACAGTTCTTGAGGCAGAAATTCCAAGATCAAAGTTTCTCCGGAGGACTCTCTATTTGGCTTGCAGACAGCTGCCTTCTGGCTGTGTGTCTTTACAGGGCTTTCCTCTGTGTGCACGCATCCCTGGTGCCTCTTCCTCTTCTTATAAGGACATCAGCCATATTGCATTAGGGCCCCCAACTCTTATAATCATATTTAGCCTTAACTGCCTCTTTAAAGATCCTACCTCCACACACAGTCACATTGAGGATTAAGGCTGCAATATATAGATTTGGGGTGGGAGGAGAGACACCATTCAGTTTTTTTTCCTCTGAGGTATGAGTCCAAATCTCACGGAACTCCTCCTTTGATTTCCCAAGCTCCCAATGCCAGATGGCCAGCCCACTATCAGATATCTGAGTCACAACTCCGTGGACACTCCTCTGAGTGACAAGGCTCTGATAACCTAAAACCGTCCCCTTTGTTTGTCTCAGTTGGAGCAGTGGTAGCTGCTGCCTGCATTTACTATGTCATGTTAGCCTTAATGTTGCCGTCGGCTGTTCCTGTCCTTCAGTACCTGCTTAACCAATTCCACTTCCAATCTTCTCCACTGAAATACCTAATATAGTTTCTGTGTCCTGGCTGATAGCCTGTTGGGCATTAGTGAACTAGCCTTGTGAATGTCTAGATGAAGAATTGTCCAGGAAATGGGAAGAACGAGTACAGAGCACTATTTGAGAAACAGCTAGGGGGGCAATGTGGTTGATGCAAAGTGAATGAGAAGCAAGTATTTGAAAATAATGTCAAAAAGGTAGCAGGGCCCGATAAATTACAGAGAAAGATTTGTCTTTCATTTCAACTGCAAAGAGAAGTCATTAAACAGTTTCAAGAGAAATGTGATAAGTTTTCTCACAGTTCTGGAGTCTGGAAGAGATGATAGGTTTATTTTTTTTAAGTAGCACTAGTGGCTGCTATATGTAGAATACATTTAGGGAAATAAAAGTTAAAATGAAGATACCAATTAGGAGCCAATTGCCCTCATCCAAGCCAGATATGATAGTTTTCTGAGGTATTAGCAGTGCAAATAATATTAAGTAGTTCTATCATATCTTGATGTTGGAATCAACCAGGCTTGCCAATAAATTGGATCTAGGATGAAAGAAGAGGAAATGAGTCAAAATGACCTCAAGGTTTTGTTGTATAATTGGACTAATGAAGCTGCTGCTAAAAGAGTGAGGCTGTTTCTTTGGCGGGGCAAGGTGGTGAGAAATGAACACCAGGAGCTATGTTTTCAACATAGTAACCGCAGATAGCTCTTAGACATCTGTGGTGTCACCAGATAGCTGTATATGTGGATCTGAAATTTAGTGTAGATGTACAAGATGAAGATATACATTTGAGAGACTTTTTAATATAGATGGTATTTAAAGCCACAAGACTAGAGAAAATCATCTAGGAAGTATAGGTAGAATAGAGATGAAGCCCAGTATATGCCAACCAGCAGCGATTGAGATGAAGAGCCATGGAGGGACTGAGAATCATCCAGAAAAACAGGAGCCACACTAGGAGAATGTAGCATCCTGGAAGCCAATGAGGAAAGTATTTCCAGGGGGTATTATAATAAGCAGTAACAATTTCTAATGGCTCAATATACACAAACTTTGTTTCATGCTCAAAATTATTTAAAATGTTGTATAAAATTACCTTCAGTCTATGTGTAAATATATATATATATACATATAAAGATATATAGATGACTATATAAAACATAAATGAATTTTTATGTTCGGACTTGGGTTTCATTTCCAAGATCTCTCATTATGTATATATAAATATTTTAAAATCCCAAAAAATCAAAACTCAAAAACACTTGTGGTCCCAAGCATTTCAGATAAGGGATACTCAAGCTGTACTTTTAATGTACACGCTCCAATAATCTAAGCCCCCGTACTGGATAATTGCTGGAAGTCTAGTTCTCTTCCCAAGGATTTCTGTGATCCCTCCTGGCAAGTCCTAGAAATCCATCCTGTTTTCCACATTACCTGTTTTCTGCCCTTACAGGTTATCTCCAGCCGTCTCATGACCACATCTTATTCCTGAGCATCCCAAAGCATGGCCATAAGTTCCTAAACACAGCTATTGCAATGTTCTCGAGATTAAGATTTTACTTACCTTTGGGGACAATAATATGGTTGGTAAAATAACAATCACCTATTCAGTACTTGCTATGAACTCCACACTGCTTTAACAATATCATTTCTACTATGTATACTTATGTATTCTTTTAATTATCCTACCAATCCTAGGATATAGGTATTATTTTTCTCCATTTTACAGGAGAAAACATCATTTTATAGATAAGACTCTAAAGCACTGAGAGGGCATATAAATTTCCCAAGGACATAGTTCTAATATGCGATTAACTCAGGATTTAAGCCCACACAGTCTGGCTGTATAGTGTATTCTCTCAAAGGGAAGGGAATTACAATGTAAAAATGAAAACGTTAAAACTGGCTATCTCATAACTTTCTCTATTTTGGGATATTCTCTTTGATTCAAGTTCTCTGGACATTGGACATGTCTTCTAAGCTGCTGGCTTATTTCCATATTATTAAAAATAACTATATTCCAATAGTATAATAAAAATTATATACATATTACTGGAATATAATCAAATTCTCTTTTTGGGGACAAATTCATCCTTTCTCAGCTTTTTATTCACTCTGCCTACCTGACTCAGCCAGAGGAAACTTATATATCCTAACAACATAATTATATCTGCAAAGACTAAGTCAACGCAAAGTAAATACAGCCTTTTACATGATTAAATGATTAAACAGAATTCTCAAAAGCTTGGTCTGAAGCACATTCATTTTCATTTCTACACTGCCTTATATCCGCATGGCTAATAGGGTCACCCAAACATCCCCAGTAGGTACAAAGGGAGAATGTTGGCATTTACCCTGAAGTTTAGAAATGGCTGTAGCCTTTAAAATGGCACATTTTGGTCCCCACTTTATATGCAGGACACTGCAAAGATTACATGAAACAACAATGGCATTTGCTACTCCTAGGAGCTGAGAAGAAAAAAAGAGAGACAGCATGACATATGACTTCAAATGTTAGAAAGTAGTTCTGGGAAATAACAGCATTTTGTTCACCAAAAATACCCTACAGTGCCTGAGGCCAGAAGTAAAAATCAAAAGGGATCACCACCAGCCTTTAAAAAAGCATTCATGTGAAGAATTTTATGTGGAAAAATGCTGCTGAGCAATGGTGATGTTAGAAAAGACTGATTATCATGGCTACACTCAGAATGTACAGACTCATGGTATACTGGAAACGCAACGGCAAATCTTTCTTCTTTAAACATTTTGAAAGCAGCACATGCTTATGTGGTGTTGAGATAGACAAACAAACCAATCATGATATATCTCCTTATTAATACTGTATACTTCAGTATATGACACCAACAAATGCAAGAATAGCAATACAAACAGCTGCTATTAGTTACTCAATTAATTAATTTATCTGAGAGGCTGGTAAGCAGTGCCAGGAGCTGATGATCTAGTGATAGCAAAATAGATAAAATCTCTGCCTTCCTGGAACTATTTATGGAGTACTTACGTGTTTCAGGCATTATGTACAGCTGAGTTTTCATAGGCAGTTATTACTGTTATTCTTCATGACAAAATTTTGAAGCAGATTCTCTTCTGGCAAGGATTATACAAGCATAGAATGAGAAGAGTGAGGCTTAGAGGGAGTGAATCACTGATCAGGGTCCAGTGACTAGTAAGTGAGGGAGCTGAGCCTCAGACCCAGGCTTGTCTGACATCTGACTCAGAAGTTTAATGGCCTAATGCTTGCTTTTAAATACTATTTGTGCTATCTCCTATTGCACACCTTTTGTTCTGTGAATTCTTTGACCCTCTCCCACTAACCCCAGGCTACCAGTTTGGCTTTGTCTTCCCATCTCTTGCAGCAGAATTTCATTCCATAATAGATTTGGTCTCTAGGTATAATATATTTGATGGCTGCATCCAGACATAGATGTAATCACAGCTGTACCACTAGTATCTCTTATTTTCTTTCTTACATTTCTCAAGAAAGCATTTACCAGCAGCATCACTGTGAAACCCCAACTTATGGGATCCTCACTAAAATGTCATTATCTAAGTCCATTAAGTTGTCTAATAAAGGGTATACCCTGGTAATCAAATGGTCAAAGCAGTGTTCTAACAAAGTCCTGCATGTGTGTAGACTAAAATATTTCAAGCACACACACATTTCATAGCTTTATCTGATTTTTAGAAGGACAGAGTAAACATATGACACCCACTGTGGTTAAATTGATTATACTAAGAGCTACATTTCCCTGTATGGTTTCAAATTAGAGTTGGCAAAAAGTACTTCTGTGAAATTTGAAGGCAGAAATAAGGCAGTGGCCATGATTCTCCAAAGGTCTTTTCCCAACTCTATGCAGTGACAGACGTTCACAGAGATGCCTCTTCTGTGTTCAGTCATTCTTCCTACTGCTGGTCCTACTGACCAATTGAGGCAGTAGCTACTCAGAAGCAATAGCTTTTCATAGGTTTCTCCACAAACTCCCCTTCATATCTCTAGCTGGAAGGACACGGCTTCTCTAATTGACTGCTTGGTGACTCAATCTCTGATTCAATCCCTCATCTGGAACTGTGTTTCCTACAGTTGTGTAAGGTCTACTTTCTATAATAATCACTGATTTGAAGACTCTCAGACTGACAGTTCTCCACCAGATAAAACTGTGTTGATTCCCGAAGAAATGATAAATGCTAATCATTAGTCAAATAGAAAGCAAGACATTCATTAATTATTCCGAGATACAGAATTCTCAGTAATAACATTCTAATGTCTTCTTAAGAAGTGTTATTCTATTGGGAAAGTTAATATACCATACATGAGTTGGTATCCTAGTGCCTCAGATGTTTTTGTAAGTGGTCTATCTTGTCTTGTGTTGATGTTAAGAAGCAGTGGCCTGAAATTGACAAGGCGAAGAACGACAGAACAATTCTGTACAAATCCCCAGACACATTTGATTTTGCACATAATACAGAAGATAAAATCTACCGATAAATATTTCAGTCTGTTCCTTTACTTCCCTTTAAGTCATTATTGTAGAACCAAAAATTATTGTTTCACTAAAAATAAATGAACCACAGGTTGTTTATGTAACTGTCTAAGGATAATATGTCAAAAAGTATTATGATTCCTGGCAACCTAATAGGGGAAAATAATTTATTAATTATACTTTTAAAAGGTTAAAAAAGTGTTGTAGATCATGTTTGAAATTTATATTCTGCCTCACTGAACTACATTATTTATATAAATAACTTATGATCACACTATTTTTTATTTAATGTATACATTAACTTTTATGAGCACATGGGGGTTACTGCAAACTGCATTTTATGTTAAATATGTCTGTATTTCACAGTTGTTTGTCTTATGTACTCTAAATACATCACAAAGCATACAGCTGATCAAATTTTCATTTATTTTTTAAATTAGCTTTTCATTTTAGAACTAAGTTTTAGATTTACATAAAAAGGTACTAGATAGTACAGAGAATTTCCATATATTCCATACCCATTTTCCCTATTATTAGTAACTTATGTTAATATTATACATCTGTTTTGATTAACTTACCAATATTGACACATTATTATTAACTCAAGCTCAGAATGTTTTTTAGATTTTCTTCCTTTTAAGCCAATGTTCTATTCCTTAATCCCTTTCAAAATTCCACATTCTATTTAGTCATCGTGTCTCCTTTGCTCCTCTTGGCTGTGACAGTTCCTTAGACTTTCCTTGATTTAGATGACCTTGACAGTTTGGGGGAGCACTGGTCAGCATTTTGTAGAATGTTGCTTAGTTGGGATTTGCCTGATACTTTCTCTCATGACCAGACTGGGGCTAGGGGTTTTGCAAGGAAGCCCACAGAGGTAAAGTGCCTTTGTCATCACATCATGCCAAAGTTTCCTATCATTATGACTCATCGCTGTTGATGTTACCTTGATCATCCGGCTGAGATCATTGTAAATTTTCTCTACTTTAAAGTTATTCTTTTTCTCTCTCTCTTTCCATTCTGCACTCTTTGTAACCAAGTCACGGTATTAGCTTGCTAGGGCTGACATAACAAAGTACTCCAAGCTGAGTGGCTTAAACAACAATGTATTGTCTCATAGTTCTGGAGGCTAGAAGTCCAAGATCAAGCATTGGCAGGGTTGGTTCCTTCTGAGGTCAGTGAGGAGAATCTGTTTCATGTCTTCCTCTTAGCTTCCGGTAGTTTGCTGGCAACCTTTGAAGTTCTTGTGTTTGTAGATGTGTCATCTCGATTTCTATCTTCAGGCTCACATGGTGTTCTTACTGTGTTTGTGTCTGTGTTCAAATTTCCCTTTTTTTATAGATGCCAGTCATACCTGGCACCTACCATCTGTCATCTATTTACTCAATTCCACTACACATTGAGAGCAGTTTTCATTCACTTTTAATATACAGAATTATTAAAGTATAAATATGTATAAACCAATCATAAATATTTAAATATGCAAAAATTCCAGAATAATAGTTTACATTTCCCAAGAATAGCTGTAAACTAAATTGAAGTATAATTTCTTCTTTGGATCATTGTTAATGAGGACAGTGTCATGAGTGAAGTGCAATTGACTTTCTGTTTAATATAATATGTTAAGATATGCATTAGACCAATTAGAATAAATGATACAACCATCAGCTTCATGATTTCCTCAGAGTAGCAAATTATAAAGTTTAGATACTTTTTTGCTCTTTTTCCCTCTCTTTCTCTGTGCATGTATATATCTGTATATATCTATAACTTATGTATGTAAATAACACATATATGCATTACATAGTATATGTCTATAATTTATGTATATAGATAACATACATAAACATAACATACACATGCATATACATCTGCATATATATGTTATCTATATACGTAAATTATAGATATGTACATATATACTCTACATACAGTTATAAATACACAATAAAAACTTCATTATTAACATTTAAAAAATCGTGAAGTAATCATTGAGTTACAATTATATCAAATAGATATAAAAATAAAGCTGAAAGATATTTTCAATATACTAAATGTCTTTGATCATGAGAGGGAAAAGAAGCCCCTGATACCAGATTTGTATTGGTAAGATTCCAACTATCTCAAACATGTCAAAATGTAAAATTTTCTCTATCATATGTGACATTGAATCTTGCCTTCCCTTTATATATTTTATATAGTGCAGTATGATCAATAGCACCTTTTCTTTTTGGTTATACATTTGGTTAACATTGCAGAGTCTTGTTTGCTTCAAGACAAAAAAATTTGAATAAGTTTTGGAAATATCCAAAAGAAATGGAGTTAATACACAAAATGCATGTATAGACTCTCTGCACTGGTCAGTGGTTGTATCCAAATTTGGAACTAAATTTTCTGTCAATCCCTGTGTATTAGACACCTCTTATGCACCATGCCAGAGCCTCTCAGCCTCACCTGTCTCTTATCCCAGCTGCCACTGTGATGACCAGCTCAGCATGGGCTTGAACTGACTTTACACAAGTGTCACACAGCAGTCTCAGGTCCTGAGCTAAAGCCACATGCTCTCACCTCTGATCCTGTAACTTCCTCTCTTGATATTGCTTTGGGTCCTGAAGTCTGCAATCTGATCACTGTCAATCAATAACAGGAACATGACAATTTATTGCCTTTGAAAATGTAATTCCTAAGGTCATTTTTTTCTTCTACTGCTCTTTTCTTCGCAAGCCCTTATGTATCTCTATGTTTACTGTGTTACGGGGAAAGTATTGAACATCAATTGGCAGTCTCCCATGAGTGAGCCTCTGAATATATCAGGGAGAAAATAGAGTAAGTCATTATAGCACTAATAGAGTTAGTAATAGCATTTTTATCTGTTCAGGCTGCTATAATAAAATAGACTAGATATCTTATAAACAGCAGAAATTTATTTCTCACAGTTCTGGAGCCTGGAAAGTCCAAGATCTAGGTGCCAGCAGATTCAGTGTCTAGAGAGGGCACACTTTCTGGTTCCTAGATGGTCATTTTCTCACTGTAACCTCACATGTTGGAAGGGGCAAAGGACCTCTCAAGGCCCTTTTGTATAAAGGCAATAATCTCATTCATGTGGACTCCACCCTCATGACTTAATCACCTCCCAAAGGCTCTACCTCCTATTACCATCATCTTAGGGATTAGGAGTTCAACATATGCATTTTGAGGGGAGACAAACATTCAGACCATATAGTTTGTCTTAAGAGTTGAACATGAAGCCGTGACAGGCTACATGTATATCTGGAGAAAAGGCAGGTTACTCTTGGTTGGTCAAGGAACAAGGGACTTAATTTTTAGTTTAGGCTCACTGATATCTCTGAAAGCAAAAAAATTGCAGATTGTGTTGAAATGCAAACCCAAGATCATTGTTAGCTGGGCAGGTAGATCTGGAGGGAACTGCCTTTCCAAGGCATTCACTTCTAATCCTAGGTCACATGTAGCCCATTCACTTGGTCTCATTTGTAACTAACTCCTTTTAAAATAAAGCTTGTGTCCTGGTAGTTCTTCTGACAACATCCTAAGACATCAGGGTATAGGAGGATTCTTAATACAAACTGGAGAAGAAAATAAGGAAAAAAGAGAGTAAAATTAAGACTTCCTCCCAAACCATCCAAAATGAAATTTAGACTGTGAAACAAAGCTGCTTCCCTTCCAGTGGGGGACTTTATAACATTTTATTCATGGGAAATGCAATTAAAATGTCTGTCTCTCCTGTTTCCTGAAAAATTTAATTTGCATCTTAAGTTGTTACTGCTGTGCCCAAGATTTTCAAATCAAATATTAAAAATGAACTTGTCAACTCCAGCAGCTTTATGCTTGGAGCTAAACACTTCAAAAATTCTGTTTCATTTTGTAGCCTGTTAAGATATATTTATAACTGCATGTGTAGCGTCCTACATTGTTAGTAGGTAAATTTTATAATGAGTTTTAAATTAGACTCTTTCTCTGCACTCACTCACTAATCCACCTCATTTCCTACATGTATTTTTATCTGCATGAGAAATTCATGACCTCAGAATCCGACATAAGCCATGTGTTTTTTGTGTAATCCCAGAAGTCTCGTAATCTAATATCTCATAAACTTGCTTTGCTTTTTTATATTTTTGAACTATTTTAGATTTGCTTAATGAACAATGCAAAATATCAGGATTCGATGGCCTATTAATGCAGAAATTACGACTTTATTATCTTTAAAAACATTTTCAAGTTTGAAATTCAAGATTTTTTTAAATGCATGTAACAAGAATAGATTGTAATATATTCTGTATAAGTAAGAATTATTTTCACTTGGAAGTAGGGTAAGAATACTTCACACTAAATTTCTTGCAAGTTACGGAGTATGGCAGATTTCAGTCATGGCTAGATCCCGGAGCTCCTTCACATCCTGTCCCTCTCATCATCAAGCCCTATACTCATATCTTTCGAACTTAAAACCTCTGTGGAAAAATAGTCTTTAAGATAGCAATTGAAGAAAAGTTCACAAAAAAGCAAATTAGTGCGGCTTGGATAACATGATCATCATTGAACTAATTACTGTCACAAGACCTCTTAAAAGCCCTGTTTGTCTCGTCTTTGGCTCCATAGAACCACATGAAATTGTTTCGCCCCAGAAAATATTAGCTTGGTCACCAGAGAAAGAAAGGAAAAGAAATGCTAAACAGACAAAAGTAACAGTAGTGTATCTCTTCATTTCAGTCTCTCCTTACAGCTACCTTATATTATACTTTCCTGGATTATAGAATTCATCATGTTGCATCACAATTATTTTTATGTTTCTTGCCCTTCTGATATCTGGAATATTCTGGAGACAAGAAGACAATATTATTACTTTTAAAAATTGTTGTAATTATTTTCTTTTCATGTTTTAATCCAGTATTTGGCACTTACTAGCTCTTCGATAGATGGTTAATAATTCTACTAGTTAATTATATGTACAACTGTTGTATTCTCCTTATCTCTGTTTTGACATTATTTTATTTTCTTATCTAGCTTTCTTAAATTCTTTCTTCTTATATTTCCTTTTAATTTTTCTTCTCACTTCATCTAGTTCTCAAATCACTTTCCAAGGAAGTCAATGAGAAAAAAACATGCAAGTTTAATAATGTATTTTATTTACAACAGAGATTTCCCTGTTTGGAAGAGGGTGATCTCTTGGGTGTATTTTTTTTTTTAAAAAAGCAAAAATGTAACAAATTTATTTTTTTCATTCTTGAAGCTAGCTAAATATACCTAAAATGTCATGTCTCATTCTTCAAATACATGAGAGTACTTTGGTTTCTTGTGGGCCTTATCCTTAATTTCCAGTACCTTTGAGATGATTAATGACTATTCTTACTTAAAGTGGAACTAATTTGAATTATCTGGTGTTATAATGCATTTTTTGTTGTAAATTTTTTGTACATTTTTTATTTTATTGGCTGTTTATTCCATATCTTGTTACTATAGAAGCTAGTCTTCTATTTAAACTCAATGAGATTTACCATATTTCATTCAGTGACACCCTCAGTCTTGTCCCAAACTCTTACGGTTCTACATGTGTCGTGAGGCTGTTGTATGGCTGAGATGACATTAGGTAAAGCGCCAGATTAGCAGGCATATCCCAGATCATCACAAAGAAAAGTTAGTACAGCTTCCTATGTAGCTACTATGCTATGCCAAACTCTCTTTGTGACTAGACAGTTCTTCCCTCATTCTGGCATCATGCCATATTTTATTAGAATCTTTCTAGTTACTTCTCTCTAGAACATCCTCATAGAAATTCTTCCCCAAGTTATTTCTGCTCATCCTTCGTCTTGGTGGTGGTGGTGGAGTTACGTTCTCTTTCCTCAAAAAAGCTTTCCCTAAACTCTAAAAAACAATTGGCTTACCCTCTTGTACAAGTCACCTTGTAATTTATTTACGTTTTTATCACTGGCCACAAATGGACATTTTAAAATTAATTTTTGTGTTCTCTACTATATTGTAACTTCCATGAAAGCTAAGGCCACCTTGTCATGTCTATCGAATACTCAATCCAAATATAGCACATAGTAGGCTTTCAGTAAGTATTTATTGACTGAGTGACCAAAGGAGAACTCAAAACTAACCCAGTTTCCCACACTGGAAACAAAATCTAGGCAAGTTTAGATTCTTAAGACTGACAGAATTTAGGCTGTTTCCAACCATCAGTTTTGAGTGAAATGTAAACAAGATCAAACAGAGAAACCTTGTCACTTTTATTTATTGCTGTATTTCCCAAGACCTAGAACATTTCTTGGCACAAGCTATATGTTCAATAAATACTTTTTTGACTTAGTCAAGGAACCTTAAATACAAAGTTTTAAAATGTCTTAGCATTAGAGAAGCAGCTGCTGAGCCAGTGATGCCCTCTGGTGACAAAAGTCATCATCGCAGTACTTTTCTTAATTCAGGCAATTGGACTTTGAGCTTCTCTTTTATGTCTAGCATTTCATAGGAAAATATAAGTGGGGGCTGTCCCAAAGAGATACACTCAAGAAACCCTAGTGCAGTCTTAGCAGTATATCAATAATAACTTCTATATATATGTGACTTTACAGTTTTCTAAAGTCTTGGGGTATAAAGATTAGTAATAAGTAAACCTTATTCCTAACAGAAAAATACAACACAGAGAAATATGCACTAATGTAGACATCTACATACAATGTGGAAAAATCAACGGAAAGAAAGAAATCAAAGTATTTCCACATAATAGATGGCTGGGAAGGAAGACCAGGAAAAATTTTATAGAAGAGGTAATGTTTCTTAGGGTTTTAAGGGAAGAGGAGATGTTTTCCATTTAGACCAGAGACTGGGAGGACATTCTGAGCAGAGGGAAGAGGTTGAACAAGAGCAGTAAGAGTAATTCATTATTATTTTCTAATAAAATTATTTTACTTTGTATGTGGTGCAAGTATTTTATAATAAGAAAATATTCCTAATTCCTCCCTCCCATCCCTTGTATCATTGATGTCATTTATTTCACTAATGCGTAAGCTATAATCATCAAATACATTGTTGCTATTATTATTTTAAACAAATTGTTATCTGTTAGATCAATTGAGAATAAGAAAACTGAAAATTCTGTTATCTTCCCTTATTCCTTCTTTAATCCTCTTCCGTTTTTCATGCAGATCTGAGTTCCTGAGCTGTGTCACGTTTTTTCTCTCTAAATAACTTCTTGTAAGACTGATCTACTGTTAACAAATTCCCTCAGTTTTGTTTGTCTGAGAAAGACTTCATTTCTCCTTGACTTTCAAGGATAACTTTGCAGGGTAGTGGATTCTAGGTTGATGTATCTTTTCTTTCAGCACTTTAAATATTTCCCTCCACTCTCTTCTTGGTTGCATGATTTTTGAGATGTCAGATGTAATTTTTATCTTGCTCCTCTATAGGCAAGTTGTTTTTTTTTTCCTCTGACTCATTTCAAGATTTTTCTTGACCTTTTATTTTCAGGCTAGGTGCAAATTATTGGATATTTATCCTGCTTGGTTTTCTCTGTGCTTCCTGGATCTGTGGTTTGGTGTCTGACATTAATTTGAGGGAAATTATCAGTTGTTATTACTTCAAATGTTTCTTCTGTTCATGACTCTTCTTTCTAGCATTCTCATTACACATATGCTACATCTTTTGTCATTGCCTCATAGTTATTCGATATTCTGTTCCATTTATTCAGTAATTTTTCTCTTCACATTTTGGTTTTATAATTTTCTATTAACACATTCTCATGCTCAGAGATTCTTTCCTCAGCCACGTCCAGTCTCCTAATGAACCCATCAAATAATTCTTCCTTCTGTTAAAGTGTTCTTGATCTCTAGCATTTCCTTTTGATTCTTTCTTAGCATTTCCATCTCTTTGTTTACCTGACCTATCTTTTCTTACATGTTGTGTACTTTGTCCATTAGACACCTTAGCACATTAATCATTATCATTTTAAATTCCCAGTGTGATGATTCCAATATCGCAGCCATGTCTGAGAGTGGTTCTGATGACTTCCTTGTCTACACTGTGTTTTTTGCCTTTTAGTATGCCTTGTAATTATTATTTTTTTTTTAGCATTAGGGCATTTTTACTTTCCTTTTCTTCACCTTTTTATTTTAGGTTTGCAGGGTACATGTGCAAGCTTGTTACATGGGTAAGCTGTGTGTCACTGAGGTTTGGTATACAAATGATTTTATCACTCATGTTGTAAGCATAGCACTTGGTAGGTAGTTTTTTGTCCCTCATTCTTCTCCTACCCTCCACACTCAAGTAGTCCCTGATGTTTATTGTTCTCTGTGTACTCAATGTTTAGCTCTCACTTATAAGAGGGAACAGGTGGTATTTGGTTTTCTATTCTTGCAGTAATTTGCTTGGGATAATGGCCTCTAGCTGCATCCATGTTGCTGCAAAGGACATGATTTCATGCTTTTTTATGAGTATGCCTTATAATTTCTTGTGATGTAGTGGGTAAAAGGAACTCTAGTAAATAGGCCTTTAGTGATGTGCCGGTAAGGTGTTGGGGGTTAGCTAGTATTCTAGAGTCCTGTGATTATGTCTCAGTCTTTTAGTGAGCTTGTGTCCCTAGACTGTGAACTTCACAGGTGTCTCTCAGTTTTATCGACCAGTATGGGATGGCTACAGGGTGATGGAGTCAAGTGTTTTTCATCCCCCATATGAAAAACTAGAGAGGGTTAGGGTTGGGGTTTTCCCTTTCCCAAGTATGTTAGGCTCCTATAAAACCCCTTCAGATCAGGATCTGATAAAATAGTTTCTCTAGGGGGCAGGCTTTGTAAAAAACAGAATCCTTTCCCCGTTGGAAGCTGGAGACTTCTCTCTAATGTTTACTGGGCGAATCTACTTCATCTCCTGTAGGTAAAGCCAGAAAAGTGTGGGGGTATCTGATATGGTTTGGCTGTGCCCTCACCCAAATCTCATCTCGAATTCCCACGTGTTGTGGGCGAGACCCAGTGGGAGGTAATTGAATCATAGGGGCAGGTGTTTCCCATGCTGTTCTCATGATAGCGAATAAGTTTCACAAGATCTGATGGTTTTAAAAAAGGGGAGTTCCCCTGCACAAGCTCTGTTCCCTTGTCTGCCACCATGTGAGATGTGCCTTTCACCTTCTGCCATGATTGTGAGGCCTCTCCAGACACGTGGAACTGTGAGTCCAATAAACCTCTTCTTTTTTGTAAATTACCCAGTCTTGGGTATGTCTTTATCAGCAGTGTGAAAATGGCCTAATACTTTCCCCTACGATGGGACCCTGCTGGAGTATTTACTCCCAGTCTTGCCCATTCTTAGCTTCCCATTAGTCAATTACATTTTAAGTTTTCCTACTTTAGTACTGGTTCCCACTCAGGTTTCTGCTCCAGTAGCTTGTGAGTCTCTGTATTTGCCTTTCTGTCTGTCTTATTTTGGGGACAGTGATTTTCCCTGTGACCTCACTTCTCATATGGATTTAAGAAGAATGGATGATTTTTCAGATTTTTCAGCTTTTTTACTTGTTGTTATGACAGAGTGGTGACCTCTAAGTTCTTTACATGCCAGACTAACAACTAAAAGTTGTAATTCATTATTATTTAGTAAAACACATAACGTCTTAGTTCATCAGCAACCTAAAATCCACAAGCTCATTATTCCTTCCAGAAACAGAACAACCCACTACAGCTAGTCATTTCTAATATCCATTATGTTAATCGACCAAAATTCTGGTGTTGATAAAAGCTAAAAATAGATGAGGCTTATGAGTTGATGTCTTCTCTGGAGCATGCACTTTTGATTTGAGTTTCCAAATGAAAACTTCACAAAATACTCTAGAATAGGAAAAAAATACATCTTTCAGCACAACTTAGCTTGGGTCACAAATGACAGGGACACAGACCACAGACAGACTCTGTGATGGCACAGTACCCGCTTGGAAACAGAAGGGATCTTGACACTTGTTTACTCACCACTGGAAATGGATTTTACTTTTTTTTTAATGAAGAAGAATGAATTTATTCTAGAATTCTAACTCTATATACTTTGATTGTAACTATTAAATATTTCAAATATACAGAACATTACAGAAAATGTAATGAAAAATACTCTCTCATAGATTTATCAAATGATAGCATTTTATTGCATTTGTTTGATTCTCTCCCTTTCTGTCTCTATCTTTTAAAGAAAATAAACAGCAATAGAATACATAAATAAAATAAACAGAATAGAATAGATAAAGAAAATAAACAGATAGCAATAGAATGCGGTCACTCTTCTATATCCTCTTTCTCTCTAACTGGAAACATTTATGATCCTGCCACTAGTGTGTGTTTTTTCCACTTTTTAAATTTTTTATTACTTATGCCTATATCTACAAACAATACAACAGTTATATATTTTTTAAAAGTAAAATATTGCTTTTTTCGTTCTAAAATTTGCATAAATGCTATCATTATATACTCATTTGCAGGTAGTTTTATTTTTATCTGATGATTATGCTTCTGAGACTTTAATATGTTGCTATGCATAGCCCTAATAGCTTCATATTATGAATTAGCTAATTGATTGTATGTCTGTGATTCATGAACTCAGAGGTCATAAAATCAAATCCCCATGGGCAGCACTGAACATAGGCTTGGGAAGGACTAGAAACTCTAGGAATATGGCATGAATATGCCATTCTCAGTGGGACAGCTGCAGCTCAGACATATCTGCTGTTGCCATTTGAGATAGTGGACCTGGTGGAATTATGTCAAGTTCTGTTCAAAGGAAAATGGAAGTACATACTTTGTGTGTTACCCTGAAATGTTTGCAACTATTTTAACTTAAAAACTAAGACAAAACACTCTGTAGTTCAAATAAAACACTCACGTGTTCAGAATACAACCAGTTAGGACCTCTTACTAACTCTTTGGTTAAATCTATGTAATTCATTTTACATGGTGCATTTATTTATTGTCAATTGTTTCCTTCTGTTGGTGTAAAAATGTTTCTATTCTGAAATGACACATAATAAAGGGGCTCTGAAAGCATTATCAGTGTGTATTGAACAGCTTTTTTCTTATACTTGTATTTAAGATACTGGCATCTAGGGAAAATTATCCAAGAAGCAGAAATATTTTTAATAGTAGTCTCCATACTTGGGTTACATATTGAAATCAGCTACATAAATATATGAATTCATGGCCCTCATCTAAGGAATCCTGATTATAAGTAGCTCTGGGATCCAACCTGCCTCCCAAGTTCCCAGCTGCTGATTTTTACACTGTGTCTGCAATGTTAAAAATAACCCAGCCTCATCAGTACTGCCTTCTTCTATAAAGTCTAATGATAACGGTGAATAAAGTGATAACTATTTAATGTAAGCAGTCTTTTTATAACAAATGATATATTGCCACATGGATTGCCATCATAGTTTAGACTCCCACGTAAGTTTTTATTAGAATGATAATAAATGAATGCTGTATGACTAAATAAATCTTTAAAAATAATTTTAAACACATTTTGAACAGATTTTTGCATGTCTGAAAATTTAGACTGTAGAACTTTCTGAGAATAATTTTTAGGAGGGCGAGGAAAAGCAATACAGAAAGACTCAGATGGGGGGCAACGTATTGGATTTCACAAATCAGAGTATGTATGTTTCCACCTAGAATAATGTTTTATCCCTTTGCTATGTAGTTTACTTTGAAATATTTCATTAGAGACATTGTGATGTATGTGTTAATTCTCTCTCAGGAGATATGGTTAATTACCATCACAAGTAACATACTCTGCAGGCTACCTAGATACTATTTGAAAGACCCTGCTCATACATCAGAAATGACTACAACAGGGCTTCAGTTTTATTTATCTCTTATCAACATTAGAGGATATTTAACTAGGAAAACCTATGTTGCAAAAAGAACTCTATTGATAAAATGAGTAGTGAACAAGATTGTGACTTGACTAGAAATACTGTAGAGACACTGTTCATTACAGGAACCCTAAGCCCTGCAATCTATGTTTCTGGTGGTTCCTGGGTTTTTACTCCCAAGGAGTCTCACACTCAGTCACTAATTTGAAAGAATCTGGTTGTCTGTTGCTTACAAGTAGATAAGCAGATTTCTGTTTTTAGCATATTGTCACTTTTGTGTCTAGGAAAGATTTTGTGCAAAGCATGATCAAATCATTTTAAATGACAGAGAGCTGGGATTTCATTGCGCTTAGGGAACAGGTTGCATGACTTGCCTAACTCCTGTTTGTTATAAACATTTGTATGTGTATGGAATTCACTCTAATGATTGCTTTGATACCTGGCAGTAGGTGTCTAGAAGAGAGTCCTTAGTGCTCATTTGCCTGTGAAGATTGGCTGCTATGATACTAAAATGAAGCCAGTAATTTTGAGGGGCCATATTGGCTCAGACTATTTTACAAGTTGGATCAATTCCACTGGTTTACTTGGAAGTCCCTTCCAAATTGATAACTTTGACTCTACCTTCTGCCTTCTGGGTACTATAGCAGGACTATCTATGAACAATAAAATCATAAGACGTAAAGTTGTTTTGTTTAGTGGTAAGAGCACCGCTGTGAAAATCAGAAGATGAAGTTCCGGTCCTAATTCTACCATTATTTGGTAGTTTTTATTAATATGTTAATTTATCTTTCTGGGCCTCTATTTTTCTATAAAATGAATTTCCTTCAGACTGTTAAAATCTTTGAGCCTATATGAAACATACAGATTCTTATCTCCCTGGAAGGAAGCGTAGCCTAAGATACATCGGTATTCTAATAGAAAGATCAATGGGATTCAGAGTCAGCTAAATGCTTTGTGAAGTTGGGAAAGGAACTCAATTTTTCAGATTCAAGTTCTTCTTTTTAAAAACAGAGGCAATGGCTCCTAGTTTATGAGATAATTGTGAAGATTAAATGATTAAGACAATTTAAAGAAAAGATGTCTTAATGGTAAAGAATTACATAAACATCCTGGTTCACCCCACCCAATCTGGGAATCTTCTGTTTCAGAGAGACAAATATAATATCTCTTTACTGACACCAGCTCAGATATCATCAGTCTATTTCTTGGGTGGGAAAGGCCACCGAAGTCTTTCAAACTGAAAAGACAAATACTTCAACTGAATATAAACAATTGTATTCCACAACTGCTTAGAGGTCACATGTATGAAACACTTTCCTTATAAACCAGTAATTCTCTGGAACCAACTCTATTTAGGGACAACTTTCTCATTCAGTTCTTCTTTTTTTTTTCTCTCTCTCTCTCATTCCATTCCTGATGAAGATGATAAAAGACAAATTAGAGGAATACTCTGAAAAGTTGAGATAAGGAGAAAAATGTTATCTGTTAAATAATTCATGTATAACAAATAAGTGGGTTCTCTATGTTACTTTCTATGCAGCATCTTTCTTCCATTTTTAAATCACTTATAAATGTGATTTTGTTCTCATCATATTTTAACAGGTTTCTGTCTAGTGTGTTTTAATTAGGAGATGACACTTTTTTTCTTTCTTTAAAAAAATTAATTGAGATAAATGTTTTCAGAACACAGATGACTTTTCCACGGGACTTTATTAAAAAGAAGTCACCCTGTTTTGTTGCCAAGGGCACTAAAAATTGCTGGTTGAATAGTCAGTCATTTCTTTTCTAATGAAAAGAGACAGCATGGAGATTTCCCAGAAAATGAATCAGTGTAAATGGGGATAGTGGTTTGTAACATCTTTCTGCTGAACTGTTTAGAACATGACAGAGACCAAACTAGATTACAGAACAAAATGAGTTGATATAAAATGTGTTAAAAGAACGTCATATTTTGTCTTTAACATAATTGAATCTGCTGTGAAAATAGCCCATGCCAGCCAAGAGACTGAATATCAAACTCTGTGGGGTTGGATTCTCCTTGTGCTGTTATAGACACTATGGCAAAGTGTCTCCTCTTTATTTTTTCAAGTTAATGTGACTTTTAAAATTGATTAATAGTCATTGTGCATTTTTATTCGTCTGAAGTTCAGAATTTAGTCTGTTATAAAGAATAACTGGTAGCTTTGATGTAATAAGAGATGATAGAGCTTCTGAGACTTAAAAGTAAAATTCTCATAGGATGTAATCTATCATTTCAGGGAAAGAAAACTATCTTTGGAAGCTGTATTCATTTGGACTACCATCCAAGAACTATCATATGTGCTATGTCACCAGTCTTTGATAGTTCAAACACAGGGAGTGTGGGCCAAGTCTGAAGGAAGGTCAATGAGGGAAGGGAAATGGATCCCAAGGATGTGGTTGCCTAAGTGAAGTACAAAGAAGAAAACAACCTTCAAAACACATCCCCTTCCATTTCACTGAAAAAACTTTCAATCATGTATTTTATTATTTTTAAATTTCAAAAATAATTCCTGTTAAATATTAAACAACATATAGAAGCATGTGATCATCTGTTTTTTTTTTTTTTTTTTTTTTTTTTTGAGACGGCGTTTCACTCTTGTTGCCCAGGTTGGAGTGCAATGGCACAATCTCTGCTCACTGCAACCTCCGCCTCCTGGGTTCAAGCAATTCTCTTGCCTCAGCCTCCCGAGTAGCTGGGATTACAAGCATGCGCCACCATACCAGGCTAATTTTGTATTCTTAATAGAGATGGGGTTTCTCCATGTTGGTCAGGCTGGTCTCAGACTCCCGACCTCAGGTGATCCACCCGCCTTGGCCTCCCAAAGTGCTGGGATTACAGGCGTGAGCCACCACGCCTGGCGTGATCATCTTTTAATACGTCAGCTTGGCTAGGCTACAATTCCATTACTCATCAAATAGGAATCTAGGTATTGCTCTGATGGTATTTTATATAAGTGATTAAAGTTATAACCAATTGATTTTAAGTAAGATAGAGTATTCTAGATAATATGAGTGAGCCCAATTCAATCTGTTGAAAGGTCTTTAAAAGCAGAACTGAGGCTTCCTTGAAGAAGAAATTCCACCTATGGACAGCAACTTCAGCATGTGCCCAAGAATTCCAGTTGTCCGTTTCTGACCGAGTGTACTATGGTTTTTGGACTTGCCTAGCCAGCCTCGAAAATCTCAAAAGCCAATTCTTTACAATAAATCTTTTCTTATATAATTTCCACTGGTTCTGCTTCTTTGGTTGAACTCTGACTGATACAAATTTTGGTATATTAGAGGAACAGAAGCTGAATGATGAGCGTTATGAATTGACTCTGGGTTTTCTGGAATTGAGTAGACCAAATCTGATTAGATTTAAAGGCACTTAAGGCTCTATTTTCAGTAGTAAAGAGAGCAGTGATAGTTCATGGCATGATGTGGCAACAGAGATAAGGAAAGTATTTTGGTGTTGGTTTTTTTTTTTTTTTTTTTTTTGAGACGGAGTCTCGCTCTGGCTCTGTTGCCCGGGCTGGAGTGCAGTAGCGCGATCTCGGCTCACTGAAAGCTCCGCCTCCCGGGGTTCACGCCATTCTCCTGCCTCAGCCTCCCCAGTAGCTGGGACTACAGGCGCCCGCCACCATGCCTGGCTATTTTTTTTTTTTTTTTTTTTTTTTTGTATTTTTAGTAGAGACGGGGTTTCACTGTGTTAGCCAGGATGGTCTCAATCTCCTGACCTCTTGATCTGCCAGCCTCGGCCTCCCAAAGTGCTGGGATTACAGGCGTCAGCCACCGCGCCCAGCTGAGATAAGGAAAGTATTGATTGCTATTTGATACTCCTAGTCAAATATCTATAGCAGGCGAGGTTCTGGGTGACTATGTATTTGCTACCTTACAACATTTTAGTTGAACTAAGTAATTCAATGGAATTGGCTGGTTGCTTCTAACAGTGCTGGAAAAAATGGAGAAATAAATTGATGAACTCAGGGCTTGAAATCCCCAAGTTAAGTTCTGCATAAGCTATTAGAAGGTTTCTATATCTTCCCTGAAAGAACATCATTGTTTACTACAGTTATAGGGTCAAGATTTCCGAAAACTAAATCCAGAGTTCCATCCTGCAAGTGGCTTAATTACAAGACAAATTGAATTGACCTCTCCGGGTGCCTTCTATTAAAGTCAGGGCATTGATTGGGAGGAAATAGGATCCTAAAAATTGAAATAGGACGTTTAGACAGTTTCTGTTATAGCTGGGGATACTGAACTGTTTAAGTTCTACCAAGTCTTCTGTGCCAGAAAAACAATACTTATATCCTTGCCTGAGGAGGTTAGCCCTCTTTTACCTATGGAAACCTCAATGGACTCCCCTCAGTTAGCTGTCTCACAAAACACAGCTGAGTCTTCTTAGGATCTATTTATCTAGGTGAGATACTTCCAGAGTGCACACATCATGACGGATTTCATAACAACTCAAAAGGCTGATCATTGTACAATAGATCATTGTTTCCCTTTTGTCCTAGAGCTCTGCAGAGCCATAAAACTTTGTTAGAATCAAAACTTCCCTAACATGACCACTGCAATGCTAAACTATCTTTAGTGAAGGACTGCCACTTAACAAGTTAGACACAGGCACTGCGGGTATAATGTGAGAAAAATGGAAAGTGGGAGTCTTTTCTGGAGGTGGATGAGGCTTAGATGAGGATGAACAAATAACAGACAAGAGAAGAAAGTACCATGGCCAGACAAAATTTTATGCTTTAAAATGATCAGAACTGTGCCGTTTCTCTAGAGGCAGAGATTTCAGTTATAAAAGCCTGCAGTTTTACTAGCCTCCCTCTCTTTTGAGCCCTGAAATTAATTTTTTTTTCCTCTTTAGTCATGCAAATATTTTGAAAGCTCTGATTGATTCCTAAGAATCACAGAACAAGTACCTGCAGGAAAAAAGGTGACTCTAAAGTGTGAAACTCCACCCTCTGGTTTCCTATATTCTCCCAGATCTTGCTTTTAAATTCTTATTAAATTCTAAAGAAATTCTTCCTTGCCTTGGTAGGTCTCCAGTACATTGAAACAAACTTTTTAAAATATCTTGTTTAGCTTCTTTTGTTATTTCTAGTGGGAGGAATTGTCCTAATTACCTACTGTGGCATTAGCCAAAGCCAAATTCCTTTTACATTTATTTTTAAGTGTAATTTGTGAATTTGGAGCATAACACTGAATTTTCTATTTATAGTAATGATGCAGCATTTTCATTAAAATAAATTTAGTGAGTAAAATGTGAGTCAATTTAAACAAAGATATTAAGTAAACATTATGTATACAAATTAGGCAAAAACAGCAAAAGGCATTAAAGAATATGTCATTGACTGAAGTCTGGAAAGCACAAAAATGAAATAGTTGATATTAAATGACTGGTAGCCTGGCTTCCAAGGCTTTGGTGCTCAGAGACGTGCACCTCCCCTAACAGTAAGTCATTCTCATTGGTTCAATCTCTGATCACAGATTCTGTTTCCACAAGAACAGAGTTCCTGCTTGGTTCTTGTGCTCAAGCTCCTGTGTGGTTCTCTGGTTCCCCAGTTTTGCTCTTTTACACTTTGAGCAAACATTTATTTGGAATGCACTGTGTGGACTCAACATTATTAAATGTTGGTGATGTAGTACTTGATTTTGCCATGCACACAGCCTGTTTGATGAGATACAGAAATGAGCAAATTGCATTAGTTACAAATACAACATAGAATCATGGGCAAGAAACGCAAGTAGCACAGTGTACACATATACCTAGATATGATTAACCTTCTCTTGGGGGTGAGAATCTAGGGACTGATAAACAATAATCTGACAAGTTTGGCAGAAAGAAAGTGGAGAAAGTCTAATGATATTTAAAGGAGGGAATTCTTGGGAGAGAAAACAGCTTCAGTAAATGGGAAGAGGCATGAAGCGTCATGATTTGGGTAACTGGATAAGAGTCAATTACTACTGATATAATAATCGAGAGAAAGGAATAATAGGTTAATCTGTCTAGATAGAGAAACAGAAGTACGATTATGAAGGTAAACAAAGAGCTCTGACTATTCTCCGCAGCCCACAGAGAACCCCTGATGGAATTTAAACAGAGCAATGACATCATCACATTTGTAGTATCCACGGACATGTTGGGGAAACAAGAAAAGATGATTTGGGCATCAGAATGAGGGTTAGAGCCTTATGAAAAATGGGATCATTGTACAATGATGTGTGTCATGAGGTTTATAAAATGTATTTTCACTGAAGTTACCTCTCGATTGGAGTTGTAACACTTAGTAATTTTAAGATTTCAATGTATATGGTTCTTATTCATATCAATATTTTGGAGGATATAAGACAAGGAATTAGATTTCTGTATTGAGTGATACAATTAGGATTTTATGAAATGTACATTATAAACATATGTAGTAAACATTTACTTAGAGTGAAAAGTTCTGAATTATCAACAAGTTTTTTCCATGAGAAAACATGAAACAACTAAACAACCCCATCAAAAAGTGGGTGAAGAATATGAATAGACACTTCTCAAAAGAAGACATTTATGCAGCCAAAAGACACATGAAAAAATGCTCATCATCACTGGCCATCAGAGAAATGCAAATCAAAACCACAATGAGATACCATCTCACACCAGTTAGAATGGCAATCATTAAAAAGTCAGGAAACAACAGGTGCTGGAGAGGATGTGGAGAAATAGGAACACTTTTACACTGTTGGTAGGACTGTAAACTAGTTCAACCATTGTGGAAGTCAGTGTGGTGATTCCTCAGGGATCTAGAACTAGAAATACCATTTGACCCAGCCATCCCATTACTGGGTATATACCCAAAGGATTATAAATCATGTTGATATAAAGACACATGCACATGTATGTTTATTGCAGCACTATTCACAATAGCAAAGACTTGGAACCAACCCAAATGCCCAACAATGATAGACTGGATTAAGAAAATGTGGCACATATACACCATGAAATACTATGCAGCCATAAAAAATGATGAGTTCACGTCCTTTGTAGGGACATGGATGAAGCTGGAAACCATCATCCTCAGCAAACTATCGCAAGGACAAAAAACCAAACACCACATGTTCTCACTCATAGGTGGGAATTGAACAATGAGAACACATGGACACAGGAAGGTGAACATCACACTCTGGGGACTGTTGTGGGGTGGGGGGAGTGGGGAGGGATAGCATTAGGAGATATACCTAATGTTAAATGACGAGTTAATGGGTGCAGCACACCAACATGGCACATGTATACATATGTAACAAACCTGCACGTTGTGCACTTGTACCCTAAAACTTAATGTATAATTAAAAAAAGAAAAAAAAAGAATGACATTGGCTGGCAAATTTAAATATATATTGTTTAATCATTTAAAAAAAAAAGAAAAAAAATTATTCCTATATTCGAAACGTAGAAAGTCCACTTAGAATCAAGTTAATTTTTGGAATTCTATTGAAATGGGGAGAAAAAAAAATCCTACCAGCTAGCAGCATGCTGCCACTGCACAGCATGCATATCTGTAATGCAGCATTGGCATATTAATACGAAAACCCTTCAAACTACTTTTTGCTAAATGTATTAATGACAGCATAGACCTTGGCCCTAATATACTGGAAACCATCTTACTTCAACCTTTGTATAATAATTATATATTAACTGAGTAACAGGATCAGACAAGAGATAAGTAAAATATTTTTTTATATTTTTGCAATAAGTTTTATTCCTCTTTACTCAATTGTCAATCCTCACGACTCATATTTAAAACTAATTATTCATAATTTTGATAAAATGAGAAGTTTAAAAAGAATCTCTTATAAGATAATGCACTCTGAATTCTCAATGTCAAATACCTATGCCTCCTTCTTTTCTTCATTAATAAAATCTGAATAAATATTATTAATTCTAATAGAATTTTAGCTCAAAATTACTCTTGCTTTTGTTTGTTTTAATTACAATGGGCTACACAAAGGTACATAAAAGTATTAGTTTAGTAAAAAATCTAACCTTATTTTATTATTAGAATTATTCTACTACCAAATAATTTTATTAACTTAAATGCATTATTGATAATTTGGATCTTGAAGATTAAGAAAAACCAACAAAGTATTTATATCTTTTAAAAAATATCAAAATATCTTATGAAAACATGGGCAAATATATTGAGATTAGCAAGTTTTTCACAAATGTGAATTGGAACCTGAAATTTTAATTTTAATTCGATCATGCATTATTCTTTTAATGACTTCAAAGGATGATTACCCACATGGATAACTAGAGCATTAAGTATTGACCGCTACAGAAAAGACATTATTTCTGCTTGTTACCATACATCAATTTCTAGGGCTTTGAAAAAGTTTGTTTTTAAATATTTTATTTGGTATTACAGCTATTTTTGTTTTTGAGGACGAAATGTGCCAATCTTCTCACTCAAACAAACTAGAAGTTCTACTTCAGTTTTCTTAAAGGCCAGAAGGACAGTTAATCAATTTTCTATTGTAGAATACCTCTGCTAGTAGTGAATGTTGGGTCAAACTGGGCTTTACCAATGATTAGAGAAGAAACTTTTTGGACTTAAACTTGGATAGCAAAATGGAGTAGGTCTGAATTTGAGTGAAATTTCAGAAGTATAATCAATGGAACTTGGTTACTTTATACTCACCATCTGAATGAGTATGAAGAATGAATGTGCCTTTAGATTTCTTGCTTATGTGACTGCACAATCATAATTTTATTAGTTCAAAAAATATGTCTTTGTCTTCTGTTTTGTGCCAGGAACTATAATAAGCATTACAGATACAAGAAACAAAATGATGCTTGTTTGTATCTTTGGCTCGCATTTATCAATGGTGCCATCAAATATATCTGAGTGGCTAAAAAGTTCACAATTATCTTGTTGGAATGATTAATTGATGACTTTCATCAGAAATCTTCATAAATCTCAGGTAGCAGGTGTGATAGTAAGCTAATAGAATGAAATTGTGAAAGAGTAATAATTGCTCATTTCCACACGGGGGCACTTGTAAACTCAGAAACAGTTCTCTGCACTTGCTCAAATCTTAATTTTTTATTTGGGAATGAAATGATTGTGGACGTATGTATTAATCCCCAGTATTTAAAAAAATTTTTTTGGAGAAAGAAAGACAAATAACTAGCACATTGTTTTCTTATTGTTAGGGGGCAGAAATGCTATCTTTTGAAAACACATAGTCTCTCCCTTTCTATTTTTCTTCTGCTGGCTCAAGAAATATTGTACAAAGAAGAAATTTGGCTTGTGTTCAGTTTTTTTTTTCTTTTACATTTATTCTTCAATTACTTAGAAAATCTAGAAGGGCAATTAAGAGCTAATATTCATATAAGCACTTGAATTTCCCACATGATCTAAAATGTTTTAGGTAGTAGATACCTCTTGAGGAAAATGTGAGAAGTTTGAGTGTTTTCTTGGCAAATACAAAGAATTCTCTAACTTCAATTTCAACTTAGATGAAAGGAACACTATCTTTAGACTGGCACAATTATGGGCTGTCTCTATAAAAAGAAACATGTCATCAAATAGTTGCTTTCATTAAATGTATTTATGTGCTCATTTCTAGCCATAATATGGAGCAAAAAATTATTATCACTTACCTTACTGATACAAAAAATCTTCATGATCATCTCATCAGTTCTAGAGGAAGACTATGTCTTAGTCATTATTTTGTTACATCTCTTATTTGGTAAATATCAGTGGTATTAAATTTTTACTGAATAATTGATGTGTAATTATTTGCAGAAATACCTACTGTGATTTGTACCACTTAGTAATCTGTTCTGTCCTGTAGCTAATCTTTTAAATGTAAAATATAAACCTTTTATTTTTTCTAAGATACAGTCCCACCTCATCCCTCCTTGCTTTTAAATTTGGAGGTAGGAAAACAGAAGAAATGAGAGAGATTTTATCCTAATTGAGCATCTTACATGTACATTCTTCAGAGTGTTGAATGAATTACAAAAGTTGTGGAAACATGTTCACCTTCAACAAAATGAGAAAATTAATCTATTAAATACTGGCTTAAAAAATTGGGGATTCCATAATTTTTCTATTACTTACTATGAATTAGTAAGACAATTTCTTAAACAAACATACCTGTTCTAATTTATCCAGCTGCTTTTTCTTCATTGGAACAGTCTTCTATATATTTATTCTAACAATGCTAATACTATTCAAAGCATGCCTAACACTCTTAAAATTTATTAAAAACTAGAGCAAATTGTTTTGGAAAATTTGACATGGAAGATCTCTGAGAATAAACTTAATTTTTAAAAGGCATCATATTCCTTCAGAGCCAAATATGGCAAATAGAATTTATGAATTCTTTAATTTCTTATTCTTTGTAACTTTTTTCTCTTATCAGGTTATTTTTCTTTTATTTGTTTTTATTATTTGTTTTCATCATATTTTAATATAATGCTATATATTAAAATCATTTTTAATTTTAATCTAACTTTTCTACTTCCCTACCAGTAGCAAACACTTGAACTCAAGGACTATTATCCTGATTCATTAGAAATTCTCTGTAGTTCCTGAAAACATTTTTAATACATTTAGATGCATCAAGTATTCTTTAGATTTTATATAGTTTAGAAATCACTCTTGGAAACTATTTATTGACTTGTCTGAATCTGGGCTGGTAGCCTCGATGCTACAAGTACAATTTCAACATGGGATGTCACATTTATCACCATCCTGAACATTTTCTTTGCTTCTCTGATGTATCCCCTCTTTTCCAAATCTCATGTCTTCCACTTACTTTATTTCCTCCTTTGTTTTTGTGTGGTTTCCTCAAACAAAGCTTCCTACAAAAGGGTACATGGGAGGTTGACTTTTCTGGACTTGCCTGTCTGAAAAACTCCTTTAATTTGTCCTGAGATGCTTAAGGTCTCCCTGTAGCTTCTGTTTCTTTCCCTTTTCATCTGATACTTTCTGCTCTCTCTATCGAAGTTTATGGAATCTCCTCTTGACTCTCATTTTTCTTATGTTTTTACAAGTGGCTTGGGTTAAGTCTCCTTGTCTTCCATTTTTACAGTGATTTTATGAGTGCTTTAAAACAGAAAATTCATATTCTCCGGTCCTTGGAAATAATCCTGAAACTTTTTTGATGATTCATGCTCTCTCTTTTTTCTATTCTTTATTTCTGGTAACCCTATGAGAGATTTTCTGAATTTTTTCTCTAATGATCTTCCCTTTTCTTTTCTTCTCTTTTATCGTCTTTGGTTCTACTTTCTGACAGTTTTCCCCAACTTTATCCTTCAATCTCTTATTGAATCTTTGTGTACCATTGTATTTTCAGCATTCAAGGCTTCTTTTGTTCTCTGTATCTATTCTTTTTATTTTACTTTGTTCTTTTCATGGATGTAACACCTCTTATTTCTCTCAGGATAGGAATAGTATGCATAGTTTCTTTGTTTTCCTTTTTTAATTTTTTGTTATTTTATTCTCCCTGGTTAGTATTTTCTCATTTTCTCTTTTTCAGTTGATCTTTCTGTTGGTTTGTTCTCTTTTTATCTGTCATATTAAAATTTTTCCTTGCATATTGCATAGTAACATTACATTATGATAATCTGTAATACTGATGCAGGATTTATACTCCCTAGCTAGGCTAAACCTGGGTTCCTGTCTCACAACCAGGAAAAATTAAGCACGCAGATATTGAAAAGTGAATGGAGTAGAATTTATTAAGCAAAAAGGTAAGCTCTCAGAGAAAAGACGGGTCCTAAAAGCAGGTTGTTGGTTGCCCCCTTCACAGTTGAACACAAGGGCTTTTATATATCCGCTGATGGGGCTGGGTTCCCTAGGTGTATAAAGCGCCAATTCCTGGCGGCTCCACCCTGTTCTTCCAGTTGTGCATGCCGGCCCTTTGTCTGAGCCACTCCACATTGATTTATATCCCTTACTGCGCACGTGTTGAGGGACGGAATTTTTCACCAACGGCATGTTTAAGGAAGCCCCTGAGCACAACGTCCTTGGCGGGTGGGAGCATCTGCAGAGACCCTCCCATATCTGCCTAGGAGAGTTCTCTGGCACCTGCCTCTATCGATACTGTTCAGATATTATTTGGAAATATCTGGTTAATGGCTTTGTAGCATCTCATTGTATGAACTAGATGTATACACTTTTAAGGTGAGTCAGGCGCGGAGGAAGGCAAACTACTTGCAGCACACTTCTGAGCTTGCATTTCTCTACCTAGACTCACCATATTCTAACAAGAGTTACTCCAGACATCTCCTGAACAATATCACCAGCACTTCTACCCATTTATATCAATCAACGCAGATGCAGGTATCAAACATCAGGTGTTTTCATACTTCCACTTAGTAGAAGTGTTAGAATGAACAATTTGAGGGGTCTAAAAACTCTTCCTTTAAAAACAATGTTTTAAAATTATTTGGGGTATTTTAGGGTACTTAAGGAGACTTGGGAGCAGATGACTGGGTTCAAGTCCAACCCTGTCACTTATTAGTTATCTGATCTTGAACAATTTATTTAAAGCCCTGTCTCCTCAATTATTAAAATTAAATAATGCCTAATTTATAAAATCACTGAGAGAATTAAATGAGATAATATATTTGAATTGCTTAGTGTAGTGCCTAGCACAAGTATTTCTCAATGAATTTTAATGTTTATGCTTCCAGATGAAGAAATGCATGCTTATCACATAAAATGAGACGATACAAAAAAGTATAAAGGAGAGAAGCAGTGGATGATCCAGAGATAACCACGCTTCACTAACCTACATACATGCATAGTTAGCTTTTTCCCCTCAATTGGTCAGAGCCTTCAAAGCAGAACTTTCAGGTCAGGGAAGAGATTAGTCTTAGGAGCCTAGTTGGTCAAGACAAGTGAAAGTGTCATTATTGAGTAAGCAATTGTTTACCTCCATCTTTTTCCTTCCAGTACCAGAGTCCTGCTCGCACCTGTAACTAGTATCCCTCAGTTCAGAGTATCATTAATATCTTCTTTATGAAATAAGTTCTAGTCTTCTAGAAGTGAGTCAGTAGTCACCCAGTTGCAGAGAGCAGAAGATTTCTCACTGGAATACAATTGATTTTTAAGTAGATTTATTCAGAGCTTTGAATGAATAACCAAGAAATATTGGGAAAGAGTTCAAGAATAGATACTCAGTATTGTTCACTGTATCACCTCTTTTTTTTCTTATCAGCATCTCTATATCTGTTCCTATGTACACCCCTGACTTCATGCCACCACCAGATTGCCCAAGCACTCAATTTTTCTTTACCCATATTTTCTCATTCTAGGCAGATTCCCAGGAAACTGTTCTTCATCATCCTAAAAACAAAAGAACAACAATAGCAAAAACAACTTAACACAAATAAGCAGAAAAAGACATGATTTCTTTTATTTCAGGGTCCTATTCTCAGTTTGAGAACTCATGAATTTAATAAACTACTTCATTTTATCCATTATGTTTATCATTGCTTAGATATTATTCATAACATGAAGGAATTCAAGCATATGGATGCTGAACTTTAGTAACATTTGCCAACAGAGACTCAATAGAAACAAAGATTGTAGAAATGGCAGTTGCAAGCCTCTCTTAAATTTAATGAATAATCCAATACTTGGAAAGGGATGAGGTAAACTCAAGCAGAGTTTAGGTTAGTGTTTGATGCGGTGAGATTAGGGAGTGTTGCAGAGTGTGGGCATTCATTCTATCCAAAAGGCATGTCTGAGAAGAAAACACAGATGGCAGATGGGGATACACCAGGTGAGGCAGATGTGATTACTATGGATCCTGGTGCTCTATCCATTTGGCAGCCAGGGAATGGAACACCGCAGTAATGAGAATCAGAGAAGCCATTAACTGTTAGGCTGTGTGTCAGGGCTTCATGCACACAGATGAAGAGCAGAGAAAGGTTCCAGTTCTATCAGCCATGAATTGGAAGGTAAGAAGAGAAATGTGGCAATTTAGAGACTCTCATTTATCTAGAAAGCATCCAGACACTTTGAGGGAATTAGCTACACTCTTACTTATAAGTACTATAGCATATTTCTTAAAGTGTAGGCTGCAGACATTCTAGATTAGAATCATAAGGTGAATATGCTATGAAGACATGATAGTGGCAGGAGGCAGACAAATCCTTAGGAAGATGGGGTGGGTCCCTGGTGAAATCCCACCTTTAAGCCAAAGACAGTTTAAAGCCTGAAAGCCAAACTACAAGTCTTCGATAAATCCATGGACCTGGTTGAGAAGCTGTCTTCCCATTGGCACGCTTTCCTCTGATTGAGCCTCACCCTTCCCTTATCTTATGTGTACTTACCCTTCCCTAATTGGTTTCTCACACCGTTGTGCCCACCTTTGAGTGGTGCCTTTGCTTTAGCCTTTTTTGCATACTCACAAACCAATTGGCATGCACTTCCCAATTCTGAGCCCATAAAAGCCCCAGGTCCAGCAACACTGGGACAGAGACCATCTGATTTCAGTTGGGAACCATCCTCACATCCCCTCTCCACTGAGAGTTGCTTTGTCACTCAATCAAACTCTTTTCTGCCCGCCTCACCCTTCCATTGTCAGCATAATCTAATTCTTCTTGGACGCAGGTCAAGAACTTGGGATTCTGCTGAATGTGGGTATAAAGAACACAGTAACACTTTAGCCCTCCACCCCCTGTCAGTGCTCAGCAGCTGCCTCACATGATGGGAGGCAATGGCAGGACTGGTCCAGCCTGGGAGCCACAGGGCAAACTGGGACAATTGACTGACAGAGCTGTTAACATACCCTCATTAGTCAGGCTGCAGTGGGACTCAAAGAGCTGTTAACATACTGTAACACCCCCTCTGGGGCTTTGGGATTGCAGGCTTCCCTGCTTGGGTGACACCGCATTGGCCTCATCTGGACACTGGAGTCCCCTGCAGGAGTTGCTTGAGACACACCTAGTCCAGCTGCATGCCCACATGGAGCCCATTCCTGTACTAGCACTCAGACCAGTCAGCCAGACCCTGCACTCTACTGCCCACTCGCCTCCCCTGACAGGGATGAGCATCCAGTGATGGTGGCTGCATGATCTGCCCTGGAGTGCAAGCTGGGCACCACCCGGCAGGACCAGTGGGTGGGGTGCCTTCTGTGGTGAACCTGGGGCTGAGCAAGGCCTGGGCAGGGCATTGCCAGCTGGAGATCTCTGGCTGGCAAAGTGGCAGAGAAAAATCCTGCATCAGACAGATTCTATGTTCTTTCTGTCTTAGTTCTGCAAACAGTGAGTTCATGAGTTGATACTGTCACTGAAGACAATACAGATATGCCAGTTAGTAGTAAAGAATCTGTTTGTATGTTATCTGGGGAATGGAGTGTCATTCACACAGTCTTCTATTTGAAATAAATGAATTGGCTAAAACAACCATTTAATGGCAAGAACTGCAATTACTTTTGCACCAACCTAATACAAGAGGTATTTAAAGCTGTACAATTATGCAGGTATGTTTTAAAAATTTTGATGAATGTGATCTTGTACTAACTTTTTTTCAGTAAGGTTACTATTTTTATAATCAAGAAAAAATGGGTTACGAGGGAAAAAAGTCAAAAATAACTTACAAGTCAAACAAGTTACTGTAATTTGCTGATTTTTACAGAATCTAGGCATTTCCTTGCTCTTATGTTTTCCCAAGAAGTGATTTAGATAATGAGTTACTTTCTTGACTCTGAGCTAATGGTGGAGCATGGCTTCAAAAGCTCTGATTATGAGAACCTGTTTTCTTTTTCACTATGAACATAAAGCACCAATATCTGTGCACTAAAAAATTACTCAGTTTATTTAAGTTTAAGTGGCTTCTTCATTTTAGAATTCAATATGATGAGTTAGCAGCAATGCCTTTTAGACTAAGATTTATGCTCAGAAGTAAGTTTGGCACTTAAAAAAAAAACGATTCACATTTTCAAGTCAGTAGAGTAATTCTAAAAATGAATATAAAAACTACCAGCCTATAAATAAAAATCAATTTCTGAATTCTCATATTAAAGCATGTATAAGTAAATAAAATATGTTAAAAATATCTAGCATCTTACCAATTAAGACACTTTGAAAACCAAATTTTAGCTATTTTATTCCCTTCTTTGCAGTTAACTTGAAATTGATAAAAAACGTTACCTGGGATCAGACAAAATATATTTTCTAAAGTATTTGGAAAATGATCACAACAAGCTACAGCTATAGCTACATAATGGAATACTAAGTGGTGGTTAAAAATAATAATGTATGTTTATATGCATCTACATGAAAAGATATCTATAACATTTTGAGCAAAGAAAAGATCACAAGAATATATATAGTACCATCTTACTTTTCTAAATGAATGTATTTTTATATTTTTACTTGTGTATTCTTGTTTGCAAGAGCAGTCACTAAAATATTAATTGTGAATAGACTGGGCAATAGAATTGGTTTTAGGGAATTTAAATTTTTTTTTATCCTTTTCTGTATTTGGTTGATGTAGTGTTTTTAAATGTCCAAAAAGTGACAAGGTTTATCCAAAAAATTGAGGTTTAAGTAAACAAACTTCAAATCATCATCATTAAGAAATAAAAAGAGGTCACCCTTCTTCAAGAGAGCATCCCGCTGCAGAGGCAGCATTGTCTTTACAACCCCAAATCTTAGGCATCGACCGGGAAATATATGCTTGCTGTTTCTACTCTTCTCATTTCAACATAAATGTGACCCCTACAATATTATACTAAGCCAACATTTTAGGGGAGCTTCTGTGGACAATTACTTAGAAAGTACCTGGAAATACGTACTAATGGGATTCTCTCAATTCTCCAATCTACCAGACAGTAAAGCTCATAATGTAAATTAAATCATTGTAATTAATATTGAGAAGACAAACATCTCTTTGCTTTAGTAGGCAAAGCCAGAAGTCTACTATAATGGTTCCACTTAATAGATTACTCCTTCAAATTAAATAATCCATTACGATAGTTCCTTACTTTCCTAAACAGCAATAACTTAAAGGGTGCAAATAAAAGAAAGAATTCCAAATATTTTATTTTCCTCTCATCATAGGAAATGCTATTGTGCAGCACTGAAAATATTTGCATGGCCTAGAAACAAGTACAAGCGGGAGCCATAAGCTATGTGTGTGAATAATCAAAATTATAAGTCAAGTTAGTAAACTGTCCAATAAAATATGTTCTGGCACCCTTCCTTGTTATTTAACTCTACATGACAACCTGAAAGTCCATATTTGAATAGAGAAGTTGTGGACTCCTGGGCTGGCAGCCTGTTCAATGCTCTTTCCATCCCGCTTCAGCTGTGTGAGTGGCCTTGAACATAAGCATGTAGCAATGTTAGGTTGCACTTGTGAGCTCTGTCTGTATCTACAAACAGCTGCACCTTGACAACTCCTCTGGGCTTGGAATGCATCCACTGGTGGTGCTGTTAGCTTTAGGGAACAGGCCAACACAGGCCTTGTATGTGGGTTTGAGAGTTATTTAAGCAGGGAATTCCAGGGTCTTGGGTACCTGGAGTGTGGTCTTGAGCACTTGCAGGAATTGCCTCAGCGAGAGAGAGCCACCTAGCCCAAGATTTCATTCTTCCTTGGCAGTCCACATCCAATGACTGATATAGGTGGGCATGTAAATTCTTGCTAATTTTGTCCCTATGTGGAGCAACACTGATTTAAGCTCCAGTGCTTCCTTTGTGGTGGGCCAAGGCCGTCATGGAACCTGAATTCCCTTCTATCCAAACTTGCTTTCCTTCCCTTTCTTACACAGTTATTTATCATAAGGGCTCTCCCTAATAAACCTTCTGCACACTAAGCTCTGTCTCAGAGATTGTTTCCCAGAGAACTCAGCTGCCTGAGTTCTTGCCCAGCAGGGCAAGACACCTGAAAGTGCAGGGCCAGGGCAGGGCCCTTCTTGCTTCTTCCTAGCATTCTATTGAAGCCATTTACCTCATTTTAAATAGCATGCGTAAGAATCACCTGGTAAGGTGCTTCATTATATGGACACCATGAGCCCACCTCCCAGAGATCCTGATTTATAGGTTTGGAATGCAGCTGAGATATACATAATGAATTTGAACCAATATCCCAGATGATTTTGATGCAGGTAGATTCAATTTGAGCAATTTTTCACTGTAGTAAACATACTCTAAATATAGAATATATTAGGATATAAAAGGAGCCAAGAGCCCTGTTTTTCTGTTTTCCCTCCCTCAAGTCAGGGAGGAACATATTGCTTATTGCTTAATACATGAAGCATATGGAGAAAACATTCAGGGCAGTAATTAGCAATGAAAACAAACAAACAAACTTGTCTGCTTCTGCAAGATTGGGGCATTGCCCTTACCACCTGGTTAACATTTGCAACAATTTCCACCCTGAGCCTACTCAATGACTTTCCCTACCTTTTCCTATAGCACTCATCATTCTCTGCTGTTATATCATTCTCTGCTGCTTATTATATTTAATAAGTAAAATTAAATATTTTACTTATTTAATTACTATTATTGTCTATCTTCACCACTAGAAGTTAAGCTTCATGAAGGCAAAGATTTATGTATAACTTATTGCTGTATTTTTAGAATCAGATGCAGTGTCTCATATACAGGAATGTTCAGTAAATATTTGGTGAGAGAATAAATTAATTTAGTTAAAATCATAGTGGATTATGGAAAAGGAACAGTGGGAATACACTCAACAATTTCCTTCCCCCTCTGAAACACAAGAATTCTTGAAACATCCATCCCCACAGTGAAGAAGGCATTTCAGAGGCAGACATTCCCAGAACTTTTAAGGATTTGGAAAAGAGCTACACTTCCAGCATTCACACAGATTGTGCAAACAGCAAATAGAAATAGAAATAGAAATAGAAATAGTTAAAGGTTAAAAAGAAGTATTTGATGAAAATATGTACTTTATTTTACCAACAGAAGAAATTATAGGAGACCAAGCTGTATGAGCCTGACACAGGGACAATCATAGCCTGACACAGGGACAATCATTAGAACTGAAGACAAACAGAGAACAAACACATGAACAAAAGAAAGACAATAACAAGAAAGTGCATAGACCCAGAACAGAAACAATTGCTTAGTCACTCATGGCTATGGGTTTTATCAACTCCTTAGCAGAGAAAAAAAGGTTTTTTTTTTTAACTCAATTGGTGTATTGTTTTATAATCTGTTTAACATAGACATATTAAAGTTAGTTATTTCCTAAACTGAATGTGGTTTATTCTGTAGTGTGATTGCAATAATTGTCAATTAATCATTTTACTGTTAAAAATAATATCTAGATTGGTCTTGCAGTTTACTTGTGTCCTCACAAATGGAATCTGTTCTAGAATGCATGCCTGGATATGGCCTTCCACTGTTGTAGATGATACCCATTTTAAAAAAAGTAAAAAAGAGCAGAGATAATCATGACCTTTTTGAATGGTACTATTAGTATTAATATCATTGTTATTTAATACTTTTGAAAAATGCTAAGTGATGAATAACTTAAGACAGTCATCCAGTAGAGTGAAGAAAAATACCGGTTGACAAAATCATCAGGGAAAACGTTATCAACTTTCACAAACTAGTAATAGTAGGACCTAAGTGATTTTATATAAGCATATGAAGTATATATTGCATAAATAGACATTAGTACACATTAGTTTCTAGTTCAATATTAATTTCCTATATATTTTCTAAGTGACATGCAATCTCAATAATTTTTTTTATTGTTTTTCCCCTTACTTCCTTTTAGAATTATGCTGCTTGATTTTGGAAAGAATTGTGTTCTTATGCTTTGTTTAACTTTTGCTAAATTCTTTCCTAAAGAAATAATGGCCATTATATTACATGTCAAAAGACACGATAATCTTGCCATATTCCTAAAATGTTGCTAATTTTGCCAATTGGGCTGTAAAAATTCCATCTTCAAATGACATTGGAATTGATACAAGTAATGAGAAAATTTTGAAGAAAATTAGTTAATTTAAAACACTCTTTTATTAGTGCTTTCTGTGAGCATTTTTCAGAAAAATGAAAAACTTAAGTATCACTTCATCCAATTAATTTTTGCCATGTCAGTGAAAGAATACTCTTTTGAGATTATGAATTTGAAGATGTATGAAATTCAAAATTGTAAGTCCTTTTTGGTAGATTTTCCATTTGCAAATAATTTAAAATTTGTTTCCTAGGTGACAATTCTTCAAAAAGGAGTTCAGGTTGAAACCTTATTATAGAAACCATGACAGAGACACGGATTTATTACTGCAGGAGAAAAATAGGCTACCCAATTTACAAACAGGCTGTAGTTTTCTTCTGAGATTTAGGGATGCACTTGGGCTTTAATATGTTGTTTCAATTGAAATATCTTCTCTATTTCAAGCAGATAGGTAGGTGACTTTGATAAACAAGCATACCTTGAAGATATTTCAGGCTTGGTTTTAGACCAACACAAAACAAGGGAATATCACAGTAAAAAGGAAGTCACACAATTTTTTGTCAGTTTCCCAGTGCATATACAGGTTAGTTTATATACTGCAGTCTTATTAATTGTGCAATAGCATCATGTCTAAAAATGCACATAGCTTAGTTAAAAATACTGTGTTGCTATAAATCTCTAATGACCATATGAGCCTTCAGTAAGTAGCAATCTTTTTGCTGATGGACAATCTTGCCTCAGTGTTGATGGCTGCTGACTGATCATGGTGGTGGTTGCTGAAGGTTGATGTGGCTGTAGCAATTTCTTAAAGTAAAATAACAGTGAAGCTTGCCACATCAATGGACACTTTTGCAAAATATTTCTCTGTAGCACACAATGCTATTTGACAGCATTTGACCCAGAGTAGAACTTCTTTCTAAACGGGAGTCAGCCCTCTCAAACCCTGTTGCTGCTTTATCAGCTAAGTTTGTGTAATATTCTAAATTCTTTGTTGTCATTTCAACAATGTTCACAGCATCTTCACAAAGAGTAGATTCCATTTTAAGAAACCACTTTCTTTGCTCATCCGTAAGAAACAACTTCTCATCCCTTAAAGTTTCATCATGAGATTGCAGCAGTTCAGTCACATCCTCAGGGCCCTCTTATTCTAATTCTTTTGCCATTTCTACCACATCTTCAGTTATTTTCTCCACTGAAGTATTGAATATCTCAAAGTTATCTATGAGTGTTGGACTCCCCTTCTTCCAAACTCCTGGTAACTATGATAATTTGACCTCCTCCCATAAATTACAAATGTTCCTAATTTCATATAGAATGGTGAAACCTTTGCAGAAGATTTTTCAACCTACTTTGCCCAGATCCATGAGAGAAATCACTATCTCTATAAGCTATAGCCTTATGCAATGTAGTTACTAAATAACAAGGCTTGAAAGTTGAAAAATACTCCTTGATCTGTGGACTGCAGAATAGACGTTGTGTTAGCAGACACAAAAACAAAATGAATATCCTGAGCAGTTTAGGCCAAAATGTTGGATTATAAGCACGTCATGTGCACTGCCCTCGTGGAGAGGAAACAAAAGGGTTAGTGAACACTGACGCTGTGGGTCGACCATCTGAGAAACCACATTAGGATCCACAAGGCAGCAAGGGACCATGGAGAGCAGAGAAGAGTGAAACTGGACACTAGCCTGTCTGAGCTCAGCACAGAGCCAGGAAAATCTCTCCAACATGGGAAAGGGTGAATGAGTGAGACCCCTGGGGGGATTCATGATCTTCACAGTGACCTGAGCAAGACTGGGAATGGGAGACTTCTGCCCCCACCCTACATCTCCCCACCATCCTTCTAGCCTGAGGCAGAGAGCTACCCAGCACTTTGCAGGAGCAACTCTCCAGTCGAAGGGGACCTCTACAATCTTTGGGCCCCAGAGCAGACCAATACCAATATGGCAGCGCATCATCACCTTAGCCCCAGTAGAAGTCATAGTTATGGTGTCTGGGAGCAGTAAGATTGCTCCACTCCCCCTTGCTGGACAGAGCTTGGCACCAGCTTTCAGCCCAGGAGTTCTGCTTTGGCCCGAACTCGACCAGCCAGTCCACTCACTCCCACCACTGGTAACTGGGTGGGCAATGCTTGCTTGAGCTTCCGGCCCAGCGGTCCCACTTTTTTGTGAGCTCATATGGAGGGCACAGCCTCCAGATATCCTGGGAAACACCTAGATGGCAGGGCCTGTAGACTCACCCGCCCCTTCCACTGATTTCCCAGAGGACAATGCTTGCTAGAGCTTCTGGCCCAGGGGTCCTGCTTCTATGTGAACTCAGCTGGAGGGCACAGCTTCCTGTTGTCCTGGGAAACACCTGTACAGGAAAGCATGTGACCTCACCCACCCCTGCCACGGGTAGCCAGGCAGGCAACCTTGCTTGAGCTTCTTGCCCAGCAGCCCTGCTTCTGTGTGAACTCAGCCAGAGGGCGCAGCCTCCTATTGTCCTGGAAAACACCCAGATGGTGGGGCCTGTGACCTCACCCACCCCTGCCACTGATAACTTTGTGGGCAATGTCTACTAGAGCTTCCTGCCCAGTGGCTCCACTTCTGTGTGAGCTCAGCCAGAGGGTACAGCCTCCTGATGTCCCTGGAGGCACCCAGACAGCAGGGCAGGCAACCCCACCCACCCCCACCAATGTAGCTGATAGGCAATGCTTGCAAGAGCTTATAGCCCAGGTGGTCCAGCTTCTGTGGAAACTCAGCTGGAGGGCACAGTCACTTGTTGTCTTGGGAAACAACAGGACAACAGATCAGGTGACCCCACTCATCTCCACCACTGCTAGCCAACTGAACAATGGCCTGTTAAGGTTTCTGGTCCAGTGGTCCACTTCTATGTAAACTCATCTAGAGGAGGCAGCTTCTTGTTTTCCCAGGAAACACCCGGATGGCAGAGCAAGTGATCCCACCACCCCCCTCACTAGTAGCCAACTGAGCCATGCCTGCTAGAGCTTCGAGCCCAGGGGGCCTACTTCTGCCCCAAGGTGACAGGGTGGGTAACTCCACTCACCCCTAGCCTCTTGTAGCCCAAATATACATGCATCCAACACAGGAGCACCCAAATTTATAAAGCAAGTTGTTAGAAACTTTCAAAGAGACTTGGACTCTCACACAATAATAGTGGGAGACTTCAACACCCCACTGACAGTACTAGACAGATCATTGAGGCAGAAAATTAATAAAGGTATTCAGGACCTGAACGCTATACTTGATCAAATGGAGCTAATAGACATCTACAGAATGCTCCACCCTAAAACAATGGAATGTACATTCTTCTCATCACCACATGGTACATACTCCAAAATCAACCACACATAAAACAATCCTTGGCAATTTCAAAAAAACTGACATCAACTAACCACACTCTGGGAACACAGTACAATAAAAATAGAAATGAATACTAGAAAGTCATTCAAAATCATACAATTATACAAAAATTAAACAGCCTGCTCCTGAATGACTTTTGGGTAAATAATGAAATTAGGGCAGAAATCAAGAAATCTTCGAAAATGATGAGAATAAAGATACAACATACCAAAATCTCTGGGACACACCTAACGCAGTGTTAGGAGGGAAGCTTATAGCACTAAACACCCACATCAAAATGTTAGATCTCAAATGAACAACCTAACATCACAACTAGAAAAACTAGAGTAGCCAGAGCAGATCGACTTCAATCTATTGAAAGACAAGAAATAACCAATATCAGAACTGAACTGAAGGAAATTGAGATACAAAAACCATACAAAAGATCAACAAATCCAGGAGTTGGTTCTTTGAAAAAATTCATAAGGGAGATAGACTACTGGCTAGACTGATAAGGTAAAAAACAGAGAAGATCCAAATAAACACAATTAGAAATGATAAAGGAGATGTTACCACTGACTTCATAGAACTACAAAAAACCGCCAGAGACTACTATGAAAAGCTCTATCCAAACTACAAAACCTATAAAAAATAGGTAAATTTTTGGACACATACAACCTCCCAAGATTGAACCAGGAAAAAATTGAATCCCTGAACAGACCAATAACAAGTTCCAAAATTGAATCAGTAATAAAAAGCCTACCACCAATAACAAAAAAAGCCCAGGATTAGACACATTCGCAGTTGAATTCTACCAGATATAAGAAGAAGAGATTGTATCATTCCTACTGAAATTATTCCAAAAGTTTGAGAAGGAGGGACTTGTCCCTCCTAAGCTCATTCTAAGGTGCCAGCATCATCCTGATATAAAAATCTGGCAGACACACAAAAACAACAACAACAACAAAAACTTAAGGTAAATATCCTTGATGAACATAGCTACAAAAATCCTCCACAAAATACTAGTAAACCAAATCCAGCAGCACGTCAAAAAGCTAATCTACCACACTCTAGTAGGCATTATCCCTGGGATGCAAGGTTGAGGCACAACATACACAAATCAATAAGTGTGATTCATCACATAAACATAACTAAAGCCAAAAAACACACGAGCATCTCGACAGATGCAGAAAAAGCTTTTGATAAAATTTAACATTCCTTCATGTTAAAAACTAGGGAATGAACATACATCAAAATAATAAAAGCCACCAATGACAAACCCACACCTAATATCATACTGAACAGGCAAAATCTGCAAGAATTCCCCTTGAAACCAGGCACAAAACAAGGATGTCCTCTCTCACCACTCCTATTCAATATAGTATTAGAAGTCCTGGCCAGAGCAATCAGTCAAGAGAAAGAAATAAAAGGCATCCAAATAGGAAGAGAGGAAGTCAAGCTATCCCTGTTTGCAGACAGTAAGATCCTATATCTAGAAAACCCCATAGTCTCTGCCCAAACGCTCTGTGATCTAAGAAGCAACTTCAGCAGTTTCTGGATACAAAATCAGTGTATGCGAATTAGTAGAATTCCTATTCACAAACAACATCCAAGCTGAGGGACAAATCAGGAATGCAATCCCATTCACAACTGCCACAGAAAGAATAAGATACCTAGGAGTACAGCTAATCAGGAAGGCATTAATTCTCTACAATGAGAATTACAAAACACTGCTCAAAGAAATTAGAGATAATCACACAAATGGAAAAACATTCCATGATCATGGATAGGAAGAATAAATGTTGTTAACATGGCCATACTGCCCAAAGCAATTTACACATAAAATGCTATTCCTATCAAACTACCAATTATGTTTTTCACAGAACTAGAGAAACTATTTTCAAATTCAAATGGAACCAAATACAGCTTGAATAGCCAAGGCAATCCTGAGAAAAAAGAACAAAGCTGGAGGCAACCCATTACACAACTTCAAACCCTACTACAAAGCTACAGTAACGCAAACAGCATGATACTAGTACCAAAACAAACATATGCACCAATGGAACATAATAGAGTCCAGAAATAATGTTGCACACCTACAACCACCTGATCTTTGACAAAGCTGACAAAAACAAGCAAGGGGGGCTGGGCATGGTGGCTTACACATGTAATCCCAGCACTTTGGGAGGCAGAGGCAGGTGGATCACAAGATCAGGAGATCGAGACCATCCTGGCTAACAAGAAGAAACCCCATCTCTACTAAAAATATAAAAAATTAGCCGGGTGTGGTGATGCACGCCTGTGGTCCCAGCTACTCGGGAGGCTGAGGCAAGAGAATCGCTTGAACCTGGGAGGTGGAGGTTGCAGATATCGCACCAGTGCACTCCAGCCTGGGCGACAGAGTGAGACTCTGTCTCAGAATACAAACAAACAAACAAACAAAAAACAAGCAATGGAGAAATAAATAATTCCCTATTTAATAAGTCAATAAGTGGTGCTGGGATAAGTGGCTACCCATATGGAAGATTAATCCTGAACCCCTTCCTTACAAAAATCAATTCAAGATAGATTAAAGACTTAAATGTAAAATGTATAAATATAAAAACCTTGAAAGATAACCTAGGAAATATCATTCTGGACACAAGACTTGGTAAAGATTTCATGACAAAGACTCCAAAAGCAACTGAAACAACAACAACAACAACAAAATTGACAAATGGGATCTAATTAAGCTTAAGAGCTGTTTCACAGCAAAACAAACTATCAACAGAATAAACAGACAACCTATAGAATGGGGGAAATATTTGCAAATTGCAAATATTGCAATCTGACAAAGGTTCAATAACCAGAATTTATAAAGACACAAATTTACAAGCAAAACACAAACAACCCCATTAAATAGTGGGCAAAGGACTTGAACAGACTCTTTCCAAAAGAAGACATACATGTGGCCAACAAGCACATGAAAAAATGCTCAACATCATAGTCATTAGAGAAATGCAAATCAAAACCACCATGAGATGCTATCTCACACCAGTCAGAAAGGCTATACTAAAAAGTCAAAAAGTAACAGATGGTGTCAACCTTACAAAGAAAAGGGAACACTTATACACTGCTTGTGAGAATGTGAATTAGTTTAACCATTGTGGAAAGCAGTATGGCAATTCCTCGAAGAACTCGAAACAGAAATATCATTCTACCTAGCAATCCCATTATTGAGTATATACCCAGAGGAATATAAATTATTCCACCATAAAGATACATGCACGCATATGTTCCTTGCAGCACTATTCACAATAGCAAAGACAAAAGCTAGAGGCCTAGCTTTTGGCTTACCTCAAATTTGACACGTCCTTCTAGCTTTTGATTTGAAGTGAGAGACATGCAACTCTTTCTCACTTTCTCTGCCATCGTAGGATTATTAATTGGCCTAATTTTAATATTGTTGTGTCTCAGGAAATAGGGAAGCCTGAGAACAAAGAGATAGATTGGGAAATGGCTGGTTCATGGAGCAGTCAGAAAACACACAGCATGCATCAATTAAGTTTGCTGCAGGCATCTTTCATGGTGTCCCCCCAAAATTGCAATAGGAAAATCAAAGATCACTGATTACACATCTCTATGACAGATATAATAATAATAATAATAATAATAATAATAATAAAGTTTGAAGTGTGAGAATTATCAGAATGTGACATGCAGACACAAAGTGAGAATATGCTGTTAGAAAAATGGTACCAACAGACTTGGTAGAAGCAGCTTTGCCACAGACCTTCAGTTTGTAAAAAACAGAGTATCTGTGAGGTGTAATGAAACAAAGTGCCATAAAATGAGGTATGTCTGTATTTAGAACTATGAGATCTGTCTCTACAACCAAATACATTTGTAAAAAATATTTAAATTATTTGTGCAAAACAATAGAGATACCAAGAGGATGAATAATAATCACTTGCAAGGAGAGTATACTCTGTAATAGGACATACCAAAAAAGTCATACACAGTATAACATGGGCTACATGCTTATGATGCCATATTAGGGAAATGGTAAGTGTATTAGTCAGGGTTCTCTAAAAGGACAGAACTAATAGGATAGATGAACACATGAAGAGTTTATTAGGAGAATTGACTCACACGATGACAAGAATTGGCTGTCTGTAAGCTGAGGAGCCAGGAAGCCAGTCTGAGTCCCAAAACCTCAAAAGTAGGGAAGCCGACAGTACAGCCTTCAGTCTGTGGCTGAAGGCCAGAGAGCTCCTGGCAAATCACAAGAGTCTTAAAGCTGAAGAAATTGGAGTCTAATGTTTGAGGGCAGGAAGCATCCAGCATGGGAGAAAGATGGAGGCCAGAAGATTCAGCCAGTCTAGTCTTTCCACATTCCTCTGGCTACATTTATCCTAGCTGCACTGGCAGCTGATTAGGTAGTGCCCACCCAGACTGAGAATGGGTCTGCCTCTTCCAGTCCACTGACTCAAAATGTTAATCTTCAGCAACACCTTAACAGATTTACTTAGGAACAATACTTTGCATCCTTCAATCCAATCAAGTTGACACTCAATATTAACCATCACGGTAAATAAGTTCTATAAAAGAGAGATTGCTGTGGAATTGTTCCATCAAAAAGGCTGTGAGAAAATTTCTCATCATCTGGACTTTGAAGTGCAAGAGTCAATACCATTCAGCAGACATTCATGTCATTGGCAAGACAAATTGGAAATGAAATGAAGTTAAGACTCATGGAGTTCTTCCTGTAGTTCAGGCGCTGCTCATTGTTCTTAAAATGAGTAGTTTTACTTAAGACAAAGAAGTAATCAGTATCTTTGATTTGAAAGTGAAGAAATTTGATGTTCAGAAAAGTTGAAGAAAGATTGCCCAGAGACAAACAGCAAGTAAAGAATTCAAGATGGGAGCCAGGGCCAGGTTTGTCTTTTTCCAAAGCCTGGTTTTTGGGGCACCATGTCTGTTCTTGAAGATGCGAACAGAATGGTCTGAGTAATTAAGAAAAGATGTGATATATGTGGTAGGGAGTTTGAAGCTGAATTTTGGCTGAAGCAGAATATTCTTGATGAAGAGGATTGAGATGTAAAGAGAGAGGAACTGGTGGCAGACTTTGCGAAGCTTGAATTTTATTTTTTAGGCAACTGATTAGTAATCATTGATTATTATGCCAATGTTTGGCTGAATTTAAATGTTCTTCCAGTACCTGGGCTACAATACAACATAGACTACATGCCTATTATGCTGCATTAGATGGATGGTAAATAAATTCTGTAAGGGAGAGGTCAATGTGGAATTGTTATGTCAAAAAGACAGAAAATTTCTCATCTTGACTTTGAATTAAACACTTTTTTATTGTGTTAAAAAACAAAATGAGATCTACCTTTCAACAAGGTTTAATTTTTTTATTATACTCTAAGTTCTAGGGTACATGTGCACAACATGCAGGTTTGTTACCTAGGTATACAAGTTCCATGTTGGTTTGTTGCACCCATCAACTCGTCATTTACATTAGGTATTTCTTCTAATGCTATCCGTCCCCCAGCCCCCCACCCCCTGACAGGCCCCAGTGTGTAATGTTCCCCACCCTGTGTCCATGTGTTCTTGTTGTTCAACTCCCACTTATGAGTGAGAACGTGAGGTGTTTGGTTTTCTGTCCTTGTGATAGTTTGCTTAGAATGATAGTTTCCAGCTTCATCCATGTCCCTGCAAAGGACATGAACTCATCCTTTTTTATGGCCACATAGTATTCCATGGTGTACATGCGTGACATTTTCTTAATCAAGTATATCATTGATGGACATTTGGGTTGGTTCCAAGTCTTTGCTATTGTGAATAGTGCCGCAATAAACATACCTGTGCATGTGTCTTTGCAGTAGCATGACTTATAATCCTTTGGGTATATACCCAGTAATAGGATCGCTGGGTCAAATGATACTTCTAGTTCTAGATCCTTGAGGAATCACCACACTGTCTTCCACAATGGTTGAACTAATTTACACTCCCACCAACAGTGTAAAAGCATTCCTATTTCTCCACATCCTCTCCAGCATCTGTTGTTTTGGAATTTTTAATGATCACCATTCTAACTGGTGTGAGATGGTATCTCATTGTGGTTTTGATTTGCATTTCTCTGATGACCAGTGATGATGAGCATTTTTTCATGTCTGTTGGTTGCATAAATGTCTTCTTTTGAGAAGTGTCTGTTCATATCCTATGACCACTTTTTGATAGGGTTATTTGTTTTTTTCTTGTAAATTTGTTTAACTTCTTCATAGATTCTGGATATTAGCGCTTTGTCAGATGGGTAGATTGCAAATATTTTCTCCCATTCTGTGGGTTGCCTGTTCACTCTGATGATAGTTTCTTTAGCTGTGCAGAGGCTCTTTACTTTAATTAGATCCCATTTGTCTATTTTGGCTTTTGTTGCCATTGCCTTTGGTGTTTTAGTCATGAAGTCTTTGCCCATGCCTATGTCCTGAATGGTATTGCTTAGGTTTTCTTCTAGGGTTTTTATGGTGTTAGGTCTTACATTTAAGTCTTTAATGCATCTTGAGTTAATTTTTGTATACGGTATAAGGAAGTGATCCAGTTTCAGCTTTCTACATATGGCTAGCCAGTTTTCCCAGTACCATTTATTAAATAGGGAATCCTTTCCCCATTGCTTGTTGTTGTCACGTTTGTCAAAGATCAGATGGTTGTAGATGTGTGGTGTTATTTCTGAGGCCTCTGTTCTGTTCCATTGGTCTATATATCTGTTTTGGTACCAGTACCATGCTGTTTTGGTTACTGCAGCCTTGTAGTAGTGTCTGAAGTCAGGTAGCATGAGGCCTCCAGCTATGTTCTTTTTGCTTAAGATTGACTTGGCTATGCGGGCTCTTTTTTGGTTCCATATGAACTTTAAAGTAGTTTTTTCCAATTCTGTGAAGAAAGTCAGTGGTAGCCTGATGGGGATAGCATTGAATCTATAAATTACCTTGGGTAGTATGGCCATTTTCATGATATTGATTCTTCCTATCCATGAGCATGGAATGTTCTTCCATTTGTTTGTGTCCTCTTTTATTTCACTGATCAGTGGTCTGTAGTTCTCCTTGAAGAGGTCCTTCACATCCCTTGTAAGTTGGATTCCTAGGTATTTTATTCTCTTTGTAGTAATTGTGAATGGGAATTCACTCATGATTTGGCTCTCTGTTTGTCTATTATTGGTGTATAGGAATTCTTGTGATTTCTGCACATTGATTTTGTATCCTCAGACTTTGCTGAAGTTGCTTATCAGCTTAAGGAGATTTTGGACGGAGACGATGGGGTTTTCTAAATATACAATCACGTCATCTGCAAAGTCAGAGATAATTTGACTTCCTCTTTTCCTAATTGAATACACTTTGTTTCTTTCTCTTGACTGATTGTCCTAGCCAGAACTTCCAACACTATCTTGAATGGGAGTGGTGAGAGGACATCCTTGTCTTGTGACAATTATCAAAGGGAATGCTTCCAGTTTTTGCCCATTCAGTATGATATTGGCTGTGGGTTTGTCATAAATAGCTCTTATTATTTTGAGGTACATTCCATCAATATCTAGTTTATTGAGAGCTTTTAGCATGAAGGGGTGTTGAATTTTGCCAAAGGCCTTTTCTGCATCTATTGAGATAATCATGTGGTTTTTGTCATAAACATGACAATTTATCCAATAAACATGGATTATGTTTATTGATTTGTGTATGTTGAACCAGCCTTGCATTCCAGGGATGAAGCCAACTTGATTGTGGTGGATAAGCTTTTTGACACGCTGCTGGATTTGGTTTGCCAGTATTTTATTGAGGATTTTCATATTGATGTTCATCAGGGATATTGGCCTAAAATTCTCTTTTTTCATTGTGTCTCTACCAGGCTTTGGTAACAGGATGATGCTGGCCTTATAACATGAGTTAGGGAGGATTCCCTCTTTTTCTATTGATTGAAATAGTTTCAGAAGGAATGGTACCAGCTCCTCTTTGTACCTCTGGTTGAATTTGGCTGTGAATCTGTCTGATCCTAGACTTTTTTGGCTGGTAGGCTATTAATTATTGCCTCTCTTTCAGAACCTGTTATTAGTCTATTTAAAGATTCAACTTCTTCCTAGTTTAGTCTTGGGAGGGTATGTGTGTCCAGGAATTTATCCATTTTTTCTAGGTTTTCTAGTTTATTTGCACAGAGGTGTTTACAGTATTATCTGATGGTCATTTGTATTTCTGTGTGATCAGTGGTGATATATCCTTTACCATTTTTTATGGCGTCTATTTGATTCTTCTCTCTTTTCTTTATTAGTCTTGCTTTTATTGATCTCTTTCAAAAAACCAGCTCCTGGATTCAATTTTTTTGCAGGGTTTTTTGTGTCTCTATCTCCTTCAGTTCTGCTCTGATCTTAGTTATTTTTTGCCTTCTGCTAGCTTTTGAATTTGTTTGCTCTTGCTTCTCTAGTTCTTTTAATTGTGATGTTAGGGTGTCAATTTTAGCTCTTTCCTGCTTTCTCTTGTGGGCATTTAGTGCTATAAATTGCCCTCTACACACTGCTTTAAATGTGTCCAGAGATTCTGGTACATTGTGTCTTTGTTCCCATTGGTTTCAAAGAACATCTTATTTCTGCCTTCATTTTGTTGTCTATCCAGTAGTCATTCAGGAGCAGATAGTTCAGTTTCCATGTAGTTGTGTGGTTTTGAAGGAGTTTGTTAATCCTGAGTTTTAGTTTGATTGCACTGTGGTCTGAGAGACAGTTTCTTGTGATTTCTGTTCTTTTACATTTGCTGAAGAGTGTTTTACTACCAATTATGTGGTCAATTTTAGAATAAGTCCAATGTGGTGCTGAGAAGAATGAATATTCTGTTGATTTGGGGTGTAGAGCTCTGTAGATGTCTATTAGGTCCGCTTGGTGCAGAGCTGAGTCCAACTCCTGGATATCCTTGCTAACCTTCTGTCTCGTTGATCTGTCTAATATTGACAGTGGGGTGCTAAATTTTCCCATTATTATTGTGTGGGAGTCTAAGTCTCTTTGTAGGTCTTTAAGGACTTGCTTTATGAATCTGTGTGCTCCTGTATTGGATGCATATATATTTAGGATAGTTAGCTCTTCTTACTAAATTGATCCCTTTACCATTATGTAGTGGCCTTCTTTGTCTCTTTTGATCTTCATTGGTTTAATGTCTGTTTTATCAGAGACTAGGATTACAACCCCTGCTTTTGTGTGTGTGTGTGTGTGTGCTTTCCATTTCCTTGCTAGATCTTCCTCCATCCCTTTATTTTCAGCCTATGCGCATCTTTGCACGTGAGATGGGTCTCCTGAATACAGCACACCAATGGGTCTTGACTCTTTATCCAATTTGTCAGTCAGTGTCTTTTAATTGGAGCATTTTACCCACTTACATTTAAGGTTAATATTGTTATGTTTGAATTTGATCCTGTCATTATAATGTTAGCTGTTTATTTTGCCTGTTAATAATCCAGTTTCTTCATAGCATCGATGGTCTTTACCATTTGGCATGTTTTTGCAGTGGCTGGTACCGGTTGTTCATTTCCATGTTTAGTGCTTCCTTCAAGAGCTCTTGTAAGGCAGTGTTGTCACCTGGTGGTGACAAAATCTCTCAGCATTTGCTTGTCTATAAAGGATTTTATTTCTCCTTCAATTATTAAGCTGAGTTTGGCCGGATATGAGATTCTGGGTTGAAAATTCTTTTCTTTAAGAATGTTGAATATTGACCCCCACTCTCTTCTGGCTTGTAGGGTTTCTGCCAAGAGATCCACTGTTAGTCTGATGGGCTTCCCTTTGTGGGTAACCCGACCTTTATCTCTGGCTGCCCTTAACATTTTTTCCTTCATTTCAACCCTGGTGAATCTCACAATTATGTGTCTTGGGGTTGCTTTTCTCGAGGAATATCTTTGTGGTGTTCTCTGTATTTCCTGAATTTGAATGTTGGCCTGCCTTGCTAGGTTGGGGAAGTTCTCCTGGATAATATTGTGAAGAGTGTTTTCTAACTTAGTTCCATTCTCCCTATCACTCTCCAGACACCAATCAAACGTATATTTCATCTTTTCACATAGTCCCACATTTCTTGGAGGCTTTGTTCATTTCTTTTCACTCTTTTTTCTCTAATCTTGTCTTCTCACTTTATTTCATTAATTTGATCTTCAATCACAGATATCCTTTCTTCCACTTGATCAAATTGGCTATTGAAGCTTGTGCATGTACCACAAAGTTCTTGTGCCATGGTTTTCAGCTCTATCAGGTCATTTAAGGTCTTCTCTACACTGTTTATTCTAGTTAGCCATTCATCTAACCTTTTTTCAAGGTTTTTAGCTTCCTTGTGATGGGTGAGAACATGGTCCTTTAGCTCAGTGAAGTTTGTTATTACCGACTTTCTTGTGCCTACTTCTGTCAACCCATCAAACTCATTCTCCATCTGGTTTTTTTCCCTTGCTCGCGAGGAGCTGTGATTCTTTGGAGGAGAAGAAGCACTCTGTTTTTTGGAATTTTCAGCTTTTCTGCTCTGGTGTCTCCCCATCTTTGTGGTTTTATCTACCTTTGTTCTTTGATGTTGGTGACCTACAGATGGGGTTTTGGTGTGGATGTCCCTTTTGTTGATGTTGATGCTATTCTTTTCTGTTTGTTAGTTTTCCTTCTAACAGTCAGACACCTCAGCTGCAGGTCTGTTGGAGTTTGTTGGAGGTCCACTCCAGACCCTGTTTGCCTGGGTATCACCAGCCGAGGCTGCAGAACAGCAAATATTGCTGCCTGATCCTTCCTCTGCAAGCTTTGTCCCAGAGAGGCACCTGCCTGTTTGAGGTGTTTGTCAGCCTCTACTGGGAGGTGTTCCCCAGTCAGGCTACATGGGGGTCAGGGACCCACTTGAGGAGGCAGTCTGTCTGTTCTCGGAGCTCAAACGCCACGCTGAGAGAGCCACTGCTCTCTTCAGAGCTGTCAGACAGGGACGTTTAATTCTGCAGAAGCTGTCTGCTGCCTTTTGTTCTACTATGACCTGCCCCCAGATGTGGAATCTATAGAAACAATAGGCCTTGCTAAGCTGCAGTGGGTTCCACCCAGTTTGTGCTTCCAAGCCTCTTTGTTTACACTGTGAGTTACTCAAGCCTCTGCAATGGCAGATGCCCCTCCATCCATCAGGCTGCAGAGTTGCAAGTCAATCTCAGACTGCTGCACTAGCAGTGAGCAAGGCTCTATGGGCATGTGTCCCACCAAGCCAGGCACCAGAAGGTATCTCCTGGTCTAGCAGTTGCTAAGACTGTGGGAAAAGTGCAGTATTTGGTCAGAAGTGTACCGTTTCTCCAAGTAGTCTGTCATGGCTTCCTTTGGCTAGGGAAGGGAAATCCCCTGACTCCTTGCACTTCACGGGTGAAGTGACACCCTGCCCTGCTTCAGCTCACCCTCCATGGGCTGTACACACTGTCCAACCACTCTCAATGAGATGAATCAGGTACCTCAGTTGTAAATGCAGAAATCATCTGTCTTCTGCATCAATCTCGCTGGGAGCTGCAGACCGGAGCTATTCCCATTTGGCCATCTTGGAAGCGACCTAACAAAGTTTTAAGTGTAAAATGGAGCACTGTTAATTAAGCACAATGTTGTATAGCATATCTCTTTGCTTTCTTTTTATTTGTGATTTTGAAAATATCCATATGTTCAAAATGTTTCATAAAGTAATGGTGTTTTCAATATTAATTTAATTTACCTTTTTCAGGTGATGTGTTCCTATAAGGCATTTCAATTTTATTAATGGCTGTTAGTCAAAGTAGATGCTTTTTTAAGAAAAAAAAAATCTGTCTTTAAAACAGTTAATTTTTTTTTCATTTGCAGTTGCAAGATTTAATAGAGTGAAAACAGAGCTCCCATACAAGGGGAGGGGACCCAAAGGGGGTTGCCGCTCCCTGCTCAAATGCCTGGGTTTATATTTTGATCATTGTCACTCCCACTGTGCTCTCAGGTGATATACGATTTGACTATTTCTTTACTTCCTACTTTTAGCCTGATTTGTATTTTAGTGAGCCTTCTTTACTACCTGATTGGTCAGGTTTGAGCTGAGTTACAAGCCAAGCCTATGTTTAAAGGTAGGTGCCGTCACCCTCTCCAGCTAGGCTTAGAAATTATTAGTTGGCCTAGGAAATCCAGCTAGTCATCTCTCAGTGTCCCCTCTCAAAAGGAAAACCCAAGTGCTGTTGGGGAGTTTGGCTGATGATCGCTGTAAATGCTTCCTGCTGAATTGGGACACAGTAGGGGTCGTGCAGTTAAGACTTCCTCCAGAGGGGTGCCTTCGATGTCATCAACATTGCAGCATGGGCTAGCAGGCCACTCCAGGGGTTCGCGGTAGATCTTAGTCATGGATTGCATCTGGGGCTCCATTCGAGGAACCATTTGTAGTTTTACACCTTTGATTCTGGAAGAGACAAACTTAACAAGGAGGTTAAAGATACAGGGATTGAAATGTATGGCCTGAAGTGCAGAGGCATATTGGTGTGGCCGGTGAAAGTGGGGTTTCCTTTAGAAAAATTCCTATATGATGGGGCATCAATATTTCCGGGAAGCTGCATTCTCCATAGAAGCTCTTCATAAGGGGAGCTACTGGTAGTACAATGGCATGGAGGGGGTGCAGTGAGTGTGAAAGGGGGTAAGAGAACAGTAAAAAGAAAAATATGACAAGGGAGGGCCATTGGGATCTATGATTCTAGTTACTTTCCTCTTGTTTGTTGCTTGAAAAGCAGGTGCAGATCCTCTAGAGGTTCACAGGAATAGCTAGCGTTGTCTCCTGGATTTTCGGGTTCCTTTGGCAGTATCCAGGGTTTGACTCAAGTGTGATGTATCCAAGACTCCACTCCAGCCACTTTAACCATGGTTGGGGTAGATAAAATGACTGGGTAGGATCCTTCTCAGGATGTATCTAGGGATGGGGACTTAGAAGGAAGGGACTTGACCAATACCTATCACCAGGGTGGAATAATTCCTTTCCCTCCTCTCGGGGACAGGTTCCTTGTAATGTTTTAAGAACTTGTTGATATTTGGCTAAGGAGGTGACGTCTGCAACTAAGTGGGCTGTCTCTCAGTCAAGCACCAGGTCATTGGTTAGGAAGGGCCATCCATACAGCATCTCATATGGGCTAAGTTCCGCTTTTTGGGGAGAGTTTTGGATTCTTAGTAAGGCTATAGGCAACAGAGCAGGCCATACAAGGTGGGTTTCTTGGGTTAGCTTTTTTAGATGTCATTTGAGTGTTTCATTCATTTTCTCAACTTTTCCTGAGGATTGTGGCCTCCAGGCACAGTGTAAGTGATATTGTATGCCTAACGCCTGGGATACTCCCTGGGTTACTGCGGCCTTGAAAGCAGGGCCATTGTCACTCTGTAAGCCTTGGGGAAGTCTGACTCTTGGAATTATTTCACAAATTAGTGCCTTTATTAATTCTTGGGCCTTTTCTGTCTTACAAGGAAAAGTCTCCACCCAACCAGTGAAAGTATCTACCCAGACTAGTAGATATTGAAATCCCTGAGATTTGGGCATGTGGGTAAAATCTAGTTGCCACTCTTCTCCTGGGTAATGGCCTGTCCTTTGTTCTCCTGAAGGAGCTTGGTGATAAGGCAGGGGATTATTTCTTTGGCATACTTCACAGGCCCTGACTATCTGCTTGATAGTTTTGAAAAGGCCTGGTCCAGTAAATAATGATTTGGCCATCTGATGGGTGCTATCAATGCCTAAGTGAAAGGTCTGGTTAAGGGTTTTAAGTAATTTCCATTGGTTAGCTGCAGGCAACAGTATTTTTCCTTCTTTGGTGGCTAGCCATCCTGAGGGGAGGAAACTATGTCCTCATGAGGTTCCCCATTCTATTTCTTCTGCTGAGTACTGGGGCTTGGTTTCCTGGAGGGGATTACCCCATACTAGGGGTCCTTCTATAAGCATTTCTAATGGAGGTCCCACATTGTGGCTCTTTTGGCTTCAATATCCTTGCAGCTCTTTTGGCTTCAATATCCACTTGGTGGTTCCTTTCTATTTCCTTTTCCTTTCCTTTCTGATGACCCCAGCAGTGTAAGACTGCCACCTCTTTAGGTTTCTGTACAGCCAATAATGATCTCCTAATGGCTTCCTGATGTTCGATAGGTGTTCCCTCAGAAGTTAGGAATTCCCTTTCTCTCCATACTGCTGTGTGGGCATGGAGGACTGGGTAAGCATACTTAAAGTCTGTATATATATTTACCCTTTTTCTTTCTCCTAATTCTAGTGCCCGAGTGAGGGCTATTGGTTCTGCTAGCTGAGTGCTAGTTCCTGGAGTGAAGGGATTACTTTCAAGTATTCCATTATCACTGACCACTGCATACCCTGCCTTTCGAATTCCTTTTTCTACAAAGGAGCTTCCATCAGTATACAAGTTGAGGTGAGGATCAGTCAAGGGAACCTCTAGAAGGTCCCCTTGAGTGGCATAGGTTTGAGCAATTACTTGTTGACAGTTATGTTCTATCTTTTCTTCATTGTCTGGAAGAAATGTGGCTGGATTAAGAGTTGCACAAGTGTGCAGTCGCAGCACTGGGCCTTCAAAGAGCCTGATATTTAAGCAAACAGTTGTCTGACAGCCACAAGTCTCCCTTAGCAGTGAGTATGCTGTTCATATCATGAGATGTCCACACAGTAAGATCTCTTCCCTGTATCATTTTAACTCCTTCAGATACTAAGACTGCTACTGCTGCCACTACCCATAAACAATGAGGCCAACCCTTTGCCCCTACATCAATTTCCTTACTCAGGTATGCCACGGGTTGCAAGCTGGTCCCTTGGACCTGTGTAAGACTCCTAGAGCTATACCTGTTTTTTCTGTCACATATAAAGAAAAGTCTTGCCCCGTTGGCAAGCTTAATACTGGGGCTTGGGTTAGGGCCTTCTTTAGGGCCTGAAAAGCCACTTCTGCTTCAGGTGTCCATTCTACTAAATGAGTATTGGCTTTCTGAGTTTCCTAAATTAGTGTACATAATGGCCTGGCTATTTCGCCGTACCTGGGAATCCATATTTGGCAGAAGCCTGTTATGCCAAGGAAGCCTCTTAATTGCTTCAGGGCTTTGGGATGAGGATAAGCCAGTATAGGCTGAATATGTGCCTCACTGAGGGCCCTGGTGCCTTTGGATAATTCTAACCCTAAGTATTTAACCTGCTATAAGCAGAGCTGAGCCTTTGGTTTGGAAACCTTGTAGCCACAGGCAGCAAGGAAGTTTAAGAGCACTTGGGTGGTTCGATGGCACAAAGTTTCTGAACTGGCAGCTAAAAGTAAATTGTCCACATACCTCCAATCCCTGCCTCCTAGGTACTAATGCTGCAGACTTTCACTTCCTCTCCCAAGTATTAGAGCAAGTTGTATCTCCAAAGGGATCTTATGAAGCTCTATGCTGCATCCTTGGGCATCTAGGCTATGAACCCAGGGAGTCTTGCTCCTGGTGTCCCTCCCAATTTAGGTATACAGCTGTCGACATGGGCAGTTATGTGGGACCTGTTCCCCACCACCCTTCCCAGGGCCTTAGAACTGATGACCCAGTACTTTACCAACTGGAACTGGGTCTACGACAACATAATAGATCAGGATGAAAGTGAATTGAGTAAATTAAAGGGAGGCGCATATTCCTATAGTATCAAATGGGGGCAATGAGCGAACGTCCTTCCACTGTGTTCCCAAAATCCATATACCAAGAAAGAGAAAGAGAGGCAGAGAGAGAGAAAAGAGAAAGAAAGAGAGAAAAAAAGAGAAAAAGGAGAGAGAGGAAAGAAAAAGTGGAGAGAGAGAGAGAGTGAAAAGGGAAAAAGAGAGGGCAAGAGAGAGAGAGACAGAGAGGGAGTCAAATAAATATTTTTTATATAGTGCTGCATCACTTGAGGATTCTGACAGTGAATTTGAGTCTATTAAGAATGCTTCTGGTAATAAGCAACAGAATACCTAAGAGTTTCTTCAGAAGTTTGGAGAATTAGTCCAAATATTTGTAACATATCAGTGATCTCAAGGCAGAGGCTCAATGGTTTTCAAGATATGGTGAAATTACCATCCTCCATTTCAGTTGATTCCAATCTCTTTTCTAAGTCGTTGTCTCCTATGCAGTATTTACTAATACATATTTAGAATATTACATATACCTCAATATCACCCAGTAAACAAATTATTCGTCTCCCTTACTGTCCATTTCATTTTGGCTTAAAATGGCTAAGGAAACTCCAGAGGTCAGAATTATGTTCAGGGCAGGAGAAGGGGTACAAATGGCTCAGTTTCGACAGAACAACAAAATTATCAGAAATCTCTCAGCAGACTTCTCCTCATATCTCACTGGATAGGACTGTGTCCAATGGCCTTCCCTAACTGCAAGGAAGACTGGAAAATGCTTATGTAATTTTTCTTTTCTTTAGAGTGGAGAAAGTTATGGAATAGGGGGTTGAGTATGGATATTAGGTTAGTCAATCAATAATATCTGTCACAGAATTAGAGAAAAGCACTTGAAAATATTCAAATGGATTATTAAAGTGATAACCTTCAGTTTATTCTCAAGTCCTTAACGTTGGCGGACAGGAGGGTGGGAAGAAAGCAAGAACAGAGATACCCAACTAGAAACCTTGAAGTCTAAAGGCAGATAACTTTTCTTATAGTTTGATGGAGCCACTTCTGATTCCATCACACAATTTAATTTTGTTTAAATTGTTTTTATTTACTTGTTATTTGAGTTCCATAATTATGATTGAGAGTACTTAAGTAATTCTCTCAAAGCATCTTTGTAATTAATTCTCTTCTCTTATGAGGTCTACTGAGAAAATCTAATTTTATTTCATCTTCATGAGATACATAAATAGCTGTGAGAGTACTCTCATAAGAAAGAAACAAAAAAACTAGAGAAGAGAAAAGAGTATTTTCTAACTGCCTAGCACACATCAGCTCCTGTTACATAAGTTACTTCCGTAAATCTTTATGAAACTCTATTAAGGGGAAGTAATATGTCCCAATATTACAGATGAGAAAACTGAGGCTTAGAAACATTAAGTCAGTTACTCAAGATCACACTCACAGTAAATGGTAGAAGAAGAGCTTAATCCTCTTTCTGCTGTTTCAAGACAGAAATCTTCTTGAATTTATCTTCACATTCTGAGTCAGCATCATTGTCTGGGCTAAATACCTGGGTTTCATCGTCTGGCATCAAGAAGATTAAGGACATGGACACGTGGGTGAGTTAAGAAGCTGAAAGTTTAATAGGCAGAAGAAAAGAGAGGAGAGCAGCTCTCTCTCTCTTGTGAGAGAGAGGAATTCGAAAGGGAAAGCCAGCTTTCAGCCGACTGCAGCAGATTTTATAGGCGGGCTTGAGGAGGCTGTGCCTGATTTACCTAGGGCCCACAGATTGGTTCAACCAGGTGTGACACTAAATAGCTTGTGGGAAGCTGGTTGCACCACCCTAATTTTATTTCCATTGGGCCATCCTGTCTGCTCCTTACTGCACACGTGGCTGGCAAAGAGAAGAGAAGATGGAGCCGCACCATTTTGATCATGCTTAGTCACAGGTAGCCTTTCCCTATTGGCACAACTGCCGGCATTCACCTGTGCAAGCTTCCAGCTTGCTTGTTTATGTCTGCAGCTAGATTTTACAAGCTGCTGTCCGTTAGAAAAGAAAATGACTTGGGGGCTGCTTTTCATTAAAAGGAAAACCTTACCGAGGACTCCCATACTGTCACTATCTGCCTAAGTACTTTCTTCTTAACTAGTATGTTATTCATGCCCAGCAGTGACTGGCTACAAAAGAACACTCAAATGTTTATTCAGTGAATTAGTTTAACTGTCTGACTCAAAAACCCTTGCTATTTATACTATAATCTTTCATTTCCCAGGAATAGCTTCCATAGTGTTGGCTTCCAATTTAAATGCAGAAATGTCAATGTTTTAGATATTTGAGGTAATTTAGTAAAATCAGAATCAAATGTCCGTCATTTACCATCATTTACTATTCATTGACCCTGAGCAAGTTACTTAAAACTCTCTTGGCTACATATTATTTTTCATTTAAAAATGAAACTAACTAATAATAAAAAATAATAATAACATATATCGTGCTTTCAGGATGCCATTCTTCCAAGCCTTTACATAACACAACCTATTAATCTTTACAATATCACTGTGAGGTATATGTAGTTACCCTTGTTTCATGAATGTGGAAACCACTATTGCCATATAAAATGTTTCGTAAAAATCACCCCCAAATTTAGTGGCTTAAATCACCAATCATAAATTTTCTTGATGATGTAAATGAGCCAAGGGGCAGTTCCCTTGGCTGGGTTGGATTGGAAGTCTTTGCTGTTGGTTCTCTGGAAGTCAGCTGGGATGGGCAACTGGGCTCCACTCCAAAAGTTTTTCTTCCTCTTTTATCTTCCAAGGGCTAGCCTGGGACTATTTTCTCATGGAAATGGCAGAGTTGGAAGATAAGAATAATTTACAAGTGCTTTCAAGCCTCTGCTATGCCAAAATCTGCTAACATCTCATTGGCCAATGCAAGATACAAGGCCAGGTCCAAAGTTAAGTGGTGGTGAAATATACCTCACTCTTTTAATCAGAGGTGGAGAGAAATTAATATTTCTGAACAATAATCTACCATACTAAAAAGCCTAGCCATAAGCTCAGGTATAAACTCAGGTTGCTGGTATCTTAACCTGTTCTTACCACTATACTATATCTTATTACAACTGGAAATTTAAAAAATTCCATCTAGGATGGAATAACAGGGTGTTAATGACATTTAATAATGTAAGGTAACATTAAGTGATGTAATGCATACAGAACACTTAGCACAATGCCTGGCACATGATAAATGAAAAAGAAAATCGTCTGATATTTAGTTATTTCTCACATAGCCAGATATAACTATTTGAAAATACTCTTATAAATATAAATGAACTTGACAGAGATTGTCAAAGATTGTCTACATTGTGTTTACATGTATTGTGAGTCATTTCTGAATTTGAGGAAGATAGGTATTGGTGGACTTCAATTTGTTCATCATTTAGGAGACAATACAATTTACCAGTAGAAAATTTCAGTGTTATGGAAGCCTCAGAAACACTACAGGAGAGTTCAAGATGTTTAAAAATTGTGATCCTTTCCTCTCTTTTGTATTCCATTATTATTTATCGTGTATTCATTCTGTTTCAGTCAGTGGGCTTACTTCTGTGCATACAATAATGAACAAGACACAATCTTTGCCCTAAAGAGGCTTATGGCTTATGATCTCATTCTCACTAGATCTTTGGATTCTTCACGGCAAAAACCCTGTCATGCTCATTAACGTGTGGATGACTGAGATAATCACAGGACCACAGGAGAGCCAGATAACTTGCCCCGGGTATGAAGAAGGGTTTCTGAATGTGTTAATAGCCAAAGACAGCCCTAAAGGACAAAATATATTGACCAAGATCAATAGGCATGAGTTTGGGAACAGGAAGAATGAAAGAAGGATATTCCAATCCAGAAACATTCTCATAAGAAGTGAAGTTAGAGAAACCTGAAAACACTGGGGAAGAGGAACTGGTTTAATATGGCTAGAGAATGGAGCTACATAGTCCCAAATTGTAGCTCTTGGCCACAGGTGGGTATGCAGCACTTATAATATGGCTGTATATTGGATTTCAAAGACCAAGTACCACACAAAGGAAGTGAAATATCTCCTAAATAATGTTTTAAAAGTGATTACATGTTCAAGTGATAATCCTTTGAATATATTGAGGTAAATAAAGTCTGTTATTAAAATTAATTTTTTCTCTTGTTACTATTTACAATGTGACTACTACAACATTTTAAACAGTGTATGTGGCTTGCATTTGTGCTTATATTGTATTTCTACTGGATAGCCCTGAAAAGCAACATCAGGTAGGAAATGACAAGAGATGTTGGGAGATAAAGGAGGGTAGAATAAAACATTTTTAGATATTTTTCTATAAAGCCTCAGCCTGTGAAGACAAACTCTCTCTGGAGGACTTAAACATCTCACCACAAAGTATCCACCTCCTCAGACACTAAAAATATTTCCTCCTTGCTTCTGAGAGTTCACAAAGGGTGTCTTTAGTGTGCCATATACCAGTCGATAGACTAGAGTCATCATGAAAGGGTAGTAGAATGTCCTCTCTCCCTTTCCAGCCTCCGGATTTTCACATGCATTTCTGCAAACCTGCTGGCTAAAACAGCCCCGCAGGACACCATTGCCTACATAAAAGTGGCTAAACTGGGAGCTTTTAGGTCTTGTCATCGCGTTTGTTCTCCCATCCTTCATATATCCTATCCTAACTTCATTTCATAACACTCTTGCTTCCTTCTCAGTCAGGAGCTTTTAGGAGAGATTCATTCTTTCTCCCTAAGCTTCAGGTATGGACCCCTCTTGACTCCTTGTGAAGAGCTTTTCTGTGTATCCTGTATCTTGGCTCGCAAGGATATGTTCTGAGATGGATGTGTAACCCAATCAGAACCAGTGAGATACCAGGTTATGTTTGCTGAGGCTTCTGGGGAAAAATAAAACAGAACTTATTTCTCCTTCTGTGGAAAGCGTTGAAAGAGATCCTTGGTGCTCCTGGTTGTGCAACAAGAACTTTTCTTCAGCTGCCAGCCATCTTGCAGTGATGAGGAAAGAGTCTGATAAAATGTGACCAATACTGAAGAAACAGGACTAAGAAAGGCAGAGTGAAGCCAGCTCTGTCCACCCTGACTTGGGCAGTTGCACAAACCAATCAATGTTCTATGTTATTTTAGCCACGTTGAGATGAATAGTTTGCCTTAGGTATTACAGGATATTCCCACAGCAAAAAAACAAAACAAAACAAAAACAAAAACAAAAACGTTGTGTGCTGGAATAGTGGTAGGTGTGAGCAGAGGAGAGGAGAAAGTTTCCTTTTCTCTGTGCCACACTTTGTCACTATGTTCTCCGAAGGAGTTGGGTTTGAGCTCAGTCTCACGCAATCATTAAAAATTAGGTCTGAGGGAACAGACAGAATTTTGGCTCCCTTCTTCATTTCTGCTTCGTCATCTTTGTTCCATCTTTTCTAAAACTGCTTCCCCTTTCTCAGTTATGCAGTAAACACATCCATGCACATAACAGAGGTGTGAGAGTAAAGTGTTTTCTACCTGGGTGACAGCCAGACAAAAAAAGTCCTGATCGAGAGAAAGTAGTCAGTCACAAAAGGTCAAATCTGCATAATTCCACTCATAGGAGGTATCGAAATGGTCAAAAGCATAGGAGCAAAGAATAGAGTAGTGGTTGGCAGGGGCCACTGGAAGAGGGGAAGGGTAAATTGCTAATCAACACGTATAACATTTGAGTTATGCAAATGAAGTTCCAGAGATCTGCTGTACAGCATTTTGCCTGTAGATAACAATACTGTACTATGCACTTAAAAACACATGAAAGGAGTAGATCTCATGTTGCATTCTTACCACAAGATAAAATAAAAATCTGTTTATGTGATCAAATGACTGTGGACATGTTTGTGTATCTTTTAGTTTAATACGGCTTGAAAAAAGTTTCTGGTCCGGGTGTGGTGGCTCACACCTGTAATCCAAGCACTTTGGGAGGCCAAGGCAGGTGGGTCACAAGGACAGGCATTTGAGACCAGCCTGGTCAATGTGGTGAAACCCTGTCTCTACTAAAAATACAAAAATTAGCCTGGCATGGTGGTGCATGCCTGTAATCCCAGCTACTTGGGAGGCTGAGGCAGGAGAATTGCTTGAACCTGGGAGGCAGAGGTTGCAGTGATCCAAGATCGCACCACTGCACTCCAGCCTGGGCGACAGAGCGAGACTGTCTCAAAAAACAAAAAAAGAAAGAAAAAACGTTTTTGACTTGTCAACTATGATTTCACAGTTTTACAGATGGAAAATCAAGTATCAAAAAAGTTAAGTGAGTTTTCCATGGAAGTAGTTATTTAATAGCTGATTGTATACTCCAATCCAGGCCTTCTAACTGAAGAGTATGTAAGACATCTTACGTTAGATGCATTCAAAACCAGTAAATCTGTCTGCACAGCATGCAAAAATAGATATTTTATGTTAGAATTGTGCCCTTGTATCACTTGGAATTCTATGCTTTGTCCAATATTAGAAAGGTATTATAACTTGTATACATTTCTGTCATTCCTTAATTGGTCTTTTCTGAAACTGGTCTTGAAATTAAAATCATACTTTGCATACTGTGCCTTTCCAGAAAAGTGGCCTTATATGATTATTTCATATTGTTTGATTTTTAAAGTTAGACATGCAAAATAATTTAAAAACATACCACTGATCACTTTTTAACTCCTAAAATTGTGGGTTTTTTTAGGTTTTAATCACAGAATAATACTTACATTATTTTAAAATTAGCAATGAAAATGAGTAAATTTTCAAAGATCTAAGTAGACTATTTTAAGCAAATAACTAATAAAAGACCATATTAAAAATAATCAGGATAAACATAATAGAAATTGATTGCATTAGTGCTATATTTATTGTCTTTGTTGAGTGCTTTAGGTTAACAAATATAGATTTCATTTGGTTCTTACTATAACCTTGAAGGACAAACATTATTATCTTCAGTTTATGGATAACAAAAGAAAGGTAATGAAATTAATCTATTTTCCCAAGATCATCTGTTAGGTTGCCAAGTTATGACCTCAACTTGTATTTCATAGCTCTAAATCCACTACATAGACTCTAATATCAAGGACTAGAATAATCACTCTTAAACTGGGTTGTCAGACATATCAAAAGCAAAACAAAGACATGATTGTCAAGATGAAGATAAATATACTTAGTTGAAAAAAAGGATATATTAAAGGATTTTATACTACTTATAAAGTCTTACTTTCTTGTATTCCAAACAGGGAGCTTCATATAGTTATAAAGAATTGCTGCGACAGCATGGATTTGATCTTTGATTTAGTTTTTCCAAGATTTTGGGATGCCAAGCAGTGATTGCGAACTCTTATGAAAATCTCGTTCTTTTTTCTTCCAAGGCATTATGACGCCAGAAAAAAAAAGGTCCTCTGATTTGTACACTCCAGAAGTCTTTCACTCTTTTGTCAATCTGGTTTTGTCCCTCTCTCTTGAGTCTTTCTATTCATTTGTCCTCTTCATGCAGGCAGCATTAACTAGGGTGACCTCAGCACCATAGTAAATTACATTCTATTGTAGCACCTCTACCAATACCGCAAGGACATAGCCTCCACCTCCATCCAGCCTCTCAGGGAGCCGAAAGTACTTTTTATGTGCTAACCTGCCAGTTCACAAAGTATTATTTTTAAGACCTTTTCGGAGTATCACTGATATGAAAGTTATTTTCAAAATACTTCTAAGAAACTATGTGAGAGGTGACTTTTTCACTTTCATTCTTTCTCTCATTTCTAAAAAGGATTTACTAAAATTCTGCTAGTGGGAATGTAAATTAGTACAACCTCTATGGAAAACAGTACAAAGGTTTCCCAAAGAACTGAAAGTAGATCTACAATTCAATCCAGCAATTCTACTACTGGGTATTTACCCAAAGGAACATAAGTCATTATATTAAAAAATAAAAACCCCGCACATGTATGTTCATCAAAGCACTATTCACAATTGCAAAGATATGGAACCAACCTAAGTGCCCATCAATTGATGAGTGAATAAAGAAAATATGGTGTGTGTATATACATACATACACTCACACCATGGAATATTATTCAGCCATAAAAACAAATGAAATAATGTATTTTGCAACAATTTGGATTGGAACTTTAGGCAATTATCCTAAGTGAAGTAACTCAAGAGTGGAAAACCAAATATTGCATGTTCACTTATAAGTAGGAGCTAAGCTATGGCTAAGCAAAGGCATATAGAGTGGTATATGGACATTGGAAATTCAGAAAAAGGGAGAGTTGGAAGGGAAGATGAAAAACTACCTATTGGGTACAATGTACACTATTTAGGGTGATGGGTACATTAAAATACCAGACTTCACCACTATATAATTTATCCATGTAACCCAAAACTCTTGCAATAAAATTTTTTTAAAGTTTTGATAAAATGTATATAACTATTATATTCTATTTGCTATGCTTTCTTGTTTTGAAATATATTTTTCATAAAATATGTTAATCATATATCATGCAATAGTTTATTGTCATTTAAAATGAACTAATAAATATTGATTTAAATTATTAATTTAATTCCAAATATGGTAAATATTTATAGATATAATTAATATTTATAAAAGCTCAATTGGAATCCCCAATATTTTTTTTCTTTTTCTTTGTTTTTTTTTCTACACAAACCTCGAATGCAGACCTCAATAATTTTTGAGAGTGTAAAGAGGGGCCTGAGACGAAAATGTTTGCAAATCACAGATCTAAATATTTTAAAAATGAGACTCTTCTTACTTAAGTGGATTTTTTTTTCTCTCCTCAGAGAATGGATATCCAAGACAAGTGGACCAAGACAAAAAGAAATCTGTGGAGATCCACAATACAAGCCCATAAATGGAACACACACAAATACAGTGTGTGACTATCAAAGGTGTAGTTTTAAAAGGCATTCCAAAACAGAACTGAATTGTGAGTGTTAAAAACTGCTGTTAAGTTATGCTTCACTTCAATTACTTTTTTCAATAATTCAAGAATAATTACTGTGGCACTGAGATCTGCTGAGGCAGACTCTCTCCATGAAGTCTGTTTTACAGAGCTTAGTGCTATTCCATTTCTTTTTTATTGTGGCAAAATCACACAGTGCATAAGATCTACCCTTTTAACAAATTTTTTTAGTTTAAAACTGCAGTACTCTTCACTATAAGCGTAACAATGCACAGCAGATCTATCTCTAGAACTTTTTAATTCCCCTTAACTGAAACTCTACACCCATTAAATAGCACCTCCCTACAGTCCCTGGAAACCTCCACTCTACTTTCTGTTTCTATGAGTTTGGCCACTTTAGACACTTCATAAAAGTGGAATCATGTAGTGTTTGTCCTTCTATGATTGGCTTATTTCACTTAGCCGAATATTCTCCAGGTTTATTCATGTTGTACCTTATGTCAGGATTTCCTTATTTTTAGGGCTGAATAATATTCTACTGTATTTATGTGCCACATTTTCCTCATCCATTCTTCCATCTATGCAGAATGGTTGTTTCCATCTCTTGACTATTGTGAATAATGCAGCAATGAATATGAAAGTGCAAATATCTCTTTGAGAACCTAATTTTGATTATTTTTTGAATAAAATATCCAGTGGAGGATTATTGGATCATGTGGTAGTTCTATTTTAATGCCTGTACTAATTTACATGCCTATCAACAGTGCACAAAGGTTTCAGTTTTTCTGCATCCTAGCCAATACTTTTTAATCATTCATCTTTTTGATAATACTCCTTGTAATAAGTGTGAGGTGATATCTCATGGTGGTTTTGATTTGCAATTCCCTGATGATAACTGAAGTTGAGCATGTTTTTGTGTATCCATCAGCCATGTGTATGTCTTTGGAGAGTTGTCTATTCAAGACCTTTGCCAATTTAAAAAATCAGCTTATTTGTGGGTTTTTAAATTTTTTTTTAAATTTTTTTTGCTATTGAGTCATAGGAATTTCTTATATGTTTCAGACATTAATCTCTTATCGGATACGTGAATTAATTTCTCCCATTCTATAGGTTGCTTCTTCATTCTGTTGATTATTCCCTTCATTCTGTTGATTGTTTCCTTTGCTATTCAGAAGCTTTTTAGCTTGATGTAGTCCCACTTGTCTATTTTTTGCTTTTGTTGCCTGTGCTTATGTGGTCATACACAAAAGTCATTGTCCAGACCAATGTCAAGAAACCTTTCTCAGATTCTTTCTTCTATTACAGTTTGAGGTCTTAAATTAAAAATCTTTAATATGTTTTGAGTTGATTTTTATGTATAGTGTAGTGTAACGGTCTAATTTCATTCTTCGGCATATGAATATCGAGTTTTCCCAACATTATTTGTTGAAAAGGCTATCCTTTTCCCATTTATATCCTGGTACTCATGTTGAAGATCAGATGACCATATATGCATGGATTTATTTCTGGGCTCTCAATTCTGTTAAATTGTTCTATATGTCTATCTTCATGTCTGTTGCATATTGTTTTGATTATTGTAGTTTTGTAATACGTTTTAACCAGAATATGAGGCCTCAAGCTTTGTTCTTTCTCTAGATAGTGTGGCTATTTGGGGTCTTTTCTGATTCATATTAATTCACTTATTGATTTTAGGCTTAATAACTATAATCATAAATCAAAATATTGTTCAAAATAGTCTATGCAGTAGAATTAATGACTATAATGCTTATTATTAATGGAATATTCCTTAACAGTGTTAGGACATACATAACACTTCTCAAACTATATATCAAATGTCATTGATGTACTGATTTTGGAGAAAATCTATGAAAACACTTCAGGAAGGTATGTGCCAAGCTTTTCTTGGGGCACGTATTCTATTACCTACAGAAAACTACCTGTGTCTATCTTTTTCCTTCCTCTGTGCTGCTATGTGCATTTATCAAATTGCCTAGATTAAATTAGACACTCAACAATTATGCTACATGTTTATTGTATTGTTTGAGAGTGAATTCATGCCTAAGCATTTAGAAACATTCCCCCAATATTTTAATAATACCAGGATAAATATGATTGGTTTACGATAGATAACAAATGCAAACTATATTTTTAAATTAAACATGTTTTTTGTGATACATAAAAATTCTGCATTAGTTATTGTTCTAGGGCAAAATCTAGAAAAAAATAACATTAGAAACACAAAAATTTATGGTTTTAGGTCTAACATGTAAGTCTTTAATCCATCTTGAATTAATTTTTGTATAAGGTGTAAGGAAGGGATCCAGTTTCAGCTTTCTAAGTATGGCTAGCCAGTTTTCCCAGCACCATTTATTAAATAGGGAATCCTTTCCCCATTGCTTGCTTTTGTCAGGTTTGTCAAAGGTCAGATGGTTGTAGATATGCGGCATTATTTCTCAGGGCTCTGTTCTGTTCCATTGATCTGTATCTCTGTTTTGGTACCAGTACCATGCTGTTTTGGTTACTGTAGCCTTGTAGTATAGTTTGAAGTCAGGTAGTGTGATGCCTCCGGCTTTGTTCTTTTGTTAGACCTAAAACCATAAAAACCCTAGAAGAAAACCTAGGCAATACCATTCAGGACATAGGCATGGGCAAGGACTTCATGTTTAAAACACCAAAATCAATGGCAACAAAAGACAAAATTGACAAATGGGATCTCATTAAACTAAAGAGCTTCTGCACAGCAAAAGAAACTACCATCAGAGTGAACAGGCAACCTACAAAATGGGAGAAAATTTTCGCAACCTACTCATCTGAGAAAGGGCTAATATCCAGAATCTACAATGAACTCAAACAAATTTACAAGAAAAAAACAAACAACCCCATCAAAATTGGGTGAAGGATATGAACAGACACTTCTCAAAAGAAGACATTTATGCAGCCAAAAAACACAAGAAAAAATGCTCATCATCACTGGCCATCAGAGAAATGCAAATCAAAACCACAATGAGATACCATCTCACACCAGTTAGAATGGCGATCATTAAAAAGTCAGGAAACAACAGGTGCTGGAGAGGATGTGGAGAAATAGGAACACTTTTACACTACTGGTGGGACTGTAAACTAGTTCAATCATTGTGGAAGTCAGTGTGGCGATTCCTCAGGGATCTAGAACTAGAAATACCATTTGACCCAGCCATCCCATTACTGGGTATATACCCAGAGGATTATAAATCATGCTGCTATAAAGACACATGCACACGTATGTTTATTGTGGCACTATTCACAATAGCAAAGACTTGGAACCAACCCAAATGTCCAACAACGATAGACTGGATTAAGAAAATGTGGCACATATACACCATGGAATACTACGCAGCCATAAAAAATGAAGAGTCCATGTCCTTTGTAGGGACATGGATGAAACTGGAAATCATCATTCTAAGCAAACTATCGCAAGGACAAAAAACCAGACACCATATGTTCTCACTCATAGTGGGAATTGAACAATGAGAACACATGGACACAGGAAGGGGAACATCACACTCTGGGGACTGTTGTGGGGTGGGGGGAGGGGGCAGGGATAGCATTAGGAGATATACCTAATGCTAAATGACGAGTTAATGGGTGCAGCACACCAACATGGCACATGTATACATATGTAACAAACCTGCATATTGTGCACATGTATCCTAAAACTTAAAGTATAATAATAATAAAATAAAATAAAATAAAGAAACACTAAAATTTAACTCTATCATGCTAAAAACCTTTAATAGGAAAATTGTGGCAAAATCTTTCCATATTCCCATTTAGCATTCACACTCTGCCAGCAGTGGGAATTAAGAGGTTTATATTTTTATTTTTTAAAGTTCAATTCTCTAGTTAGAAATGCTTATTAATTGGCCTAGATTGGGAAAAATATTGCTGGCTGGCTTTAAATTCTTTAACCCAGTCACACTAATCATTTAGAAACAGCAGAATAGATTTAATAAGTGAACATTTTAAAGCACTTATTCCAGGTATAGCTAGCTCAGTGGTTCTGAAGTAGTGGGAAAAAGAACTATTCAAGGAGAGACAGGAGTCTTTCACAGCAAGATGAAGGTAGAAAAAGTAGCAAGTGATACAGGAAACAGGTCAGAGTACTGAAGAGCCAAAGGTGGAAAGAGAATTCCTGATGGAGTAAATGCGTGAAAATAAAACAGCTGTGTTCTGACATTTGCAGGAAGAGAAAAATAATAAGGACATATTTGAACAAAAGTAAATGATAAATTTAGATCTGTATTAGTCCGTTCTCATGCCACTATGAAGAAATACCTGAGACTGGGCAATTTATAAAGAAAAGAGGTTTAATTGACTCACAGTTCTGCAGGGCTGGGGAGGTCTCAGGAAACTCACAATCACGGCAGAAGGGAAAGCAAACACGTCCTTCTCGACATGATGGCAGCAAGGAGAAGTGCCAAGCAAAAAAGAGAAAAGCTCCTTATAAAACCATCAGATCTCGTGAGAACTCACTCACTATCATGAGAACAGCAGCATGAGGGTAACCCTGCCCCCATAATTTAATTACCTCCCAGTGGGTCCCTCCTACCACACCTGAGAATGATGGGAGCTGCAATTCAAAATGAGAGCTGAGTGGGGACACAGCTAAATCATATCAAGATCTTTCTTATTTTAAAATTTATCTTTTCCTAACTCTCAAAGTAAAATTATTAACAATAAATAGATTAAAATTACATGATTAGAGGGAAAATATTGGAAGCAGTTACTTGTATGCTAGTTATTAGTATATGTCCCAAAAGGCATGGATGCTTTTTACAATTTTCTTTTTTTTTTTTTTTTTCTTTTGAGACGGAGTCTCGCTCTGTCGCCCAGGCTGGAGTGCAGTGGCGGGATCTCGGCTCACTGCACGCTCCGCCTCCCGGGTTCACGCCATTCTCCTGCCTCAGCCTCCCAAGTAGCTGGGACTACAGGCGCCCGCCACTACGCCCGGCTAATTTTTTGTATTTTTTTTTAGTAGAGACGGGGTTTCACCGTTTTAGCCGGGATGGTCTCGATCTCCTGACCTCGTGATCCGCCCGCCTCGGCCTCCCAAAGTGACAATTTTCTTTACTCACTATGCTCAGCAGAGAATTTGCTTCAGAGCCTTCAATGCATATGATTTGATGAATGAGTAAATGGATAAGACCACAGTACTGTGGCTTGGTGTAGGGAGTGTTAAGAATTTAGCCCCTCCAAGGAAGGCCTATGCTTGAGCCTCAGCTGCTGTTTTCTTTTTAGAGCAGAATTGCATTTGGTTAGATAGGATAATAGCCAGCAGCCTACATTCTCCCTGGCATAGGAGAACATGACATGTGAGTGAGAATTAAACTTTTCTTTCTATGGAACAAACGTAAGCTTAACAGATGATGAAAGAATTGTTGCCATGCCCTTTAGAAAGTTTAGTTCCTGGTGTATTTGTGCCTTCAATTTGTCTATTGACTTGTGTGTGTATGTGTATGTGTATGTGTATGTGTATGTGTATGTGTATGTGTATGTGTGTAACAAAACAGAGCTGGCCCAAGTGTTGATGTCAGATGATGACATTTGTCAGGCTAGATTCTACTTAGGCTTTATCTGGCCAATGATCTGACTCTGGCATTGGCAAAAATATCCCAGGTAACAAGAATTTATTTAACACCTACTTTGCAACATTAAAAAAACCTAACTTAAAAAGTTTATGTTATCTAGAGACACATATACATCTTTTACATCTTAAAATAAAGTAATATTTATTTGGGACACGGTTCATAATACAAATATAAAAAAGTTTCTACAGAAGTAAAACAGGGCAGAGGTATCTTATTTAATATCAAATTCATAGTAGTATAAAAGCATTTCAATTAATTTTTCACAACATCCCTTTTTAGCTCCCCCTCCAAACTGTCCAGGGTATTAATTTTTTTAAGGTTATACGAGCTGCACAAGTCACTGAATTCTGATAACTCATTCCAAGCAATCACTACTGACAATATTATTTTTTAAGTTAATTTGTCTTTTCATTTTTAATTCAACAAATATTTGAGCGTCAACCGTAATTCTGCTTAACATGCAATTTGATAGAATTACTGACTTCAGGATGTTCAAAATAAAGAGAGATATGCAAAGAGACATACAGTAAGTATAGTAAGTTTGGTAACAGAAGTCCGGACAGGGTACTAGGAGATAACTGATAAAGAAAAAGCTGGAGGATCAAGGAAAAGTTTCTGGAGAAGCAAATAGTGAGCTAAGTGTAAAATGGGAATTGAGGTCTGAAGGAGGAATTGCATTTCAAAACAATGGAAATAAGATAGAGCTAAACTGGGCAGGAAGCTTTCAGCTATTAAAGATTTCTAGAGCCCGAAGTGTGAGGCAGGATGTGGGCAGAGACAGGGCTGTAAACACAGCAGCAGCCAGGGATGAGCCTTGGTGAAGGATTTAAGGAGAGAAGGGCTTCAGAGTTCTGTGAACCCCCTAAAATCATGTAGAAGATGTTTTTAGTTTATATATATATTTTTGTTGGGGAAATCTATGATTTTCATCAAAATCTCAAAGTGAGAGCCAAATGGTCAATATGCATATGAAAATGTGCAAAATGTAAAAATATTAGCCATTAGAGAAATGCAAAGCAAAACTACAGAGATAGCGCTATACATCTATTACAATATGTAAAATTTTAAAAAACACTAAATTTGTGTGGAGATGCGGAGAAGCTAATAAGAGTGTAAAATGGTACAACCACTTTGGAAAATTGTCAGTTTCAAAATTATATATATGCAACTATTTTATGACCCAGAAATTTTATTCTCGGAGCTCCTCAAAAATAAGTAAATTTTTCCACAAAATTATTATGCAAAAATGTTCCTAGCAATGTTATTCATAAATGCTCCAAAATGGAAATAGTTGTAAGGCCCAGCAACAAAATAATGGGCAATTTGTACTAGAGTTGTATTGGTGCTATGACAAATTACCAAAAATGTAGTGACTTAAAACGTTGACTTATTCTTTTATAATTTAGGAGGTCAGGAGTCTGAAATAAGTCTTAAGGGACTAAAAAGTTGTTCGTAGGCAGATTCTTTCTGGAGGCTTCAGGGGAGAATCTTTTTCTTGTCTCTTCCAGCTTTAGAGGATATGGCATTTCTTGTCTCTTGGCTGTGTCACTTCCACCATTAATTTGCCTTCTTTCTTCTTTTTACCTCCTGCTTTCTTCTTAGAAGGATCATTGTGATTACATTGGACCCAATGTCTAATAATAGGATAATGCAGAATAATCTCCCCCATCAATATCTTTAACATTATCACATGTGCAAAGTCCTTTTTGAATGTAAGGTAACATTCACAGGTTTTAAGTATTAGGATGCAGACATCACTGGTGAAGCTTTAGCCTACCACCTAATTGTTTATAATTTATTCTTACAAAGAAATGGCACTCAGCAATATAAAATGACAAATTACATATACACAAAAATATGCCCACCCTAATTTTGATATCCAATTGTGTTCAAATAAAGTGAATATTGCCTTTGGTATAACTCTTAGAATCAGCTTTTCTTCTCTAATTTTCTGGTCTCTAGCCATCAAATTTAATCATCTAGTACATCCTCATAGGCAGCAAACTGGCTCTTCTGCCGCCAATTTATCACTTACCCAATTAGATCTTTCATATTATTGTCAGTTATCTCTCTAAAAATCCAATTTGATAACATAATTACTCTTCTTATAAGTTTACAATATCAATAGAATCTGAATGCCCACAATGCATATCATGTATCTTCTAAAAAGCAATAATTTAGAACTCCACTCATTAATTTGAAGAGATATAATCAATGTATTTGTAAATAGGAAAAGCAAGGAATAGAACACTACACATATTATATTATTTTTGCGTGTGTGTTTGTTTCCACAGAAAAACCTGGAGAAGTTGACACTACGTATTATCAAGTTATCTCTGGACGTTTTATGAAATTGGTGATTTTCATTTTCTTAGGTACATCTTCTGAACGTTTTCTTTTTTTTTTTTTTTTGCTATGAGTATGTAGCAATTCAAAATAAAACACAACAAAGTTATTAAACATATCTGCAGTTTTCCACTGGCTAAAAGATTAGTTTGAACGCTTAGTGCGGATTGAAAGGACACACTTACAAAGCGTCTCCACCTGACTTCTACATCTTCTTATCCTGAAACTTTAAACCATTAAGCTCTGAGCTGGAGTCACATTGAACTTACAGCAAATTCCCTGAACACCTCAGCTTGGCCAGATCTTGATGTCTTTAATGCTTTTATACCGGGAATGTCTGTCTCTACTTTGCCTGGAAACTATCTAATCTTTCAAAACCCAGATAAAATGTTACCTCCTCTGAGAATTTCTCAATGTTCCAGGCAGAGTTAGATTCTTTCTCCCTAGTGTTTCCATAGTATTTTGTCAAACTTTGTTTTCTATAGTTTAGTATGTGAAACTTAAGTTTAATGTCTATTTTTCTTCACTAGATTTTAAGTCTTCAAAGTCAATAACTCTCTTGTATTTGTGTCTGTGCTCCAGTGCCTGACATAGTGACTGGAACAATTGTGCTTTCAATAGTTTTTAAAAAATTATTAAAAGTAATCTCTTTACGTGGAGATATTTAAAAATCAATTGTCACATTTCCATCAACTAATATAATTTGTTATGTTTCACTTTCTGTAATGCCAAAAATTGTTCTTCCTTCTATTCAGAGAACAAAATTCAGTAGGTTATGCATATTTGATTTATGCTTTCAAATGTTGCCATTATTTAGAATATTTTATTCCATGTTCAATTTTGGTGGCGTTTCTCTCTAGGTTTGCTATATTCAAAAGCCTCTTAAAATCAAATATTTATCAATTCACCATCCAGTTTCTGTGTAGTAACTGATGGACAAGAATAAATACAATTCTAAGAAGGAACAAATTGTAATTTCACATTGTATTTTCCTAGGCCTAAATTGCTGGATAAAAGTATCCAGAGTTGCTCATCTCCTTTTATTTTTGAGATGGAGTCTCGCTCTGTCACCCAGGCTGGAGTGCAGTGGCGCGATCTCGGCTCACTCAGCAAGCTCCGCCTCCCGGGTTCACGCCAATCTCCTGCCTCAGCCTCCCAAGTAGCTGGGACTACAGGTGCCTGCTACCACGCCCGGCTAATTTTTTTGTATTCTTAGTAGAGACGGGGTTTCACCATGTTAGCCAGGACTCGATCTCCTGATCTTGTGATCCGCCCACCTCGGCCTCCCAAAGTTCTGGGATTACAGGCGTGAGCCGCCGCGCCCGGCCTTTTTTTTTTTTTTTTTAAGTCACCATTGGCCAGCTATTCGGGAGGCTGAGGCAGGAGAATGGCGTGAACTTGGGAGGCAGAGCTTGCAGTGCGGGGAGATTGCGCCACTGCACTCCAGCCTGGGCTACAGAGCGAGTCTCCGTCTCAAAAAAATAAAAATAAAAATAAAATTAAAAAATAAAAAAAAATCACCATTCAAGTAAAACTATTTGTTAAGATCATTTTTAGGAAATGTCACCTACATAAATATCCCAGTTTTAATATCAGGGCCAAGACTGGGGCTATGGCTAGTCAAAGGGATCTGACAGATAGCATTCGTCTGCCTGATGAAGGGTCATTGCTAGGAATAAAACTAATTAGAGAAGAATGAACTAGGAAACATAGAGAAGCATGCTTCTGACTTCAAAGACTCAGCATAAGATGGGCGAAACAGACTGGCATCAAGGATTTAAGTACCCACAACTATACCTGTGAAATATATATCATATCTATCACAGAGAGATATATATCCTTGTGAGTATATATAAATTAACACATATATAATGGCTAATTTTATGTTTACTTGACTGGGACACGGGGTGCCCAGATGTCTAGTCAAACATTATTCTGGGTAATCCTGTAAGGGAGGTTTTGAATGAGATGGTAGTAGACTGAGTAAAGCAGATTGCCTGCCCACTTTAAAGTGAGTGGACCTCATCCAGTTGGTTAAAGGCCTGAATAGAATAAAAATGATCACCCTCTCCCAAGTAAGAGAGAATCCTTCTACCTTTGAACCAGGATGTTATCTTTTCCTTGCCTTTGAACTGAAACCGACACATCAGTTCTTCCTAGGTCTCAGGTCTGCTGGCCTTCAGACTCAACCACACCATCAGTACTCCTGCTTCTTAGACCTTCTGACTTGGCCTGCAACTCACCATTGGCTTTCATGGGTCTCCAGCTTACAACTCACCCTATGCCTTGCTTCTGTCATTTTCTCTTTATATTTCTAGACTCTATATGAATAAGAGTTGAATATAAAAATGAATAATCTCACTTTCTTGAACTCTGTATCTTTTCAGAGAATAGAGCGTTTCTAGTCATATATACAGTACAGTAGTATTTCAACTTTTCAATATTTCATGTTAATTGTGTAGTTTTAAAATTTGACTAGAATCCAACACATTCAAGGTTTCTGTCACTTTAAGTCTGACAATATTAAAAAGTTCTAGTTGAGACATGTTGAAAAAATGTGTTGTCCATCCTTCAAATTTTAAATTAACAGTATGTATTTTAATCACAGGTGCCAATAAGAATATAACAGGTCAAACAAAAAAAACACATTTTCCCCTAAGAAAGTCTGTTAAGAATTAACTAGAACAAGGGATATGCTAAAACAATGAAAAAAAAAGTGAAGATGCTTTGTTTGCATTTTAATATAATTTTCACAACAATGGAATTATATTTTACTATTTGATTTCCTATGATGTGTGCCCAGTTTGAGCCAGTCTTAAAATGAGTTTTCACATTTCTGTTTTCTTTCAGTGTTTTTATGTTCATTTGCCACACTCTGTCCCTTCTTGTCTTGTACCTCATCCCTACCCTTTCCATTTCTCTGTGTCCCACTCTACCTGTATTCTCTCTAAGGGAAACATCTTGTATCCAAACCCCAATTTCCTGAGTATTCTTTCCTCTTAACATTAATGTTGTTTACAAACTTGTTATGTGCCAGATACTGTTTTAAGTGTTTTACATACATTAACTCATCCAGTTTTCAAAGCAGCCCAGTGAGGAAGATGTCATTTTTAAGATAAGTAAGTGGAGGCATAGACAAGTTAAGTGAATTTCCAAAGGCCACATAGCTGGTAAGTGGCAGAGCCAGCTTTGGAAGTCAGGCTGTCAGGTTCAGATTCGGGCTTTGCCCAGGATGACAAGACTTCCCTCAAAGCCCTTCCCTGGAAGTCACAAAGGAGTGGACTTGTGTCAGTCTTTGGCTACTTTTTGGCTCCCCAGTTCAGGTCCACTGTCCTCCACAATCACTCAATGAAGCCCAAACCTTACAGTGGGTGTGGTGCTTGCTAAGTGACGGACTTGGGCTGATGATTTATTTCTAGTATCGCATTTATTCCTTAAATCTACTCTGTGAGTTAAATATTATTTTCTCATTAATAAATGAGAAAATAGATACACTTAGCAATTGTTAATTTGTTTAACATCATGTAACGTATAAAGACCAGATCTTGGATTCACACAACTGCCTGACTCCAAAGTGTTTACTTTTTGCCTTTACTCTATCAAAGAAAAGTAACATTTCTTATCACAAACCATTCACATATACCAATCTTTTCTTCCTTCTTAGTAACATCAAAGACAATCTCATCTTTCTGCTTGGAAGTTTTTCTTCTTGACTGATTCATTGCAAGGACTTCAGCCATTCACTCTAACTTTAAGTGTATTGTACTTTCCCTTCCTTATAAGTCTAATGTTTCTGAATATGTTTTTTTTTATCTTATGTACTCATTTATTAGATCTTCAAATACTTATTTGAGGTTATTACAGTCCTGAATGAGGACTGGGATCTATAGATTATGACTAAGACAGATGTGGCCCCTGTTGTCACAGAGAAAACAAGAATATATACCAATATTTAGATTATTATTATTATTATGCACAATATTAGGCCAGGTTCCACATAGCTCCTATAACTTTTCCGTGATTTTCTGCTTCCTTTATTTCTTACATGTGTAATGTATTTTCATTGCTTCTATTTTCAGTAAACTATTTACTGTAGCTTGCAAACACATCCAGGTCTCCCTATGCTTTAAAGACAAACAAGTATATGCACAGTTTTCCCTCAATTCTGCTACAGTCCTAAACTCTTCTCTCTCTCTCTCTCTCTTCATTTTAATATCAAATATTCCAGAGAATATTTAACTTCTTTATCACCCACTCTTACATTTTCAGAAGACTTGGCTTCTATTATAACTATGAACATTTCAGGATGCTTTTGCATTTTTGCAAGACTCTTGAGAACATTGTCATATGAAATTGCTTCCTTTTTGTGAGTTTAGACAGTAGTATAGGACTCACTCAGAAAGCTCATATCTCCAGAGGATCAAATATACTTCCTTTCATCAGATAAAAAAGTCTCTCAAAATGCTCATTCATTTATGTCTTTTGCTGTTAAAAATCTAGAGTTCAATGCACTCGTTCATTAAAATCACAAGCATCCTCTGTCTTAGATACAATTTTCTAATCCCTTTTACTATCATTATTACCTTTTAAGTTTCCTTTAAATGTTTTAGATTTTCAATTTTTATTCTCTGTTATGTATCCATATACACTGTATACTTTTCATTCATGTATCCAGCCTCCTAGAGAAGAGAAATTCTGCCTGAGAAATTTCTCCCTATCTGACCTTCCTCCACCCTCCAACATAGTCTGAGGCTTTAGTTATTATACATCCTGTCACCAGTGGGTTCCAGCAGTTGCTTGGCTGTGGCAGGACAAGAAGCTTTGTATCAAGAGTTGAGGGAACGGGAGCCAAGCCACAATCAGTTTACCATGTTTCCCAGATTCTCTTCTTCAGGAAAATTACATTTTCTAGTGTTATCATCACATTATATATATACTTTCCTAGCATTTGTTGGGTTGTGTGATAACTGTATGTCCCACCAGCTATCTTATGTACATTGTCACATTTACTTTTCATAACAAGTAGGTGTATATTTTCCTTTTAACAGCTAAGAAAATCAAGGTTCAGAGAACCTAAAAATTTGTTCAATTGCACCCACCTAGAAAGTGGCATGGATGACATTCAACCCATTTTAGCCTGACCTTAATTGCCATTACTTAGTCACTATGTAATTTTTTTTCCTCATTTGTGATGAAAATAAAAATAGAAAGAAAGAACTGAATGGAATAATAAAAACATGAAACGTGATCTCTTGCAGGCCATTGCCTCCTTCATCGCAGACTTGAATGGCTGCCCTTGGCCACCACTCTCCTGACCTACCTATGGTTGTTAATATTAATTTTTATCACCCACAGTTGCCTTTGGCTCCTTCTCCTTCACCTCTCGCATCTAGTCAACAAGTCCTCTGGATTTAACTACCTTATTTTCCGTATTTATCTTCCTGATGCCATTCCATGGATGATGCCTGAGAGCTTCTCAACTGTTTCTACTCTCTCCACCAGCCAAGCTGTCTTCTAGTATGTTGACAGGTTAGTTTTCCTACCTCCTGAATAGCTTTACTTATGCCATTTCAATGATTAAAAATTGTCATCAAATTCCCATGATTTGTGGGATAAAATCTAAACTTTTCCCTTGTTATGTTTCTTTGTGATGTGGTTACACTCCACTATTCAGCTTCACTGCTCGCTTTCCTGCACAAGTCCTGCAAAACACAACTATTCATGATACTACAAAGAGATCCAGCAGTTTCCTGTCCCTCTGCCTTTTCATATCTGTTTCTTTTACTTCTACTCATCCATATGTTTCCTTCAAAGCCTGACTCTCAAATGTGCTATCAACCAAGAAAGAGTCTCTGTCTCTTTACTCCTCACTCCCAGCTAACAGTGACCTTGTCCACCAATCTGTGCTTATTTACTTACTGCCCAATACCAGCAAAATTATTTGAACCTACCTGTCCTGGTATTGGTGGATAATCGCATCAGCACTTTCTTTAACAAAAGAGAACATATATGAATGAAAAGCACCTATTTCATATGAAAATCAAGTTATGGTCTTAGGCACAACTGTAAATCCCTGATGTTTCCTGCTCTTGGAAATGTAGATTTCCTAGATTAAATAAATTACACAGATTAAAATAGCTTGCTCAAGAAAACAAAGTCTAGGGAAAAACTGAATTTGATCTCTTTGTGCAGCTTGCTACATTAGATTATGTTTATATATTTTTGATTGAACAAATTAGCATAAGTAGATATCTTCACACAAAACAATTTGATGCACCTGCAATCAAACATTAAACAGAATTCAGATCCCAAAAGTGCAGATGATTTGAAGTATGCTCTATTATATTCATATTTTATGAGCACTTTATAAATGAACTCAAAGCAGTCATATAGACCACGAATCGCACCTTCACAGTTAGAAATGCAAAAGATAGTCACGTATTGTTATGTTGAAAATGTCATGAAGCAATTTAGAAACACTCAGTTAATTAATATAATGGATTTTTTTCCAATTTGAATTAATATAACTCTTTAGTTTTTGAATACCTTTGCTGTTATCATTTATACAATAGTCTGATGAAGTGGATGAGGTGTTATTAACTAGAAATAATGAGAAAATGCAAATTCAAACTTATTAAATTTCTCTTAGCTCAGCATTAAGATGAACGTTAAATGTTCCTAATGCTTAATGTCTTATTCAAGCCATTTTACTACAGTCTCAATTAGTGAATATATTCATAAATGGTGGTTGTACGGAGGTCTTGGTTGTGTCAGTGTTGCTACTAAGTTATGAGATCTGTTCAAAGACAAAGAAATATTGATTTTAATGTTTCAGAGCTTTTAAGACTAAAATTTTTTGGAGCTAAACAATATATTTTAACAAGCAAAATTTTTTAATTTTTAATTCAGTTTTCAATTTTTGGTCAATTTCATATTAACAAATATCTTCTATATTAATTCAAAGGATTAAAAATATTTTTCAAATTCTTTAAAAATAATTTTTGCTTATTTTAACAATTTGGTCTTTGGTCCTGAAACAGTAAATAATTGAGTAAGTGGCTATAGAAAATATAACGGGTAGGCCGGGCGCGGTGGCTCACGCCTGTAATCCCAGCACTTTGGGAGGCCGAGGCGGGCGGATCACGAGGTCAGGAGATCGAGACCATCCCGGCTAAAACGGTGAAACCCCGTCTCTACTAAAAATACAAAAAATTAGCCGGGCGTAGTGGCGGGCGCCTGTAGTCCCAGCTACTTGGGAGGCTGAGGCAGGAGAATGGCGTGAACCCGGGAGGCGGAGCTTGCAGTGAGCCGAGATCGTGCCACTGCACTCCAGCCTGGGCGACAGAGCGAGACTCCGTCTCAAAAAAAAAAAAAAAAAAAAAAGAAAAAAAAAAAAAGAAAATATAACGGGTAGGTAAAGGAAAAATGATTTACTTCTTGTACTAGAAAAGAAAAGCTTTTATGAAATAGCACATAAGTCTGTCTGGACAGTGACTATTTAAGTCTATCATCAGAATATTTCCAGTGCCATTGATCTAAAAATTAGAGATCTAGCTTTATTTGTGAACTTCGACAATTTTTAGCAAATGTGTTATATTTTATTCACAAAGTTTATCTGAGAGTTACATACAGTAAGAAATACAGTAAAATCAGTTTTGTCAAAGTCCACTCTTGGTCTTCCAAAAAGATATCATCTCTGGATGTCAAGCATCCTCTTATACTTTGTGTTCAAGTGAATATTAGTTCAAGCTGACACTAAGGCCAGAGACATATATTGGGCAGAAAAATAAAAGGGATTTTGTAACAGATTCTTATTAAAAATAAAAGGGATTTTTATAGATTGTGAAAATTAAATATTAGCTCATTACAACTGAGATTTACAGAAGTTGGGGATGGTTGATACACTTGAATGGAATAAACTCTGAATATCCAATCCAATTCCTGCATCTTCTATGGCATCTGAGATGTATGATGCAGAGAAAATATCTTTGTGTTTTTGTACAGTTACTGATGTTTTAAATTAAAATTAAATTAAAATTTTACTGAAATTTTGGATCTTGGACTAAAAGCAAACCCTAGAAATAATTTACAACTGTAGAGATAGTGAGAACTCAAAAGAAAACTACCAACTCTAGAGTTGTGTATTTACATTTCAAATGGGTAATGAGGCTTAGGAGTTTGGAAACATCTATAGGCTGCAAAATTAAAGACACTGGGATTATTGGGCCCTTTGATTTATTTATATTTCAAAAGATGAAAATGAGAATGCAGCATCCTTTTCATCCCATCTCTGAGGAGAAAAGGTTTATCTCCTTTTTTAATAGTAGAAAATTGAAACAGTTGCGTCTTTCTTCTACATAAATAATAAATATCCAGATTTATTTTTTAAGCATTTCTTTATGTATAGAACACTTGACCTAATTTTATTATATCTCCCCAGGGGTAAGAATTGTGATGTGGGGAACCAAATGATTAATAATCAGTTTTAAATGAATAGTGATAATCTGTCTCTGATTCAAAAACCTTGTATATTCATTCATGACAAAATTAACAAATACAAAAGTCTAGGTAAAATCTAATCCTAGATAAACATATTTCACATACAGTACAATCCATGAATGTAGACATTTCCTATGAGCAAAACTCTAGGTGGAGTTGAGATCAGAGGGAAAATATTAAACCTGTTATTCCTATAAAAATAGCAAATATATGTAATTTATAATATTACTACTTGGCCAATATTACTTTCTTCTCTGTTGCCACAATGCCCTGTACTATAATATTTATTACATCCTATAGTTACTTGTGTGACATTATAATATTTTGACATTAATTAATATTTATTTTTGCTCTGGTCATTCGTTTTGACCATATGGCTCTTCCCCATTAAATTATATTCTGACATCTGTGTGCTCAATGTCAAGTAAGAATGTTGAGTGAAACAAAAATAAGGTTCAATTTTTTAAAAAGTGTTTTGTGTTAAAAAATCCTGGTATTGAATATTAAACTCTAAGGCTCTAAGGATCTAAGACCTTATGATCTTTTAGAGTTTTAATTGAAAACCATAGTTTTAATTGAAAACTATAAATCTGTTGATTTATAGACTATTTAGGAGGGAGCTACATTTCTGATTCCTTCCTCTCTTTATACAAACAAACAAAGAAAATTATTTCTGGGACAAAAATGAGAATTGGTAGAGAAAGAAAAACTTAGAATTTTCTCTGTCCTTAATAAGAGGTTCCCTCAATGGAATGGATTTGGATTAATGAAACTCCAGAGAGGTGAAGAGCACTGACAACAGAGAACGCTTATGCTCTGCTTTCTTGATCATAACTGAGAAGGCACCCAGCCTCACAGGGTTGTGGTGAATGCGTAGTCATGCATAGTGTCCAGGCAGATTCATCAGACAGGTTCACAGAGTCTCTGCTATGGTCTGAATGTGTCCCCCTAAATTCATTTGTTAAAACTTTATGAAACTTGATGAAAGTATTAAGAGATCAGGCGCTTAGGAGGTGATTAAACTGTGAGAGTGGAGCACTCATAGATGAGAGTAGGGCCCTTATAAAGGAGCTTCTGTTCTTCTGCCATATGAAGACTCAGTGTTTGTCCCATTGTTGCTGTTTCATCCCTTCTGCCATGTGAGGACACAGCAACAAGGTGCCTTCCTGGAAGCAGAAACATTGGGCCCTCACCAGACACCAAACCTGCCAGCACCCTGTTCTTGGCCTTACCAGCCTTCAGAAGTATAAGAAATACATTTCTGTTTTTTATAAGTTGCCCAGGTAGTGGTATTTCATTATAGCAGCACAGACTAAGAAAGTCTCCATCCATTCTACATTCTAGGGAGGTCACATGAATAGCAGCATGATGTACTCAGTTGCAGAGAAGGAACAGCATCTCACACAAAGAGCCAATGTGGCCAAGAGGCCTTGATGAGAGTCAAAGTAGATACAATAGCAATTTGTCTCTACAATCATCAAGACCACATGGAACAAGATGTCTCACTAAGTGACAAAGTGGACAGATGCCAGTCAAGGACCCCTACATGACACCATAGCACTACATAAATATCTCATCCTCTTGCCACTGATTTAAAAACTATCCAAGGAAAAGACAAGGGAAAACTACACAGGAGATTACCCTGAATCAGCTAAAATTAACAGAATTGGCTGAGGTTTAATTTCTGCCCCCTAGTATAACGGAGTTCAAGCTAGAAAGTAAACTGAGTAACAGCTAAACTGATAAAAGCTATTATTATTATTATTATTATTATTATTATTATTGTATGCTGAGCTATGGGCTGAATAACAGACTACTAAATTTACATGATTATATGTATTCCCCATGAGGCTACATTCTCTTCCCAAAAAAGAGCAGTCAATGTCTGTTATTCTTGCCTTTCCCTCCTCCGAATCTACTCGTTAAATGAATGAATAAGGCAGTGGTGAGGAAAGAGTGAAAATTGATAAATTAACTGGTATGGTAGGTACTATGCATTTACGTATAACATCTCTTTTTTGTCATAATCTATAAGACATAGGTTTGTTTTGTCTTCACATTTCCCAAAATATGTAATACTAACCTGAACCTCTGTCTTGCAATTTTTGCTTAAAATTCTTAATGAAAACAATACCACAAGCTGCTTTAGTTTTCTTTTCAGGGAAGTATTTCTAGAGTCAATATTGTTCAGTCCCCTTATTCACTTTGGTAAAAATATAAAAAGAAATTCAGAAAATTGTATTTTCTATGATACTTCCTTACTGTTTCAAGTTTAAATTAGAATCAGGGGACTTTTTAAAAGTTCTTTCAGCTACAATGTGCCAATTCTTTAGCCTATTACAGGAGGAGATTTCTCTTGTGCCTCGTTAGTAAGTAGCAAGGACTCTCAAAATGAGAATATCGTGACTGCTCATTAAATGAGGTGTATGTTGTGTGGGTGTGTGGAGGAAAGGGAAGTTCACATACATGCACATAATAAAGATATAGGGTGCATGACAACAGAATTATTTGAAAAAATATAAGAAAAATAAATGACTTTGAAACAATAAGTCATTTTACAAATACAATATCAATTTCCATATATGGTTGGGCACGGTGACTCACGCCCGTAATCTCAGCACTTTGGGATGCCAAGGCAGGTGGATCACCTGAGGTCAGGAGTTTGAGACCAGCCTGGCCAACATGGTGAAACCCTGTCTCTACTAAATATACAAAAATTAGCTGGGTGTGGTAGCGCATGTCTGTAATCCCAGCTACTCAGGAGGCTGAGGCACGGGAATCACTTGAACCTGGGAGGCAGAGGTTGCAGTGAGCCAAAAGCGCACTACTGCACCCCAGCCTGGGCAACAAGAGTGAAGCTCCTCCTAAGAAAAAAACAAAACAAACAAACAAACAAACAAAAAAACTCCATATACAGCACAGTGGAACATGTTGCAATTTTGTTGAATGCATTACTTCCACACTAACAATATTTCTTAATTGACAGAAATTTTCATCAGAACTAAAAATGGAGCTAGAAAAAAACACCATGAAATCAATGCGAAAAATTATTTTGCTGTTTGGAATTAAAATTAGCCATTTCTGACTCATTATAGCTAATAAGTAAGAGTGTGACTATCAATTGATTGCAAATCAGTAAGGCAAAAATGGTTTATTTAAATCAGTATTATTGAATCAGTCAAAGTTAATCACATCTCAACCAATATGAAAGAGCAGCACCAGAAATGGCCCATTGTAAAGAAGGGCAAATTCGGAATCCTCCTAACTAACTCAAGATCAAATCATGACAAATGACTTTTATCCCTAATACTGCAATTTTAGGGTCTGATTAGAGGACCAAGTAAAAAAAGTGTTAGTGAAGCAGAGAAGTGACACCTAATTCACTGAGTAACTCAACTACAGCAAGGCACTATCTCCAGATCATCAGTGCTGCAAGCATTTGCCCTTGGGATAGCACAAAGGTCAAATCTTCTTTTGAAAATGTGTACAGCAGAGGATTCCTTAATGGGAAATATTATTTTGCTCTGAGTGAAGAAGAAAGTAATGTATGCTATTAAAAAGACATTTTTTAAATGGACATTTAGATTATATTTTAAAATCTATATTTTTATAAACAGTGGAATTATACTATTTGCCAATCTAGCCCCAACCTCCTTTCCAGGATTATATACCTAGTCTGATCCTAGTTCTTCCTAAACACACTTTACCTGATTGGTTCATTTTTGTTCCTTTTGTCATATCTGGCCTTTTCATGCACCACCTAAAGATCATGTTTAACACCTGTTACAGATGTTTGTTGAAGGCCAACTTTCAGCTCCTCAAATTCCAATTCTTCCAGAAAGTCTCCTTAGAAAATGAGTTTAGCTTCAAAAGAACTCTCTTCTCCTGTGATGACCAGTTGGTATCACTTTAACCATATTTATCATATACATAATGTATAGCAATTTAGGGCTGCATCTCATCTCCCACAATAGATAGTAATCTATTAGAAAACAAGGGTGAACTCTTAATTTCCTTTGTTTAACCCATGATGCCTAGGCAGAGGACGTACATAGCTGAATAGTAATGTTGATGTTACTAATTGATCTGTCAGCATCATTACAATCTAATTCACTTTCAAATTATTGAAACTTTTATTACTCTCTCTAAATTTAGCCGTAGGAGAAATCCAGTTGGGACAGTAAATTGTGAGGCACAAACTTGGAGAATGGTAGGATGGTCATAAATTTGTTCGGTATATGTCTTAGTCGATTTCTGCTTCTATGACAAAATACTACAGCCTGGGTAGTTTATAAATAAGAGAAATCTATTCTTCACCATCCTGGAGGCTGGGAAGTCCAAGATCACGGCACCAGCAGATCTGATGTTTGGTGAGGGTTTGCATCTACTTGCTGCATCCTCACATGGGTGAAATGAATGATTTCTGTGTCCTCATATGGCAGAGGACATAGAAGGACAAAAGAGACAAAGGTGCCCTTGCACCTCTTTCATAAGGTCACTAATCCAATTTATGAGGCTCTGCCCTTATGAGTTAATCATCTTTAAAGTCCTCACCTCTTCAGACTATCACACTGGTAATTAAGTTGCAACCCAAAAAATGTGAAAGTACACAGACCTTCTAACCACAGCAGAGGTTTAAAGGCTAGTTTGTGCTGTGTCCAAGTAATTGAAATGGTTTCCAGGGGGATCTGGATTGCAATATTGCCTTTGCTGGCAATTAGCTGTATAATAATTGACAAGTTCCATATCACTGACAGTATCCCAAATTTTAATTTTCACATGAAATCACTAATTTATCATTTTCATGTACAAGATGCCATACTAGGTCACTTAAATTAAAAGAATAATAAGGCACTATCCTTAAGCTAAAGGAGCTTGAAGAGTAATAAATGTATAACTATATACATCAATAATCAACATCAAGTAAGTTAAGAGCATTGACATTAGCTCTTAATTAACTAGTGAAAAGTGCATGAGAACAGAGGGAAGAGAGTGATTTGCCTAAAAGGAGGGTTAATAAAGGCTTTACAGAGATGTTATGTACTAGTTCTGGATTCTTTTCTGACAGAGAAAAATGTGTGGTGGTAACACTTTCTATGCAATGGAAATAGCACCTACAAATCCACAATGGTAGGAAACTGCCTGGGCTAATCAGGGACCGCATGTTGTCTGGAATTGTTTGAACCACAGGTATGAAGGGGAAAGATCAGAAATAGGGCCATAGGAACTCAATGAGTTTCCTGCATCTTGCTGAGAAGTTCAGACACTTAGTTTTAGATCATTAGCTTTCAAATGGTACTTCTTGGAGTCTTAATGATCTTTGGAGGATCTCCAGGGCCACTGATAATTCAAGGATGTGAGCCAGGGCAAAAGGAAGTTAGAAGTGAAACTGATAGGGATGGGTTTTTACTTAAACCATTTTCACTTTTCTTTTACCTGTCTTTACTTTGGGGGTCTGCAGAAAAATTGAATTTGACCACCAATCTTATTTTTAAAAGTATAAAGGATAAAAAAGTTCTGTTATAAAATATGAGGAATAATAGATGGAGCCCACACATGAATGAGATTGGATGTGTCCTATAGAAAGTGGCCTGGAAGGCAGTGATGGATTCTACAGAAACTGAAGTGATATTAAAACAAAGAGGTTGCTGGGCACAGTGGCTCAGGCCGGTAATCCCAGCACTTTGGGAGGCCAAGGGCGGATTGCCTGAGGTCAGGGGTTCAAGACCAGTCTGGCCAACATGGTGAAACCCCATCTCTACTAAAAATACAAAAAAATTAGCCGGGCGTGCTGGCATGTGCTTGTAATCCCAGCTACTCGTGAGGCTGAGGCAGAGGAATTGCTTGAACCAGGGAGGTGGAGGTTGCAGTGAGCTGAGATCACACCACTGCACTCCTACAAGAGAACTTTGACTGACATTATCCTGGAACATCAGAGTTCCTAATAATTTTAATCATCTAAAGAGAAAGAGTCATGGGCTTTATCTTATTCTGGGTGACAGAGCGAAACTCCATCTCAGAAAAAAAAAAAAAAAAAAAAAACCGAAGGGGTTGGGATGAATACTCACTATTCTCTGACATGGTCTACTCTGTGCTCAGAGACTCAAAGTGATTTTCAGCATTTGTTTATCCTCTTTTTGGCCATTTTCACATGCCATTAATTCCTCTCCACTGCTGTTAATGTCCTTGTCTCTGCTGTGTGGCTGTCTAATTGTTGCAGCTGGAAAGTGCTTCAAAGAGAGGCCGGTACTCTGGCTAATTCTTACCCACCAGCCTACATTGGCTTATTCTCTAGGGCATTCTAGGTCTCGCAACATTGATATGAAAAAGTTGCCAGGATTCTTCCTTATAGAACCCCTTTTAGTACAGGTTTCTGTGGCTCTAAGTGAATCTCCAGCCTGCAGATAGAAAGCAATTGTATAATTGATCCTGTAGAGAACCCTTCGGCGTCTCAAAATCTCTACCTGATATTTTCTTAGTTCTCACTCTAGGAACATATGAATGCTCATATATTTGAATGCTAAAAGTTTTGGCAGCATATTTGAAGGAATACAACTTCACAGGATGAGTCATCAATCATTATTACATAATTACTACTTAACTATAGCAATGTCTTGCAAAAACTCTAAAAGCATCCACAGACCGCCTGGATCTAAACTTAGTCTTCACTATTCACTAGCTGAGTAATTTTGGTCAAGGTCCATGACTTTTTACACTTTTGGCATTCTTTGAAATTTATATGAGATAATCTATGTAACATAGTTTGTACAATGCCCAGTACAATTCGATGTTCAATAAAAATTAGCTACTTTATTATTATTTTCAGTTTCTCACATCATTATTATTTTCTTAACCCAACAATTCGCATTGTTTTACCTTTTGAATATAATGGTTTTCTGCTCATATTTTCTCCCTTGCATATTCATGAGGAAAAGGTTTTATGAAGTCTGTAACACAAAAACTTAATTCTTTTTTTTTTCTTGTAAGATTTTAATTAAGAAAACAACATACACACACACACATTAAACAATTCTATCTTACAGAATCTGCTCAGGAAACTCCTCTGTTACAGTGAGACTTTCTCACACTGAGAGATGTGTCCAGCAGGGTTGTCTTGTAAGGTAGTAAGCTCCCCATCATGATCAGTAATTAAGCACACGAGGCTTGCACAGGCCAGGAAGTTTGAGCTCTTGGGGTCATTTTAGGTGTGTCTTCCAGCATTTCAGAGGATCCAGATGAAGCGGGCATTCTTCATGAAAACCCTGTTGCACTGTGCCAGGAGGGGCCTTTTGGAACTGGCATCAGAGCTGGTACTGGATCTTCCTCTGGTCACCTTAGGCCTCTCCAGCCTTGGGGTCTGGAAACCTTTCAGGGACCATTGAGGCAGTATCTATAGCAGACAAACTTAATTCTTATTCAATGCCAGCGACCTTGCCTTACACAACGCTTCATGGCCTACACAGCTAGTTTTCTGTTTGATGACATTCCATATGCATGTATGCTTAGTGTGTTAAGACTACCTTTTATACATCAGCTAAAATTAGGAGGCAAACCAACAAAGTTTTATACAATATCACATATTATGACAGTGGGAGAAGCATACTGGGCTACGCTATAAAAGCTCTGAATAAAAGTAATAGCAAGCGTTGTTGATAAGCATTGCAGTGACATTTAGGAAACTGGAATTCTATCTTAACTTTCAGTTTTCTGATTTATATAAAGAGTGGGCTTAAGACACTTAACAACTGTAAGTGCTAGTCCAGTCACAGGCCAATGAGAAGAAGAAAACAGAGATCACAACATATGCTGGCATGTACTATGTGCAGGGTACCCTCTGATAGTGAATATTCCTTTAATTCTTACATCAATTCTGTGAGGTATTTCTTATTCCAAGTTTATCCATCTGACAAATAGATCTGAGGCAAAGAGTGAAAATAAAGAGTGACGATAATTCAGAGTTAAAAATAACTCTCATAGAAAAGTAATAGAATTACAATTTAAAAACTCACCCAAGAATGAGTTCCAAATTTATATAATCATATTAAATTACATTGCAAATAAACTGGATATCTCATCAATAAAGTTGTATTACTGACTTTTATCTACACATGATAAAAGTAGACAAGTGCCTGGCACAGCATTTACAATATAATCACTCAGTGAGTGTTGAAAGAATGAATGAACCTATGACTAACTCTATTGAACTCGGTACTTTTTTGTTATTTCATTATTTTAGGTGAACAGATGGATAAAGAGGAATTGGCAGGAAGGCAAGTTAGAGTCTCAAGATTACTGAAAATCTCAGTAACAAGCTATGGCCAAAGAGGGAGGAAAGAAGAACCATTTTATGCCTAAATCCATTTGTTCTTGATTATTGGAATGCAGCCATGGTTTTGTTTCCAAGGCACAAATGTGTGTATGTAAAAGCTGAATCCAACTTGAATAAGGTTTTTAATAATGTGCTAGCATAAGGCATTATCCAGGCTCAGCATTCAGTCATGGCTTCTGCTATCGACTTATCAAATCAAAGTAATTTTTGATATTTATTTCATAGAGCAAAACACCTCCATCATGAACTTGTAGAAGCATGTGAGCTACAAATGATTATAATTTCTGACTTATCAGCATTAGTTGGTATTGAATGCCACTCTTTAGTCCCTAGTAAGGTTAGACAAATTTCAGAGAAAGGTTGCTAGAGATCAAGGAACAACAGATATCAATAAACTTTAACAATCAATGTATAAATGTTGCTATGATCTGAATGTTGATGTCCCCCGCCCCAAATTCATATGTTAAAATCCTAACCTCCAACTCGATGATATTAGAAGGTGGGGCCTTTAGAAAGTGATTAGGTAGGGGGCAAAGCCCTCATGAATAGGATTAGTGTCCTTATAAGAAGCTGGGGAGAGCTTGCTTGCCTCTTCTGCCATGTGAGGTAAGAGGAAGAAGATGGCAGTCTATGAGGAAGCAAACTGCTGGTGCTTTGGTCTTGGACTTTCCAGCCTCCTGACCGTGAGAAATAAATTTATGTTATTTATAAGCCCCCTGGTCTATGGTATTTTGCCGTAGCCTCACAAGCAGACTAAGACAAATGGTTAAGTTGAAAAAAAAATACCCTACTCTGAGACTCAGACTTAAGAGTGACAAAATAAGAAATAGATGGATTTTTTAGATGTCAGCATGAGGAAATAAATAAATAAACAGATAAATAAATAAAATCCTGAGTTTAAATTCCAGTTCCATCATTTCCTAGCTGTGTGACATTGAATAAGTCATTTGTTATTAATTTCCCCAACTCCAAGATGGGAATGGTAATACCTACATCAAAATGTCATTGTAGGAATTAAATAAATTAAAATATAGTTAAAGCACTTACAATAAAAGCATGTTACAGAAAATAATGGTTGTTGTTATTTCTATTTTTCTAATTATTATGAAAATTCTGTCCACTTCATATTACCCACTGCTTTGTGGATCAAGTATAAGCACTTATTCTGGGAGTAGAGTGTCATGTTGATTTAATTAAATATGGCTAGTTTTCAACTACCGTGGGATTGAGATACAAGTTCCAGGTTTGGAGGACTTTTTGATTCTCATTCTATTCCAGAAAGCCTCTTTAAAAAGGTTAATTTCTCCTTTATATTCCACAGAAAGGTAGTCAGATAACAGAGATGAAACAGATGTCAAACCAATCCTTTATTAATTAATTACATAATTAATTTTAAAAATAAACTTATTTTTTGAGCAGTTATATTAATAGGCTCATAGCAAAATTGAGCAGAAAACACAGATTTCCCATAAAGCACTTGCCTCTACACATGCATAGCTTCTTCCATTATCAACATCCCATACTAGAGTAGCACATTTGTTATAATTGATAAACCTACATTGATATGGCTTTATCACTGAAATCCACCATTTACATTAGAGTTCACTGTTGGTGGTGTACCTTCTATGAGTTTTGACATTAGAGTTCACTCTTTGGTTCTACCTTCTATAAGTTTTTTAGGACAGTGTCCTAAAAACCCTCTGTATTTGGTCTATTCGTCCCTCCTTCTCTCCAGCCCCTGGCAATCACTGATCTTTTCATTGTCTACACAGTTCTGCCTTTTCCAGAATGTCATGTATGTAGTTGGAATCATGTAGAATAGAGCTTTTTCAGAATAATATCCCATTATCAGCATGTATCACAATTTATTTATCCACTCACCTATTGAAGGACATACTTGTTGCTTCCAAGTATTGGCAATGAATAAAGCTGCTGTATAAATATCATCTGCAGGTTATTGTATGGACATGTTTTGAACTCCTTTACATAAGTACCAAGGAGTGTTATTGATTGCTGGATTGCATGGTAAAAGTATATTTAGTTTGGAAAGAAATTGCTAAGCTGTCTTTCTATGTTGCTGCACCAGTGTTCATTCTCACCAGCAATGAATGAGAGTTCCTGAAGTTGCTCCATATTCTCATTAGCATTGGTGTTAACCAGTGTTTTGGATATTGGCTATTCTAATCGGTTGTAGTGGTAGTTTACCGCTGTTTAATTATTTACAATTCTCTAATGATATATAGTGTTGAGCATCTTTTCATGTGCTTATTTGACATCTGTGTATCTTCTTTGGTGAGGCGGTTGTTCAAGTCTTTTTCCCATTTTTAAATCATGTTGTTTGTTTCCTTATTGTTGAATTTTAAGAGTTCTTTGTATATTTTGGATAATAGTTCTTTACCAAATGTCTTTTGCAAATATTTTCTACTAGTCTGTGGCTTGTCTTCTCATTCTCTTAATCTTTTGTTAAGTTTTAATAGCTCGAGTAGTGTTGGCAGAGGTAAAACACTGGTACTAAGAACCCAGGAGTTTATTAAGCAGAATGAACTTTAATTTGGAGATTGTTTTCACAAATTCATTTAAAATATCAATGGTTTTTAGGAATTGCCTCTCTCCTAAAAAAAAAATTCTGCTAAACATTTTGATGAAGAGGAAAATCTAGTCAGCTGCATTCTGGCTCAATTAACTTTATCACCATTCATAAAATACTTATTTTATGAAAGACGTTCTATGTAGCCATTTAGGATTTAAATATTCTTAGTCATGTACATGAATAAAACTTGATTGGGTATAGAATTGTTGGATCACAAATTTTTCTTTCAGTACTCTTCAGAGTTTAATACTTTCCTTCTTGAATTTAGCATTCATGAAAATCATGCAATTAACCATATTATTACATCATTTTTATCTGCCTGGATGAAGGGATATTTATCCCTTAAATAACAACAGAAGACAAGATGTAGGATGGATTTAGACATTAATCTCTTCCATTGATTTTGCTTTGTGAATGGTAAGAAATTTTGATCAGTAGACTAGGATATTTTGATTTTAATAGTTGCTACTTTTTCATTTGTTCTGTTTTTTCTCTTCAGAAATGCCCATCATACCTATATCTTTTTTTCTCCACCCTTATCATAATTCTCATAGTTTTCTTCTTTATTTTTGCCTCAATGTGATATGCATCACTGACTTGGATTTCTAGATGCCATTTTGTTTTTTACCACCACTGCAAGTTTTACTTCTTGATATTTCATTTTATTTCATTATTTTATTTTTCTCTTTAAGTTTTCTCCTCCCATCTCTGTCTGTTTCTCTTTCTTTTAATCATCTATCTGTTAGTTTGGAGTCCAAGTTTACTTTAAATGTTTTCCAAAATTTTGTTTGTTTTTAAATAATATATACTTTAAAACTGTGTCTTTTCTTTTGCATAGTTGAGACCACAATTCCTTAAGATATTGCTAGTCAATTATTTGCAGACCTATGCAAGATTATGTCCATTTAAAAATTCTTGTCAGAAAGACCTACTCTTATCCAATGTTTGGAAATAGGGTAAACACAGTGCTCTAGAGCCCTTCACTATCCATTTAAGTTCAAGCAGAATCCATCTCTCCATACCCACCTTTGAATCTTGTATCTTCATAGATGCCCATTTCTGAGCCAAATCACCAATGTAGACCAGTCTTTCTACTCAGGATCTAAACCATACCAGAAAATTCCATGAAGACTCTTTTTCATCTCTCTACATGTGCAACCTCATAAACTATTTTAGACAAGACTGGGCAGGGTGGTATGCCCGTAGAACTCATAAACCACTTTAAAGTAAATAATGAGTTCTAAATGGCAGTTACAAGATGCTAACTGTTGTTGTTGGGTCAGTTATTTAACCTATTGAAATCCCAATTTTCTTCTTTCTAAAATGCGGATAATAATTTTTGTGCTAGGGGCTGGTTAAGTAATTTAAGTGAGTTCATATTTGTAAAGCATTTATCCCAGAGTCTGGTACAGAATATGCACTCAAAAATCATTCACTATTTATCATACATATTATTTTACAACATTTAGTTTCGCAACTTACAGAAAGATCATGGATTTCAATACACGCTCCCTCTTGAATTTTATAATTATAAAAATATCTACATTATATGTTGTTAAATATAGCTATAATGAACATTCTTGCTGCATCTATTTCACATGATAAGCTACCACTGATGGAAAAATGGATAATGCAAATGATATTGGTACAATAAAATTAGAGAGTACAAAATCAAGTTAAAATATATAAAGTTATTCAGAAGAACTTAAAAACATAATTTAATATATTAGTTTCAGATCACGATTTTACATATAAATTAAGGACAAGAAAAATTGTGCCTAGATCCATATTCAGTGAAAAAAGTCCACTGCATAGATCAGGTCTGATGTAGTGTATTTCACATCCAAGATGACATATAATAGTATTTTAAAGTCCCATTACTTGTTAGGCTGTAAGTCATAGATACATTTACTCTGCAGTGAAAGAAATGTGTTTTTTAATGGCATGTTGAATTAATTCATAGTGCTGGTTGACTTAGCAATATGACTAAATATGTTTGTGTATCATCCCAATTTTATGGGCTAAGTCTGCCCATAAATTTAAACTTCAATGTCTTTCTTAGAGATTTAATACGCTTCTTTGCTAGAGCAGATACTTGGAGAATACATAATAAACATCCACGCTCTAGTTTCTCATAACTATGTGAAGAGCACTGTGCTAGACCACTTTTACTACATTCTATGACAAAAAATCATGGGGAAGTAAGGCTTATAATCTATTTTTAATTCAATTTCAGTTGTGATTTCAACCTACCTGATACATATCAGCAAAAATTGTAGGACGGCTGTCTCTTCAAAGAAAAAAATAAAGTTAAACCCAACATAAGAAATAAATAAAAGGAGAACTATTTTGATGACCTCTGAGTAGACAATTTCAGAATCCTTTTCTGCTTGCCTCACCCAGAAAGCCCAGAGAGAGCTATGCAGAGGAGCTGAAATACAAATTCGTGTTTCTCAATTGAAAATGGGGCAAAGAAAATCACAGAATGCCATTTCCCACTACGATTCTATGTCTCTGGAGTAATTTCAGCTAACATTTATTCAATATCTATTAAAAAATATAATTTACTTACTCTCTAATAATACAAACTCTTTTATCTTTTTTCTTCTTATTAAAAAAACTCATAAAAAGATCATATGTCACTGGTAGACATTAAAATATATTAGTCTTATTTATTTCTTTAGGTAGTTTTTAAAGTTTTCCAATTTTACTGTTGGTGATTTGATTTATTATTTTAAGTCAATTCATGCTAGTTTAATTCATTTAGTAATTCTCACAATTTTTTAACCCGTTAAACTATTGGGCAGGCATTCACTTTTCATTACCAAATTTTCCTTATTCTTTCTAGCACAAAAAACTTAAAAGAAGATTCGATGTACTTATGACCTGATGAATTGCAACCCAGGGCTGAAATATATATGCTGTTTGATACATCAGCTCCAAAAGGTACCAATTATGTTATAAACTATGTACAAACAGAAATGGCAACTTGGCAGCCTCATTTTTCTGTTTTTGTTTGTTTGTCTCTTTGTTACTAGTAATACTGCCTATCTGGAAGGCAGGGAGCCCTCTCTAACCTGTCTCCATATGACTTGTAGTGCATATTCTCTTTTTGTTTGAGCATGTAGTGAGCCACTCAAATGTCCTTTGGCATGGCTGCAGGACATGCTTTTAATTCTTTTTTCAAAAGAAAACAGACAAAAAAAAAACCAGACAAATATAGGGTTTAACATAAGTAGAATATCTCAATGAAAAGAATTTGTTACACTAATTTAATGCCAATATACAATTGGGAGATATGATATCCTTTGAGTTTTAGGGTCAATATGAGAAGAGGAATGGAAGAGGACCTCAAACACAATGGTGTGGAGGACAGTGATTCTAAGGTAACCAACAGTGGTGATGGTACCAGTAATGAAGGAAGAATAATAACTGTAGCTGCCTAGAGGAAACATTTTAAAAAATCACAGCAAAGAAAAGAACATGCAATTGTATTCTAAGTAACAAAGCCAGGTGAGAAGTAAGAATCAAAAAAATGAGATTGTCATTCAAATCCTTGACTGTCTTTAAATTATGTGTATTCTATGATGAAAGATGACTAACTTGAGTCTATATTAACACACAATTATACGCATACCAATTTACCATATTCCCCATGAATATAAAGATCCCTGAAAAATCTAAGCAAATGTAATTCAGCAATGTACATAAAAAATATATACCATTGGCCGGGCACGGTGGCTCACACCTGTAATCCCAGCACTTTGGGAGGCTGAGGCGGGTGGATCACCAGAGGTCAGGAGTTCGAGACCAGCCTGGCCAACATAGTGAAACCCCGTCTCTACTAAAAATACAAAAATTAGCAGGGCATATTCCCAGCTCCTCGGGAGGCTCAGGCAGAAGAATGGCGTGAACACGGGAGGCGGAGCTTGTAGTGAGCCAAGATCACGCCACTGCACTCCAGCCTGGGCGACAGAGTAAGACTCCGTCTCATTTAAAAAAAAAAAAATTAGCCGGGCATGATGGCAGGCACCTGTAATCCCAGCTACTTGGGAGGCTGAGGCAGGAGAATTGCTTGAACCCGGAAGGCAGAGATTGCAGTGAGCCGAGATCACGCCATTGCACTCCAGCCTGAGTGACAAGAGTGAGACTCTGTCACACACACACACACAATATATATTATATATATATATTAGTTTATATATATAATATATATTAGTTTATATATAATATATATATTAGTTTATATATAATATATATTAGTTTATATATATAATATATATATTAGTTTATATATATAATATATAGTTTATATAATATATATATTAGTTTATATATATTATATATATATTAGTTTATATATTATATATATTAGTTTATATATATTATATATATATTGGTTTATATATATATATATATAAAATATATATATTAGCTAAATGGAGTTTATCCCAGGGATGCAAGCCTGGATTAATATTTGAAAATTTATCAGTGTAGTTCACTATATTAATGGCTAAGAAGAAAATATTACTACTGACCTGATGCATGATAATTATATATGATCATATCAATGAATGCAGAAAAAAGATCTGAGAAAATTTACCACTCATTCATTTAATTATGACCTGAGGAAAAAAACCTTAATGACAATATCGCAATATAATCATAATTATAATATGATTATATTTGCAAAGGACTATTATCCAGAAAATATAAAGAACTTACTCATCTTAACAGTAAGAATTAAAGAACACAATTAGAAAATGGAAAGAAGACATGACCAGACAATTTACTGAAGAGGATATACAGATATCAAATAAGCAAATGTAAAGGCATTTGATATCATCAGAAAAGTGAAAACTCAAACCATTGAATTCTCATTACACACATATCAGTTTGACTAAAATAAGAAATAGTGACAGAAGCAAATGGTGGTCAGGATCTGGAGAAACTGGATCACTCATGCATTGCTGGTAGGAATGTAAATGGTACAGCTCCTCTGGAAAACAGTTGGCAATTTCTTAATAAACTAAACATACAACTACCATATGATTTAGCAATTATGCTCTTGGGAATTTATCCCAGAGAAATTAAGACTTATGTTCATGCAAAAACCTGTATGCATATGTTTAGCTTTATGCAACCCAGATGTCCTTCAGCAGGTGAAAGTTTGAAAACACAGTAGTATATCCATATGGAATACTTACTCAGCAGAAAAAGAAAGAAACAAACTATTTGATATACTCAACAACTTGGATGAGTCTCGAAAGAATTATGCTGAGTGAAAAATGCCAATATCGAAAGGTTACATACTGCATGAGTCCATTTATATAACTTTCTTAAAATGACAATATACAGGAATGAAAACGTATTAGTGACTTTCAGGGGTTAATAATGGAAAAGGGGTGTGGGAGGGAAGTGGTTGTGGTTATTAAAAGGTGACTGGAAGAATACTTGGGTGATGAGATTGTTCTGTATCTTGACTACATTAGTATCAATGTCAGTATCCTGGTTGTGATATTATACTACAGTTTTGCAGGATGTCACCACTTTGAGAATCTAGGCATAGGGTACACAGTATCTCTCTGTATGATTTATTACAACTTCATGTAAATGTGTAATCACTTCCAAATGAAAAGCTTAATTTTAAAAAGCTTACCAGTTACTAGTTGCATGCCAGGAATATATTTTATGCATAATTTATTTATTTTAAAAATGATTTTGGCATCAAAAATTTTTATATAGTTTGGAAAACTTTGGAGCCCTTACATAAATTAGAAGCTTTGAAACTGTGCTTGTGAAAATATTCCTCCTCCTTTTTTTCACCCACCAAGAAAATGTGATGATAGTTTGAGAATGGACTACAGACAATATCCCAATTTTGTATCCTTTTGTTTTATGTATAAAATATAAAATTAAGGTGTTGCAAACAAACTTAAGAGAGTTTGGCCTTCACAACACACATTATTTTTGGCAGATAATGACAAACCCCCAAAGATGTTTAAGGAAAGGATTAGCTTCTTCCTCCAAACCTCATTCCAGGTATAACAGCAAGGTACAAGAGCAAATGCATCAATCACTAAGCCATTTAATACACAAAATGCATCAATCACAAAGCCATGTATTACACATTTTATTGGTAAGCAAACATTCAACCTGGTCATTCAACCTGTTCTGTGAGTTCAGTGAAGTCTTAACACACACACACTCTCTCTCTCTCTTTCTCTCTCTGTGTCTTCCTTTTTAGGTCTTCTAATGATGGATTATATAGAATTGTTCAATTGGGGCAAACCCAATAACATTCTACAGGCAGGATTTTAAATTCCTTAATTGGTAATCATGCTATTAGAAAGCCTCCTAAACCAATGTTGGTCACGGACCCAATTAAGGATCAAACCTCCTTAAAAATCCAGGTTATAGACCTCACTGTTTTTAAAAACAATATGTTTATTAAAGGGTTTGTAGTATCTCCATACTATCTTAGTTAATCTACCTATCTTGAATATTTTTAATTTTACTAATGCAATTTTTAATTTCAGTATGTCAATTAGCTAAATGTCAGTTGCAGATCAAGAGACATATAGAAGAATTTATAGTTGCTGCTTCTAAAAGGTAACATATTACAGATCTTTTTCCATAGGATACTTATTGATGTCAACAAATATAAAGGCAGGAGAAATGATACTCTTAACATGCAAATATGTACTCATATAAATTCCATATTGTAATGAGGAAAAGGATCTATATGAGACGTTCTACAAAATAGCATTTTATTGATGCCAATAGGAAAGAGTATATTTTATATTCAATTATGAAATATTAAAAGGAACAAAAAGGGTAGATAAGGGATTGGAATGCATGAAGTCATAAATCAGTGATTCAGATTTGGTGCTGGGGGAAGAGTCCTTTCAAAACAAAGAGATTCTTAAATACAGTGACAAAGACAAAAGAATCCTGAATGTTAGAACTGGGGAAAAATAGGAAACAAAAGGTTAAGAATAGTAGATTTAAGGCTGTACAAAGTCACTGCAAACTTTCTAAAGCAAGAGTCCAGAGGGATAGCCACTTGAGGGATGGTGGATGTAGCTGCAAAGATAATCCTTATTTATAGGCGCTGAAAAAAGCTAAATCTAGGACCAGAAAAAATACTCAATCTGAGACTAGAAAGGTACAAAGTAATGATGTTGGCCTTGTACCAGGGGTTGGAAGCAATAAGCCCTCTTGGAAAAAAAGGCTGTAATTCTGAGAGTCAAATATTAGCAATTTAATGGGTAAATAAGAAAACGAGGCCGGGCGCGGTGGCTCAAGCCTGTAATCCCAGCACTTTGGGAGGCCGAGGCAGGCGGATCACGAGGTCAGGAGATCAAGAGCATCCTGGCCAACATGGTGAAACCCTGTCTCTACTAAAAATACAAAAAAATTAGCCGGGCATGGTGGCGGGCGCTTGTAGTCCCAGCTACTCGGAAGGCTGAGGCAGGAGAATGGTGTGAACCCAGGAGGCGGAGCTTGCAGTGAGCCGAGATCGCACCACTGCACTCCAGTCTGGGCAACAGAGTGAGACTCCATCTCAAAAAAAAAAAAAAAAGAAAAGAAAACGAGCCTTCCGGAAGGGTGCATGTAATTAACATCATCTGTACATAATCAGTTTTCTTAAACTTTGCCCATTTCTATTTAGTTCAGTAACTCACCAAAGTTGCTAAGTAATATTCCTTTGAACCAGATGATATTACATAAGTGAAAAAGTTGACTTGGGGTACTTAGCTCAACAGGTGTGGTTTTGGCAGTGTAATCTCTTGCACTTTTATAATGAAGTGATGATAATAAAAAGTTCACCTTAGACTCACCAGGATGAAACACGACATTTTTGTCTTATAAAGTGGCTTCCTGAATGTTGCTTGTATGAAGTATTATGATACTAAATCTTTGAACATGCTTTTGTTGCACTGACAATAGACAGGGAAGATATGTTCTCCTATTGTCTTCATCAATTTGTACTTCTATAAAAATACCACAGAACATGATAAAGGACAGAAATTTATGTTATCTCAGATCTTGAGGCCATGAGTTTAAGATAAAGGCACTAGATGGTTTGGTGTCTGATGAGGGTCTGGTCTCTGCTTCTAGGGTGATGACTTATTGCTGCATCCTCTGGAGGGGTGGAATGCTGTGTCCTTACATGGCTGAAGAGACAGAAGGGGTGGAAAATGGTGAACTCCATCCACCAAGCCCTTTTATAAGAGGACCTTATTCCATTCATGAGGGCAGACCAATAAATGTCTCTTAATACTGTTGCATTGGGGGCTATGTTTCAATATGAATTTTTCAGAGAACGAATACATTCCAATTATAGCACCTATTTTTATGAGCATTCTGTCAGTCTACCTGGAGCTTTCAGGCAACCAGCTGTAACTTGACACCCAAAGCATCCGTCCTATTGACTTGAGCAGGAGGAGATCTCTAAATACCCTAGAGTCACTTGGTGTCCAGATAAATATGCCTTCCCTGGACCTGCACTGGAGTTAAGTGCTTGGCCTGCTTCTGCTTTTAATTTTAGTCATGCTGTACAATTCCATCATGAGGAATCTTGGAATCTCATGTTTCTCTCGGTTCCTCTAGCTCAGCCAGCAGCAGTTATGGACAGCAGCCATTTGGTATCTATTTATTTGAAGTAGACACTGATATTTCCCCTTAAAAAGCATTCTAGGAAGTTGCACATAAGCCTGCTAGATCTCATCCCTATGTCAGGCCTGGACAGCTTGCCTAAACATTCAAAGGAAAGATTTGAATGACAGCATTTAACTAGGCCTCTGTTTAGTGCAGGGGATTTTCCCTTTAGGTCTTTATCTTTTTACATAGGTTTAAGTAGATTAGAGAAACATCTCCAAAAACTATCAGAAAAAATACTAGTTTTAATAATGTGCTAATAGACATTATGCAAAAAAGTCTTCCATTGTTGAATAACTGGAAAACTCTAGATAAAACAACTTTACTGAAAGATTGTCAGAAACTGAGATTGTGAACCTCAAAGAGGGGACTATTCTATATGTGCCACCTGTTACATACTTGAATGACTATAAAATATTTTTGGTGGGAGAGGCTCATAGGATTATATTTCTGAGGAACACATTTTGAGAAAATCAAAGTAAGACTATTGTTGTAATGATGCCATGATATGTGTTGGATCTTTATTTTGTGTGGCTAGAGATCCTCTAATCTTGGCAAGCAATAATGTTAGGGCATGCCATTGTTAAGAATAGCAGTTTGATCATCAAACAATCTATCTCAAATAATGTTGAACAAAATTGAATTCCAACATTGTAAGTCATGCTTCCCATCTTCATGAATCACCGATTCTAATAGGAGAAAGATATAAACAAATTATGGTATAAGATGACAGTGACGTGTGAATAATAAGATGGCTAAAAGAATGGAGTAACTATATGTGTCTGGAACAACTATGAAAACATTTTGGAAGGCTGCAAGAGGGAGTGGAGTTTGTGGGATAATAAATATTCAGTTTTGAACATGTTATGCCTGAAGATGCTCATACATCATTCAAGTGGAGATGTAGAGAAGACAGCAGTATTAATGGGTCTGTAGTTCAGAGAAGAATCAGATACAGAATAAATTAGAAAGCACTTATATGGCTTTAAAGCCTTCAGACTGAATGAGATTACCAACAGAGCAGATGCATTCCAAAAAGGGATACGTCCAAGTACTGTAGCTCTTCAGTATTGAGCAGTTAAGAAAATGAGGCAAGAGCAAAGGAGAACACGAAGGAGCAGCTAGTGACATTGCAGTAAAACTGAGACAACATCGCATGTTAGGAGTCAATCAAAGAAGAAATATTTATAATTATTTACCCTGCTGTGCATTCTAATCCAACTATATTTGGCAATTTCTGCCAATATTGCCCATGTAGGCCATAGGTACCTGTATCTGTTCCTACTGTTCCTAATCTGGAGGTCAGAATGGAGTTCTTATAATTCTCAATTATCTTCAGACATAACAGATAAAGCAACACAGGTGCTTTATCTGCTATCTCTGCTGCAATTACTTCTCTGCCACAATCACTTATCTCCTTTTCCAAAATCCTAAAAGTTTTGAAAACCAAAAAGAGATTTGCCATTCACTTGGTAACAACTTCATCTGTCCTTTACTCTTTTGGCAGCAAAGCCTGTTTGAAATGATATGAGACAATTTATAATCTTCATTTCCTGCTTAAAGGAGACAGTCATACATTTTGCTTCCAAAAAATATTTCTGGATTTGATTTTGGCATTGCTATCTTAGACCATTCAGCAGGTACCATGTATCTTTGATGTATGAACCTTATTATTTTTTTCCAAACCTGAAAATTTTACATTCTGAATGACATCTGATTTCAGGGGTATTAGAAAAGTAATTGCCATTTTCTATAAAATTATTCTAGCTCTGTGTACATTTCATATAAAACAATATAGTCTTCCTGGAAATACATTAAGATTGTAATAGGCTGCTGGGTAATAAAATAATTCCATTTCCCACCCTCACCTGGATTTAATCTACTTTCTCTAGGAAGAATAATTTTATAATTGCGAACCCAGAGAAAAAATGTCTTAACTTACAAGGATATTTCCTGAATTTTCTGGCTCCCAGAAGATCATTTGGAAAAAACATCAAACCTTATCCATAATTTGTGTGAGGTCATGTTTGATCAACCTTCTGCATCATTTTTTCAATAGATATTTTGAACCTACTCTATATTAGAACTGGAGGGAAAAAGATTTTCCTGATCCCAATCTGGATGCCTTAATTTACACTTCCTCCTCCATGGGTGTAGGAAAAAATATAGGGCTCTTGAGAGAAAATCCTGACAGACAAGTAAGACTTTTGGAAGCAGGTTCATTGGTGCAATACTATAGGGCTTAAGGGCACTATGTCTGTGTAAATGTAGGGCATTTCTTGGTCACCAATTACCCAAACCTGCTCTATACCCTCCTGTTAAGATGGAGGGTGCCTATGATTTATTACTTGAATGAATGAATAATTTTTTATTTTAAAAAGTCTATTTGGGGAAGAAATTGTGTTTAAATTATTTAATATTTTATACATATCAAGACATTTGTCAAGGGTCTTTGCCCATAATGCTGATTGAAAGTATTAAATGATGCATGGTTATGAAAATGCCAGAAAACTAAAGCCAGGAGACTTGTATTCTCATTTCAACCTTGTCACTAGCACTGTGAACTATAGCACTCTCATTCTAAATGTCATCCTTTACAAAACAAGAATAAAACCATTCTTTGCTTCTGCACAAAGTAATTAGATAATGTACATGATAAGATACAGATAAAAGGAGTGAAAGTATAAAACAATGCAAAAATAAAATCACAAAACAATTTTTATTAGAATTAAGCAAGAAGTTGGATATATGTTTGATATATTTCTATATTCTTTTAATGTATGAATTCTAATATAAATAAAAGGTCTTGCTTATAGAAGGCTAGAGACAAAGCAGAAAAGCTTTTTCCCCAGATGGATAGCAGAGCACTAGATCACTGGAGACGACAGTCTAGAGGTCATGTCTCTTTTGATGGAGATGGCAGCAGCCTGGGCAATGCATTGACACCACACAGCAAAGCAGAAAAGACAGCAGAGGGGTGACAAGAGCAGTGATCCTGGAGAAAAGGACTGCAGTTCAGCAGGAGGTAGCTCTGATTCTATGAGACATTCTCAATGCCCATCTCTGACCCAGCAATTTTAACAGAGAAAATGATTTTACCTAGGATCTTCTACTGGGAGGGTTTAAAGACTCTTAATTTAATTAATTTATCTAAGTATCACTGAGGATTCTCAGGAGTATTTGGGATAAAGAACATTAGAAGTTAGGGGGATCTTTTAGTCAAATTGAGCTTTAGATTGTAAATCTATAGGGTTGTGCTCAACAATAGGCAGGGTCTGTGACACCCTAGTTATACTGTAATCCATAATAAATTGATAAGCAATTTTGGATTCTAATCATTTATATATGTATTTTCTCCCTTTCTTTTATGAATATAATGTGTTCTTATGTATTTTTTATTTACATGTCTAGCAATTGTAAACTCAATGGCAAAGAACATGGATGTATTTAACTTTCCATCCAAATTACTCATAATAATGCTGACTCATAATATAACTAAATATTTTCCTGGTAGATAAGGCAATGAATCAATTAGTTCTGTATTTGAAATGATGAAAAACAAGTGACTTTAATAAACTCTTTTGTGTGTAAAAAAACACTGACCTAGTTATTACATAGCTGTGGTAAACTCTTAGGATTTTGGTTGTTTATTTGTTTACTAATTATGTGACCTTTAGCGATTCATTTAACTTCTAGATCATCTTCAATTGTCCATGTATAGTAAAAAAATGCAAGCTGGACTAGATATTTTCTAAATTTTTTTTATACCATGAACATTATTTGTTTGTATTTTAAAACCAAATAAGCCTCTGTTAAGATGGATGTGTGTTTGTGTGTGTGTTTATGTGTAGATGTAAGATACTGATATGATAAAATGAAGAGTATAAGAAAAAATCTGCGACCAAATGCTGGGATGTTAGTCTAATCAAAAACTAAATTTCTTACTAGTGCTGTCTCTCTTTTAAGTCTCCCCTTTTGTTGTTTTCAAGATAGCATTGGGTATTTTCATGGTGGCAGGAAGAATCCTGGAACCATATTTAAGTCTCTTGTGTGGTTGAATCACTATGGTCTCTACTGCCAAAGTTGGTCATCCCTCAATTAGCTTCGGAGACTTCCTTGTTTTGACACTGTACTTACTCAGCCCATTGGTTTATTATGTCATTTCTAAATGTATCATTAGGCATATGAGAATGCATTACATCATATGTAGGTTGTAGGGAATCTGGGACACTCTCTCAGCCACTGTGAAGCTAACACAGGATGGATACCAGGGGGACTGTGGCATCATGCTGAGTAAATAAGTTTTCCAAACATTTAGCAACTTTCCCAGGATATGGGAAATAAAGCAAGGAGCAAGCCTGGAAGTTTTTTTTCTTTTTTTTTTTCACCTCAAAACACACATGCATTAGTTTTTTATATTAAACCTATTTGGCTATGTCTACCATTCTCTCCCATCAGGTTGACCACCAGGTGAGGTTGACACCAGGGACACCCATGTCTGACCTTTTGTTCTGCCAATTTTTACTCTTCTTTTCAACAATAGAAGAGCTTTCAATCATGAATTCACGTTTCATAGAATCTTCATTTACATTATCTTCCTTATCCATCCGTATAGTTAAAGTAAATACATAAATTAGTCTTGAAAATGAAATAGTATTGAAAGTAAAAAGAAGGGCAAATGGTAAACTGGATGAATGACTGAACAAAATTTTGGCTGAAATCAAGACTGTCCTTGTCATCACACTACCTATGGTGAGATTGTATGATTAAAGTAAACTATGTTTGACTAATATTAAAGAGGAACTTTTAGAGTTTAGAAGACTTCTTTCTTAAGAAAGTATGACTTTCAAAAGTATTGTTTTGCTAGAGACTCTATGAGGTCAGCTTTCAGGCACCACAATAAGCAATGATGACTTCAGTCTGGGCAGGAGCCACATTTCCCTGAAGCAACACTCGCCTTTGGTAGTACTGATTGGGTGCCAGTGGGGGTGATAATTATGAGACTGCCATCATAGAAATATCAAAAGGCCTTCATCTGATATTTTAGAATATTTTTCCTTTACATGTAATATGAGTCTAGGGTAAAAGGCAAGATTTAAACGTAAATTGTATCAATTTTATTGACTGAGAGATTGACCTGTAGTAGATCTTTCTTTTTCTACTTCATTTACTACTTATGTTACAACTTTATCATAATCATTTTGAAACTTTAAAAAATGAGAATGATGCATTTAATTGCACATGTACAGTGAGTTAACTGCGCTCTAAGTAAAGATGAAACCTTAATACTAGAGGTGGTGTACAAAAATATTTTACTCGTGCAAAATGAGGGGTTCTGTTATTTTAATATTAAAGAAAGTAGATGGCCAAATTGTTAATTGCTAACCCATGTTATATTCTGAATTCATGTTTTCGAGAAATGTATTACCAAGAAGTTTTATTTTCTTTCTAATATTAGCAGCCAGAACAATCTGGAATGTAGAATTATAAAGAACACAATTATTTTTCAGTTGCATACACGGAAAGCCTCTAGTGCCCCCAATAGAAGGAAATGCCATAGGTCATTTTAACAATGTTATTTATAGCTATCTGGGTGAGTAAGTTACCAGAGGATGTGACAGGACATTTTAGTTTTCATTATGCAGTTTTCTCATTTGTAAGGTTATGTCATTAGTTTCTAGATGTATGTAGACTGTGTAGGAAGAATATAAACGGGTTGAAATGAGTGGACTCTAAATTCTGAAGTGTCTAAAATGTACTTTAGAATGGCTGAATGGCAAAGGCAGAGGGAAATGGAGGTCAAATGAATAATTAAATAGGGCTTTGATGGTTAACAATATCTAGGTTATTACAATTTTGTTAAGCATTTGCAGTTGGGGAGGATTAAAAAACATTAATGGAAAAATCAAAAGGTACAATTAAAAGCAGTTCAAAGCCCAAGTTTATTTTTTTAGAGTAAGCAAATTAGACTACCAAAAGGTCAAAATAATTTTAAATTAGGAAAAAAAAAAAACACAAGTGTTAAAGGAAGAGAATATGAAGCGAGCAGTCATCTGGAAGGTACCCTGACAAGCAAAAGATAGGAATATCCAGCTTCCACTTGGACATCTACCAGAAGGGGTACAAGTTTTGTATAATGAACATGCACGGTTACTCATTTAAACAGGCTAAGGCTAAGAAAACCCAGAGAAACAAAAATGTTTGGGATGGGGATGTAGGTTCGGGTGGGTTAAGTTAAAAATTTCGGCCTGGCGCGGTGGCTCACGCCTGTAATCCCAGCACTTTGGGAGGCTGAGGTGGGTGGATCAAGGGGTCAGGAGTTCAAGACCAGCCTAGCCAAGATGGTGAAACCCCATCTCTACTAAAAAATACAAAAAATTAGCCCGGCGCAATGGCAGGCACCTGTAATCCCAGCTACTTGGGAGGCTGAGGCAGGAGAATTGACTCGGAGGGTGGAGGTTGCAGTGAGCTGAGATCATGCCACTGCACTCCAGCCTGGGTGACAGAGACTCCATCTCAAAAAAAAAGAAAAAAAAATTCATGAGTTAAAATGGAAGGAAGCTTTGGCAAAAGAAAATACAAAATTAGATTCTTAATTGCCAGCTTCCTCTATCAAATTGAGGAAAAGATAGATTATACCATTAACAAAAAATAGGCACAAGATGCATACACCGAAAACATCATCCACTTAGAAATGAAGCATTTTGATATAAAGCCCCAGTAGAATTAATTCTTGTCTCCTGTGCAATTATAAAGCCACTTTCTAAAGAAAATTTGAATCATAAAACAAAACTACATTATTAATAAATAAGAAAAAGAGACAATGTTTATTTTTAAGTTTAATAAGATGTTTCAAATTTGCATGAAGGCAGGTTCACCAAGACAGTTTCCACATACATCTGGTGACAAATTTTCAGACCTGATAAAATGTTTGTGAGTCTTTCTTCATTACTGTGAAATGTACAAGGCTTAACTGTTTTCTTTTTAATCAGCAAAGTTAGAACAAGATATTTATCTACTTCTTTAGGCATTTCAGTGTCATCAGAAGGTAATAAAAGACAGAAAATGAAAATAAGAAAATGGAAAATAAAATTTACCATGAAATAGCAACACAGGCAAAATGTATACTTAATTTGGATTGTGTACGCCAAGTGATTTGTGTTTGTAACAGTGCTATGTGACTTGTGAAGACAGATTCTCAATAGTAGAATGGAAAATAACTAAATTCAAATGTTTCCCAAGGAGTTAGAGATAAGATATATGGTGCATTAAATTAACTACTGCATATAAAGAAGAATTGATGCACATAAAGCTGGAAACCAAATGATGCTACTAGCCAAGGTCATTGACTAGATCTATGCAGATAGTACTCTGCATAACTTTACAGGATACCATTTAGGCCTCTTTATCCAGGGACTACAAAATAGTAGACTGTTAACTTTTTATTTCATAATTGTATTGGCTGAGCTAAACAGGTTAAATTCAAGACAGCTTAACCCCAAGTTGTCAGCTGGTTATTTGAACAAGTATTCCAGGGCTTTAGTTGAATTCAGGATGAAGTTTCCTCACATCACTTCACTTTTCATCTCTTGCCACAATATCCTAACCTCAGCTTCTGATGTGGTGGATAAGATGACCCCTCCACTCTCTCCAGTCACAATTGCCATGCCCCCACCTGGTGTCTGGAGCAGAAACTCAGGGCATGGGAATCATCGCATTTCCAGCTTTCCACAAATTGAAACTAGTATTGACTTTAAGGAAACAGAAGGTAGGTAAAATGATATGGGAGAATAATAAGTTAAGCAAAAACTACTGCCAATTCCAGATCTGTCTTGGGATCTCTTACTAGACCAGTTCTTTGGTTTATATCAGTTCTATGTCACTTAGGGAAGATCACAGTATCCCTCCCACCCCTTAACATCTAAAACCACTTAGAGTCTGGAAGGTTTCCTTTCTCTTCTCTATCTCCCGCTTCCACCAAGACCCATAGAGCAAGTTTACTCTCCAGCTTTTAAAAAAGCTTGCCAGCTCAAGGTCTTAGTTGTCTAGGATGAATGACAGCAGGAACATCAAATCTCTTAGGGAAAAATATCAGCAACCTAACTTATAAGGATGTGCTCTGGCTCCAGTGCCCCTAAAGACAATTTTAAAGATATTACAACATAAGCACAGTGTGAAATATATCAGCCTTATTCATAGTCTCTTAATGTGGGTTTATGTGTTTATAATCACCCATTTGTTTTTTAATCACCATATTTGTTAATGCAAAATTGTACAAAAGAACAGTCACTTTTATTATCTTTGGGTAGATTTGTACCTCTATTTTACTGAGTACATTATGGTGAATAATATTAACTTGAAAAAATAAAAGGCCAGTTGGCCAAGTTAAGTCCCATTAGTTCAGGAGTCTATGAACACCCAGAGGCTTAAATATCCTATTTCAACATCGTGAAGTTTAGGGAGAAATATTATGTAGGCACAGGAAATAGAAAATAGAAGAAAACCCAATTTGATCTTTGGGTACAAAAATCACACATATGTTTTCTATGCTTTATCAATTATCTAGAAGAGATTCACTTTCTAGCTGAAACAACAGTTTATGAATCTCCCATCATAAATGTTAATTTCCAAAATAATACCTTCAACACTTGGCACTCACTAAACATCTGTTAAATGCAAATGCAGTATGTTTTTAAAGTAATGGCTGTTAATGACCACATCTACTAAGTATCTATTTAACTGAAGGAACATAATGTGGGTTGTGGGGAAATATGATTTGATTTATTTCATGATTATAATATCAAATATGACTTTCATGCAAGGATTAAAGAAATATTTCTGAATTTACTATTTTTGTTTTTAGTTTATTCTAATCTCTATTGTTAATGACTTCTTTATATTCACTTTGAGAGCCTGCAGTATTAGACAATTAAGTGTCTTCATTGAATAAAGACGGTAGTTGCGCACAGGAAAGAGAAGCTTTTGTAGCTCTTTTGTTTCCATATAGGAAAATCTGAATCCATCCACAAGGCCTGGTTTATGGCTCTTCCAGGTTGTGGCAGCAATTTTTTCATAGTTCTTTATTAGAAATGATTGTATTGAGCTCTTTGTAGTTAAGTACTTACCTTCTTTGTTGTTGTAGTGTCTAGGGTGGTGATAATATGTAGAAGATGTTCAATCAATGCTTCTAGGAAAGTAAGAATAAGTGAATAAATGGTTGAATGGATGAAACCTTAATGAGGCAAAAAAAGATGCATTCAATTTTCAAGAAACAAGAGGTTAAGGTACAAAATTCTTTAACGTTTAACCTTTTATTCTTGCATTCCCCAGCACCACCAACCTATTTACAATGATTTAAAATTATGTTATAATATTGTGATGAAACATTAGTTTCATCTTTTATCCTATGAGAAAATGTGTCTATGGAGTAACAAAGGCTTCTGAGGGAATGGACTGAACTGATAGCTTTTACAAGAAAAACATATAGATTCTTTCCTATGGCAAGCATCAGGGACTTGGCAGAACTAATATAAAAAGAAAAAATGAGTTTGAGCTTCTGTTTCTGTTTGTGAAATCCATATTTTATATTACAGTGATTGCCAGGAGAATTCAGAAAAGCTGAGATGTATTAAAAAATAAAACATGTAACCTTCGGAAGAGCCCTTCTCTAAGAATCTTTTCTTCTACACAAAGATGTTATTAACTGTAGAGTTAATCTGAAATTGCAGAGATTTCAATAAGAAAGATCATTGTCAACATTTCCATTGCAGAAATAATGTTTCATTTTTCTAGAATTAATCACAACATTTTAAAACCATATGATACATGAAAAGTAAGGATGGAGACTGCGTAGAGATTTGCTCTTTGAAATGTAATTTAGAGACCACATTGGGGTAGATTTTGCCATAAATGTCCCCAATCATATATTATGCATACCAGGCCCTTAATGCAATAAAATTCCTGAATGTTAATCATTATTATGTAGGTAACAAGATAATTCTTGTTATAAATGATATAAATAAGACACATCACTTGATATTGAATGTAAAATTTCCGGAGTGGTTGAAAGAGAAAATCCTGCAAAGTGAAAACGGCCATATGTAAATTGACGTTTAAAGGACTTGTGACCTCATCTGCCAAACCAGGACTTTAGCCCCGTGATGATACTGGGAATGCCCATATGGCAGGGTCTCAATGCATGCTGGGCATCTACGTTTTTCTTCTCACTTTGTTTTCTTGGTAAGGATCTTAGTTTCCTGCTGTTACCATAACTACCCAGTGATAGAGCCAGCTGCTACTAATAAAAATCCCTCTTCAACCCATCAGGTGTATGTTCTCCTAGACCTAAGTTTCCCCAAAGATAGGCTGTGTCTAGTATAAATAAAGAGAATATCCTCTACTTAAGCTTTTTATTGTTTTAATTTAAAAAATTATTATAGTGGACATACAATAATTATACATATTTGTGGAGTACAGTATGATATTTTGTTACATGTATACAATATGTAAAATCAAATCAGAGTATTTAGCATATCTTTCGCCTCATAGATTTATTTCTTTGTGGTGAGAATATTCAAAATTCTCTCTTCTAGCTATTTTGAAATACACAATATAATATTGTTAACCCTAGTCAACCCACTCTGCAATAGAACACCAAACTTATTTTTCCTATCTGTAATGCTGTACCCATTGACCAATCCCTATCCTCTCATCTCTCCTCCTCTCCCCAGGTCCCAGTAGCTACTATTCCACTCCCTACTACTATGAGATCAACTTTTAGATACCACATATGAATGAGATCATCCAGTTTTGTCTTTTGGTGCCTGGCTTATTTCACCTAACCTAATGTCCTTCAGGTTCACCCATGTTGCCACAGATGACCGGATTTTATTGTTTTCTATGGATGAATAGTATTCCATTGTATGAATATACCACATTTTCTTTATTCATTCATCTATTGATGGATACTTGATTCCATTTCTTGTCTATTGTGAAGAGTGTGGCAATAAACATGAGAGTGTAGATATCTCTTCAGCATACTGATTGCATTTCCTTTGGATATGAACCCAGTTGTGGGATTGCTAGAATACATGGTAGTTCTATTTATATATTTTGTGGAATCTGCATACTGTTTCCCATAATGGCTGGACTAATTTATGTTCCCACCTGTGTATAAGTCCCTCTTTCTCCACATTCTTGCCAACATTTGTTATTTTATATGTTTTCGATAATAGCCATTCTAACAGGTGTGGGGTGATTTTTTCTCTAAAGTTTTGATTTGTATTTTACTACTGATTAATACTGCTGAACATTTCTTAGGTCAGGCGCAGTGGCTCACGCCTGTAATCCCAGCACTTTGGGAGGCCGAGGAGGGTGGATCACGAGGTCAAGAAATGGAGACCATCCTGGCCAACACGGTGAAACCCCGTCTCTACTAAAAATACAAAAATTAACTGGGTGTGGGGACGTGCGCCTGTAGTCCCAGTTACTCAGGACGCTGAGGCAGGAGAATCGCTTGAACCTGGGAGGCGGAAGTTGCAGTGAGCTGAGATGCCGCCACTGCACTCCAGCCTGGCGACAGAGCAAGACTCCGTCTCAAATAAATAAATAAATAAATAAATAAAGCTGGACATTTCTTCATATACCTTATGGCCATTTATAAGTCTCTTATTGAGAAATGTCTATTCAGGTCTTTTATCCATTTTTAAATTGGATTATTATTATATTATTTTTTTCCTGTTGAGTTTCTTATTAATGATGAATATTAACCCTTTGTCAGATACATAGTTTATAATTTTTTTTACCATTTTGTAAGTTGTCTTTTTACTCTATTGGTTATTTCCTTTGCTGTGCAAAAGCTTTTTGGTTTGATATAATTCTATTTCTCTACATTTGCTTTCATTGCTTGTGCTTTTATCTCATCCAAAAATTCCTTGCCCAGACCAATATGATAAAGTGTTTCCTCTGTTTTCTTCTAATACTTGTATCATTTCAGGTGTTACATTTACGTCTTTAATTCATTTTGAGTTGACTTTTTTTTTTTTTTTTTTTTTGAGATGGAATCTTGCTCCGTCGCCCAGGTTGGAGTGCAGTGGCGTGATCTTGGCTCCCTGCAGCCTCCACCTCCCAGGTTCCAGTGATTCTCCTGCCTTAGCCTCCTGGGTAGCTGGGATTACAGGCATGCAACAATATGCCTGGCTAATTTTTGTATTTTCAGTAGAGACGGGGTTTCACCATGTTGACCAGGCTGGTCTCAAACACCTGACCTCAGGTGATCTGCCCCCTTCAGCCTCCCAAAGTGCTAGGATTACAGGCATGAGCCATGGTGCCTGGTCGATTTGATTTTTTTAATATGGTGAGAGATAAAAATCTAGCTTTATTCTTCTGATTCTTCTGCATGTGGATATCCAGCTTTCCCAACACGATTTATAGAAGAGATTGTCCTTTCTCCATTGTGCATGCTTGGCAACTTTGTCAAAAATCAGTTAGCTATAAGGTCATGGATTTATTTCTGTGTTCTCTATTCTCTTCCTTTGGTCTATTTGTCTATTTTTATTGCTACTACCATGCTATTCTGTTTATTATTGCTTTGTAGTATATTTTGAAGTCAGGAAGTATAATGCATCAAGCTTTGGTCTTTTTGGTCAAGATTGCTTTGGCTATTTGAAGTCTTTTGTGGTTCCATACAAATTTTAGTATTGTACTTTTCTATTTCTGTGGAAGAATATCATTGTTATTTTGATATTGCTTACACCAAATCTGCAGATCACTTTAGACATTTTAACAATATGAATTCTTCCAATCTATGAGCAAAATTGCCCTGTTTGCAGATGACATGATCATGTATATAGAAAACCCTAAATATTTTACTAAAAAAACTCTTGGAACTAATAATCAAATTCAGTAAAGTTTTAAGATACAAAATAAACATACAAAAATCTATAGCATTTCTATATATGAATAGAAAACTATCTGAAAAATAAGAGAGCCTCATTTACAATAGCTACAAAAAACACTTAGAAATAAATTTAATCAAGCAGGTAAAAGATCTCTACACTGAAAACTATAACATTGATGAAAGAAATTGAATAAGACACAAAGAAATGGAAATATATTCTATACTCAATCTCTCTTAAATTTAGCCTTTGTCACAAAGACATAAAAGTAATGCTGCTTATGACTCACAATTGAACTTTCAGTGAATCACATTTAGTGAAAGGAGTTTCTCCATGTTCTTGCTATGGGTGGGTCTCCTTCAGGTCTCAGGCTCAGTTAAGAGGCTTATCAGAGTTCTAATCTCTGAGACATACATTCTGTAGTACTATGTATTTCTCTCCACCTTCTTTCAACCTTATTTTTCTTCCTTACTGTATGTTCAGTCATTCATCAGGGCCTAGAGTTATACTATGTTTTCCAATGCCCACAGTAAGGTTTAGGTTTCACTTTGAAACTTTTGCTATTAATATTTACATATTGACCTAGTAAATATGGTCTGGTCTACTTAATAAGAAACTAACATTTGGGCTGGGATTGGCTGGGAGAAATGAGTATATCAGACCTAGGGTACTATGATATATTTATTTCCTCAAATTTTTGTCCAAAAATATAATTTTCTTTGTTTTCCAGATAGAAGCCTTCTGATTGAATGTACATAGATCTGTATCAGGAAACCCAAGAAATAAAAGTATTAGGCTTAATTGTTAATGTGTCAAGTGCTTATTCTTTCATATATTTAATGTGTTTTTCCTAATTTTATTAATAAACTATAGAAGATCTTGTCAAAATAAAAGTAAATTTACTAGTCTGTGAAAAGAAAGGCCCAGGCCACATGCTTTGAGTGTTTTCCAGACCTCTCCTAGGCGTCCTAGTCTCTATTCTATTATGCATTAATTTTGTGGCCATTGTTGATCACACAATTGTTTTGACTCAGTGGCTTCATGTGTAAAACAAAGATACTCATGCAGTATAATCTGACCTGAACGATTATTAGAAAGAAATGTCTAAGATCTTCACAGATGAACATAAGATGTTACATAAATCAAAGATTTTGAATACTTCTCATTTTCCTAGGCAAGAAAGGACATTTTAAGACACTTATTGTTATATATGCTTGTATATATGTAAAATGGGTTAATAGTAAAGAGACCCTAGAGTCATTGAAAGGCTTAAATGAGTTAGAACATAGATAGTGTTGAGAACAGTATTTAGTGCCCAGTACATAGTCAACAAACATTAGCTGTAATTACCAGGCCACATGTTTCACTCTGTGACCCCGCCCCAAGACAAGAGTTGACTGACTGAGGTGTGGACATCTGAATAATGTGGACCATTCAAATCTCCATCTCTTTCTGTCTCTCTGTCTGTCTTTCCCTCTTTCTTTTGAATGTTCGTGTGCATATGGATGTGCTCACAAATTTCAACTTAGAGGAAGGGGAAAAGGCGATGCTATGAATTGGGAGCTAACTTACGTCCATAAAGGTCCAGTTGGAAGTTTCAGAAGTTCTGCTGTTGAGGTCTTGGGAGCTCCTATTACAATACCATCACAGTTTAATTTTTTCCTTGGCTTTAATGGTATTCCCCCAGCATGATTCAAATAAATTCTCAGTTTTGGGGATTGTGTGTTAGTTAGCTCAGTGAAATTGCTGTCCTTTGCAATTAAAAAAAACAATGCATACAGATTATATGTGCTATTTAACTGATTCAGTAATTACTCTTTATAGTTTGGTGTACAAGATATAGTCATATGGCAGTACTTTTACCTCATGAGCTACTAATTAGTTCCATGTGGAATACTTCAAAATACTTTTGAAATTGTCCAAGTTAGAAATATGTTCTAACAGTCATATTAATGAATATAGGAAAATACTTGTGTTCTAGAAAACCAGGCCAAGTGACATTTGTGAAATGTAGGAAAGAAACAAATAAGGGACCAGATCATAGATTTCTTCACTCATTATAAGGGCAATTTGATTAAATCTTAATAATTAGTAATTATTTTGTAAAATATCAAAATTGATTTTTAAATTGTAAAGTTTGAATTTGGAATTACATTTTTGCATGGAAATTTAGATTTTTTTCCAGGAAATAAGTGGCTATTTATAATTAACTAACATTATTCATAAATTATTTTTATGAGTTATTTTGTATATTTTTTGCAGACATTTTCATTTTTGTCAAGTAGGATAATCGTGTCAAGTTGAAGTACTTAAAAATAAAGAAATAAACTCTATTATGGGTTAAGAAGACATTTTCTTCTCAGTGGCTGCGTGTCTAGTTATTCTTCTTATAAAATACGTTTACTCAAAACAAGGATTATGTGTGATTTCATCTGTGCCAATTCTAAATAGAAATATCATTATAAACCTAATGTCAAATTCTAATCACATTTGAAAATTTTTAGAACAGCTTCATTTGTTTGAAGAAATACAAGGAAAAAATCCATCCCCCCATTCTCTCAAATGCATAGTATTGACAAATTAAAAAAAAAAACTTTTGAAAAGGATACAAAATAAAACAAAGGGAATATTAGAGGATTTCTCTAAATGAAAGGAAGGATGACTGATTCTGGTAGTCTTTGTCCTCCAAAGATACACTTATTACTTAGTTCAACTATATTTATGAATTGTCTACCATAATCCAGGTGCTGGGCTTGGCACTGGAGATTAGGGTAGAAAAGAAAGGCTCAGTGTCTGCTTTTACGGCTTCTAAGAGATTTTAGGACAGCAAAGATCATTATTGACATTGCCAGAAATGTTTGCTGAGAACATCAAGAATTGGTATCTAAGATTCTATATAAAGGGATAAAACTAAACAGACAGACAAAATCTCAAATATAAAAGATAAAATATCGCAAGTTGGCACCATTGAATGGAGGACGAAATTCTCCTACATCCAAAACACTTTAAGCAAGACTGCTTTCTGGCTAAATACTATAGTGGCATTCATAATAATTCCAAGTCATCACTTTTAAAAAATGACTCTAAGTCATTATCCAGCAACTCTGTTCCCTTGGCGAACATCTGTGTAACTAATATGTATTAAGTGACTATTGAATGCCGGAAACTGGTCTAGCAATGAGAATTAGCAATAAACTAGACAGATGAAATCTATGTTCATGGAGTAAATGTTTTATGCATGTAAAATGTATATAAAGCTTATTTAAGAAGAAAAAATAGAGTCTAATATAACTGTTATCATGAGAACCTGGAATTTTGTGTTGGTTATTTAAAAATTTGCTTTAATTTTCTCCCCCAAATATTGAAAATATGCCCAATTTCTTTTAAGAACATCTTAGCACAGATCGTTAGTGGCTTAAATGACTTAAAATGAATTTTAGAACCAAATTTACACACAATATTTGAAGAGACATGTTTTATGATAGCAATGAAACATTTTGTTTGAAACATTCTTGTAAATATAGGTAAGAAAAAGGGAAGTATTTTGAAGATTTACTCCTTTAACCAATCCAATCTTTTTTCTAAAATACTGCCTCCACAGTTGTCTGCATAAATTTATTCTTTGTCAAAATTACTTATTGCTAGTCCTTAAAAATTATGTGCCTTCTAATTATATTAGATTTTCCAATCCCTGGAGCCAAGGTGGTGAGTACTACCAGAAGTGTCTGTCACATTTCTCCCTCTCTCTCAACCACAGTAACAGACTGTGAAGGCCAGTGTAAGTGTTTTGAACTCAAGTAACCAAGAGAGAAGATGTGCTCTTTGATACTACAGACAAGGCAGCAATAGGGCCATGAAAGAAGAATGTTAAAAGGTGTTTCATGTATAATGAAATCCCCCTGGAAATAATATCAGATGAACTAAGGGACTATGTAAATCAACTTTCACCTGATGTGCATTGCCTTATTTTTAATTACCTCCTTCTGTAGGATATCATGTGTATGGAATGTTTTCAGAAAGCTAAAGAAAGCAATGTCCTTGTATCTGAGAGTTGTGAAGGTTGTGGGTCCTGTGCAGAGTGGTGGTGAAAATACATCCCAAGTGGCTTTACAGATTTCCAGTTTTCCAACACTTTAATAAGATGTCAGACATCAAACAACTACATGGCCTTCACCCTAGATACCTTGAGAGGTGGAGAGTACAAGACCATGAGACATTTAGCATTCTAGGAGTCCTAGAAGCTTTGCAAGCATATCCAAAGTTACTAGATGTGGAAACCTCTCATTTGTAGTTGGCAGAGTCCATTTGGACAAATATGGCACATGTTCTGTAGGTTACCTACAGCATAACCTACTGCCGCTGTGGGTTATATTTTAGGGAAATTCTTGTAATGAATGATGAATCATTTCTGACTCCTCCTGAAAATAAACTGAAAATTTCTATGAGATCCAGAATAAAAACTTCATGTTTAGTAGGGGTAAATGTTCCTGAAATTCTTTATAGTTCAACCCTCAGACACCTCTATTTGGAGTAGTTAAAAGTTACTAAACCACTGCTGTTTAAAAGCTTTCTGTGCATCAGCTTAAGATCTTTCATCATGAGGAAATGTAAAGGACCCTTAAATTCCTGAAAATACATCTTTTTAGTAACATATTTAGCCTCTTCCTGAAACTAGGAACACCTAGAAATGGTTCCAGTTCCTTTCATTGTAGGTCTCATCTGATATGTAATTGGAGGCAGTTAGAGATCACATGATTTTAGAAATTTGTGCAGTATTGTTTGGGGAGTTTGCAAAAATGCTCTTAAAAAAGATCTTAGTTCTTCACCCTCACTGCCCTGTAGCTTACATAAAGTTTGAATCCAGCATTCCTGAACCAACAGTTATGTCTTTTTTTTTCATTAAGATGTCAGAGTTGAAGTTCTACAAGTGTGAAACCCACCATCTGGGATATGTAGATGAGTGAGCTGCAGAGCAGAATGGCTGATGCAGATCTGGTAAAGTATGGTTTGACTGATGTGGTAGAATATCCTGGTATCATCATCATTATAGGAATAAAGGTAATCAATGAAGTTTTTCCTATATCAAATATCTGTAATTTATAACTGTCTTATCTATATAAACCATACTATTGGATCTCAGACCACTCGAGATGGAATTGATTGGTTAATATCAGCCTAGTTCAGTGCCATATACTGAAGCCTGATTCCTTCGGCCAGTTTATTGAATTGTTGCCCAGTTGGAGTTTATTTGACTGGACTATATTGTTTCGTCAACCACTCAAGGGCTATACTTGAGTTTGCTTTAGTGCAGGCATAGGAATTTGGGTTTCCTTGGCCCTTGTTAGCAAATAGATCTCCAAGAGTAACAACGATAATAATGCCCAGAATAATAATGCCAACATCCCAAGACAACAATTGCCATCACAAAGATAACTCAAATGAGGACAATGACTTTCAGCAAGACCTGCAACCAGGACAGCAGCAGTTTGCACCTGACACGTTGAATGAGATGGAAGACAAGTGCAAGAAGATGGAGAGGTGGTGGCTGAGAGTGGAAGTAATACTCCAGCTAATAGGCAATTATTTTTGTGAATACTAATGAGAAATAAGCAGGACCCAGTAGTCTTCAGTATGGAGTAAAACCAACATCAGTTACTGTTCATTATTCAGAGTGATGATGAAAAAGACAACCTAGAACTTCAAGAAGTCTGGACTCTTAAGAAGGGTGCTTGTCAATTACTCTGAGCTTAAATTACAAATCAGAGAGTCAGTATAGTCCATAGCATTGTCAGACGTTGCCAAAACAAAGTCACACCATGCCATGAAGCCGAAGTAGATGGCAGATAACCCCATCAGTGTCAGTGATCCTGTGATAAAGGGTGACCATGTGCATGTCTTTGTATTAAAATCCAAAAATCTTGTGGAAATAATTATGACAAACTATGAAGTCACAGATCTAGTGCTGAAAAACTGTTTCAAGATGAGATTCATTCATATTATGAGGCACAAGTTACTGAAACATCTAAAAATAGAAAATGCACAAATTGTAAATTAATTTGACTATGTACAATACAAAAAACTAAATATGGATTACACATTAGACTAGATACTAAGGATGCCTCCTGAAAGAAATCATATCATATACCTATGCCCAATGTAGCAGGTAAACGCACTACCTTTGGAGCAGAAGTTATTCAGTGGTCTCTACCCCTGTCTATCATATCTGTATTATCCATGAATTCAGTAACCCTCCCAATATCTGGAACAAAGAGTGGATTTGCAGCTGAATAGACACAATAGAAAACATCAATCAAGCATTTGTTAAGTATGAACACTTCCATGAAGCCACTTAAAATGAAGATCACTTCCCTTTCACTGCTCCTGAGTACCCCTGGGAATGAAAAATGTATATTTAGAAAGTGCTGTGGTTGGAGCTTCCTGGCTGAGGTCACTATAGCTGCAGAGTCCAACAGCTTTGCCTATATGAATTTGAAAATAGTGAAGCGAACACCGTCCATGCTCCTTGAAGGAAACTATCTGTAGATTTTTGTATTAAAATAATAGAAGAAGAAATTCCTAAGACCCAGCCCATGAAAATGGTCATGAGCAAGTGGTGGCAATTTGCATCCAATATTGTGTTAATGCAGAGCCAATTGAAATGACTACATTTGATTGGTTCCTTCTGCTTTCCAGCAATTCTGGCAGAAAGCAGATGCCAGCCAGGGTTATTCAGCAGCCAGAGTACAGTAAATCCTCACTTACTGTCTTGATAAGTTCTTGGAAACTGTAACTTTAATCAAAATGAGGTGCAATGAAGCAAATTTTAACATAGACTAATTGATGTAAACAAGAGTTAAGTTCCTACAGCATATTTCTGGTCACAAAAACATCACCAACTTCTAAATGAAGAGCAAAACACTTCTAATATTAAACATTAAAGTAAGCGTGTGCTATACAGACATTTAAGACAGATTAATAAAAACAAGCAAGGTAATTATTGTACCCACTTACTCCAGTTTAGAGTTGCAGGTGGCTGGAGTCTCTCTCTATAGCTCAGGGTACAAAGTGGGAATTTACCCTGGACAAGATGCCATCTTATCACAGGGTGCACTCACACACACCCATATTCACTCAGACAGGGACCACTGAGACACACTAATTATTGTAACGTGTATAGCTTTGAGATGTAGGAGGAAACTAGAGTACTCAGAGAAAATCCTTCAGACATGGGAAGAATGTGCACACCACACAGACAGTGGCCTCAATGGTAATCGATTTATTTAGTTTTATCATCAATGTTATAAGGAATCAACACTCAACAAAACAGTGTTATTTGAGGATCTGCTGTGTTCCACAGGGACTCGAGTCATGCAGCTTGGAGGTCCTGCCTCAGTTTGTTATACAGAAGATGCATAAGGAGCATTGAAATTGTATGCAAAGGTTTACACATAGAGGAAATAAAATGACATTTCCTAAAGGAATAACCTTATACCATATGTTTATATAATTTAATTTAAAAATTGATTTTAATGAAGGCAGATAATTTGAAAGATTGCTCATATTTTCTGACAGTTGATAAAATGCCATTTTTTGACTGAGTCTGCATTTACTCTGTTCTTAATAAGCATTCCGTTAAATCTGTATATTTTTCTTATAGAGTGAAGCTCAGTAAATCTGATGAAGAGTGAAAGATAAATAAATCATTAAATTTGACAATCCCTATAGACATACAGAGGATTGGATATATTCTTCTTAGCAACTGTTTAGGCTTTTTGATGTTTTCAAAGATGATGTAACTGGAAGAAACAATGCTTGAGATATAGCAGAATATTTCATCATTTTCACCTTACAGCACAGAAGCAATTTGTCAATGACTCTATACTACGTACCCTGAAGCGTGACCTCCAATAACAATCAGTGTTTATTGCCAGAAAGCAGATTTGAAATATGGTTGAAAGCAGAAAAGCAGAGATGTTCAGGGTTGAATCTCTTGTGTCCTCTGAATGCAGAAACTTCGTTTTGAATATTCTTTAGCTGTAAGACCTACTTTCCATAGTCTTTCTGCTCCTATGATTCCAATTGTGCAACCTGCATTTTATAAGCATGCTTTAAAAATATGTGTTAAACATTTGGTTAGATATTCAATATGACTTTTATTTAATTATTAGAAGTATCTACCCATCTTTATGGACTGAGTTGCATCTCCCCAAAATTTGTATACTAAAGTCATAACTCCCATTATCTCTGAATGTGACCACATCTGGAGATAAGATCTTTAAATAAGTAAATTAAAATGAGGTTACTAGGAATATGACTAATGACCTAATATGAAAAATATCCTTATAAGAAGAGGAAATGTGGACACAGCATGTGTAGAGGTAAGACTATGAGAAGACACTAGGACAAGATGGCCATCTATAAGTCAAGGAGAAAGGCCACAGAAGAGAGCAACACTGCCCAAACCTTATGGACTTCTAGCATCCAGAATGAAAATAGAAATTTCTATTGTTTAAGCCATTCAGTTAATTATACTTCGGTATGGCAGCCCTAGCAAACAAATACATCATCTTTATTCTATTTTATCCAGTCCCAGAGATGGGTTTTTTCCTCCAGTCACGACCGTGATCTCATTTTCTCCTGTCTCCACCTAGAACATTGCTAATCAGTTATACCTTCATTCATCTGTCTTCACTTTCTCTCTACTTACATGTTCCTCTCAATTTGCTTAACTTTTCTGCCACCATCTTTTGACTCTATCTTTACTTTCTTTATTATCTCCACTTTTCAGAATAGTAATCTGTACTGAGTAAAACCACTCACATCACCCATCTACCAGTCAACCTGGTGGAGTCAGGATTATACAATAGCCCTCTATTTATAATAATTTATTCTTGTTAAGGTCTCCAATGATCTAATGGATAAATACAGTGGTTACTTTTTAGTCATTAATTTATTTTATCTTCTTGAAGTTTAGCTTGATCTCCTTAAAACTCTCCAATGGTTACCATATTTTTTTTTCACTGTTTAATCAAGTAATCTATTCTCTTCCGGAAGCCCATCACCTTTGAAGTGTTGGTATCATTTGTGTTTCTCTCTCTGGCCATCTTCTCTACCTTCTTAATACTGTATTCTTAGGCAGTCTCAGCCATTCTAATGACTTTATTGATGGCCTGATCACCAATATGTTAATGATCTAGAACCAGAAATACCATTTGACCCAGCAATCCCATTACTGAGTATACACCCAAAGGATTATAAATCATTCTACTATAAAGACACATGCACATGTATGTTTATTGCAGCACTATTCACAATAGCAAAGACTTGGAGCCAACCCAAATGCCCATCAATGATAGACTGGATAAAGAAAATGTGACACATACACACCATAGAATACTATGCAGCCATAAAAAAGGATGAGTTCATGTCCTTTGCAGGGACATGGATGGAGCTGGAAACCATCATTCTCAGCAGACTAACACAGGAACAGAAAACCAAACACCACATGTTCTCACTCATGAGTGAGAGTTGAACAACGAGTACGCATGGACACAGGGAAGGGAACATCACACTCCAGGGCCTGTAGCGGGGTGGGGGGCCAGGGGAGGGATAGCATTAGGAGAAATACCTAATGTAGATGATGGGTTGTTGGGTGCAGCAAGCCACCATGGCACATGTATACACATAAACCTGCACATTCTGCACATGTATCCCAATACTTAAAGTATAATAATAATAAAAAAAGAAATTTCAAGAGATCTGAATTTTTTTTTTTGCTGACTTGAGGAATTAGACATTCTGAACATTGTGGATAATAAATGCTTATCTTCTCAATTTCAGAACATGTTAGAAAAAGTAGAGAAGATTAAAAAACATTTTAAATAATTACACGGAGCAAACATGAGTTAATGTTTCTAATTTCATTTTATTGTTACTGCTATTACAGTAAGAAAGACCACAGTGTAGCAGTGCAACATAATTCTACTAAAAGGTCAAAGTCTTCCCTTTTAAAGTTTGTAATACCTGATATACACTAAATGTCTAGTACACTAAAAGATTTCAGGTATGTGTTTGCTCAAAATATATTTAGTAACAGCTTAATATAAATTAAATACTTTTCAGATTGATCCTATTTGTAGTATATTAATTGTATTTCTATAGCAGTTGGAGGAATTGTTCCTCTTTCTGAGGAAATTCTACAGTTAATAAACCATGAAACTGTGAGTTGTTTAAGTACTAATAAGCTCACTAAACAGGGTTTTATGAACAGCTGTTATCTATGTTGTGCCAGATGATACCAAGTAACTTTCTGAGGAATACATTTTTTTATGTAATGAGGCTTAATATATTAAATTACAATTCAGAATGTATAATTATTGTTTTTCCTTTCCCCTGGACAGTACCCTACATCACTACATAGCCCCCTGAGGCGGTTGTGGGGGGGGGCGGGGGTGGTATGAGGAAAACGTTTACACAGAAGGAAACATTTGAAGACAATTTTTTAATAAACAGAATAACATGAAGCATGGGCATTAGAATTAGGTGGAACAAGGTCCAATAATTATATCTAGAACATATTCACTCTTTCAACTAATGAAAGCCATTCTCATGAGGTTTCAGATGGAAATGAGGAACATTGAAAACTTAAGGAAAGGTCATTCTTGTTATGAATTGTCAAAGAACTTGGCTGAACTGTGTTTATGTTGTAATGTTTTATGAAAAGAATAACTTGTGAGAGACAGAATACTTGCCTGAAGAAACTTCTTTTTTTTTTTTTTTTTGGAGACAGTCTCTCTCTGTCAGCCGGGCTGGAGTGCAGTGGCACGATCTTGGCTCACTGCAACCTGCGCCTCCCAGGCTGAAGCAATACTCCTCCCTTAGCCTCCCAAGTAGCTGGGATTACAGGTGTGTGCCACCACACCCAGCTAGTAGAGACGGGGTTTCACCATGTTGGCCAGGCTGGTCTGGAACTCCTGACTTCAGGTAATCTGCCCACCTTGGCCTCCCAAAGTGCTGGGATTACAGGTGTGAGCCACCGCGCCTGGTCTGGTTGAAGAAATTTCTAAGCAAATTATTGAAGGTGCAGTTTGGCTTCTATTGAATGCTAACAGTAAACTATGAGAGAGAGAAAAGCACTTAAAGATGGATTTCTTAATCAAAAGGGAAAGGAGGAAAATATCACCTTTATCAATGAGAAAGGCTATATTGGAGAACGTTCCTTCACATCTGTGATAGAAGTGGATTCAACACCACATGTCAGTCTAAGGACAACTTTCCCCTCAGTCTCAGGCAGCATTAAACAATGGATGCCTCTTACGTGGAAGCTGGATGCTATGAAAGTTATGTTGGCTGGACGTGGTGGCTTAGGACTTTAATTCTAGTACTTTGAGAGGCCGAGGTGGGTGGATTGCCTGAGCTCAGGAGTTTGACACCAGCCTGGGCAACATGGTGAAACCCTGTTTCTACTAAAATACTAAAAATTAGCCAGGAGCGGTGGCACTCACCTGTCGTCCCAGCTACTGGGGAGGCTGGGGCAGGAGAATCGCTTGAACCCAGGAGGTGGAGGTTGCAGTGAGCCATGAGCCAAGATGGTGCCACTGCATTCTAGCCTGGGCAACAGAACAAGACCCCGTCTCAAAAAAAGAAAAAAAAAGTTATGTCATGGAGATGCTGACAACACCACTATGTTCAGGTAGGCAGGGTCCCCAAAGAAGAAGAGTATGAGCTACGCATCCACATTTCCTCTCCCAAACTTACTAATAAAATAAGCTACTTCTCAACTTCTAAAGCAAGGAAGCTACTCCTGTCTCTGAAGCATAGAGAGGCCAAGAATATTACTCCAGGTGGTGTACCTTCAGGTAGAAGTATCTCAGGGGAAAGGCAGCTCCCCTTCCTCCCAAAAGGTTCATACTTTGGTATATTCTGTTATTACAGCTACTAGGCAGCATTCTGGGTTTTTTCTGCCTATTTAAAATGCTATAGTAGTGAGCTCTTTCTATAACTTCCATAACTTCATTTGGAAAACCCTTTTCATCCCTTTTTGTTCATTGAAACTTGATCAATGTTTAATGTTCTGTCATCTAAATTGCATGAGACTCTCTCTCCTTTCTCCTGCCCCCAAGAATATCTGTTTCACCAAAACAAATGCCTATAGCTTAGTCAAGGGCATGGAGCAAGAAGTGGGTGAGCAGATTTTGGCATCAGGCAAACAGGACTGCAAATCCTGGCCCTGCCACTCATTAGCTATGAGAAATGAGGTAAAGAAATAAAAATTTTAAGTTCTGTTTTCCTCATCTGTAAAATAGAGTTGTATTAGTTTTCTTTGATCCTATAACAAATAGTCACAAATTTAGGGGCTTAAGACAATACAATTTATTGTCTTAGCAGTTCCAGATGTCAGAAATCTAAAATGAATCTCACATACAGAAATCAAGGAATGGACAGGGCTGTTTTTCTTCCAGAGGCTCTAGGGGATGATCTGTTTCCTTGCTTTTTCCAGCTTTTGGAGACCATCTGTCTTCCTTTACTACTGGCCCCTTCCTCCTTCAAAGTTCATTATTCCAACCTCCACTTTTATTATCATCTCCTTTTTTAAACTTTGACCTTCCCTCTTATAAGGACCCTTATGATTACCTTAGACCCATCTGGATAATTCAGGAAAATCTCCCCATTTTTTGATTCTTAACTTAATCACACTAACAATGTTCCTTTTTGCCATGGGGGGGAACACCATATTTACAGATTTTGGTGATGAGACTGTGGACTTCTTTAGGGGTTAGCCTAAAATGAGGATTATAATAGTATCATTTATATGCTTGTTACAAAGATTAAATGAGATAGTGCCTAAAAGAAGTGTATAATATGGTAATCTTTCAATTAATATTATTATTTTAACTTTCTTAATTTATTTTTAATTGATAAGTAAAATTGTATAAATTTATTGTGCACAACATATTGTTTTGAAATATGTATACATTGTGGAATGGCTAAATTGAGCTAATTAACTTACATTACTTTGCATACTTATTTTTTGGTAGTAAGAAGAATTAAAATCTACTCTCTTAGCAAAAACTTTGAAGACTACAGTATGTTGTTATTAACGGTAGTCACCACGTTTTACAATAGATCTCTTGAACTTCTTCCTCCTATCTAACTAAAATTTTGACCAATATCTCCCACCACCCTGACTCCAGTCCCTGGTAACTGACATTCTACTCTATACTTCCCTGAGTTCAACATTATCAGATTCCTTATATAAGTGAGATCATACAGTATGTGTCTTTCTGTGTCTGGTTTATTTCAGTCATTGCAATCTCCTCCAAGTTCATTCATGTTTCAAAAGTGACTGGGTTTCCTTCTTTTTTAAGGTAATATTACTATTTTTAAGAGTCTTGCTGCTGCTGTTGTTTGAAACCACAAAGAATAAATAATTTGAGTCACATAATTCAACATTTCATTTTATACTGTAATATACTGCGTGATTACATTTAATTTGCTTTAGTGTTGTCCAGCGAATATTAGTCATTCCTCTTCAGAAACTCTTTTCCAGAATTTTAGGGAATATCTGGACTTCCATAGTAGGAAGTGGCCATGGAAGGAATTCTACCAAGAGAGGAATTTCTATGTGAAATTTCCAGTCTCTTTTTCTGCTAAGGTGAAGGCACATAGTTTAGGCTCTGCCAATCAGATGCATCTGTGCTGAATGTTGAATCAGAAGATAATGAGGTCCAAATGGAAGCTCTGTGTGGGAACCATTTCGGTGAAGCTGATGGCAACCCATCTAGTTTCCAGAGAAACAGTGCAAGAGGTTCAGGCTGGAGAATCCACAGCGCATCACCCTCAGGACTCTAGCCACAAGCCACAGTGTCTGGCCCTGTGGTAGCAGTAGCATCTCCCCACAAACAATACTTCAGTGTGATCTGTGGCACAGTTTCTGGTTTCACAGCCCCCAACCTTGGCATCTCAGGAAATTAGGAAGGGTATCTGATATCCTGCTTAAAACAGATAAACATTGTTTCTTCAAAAACTACAAACTCAGACATTTTAATCTTTACTATTAATGTGATTTATCTCTGAGGGAAGAGATTCTACATTTTTCTTTGTATCTTCTGTATAGCCTAAAAGGTGATTATATAGAATATTAATGGAAATTAAATGCTGGGAGCTTGGAAGTGGATAATATAAAATTGGATCTTCTCTTGGTACCAGTAAGCAAATATAACCCAAATTACAACAAGACACTTTTCTAGATGGCAATATCAGAATATGACCAAGTCAAGGTCATATTAACAAAAATCAATATGAACATACGATTGTCAAGGTTAGACTCAAAGCCAAGTGAAACTTGATTATGTCTGGGCTTGCAATACAGAAATGGGTTCAAAAGTGTAAAGTAAACGGGTTCCAGAAAGAGAAAAGATACATTACGATGTGGCATTCCCTAAAGCCAGTGCTTTTCCTCTGCATAGCAATCAAATCCTACTTTAGCTGAAGTAGGAAGGGACTATTGAGTGCTTTGGATAAAGTGGCCCCACTTGTGTTATTTTGAGAAATAATCAGTTAAGTGTCCTTTCTTATGATGTTACAAGTTAAGAGGTTCAAGTTATTGATTTAGGGTATTTCAAATTGCACAATATGAAAGCAGGAAATTTCTTTCTACTTTCGCTAGAACATATTTTTCAAAATGTCACTATAAGGTGACATCACCTAACGGCCTACTTCTTACTTTGCTGAATAACATAGAAGTGTTTAAAATACATTCAGTAGAATATGGCTTTTAAACATAGAAGTGTTTAAAATACATTCAGTGGAAGTCCTGATGTTATGCCTATTTTATGCTGCATCATTCAGATCTTTTCTGCTCCCATTTAACACTGGCTTCTGGTTTATTAACACACCTTAATTTTAAGAGAATGGACATTATAACCTGTGTACTAATTAGGAAAAAAATTATGCAACAGAGTTGGTTAGAAATATTATTTAAACTTGGAGAGAAAAGACTTATTTTGAAGAATAACATACCAACTTTGTCCTGACCAGACTTACTTATAAAAAATTGCTAAATTGACCTACCATTAGACCTTAAATTATATCTATAGGTAGACACCTGAAATTAACTTTCAATATCAACTTCTCCTTAACCAGAGTGTTGAGGAAAATGGGTTCAAATAGGTGACTTGGTTAATGTTCCATTTCTGCTGTTTTCCTTTTTTCTTCACATCTTTTCCATCTTTTTTTACAGTTTTGTTTCCTGTTTTTGTGCATTAGGGGAGGAAGGGAGAAAGGATGAGCGAGGACTTTCATACTGTTTCTGCAACAAGCCATGCAAATTAGTTATTGTTTCTAATATGGAGGCTTTAAGCAAATCTTTGTATAAGCCAAAAATTTGAACACCTACCCAGAGGCTTTATGGAAGGAATATATACAGGTCTCCTTAAGAGTTGAAGGAGTTACATTCTGAAAAGAAGGAGTAAATATAACTATCATCTGGGGAAAAGGCACATCAAGGTCATGAACAAACACCTTGGGATTATTTGCCTGCGTATTTCTGGGTGATGTGGCTGAAGAAATGAGTTGATTATGGGGATTAAGGCATTGAAATTACTTTCCCTCATCCCTTTCCCCATTTTCTTAACCAGAAGACTAGGTTATGTGTAGAAGACACAGAATACATAATAAGGCATGAAGATTCAGTATGCACGAAGTCGAGAACTAAGGCTGTAAATTCAGATAAGCCTGGGTTAGAATATTAGACATAACACTTCCTAGTTAAGAAATTTGGGATACATAATTTCACCTCTGTGCCTCACTTTTAATATCTATAAAATGAGGATGATAATAGTAACTTTAGACTGCTTAATCACTACTTAACATTTTAAATAAATATATGGAAGGTATTATCTTGCTAAAGAAGTAACAATCATAAAAGACACTCAAGTATGAGCAAATGGTGTGGGAGTAACTCCCAGTGCATCTTCTGTTTCAGTAATCCAGTTTTGTTCTTTTCCTTCTTCAGCAGCCCCTTTGCAATAAAGCAAGACCATGAGGATTATTGACCAACGAAAGGGACAAAAGCATCATAGAGTAGAAGAGAGTACCACATGGAGAAACATTCAACCATCATGAAGAGGAAGTTGACAGCCTTTCTACTTATCATCAGTAGATAAGCCTATCTACTGCTTACAGATACCCATGGAGAAATCAATAGTGTAGTGAAAAAAACAGACACTAGTTAACTGGTTTCTTTCTTTGAGTAAAAGGCTGGAATTCTTTAAGGTGTGTTACAAATAAAAGGAATCATAGGCTTACATTTTTTGAAGAAAAAACTCCAGGGTAACAAACTTGCTATTCATTCATTCAGGGTATTTACCTGGAAAGTCCACCATTAAGCTACATGCTCAGCCTGGTGCCAAACCCAAAAAGACACAGGAAAGTAGGTTAGAAATGGCTGAAGGAGGTGACTACATAGGTGTTGAGTGCCAGTCTTCTCAGATACTTCATGGAATGAGAGTATCCAGAAGTTACTGAGTCCTCCCTAGTGGGCTTTAGTGAGCTGGCTGGAAAACTCATCAGAGATAACCACCATGAAATATGAAGTGACCCTGGAGCAAAGGCCATCACACTTTCCAAACTTGGATTGCAAGAGAGTCATTGCTGTAACTTGGGGCATCCGAAGTACCAGTCAAAGCAAAAATGGGGTGCCTAGTCAGAGAGATATGGCCAAGTTCCCTGGAAAAGCACCATGTCTTGCCCTTCTCAAAGAGAACAGACCATGAGTAAATGACTCATGGACGCTTCAGCAGAAAGTGCGTTAACAACAGAGGCTAAATCACAGAGACATGCCAAGTCTCCTGAGGTAGAAGAAGATGGCACACAGAGGTCAGCCCCGTACCCAATGCTATGAAGTTATACATACTTCTCCCTATATTCAGACACAGGATTTTGTAAATGAGGATAAGATGAGGCAGCCCTCAAGTGAGGAAAAATAAGCTTGATAAGGAGTTTAAATTTTGAGATGACTGAATATTTACTGGAAAGAAACTGTTGTAAACTGCATGTGATAAAGTCATGTTTAGTTAGAAATTTTAAGTACATTTTGTCCATTAAGAAATGGAAGTTCTAGCACAAAAGGAGATGGATGATGAAAAGTCAATAAAATTGCATTCAATTCTAGTTTATCTTATTCATTTTGATGATAAATGTTTTTTAAAATACCCAATATAGGGCTGGGTGCAGTGGCTCACGCCTGTAATCCCACCACTTTGGGAGGCCGAGGCTGGAGGATCACGAGGTCAGAAGATTGAGACCATCCTGGCTAACATGGTGAAATCCCGTCTCTACTAAAAACACCAAAAATTAGTCGGGTGTGATGGCGGGCGCCTGTAGTCCCAGCTACTCGGGAGGCTGAGGCAGGAGAATGGCGTGAACCCGGGAGGCGGAGCTTGCAGTGAGCCGAGATCGTGCCACTGCACTCCAGCCTGGGCAACAGAGCAAGACTCTATCTCAAAAACAAATAAATAAATAAATAAAAATAAAAATACCCAATATGGAAAGAGGAGTCTATTGGTCAGGAACTTAGAGTGCAGGAGATTGGCACAAAGTCACACTTTGGAGGACTGGCTGGGCTCTCCAGCTGCACTGGTCACTGCAGCAAGCACCAGTGAGGTGGAACGAGAATCTCTGGGTGCTTCCTGAGTGTCTTACATATTTTTAATGAGATGATGGAGCACCTTGAAGAAATCTAGCACACAAAGATCAGGACTGCACCTCCTCTAGCAGAGAAGCAAGGATTTCAGATTGGACAGACTTCTGTGGTGACAGGGTACAACAGGTACTATCTTAGTGTACTTTATATTGCTTATAACATGATATCTGAAACTGGGTAATTTATAAAGAAAATGAATTAATTTTTTACATTTTTGGAGGCCATGAAGTCCAAGGTTGAGGATGTGCATCTGGTGAGAGTCTTCTTGCTGGTAGGGAATTTTATTTTTCCTTTTTTTTTTTTTTGTGAGACAGAGTCTCGCTCTGTTGCCCAGGCGCTATCTCAGCTCACTGCAAGCTCTGCCTCCGGGGTTCACGCCATGCTCCTGTCTCAGCCTCCCAATTAGCTGGGACTACAGGCATCCGCCACCACACCCAGCTAATTTTTTTGTATTTTCTAGTAGAGACAGGGTTTCACCGTGTTAGCCAGGATGGTCTCGATCTCTTCACCTTGTGATCCGCCCGCCTCAGCCTCCCAAAGTGCTGGGATTACAGGCGTGAGCCACCGCGCCCAGCCCTGTTAGGGGCTTTTTGCAGCACCCCCTAGTAGCACAGGGCATGACATGCGAAGGGGGCTGAGTATGCTAACATTCTAGCTCAGGTCTCTCTTCCTTTCCTCATAAAGCCATCAGTTCTACTCCCATAGTAAGCCATTAATTTATTAATCCATTAACTATGAATGAATTAATTTATTCATGAGGGCAAAGACCTCATAACCCAATTATCTCTTAAAAGCCCTAATGCTCAATCTTACTACATGGGAGACTAAGTTTCAACATGAGTGTGGGAGAGGGCATTTAAACCATAGCATGCACATGCTAGGAATCAGTTAAGAGTCTAGTTCTCACTATTTCTTGGGGAAAGAAGACACACAAGAATCCAAGAGATATTCTCCATTGTTTGATTTTTGTCTCACTTCCCTCGAAGTCCTCAACTTATTTAATATATTTCATATGTATTTTTCATTTTCTTCCAAATACAAAATCAAATAATAACATACTCCATTTAGCAAACCTAGAATATAATAAAAGAATAGTAAACAGAGTAAAAACACCTAGTATGATTCACTACCTTATGCTATGGTTTGGATGTTAAACCATTTGGATGTTAAAATTTGATCCCCAATATTGGAGGTGGGGATTAATGGGAGGTGTTTGGTCATGGAGCTGGATCCCTCATGGATAGGTTAATGTCCTCCCTCAGGGGTGACTATTACTTTCTGCAAAAGCTTGTTGTTAGAAAGAGCCTGGCACCTCCCTGATTTCTCTTTTGCTTCCTTTCTCATCATGTGGTCTCTTGCACACACACACCAGCTGCTCTTCACCTTTGGCCATGAGTGGAAGAAGCTTGAAGCCCTCACCAAATGCAGATGCCAATCTTGAACTTTTCAATTATTAGAACTATGAGTCAAATAAGCCTTTTTTCTTTATACATTGCTTGGCCTCAGGTATTCCTTTATGACAACACTAAGTGGTTCAGGGCATCCTCATTCCTCATTCCATGAATTCTATTTTACATAACTGAGATCATAATTTGTAGTAATTGTTATGCCATTTAAAAGTCTCATTTCACTGCAAATCAAAATCACAATGCAATATCACCTTACTCCTGCAATAATGGCCTTAATCAAAAAATAAAATAATAGATATTGGTGTGAATGTGGTGAAGAGAGAACACTTTTACACTGTTGGTCAGAACGTAAACTAGTACAACCACTGTGGAAAACACTATGGAGTTTCCTTAAAGAACTAAAAGTAGATCTACCATTTGATCCAGCAATCCCACTGCTAGATATCTACCCAGAGAAAAAAGAAGTCACTTTACAAAAAAGATACTTGCACATGCATGTTTATAGTAGCACAATTTGCAATTGCAAGAATATGGAACCAGCCCAAATGCCCATCAATCAATGAGTAGATAAAGAAAATGTGGTATATATTTATATACCATGGAATACTACTCAGCTATAAAAAGGAACAAAATAATGGCATTTGCAACAACCTGGATGGAATTGAAGACTAATCTTGTAAGTGAAGTATCTCAGGAATGGAAAACAAACATTGTATGGTCTCATTTATAAGTGGGAGCTAAGCTGTGAGAACTCAAAGACCTAAGAATGATACAATGAGCTTTGGGGACTTAGGGGGAAGTGAGGGAGGGGGTGAGAGATAAAACACTACACATTGGGTACAGTGTATGCTCCCTGGGTGATGGGTGCACCAAAATCTCAGAAATCACCACTAAAGAACTTTTCCATGTAACCAAACACCACCTGTTACCTAAAAGCCTATAGAAATAAAAAATAAATTTAAAAAAAGTCATATTTCACTTAACAATATATTATAAACATTTTGTCTTTTTATTTCATTTTATAGGAGGCTTTCCCTTGAGGAGAATTTTTAGAAACAAATTCTAAGACAGAATTTTCCTAGGGTATCAGTGCTTGGGTTTTCCCTAGAATTTCGGAAGCATCAAGCCATGAAGCTGAAGAATAAGTTTAAGAATAGGTTTAAGAATAGGTTCTTAGTTTTGGCCAAACATCAAGATTGAATTAACATTCAAGGATAATATTGAGATGCTTTAATGAGAGACACTAGGGAGGGGACTAGGAAAGGCTGGTAGGGCCATGTGAGCAACATTCAGGTCTCACATATGAGGAAGAGAGAAACAGTTGAGGGAAATGTCCTTGACTGCTATAGAGGAGAGTTGTTGGGCCATCAGAGAAACCCTGGTCAGCCTTAGTTGCTCCCCATATCCCCTACCTCCCGCCTCACTGGCTGGTAGTAGCACCATGAGTGGCATGTCCTTTGGGCACACCAGGTGATGGATTTTAAAGCTCAGAAGTTTTATCTCAAAGTCAGTTACGGTCCCCACATTTTGGTCTGCCGGGGATATTCTTTTACCCGCCAACTCGTCCTTTAGAGCTGAAGAAAGGGCATTTAGGAGTTTCTCACAGATTTCTCACCAGTTTATTTTTGAACCAAATATCCTTTACTTTAGGAAAATCATCAAAATAATCTTTAATGTTGGTTGAAGCCATTATGTAAAAATATAATTTTTGGCATACTAAAAGAATTGAGCAATGATAAGTAAAGGCTTGCTTTATATTTAAGACGAGAAGAAAGGTGAGTTTTTGAAGCCCTATTCTAATGGCCCCGGCCTTCACCTTTACATTTCAAAACTTGAAGTACATTTTTACATACTCTCAATCACCTTTGCTTCCCTTCTACAACTTTATCTCAGACATCTTTATTCTTTTCTACACATTTCCTCTATGTTTGAGCAGCTTTTCTGTCCTGCTGGCTTGGTGGCTGCTTGTGTTTGTGTATAATTGTAACTCTTACCTGCAAGCACCTCTTTGAGTCTTTAAAGTCTTCTCAGTGTTTCTGCTGCTGTTGAAGTCTATTGTTAAGCTATCCAGTGCTACAAAGCAAAAGCTTCTGGGGGTCTGCTGCTGAGAGGCATTACACACTGCATGCTTTTGTGTATAAGGTGATTTGCTCTTTCAAATGACTTTTCTAGTAGAAATAATGTTTTGAAGCCAGAGAAAGGGCATTTAAATTTTTCACAGATTTCTGGTTATAGGAATAGTAGTACCAACTTATCTTTGGGAAAAAAAACTCCTTGACTTTGGGAAAATCATTAAAATGGGTATTTTATTTACAATAATGTTAAAGAAGCAATGTTCCCTTGTTCTTAGAAAGAATTATAAAGTCAAAACTACTCTGAAGGCAGTTGGTTGAAACTAAAACTATGGAAGAGTTTTCCTTAGTCATTTAAATATGATATACATTTAGCAGAACGGTGCCCTTGAAGTTTTAAGAATGTTTCTCTAAATGATATAAATACCTAACACCCTCTGAACTCTCTGAATTCTTAACATTCTCTGAACTCTTCTCTCCTTCCTCCTCCCTCCCTTCCTCCCTCCCTTTCTTCCTTCCTTCTTTCCTTCTTTCTTTCCTTCCTATTTTTACAATATGGCTCTTGTGTTAGTCCAATCATTTTCTCAAAGACATTTTATGAACAGCACATGTCTGTGTAGATAGACCTGATGCTACATGTCTCAAAGTTCCCAAAACTAGCTGGTAAAAAGAAGATGGACCCGAATGCTGGGATGTTATTCATGATGCTCATTTTCAATGACTCTTCAGAATTTAAAAATTTTCCTGTCGTATAATATGATTTTCTCTCAGCCACTTTTCTGCTTCTAAGGAAAGCAATATCTATTCCCACTATCAATCCCTCTGTGGTGGGAAATTAACTGGGTCTTGGAATTGAGAAGTAATAACTGTCATCTAGCTCTAGGTCCAAAGAGACCTGGGAGCCATGGATCTCAGTTAAGATGGAGATTTCCCAGAATCCCTATTGGTGAGAATTGGACAGACTTCCAGCAATTGGAAACTCAAAGATCATTTTTCTAGTTCCATATATACACATTTCCCAACATTGTATTTTCTTATCTAACTTTTGGTAAAGTCCTATATTAAAGGGCCATTTTCCCTGTTTCTTCTGTATAAACCACTGTTCGTTTTCTCATTTGAACATTTCTTCCAGTTATAAGTTTTGATTTTGGGACTTTGACAGTAATAAATATAGTGTGTGTGTGTGTGTGTGTGTGTGTGTGTGTGTGTGTGTGCATGTGTATACATGTACATATAAATATACCCACTTAATATGTTCTGATTACATAGAATTTCCATTTGTATGTTAAGTTCGGGTATGCAAATCTAAACCCTTCATCTCACTCTCTTTTCCACTCTTGTATCTCAATATATATATGCTGGAACAGGTTAGAATACTAAAAAAGAGTACTAATAGATGGTAATATATACAACATGGATTAATATAATAAAACTTTTTTTGTAAATTCAAGATCTAAAGGACCATTCTAACATCTACCTTTTAGTATTGCCTCTTACATAAACATTTTTTATATTGATTGATACATAAAAATTGTACATATTTATGGGGTACATATGAGATTTTGATATGTGCATACAATATGTAATTATCAAATCGGGGTATCTAGGATATACATAATCTCAAACATGCATCATTTCTTTGCATTGGGAACATTTAAATATCCCCTTCTAGCTATTTTGCAATATATAATAAATTCCTGTTAGCTGTACTCACACTATTGTGCTATCAAACACTAGAACTTATTTCTTCTATCTAACTGTATGTTTATACCCATTAACCAACCTCTTCTTATTGCCCTCTATCCCCTTCCCAGCCTCTGGTAACTATACTTCAGCTCTTTGCCTTCATGACGTCAAATTTATTTTAGCACCCACATATGATTGAGAACATGTAATGTTTATCTTTCTGGGCTTGGATTATTTTACTTAACCCAATGACCTCCAATTCCATCCGTGTCTCTATAAATGACAGGATTTTATCCTTTTTTGCTTGTTTTGAGACGGAGTCTCACTCTGTCGCCAGGCTGAAGTGCAATGATATGATCTTGGCTGACTGCAACCTCCGCCTCCCAGGTTCAAGTGATTCTCCTGCCTCAGCCTCCCAAGTAGCTGGGACTAAGCGATGTCAAGCCCAGCTAATGTTTATATTTTTAGTAGAGACGGGGTTTCACCATGGTGGCCAGGATAGTCTCGATCTCTTGACCTTGTGATCCACCCACCTTGGCCTCCCAAAGTGTTGGGATTACAGGCATGAGCCACCGTGCCCAGCAGATTTTGTCCTTCTTTATGGCTGAACGGTATTCCATTGTATATGTATATCATATTCTCTTTATCCCTTCATCCTTGGGGGCAGTTAGATTGACTCCATTATCTTTGCTAGTGTGAATAGTATGCAGTAAACATGGGTGTGCAAGTATCCTTTAATATACTAATTTATTCTCCTTTGGACAAATACCCAGTGGTGGAATTGCTGAATCATACAGCAGTTCTATTTTTTGAGGATCCTTCTGTTTTCCATAGTAGCTAAAGAGTTTGAGTAGAATTGGTGTTAGTTCGTCTTTAAATGTTTAGTAGAATTTAGCAGTGAAGCCATTAGTTCCTGGGCTTTTCTTTGGTGAGAAACTTTTTATTAAAGCTTCAATTTTATTACTTATTATTGGTTTGGTGAGGCTTTTAAAAAATATTTTCATAGTTCAATCTTGGTAAATTTTATATGTCCATGAATTTATCCATTTCTTCTAGATTTTCCAATTTGTTGGCATATAATTGTTCATAATAGTCACTAATTATTCATTGTATTTCTCTCATATCAGCTGTAATTTTTCTCCTTTGTTTCTGATTTTCTTTACTTGGGGCTTCTCTCTTTGTTTATTGGTTGGACTCACTAGTAGTTTATCAATTTTATTTCTCTTTTCAAAAATCCAACTTTTCACTTTGTTGATCCTCTGTGGTTTTTTATTCTCTATTTTACTTATTTCTCCTTTTATCTTTATTATGTATTTATTTGTTTTTTATTTTGGAGACAAGGTCTCGCTTTGTTTCTCAGGCTGGAGTGGTGCAGTGGCATGATCACAGTTCACTGCAGCCTTGACTTCCTGAGCTCAAGCAATACTCCCACTTCAGGCTCCTGAATAGCTAGGACTGCAGACACATGCCACCACACCCAGATAACTTTTTGGTTTTTTTTTTCTAGAGATGAGGTTTCACCATGTTGCCCAGGTTGATCTCAAACTCCTGAGTTCAATCAATTTGCCCATCTTGGCCTCCCAATGTGCTGGGATTACAGGTGTGAGCCACCACGCCCAGCTCATCTTTATTATTTTTTTCTTCTATTAATTTGGATTTTTGTTTGTTCTTGCTTTTCTGATTCTTTGAGGTGCATCAAGTTGTTTATTTGAAATCTTTCTACTTTTTAATGTGTTCACTTACTGATATAAACTTCATTCTTAGCACTGTTTTTGCTGTGTCCATTGGTTTCAGTATTTTATGTTTCCCTTTTATTTTAAAATATATTTTTTTAAATTTTCCTCCTAATTTCTTCATTGGCCCAATGGTCATTCAGGAGCATGCTGTTCAATTTTTAGGTGCTTGTATAGTTTCTAAAATTCTTGTTATTGATTTTCAGTTTTGTTCTATTGTAATCTGAGAAGATCCTTGATATAATTTGGGCTTTAAAAAATTTGTTAAGACTTGTTTTGTGAGCTCATGTAAGGTCTATCCTAGAAAATGTTCCATATGCTGATGAGAGGAATGTGTACTCTGCAGATGTTGCAAAAACTGTTCTGTGAATGTCATTTGGTCTAAAGTGCATTTATATCCAATGTTTCATTACTTCCTGTATAGATGATCTGTCTGATGTAGAGAGTAGGGTGCTGAAATCACCAATTATTATTTTATTTAAGTCTATCTCTCCATTTGACCTAATAATATTTGCTTTACATCTGGGTACTGTAGTGTTGGGTAAATATGTATTTATAACTGTTATATTATCTTGCCCTTTATTATTATGTAATGAAATACTTTGTCTCTTTTTGCAGTTTTTGACTTAAAATCTGTTTTATCTCATATAAATATAGGTACTCCTGCTTCCTTTTGGTTTCTGTTTGTGTGGAATATTTTTTTTTCCATCGCTTCACTTTGAGCCTGTATGTGTCTTAGCAAGTGAAGTGAGTTTCTTGTAGGCAGTGTATAATTGGATTATATTTTTCATTCATTCAGCAAGTTTGTATCTTTTAACTGGGGAATTTATTCCATTCACATTCAAGGGTATTATTGATAGATGAGGACTTATTCCTGTGATTTTGTTAATGGTTTTCTGTTTGTTTTGTATAACCTTTGTTTCTTTCTTTATCACTTATTTTCATTGTGGTTTCATGGTTTTATGTGGTGGTAATGCCTAACTCCTTCCTCTTTCTCATTTGCATATCTGCTCTACAACTGAGTTTTATCCTTTTGTATATTTTGTATATCCTTTTGTCCTTCATGCTGGTAGATATCATTCTTTCATTTCCAGATGTAGGACTTCCAAAAGTATTTCTTGAAGGGCCAATCTAATGGTAATAAATTCCCTCAGTTGTTGATGGTCTGCATAAGGCTTTATATCTCCTTCATTTTTGAAGAATAATTTTGCTGGGTATAATAGTCTTGACTGACAGGGTTTTTTTATAAGCACTTTGAATATTTCATGCCATTCTGTCTTGGCCTGTAAAGTTTCTTCTGAGGAATTTGCTGTTAGTCTGTTTGGGCTTCCCTTATATATGACTTGACCTTTTTCTCTGGCTGTTTTTAGAAATCTTTCTTTGATATTTGACAGTTTGATTATAATGTGCTTTGGAGAAGACCTTTAGGGTTTTACCTATTTGGGAATTTTCTAGCTTCTGTATCTGGATGTTTATATCTCTTGATAGATTTGGGAAGTTTTCATTATTTTTTCAAATACATTTTCTAAGCCTTGCCTGTCTCTTCTTCTAGAATTCTCAAAATTTGAATATTTTCACTTTATGGTGGCCTATATATGACAACCATTTATTATGTCTCATGAGTTAATGGGGTGCCTGAGTAGTTTCCAGGATCTAGCTGACAACTTGTAGGTAGACTTAAAGCTGGCTGTTCTGGCATGGATTCAGAAAGAATGCCTTGGCACTACTGTAGGTGATTTATTTTCTTCTAGCAGTTTAGACTGTACTTATTCACATGGCAGCTGTAGAAATTCAAAATTCAGGTAGGCTTTCTTTATTCTTTTTTCTTCTTTGTTTTTCTTCCTACTGGGTTATTTCAAAAGATGTATCTTCAAATTCAGAAATTCCTTCTTCTTTTTGATCTACTCTGTTGTTGAAGCTCTCAATTGTATTTTTTATTTTATTCAATGAGTTCTTCACTTCCAGGATTTCTGTTTTGTTCTTTTTTATAGTACCTATCTCTTTGTTGAATTTCTCATTTAAATCATTAATTGTTTTCCTGGTTTCTTTGTGTTGTTTATGTGTGCTCTATTGTATCTCACTGAGTTTCTTTAATATTATTATTTTGAATTCTTTTTCAGGCATTTAATAGACTTCCTTTTTGGTAGGATCTGTTACTGGAGAATTATTGTATTCCTTTGGGGGTGTCCTGTTTCCTTGCTTTTTTATGTTTCTTGTGTCCTTACTTTGATATCTGCATGCCTGGTATAACAATTACTTCTTCCAATTTTTATGGACTGGAAGGAGAAAGACTTTTTGTAAGGAAAAACTTTTTCCAATAGATGTACTTATAGTGTTAGTTAGATAGGGTTCTTTGGCTTTGTTTCTGGGTAGGTGCAGTAGTGTAGTCTGCATATGATTTCTTCTGCTGCAATTGCTGTTAGTTGGGTCTATAACTTCCTCAGTGGCTTAGGCTGTGGTTGTTAGTGGAGTCTGTGGTGAAGCTTTGCTGGGGACAAGGATGCCAGACACAGATGGTGTTGATGGCAGGCCAGACATGCCAGTCCTCAGGCCCCCAGGTGGTGCATGCAGGCACTGTCAGTGGTAGGTCCAGCATGGCTGCCCTTAGGCCTTCAAGCACCTTGCTCAGGTGCTAACAGTGGTAGCAGTGACCTGGGAGAGTGATCAGACTCTTGATCCCCTGGATGCCATGTGTTACATCAGATGTGGCAGTAGCAGTGATGCACCAACCTTGAAGCCCCCAGTGGTGCACATGGGTGCCACTGATGGCAGTAGTGGGCTGTTCTACCTTGTCCCCACACTCCTGGGAGGCACACATAGGTGCTGGCAGTAGATGAAGTGGGCCTATTCCCAGACCCCAGGCAGTGCGTGCAGGCAGCAGTGGCAGGCCAAGTAGCCTTATCCTCAGGCTCCCAGGAGGCATGTACAGGCACTGGTGATGATGAATGAGGTTGGTCAATCGCCAGGCCCCTGGACAACATGCTTAGGTACCACCAGTGGTGACAGCAGTCAGGGCAAGATACATAAGCATTTTTACAGATATAGTGAATTGAATTGAGGTTATTGCATTGGATGCAGAACTCTGTATATCATGAAGCATGGCCAAAAATGTGTGTTGGGAGAATAGGTCTGGTAATGCTGGGGTGACAGTTTATCCTGTTGAATGTAGTACAGTAGTTCTCAATGTGGATGATTTTTAAATCCCCCAGGGATATTTGGTACTGTCTGGAGACATTTTAATTGTGACCACTGGATTCAGGAAAGCATTGCTACTGGAATCTACTGGGTAGAAGTGGGATAGGCTGCCAAATGAAACAACCTAAAATGCAAAGAACAATCCAAACTCCCCCCAAGGAATTACCCAGCATGAAATGTCAATGGTGGCATAGTTGAGAAATCCTACTTTTGTGCAGCACACCTTACTGCAGAAGTCAGGGAAAAGGAAAAGCACAGCCATGTGCTGAAGAAGATCCAAGATGCTCCTAAATAACACAATCCAAGAATGGTGGAGCCTACCTGTCTCGTAGGAATGTCCCGCTTTCCCCTGTTTGTTTATATATTATATAAAGCTGCTTTTCAAAAAGCTAATGTGGTAGTAGATACTAATAGAAGCCTCAGTGCTGAAGGATAAAATACATACCTCCCACAGAGTTGTCAGACATATATTTCTTCATAGTCCTATAATAATTTATCTGGTACTGTTTTGCTTTTGCTCTATCCAAAATAAGATATTACTAAAATAATATTTGACACTTTGATATGAATTAAATGGAAATTATAGTAAAATGTCCAGAGTCTGAGCCCATGTGATGTTTTCTGAAAGTAAACAAATAAAATCATATTTTTCTAATTTAAAGAAAACTTTATTACTCAGGGAATGGTTTAATTAACTGCCATTAATAAATCACAGTAGATTATCTTTTAATTTCTAGTTTAAGATGTGGCAATAGTCAATTTCATTTTTGCTGTGAGGAGTGTGATTCTAGATTTTCCTGTGTCTACATATAGAGGTTACTGATTATGAGGATGTATCTGTAATGCCAAAAGCCTGGCAAATTCAGTGAAGAGAGAGCCCTGTCAGTGGAAATCTGAGTCTGTCTGGATATTTAACAACAAGCTGAAATGACATCCCCATGTCTGAACCTTTTGTTAAGTTGCTTGACTTGTTTTGACATTTTCATGACATAATCTACATTTACAATTTGTTTCTAATTAAGATTATCTTTAATATTTGGTTTCTAATCTATTTCAGGGTGAGAAGTAACAATTATGTTAGCAAACAAGGTACTGTTTATTACATGTATTTATCTACTCTAAGTTATAAAAGACAATCCCTGTTTTCATTCATTTTTCAAGTCTTCAAATAATTTGAATTACTGAAGCAGATACTAAATTATTAGGGGAATGAATAAGCTTGTTTTTGGCCAAATTATTAATAGAATTTAGCACCTATGTTGAAAAAAATGTCGCCAGAAGTGTCTCACAGCAGAAAAAGTTTAAGTTAATACAATTAAAGGGAAAACAATGTATTTTTGTTATTATTTGTCTCAATAATATTTAATTACCATGTACTAGTCATTGGCTATTTTGTACAACTAATATTATGGTACTATTTATTTACTGCTATGTGCTGACTTTGTGACAGACATTGAGCAACTGTTCTACATGTATCATGTCCTTTAATGCTCACAGTAAGTCAGTTGCAATGATAATACAGTTAAGAGAACTAAGGTACAAGTATTTAAATGATATTCCCAATCTTACAAAACAAGTAAATGGTAAAGCTATTATAAGTGTGGCATAGATAAGTGAGATACTGCTATTAACCTTTAGAAGTGTTCAGGATAACAAGAGTTTGACATATTGTATTAGTGTGTTCTCATGCTGCTAATAGAGACATATCTGAGACTGGGTAATTTATAATGGAAAGAGGTTTAATGGACTCACAGTTCCACATGGCTGGGGAGGCCTCCCAATCGTGGCAGAAAGCGAAGGGGGGGCAAGACACATCTTACATGGCAGCAGGCAAGAGAGAGCTTGTGTGGGGCAACTCCCTTATAAAACCATCAGATCTTATGAGACTTACTCACTACCTTGATAACAGCAAGCAAAAGACCCACCCCCATGATTCAATTGCTTCCCACCACATCCCTTCCACAACACATGGGAATTCATGGGAATTATGGGAGCTACAATTCAAGATGAGATTTGGTTGGGAACACAGCCAAACCATATCACATATGTCATTTGCCAATTTCCTTACCTTTTCTACTTGCAGAATTTGAATTCACAAAATAGGAGTCCTGGTCAAATTCTGCCACTTACACTCACAAACTCTGGCACTTAACAAGTCTGTTAAATATCCTAAACCAGTTTTCTTATAAGTGAAATGACCAATTTCTCAGGTTTATCGTGGGGGAAAGATGAATCAATGGTTATAAAAACCTTTAGTAATCTGAAGTCTGAAATTGTTACTGTCAGATGCAATAGGCATGATGACACTCTAGCCTGTAAATTAATTAGTGCAGCTCAAATTGAAGAGATGATTAACTTAACACTTATGTTACTATCAGGGTTTAACCACTGGGGAGTGGGGAGATAAAATCCGCTAAGACAAACACATTAAGTAAATATGAATCTATTTTGGTGTCCCTTTCTTCCTCCTTCCCTCCCTCTTTTCCTTATTTCCTTCTTATTCTCAGTATTCAAATTCCGTATATAAATGCAGTTGCTGGGGAACCAACAACTCCAACCATTGGTAGTTTTAAATGGCAACCATTTATCATGTCTCATGAGTTGATGTGGTGCCTGAGCAGTTCTGCTGATCTAGCTGATAACTTGTAGGTGGACTGAAAGCTGGCTGGTCTGGCTCGGGTTCAGAAAGAGTGCCTTGGCACTACTCTGGATGGTTTCTTTCTTCTAGCAGTTGAGCCTGTACTTATTCTCATGGCAGGCATAGAAATTCAAAAGAGAGTGAAACCTCTTTTGAAGGTACACAAAACCTGTTGTGCCCCAGGACAGGTCGTCTGCAAGTGTATACAAAACCTGTTGATGTCTAGACTTGAAACTGGCATTTCTGCTATACCCTGTTGAACAAAAGCAAGTCACAAGACCAGCTCAGATTAAAGGGGTAGATCTCATTTTGAAAGGGGGATTTGCAAAGTCTTGTTGCAGAGGGTAGGAATCATGGAGGGGTGGAGAACTGAGGGCATTTTTGCAATCAGTCTCTCAGGCTTCTGTAGTTAGTGTATACACATTTCTCAATTATCTTTCATGGCTATAATCTCCTGTCTACTTTAAATAGTAAGTCAGTCTTTGGCTGAGGTATCCTTTGGTTTCAGGCACATTCCTCCGTTTTATTACACAATTAGACTGGTATGAGTCCATTAGCATATTTTTGTTGTTGTATGTACTCTGGGGGATACATAATTATTCATGTTCCCCTTCCAGATTGATATTCACCCCTCTGCACCTCAGGGTATCTCCATAGATAGGCTTGTCCTGGCTGCTTTGAGTGCCAAGGCCTCCTGCATGTAGTGGTTTTCAGTGCTCAGAGTTCTGTGAAATCGATTCAGTGGAAATTTCTCTCAACACTTACTCACTGCTGCTGGACACCAGGGACCAGCCCATGGCCACTTTCTTTTATAGACCTTGAAGCTAGACTTTGTAGATTAGACTCATTGAGGTGCAGCAAGCTGCAGAGATGTGGCCTTTACTATATCTGTTGATCTAGTAGTTCCTAGTTTTCTTCTGCTTCATACATCCCACTAGGTCTCTAGAACTTTCTGCCAGGCCAAGGTGGGTTTTTGAGTCAGAAAGGAGTACTAGGACTTTCTTCCTTCCAATGTTGTATTCAATTGGTAGCTATAATAGTCAGGGTTCTTTAGGAAAACAGAACCGATATGACAGATAATAGACAGAGATATAGAAAGATACATGAGATGGAATCTTTTAGGGAAATTGGCACACATGATTATGGAGGCTTAGAAGTCCCAGGACAAGTCATCTGCAAGCTGGAGGCCTTGGGATGCTGGTAGCATGGCTCAGTCCAAGTCCCAAATCCACAGAACCAAGGAAGCTGTTGGTATAATTCTCAGACTAAGCCTTAAGACCTTAAGACCAGGGGACCGCTGTTGTAAGACCTATAGTTCAAAGGCCAGAGAGCCTAGAGGTCTGATGTTTAAGAGCATGAGAAGAAAAGCATCACCACTCCAGGAAAGAGACAGAAAGAGAGAGAAAATAATCTTTTATCTGCTCTTTTTGTTTTATCTGGGCCACCCGTTGATTGAATGGTGCCAGCTCACATTGAGGGCAGACCTTCCACTCAGTCCACTGACTCACATGCAAATCTCCTCTGAAAACACCCTTCCAGACACATACAGAAGGAATGCCTTACCAGTTCTCTGGGTATTTCTCTTTCTCTCTCTCTCTCTCTGTATTTTATTTTATTTTTTATTTATTTTTTAGACAGGCTCTCACTCTGTCACCCAGGTTGGAGTACAGAGGTGTGAGTGTGATCATGGCTCACTGAAGCCTTAACCTTCTGGGCTAAAGCAATCCTCCCACCTCAGGCCCCAGCAGCTGAGACTACAGGCATGACAGCATGCCTGGCTAATTTTCATATTTTTTGTAGAGAGGGGTTTTGCCATGTTGTCTAGACTGGTCTCAAACTCCTGGGCTCAAGTGATCCACCTGCCTTAGCCCCCCAAAAATGCGGGGAATACAGGCATGAGCCACTGTGCCCAGCTTCTCTGGGTATTGCCTAATTCAGTCAACTTGACACTTAAAATTAACCATCACAGGGACATTGCAAAATAAAACTACATGGAGTACGTATTACAAATTTTTAAATAGGTAGCTCTTTTTATTTACCATGCTCAGCCATGTTCCACTGAGATAAATCCATGGAACTGTGGTGGGCAGGCTAGGGGGAACATCAGTACATGTGTTTGCACCTGGACCCAAAGGCCTGGGTGTTAATGTAGAGAGGGATTCCATCAGATATTGTGCCTTCCTTTACGGAGACATTTAACACCTTTTTGTGATTTTGGTAATACATTTGTAAGTTCAAAAAAATTGATTGCACCTTGCTTCCTTATTACCCCAAATATGTAACTACCATTATTGGTTTCTTGCATATTTCTCCAGAGTTTTTAAAAATAAAATACCAAAAAGTTAGGAATATATAGTGCTATTTTCCCTTTTTTAAATAAAAAGCATATTACCTTTTTAATAAAAGGTATATTATACATAATTCTATGCAGATTGTTTTTGTTTTTTACTTTTTACATTTTGAAGATATTTTTATACTAATCTATAGATACTTTTTATTCTTTTACAGTTATAAAATATTACATTATATATTAAAATTTATTTAACCAACTGACCCATTGATAGACATTTAGGTTTTCAATCCATTGATATAATAAGCAATGCCTCAATTCTTACTTGATCATAAATTATATCACAGTTGTGCAATTGTGTCTATAGGAAAACTAATTAACTGAATTGTGGTGACTGGATTAAAGATTTAATACATTTTTAAATTTTATATAACTGCCCAATGTACCCCCACAGAAATTGTACAAACTCACATTAACATCATCAAAAAATGAAAGTTTCTGTTTTACTAAACCTTATCAACAAGGTGCATTATCATTCCATTTTATTTTTTCCAATGTGACAGGTAGAAAGCAATATGTCAGTGTAATTTCAATTCGTGTTTCTTTTCTTAGAAACAAAGTTAAGCACCATTTATATGTTTAAAAGCCTTTTTAATTTTAGTTTATTTTCATTAGCTACTTATATTCTTTGAAGTATTTTTCTAATTGATTTCTAAGAGTTTCTTACATGTGAGCCTTTGTGATATGAGCTTTATTTTTTCTTGAAACATTTTTTAATATCAGTTTTCACAACACAGGAGTTAATTTCTAGGCTTTGAATATAAATTGAAGGTCATCACTGATCCAAGTTTTAGAAATATTTTTCAATGCTGTAATATTTAATTTTTAAAATTTTGAATATTTGAACTATTTGAGGTATATTCTGCTCTATAGTGTGAGGTATAGACCAGAATTAATTTCTCTAGCTATTTAGCCAATTGTTCCAACACCATTTATTGTCTTTCCTTTCTGAAATGAGGAAGTTTCCTTTTGTTCTTGGTTTTCTGATACTTTTTTTTTTAAGTCGTAAATGGGTGCTGGATTTTGTCAATTTATTTTTCTGTAGCAGCTGATGTAATCATGTGATTTTTCTTTTCAGCTTGTCGGTGTGGTAATTACATTGATTGATTTTCTAATGTTTACCTTGCCTGGTGTTCCTGGAATAAATCCCATTTGGTTGTAGTATACATTCTCTCAATACCTTTTTGGATTTGATTTGTTAATATTTGCTTGATAATTTTGCATCTATTTTATTCATGAGAGATACTGTTCAGTAGCTTCCATTTATCTAATGTCTTCCATTTACCCAATGTCTTTATCTAATTTTGATATTAGGGTAATACTGGTTTCATTAAGTGAATTAGAAAGTATTCCCTCTACTTCTATTTTCCAGATAACTTTATGGAGAATTGCTAGGATTTATTTCTTAAATGTTTGGTAGAATTCACCAGTGAAACCATCTGGGACTGGTGCTTTCTGTTTTGGAAGGTTATTAATTATTTATTCTTTTTTTAATAGATTCAGGCTTATTCGTGTTATCTATTCTCCCTTGTGTGAGTTCGGGTAGTCTGTGCTTTTTAAAGGAATTGGTCCATTTCATTCAATTTATCAAATTTGTGGGAACAGAGTGGTTTCTAGTATTTTTAAATTACCTTTTTAGTGTGTGCAGAATCACTATTGATGACCCCTCCTTCATTTGTGATATGGGTAATTTGTGTCTTCATTTCATTGTTCTTGGTAAACCTGGCTATACGTTTATCAATGTTAGTAATTTTTCGAATAACCAGTTGTTGGTTTTGCTGGTTTTCTCTATTGTTTTACTATTTGCAATTTCACTGATGGCTCTTCTAAGTTTTATTTTTTTTTCTGTTTTCTTTTAGGCTTAAATAGTTTTTTTTCTAGTTTCCTAAGATAGAAACTCATCTTATTGGTTTAGATCTTTCTTCTTTTCTAATATATTCTTTTAATATTACATGTCTTTTTTTTTTTTTTTTTTTTTTTTGAGATGGAGTCTCACTCTGTTACCAGGCTGGAGTGCAGTGGCATGGTCTCAGCTCACTGCAACCTCTGCCTCCCGGGTTCAAGTGATTCTCCTGCCTCAGCCTTACAAATAGTGGGACTACAGGCACTCCCCACCATGCCCTGCTAATTTTTGTATTTTTAGTAGAGACGGGGTTTCACCATGTTGGCCATGATGGTCTGGATCTCTTGACCTTGTGATCCACCCACCTCGGTCTCCCAAAGTGCTGGGATTACAGGTGTGAGCCACCATGCCAGGCCAATACTACATGTGTCTTTATAAGAATTGCACTCAACTCTAGAAACTTTGATAAGTCGTATAATATTTTGTACTTTACAAATTTTGATATTATGTAATCCAAAATAGTTTTAAATTTTTCTGACTTGTGTTATTTAAATGTATGTCATTAATTTCCAAATGCTAAGGGATTTTCCTGTTATTTATTTCTAGCTTAATTACATTGTAGTGTGACAACATACTTTGTATAATTTATACTCTTTTAAATTTCTTCAGGTATTTTTAAAGACCAGAGTGTGATCTGTCTTAGTCAATACTTCCTGAGAGCTTGAGAAGGATGTTTATTTTATGGTTGTTGAATGAATTATTCTGTGAATGTTAATGAGATTAAGTTGACTGATAGCGATGTTCATATCAACTGTATCCTTACTGATTTTCTGCCTGCATGATTTATGAATTACTGAAAGAATTACTTGAGCTATAGCAGTGGATTTGCCTATTTCATCCTGCAGTTCTATCAGATTTTGCCTCACCTATTTTGATGTTCTTTTGTTAGGCACATTGAAATTATGTCTCTTTGGAGAATTGGTCTCTTTATCATTATGCAATGCCTCTCTTTACCTTAATAATCTTCCTTGTTCTTAAGTCTGCTTTATGTGACTAACTCCAGTTGTCTTTTGATTAGTAGTAGTGTGATATATCTGTCTCCATTCCTTTACTTTTAATCTGAGTCTTTATATTTAATGTGGGTTTCCTGTAAAGAACATATATTTGGATCTGACCGTCCCTGTCTTTTAATTGGTATATTTAGAACTTTGATATTTTCAATTGGCATATTTAGACTATTCACATTTCCTTAAGTTGTCTCACCAATTTTTCCCTAAGCTTTTTAATTTGTGCTTCATGCACTTCTTCCTAGAAGCAATTGTTTCATTATTTTTTTCAATTTGTGTGAAAAGGATTGATCTTTTTTTTCTATTTTAAGCAATGCATTTTCTGATAAGTGGGTTTTAAATATCTGTTTATACATTTTGTTTCTTTTGTAAAGATTTTAAAAGTCTTTCTACGGCTAAAGTAGCAGTTTTCTTTTTCTACTCAATTGTGAATAAATTAGATTTTTCTAGGTCAGATATTTACAGGACATTGCTATGCATCAGTGAAGGAAAAGTTCTGATTCTTTGTCCAGGTTACGTAAAACAGAGGCTCCTGTCTTTACTGTTTCCACAGAGGTGGTGTTTAACTCACCTCCTCTACTGTCTGATTCTAACCATATCCAGGGTACATTTTGCAACTAACCTTGTCAGCCCCAAGTATCTTAATAGCCTTGTCCAATGGACACAACCTGTGAACCCTGATGGTAAATCCTTGAGCTTCAGGACATGTATGTGCCTCTTGTAGTATTTTTGGATGTTTGCCGATACTGGTTTCTCCACATACACTTTGCACCTAAACCTGTAATTCTCCGACACTTGGTTTCAACTATATCTCATTCTTGCCCACCACAGCTCTCACTATGGATGTTATAAATTCAAAATATTGCTTTTGCTCTTTAGAGTAAACCTTTCACAACCAAGGTGCCCATTCTGGGGTCATCTTCTATAATCTGTTGCCTCTGAATACCCTTGACCTTCCGCATTGCTCTTCCCACGTGGCTCGGCCAATTTCAGTTGTTCTTGACTTTTGAGAATGAAGTCAGCAAAATTTAGTTTGTTTGATTATTTATGGAGTTTTTGTTGTTTTGTTTGTTTTCCAGGAGTAGCAAATTACTCATTCTAGTGTCTTCTGTAGAATTGTATCTCAGAAGTTATATCTGTTCTTCCTTATAATATGGACTTCAGCTGTACTGATTAAAGAGAAATGCTGGAATATTTTGAATTGAAATAGTCTGGGTTTGGAGTGAGAGAGAGTGGGGTCTTATTTCTATTTCCTCTTCAATAGGTGTTTTCTCCACCCCTATGGAAATTCACGTATTATAGATTATAAATGTGAGGGAAAAGCACTGCCAAACTTTGATCAAAATGCAAATGTGTATGTCTATCCAGTTTGTACCAAACATCAAACTCAAATGTAGTAAAAAACAGCAAAAAAAATCTCATGGGAAAGATTTCTAAGCACACTTTAATAATTCAAAATGAGGTAGCACGTTAAGCTGAATAGAGAATCATCTTACAGAGAAATGTGATACACTCTTTAAGCTCAAAATAATTATGTTTATTATTTTGCTTATTATGGTTTAAATTCATTAATATTTAAATATTCTCAACATTAATTTAACTGTCATTTTATCAACATATTTACACAGAAATTAGAGAAAAATATTATTTGTAACATTTCTTTCCTTATCTTCACTCATTCTCAAAATACCCCCTTGTCTCTCCAATTCTCTTTCAGCTTTTTAAGTACAGTTTCCAATAATCCCAGACATAGAGCAGAATTAATTTGGATTTAGATTAATAAACTCTTGAAAGGATTTATTTTTGTCTTATTTTTCTAAACTTATTTGAAAGTATACTTCCCAGGAGACACATATTGATACCATTTTTGGTTTAATAACTGCTGAGTCTTTGGAGCTAGAAGGGTGATTTATGCAAGCATCCTATGGAAAAAGCAATAATTTTTATTGATTAATGCAGTTTAAGTAAAAACTTTCCTAAATCAAATAATTCACTGTAAGAAACAGACATTAACAATCTATTTGAAAATGTGAAAATTCTATGATTCTCCAAAAGAATTATATTTTTTATGTGGGATTTTGCCATTTCACTTTAATTCAACAAATAGGCATTGAATTCACACTCTGAAAAGTGTTACATAAAAATTTTAAAAATCTACTATGATGATAATTAAAAACTGAATGTAGTTTTATAGATATATAGATTAGATAGGTATGTAGATTGTTAGAAAAATGGATAGATAGATACATAGATAGATAGATAGATAGATAGATAGATGATAGATAGATAGATAGCCTTCCTATGCTTACATAGATTAGGAGCACCAAAGAGTGAGTGATACCACATTATAGATCATGAAGTTACAGAATAAAAGTATTAGAAGGCACCATAGATGTCATATAGTCTAATACCTCACTAAAGTTCAGTACCAATAAGTGATTTCCCCAATTATCTTTTAAGACTTTGCTAATTATCTAAAAGATTTTTTATATAACACTGAATTTTGTTTCTTAGAAACTTTTATCTTTTAACTGTATTTGTACCCTTTAGAGCCATATATACTAAGTGTACTTTCTATTTCCAATTATAATACATAAAATACATGAAGGCAGTCTGTGTTTCTTACTTAAAATTCCTCCTTTTCAGACTAACATATCTAGTTCATTCAGTGATGTCCAAATAATATGATGTAAGTCCATTCTCTTTCTGATCATTTTCTTTTCAGTGTCTTCCAGATTGCTAGTGGTCTACATTTTTTTTATCCTGGTGCCCAGAACTAAAGAAAAATATCTGGGTATGATTGATCAAAGTAAGATTATTTTACATTCATTCCTTGGAAATATTTCTGAAGTTGGGCTGTCTCTGAAGAGATTCGTGCTTAATATTACCACTCTGTCACTGTATTAGTCCATTCTCACACTGCTATAAAGACATACCTGAGGTGGGGTAACTTACGGAGAAAAGAGGTTTAATTGACTCACAGTTCCATAGGCTGTGCAGAAGACATGGCTGGAAGCCTCAGGAAACTTACAATCATAACAGAATGTGAAGGGGAAGCAGGCGCAATCTTCACATGGTGGAGCAAGAGAGAAAGCTCAAAGTGGGAAGTGCTACACACTTTTAAACAGCCAGATCTCAGGAGAACTCACTCACTATCATGAGAACAGCAAGGGGGAAAATCCACCCCCATGATCCAATCATCTCCTACCAGGCCCCTCCTGCAACACTAGGAATTACAATTCAACAGGAGATTTGGGCAGGGACACAGAGCCAAATCATATCAGTCACTTAAAATATTTTTAGAGCATAGAATACTGGGATCTTATTACTCTTGACTAATATACTGATAAGAACTATATTCTTATCATTATAGAGACTTAAAATAAATCTATTAAGTCCCTTGTGATAATAAGTTACTAATTGAACAGGTTACTATTACTATTTTTAATTTACCCTAACATTAAAAAAATGAAGAAGAAAATTGTTCTACAGAAATCTCAGTAACCAGCTGTATTAGACAGCGTTCTCTAGAGCAACAGAACTAGTAGGAGATATAGATAGATGCTGACAGATAGATAGATAGATAGATAGATAGATAGATAGATAGATAGATATGAAGGAGAGTTTATTAAGGAGTATTGACTCACAAAATCCCAGGGCAAAGTCCCACAATAGGAAGCCTGCAAGCTGAGGAGCAAGGAAGCCAGTCTGAGTCCCCAAACTTCAAAAGTATGGAAGCCGATGGTACATCCTTCACTCTGTGGCCAAAGGCCCTAGAGCCCCCTGGCAGATCACTGGTGGAAGTCTCAGAGTCCAAAAGCTGAATAACTTGGAGTCTGATGTTAGAGGGCAGGAAGCATTCAGCACGGTAGAAAGATAAAGCCCCAAGACTCAGCGAGCCAAGTCCTTCCAACTTCTGCCTGATTTATTCTAGTCATGCTGGCAGCTGATTAGATGATGCCCACCCAGATTGAGGATGGGTTTGCCTCTCCCAGTCCACTGACTCAAATGTTAATCTCCTTTGGCAATACCCTCACAGACACACCCAGGATCAATACTTTGCATCCTTCAATCCAATCAAGTTGACAGTCAATATTAACCATCACAGAGGCATTTGATTTTCTTCTGCAAAATACATCAATAAACCCAGCCAGAAGAGCACAACTTCTGTTAATTATTCAAAGCCCTTTCAGTTGATTAAATCAAACATTCTATCAACTGGATTCAATTTAATGTACACTTGTATGACCAAAGAGTATCTACCTGTTGATACCTAAACAATGTAGAAAAATATATATTTAATGACATACTTTATATAGATTTTTTGCCCATGTGATCCATCAAGCCCATAGAGAAACTTTATTTTAACATCTGGTAAAATGAAAGGATGGCAGCTGTTATTATTAATACAACTAAAAAGCTACTGATGGTTGAGGTTAGGAATTGAGGTTAGGAATTCGAAACCAGCCTAGCCAACATAGTGAGACCCCCGACTCTACTAAAAATACAAAAATTACCCAGGATAGTGGCACACGCCTGTAATCCCAGCTACTCAGGAGGCTGAGACAGGAGAATCGCTTGAACCAGGGAGTTGGAGGTTGCAATGAGCCGAGATTGCACCACCGCACTCCAGCCTGGGTGACAGAGCAGCGAGACTCCATCCCAAAAAGAAAAAAGAAAAGTTACTGATGGCTTTTACTGAAGGCATTGCTTAATTAGGAAATGGAAGCTATGCGTATGAATTTTTCCTGAATTCTAATGGATCCACACAAAAGCCTTTTATAAAGGTTTAAGTGCAAAATGCTGAACTTGTTTTTCTCTAATTTTTATGCCATTAGATTTATCAGTTCACATTAGAGAAGGAATTAACTAGTGCTTATATGTGTTTGAAATTCTGGGAGTAATTTTAGAAATAATGTGTTGATAAAACTAGTCTTTTCTAATTTTTGCTATTCCAAGCTCTCCAAGAAGCTTCGGAAGCTTTCAACTATATTTGTATTTTAAAATGCACTCATTATACAACTTCAGCCCTGCCTCTCTTTCTCCTATTTTTCCTCTTATCCCAATGTTTATTTTTGTCAGCTAAAGTATGTTAGAATAAAAAATAGCTACCACTAAGTAATGCTATCACTATCATTTATCAGAAAAGGCTACATTTGAGCAGTAAAGTAATGGAAAGGGCGTAATCTCTGATTAAACAACAATTACCAAACTCATAGGACATTAGAAAATATAAAGATTTTGAAAAGAGCATATAAAATGTTTAATGTAGGTAAACACAAAATATTATATCTACAATATTTATGATAATAACTAACATTTACTGAGTGCTTACCATCTGCCAAACACTGTGTATGTTATTTAATTCTCAATCTGCTATGACAGAGTGCTGATATTATTTATTTATTTATAAGAGAAACATTGAAACAACTGATCAGTAGTGTAACAGGGTTTACAAAAATACTACATTTTTTTTTAACTTCAGAGCTTAAACTGCTGACAAATGTATAATATTTACAGGTTTACTATTCTTTTATTGGTCCAATATTGTCAAGTTGGGGATCTTTCAAAGAACAACATAGAGCTCAAATCCAATAACTCCTTTTCTTATTTTGGTCATGAATTTTTCAAAAATCAGATTTCACATGAGTAGTTGATGAAACTCAACTCAAATTTTTTACTTTATTTATTTATTTATTTTGTTGTTCCAAACTTCTCAGTGAATTAAAAGAAGCTTATTCCAATTACTTCCACGCTTCTCTTCCATTTCCTTATAGGATTTCAAAGCAGAAAATTGGAGAAGAAAGGCAAGATGCCTACTTTTGAAATCTTGATGAAGAGAGGTGGAGGGTGATTTCTACTTTTCAGCTTCATTTTTACCTTGGGACGATCGTTACACCTATAGCCTTGGTAGCTCAAATTTAAAAATTAGGACTTTCTGATAAGGAGCCATGGTCAATTGAAAACCACATCTCAAAAACATAGGATTGGATAATTCTAAAAATATCAATTAAGTCCATGATTGCATGCTTATATAACTAGTTCAGACATCTGTTTCTGCTAAGAGAAAAAAATATCAATTTAAACACTTCATTAAATAAGGTGTTCTACTCTTGATGATAACTCTGATGTTCATCAGTAAAAAGAGTAAAACTGGTGAGTCTTGGCCTCTAGAATTTGTCTAGTTTCTCTAAGATTTGTAATGTATTAATGTGAAGTTATCTCACTATTCTTTTATCTTTAAAATCTTTGTTGTATCTATATTTGTATCCTCTTGTAAACTTCTAATATTGATGATGTGTCTTTTTTTCCATTTTCTTTATCAATCTCTTCAAATATTATCTGTTTTATTAATTTTTTAAGAATTCTATTCTGGTTTATCAATCCTATTTTATATTTTTTTTGTTTTCATGTTATGTTTTTAATTTATTACCTTTTGCTTCTAGTTTCTATGAGTTAATTCTTTTTTGCCTTTCTAATTTCTTTAATTAGATAGTTGTTTCATTGTTTGTAACTTTTCTTCTCTTTCAATGTAAGCCTTCAAGACTAAATTCCCTTAAGGGTGCCATAGCCACTTCATCCTCCACATTTTGCTGTAGTATTTTTATTATAATTTGTTTCTACACATTTTAAATTTCCATTGTGATTTCTTCTTTGATCGTAGATATATTTATGTGTGTTATATAATTTTCTAATATGTAAGGATTTTAGTTTATCCTTGTGTTTTTTTTTCTAACTTAACTGCATTTTGTTTAGAAAATGTTTCATTAGGCACTTTTAAGGTACTTTAAAGCAGTGGTCCCCAACCTTTTTGGCAGCAGGGACTGGTTTCATGGAAGACACTGGTTTCATGGAGAAAGACACCTCCACTTTCCATGGACCTGGGAGTAGATAATTTTGGCATGCTTCAAATGCACTGCATTTATTGTGGACTGTATTTCTATTATTATTATATTGTCATGTATAATGAAATAATTATACAACACAACATAATGTAGAATCAATGGGAGCCTTGAGCTTGATTTCCTGCAACTAGACAGCCCCATCTGAGGGTGATGGGAGACAGTGGCAGATCAGCATTAGATTCTCTCTCTTTTTTTTTTTTTTTTTTTTTTTGAGATGGAGTTTCGCTCTTGTTGCCCAGGCTGGAGTGCAGTGGTGCAATCTCGTCTCACTGCAACCTCTGCCTCACGGGTTCAAGCAATTCTCCTGCCTCAGCCTCCTTAGTAGCTGGGTTTACAGGCATGCACCACTGTGCCTAGCTAATTTTGCATTTTAGTAGACGGGGTCTCTCCATGTTGGTCAGGCTGGTCTTGACCTCCCCACCTCAGGTGATCTGTCTGCCTCGGCCTCTCAAACTGTTGGGATTACAGGCGTGAGCCACAGCACCCAGGCAGGCATTAGGTTCTCATAAGGAGCATGCAACCTAGATTCCTCACATGTGCAGTTCACAATAGGATTCTTGCTCCTATGAGGGTCTAATGCTGCCATTGATCTGACAGGAGGCAGAACTCAGGTGGTATGTGAGCAATGGGGAGTAGTCATAAATACAGATGAGCTTCACTCCCTCTCCCACCATTCACCTCCTACTGTGAGGATTCCTAATAGGCCACAGACTGGCAATGGTCCATGTCCCAGGGGTTGGGGACCCTTGCTTTAAAGTTTGAGATTCCATTTATGGACTACTATATGATCACATTTTATAAATCTTGTATATATATACTTGAGAACAATGTGCATTCTTAATCCTTGAGTGCAGGGTTCTACATACGCCTATTAAATCAACCTTACAAATTGTACTGTTCAAATGTAGCATGCCTTAACCAACTTTTTATCTGGTTTCCTACTTAACAAAAATAAAAAGACAAGTTTTGAAATTCCTCATGATAATAGATGTTTTGTCAATTTCTGCTTTAGATTTAACAATTTGGACTTTCTATATTTTAAGGCTATTTTGTTTTGAACATGCAAATTTAAAATTTGCATTTCTTTCTCCTCATTTAATCTACTGATATATAGTACTTTGTTTCCAAAATAATATTTCTTTTGTTTTAAATACTTTTTTATTTTATTAACATAGTACAGGTACTTTTCTTGTGATGTTTTCAACCTTTCATATCTGTATGGTTTAAGTGTATTTCTTATGAATCAATATAATTGACCTGGTTTTCCATCTAACATTATAATAATACCTAGCTGATAGCTAGTGAATATACCATAACTACATTTGTTTTCTTATTGCTATTATATTTGTAAGTCACGTCTTCAATCTTTCCTTGTGCTTTCTACTTGACCTGTTGTCAAATAGATTCTTCATCTTTTTGGCTGTTTGACTTTTCTAAAATATTTTTTTTGTTTTATTATTTATTTCCTTATTAAACCAGCATTCAGTATTTATTTCTTTTAGTAACCCCATATTTATTTTCTATTTTTCTATATAAATAATGTATGTTTTATTTTGTTTATTAATTTCTGTGTTCATTATTTCTTCTTGCATCCTAAACATTTGCTCTGGGATACTTATTATTTTAAAATATTATATCCATTAGAATCTAGTTTAAATTTTAAACTAGAATCTGCAGTCTGCTGGTGACAAAATCAACTTTTTTGTATGTGAAATATACCTTTTTTCACTCTCATTCTTGAAAGGTAATTGTTGTGAACACGCAAATCTAGACTGACAGTTTTTCCTCCACCTTCCTAGCATTTTGACAATATAATTTCTTTGTCTTTTTTTCCTGTTGTTTCTATTAAGAAGTCTACTGTTGGACAAACTGTAATTTAGCTCTCATCCTCTTACACCTCATTATTGACCAATCACATTTCTTCTCATTGGTTAAAAAGACTTCAGAGTTTAGAAGTGCATTAAAAGCTTTTTTTCTTTTATCTAGTAACTATATGTCATCAGGGGCCCTTCAAAGTATCTAGTTTTCTCTGTTTTAGAAATATGACATCCTTTAGCTTTTGTTTTTCAAGCAGCAGACTGACTGTGTTCAGAATTTTGACACACTTTAATATCTCTCCACATTAGTTTCCTTGTTTTCAAAAATGAGGGCAATAATTGCAACTACCTCAAGAACAATTAGATTGTTTCATAAGTTAAATGAGCTAACGAATCTACAGGAATTAAAACTGTGACTGGAACACTGTAGACACTCAGTAAGTAAATGGTGGGTGGTTGTGGTGGTAGTAGTAGTTCCTGGTGATATAGTAGTACTTACTAAAGGGACATAAGTCTTCTACTATAGCACTAATGCAACTTTTAATATCATTTTAAATTACTGAAGACAAAATATGATTAATCCTGATACTACTAAATCCCTTGCTTTTCATGATGAAAAAGTGGTATTAGTTTGTCTTCCCAATGAGGGTTAAAACACATTGACAGTAGATTTTGTCTCTTATCTTTTATTTGTATTTTCTCTGTAGCTTACACAGTGCATAGTGAATAGTGGATTCTAATTACAGCTTGTATTAGTTCGTTTTCACACTATAAAGAGTTTCCTGAGACTGGATAATTTATAAAGGAAAGAGGTTTAATTGACTCACAGTTGCATATAGCTGGAAAGGCCTCAGGAAACTTACAACTATGGTGGAAGGGGAAACAGGTACATCTTACATGGTGACAAGTGAGACAGAGAGTGAATGTGTGTAGGAGGAACTGTCAAATGCTTATAAAACCATCAGATCTCATGATAACTCACTCACTATCAAGAGAACAGCATAGGGAAAATCACCCCCATGATCCAGTCACCTCCCACCAGGTCCCGCCCTCAATATATAGAGATTATGGGAATTATAATTTAAGATGAGAAATGGGTAGGAACACAAAGCCTAACCATATTACAGCTTTACAAATTTTTCAACACTTTTGATTATCTAGCTTTATGGCAACCTGTACTCTCCTTGTCCTATTTTGAGAATTCATTTCATTCTAAATTATCTTTTTTGTTGTCAAACTCATTTCCTTCAATAATGAACTTAATGTTTATCTTGCCTGTTGGGGTTTTTGTTAAGAAAATGAAAACTAAATGCTTTCTTTGTCAACACTAGAAATGCTGGTTATAAAGCAAGATAGTGTAAAATTTAAGTGCAGTAAGAGAAATAAGAGAAAGAGTAAGAACCTCACGTTATACATGTTTAATTTGTTTCTCAAAACAAAATTTTTAAAATTTCTTTTTGGATGTATCTGTGGAGGTATTTTGTATCCATCAAGCCAACTCTAGTGTGCTGATATTATTTTGTGGTCTTTATTCTGAATGAACTGAAAGCCTGAAAGCCTAGATGGTGAGTGAGATAAATAGAAGGTGATAGAAATTTTCAGAAATAAAGACCTGAATATCCCTTCCCCTATAAACACAGAATTTATTATGTGATTCAATCATCACTTGTTCACTTTTGAAATAATGAGTATTAAATATTTCTTATTCTTCCAATTTTGATGTTTATATTTAGCATTTTTAATATAGATATGACACAACACTACTTTTCTGTGACCCATCTAATGGAATGGTGTCTGTGAAGCACACAAAATTCAATTTTTATGGCTCTTTTCCTTCCTATATATGATAAATGGAAGAGTGCAAAGCTACTTGCTATAAGTTAAGTCTAATTTTTCCTCTCCTGTATATATTATGTCAAAATCTATGCTATTTCGCCAGTGACAGCTAATGTTAGTTATGTCTTCTCTTAGGTTTCCCAAGTTCTGAAAACAGTGCACAACCAGAAAAGTCATTTACTTCCTTCAGCAAAATGGTTGGGAATCTTTCAGTTACTCTATTCTCAACTGTATAAAATTTGTTTCTATCATTTCAGGAAAACCATATTGCTCAACAGTCAGAAATAAGGAATAGTTTTGAGGTAAAAAGAAATGTCTTCGTGTTCTGCCTTCTTTAAAAATTTATTCTCTCTGTAAAATAGGTAAAGCATGTAGAAATCTTAAATGCTCCCAATGGTCAAATTATTTTTTAACAGCATACTATTTATTTATATTGTCATGGTTGAAATTATAAGAGTAAGGCACAATTTCTATTTCTGATCTAGTTTTCCATTCGCTTTACCCAGTAACTATTATATTTAATTTTAAAGATCTTCCAGAGTTTATCTGGCTCAAGTTTTATTTTATTTAAATGCTTTCCTAAACTTGTCAAGATTACTGAGTGTGGCCATGTTGCTATAGAGTATAAGTATTATGTGTAGTCAGTATTTACAAGGTATTTATTTTAGTTATTTCTTGACTAACTTCAGGGTTGGGAATAATAATGAAATATCATTATCTCTTCTAAACAAATTAATGCTACTTGAGCTCAACATGACAAATTTTCTAATCCAAATAAGTTATCCTCTTTCAGAGCCCTGAGCCCAGGTAGCTTTTACTTTAATTTTATGGGTGAATTTGCAGTCTAATTAATTTTCTAGTATCTTTTAAAAGAGGCCTGTGGCCAGGTAATGACAAGGACAGATTTCCCTTCCACTGTGTTCCATGGATACCAGGATATAGATGACTCTATCAGCAAATGCAGCTTGGCAATAAAGTATCATGAATCAATCCTAACAGTGACTCATCTTTCTTGACATCCTCTTCAATGGCAATCCCGCCTGCGAGAAGAAGCTCTTGCTTTTTTCTGAATACTGATACATGTGGTCAGAATATTAGAGAAGGAAGGATGGTCTAGAAGCAATAAAACAAAATTCTAGTTTCACTCTTACTGCAATTCCAAAAAAGCAATTATATTTTAGCAATAGTAAAGCCCGTGAAATCTCTATCACATTATAATTTTTCCCTCACTTTTAGAGCCATATTTTACCTTGCTATGTGACCAAGAGATTTTTTAACCCTAAGTCTAATCTTGAGATTTCTATTTCATTTTCATTTTATTTCTATAAGTCATACTTTCAGAGGCAAGGCTCCTTCAGTGTAATTGATATGCCTGTCTTACAAGAGCTTAACGTTAGGGGAATAACTTTCCCCTTCCTTTTCGAACATACCTAGTGATAACAATACTCAAAACTAATGTTCGAATACAGCTTTAAAACATATCTTAAGCAACAAAAATATTTGTTCATGCAACCAACAAAGATTATTTTCTCCACTATTCTAGTTGAATTTGTATCTATTTAATAGGAAACGCAGAACTATCATGTGACCAAAGACTGAGTTAGTTTCTCTCACATAGTTTCTTTCATTTTGGGTTACTTCCTCTATATTTCAAAAAAAAAGTACGAGGCTTGGGGTAGTTACAGGACACAAGTTTGTGTTGCTAGAAAATACGGGGCAAAACTGTGAGCCCCAAAATGCTGACTCCACATTTAATGCCATTTTTATTAAGCCCCATTAGTAATAAAAAATAATATTAATGATATTTATGAAGTACTCACTCTGAAATTGTAGATGTGCAGGACACTATAGGCTTTATTTCATTTAATCTTAACAACACTATGACATAAATATTAGAATTGTTCCCACTCTACAGATGAAGAGATTAAAATAAAGGATAAAATAATAAAAATGGCATTGCTTCCTGAGCTAGAATGTATTCAAGTGGCGAGTTCCAGAGTGCCCACAGCTAACCACTTAGCTGTACTGTTCCCAAACACTTCACTTGAAAAAGAAAGGAAGTACCATGTAGAACTTTCTCATATCATAAGTATTTTGCACCAAATTGTACATTACATTCCTCAAATAATTCACAGAATCACTCATCAAAGATAAGTTCTATCTTTCAGGAGCTTCATGTGCACATGTAAATTCAAATCTACCTTTGCATCCACACAATTATTTTTTTAAAAGTAAGAATGAATGCTAGTGTCTTAGTCCATCCAGGATGCTATAAAAAGCACTATGAACTAGGTGGCTTATAAACAACAGAAACTCATTTCCCAGAGTTCTGAAGCCTGGGAAGTTCAAAGTCAAAGTGCTAGTAGAGGTGATGTCTGGTGAGGACCGTATTCTAGGCTGCAGACTGACAACTTTTCATTGCATTCTCACATGGCAGAAAGATGGTGAGAGACCTCTCTGGGGTTCCTTTTATAAGAGCATGAATCTCACTCATGAGAGCTCCACCCTCATGACTTTATCATCTTTCAAAGGCCCCCACCTCCTAATACCATAATATTGGTGAATAAGTTTTAATATATGGATTTCAGAGAGTGGTGGAGAGAAACATTCAGATTGTAGCAGGTAGTAAAGACAATGGGAAAAAGATAGAAGACAGAGATAAATGAAGAACCAGCTCAGCCCCTCTTATTCCCAGACCAAACTGAGGGTCAGGCTGCTCTTTCCTGTGGCCCAATAACTGGATGCAGATGAACTGGGGAGGAAGAGAGTTTTTATTTCTGTAACCAGTTACAGGGAGAAGGCCTGAAAATTATTGCCAGGCCAACTCAAAATTACAAAGTTTCCCAGAGCTCATATAACCTTCTAAGCTGTATGTCTATGTGTAAGTGTGGATTCACCTAAAGACATATGGGATTAACTTCTTTTAATCTATAACTAAGGTCTGAGTCCTGAAGACCCTCCTCTGGAGCCTCAGTAAATTTACTTAATCTAAAGGGGCCCAGGTGCTGGGGTGATTATCTTGTCTCCTGCTAAATCACGGAGGTTTGGGGAGTTCTTTCAGGCTTACAACAAACTTGTTTTTGGAGGCCTGGGGAGTTTCTTCAGACCCACAATAAAACTTGTTTAATCCTAAATGGGTCCTGTTAAGAATTCCTTCTTTATTTTTTCATGCTTTAAGGCCAAGGAAAAGCTTAGGCAAAACTCTTGGTGGGCTCTTTGTTACATTCCAGCCTTTGTATAAGGGCACTGGCTTTTAGTATTTAACTTAACCACTTAGTCAGTACTGAAAGAGTTGTTATGCGTTAGTGAAACCTGGCCTGCCACGCTCTCTTCTCTTTCACAGTGAGTTGAACCAAGGTGATGATTTATAAAGGTATGTGGGAAGTCCCAACATGCTTATGAACATGCTGTTAAAAATGTTCATTTCTGGGAATTGAACCTCAAAGTCCTGATTAAACTTTTTAGCTTATTTCCTAAAGTCCAGTGTGCCGCAAGGCTTTGTAGAGGTTGTATTTGAACAAAGTCTAAGATGGGCTAGGGAGATAACCAGGATGAAAGAAAAATGAAGCTTTGCTCTCTTTCCTTTTTCTTAGTTGGGGACAGGTAATTTTGTAAGAAAAGACATGTTTGAAAGATGAATGAGTCATTTTGCGGGTGATATTGGCAAGAACATTTAGCTTCCTGTGACCACATAGCAATGTTCTTAAAACAGGTTTTGATGTTCAGAGATGAAAGTACCTAACATAGAAAGAGGCATGAATATTCTTGAAAAGAGCTCATATTAACACTAAGTATGTTATCAGGATTATTTTACAAATGATCAAGGCTGCAGTTCCCACTTCCCATATTTCAGTTCATTCCCTGCCAGCATTCTTTGAATTAATTGATACTATCATATTCTATCAATTCTAAGACACTTGAGTTTTCCACATATTACCATCTCGAAAATAGAAATGCATTTTGTAGTTGGCATCATGTGATTGTAAATTGGCAGTTGTTTTTTTTCCTTCCTTTTTCAGGGAAACAAAATAATGAAGTCTCATAATCAGTGCTATCTTCAGATTAATGACATTCTCTATTCAGGAGGTAAAAGGAGACAGTGCTGTTTTTTTGTGTTATTTCTATAAACACAATAACTTATATTGTATGATTCAGAGGGCACTAAACAACTGATTGTAATCTCTGATTATCACACATGACGCCTGACATTCCAAGACTAGTAACCGATTCTTTAAAAGTAAATATTGTTTATTCCTAAAGCTTTAACTCTGAATACTATCTCGTTTGGCAATACTTTGGACTAATCTCTAGGATCCAGAAATCCATGGTTATAATTCACAGTTTCATAAACCTAAAATTGTGTGTGTTAACACTTTTGTGTGTGTATGTGTATATAGCAGATACTTTTAATTCCCTGCCCATATCCTCTTGGCATTAATTTTCACACACACCTGATTGTTTACATGAAAAACTGCAAATTTTTTGAGGGTTTTTTAATATTATGTGTGCACATTTTACTTGCACCTAAAGCAAGCCACAAGTGCTTGGGAGATAATGATCATAGAAGCAGCCTTTGAAAATTATGGAAGGGGCATTGGTAGATAAATATTTCCATTTCTGTGCTCTTGGTTGGGATACCTCTGAGGAATATCGTATACTATCTCCAGATTTCCTCAGTAGGATTGAGTTCTGATTGTCCACAATGATAGCTGGCTTTATCATGAAATTTTATTGGCTTATTTTCTTTACCTCTCTTATTTCCACACTCCTGTGCCAAATTAACTATTTGCCCTTGAATCCTAATAGTTTATACACATATTGTCTCTCTGTGTGTCTGTGTGTGTGCATGCACATTTTTTTAGAGAAAATGTGCTGTTTAATCAAATATGTTTGATTAAGAACAACTATCTTATTATGAATTTGTTAGCTCTTTTAAAAATAGGATCTGATTCTGAAAAGAGAGCTGTGAAAGAATTAGCCCAGCATGCTCCTTGTATGCCTCCATGGAACCTTGGAACCACAATTTACCTTTGACCAACTTCTGGTAATCTGGGCCTCAGAAGACTCTTTATGTTGACGATTGATGATTCTGTTGTATACACCTGGAGAATAGACTATGCCATGTGAGCTTCTCAAGCTTAACATCAAGATTGATGATGTGTACCTAGTTTTATTGTTGGGTTCCTGAGTTGTTGTTACCATGGCTGGTTGTGCAGCAGGAGGTATCTACACGAAGAGCCTACATAAAAGCCTTCTCTTGGCAGATTCTCCTTTTATATGTCCTTGTAGTTCACATCAAAAGAAAAGCACATCCTATATAATGAGGACTAGGAATCGTGTATTTGTCCTCTCTAAACTCTGCCTAATGCCTGCCTTCCTATTGTTCTTGCTCTGTACCCTTTTGCTCTAATGAAACTTGGCTATGAGTACAACCTCTGTTGCATCTTATGAGTCCTAGAGAGTAAACCTACTTGAGAATGTTCTTGAGACCTCTGAAACAAGCACCAAGTAAATTTTGGTAGGAATGCAGAGAGCAGAAATGTTTACTCCTAGGACACCTTCTAGGGAAAGGCGTGCCAAATTGACGGTTTCACATTTGGGGTAGATGGAGGAAATCTGGAAGGCTGGTGAGTAATTCTGGGCTATTGAATTCTCTCCAAAGAAGAGCCTGTAGAAGACTATTATACACAACTTCACTGCCTGCACAAATCCTGCTTAAGATTCACATTTAGAATAAAGAGCAAAGAAAAGTGTCTCTTGTTATTCAATTATAGAAGAGATTGGTTAGCTCCTTTGTCATCAACATGTGGAAGACTAAACTGGTCACTAGAGAAAGTGTTCATCAATCTGTTTAGCCTGTAAACCTCAACTTTGAATACGGAAGTCAGAAATGGCAGGAATCTCTGCTGTTCTTATTTGGGAAATAGAAAGTTGCAATAAGTTTGGACAGAATTTAAATAGAGTGATGCAAACTAATAAAAGAATGTACTAAGTCGGGGCCTACCTTGCAGCAGAACTGGCAGACAGGAAAGCCACATGCTCAAGAGTATAAAAAGCATGTAATTCAGACGATGTCTTTTAACCTCCTCAGTATTTAAAGGCCCTAATAGAGGATTTTCTGCAGGTCAAATAAACTAGATAAATAATATTAGGCTGGTGCAAAAGTAATTGCAGTTTCTGCTATCGCATAATGTCAAGAAACACAATTACTTTTGCACCCATCTAATACAACAACTACATACTAATATATAAGAGCAGGTCTGCTATACTGGGTTTCTAAATGAAATCATTTTCAAATAAACTTTATTTTTCTATTTTTCTAGAGCTTACTAAACTTGTGGAGTACAGAATCATGAATTTGGACCCACCATTTTATGTTCAAGTCAGTGTATGCCACAAGAACAGTAGGAAATACTTGAGCAAGATAGCATTTACTTTGTTGAAATCACTAATGGCTCTTCTTCAGACAAAAAAAACAAACAAACAAAACCCTTGATGGCAAGTGCTATACATAGTGACAGTTCACCTCATTTTACTACTCCTCTGTTTCCTAAAATTTAATTCTCAGAACATTCAAATTACACTTGTCAGAATTTGCTCACCATATTGACAAAAGTAAAAACAAAAAGAAAATAACAAAAGGATTAATTTACTTTAAAAGAAAAAGTAGATTACAGTAGTCCTCGCTTATCCACAGTTTTGCTTTCTGTGGTTTCAGTTATCCAAGGTCAACCACTGTGTAGAAACATAACACACAATAAAACATTTTGAGAATGCAAGTGAGAGGGAGAGTGAGGAGAACATTCTCCTAACTTGTATTACAGTATATTGTAATAATTGTTCCATTTGTGAATGGAAAATGAATCTTGGAGCCCCCAAATCACTAAGCTGAAGGGAAAAGTCAAGCTGAGAACTGCTTAAGGTGAACCCGTCTCCCATTCTATTCAAAGTCACCCCTTTGATCACTGAGATAAACGCATATATGATTTCTCTTTTTTTTTTTTTTTTGGAGAGGCTAATCAGGAACTCAAAAGAATGCAACCATTTGTCTCTTATTCACCTATGACCTGGAAACCCCCTCCCCACTTCGAGTCTTCCTGTCCTTGGCCTTTGCTTCGAGTTGTCCTCCCTTTCCAGACTGAACCAATGTTCATCTTGCATATGTTGATTGATGGCTCATGTCTCCCTAGAAAGTGTAAAACCAAACGTGCTCTGACCACCTTGGGCACACGTCATCGGGACCTCCTGAGGCTGTGTAACCAACACGCATTCTCAACCTTGGCAAAATAAACTTTCTAAATTAACTGAGACCTTCTCAGATTTTTTGGGTTCATACATTTTATTATTAGTTATCATTGCTGATATCTTATGATGCCTAATTTATAAATTAAACTTTTTCATAACTATGTATGTATAAGAAAAAATAGTACATATAAGATTTTATACTATCTGCAGTTTCAGGCATTTATTGGGGGACTTGGAATGTGTACCCCACCGACAAAGGGGGACTACTTTACTGCAAAGTACGCTGTCACTTTAAAGTGTATTACAATGTGATGTTACTATAACCATCTCTCTAAAAAATGCTTTCCAGGGCTGAATCTTTATATTTATTTGAAGTCATATCTAAACAATTCAAGTTAAAGAGCATACTATAATATGGTTCTACTTATTAAGAGTTAGATTAAGATTTAAATGCAAATTTGTATTATGTGTCACAAATTCTATGTTATCTACAGCCACCAGTTAAGTCAAATGTCTTTTAATGTGCATTGAATTATATTCTTATAAATCCTAGCAGTTTCTAAGCCCTTGAGGCCTTGTGTTCACAATTTAAGTAAATTGCCACTAGATGGAAATCTTGCAAATTTGGGGACATGAGACCAGACAGAATATTTCAAAGTTTATTTTTAAATTCATATACTATTGAATTTATTACTAAAGAAAATGAACTCATAAACATTTATTATCAAGATATTACATTGTAATTCATAATAATCAGCTTATGACTTAATCTTCTCCCACTCCCACCCCAGAAAACCACCACCCAATGTTAAGTCCCTTGAAAAAGACGGTATACTTCATTCATCTCTGTACATTCAATTCCTAGTACATTGTTTGGGTCATGTTGGGTAATCAATGAATGTTTGATGAACCAAATGCAAAAAGTTTTGTTTAAGGTGAATTTGTTTGATTTGAATAGTTATTTATTTTTAAACTATTTTTTACTTTAATTTAAAACAATAAATATTTTAACATTACAGAAATGAATAAAAAAGAAAAAACCTAGGATTTTGTCATGTAACTGAAACTTCTGCATTCATGTCCTATTTTATAGGTATCATGTGGACTTCACTATACATTTATTAACTTATTTTGGTAAACTCAACCCCCACTGATAGCAATGAGGATTTAGGAGCCCAGTTGAGGCAGTGAGTGAGTAGGCTATCCAAGTTTATTTGCAAAATAATCTCACTGGGAAGTAAGAACCTCTGTAACCCTCAGAGTAAGTAATTGTTCTTATGCAGCAATAGTCCCCCAGGAAAAGCAGGTTAGACAATATTGATCTATACATTTTAGTCCCTTTTTGCTACCTAAAACCAAGTCATCAAGAGGTACAACAACATTCAAGGGCTTCCCCAAATTGGCAGGCTCAGCAAGATCATCTTTATTTACAACTCAAGACTCTCCCCTTGTGACCTCCTCCCTCTGTATTCACTGTGTAAATTCCTTTCTAACTTATTTGCAAAACTCCCACCAAGGCAGGGCTAGTTATACCATATGTTGCTCCTCCCCTGATAACTGTTGACTTCATTTCCTAAGGACTGTTCTCATTAAAATATTATGAACATGAATATTTCATATAATTATCATGAAAAAGAAACTCTTTTTAAAGGGTGGTATTAATTCAATTTAGACTTTGTTGGGTCATTTGTCTATTTGACCATTCCTCAGTTGTATCTTTGCCTTACCTCAAGCTATTTCAAGTATGAAAATTTAATATCATGCTCCTTCTTTGATTTTCTCTTTTTTTAACTGAGGCAAGAACATTTAACATAAGAACCACTTTACAAATTTTTAAGAGCACAATATAGCACTGTTAACAATAGGCACTATGTTGTACAGAAGATCTCCAGAAGTTATTCATTTTGCATAACTAAAACTTTATACTGATTAAACAACTCCTCTCCCCAATGCTTCTGTTAACCACCATGCCTTTTCTGTTTCTATGAATTGATTATTTTTATAGTGCTAAATGCCTAAATCAAAAAGTTAGAAAGATTACAAATTAACAACCTAACATCACACCAAAAGGAACTAGAAAAAAAAAAAACAAACAAACAAACTCCAAAACTAACAGAAGAAAAGAAATAACCAAAATCACAGCTAAACTGAATGAAATAGAGATTTAAAAATTTATACGGGCTGGGCGCGGTGGCTCATGCCTGTAATCCCAGCACTTTGGGAGGCCAAGGTGGGTGGATCACGAGGTCAGGAGATTGAGACCATCCTGGCTAACACAGTGAAACCCCGTTTCTACTAAAAATACAAACAATTAGCCGGGCGTGGCAGCGTGCGCCTGTAGTCCCAGCTACTCGGGAGGCTGAGGCAGGAGAATGGTGTGAGCCTGGGAGGCAGAGCTTGCAGAGTGAGCCGAGATCGCACCACTGCACTCCAGCCTGGGCAACAGAGCAAGACTCTGTCTCAAAAAAAAAAAAAAAATTATACAAAAGATAAACAAAATCAAAAGTTGTTTAATTGAAATAATAAATAAGATTGACAGACCACTCGTTAGAATAATAAAGAAAAAAAGAGAGAAGATCCAAATAAACACAAGCAGAAATGACAAAGGTAACATTACCATCGACTTTACAGAAATACAAAAAACCATCAAAGTCTATTATGGAAACCTCTATACACATAAACTAGAAAACCTAGAAGAAATGAATAAATTCCTAGAAACATACAGCCTCCCAAGAGTGAGAAAGGAAGAAACTGAATTCCCAAACAGACCAATAACAAATTGCAAAATTGAATCAGTAATAAAAATTCTACTAACCAGAAAAAGCCATAAACCACACAGATTTACAGCTGAATTCTACCAGATATATGAAGAAGAACAGGTACCAATCCTACTGAAACTGTTCCAAGAAACTGAGGAGAGACTCTTCCCTTGCTCATTCTATGATGCCAGCATCATCCTGATACCAAAATCCAGCAGAGACACAACAACAAAAAAAAGAAAACTCCAAACCAATATCCTCGATGAACATAGCTACAAAAATCCTCAACAAAATACTAGCAAACTGAATCCAGCAGCACATCAAAAAGCTAATCTCTCATTGAGATAAGCTAATCTCTGATTGATGTGCTGCTGGAGCACATCAAAAAGCTGACCATGATTAAGTTTTTTCCTGGGATGCAAGGTTGGTTTAACATAGGCAAATCAATAAACATAATGCATTACATAAACAGGACTAAACACTAAAACCACATGAGCATCTCAATAAATGAAGAAAAGGCTTTTGACAAAATTCAACATCCCTTCATGTTAAAAACTGTCAATAAACTAGGCATTGAAGATAAATATCTCAAAATAATAAAAGCCATCTTTGTCAAACCCACAGCCAACATCATACTAAGTGGGCAAAAGCTGGAAGCTTTCCCCAGGAGAAACAGAACAAGACAAGGATGCCCACTGTTACCACTCTTATTCAACATAGTTGAATAACAAAAATAAGTTGAAATAAGTTGAAAAATAGTTGAAATAAGAAAAAGAAATAAAGAAGTAAAAGGCATCTAAATAGGAAGAGAGGAAATCAAACTATCTCTCTTGATAGATGATATGATTCTATACCTAGAAAACCCCATAATCTCTATACAAATGCTCCTAGAATTCACAAGCTATTTCAGTAAAGTTTCAGGATACAAAATCAATGGACAAAAATTAGTACATTTCTATATGCCAATGAAATTTAAATGGAAAGCCAAATCAGAAATGCAATCTCATTAACAAGAATCAAAAAAAAAAAAAGAATAAGATACCTAGGAATATAGCTAAACAGAGAGGTGACATCTCTACAATAAAAATTACAAAACACTGCTGAAAGAAATCATAAATAACACAAACAAATGCAAAAACATTCCATATTCATGGAAAGAAATAATCAATGTCATTAAAATGGCCATATTGCCCAAAACAATTTACAGATTCAATGCTGTCAAACTATGTATCCTATCAAATTACCAATGCCACTTTTGCAGAATTAGGAAAAAACTATTCCAAAATCAATATGAAACAAAAAAAAATGGTTTTGTCTAAGCAAAAGAACAAAGCTGGAGGCATCACGTTACCTGACTTCAAAGTACATATCAAGGCTAAAATAACCAAAACAGCATAATACTAGTACAAAAATAGACATATAGGCCAATGGAATAGGATAGGAAACCCAGAAATAAAACCATATACCTACAGCCATTTGATCTTTGAAAAAGTTAACAAAAATGAACAATCAGAGAAGGACTCCCTATTTAATAAAAGGTGCTGGGATAACTGGCTAGTCATATGTAGAGGTTTGAAACTGGACCCCTTCCTTTATACCATATATAAAAATCAACTCAAGATTGATTAAACACAAATGTAAAACCAAAGACTCTAAAAACCGTAGAAGAAAACCTAGGAAATACCATCCTGGACATAGGCCTTAGCAAATATGACAAAAACTTAACATTTCATGACAAAAGCAATGGAAGCAAAAACAAAAATTGGCAAGTGGGACCTAATGAAACTAAAGAGCTTCTACATAGCAGAAGAAACTGTAAACAGAGTAAAGGGACAACCTACAAAATGGGAGAAAATACTTGCAAACTATGCATCTGACAAAGATCTAATATCCAGAATCTATGAACTTAAATAAATCAACAAGCCAAAAAAAAAAAAAAAAAGAAAACTCATTAAAAATGGGCGCTACGCTGGGCGCGATGGCTCACGCCTGTAATCCCAACACTTTGGGAGGCCGAGGCAGGCGGATCACGAGGTCAGGAGATCAAGACCATCCTGGCTAACACAGGGAAACCCCGTCTCTACTAAAAAATATACATAAAAAATTAGCCAGGCGTGGTGGCGGGCGCCTGTAGTCCCAGCTACTCAGGAGGCTGAGGCAGGAGAATGGCGTTAACCCGGGAGGCGGAGCTTGCAGTGAGCCGAGATCGTGCCACTGCACTCCAGGCTGGGTGACACAGCGAGACTTTGTCTCAAAAAAAAAAAAAAGGGCACGACATAAACAGACACTTGTCAAAAGAAGACATATACACACAGCCGATAAGCATATGAAAAAAATGCTCAACATCACTCATCATTAGAAAAATACAAATGAAATTCACAATGAGATACCATCTCACACTAGTTAAGAATAATTATTTAAACATCATATTTCAATCTTTAATTTTTTTCTGAATTCCGGCAGGAAATGGAGTATTATTATTAAATCCCTTCAACCTCAACAAGTTTGCTTGCTATGTACCTTGAAAACCCTATGAGATTCGATTTTCAGGACCAAATACAACCTGCAGAATGCAAAGTTTCTTGTATAGGGAAGATAGTTATAGTGTAGGACCACCATATTATAGTAGTTGAGTGTATTTTTGGCTCTGACTTTGAAGGGTCACTCAGCCTCGGGTGGCTTTGTCTACAGGTAAAGAATTGCTTTATCTAAGCAGATTTTCTTTTTCTTTTTTCAATAGATACGGAGCTTGGCGAATACAGAATATTGAGTCTCTAGCAAATGCAGAATAATCAGTTCTTACCAAACATGAACTTCCAAGACATTAGAAAATGCTGACCTTTTGGAGTCAGCAATGTGTGCTAATGTTAGTTTAAGCATATGAACTGTTACAGTTTGACCTCAACTATGCAGTATGTCCTTGCAAGTGAGGTCTTGGTATGGATTAAATCGTTTTGTAACAGGGGAAGAGAAAATATTTGCCATTTTATAGTGTATCTCAGCTGTGAAGGCATGAATTTAAAAGTTGAAAATGTGCTATGTTTTGTATCAAAGGTCACAATCAATAGAGTGAAAAGACAATGTACAGAATTAGAAAAATATTTGGAGATAAAAATCTGATAAAAAGTTAATATATGGAATATATTTTAAAAACTCCTACAAGTCAACAACAACAAAAATCAATAACCTGATTTAAAAAGTCAGCAAAGTACATAAATAGGCATTTTCCCAAATTTGACATATAAATGGCAAACAAGCAAATGAAAAGATGCTCAACATCACTAATTGCTAGAGAAATGCAAATCAACCACCAGGAGATATTATCTCACAACCATCACAATGGCTACTATGAAAAACAAAAACCAAAATAAATGTTTGAAAGGATGTAGAGAAACTAGAACCCTGTTCACAGTTAATAGGATTGTGAAATGGTATAAGTGTTACGGGAAATAGGATGTAGATTTCTCAAAAAATTGAAAATAGAATTACAATTTCTGGTTATATATCGAAAGGAATTGAAACCCAGGTCTTGAAGAAATATTTGCACACCCATGTTCATAGCAGAAGTATTTACAATCACCAAGAGATAAAAGGAAACCAAATGTCCATCGACAATAAATAATAAAGTGCAGTATATACATACAATGAAACATTATTCAACTTTAAAAAAGAAGAAGTTTTTATCACATGCTACAACGTGAATGAACCTTGAGGATGTCATAGTAGGTGAAATAAGGGAGTCAAAAAAAGACAAATACAGGCATACTTTGGAGATATTGAGGGTTCTGTTCCAGATGACTTCAATAAAGCAACTATTGCAATGAAGTGAGTTGCACAATTTTTTTTGTTTTCCAGTGCACATAAAATTTAGATTTACACTATAGTATAGATTATTAATTATGCAACAGCATTATGTCTAAAAACAATGCACACACCTTAATAAAAATGTTTTATTGCTAAAAATGGCTAACAATCATTTGAGCCTTCAGCAAGTCATAATTTCTTTGTTAGTGGAGAGTCTCACCTTAATGCGGATGGCTGTTCACTGATCAGGACAGTGCTTGTTGAAGTTTGGTAATTTCTTAAAATAAGACAACAATGAAGTTTGCCATATCAAATGACTGTTCCTTTCCTGGAATATTTCTCTATAGCATGTGAAACTTTTTTTCATTTTTTTTTTATTTTTCCATAGGTTTTTGGACTAGAGGTAGTATTTGGTTACATGAGTAAGTTCTGTAGTGGTGATTTGTGAGATTTTGATCCACCTATAACCCAAGCAGTATACACTACACCCTATTTGTAGTCTTTTATCCCTCATCTCCATCCCACCCTCCCCCACAATCCCCCAAAGTCCATTGTATAATTCTTTTTTTTTTTTTTTTTGAGATGGAGTCTCACTCTGTCACCAGGCTGGAGTGCAATGGCATGATCTCGGCTCACTGCAAACTCCGCCTCCCGGGTTCAAGTGATTTTCCTGCCTCAGCCTCCCAAGTAGCTGGGATTACAGGCATGCACCACCACTCCCAGCTAATTTTTGTATTTTTAGTAGAGACAGGGTTTCACCATGTTGGCCAGGCTGGTCTTGATATCCTGACCTCGTGATCCTCCCACCCTGGCCTCCCAAAGTGCTGGGATTACAGGCGTGAGCCATTGCGCCTGACCCGTTGTATAATTCTCATGCCTTTGCATCCTCATAGCTTAGCTCCCACATATCAGTGAGGACATATGATATTTGGTTTTCCATTCCTGAATTACTTCAGTTAGAATAATAGTCTCCAATCTCATCCAGGTCACTCTGAATGCCATTAATTCATTCCTTTTTATGGCTGAGTAGTATTCCATAGTATATATATGCCACAGTTTCTTTATCTAATCATTGATTGATGGGCATTTGGGTTGGTTCCACGATTTTGTAATTGTGAACTGTGCTGCTATAAACAAGTGTGTGCAGGTATCTTTTTCAAATAATGACTTATTTTCCTCTGAGGTGACTCCCAGTAGTGGGATTGCTGGATCAAATGGTGGTTCTACTTTTAGCTCTTTAAGCAATCTCCACACTGTTTTCCACAGTGGCTGTACTAGTTTACATTCCCACAAGCAATGTAGAAGTGTTCCATGTTTACCACATCCACACCAACATCTATTGTTTTTTGATTTTTTGATTATGGCCATTCTTGCAGGAGTAAGGTGATATTGCATTGTGGTTTTGATTTTCATTTCCCTGATCATTAGTGAAGCTGAACATTTTTTCATATGTTTGTTGGCTATTTGTATATCTTCTTTTGAGAATTGTCTGTTCATGTCCTTAGCCTACTTTTTGATGAGATTGTTTGTTTTTTTTTCTTGCTGATTTGCCTGAGTTTGTTGTAGATTCTGGATATTAGTACTTTGTCACATGTATAGATTGTGAAGATTTTCTCCCACTCTGTGGTTTGTCTGTTGACTCTGCTGACGGTTCCTTTTGCCATGCAAAAGCTCTTTAGTTTAATTAGGTCTCAACTATTTATCTTTGTTTTTATTGCATTTGCTTTTGGGTTTTTGATCATGAAATCCTTGCCTAAGCCAATGTCTAGAAGGGTTTTTCCAATGTAATATTCTCGAATTTTTGTAGTTTCAGGTCTTAGATTTAAGTCCTTAATCCATCTGGATTTGATTTTTGTGTAAGGTGAGAGATGAGGATCCAGTTTCATTCTCCTACATGTGGCTAGACAATTATCTCACCATCATTTGTTGAATAGGGTGTCCTTTCTCCACTTTACGTTTTTGTTTGTTTTGTCAAAGATCAGTTGATTATAAGTATTTGGGTTTACTTCTGGGTTCTCTATTCTCTTCCATTGGTCTATGTGCCTATTTTTATACCAGTACCATGCTGTTTTGGTGACTATGGCCTTATAGTATAGTTTGAAATCAGGCAATGTGATGCCTCCAGATTTGCTCTTTTTGCTTAGTCTTGCTTTGGCTATATGGGCCCTTTTTTGGTTCCAAGTGAATTTTAGAATTTTTTTTTTAATTCTGTGAAGAATTATGGTGATATATTCATGGCAATTTGTAGATTGCTTTTGGCAGTATAGTCATTTTCACAATATTGATTCTACCCATCCATAAGCATGAGATGGGTTTCCATTTGTTTGTGTCATCTATGTTTTCTTTCAGTAGTGTTTTGTAGTTTTCCTTGTAGAATGCTTATGCCTCCTTGGATAGCTATAATCCTAAGTATTCTACTTTTTTTGCTGCTATTGTTAAATGGGTTGAGTTCTTGATTTGATTCTCTGCTTGGTCGCTATTGGTGTATAGGAGAACTACTGATTTATGTACATTAATCTTGTATCCAGAAACTTTGCTGAAAACTTTTATCAGCTATAGGAGTTTTCTGGAGGAGTCTTTAGGGTTTTCTGGGTAAACAATCATATCATCAGCAAACAGTAACAGTTTGACTTCCTCTTTACCGATTTGGATACCCTTTATTTCTTTCTCTTGTTGGATTGCTCTGGCTAGGACTTCCAGTACTATGTTGAAGATAAGTGGTGAGTGTGGGCATCCTTTTCTTGTTCCAGTTCTCAGAGGGAATGCCTTCAACTTTTCCCCATTCAGAGTTATGCTGGCTGTGGGTTTGTCATAGATGGCTTTTATTACATTGAGGTGTGTCCCTTTTATGCCAATTTTGCTGAGTTTTAATCATAAAGCAATGCTGGATTTTGTCAAATGCTTTTTCTATATCTATTGAGATGATCATGCAATTTTTTAAAAATTCTGTTCATGTGGTATATCACATTTATTGACTTGCATATGTTAAACCACCCCTGTATCCCTGTTATAAAACCCACATAATCATGGTGGGTTATCTTTCTGTTATATTGTTGGATTCGGTTAGCTAGTATTTTGTTAAGGATTTTAGCAACTATGTTCATCAGGGATATCAGTCTGTAGTTTTCTTTTTTGGTTATGTCCTTTCCTGATTTTGGTATTAGGATGATGCTGGCTTCATAGAAAGAATTAAAGAGGGTTCCCTCTTTCTCTCTCTTGTGGAATAGTGTCAATAGGATTGGTACCAATTCTTCTTTGAATATCTAGTAGAATTCTGCTGTGAATCCGTCTGGCTATAAAGTTTTTTTGTTGGTAATTTTTAAATTACTATTTCAATCTCTCTGTTTGTTATTGGTCTGTTTAGGGTGTCTATTTCTTCGTGATTTAAACTAGGAGGGTTGTATTTTCCCAGGAATTTATCCATCTCTTCTAGGTTTTCAACTTTATATGCATAAAAGTGTTTATAGAAGCCTTAAATGATCTTTTGTATTTCTGTGGTGTCAGTTGTAATATCTCTCATTTCATATCTTATTGAGATTATTTGGATTTTCTCTCTTCTTTTCTTGCTTAATCTTGCTAATGGTCTATCAATTTTGTTTATCTTTTCAAAGAACCAGCTTTTTGTTTCATTTACCTTTTGTATTTTTTTGGTTTTAATTTCATTTAGTTATGCTCTGATCTTGATTATTTCCTTTCTTCTGCTGGGTTTGGGTTTGGTTTGTTCTTGTTTCTCTAGTTTCTTGAGGTGTGACCTCAGAATGTCAGTTTGTGCTCTTTCAGTCTTTTTGATGTAGGCATTTCGGGCTATGAGCTTTTCTCTTGGCATTGCCTTTGCTATATCCCAGAGGTTTTGATAGGTTATGTCACTACTGTCATTCAGTTTGAATAATTTTTTAATATCCATTTTGATTTCATTTTTGACCCAATGATCATTCAGGAGCAAATTCTTTAATTTCCATGTATTTGCATGGTTTTGAAGGTTCCTTTTGTAGTTGATTTCCAGTTTTCTTCCACCGTGGTCTGAGAAAATGCTTGATATAGTTTCAATTTTCTTAAATTTATTGAGGCTCATTTTATGGCCTATCATATGATCCATCTTGGAGATATTTCCAGCACTGTTGAGTAGAATGTGTATTCTGCAGTTGTTAGATGGAATGTTCTGTATGTATCTATTAAGTTGATTTCTCCAAGGTATAGTTTAAATCCATTGTTTCTTTGTTGACTTTCTGTCTTGATGACCTGTCTAGTGCTGTCAGTGGAGTATTGAAGTCCCTCACTATTATTGTGTTGCTGTCTATATCATTTCTTAAGTCTATTAGTAATTGTTTTATAAATTTGAGAGCGCCAATATTAAGTGCATATATGTATAGGATTGTGATATTTTCCTGTTGGAAAAGACCCTTTACCACTATGTAATGTCCCTCTTTGTCTGTTTAAACAGCTGTTGCTTTAAAGTTTGTTTTGTCTGATATAAGAATAGATACCCCTGCTCACATTTGGTGTTCATTTGCATGGAATACCTTTTCCCACCCCTTTCTTTTAAGTTTATATGAGTCTTTATGTGTTAGGTGAGTCTACAGAAGGCAGCAGATAGTTGGATGGTGAAACCTTATCAATTTCGCAGTTCTGTATCTTTTAAATAGAGAATTTAGGCCATTTGCATTCAATGTTAGTATTGAGATGTTAGGTACCATTCCATTCATTGCGCTATTTGTTGCCTGTATACCTTGTTTTTGTTTTTGCTTTTTAAATTGTATTCTGTTTTATAGGTCCTGTGAGATTTATGCTTTAAAGAGGTTCTGTTTTGATGTGTTTCCAGGATTTGTTTCAAGATTTAGAGCTTCTTTTAGCAGTTCTTGTAGTGGTGGTTTGGTAGTGGTGAATTCTCTCAGCATTTGTCTGAGAAAGACTGTATCTTTCCTTCATATATGATGCTTAATTTCGCTGGATACAAAATTGTTGGCTGATAATTGTTTTGTTTGAGGAGGCTGAAGATAGGGCCCCAGTCCCTTCTAGCTTTTAGGGCTTCTGCTGAGAAATCTGCTGTTAATCTGATAGGTTTTCCTTTATAGGTTACCTGGTGCTTTTTTCTCACAGTTCTTAAGATTCTTTCCTTCATCTTAACTTTAGATATCCTGATGACAATGTGCTGAGGTGATGATCTGTTGTGGTGAATTTCCCAGGTATTCTTTGTGCTTCTTGTATCTGGATGTCTAATTCTCTAGCTAGGCCAGGGAAGTTTTCCTCAATTATTCCCCCAAATATGTATTCCAAACTTTTAGACTTCTCTTCTTCCTCAGGAGCACCAATGATTCTTAGGATTGGTTGTTTAACATAATCCCAGACTTCCTGGAGGCTTTGTTCATATTTTCTTATTCTTTTTCCTTTGTCTGTGTTGGACTGGGTTAATTCAAAGACCTTGTCTTCAAGCTCTGAATTTCTTTCTTCTACTTGTTCAATTCTATTGCTGAGAATTTCCCAGAGCATTTTGCATTTCTATAAATGTATCCAATGTTTTCTGAAGTTTTGATTGTTTTTTCATTATGCTATTTATTTCCTTGAATGTTTATCCCTTCATTTCTTGTATCGGTTTTTGGATTTCCTTGCATTGGGCTTTGCCTTTCTCAGATGCCTCTCTGATTAGCTTAATAACTAACCTCCCGAATTCTTTTTCAGGTAAATCAGGGATTTCTTCTTGGTTTGGATCCATTGCTGCGTGAGCTACTGTGATTTTTTTGGGGTGTATTAAAGAGTCTTGTTTTGTCATATTGCCAGAGTTGGTTTTATGGCTTCTTCTCATTTAGGTAGGCACTGTCAGAGGGAAGGCCTAGGACTGAAGGCTGTTGTTCGGATTTTTTTGTCCCACGGGGTGTTCACTTGATAGAATACTCTCCCCCTTCTCCTATGGATGTGGCTTCCTGAGAGCCGAGCTATAGAGGTTGTTATCTCTCTTCTGGGTCTAGCCACCCAGTGAGTCTACCAGGCTCCGGGCTGGTACTAGGGGTTGTCTGCATAGAGTCCTGTGATGTGAACCATCTATGGGTCTCTCAGCCACAGATACCAGCACCTGTTCCGGTGGAGGTGGCAGGGGGGTGAAATGGACTCTGTGAGGGTTCTTAGCTTTGGTGGTTTAATACTCTACTTTTGTGCTGGTTGGCCTCCTGCCAGGAGGTGGCACTTTCCAGACAGCATCAGCTGTGGTAGTATGGAGAAGAAATGGAGGTGGTTGGGGCCCTAGAACTCTCAAGAGTATATGCCCTTTTTCTTCAGCTACCAGAGTGGGTAGGGAAGAGCCATCAGATGGGGGCAAGGCTAGGTGTGTCTGAGTTCAGACTCTCCTTGGGCAGGTCTTGCTGCAGCTGCTGCGGGGAATGGGGATGAGGTTCCCAGGTCAAAGAAGTTGTGTACCTAGGAGGATTGTGGCTGCCTTTGGTGAGTCATGCAGGTTGTCAGGAAAGTTGGGGAAAGCCGGCAGTCACAAGCTTCACCCAGCTCCCACGCAATCTGAAGGGCTGGTCTCACTCCCTTCATGCCCTGGCTAACAGCAGCAAGTCTGTTTCAAGGCAGTGGACAAGCAGAGCTGAGACCTTGCTCCAGGCTACCCACCTCCCAGCTGTGAAAGGAAAGGGCTTTAGTTCTTCCCCCACCTGTGGAGTCTGCATGCCAGACTCATGCCCTCCTCAGAGTTCTGGCCAAGAGGCTTCTCCACCAGTTCAAATTGTTACAAAGTTCAGCTGGAGACTTCCTTCTCCCTGTGCCATTTTTCCCTGTGCCACTGGCCACCCTCCCAAAGGATCTCTTTGATGCCAGGCAGAAATGGCCTGCTTGGGGACCCAGCAAGCTCCCAGGGCCTGTCCTGCTGCTTCCTCTACCCCTGTATTTTGCTCAGCTGTCTAAATTGATTCAGCTTCAGATAAGGTCGGAATCTTCTCCCACTAACTAGACCTTCAGTCTCCCCAGTGGGGGTATGTGTTTGGGGGTGGAGGATCTCCCTGCCCCACTTCCGCAGTTTGGGCACCCACAGTACATGGGGTGTCTCCTGGGTCCTGAAGGAGAAGTCCGCTTCCTTCAGAGAGTCTGTAGGTCCTCTCGGGATTCCTGATTTATTCCTGCAGTCGTTCTGGAGCTAAAATTCACGATGCAAGCCTCTGCACAGTGCTCTGTCTGAGTTGGAGCTGCAGCCTTGCCCTGCCTCCTCTCTGCCATGATGAACCACATGTAATACTGTTTGGCAACATTTGACCCATAGCACGGTATAACTTTTTTCCAGATTGGAGTCAATACTCTCAAATCCTGTTGCTGCTTTATTACCTAAGTTTATCTAATATTCTAAATCATTTGTTGTCATTTCAACAATGTTCATGGCCTCTTCACAAGGAGTAGATTCCACCTCAAGAAACCACTTTATTTGCTTATCCATAAGAAGCAACTCCTCATTCATTAAGTTTTGTCATGAGAGTGCAGCAATTCCGTCACATCATCAGGTTTCACTTCTAGGTCTCTTGCTACTTCCACCACATATGTGGTTACTTCCTTCATTGAAGTCTTGAATTTCTCAAAGTCATTCATGATGGTTGGAATGAACTTCTTCAAAACTCTTGTTAATGTTGATATTTTGGCTTTCTCCCATAAATTGTGAGTGTTCTTAATAAAATCTAGAATGATGAATCCTTTCCAGAAGATTTTTAATTTGATCAGAGGAATCACTCTCTATGACAGGTATAGCCTCATGAAATGTATTTATGAAATAGTAAGACTTGAAATTCAAACTTAATTCTTGATCTGACATACTGCAGAATCAATGTTGTGTTAGCAGGCATGAGAACAACATTAATCTCCTTGTACAACTTCACCAGAGCTCTTGGGTAATTAGATACATAGTCAATAAGCAGTAATATTTGAAAGGACCTTTTTTTTTTCTGTGCAGTAGGTTTCAAGGGTGGGTTTAAAATATTTAGTAAACTATGCTGTAAACAGATGTGTTGTTATCCTGTCTTTGTTGTTTCATTTATACAGCACAGGTAGAATAAATGTAAGGGTTCTAAAAAGCTGGGCACAATGGTGCATACCTCTAGTCCCAGCTACTCGGGAGGCTGAGATAGGAGGATTGCTTGAGCCCAGGAATTTGAGAACAGCCTGGACAACATAGGAAGACCTACTGTTAAAAATAACAAATGAATAAATGAATGCATAAATAAATAAAAGTCCCTAGGATATTAACAATAGTAAATGAGCATTGGCTTCATCTTGAAGTCTCCAACTGCATTATCCCCTAACAAATATGTCAGCCTTGTTAATTAAACTTTTGAGGGTTTGAAGCCAGGAATCGACTTCTCTGTAGCAATAAAAGTCCTAGATGACATCTTTTGTCAATAGAATGCTGTTATATCTGCATTGAAAATCTGTTGTTCGGTGCAGCCACCTTCATCAGTGATTTTAAATAGATCTACTAGCTTCAAAGTTGTCTTCTGTGGCTTTCTCACCTCTCTCAGCCTTCATAGAATTGAAGAGAATTAGGGCTTTGCTCTGGGTTAGGCTTTAGCTTAAGGGAATATTGTGGCTAGTTTAATCTTCCATCTACACCAATAAACTGTCTCCCTGCCAGCAATAAGGCTGTTGCATTTATTTGTCATTTGTGTGTTCAGTGGAGTAGCACTTTTAATTTCCTCCAAGAACTCTTCCTTTGCATTTGCAGCTTGGCTAACTGTTTGATACAAGAGGCCTAGGTTGCAGCCCATCTCAATTTTCAACATGCCTTCCTCACTCAGCTTAATCATTTCTAGCTTTTGATTTACAGCAAGAGAGGTGGGATTGTTCTCTCCACTTGAAAACTTAGAGGCCAGTGTAGAATTATTAATTAGAATTATTTTAATATTGTTGTGCCTCAGAAAATAGAGAGGCCCAAGGAGAGGGGGAGAGATGGGAGAATGGCCTGTCAGTGGAGCAGTTAGAATGTACACAATATTTATGGATTTGTTTTCTTACATGGGTGTGGTTCGTGGTGCCTCCCTAAATAATTAAAATAGTATCATCAGAAATCATTGATAACAGATATGATAATAATGAAAAAGTTTGAAACATTCTGAGAATTACCAAAATGTGACACAGAGACATGAAGTGAGCACATGCTGCTGGAAAAAAAAAAAAAATGACAATGATAGACTTGCTTGATGCAGGGTTGCCACAAACCTTCAATTTGTAAAAACTGCAATATCTACAAAGCACAATAAAGCAAAGAGCATTGAAATGAGGTATGCCTTTACTGTGTGATTCTACTCATATAAGGTAGCTAAAATAGTCAAAATCATAGAAACCAAAGGTAGGATGTGGAATACCAGGAACAGGAGGGAGGGAGAAAGTGGATTTGCTCTTTAATTGGTATGGAGCTTTAGATTTGCAGGATGGAAAAGTTTTGGAAATCTGTTTTGCAAGAGTATCCATACACTTAACAACACTACTCAACTGCACATTTAAAATGGTTAAGATGGTAAGTTTTATGTCATATGTGTTTTACCGCAATAAAAAAATCTGCTCCATTCCACATAGACTAAGAAGTACTAATATTATAATGGAGGCTCTGGCTATAACCATATTGGTTCTAGGCCAAGACTGGCTGACCATATGCAAATGTTCTCTATAGTTTTGAATTAAATTTAGATAAGAAGGAGGAATTTATTCTTGGATTTATATACTTAAATATAGCCTCAGGAGTCACCTCTTATTATGTGTTCTTCAATCAATTCTGAATTTTTTAAATTACTTAAACACACTGATTTAGGTATTAGAGATCCAACGTTTTGCTTTACCCACAGGAGATGTTGAATTTTATAAATGCATACACAAAAAAGTTGAGAGACGTTTATTTTTTAAATTGACATTTTCTCATGTTGAAGTTGTGAAACAACTCAATAAAATCATTGTAAATCCTTAGGCTAAGGTGGAAACTTAAAAGGCTCATGCTTAAAAAACCTGAGGGAATCTAAGAATCAAGACTGCTCAGAAAAACAAGTAGACATAGAATTGAAAAATGTGCTTCACATTAAACATCTTACTCATAAAGTTTTATTTTAAAAGAGAAACTGTGAGTGAATTAAAACAAATAAAGAATGATAAGTTGTTTAAATGGGAGGAAGCAGTTATCTCAGAAGAAAATTGATGAATTAGAGGATAGAAATTTTGGAAATTTAGAGAATGAACTTTAAGGGCCTGGATAGAAAAATAAAAAGGGGAGAAGAGGAAGCCAGGTCCAGATGTTCTTGAAGAACTTAAAAGAAAAGGAGAGAACTCTTCTAAGCATTACTGGATCAAAATTGGTGATGGGGCTCAACAAAGGCAAGGTCATTAGAGACCTAACAATGACTCTACTAAGTGAAATCAGGAACTAGAAAATTCTAAAGCAGTGCTTCACAACATTTTTCAGATTATGGCACATGATATTTTTGTAGCACATTCAGACAAATGGACAAAGCTTCTCATATCAGACGTGACAAATCTAGGAACTCTAGTTACCTCTAACCTTTCCCATCTACCCCAGTACCTAAAGGGATCAAATCTAGGCTTTGTGCCGTCCATTTTACCTTATGATTGCCACAATTTCATCAGTTGTTTACAGAACATCTGAGTAGATTTATGAGGGAAGATGGGATAATTATCGCAAAACAAAGATTAATTGGTAAGTTCCAACTAGATACAGTTGTAGGTGAAGTATATATTGTAGGTGTGACTGTGTGTATCATGCTCAGGACATCTATGGATTTAGGATTCTAAAGGAAAGTATAAATAAAATGAGGCATTCTCAAGTGGAGCCAGGGAGAATAATTATTTATAGATTCCAGACAAGGGAATGATGTCGCTGCATGGAGAGTTTATTGTCTGGGTGGAGGCAAAGATGGGCAAGATTGTCAGAACAATGTTCTGCATTTGGCAGGCCCAGAATCATTGATTTTATATATTTCCCTGCAGGAAATAAAAGCTAGAGGCATATGGTAGGAAAGAAAACATCTGAGCCAACAAGCAAAGGGTAAGTAAAAGAAACAAATTTTCAGATTCAACAGCAGTGTCAGCTCTCTCTGTGTTAAATCAAGAGATCAAATTAAAAAACAAACTTAACTATTAGATGCTTATGGGTCTACAGCAGAAACGGAAGAGGGACACAGTCCAGGTAGAGAAAACATTAAGTATATCCCACAACGGAAAAAAATCCATTATTTCCGTAGAAATAAATCCATTAAGATTGAGAATATTCAAACTTGAGAAAAATAATATCTTGAGAAATAAATGTCAAAAATATTGGTCTTAATTAGCCCCTAAGGGCACAGGCTTCTGAAACACCAGTAGAAGTCACAACAGTTGAAGCAGCTGGTGGGAATTTCCAGTTGTCATAGATATGCGTGCTATGAGAATCTTCTCTGAACATCATGTTTCATAGGCCTATGTGATCCCATCACCACAATAACTGAGGCCAAGGACTCACACAAAGAAATGAATTTTCTACTGCGAAAGAAGCCCCCTGAAACAAAGGTTTAAAGCAGGAATGAAAGTTAGGAGGTTTTGGACATTCAATTTTTAAAATGGCACCTTGAGTAAACAAGATGGTGGGATTCAGATCCTGGGATTCTGAAGCCTGGCTTCAGAAAATCCATCCAGCAGCTACCCACAGACAAGAACACCTTTGTAAAAATTCCAAAACCTGGAAATGAGACTAAGACACTGAGAAATGAGACTAAGCATGGACACCGTAGAAACTGAACATAAAAACAAAAACAAACAAGCAAAAAAACACAGATGAATAAAAGGAACAGCCTCACTTTGACTATATTGCCCCTTCTCCAACTTGGCACTGCACCACATATCAAGCATTCACCATGGTTTCTACACTGGGAAAAGAGAACCCAAGGCAGACATCTAACATTGCCTACATTCTGTGGCACTTCCTAAGATGCCCATTCCTGTCTCACATCAAAATAAATACTGGGGATAACAACAGGAATAGACTGCCTGAGGTCAGCTAGAAACAAAGAAAAAGGTCAGGGCACAGAGAAACCATCATGCACATCTTTGTGGCAGCTCTAAGTTCCTGCCAGCAGTGGTGCCCTATCAAAAATATCAGTGAATGACATAACCTAGTCACAAAACTCAGTTGGTTGCTCCAAGAAGTACAGTGAAGTCTACGTGGTATGATTCTCTATTCAGCCAGCCACCCTGTCTACCCTCAGAAACCACCTCAAAGTTCCATCCAGGCTGAGAGATACCTGCCACTGCACACCACTGTGGAACAGAGGCATTGACCCTGACCAACCCAGGAGTTCAAACAGTGACTTTGTTCAACCTCAGAGCTTCCCTCAAGGCTCTGCCCAGGCAGGGAAGACCCCCACAGCTGTGAATTTCTGAAGAACATAGGCGCTGGCCCTGCCCAGCCCAGGAGTCCAATAAGTGACTTGACCCAGCCTCAAAGCTCAACCCAACACTCTGCTCAGACAGGAAGGCAAGCCTCAACTATGCCGTTACTATGCAGCATAGACACCCATCCCAAGTTGCAACCCCACCTGACCTGGGAGTTCAGTCTGCAGCCCTTCCTAATTGAAGATTCAAAACAACAGTACCATCTGGCCAGGTAATACAGCCTGTGACCCTGCTTGATCCAAGGCAATTTAAGTGCCCAGCCAGCAGCTCTGTCTTACTGCAGAGTTTAGCCATGGTCTCACTGGATAGCAGAGACAAGGAAGCAGCCCCATCTGACCTCAGAACAAAGGCAGTGGCTCAGTCCAACTAGAGAGCCTGACAGCAAGATCTGCCTGCCTGTGGCTTTTACCAAGTGGCTTATCTTTAATGCCAGACTAGACTAAATATGTAGAATGACAATTATTAAAAAGTCAGGAAACAACAGATGTTGGTGAGGCTGTGGAGAAACAGGGACCCTTTTTTTTTTTCCAAGACAGAGTCTCGCTCTGTCACCCACGCTGGAGTGCAGTGGTGTGATCTTGGCTCACTGCAACCTCCGCCTCCTGGGTTCAAGCAGTTCTTTTGCCTCAGCCTGAGTAGTTGGGATTATAGGCATGTGCCACCACACCCAGCTAATTTTTTTGTGTGTATATATATATATATATATATATATATATATTTTTTTTTTTTTTTTTTTTTTTTTGAGGCAGAGTCTCACTCTGTCACCCAGGCTGGAGTGCAGTGGTGCGATCTCAGCTCAGTGCCACATTTTCTTTATCCAGTGTATCATTGATGGGCTTTTGGGTTGGTTCCAAGTGTTTGCTATTGTGAACAGTGCTGCAGTAAACATATGTGTGCATGTATCTTTATGGTAGAATGATTCATAATCCCTTGGGTATATACCCAGTAATGGGACTGCTGGATCAAATGGTATTTCTGGTTCTAGATCCTTGAGGAATCATCACATTGTCTTCCACAATTTACACTCCCACCAACAGTGTAAGAGCATTCCTATTTCTCCACATCCTCTCCAGCCTCTCTTGTTTTCTGACTTTTTAATGATTGCCATTCTAATTGGCATGAGATGGTATCTCATTGCAGTTTTGATTTACAGAATACAGAAACAGAAAACCAAACACAGCATGTTCCCACTCATAAGTGGGAGTTGAACAATGAGAACACATGGACACAGGGAGGAGAACAAGACACACTGGGGCCTGTTGGGGGATGGAGGTAAGGGGAGGGAGAACATTAGAACAAATGCCTAATGCATCCAGGGCCTAAAACCTAGATGATGGTGCAGCAAACTACCATGGCAAATGTATAACTATGTAACAAACCTACACATTCTGCACATGTATCCCAGAACTTATAGTAAAATAAATAAATAAATAAATATTAAATAGTTACATTTCTTCCTTGCCAAAGAACACCTTTGAAGGCTGGCAGAAGTGATCTATTTTTCTCAAATGTGCAGACACTAAGGCAAAGACCAGTGATTATGAAGAATCAGGGAATTATGATACCCCTTAAAGAAAACTAATAAAGCTCTAATCACGGACCTTAAAGAAATAGAGACCTATAAAATGACTGATAAGAATTCAGAATAATTCTTTTAAATAAGTTCAGTGAACAACAAGAAAATACAAATAGAAAACAAAATAAAATCTGAAATTTGATGTAGAAATAAAATGAGAAGTTTGACAAAGAATTAGAAACAATTGAAAAATATCCTAGAAATGGAAAGTACAGTGACAGAAATAAAAAAATTAATAAAAATCTTCAACAGCACACCCAATCAAGAAGAAAGAATCAGTGAGCTCAATGACATTATATTTGAAATTATTCTGTCAGAGCAGCAAAAAGAAAAAAATGAGAAGAATAAAGAAAGCCTACAGGAATTATGGGACACCATCAAAGAACTAACTTTAGCACAGTAGAAGTTTCAGAAAGGCTAGACAGAGAAAAAAGACCAGAAAGCCTATTTAAAGAAATAATGGCTGAAATCTTCCCCAATCTGGGGAAAGATACCAACTTCCATGTGCATGAGTTCCAAGTGCACATGATTTGTTTGAAGAGGTCTCCAAACAAATCAGACCCAAAGTGGAGTTCACCAAAACACATCATAATCAAACTATCCATAATCAAAGACAAAGAAAAAATTCTGAAATCAGCAAGTAAGACGACACATATTACATATAAGGGAGTTCTAATATGGCTATCAATATACTTCTCAGCAGAAATCCAGCAGGCTTGGAGAGAATGAGATAATATATACAAAGTAGCAGAAGAATAAAAACTGCCAACCAATAATACTTTACCCTGATATCTTTGTGCTGCTGTAACAAAATACCTGAGAATGGGTAGTTTATAAAAACAGAAATTAATTTTCTCAAAGTTCTGAAGGCAGGGATTCCAAGGTTAAGGTACTAGCACCTGCTGAGGGCCTTCTTGTTGCATCCTCATATGGCAGAAGATAGAAGGGCAAAGGGACAAATGCTGTGTCCTCACATGGCAGAAAACCAAAAGAGCAAACTAGCCAAATGCTGTGTAAAGCTTTTAAAATAAACGTATTAATCCCATTCAAGAGGAAGAGGCTTTCATGGTCTTATCACCACTTAAAGGTACCACCTCTTAACACTATCTAATTATGAACACCTGGATTTCAGATGGGGTACATTCAAAACATAGCACCGGGCAAATCTGTTCTTCAGGAATAAGGGAGAAACAGAAATTTTCCCAGACAAACAAAAGCTAATAGAATTTATCACAACTAGCTCCACCTAATAAAAAATGCTAAAGGGAGTTCTTTAAGCTGAAACAAAAGACTGATAAATAATAACATAAAACAGACAAAAGTACAAAACTCAATGGTTTAAGTCATATGTAGTCATATTTAGAATACTCTAATGCTGTAACTGCGGTGTGTAAATCAACTTTATCTCTAGGATTACAGTTCAAAAACAAAATAGCTATAATAATTTGTTAAAAAACCCAAGTTGCAAAAATACATAAATTTTGACATCAAAATTATAAAATATGGGTGGCAAACAGTAAACCTGTAGAGTTTTTTATGTGATCAAATTTAAGTTGTTATCAGCTTAAAATACACTGTGAGATATTTTATGTAAGCCCAATGGTAACCACAAAGCAACAATCTATAGTAGATAAATTAAACAGAAAAAGAGTGGAATTAAAGTTCACCATTGCAGAAAACTATAAGCCACAAAGGAATATAGCAAGAAGAAAGAAAAAAAATCACAATCAGAAAAAAAATAAAAATTGGCAGTAGTAAGTTTTTATTTATCAATAATTATTTTGAATGTAAATGAATGAAATTTTCTATTCAAAAGGCACAGAGTGTCTGAATAAATTAAAAAACAAGTCCCAAACTATAGTTTCCCTACAAGAGATGCACTTTACATTTAAGAACACACATACACTGAAAGTGAAGGGATGAAAAAATATATTCCATATAAATAAAAATCAAAAGAGAACAGTAGTAGTAACATTTATATGCAATAAAATGGCATTTAACTCATGAATGGTGTAAAAAGAAGGTCATTATATCAGGATAAAGGGGTCAATTCATCAATAGGATATAATGATTATAAATATATATAACCTAACACTTGAGCACCTAAATATATAAAGCAAATATTAATAGATATGAAGAGAGAGATTGCAATATGATAATAGTAGAAGACTTTAATACCTCATTTCCAACTATAGACAGATCATCCAGAAAAACAATCAATAAAGAAACATTAGAATGTAATTACATTTTACATAAAATGGCAAACATTTTATATGTCTGTTAGCAAGAGCATACACATCTTCTCAAGCACATAAGGAAAATTCTCCAGGATAGATGATGTGTTAGTCCACAAAACATGTCATAACAAATTTAAGAAAACTGAAATCATATCAAGTATCTTTTCTCATCACAATAGTTCAAAACTGGAAATAAAAATAGGAGAAATCTTGAAAAATTCACAAATATGTGGAAATTAAACAACATCCTCCTGAACAACCAATGGGTCAAATAAGAAATCAAAAGGAAAATCAAAAACCTATTGAGACAAATAAAAATGAAAATACAGTATACCAAAATTTATGGGATACAACAAAAGGAGTTCTAACAGGGACATTTATAGCAATAAACACCTACATAAATAAAGAAGAAAGAAGAAGATAACATTGGAAAACCCTTCTAGACACCGGCGTATGCAAGGATTTCATGATCAGGAACCTGAAAGCAAATTCAATAAAAACAAAGATAAATAGTTGAGACCTAATTAAACTAAAGAGCTTTTGCATGGCAAAAGGACTGTCAGCAGAGTAAACAGACAACCCACAGAGTGGGAGAAAACCTTCACAGTCTGTACACCTGACAAAGTACTAATATCCAGAATCTAAAACGAACTCAAACAAATCAGCAAGAAAAAACAACCAGTCCTATCAAAAAGTGGGCTAAGGACATGAATAGATAATTCTCTAAAGAAAATATTCAATTGGCCAACAAACAAATGAAAAAAATGCTCAACATCAGGGAAATGCAAATCAAAACCACAATGTGATACCACCTTACTCCTGCAAGAATGGCCATAATAAAAAATAAAAAAAACAGTAGATGTTGGCATGAATTTGGTGAACATGGAACACTTCTACACTGCTGGTGGAATTGTAAACTGGTACAGCCACTATGAAAAACAATATGAAGTTTCCTTAAAGAACTAAAAGTAGAACTACCATTTGATCCAGCAATCCTACTACCGAGTAGCTACCCAGAGGGAAAGAAGTCATTATTCGAAAAAGATACTTGCTCACACATGTTTATAGTGGCACAATTTACAATAGCAAAATCATGGAACCAACCCAAATGCCCATCAATCAATGAATGGATAAAGAAACTGTGATATATATATATACACACACACACACACAATGGAATACTACTCATCCATAAAAAAGAATGAATTAACAGCCTTTGCAGTGACCTAGATGAGATTGGAGACTATTTTTCTAAGTAAAGTAACTCAGGAATGGAAAATCAAACATCACATGTTCTCAATGATATGTGAGAGCTAAGCTATGAGGATGCAAAGGCATATGAATGATACAATGGATTTTGGGGACCTTAGGGGAAGGGTGCAAGAGGGGTGAGGGATGAAAGACTACAAATATGTTTCAGTGTATACTGCTCGGGTGATGGGTGGACCAAAATCTCACAAATCATCACTAAAGAACTTATGTAGCCAAATACCACCTGTACCTAATAACTTATGCAAAATCTATAAATAAATAAAAATAAACAATCTAATATAACACTTCAAAGAACTAGAAAAACAAACTAAGCCCAAAGTTAGCAGAAGAAAGTAAATAACAAAGATCAGAAATAAGTTAATTAAAGACTAGACAAACAATAGAAAAGACTAATGAAACTGAGAGTTGTCTTCTTTTAATAATAAAACAAAATTGACAAAACTTTGGCTAGGCTAATTCAGTAAAAATAGAGAAGACTCAAATAAATGAAATCAGAAATAAAAGATGATCTATTATAATTGATAGCACAGAAATACAAAGGATCATAAGAAAATACTATAAGCAGTTATATACCAAAAAAACTGGATAACCTAGAAGAAATGGATAAATACCTAGAAACATATAACCTACCAAGACTAAATCATGAAGAAATAGACAATCTAAGTAGACCAATAACCAGTAAGGAGATCGAGTTAGTAATAAAATGTTTCCCATCAGAGAAAAACTCAGGACTGGATGGCTTTTCTGGTTAATTATACCAAACATTTAAAGAAGAAATACCAGTTCTTCTTGAATTCTTCCTAAAAATTGAAAAGGAGGCAATATTTCCAAACTCATTTTACAAGTTCAGCACCCTGATACCAAAGTCAAAGCCACCACAAGAAAAGAAAACTATAGGTCAATATCCCTGATGAATACAGATGCAAAATCCTCAAAATAATACTAGCAAATAAAATCCAAAAGCACATTAAAAAGCTCATTTACCATGACCAAGTAGGATTTATCCCTGGGATACTAGGATTGTTTAACACACACAAATCTATAAAACACAGGGGAAAACTTTACAGAATTGGTCTGGGCAATACTTTCTTGGATATGACCTTAAAGGCACAGGCAACAAAAGCAAAAATAGACAAATGGAATCACATCAAACCAAAAATTTTTTACATAGCAAAGAAAATAATAAACAGAGTAAAAAGACAATCCATCGAGTGGGAGAATATATTTACAAACCACGTATTTGATAAGTGGTGAATATTCACATGTATAAAAACTGAGTCAACTTAATAGCAAGAAAAATGTGATTTAAAAATGGGCAAATAACTTGAAAAGAAATTTCTCAAAAGAAGACATAAAAATGGCCAAAGCGTTCATGAAAAAAAATGTTCAACATCATTAATCATCAGATAAATGCAAATTAAAAACACAATGAGATATCACCTCACACCTTTTTAAAAAAGAAAGAAATTCTGTCATTTGTGACAATATGGATAAACCTGAAGGACAATATCCTAAGTGAAATAAGCCAGAAAGACTAATACTGCCTGCTTCGACTTGGGGAACGGGGAGGCTGTACATAGTTACTTTCTTCCAAAAAGTAAAATATGGAAAGGGGAGAAGTGAAAAAAAAAAAAAAAAAGGCCTGAAAAACATTACCCCAGCTACAAGATCAAGGTTACCATCAATGGTAATAAGTCACATTGATTTCATGTGCTCCTGATATGATGAGTGTAAAATTTTATCTCTGTGATCTTCCTCCACAAAACTCATAGCCCCGGGCTTACCATGAGAAAAACAACACACAAATCCCAATTGAAGGAAATTCTACAAAATATCTGACTGTTACTCCTCAAAAGGTCATTAAAAACAAGGAAAATCTGAGGAAATGTTATGGCCCAGAGGAGCCTACAGAGACATCATGACTAAATATGATGTCCTGGATGACATTCTGGAACAAAAAAAAGAGATATTAGGTAAAGGAAATCTGATGAAACTATGGGCTTTAGTTAATGTGCTGATTGGTTCATAACTTGTGACAAGTGTTCTATACTAATGCAAGATACTGACAATAGGGGACACTGATGTAGGGTATATAGGAACTCTGTAATATCCTCAACTTTTCTGCAAATTTAAAACTATTCTAAAATAAAAACCATATTTTAAAAAGTAAATATTCACTCAGTCTCTTTTTGGTGAAGGACAACTTCTAGTTCTAAGTCCTGAAGTAACCACACCTATTTCAGTGGAAGACATGCAGACTGCAACTGCTGCAAAAAGCTCAACTATCCCAAAGCATCAAGAATTTTCTATTATTGAATACTCAAGAATGAGAAATTGAGGATAGTTTTGTGCTATAATTTCACTGGACTTTGAACTCACAAGAATAAGAGTTCATAATGGCTTTGAACTTTCATAGAACTTGAATTTCACTTAAATTTAGGGAATCTCTAGGCATTGGCATTTCATTGTCATTTTCATTTTTCATAGTCTTATTGCAGAACTGTGATGAGTGATGTAGCCTGGGAATAACTTGGAATTGAAAGTACAATAGGGCGTGAATTCTTGGCTTTGATATAGAGTGACGTTGGATTTAGCATAATTAATGTGCAGTCATGTGTCACAATAACAGGGATACATTCTGAGAAATGCATCATTAGGTGATTTTGTCATTGTGCAAACATTACAAAGCACACTTACACAAGCCTAGATGGTACAGCCTACTACAGCCTGATAGCTATATGGTATAGCCTATTGCTCCTAGGCTTCAATCTGGTACCTCCTGTTACTCTACTGAATACTGTAGGTAACTGTAACACAAGGATAAGCATATTTGTGTCTAAACATAGAAAAGACACAATAAAAATACAATATAAAATGTTTATAAATGGTACATCGTATAGAGCACTTACCATGATTGCAGGACTAAAAGTTGTTCTGGTGCGTTGGTGAGTCAGGAGTAGAGAAGTTTTTATATTCTATTTTTCTAGTGCATTAAAGAAAAGAGAGGTTTAAAAATCAGTTAAGTCACCACTTAAAAAACTCAGTAGATATCTCTTTTCCTTCACCCACATATTTGATCCCCAACCAAGTTGTGCCAGCTTGGCTTGAAATATATAAATTATATCTTAAATTGATACAGTTATTTCCAGTATTTCTGCCACTGCCCTAATAAAATTCATTATCATCTTTCCCTTGGAAATTGTATAGTCTCCAAACTGAACGTGTTAGTTTTTCTTGCTATACATGGAGTATTTGTGTGTGCAAAGCAATCTCAAAATCATGTTGAAGAGTTGGGGTCAGGAAGTCTTCCCAGAAAGTGATATTTTATATCAGTTTTGAAGGATCAACAGGATTTGGCCAGGCAGAAAATATACGAAAAATATTTCATGAAGAAAAATGTGAGCAAAGACTCACAGATAACAAGATATAAGGCAAGAGTGGCCAGGTAGAATCTCAAGGACTGTGTGGGTGGCGACCCATCTGGGATTATTAGAGAGGCATTGTAGGCAATGAAGAAATTTGATTTAAATTGGAAATACAATATTTTGAAGTCTGAATTATTCTAGTTATTATATTTTTCCCACACTGTTGGAAAATGATAAATAGAAAATTCCAATTTAAGTAAGATTGTGGTTATTTAGAAATGTAAGTTTCTTCACTTAGATTTGCCTCATATTCTTTTGTTCTCAAATGCACAAACATTTCTCCTTCCTTTAATGAATCACTGGCCCTGCAAAAGACAGAGGAACTGTATATACTTGAACAGCAACCAACCTTTAATTCTCTACATATCAGCTTTTGGGAAGGGATAAAGGGATATTTTATCCACGTTGGCTTTAAAGGACTGTTCTTCATAGTAAGTCACTACAGTAAGAACAGTAATTTGGTACCATGGTAATGAAGAGGGAAAAGGTGGGGGGTGGGGGTGGAAAGCTTGACATTTCTTAACAGAAAAATGTCTTCCTAAATAACTAAAATGTCAAAAGTGCCATAGTCTCTGACTATTGCTGGAATTCTTGGTGCATTTAACATGTAAGTGCAAAGAGAGAACTAAGAAGTCCTCCTAGATCTGTGGTTTTCAAATGTCATAGATTTTGCTCCCCCACCCCCATCCACCCAGGGAACATTTGACGATGTCTGGAGATATTCTCAGTTACCCAGGGGATGCTACTGTCATCTAGTAGTTAAAAGACAGAGATGCTGAAAAACATACTGCAAGATAAAAGCAGCCTCTCATCACAAAGGATTATCCAGCACACGACAGTGTTACATTTCAGAATCTCTGTTCCAGATCACACCTTCCGTTTGCAGTTGGTGAATAAGATGCACAGAGACAGCGTGGAGACCAAAGTATCAACAGCAGGAGAGATGTGAGACTCCCTCTCTGCCTCATCTGCTCAACATTTTATGCCCCTAACAAGTCATGCAATCAAACTACTGGATCCAAACAGCAGAAAAGACATGGCTCTTACAAGAATCCTACTGGTGTAGGAAATCAAGGATATCAATCAACATGATCATTAACTTCCTTTTATGGAGATGGTAAATCTCACTGCTTTTTCTTCATGGAAGAAAAAAAATACGAAGAAAGTGCTCTGATTTCAGGAGCAAGATATAGTCAAGGTTTTTCTTAAATTAAGTTTCTCGCAAAAAACCAAACAACTCTGAGAATATGGGGTTTTCTTCTGAGATATAAATAAAATTCATACGAGCCTTGGAGAATTTGAATCACCCACTCTTTGGCACCTAAAATTTCACTTGGCCGAACAGCATCTGTAGTGTGTTTCTTAAAAACGCTAATCAGATCTTATCATTCCCTTACTTAAAACTTGCCAGTAGCAAGTTATTGGAATCCCAATAAACCCCTGATTCTTTTATCAGTGCCCGCAGTACCCTACTGAATCCAGGTCTTCTCACCATTTTGACCTTATCTCCTTTGCCACAGAAGTTTGAACGTATTCTTCCTGCTCAAGAAAATGCTGTTTCCCCAGAGAATTTCATGTTTGGCTCCTTCTCATCATTCATTCAGGCGTTGGAAAAATGTCACCTCTTCAGACAAAAGAATTACCATATTTAAGGAAAGCCACTCTTATGATGTATTATTGTACTTGTTTGTTAATTCTCTTCATAATGCTAAGAAAATCTATAGTTATTTCATTTATGCCTTGTTGACTTACTTTTTTCTCTTACTGGAATGTAATTTCCAAGAGGGTAAAACTGCTTCTTGTCAAGTGCTATATTTCATAGCATTTATAACAGCCTGTGAAACTCAGTGGAACTCAACAGGTTTGGGAAGTGTGTGAATAAATTAATTCAATAACTGAGAAAAGGGGAAGAGACTTTATTGTGAGATGTCAGGGAGAAAAATTTTTTTAAAGAATAAATAAGGGTCAGAATAAGTTGTATTTCCAGGAACAAGAATAATCACATGAAGGGTTAAGGATGATCTCATCAAGACAGATGTCCATAAGGAGTCAGTCCTGACACTGCAGTCTGACCCAAGCACTACTTAAATTTGAACAAAAAACAGTGAAAATAATCTTACTGTTACATCAAGATCTCCTGCAGTTCTGTAACTTTGGTTCTGTTATTATCTGTAACTGACTTGGGTTCCTCCCTTGTGAACTGAAGTAACATAAATACTTACCACAGGAATCATTGTTAGGATTAAATTGGATGTCAAACATAGGAGTCTTATTCCAAAGCCAGGCACATAGAGTTCAATAATTGTAGTCATAATTATTAGTTAGTGATATGATTTATTAATGGTTTATTGCTGTCTTTCATTTAATTATTATCAATAACAAAGAAAAAAATTGAAGAACCCAGAAGGATTTGTTGTGGCTGTTTCAAAAATAGCAGAATAGAGAAAAGTTAGAGTCTGGCACACTGCTCCAAGCAGAGCCCAAGTGGAATATAACACAGATGGAAGCGTTGATGATGATAGCAGGGAGGAAGCAGACAGGAGAAACCCTGAGGCTGTAGGAGGGAAGAGAGAGGAAGGAACATCATGCACCCCTGGAGGTTTCTTGCCCACTGAGGAGTAAAGAGCCTGGCCTAGAGTTGTGAAGGCTGTGGATGAAAAAGGAGAGAAGACACTGAATTTGAGAAACTTTGCAGGGAAAACAATAACCAAAATTTGGAGCTAGCTTTATTTTTGAGACTGAAAAAATAAGTGACTAAAAGATGAAGTTAAACACACTGCAAAGGTTTGAAATATAAAAGTATTTTGTTTTTTCTAGTTCTTTCTTGAACTTTTCAATTTATTGATACACTTTTATCTTCAGATCACAAGTGTTTTCTCTATCTCTTCATTGTAGCTTTCCTTCTCTCCTCCCCATACCTTTTCCCTTCACTCTGTCCCTTTCTATTTGTAGATTTTTCGGGTTTTGTTTTGTTTTGTTGGTCTATTCTTTGTCTTTTTGACATTTTGAAGATGTTCTCAGATGGTGATATAGTTTGGTTCTGTGTCCCCACCCAAATCTCATCTTTAATTGTAGCTTCCATAATTCCCACATGTTCTGGGAAGGACCCAGTGGGAGATAATTGAATCATGGGGGAGATTGGTTTTGGTTCTGTTACAGTCTGTAACTGACTTGGGTTCCTCCCTTGTGAACTGTAGAGTGGGGTGCTGTTGTAAAGATATCCAAAAATGTGGAAGTGACTTTGGAACTGGGTAACAGGCAGAGGTTGGAATATTTTGAAGGGCTCAGAAGAAGGCAGGAAAATATGGGAGAGTTTGGAACTTCCTAGAGACTTGTTGAATGGCTTTGGTCAAAATGCTGATAATGATATGGACAATGGAATTCAGGCTTCACTGCTTTCACATGGAGATGAGGAACTTGTTGGGAACTGGAGTAAAGGTGACTCTTGCTATGTTTTAGCAAAGAGACTGGCAGCATTTTGTCCCTGCCCTAGAAATTTGTGGAACTTAAAACTTGAGGAAGATGATTTAGGATATCTGGTGAAAGAAATTTCTAAGCAGCAAAGCATTCCAGAGGTGACTTTGGTGCTGTTAAAACCATTGAGTTTTAAAAGGGAAACAGAGCATAAAAGTTTGGAAAATTTGCAGCTAAACAAACAAACAAAAAACATTTCTGAGGAGAAATTCAAGCCAGCTGCAGAAATTTGCATAAGTAACGAGAAGCCAAATGTTAGTTGCCAAGACAATAGGGAAAATGTCTCCAGGGCATGTCAGAGACATTTGAGGCAGGCCCTCTCATCACAGGCCCAGAGGCGTAGGAGGGAAAAATGGTTTCATGGGCAGGGCTCAGGGTCCCCCTGCTGTGTGCAGCTTAGGGACTTGGTGTCTTGTGTCCAAGCCACTCTAACTATGACTAAAAAGTGCCAAAGTACAGCTTGGGTTGTGCTCCAGAGGGTGCAAGCCCCAAGCCTTGGCACTTTCCAAGTGGTATTGAAACTGTGGGTGAACAAAAGTCAAGAATTAACGTTTGGGAACCTATGCCTAGATTTCAGAGGATGTATGGAAACATCTGGGTGCCCAGGAAGAAGTTTGCTAAAGGAAGAGTGACCTCCTGGAGAACCTCTGTTAGGGCAGTGCAAAAGGGAAATGTGGGGTTGAAGCCTCCACACAGAGTCCCCACTGCGGCACTGCCTAGTGGAGCTGTGAGAAGAGGGCCACCATCCTTCAGACCCCAGAGTGGTAGATCCACCAACAGCTTGCACCATGTACCTGGAAAAGCCACAGACACTCAACGCCAGCCCAGGAAAGCAGCTGGGAGGGAGGGTGTACCCTGAAAAGTCACAGAGGTGGAGCTGCCCAAGACCATGGGAACCCACCTCTTACATCAGTGCACCCTGGAGATGAAACATGGAGTCAAAGGAGATCATTTTGGAGCTTTAAGATTTGGCTGCCCTGTTGGATTTTGGACTTGCATGGGGTCTGTAGCCCCTTTGTTTTGGTAAATTTCTTCCATTTGGAATGGCTGTATTTACCCAATGCCTGTACCAATATTGTATCTAGGAAGTAATAACTTGCTTTTGATTTTACAGGCTCATAGGCAGAAGGGACTTGCCTTGTCTCAGATAAGACTTTGGACTGTGCACTTTTGAGTTAATCCTTAAATGAGTTAAGACTTCAAGGCACTGTTGGGAAGGCATGATTGGTTTTGAAATATGAGGACATGAGATTTGGGATGTGCCGGGGATGGAATAATATGGTTTGGCCCTGTGTTCCCACCCAAATCTCATCTTAAATTATAGTTCCCATAATTCCCACATGTTGTGGGAGTATCTCCAGTGGGAGATAATTGAATCATGAGAGTGGTTTCCCCCATACTGTTCTCATGAAAGTGAATGGGTCTCATGAGATCTGATGGTTTTATATTTTCCACTTTTACTTCTCTCTCATTCTCTCTTGTCTGCCACCACGTAAGGTGTGCTTTTCACCTTCCACCATCACTGTGAGGCCTCCCCAGCTGTATGGAACTGTGAGTCAATTAAACCTCTTTTTCTTTATAAATTACTCAGTCTCTGGTATGTCTTTATCAGCAGTGTGAAAATGAACTAACACAGATGGTCTCCATGGGGAGTTACTAAAGTCAGAGCCACATTCCCACTCTAATGCCTTTCTAACAGCACTTCTTTTAATTTTTCTTTTTTAAAAAATATTTTTCTTCAACTTTTAAGTTCAGTGGTACATGTTCAGAATGTGCAGGTTTGTTACATGGGTAAACTTGTGCCATGGTGATTTGCTACACAGATCAACCCATCACTTGGTATTATGCCCAACACCATTAGCTATCCTTCCTAATGCTCTCCCTACACCTACCCCTTTCCCTGACAGGCTCAGTGTGTGTTGTTCCCCTCCCTGTGTCCATGTGTTCTCATTGTTCAGATCCCACTTATAAGTGAGAACATGCAGTGTTTGGTTTTCTGTTCCTGTGTTAGTTTGCTAAGGATAATGGCTTCCAGCTTCCTCCATGTCCATGCAAAGGACATGATTTCATTGCTTTTTATGGCTGCATAATAGTCCATGGTGTATATGTACAACATTTTCTTTATCCAGTCTGTCACTGATGGGCATTTGGGTTGATTCCATGTCTTTGCTATTGTGAATGAATAGTGCTGCAATGAATGTACCATGTGCATGTATCTATTTTTTTTTTTTTTTTGAAACAGAATCTCACTCTGTTGGCCAGGCATGATCTCAGCTCATTGCAACCTCCGTCTCCCAGGCTCAAGCAATTCTCCTGCCTCAGTCCCCCGAGTAGCTGGGATTACAGGCATGTGCCACCATGCCTGGCTAATTTTTGTATTTTTAGTAAAGATGGGGTTTCACCCATCACCATCCAGGCTGGTCCTGAACTCCTGATCTCAGGTAATCCACCTGCCTCAGTTTCCCAAAGTGCTGGGATTACAGGCACGAGCCACGATGCCTGGCCCATGTATCTTTATAATAGAATAATTTATATTCCTTTTGGCATATACCCAGTAATGGGATTGCTTAGTCAAATGGTATTTCTGCCTCCAGATCTTTGAGGAATAGCCACACTCTCTTTCACAATGGTTGAACTAATTTACACTCCCACCAACAGTGTAAAAACATTCCTTTTTATCTGAAATCTCACCAGCATCTGTTGTTTTTTGACTTTTTAATAATCACCATTCTGACTGGCATGAGATGGTATCTCATTGTTGTTTTAATTTGTGTTTCTTTAATGATCAGTGATGTTGAACTTCTTTTCATATGTTTGTTGTCAACATGTATGTCTTCTTTTGAGCAGTATCTGTTCATGTCCTTTGCCCACTTTTTAATGTTTTTTTTTCTTGTAAATTTGTTTAAAAGTTCCTTGTGGACTGGATATTAGACTTTTGTCAGATAAACAGATTGCAAAAAATTTCTCCCACTCTGTAGGTTGTCAGTTTACTCTGAGGATAGTTTCTTTTGCTGTGCAGAAGCTTTTTAGTTTAATTAGATTCCATTTGTCAATTTTTGCTTTTGTTGCAGTTGCTTTTGGCATTTTCATCATGAAATCTTTGCCCATGTCCTGAGTGGTTTTGCCTAGAATTCCTTCTAGGATTTTTGTAGTTCTGTGTGTTACATTTAAGTATTTAATCTATCTTGAGTTACTTTTTGTATAAGGTGTAAGGAAGGGGTCAAGTTTCAATTTTCTGCACATGGCTAGCCACTTCTCCTAGCACCATTTATTAAATAGGGACTCCTTTCTCCATTGCTTGCTTTTGTCAGGTTTGTTAAAGATCAGATGGTTGTAGGTGTGTGGTCTTATTTCTGAGTTCTTTATTCTGTTTCATTGTTCTAGGTGTCTGTTTTTGTACCCGTACCATGCTGTTTTGGTTACTGTAGCCCTGTAGTATAGTTTGAAGTCAGGAAGTATGATGCCTCCAGCTTTGTTCTTTTTGGTTAGGATTTTCTTGGCTACTCAGGCTCTTTTTTGCTTTCATATGTATTTTTAAATAGTTTCTTCTAATTCTATGAAGAATGTCAATGGTAGTTTAATGGGAATAGCATTGAATCAATAAAGTACTTTGGGCAGTATGGCCATTTTCACAATAATGCTTCTTCTTATCCATGAGTATGGAATGTTTTTCCACTTGTTTGTGTGCTCTCTGATTTCCTTGACCAGTGGTTTGTAGTTCTTTTTGAAGAGGTCCTTCAATTCCCTTGTTAGCTGTATTCTTAGATATTTCTTTATTTTTGTAGCAATTGTGAATGGGAATTCAGTCATGATTTGGCTCTCTGCTTGCCTGTTATTGATGTATAGGAATGCTAGTGATTTTTGCACATTGATTTTGTTTCCTGAGATTTTGCTGAGGTTGCTTATTAGCTTAAGAAGTAAGATACTTCTAACATGAGATTCATGGATTCATAGGATTAAAATAATTAATCCTCTTTGCTTCAAAATAGTCATGAGACCACAAGTATCTCCCACCAGGTTGTAAATAACTTGAAAGTAAGAACTTGTGGTGTTTGCTTTCCATCCCCAGTGCTAAGTATCCTGTCTGGCATATTGCCAGTGTCTAATAAATGAATATGTTAATATTACGTAAATAAGTAGTATTTGTTTATTTTCAAAATAATATCTACTAAAGAATCCAATACATTGGTAGAAATAAGGGACAGAACAATGATGTTGTGGTCTACCTATGTGATATATCCCCTTCCTATGGCCTTCTAGCTCTCCAGTGAAGATTCTGAGTTGATGAAATGCCTAGGCAGATCTTTTTTAGAGGCAAGTGAGAGAGCTAACAAGTGGAGATCCCAGTGACATTTGCATTACTGATTTGTGTATGGCAAATAAACAGTGAAACAGCACCCAAACTCCTGAGGAAAATTAATAAATTAATATTTTAAAACTTTTTTATTCATTGATCTCTAGGGTTAGAATATACTTTCAAACACTAGTTTTGAAAATGAATATTGTTAATTTTTTGAAAAATAAGTTGACAAATTATGTATTTAATATGTAAAATTCTTTGACCAGAAAATTCTACTTTTAGAAATCTAACTTAAGCAATTGGGAGGGGAAACCCAATAGTAATAACAAAAGGGGTGGAAGAAAACTTTGGGAAGTGATAGATATGTTTATGGCCTTGATGGTGGTGATACTTTCATGGGTGTATACTTATCACCAGATTTACAGATATGTATACATTAAATATGTACAGCTTTTATATGTCATTCATACTTTAATAAAGTGGCTAGAAATAAGCAATTAAATATAAATCAATTTTTATTTAAAATGTTAAAAATTGAGGATACCTAAATATTTTACTTTAGAATTATAATTAAATATATGTTCTGCATCATATAACATGTAGTAATTATAAAAAATGTTTATAAAAGGCATTTAATGACAGAAAAATGTATATTACTTAAAAGTAATAAAAAAGAATATACATATAATTATATATTCATTTGAGCCATTTACATATATATAAATGTGTACATGTGTACACATTTCTCTACTTTCTAAATCATATATAATAAGAAGCAAGAAGGAGAAACGGAGGACAAAATACTTTAAATAGACTCATTTCTGGTCTCTATCAATTTAACTAATTATAAAAATGACGGGTGGCCCTAGTATCATGGTTGCAACTCACAACCACATCATGGTTTTTAATATCTTCCCAAGAAGAAATAAGGTTGACCTACGATTGGATCAGGAAGTGTATGAGATGAGCTTAGAGTGTCTTGTAGTGCCACAAAGTAAGAAAGTGCTAAAAATGAAAACACAAACAAAAGACACATTAATGGATATATGTTAAAGTGACACAAAAGTCAATTGAAAGATCCCAATAGCTAAAGCTGGAATAATTTGAGCCATAAAAGAAAATAGTATCGAATTATATGCCAAAGCATAAAATAAATATTAATGAGCCCATACTCACATAAATAAATGATTGAATAAATAAAAGAACTGGGGAGAGGAGTCAGATGTCTCTTATAGAAAAATTTCCATTCTGTAGGTTGTCTGTTTATAACATGGGAGAAAATGTTTGCCAACTATGCATCCAACAAAGGTCTAATATCCAGAATCTATGAGGACCTTAATTCAAGAAGCAATAATCAAATAACCCCATTAAAAAGGGGCAAAGGATATGAATAGACACTTTTCAGAAGAAGACATACGAGTGGCCAAAAAATAAATGAAAAACTCCCCATCATCATTATATCATCAGAGAAATGTAAGTTAAAACCACAATGAGATACTGTCTTACACTGGTCTAAATAGTTATTACTAAAAAGTCAAAAAACAACAGATGCTGATGAGGCTGTGGAGAAAGGGGAATATTTATAAACTCTTGGTGGGAACGTAAATTACTTCAGTCACTGTGGAAAGCAGTTTGGAGATTTCTCAAAAAACTTAAAACAGAGATACGATTTGACCAAGCAATCCCATTAGTGAGTATATGTTTAAAAGAAAATAGATCACTATGCCTAAAATACACATGCACTCATCTGTTCATCACCATGCTATTCAAAATAGCAAAGATAGGGAATCAACCTAGGAGCCCATCAATGGTGGATTGGATAAAGAGAATGTGGTACATATAGGCCATGGAATATTATGCAGCCATTAAAAAGAATAAAATCATGTCCTTTGCAGCAACTCGATTGGAGCCGAAGACCATAATCAAGAGCATATTAACTGCAGTATAACAGAAAACCAAATGCTGTATGTTCTCATTTATAAGTGGAAGCTAAACATTGAGCATACATGAACATAAACAGGAGAACAATGGACACTGCAGCCTGCTGGGGACAGAAGAGGAGAAGGCTAGAAAAACTACCTATTGGGTACTATGCACTACCTGTGGGCAATATACCTGTGTACCAAACCTGCATATGTACCCCCTGTATCTAAAATAAAAGTTGACAATTTAAAAAAAAGAAATATTCTAAATAATTATGTATCTCAGCCTTCAGGAGGGGCAGCATAAATCTGTAGTCCTTAGATGTAGGTCTTGCATTGTAACTTCCTTTCAAAGAGAACAATACGGTAAGAGGGAAAAAAAGGGCAACTTTCTAGTGAACAAACTTGACAAATGCTCCCTCATTTAAATGATTATGGTCAGTATTAATGGAGAAAAATCATGGTGATAGCATGTGCCCTTGATGTATTGTGATACAAATCATACCTTTTTGGCCTTCCTCCCAGAAAACCATAATCCCATTCTAATGAGGAGAAACGCATCAGACAAATTTTAATAGAGGAACATCCTACAAAATAGCTGAGCAGTACTCCCCAAAACTATCAAGGTCATCAAAACAAAGCAAGTTTGAGACACTGTCATAACCATGAAGTTCCTAAGGAGACAAGATAAGTGAATGTGATTTGATATCTTGGATGGAATCCTGGAACAGAAAAAGACATTAGCTTAAAAACTAAGGAAACGTGAATAAACTATGGACTTTAGATAGTAATAATATATCAATATTGGCTTATTACTTTAAAAATGTACCATCCAAATGTAAGATGGCAATGGACAAAACTGAATATAGAGGGTCTATGGGAACTCTGAATTACCTTCCTCAATATTTCTGTAAGTCTAAAACTACTCTAAAAATGTCTATTAAAGGCCGGGCTCGGTGGCTCACGCCTGTAATCCCAGCACTTTGGAAGGCCGAGGCGGGCAGATCACGAGGTCAGGAGATCGAGACCATCCTGGCTAACACGGCAAAACCCGTCTCTAGTAAAAATACAAAAAATTAGCCGGGCGTGGTGGCAGGCACCTGTAGTCCCAGCTACTCGGAAGGCTGAGGCAGGAGAATGGCGTGAACCCAGGAGGCAGAGCTTGCAGTGAGCCGAGATCGCGCCACTGCACTCCAGCCTGTGCTACAGAGCTAGACTCCGTCTCAAAAAAAAAAAAAAAAGTCTATTAAAAATGAGTGAAAGCTTTATGTTAAAGGTCTTTTTCCAATTAAACTGTCAAGTGTGATGCATCTTGAAAGAATAACCTTCCATATATCCTTTCTTAGAAAAAAGAATGCTCTGCTGACTAAAGCTTGGCAAAAAAGAAAGAGGCAAAATGGAATTCAAGAAAAAGGATACAACGAAGTGATGGCATAAGAAAAATCCTAAGATAAATTCTGAGTACCCAACATAGACAGCATCCACCCCAGACCTGCTTCCTCACTGCCTACTCCTTCCAAGTCTCATTTGGTAGTTCCTCCTCATCAATTTGATGTCTACACTTGATCTGGCCACCTGCTAACTCACTGACCTCATGTTCTACCAAGTTCATCTTTGCTCGCTCCTCTCTAACCAGAGAATCCCTTCCTCAAGGCCATTACACTTGTTCTTCCTCCTACTTGAAAATACATTTTTCTCATAAAAATAACCACTCCTAACCCCAGCCCTTTCAGTTTTAATTTTTCCATATCTTTTATTACCATCAGACATCACATATATTTACTTTTTTTTTTTTACTGTCTCCCCCTACTAAAATGTAAGCTCCATAAAAATAGAAAGTTGCCTATATTTTTCACTGCTGCAAACTCAGTGCTTAGAAAAAAATGACTGGCTCAGAGGAGTGACTCAGTATTTCTTTAGTGAAGGAATAAATAAAATTTTTATGATACAATTAACAAGTTAGAATAATATATATTTGAGTATATAAAACTTTATAACTAATAGAAGATGTATTTCAGTTTCATGTAATCATAGGATTTTTCTTCAAAGTGAACATGTACTAGGATACAGCAGAAAAAGTCTCAAAAATTGTAAAACAAGTATAAAACAAGTCATATTACATAACCACTTACAATAAAATGAATTACAAAAATCTAACTAAAAATAACATTCTTTAAATCATGGGATAAACAGAAAATGTAAAGAAAATTTAATTATATTTAGAATTAAATACCTTTGAAACACTATATATCAAATTGATTGAGATGAAGCTAAAAATCACACTGGAGAAAAATATGTATCCTTAAATATTGATTTTGGCAAAGAAGAAATATTGATAAATAAGAAATAAGCATCCAACAAGAAAAATAAAAAATAAGAAAATAAAAGCCAGACAGAGCTGTCAGTAAAATACAATAGAAAAAGGCAAAAAGAAGAGATCAACAAACCCCAATATTTGACACTTTGAGAAGACTAATAAATGAAACAAATTTTGGTGAGATTATCCAGGAAATAAAGAAAGGAAGCACCCACAAAAGCACACACAACACATCAACACACACATCCCCATGCTATTAGAAATAAAAAAGAGAAAATATTCCCTGATATACTAAAGACTTCAAAATATCATAAGAAAATACTATGCATGATTTTCTTGCAATAAAGTTAAAAATTTAAATAAAATGAAAACGTTCTGGGAAAAATGTGATTTACTAAAACTCACTCAAAAAGTAGAACTGGATAGTCTTATAATCATTAAAGAGAATGAAGATAGAATAAAATCTACACATACACACAAATAAAATCCTAGTTGGTGAGTGAGTGGGTAGGGGGATTTAAGTCTAGGTAGTTTTATAAGCAAGTTTTACCAACTTCTAATATAAAAATAATTGTTATTTTATGCAATTTCCAGGAAGGGGGAAGAAAGAAAAATAAGCAGTGTAATATATATGCCAATATTTGACAAAGACAGTACAAGAAATGAACAGATCGATACAATTTCTTAACATACATGCAAAATTTTCAAAGAAAATCTGAGCAATATGTAATTCTTATACATACAAGCCTTCCATATATGAAGCCTACCCTATTCTGTCTTGTCTGTGACTAAGTCAATATGTCTGCCCAACTCTGAGGTTCACCATATATGGGCATCCTAGTTTGCTCTTATAAACTATGCTCTTTAACTCATCTTTAATAATAAAGGTAATGTTTTGGTTGCCACCTTTACTCTTTCAGCTATCAACATATCATGAAATGGGGCAGGGAAAGAAGAGTGTAATTTGCTGAGGTGCTGTTTTGGGTTTTTTAGATGTCAAGAACTCATCTGAAAATTTTATGCCTGCTAACTCATTTAATTTTCACAAAGTCCCTATGATGTGTGCATTATTTGTAGCTGTGTATGCCAGAGGTTAAACAACTTGCTTAAGATCATAATGCTTAGTAAGGATAAAGACAGGATTTCAATTCTGATAAAACGAACTAACAAACTGGCCTTACAAATCAGTGGCAAAAGGAAGGTATATCAAGTAAATAGGGCTCTAATTATGCAGAAAATATTCCTTATTTCATATAATACTCCCAAATTGGTTCCAAATGGATTGTAAGTACAATATAAGGCTGGGTGTGGTGGCTCATGCCTGTAATCCCAGCACTTTGGGAGGCCGAGGCAGGCGGGTCACTTGAGGTCAGGAGGTTGAGACCAGCCTTGCCAACACGGTGAAACTTTGTCTTTACTAAAAATACAAAAATTAGTCAGACATGATGGCATGTGTCTACAGTTCCGGCTACTCAGGAGGCTGAGGCAGGAGAATCGCTTGAACCTGGGAGGCAGAGGTTGCAGTGAGCTGAGATCGTGCCACTGCACTCCAGCCTAGATGACAGAGCGAGACTTCATCAAAAAAAAAAAAAAAAAAAAAAGTACAATATAAGAAATAAAACTCTATTTTTTAAAGAAAATAAGCATGAAACTATATTTTTATGGTAGAATAAAGAAGGTTTACATACACTTGAAAAGAACTCATAAAAGGTTAATATATTTTACTACATTTAATGAAATCCTCTGCAGGACAAACTATATTAGAAACAAACAAAGACGACAAGTCAAAGACAGGAAGAAGATACTTATATCACATATAACAAATAAAGAATTGTAATTAGAAAATGCAATGGGCAGTTCTAAATAAAAATAAAAACAAAGCAAATCCAATAAAATTAATCCAAGGATGCAAACAGGCAATTCACAGTTGAGGAAATCATCATGGACATAAGCATAAATACACTAAATGTTCAATATCATTAGTAAATAGTTGAATGCCAGTGAAAACAACAGTAAGAATCTCTCTCACATCCAACTGACTATCAAAATTATCAACTATGGGAACATTAGGTATAATGAAAATGTAGCAGGGGCTCATATTATTAGCAGAATATAAAATTTTAGAGTCTTTTGTTTAGCAATTTGCTTAAGGGGGCACATTCCATAACCCAGAGTTTCTCTGCAATTGACTGGCTACCTTGGAGGCAGCGCCACACACATGTTCCAGGATCCATGTAGAAGAATGTTTTCTGCAGCACTATTTATAATACCAAAAACAACCCAGCATAAAAACTTTAAATGCTCCTTAGAAAAAGAAGAGAATAATTAAATGTTGTTGATTAGTACAATGCAATACTTAGCAATTAAAATGAACAGATTATATCTACATGTGTCAACACAAGTAATCTCAAAACAAAGTTGAATGAGCCACTAAGGTTTTAAAAATATACAGACGAATCTATTTATGTAAAATATGAATACACACAAATGAAGGCAGATTTAGGATGTTGCTAGTGAACCTTTAGTTCTGGGAAGTTTCAATTACATATGCCACTTTCCAGGGAGGAAGTTTTCATTCTGAGTATTAACTCCAGGTGGTATATAAAATCTTTAGTTTTAAAATGCTGAAGGGTAGGCCATATAGAGAGAAATTATTGATGATACACAAACTTGATTAGTGCAATATTTACATTTATGTCTCTTAACAGGATAAGTAGGAAGTAAGATAAGCATGTGCTACCTTCCTGCGGGAGGACAGTCTCTTTCTGCCTGGGCAGCTGCTCCTGACTCCAGCAATGCTATGACCTCAAACCAGCAATGCAAGAGTTTCTTTCTCCTCAATCCCTGTGTGTGTTGGGCATGCACCTCTATCAACACTATAACAAGAAAGCTCACATATGAAGTAGTAAGGTTAATGCATACAGTTATCAATAATTGAAAACAAATTTAGTTCATCCATGCTAGAGGGAAAACATTTTTTTCTAATCCCACCATAGGAATTAATATTTAAGAATGTCACAGGAAGAGGTAATCAAAGGCTATGTGGTCACAAATATACAGAAAAATGTATTACAGAGGTAGGTTTGGAAACTTTAAAATATTAGATTTTGCTTGTATATTTTTGATGCTTGTGGCATTTATCACCTATTTACATTTTTAAATGTGTTATGATTTCTTATTCTAAACAAATATTCTTGCATCTCATTTTATTTTTGTAATTGTGTACTTTTTTTCTTAAATAAGGGCCCCAGGGCATACATACATAAAACATAGTTATATTATTTTTAAATACATGACATGACATACACAGGAAAGACATACAATAACTTTAAGATACTGGTTACTGGTGGGGAGGAAAGGAAACAGAAGAAGGTAGGGATTTAGCTGTATCTGTAACATTTTCCTTCCTATTTGTAAAGATAGATTTAATGAACGTATGGCAAAATGTTAACATCTGTTTAATCTCAGTGGTGAGTACACAGATGTCTGTATTTTTAATTCTTCTTCTACATATTTGAAATTATATGAAATTTTATATAATAATTTTTTCAAAAAATCATGCTACTAGTAGAAAATTACTTATGTGAATATCTCCAGCTACTACGTACAACTAAATAGTGACATATTTGATAAGGTAATCTTATTATGGGTCATTTATCCTAAGGTAAAAATAAAAGGAACATTTTACATGCATAAAATATTTGCCATTTCAATGATTATAACTTTAAACATCTAATATCAACCAGGCAATGTGCTAAGCTCTGAAAGCATTTGCTGATTTTTATATTTCTTTTGCTTCTAAATGTCATGTGCTCATATTTACATTATTGATGTTTTGAAAAAAAAATCCTTAGAATGTGACAGGTTGAATTTAGGATGCAATGGGCTGCACATCACATCTCTCTAACTATCTAACAAATATCTACTGAGATTCTATCATGCTCTAATGCTAGTTCTGGGTACAATGACCTGGTCTCAGATTTTACAGAGCTTATAGTTTATTGTAGAAGACAGACAACAAGCAAAACAGAATGTGAGCCAATATTGATTATACACTATGATAAATGATAAATATCCTAAAGGAAGGAGGAGCATGTTGCTGGAGTAAGGTAATCCATGGGGTCAGGAGACAACTTCAGGAATGTCTCTCTTAGGAGAAGACATTTTAGCAAACTCAAAGGCTGACAAAGAGCAAGTATTCAATCAAATGCTCAATAATGAAAATAATGTATCAACATGATCCTAAAGATTTGAAGCGGAAAAATTTGGGGGTGTAAATACCACTGGCCAAACCAAGGAGGTCAATTATAAAAGCTATTGTGAAGGGTCAGGAGAAATTACAAATTTAATTATTAGTATATTGATTTTGAGATGTTACTGGAAAATCAATCCTTGGAAACAACCTCAGGTTTGAAATGGTATAATCAGCCAATGAAAATCATACATAAGTTAAAATACATGAAATGGACCTACATACATAAAAATAGAAAAATATTAGTAATATAACACTGATTGAAATAACTAGTGAAATGTGTGTGATTTATGCAATATGAAACCATGTATGTAAAGCATAAAAATACAAAAAACTACTACATATTGGTATGAGTTCATAAATACATAGAGTTATATCATAAAAATATACATGGGACATATATACAAAGCACTATAAGACTTTGGGTACCTCTGAGTTAGGATTAAAAGGAATGAGATTGTGGAGGGATTTAGATATACCTGTAATATTTTAGTCAAAAAACAAGATTGGAAGCAAACATACAAAAATGTCAACATTTGATCTATTGTGCATTGACTACTCAAAGAACTGTTATAATACTTTTCACATTGTTTCTATGTACTTGAAATATTTTATAATTTTGAAGAGTAATAAATAAAATGAAAACAAAACAAGTGAAGCAATAGCACGACACTATATTTTACATTTAATTTCTTTTTTTTTTGCTAAAGAGTAAAGAACTTTATTCAATAAATGTTAACCAATATAGAATTTTTTCTCCATAGAAGATAAGCTGCATATTGCTTGACTTTTATAACAGTATTTATAACATTAGTTTATCATTGCAGGCAAAATTTCTTTTTAAAAAATGTATAGAAAAAATATATAAAATTTACCCTTAACAATTTTTAAGTGTACAGTTCAGCAGTGTTAACTATGCTCACATTGCTGCGTAACACATCTCTAGAACAGGCAAGATTTCTTTTTTTTTTTAATTTTATTATTATTATACTTTAAGTTTTAGGGTACATGTGTACAACGTGCAGGTTTCTTACATATGTATACATGTGCCATGTTGGTGTGCTGCACCCATTAATTCATCATTTAGCATTAGGTATATCTCCTAATGCTATCCCCACCCCCACCCCACAACAGTCCCCAGTGTGTGATGTTCCCCTTCCTGTGTCCATGTGTTCTCATTGTTCAGTTCCTACCTATGAGTGAGAACATGAGGTGTTTAACAACCCCATCAAAAAGTGGGTGAAGGATATGAACAGACACTTCTCAAAAGAAGACATTTATGCAGACAAAAAACACATGAAAAAATGCTCATCATCACTGGTCATCAGAGAAATGCAAATCAAAACCACAATGATACCATCTCACACCAGTTAGAATGGCAATCATTAAAAGGTCAGGAAACAACAGGTGCTGGAGAGGATGTGGAGAAATAAGAACACTTTTGCACTGTTGGTGGGACTGTAAACTAGTTCAACCATTGTGGAAGTCAGTGTGGTGATTCCTCAGGGATCTAGAACTAGAAATACCATTTGACCCAGCCATCCCATTACTGGGTATATAACTAAAGGATTATAAATCATGCTGCTATAAAGACACATGCACACGTATGTTTATAGCGGCACTATTCACAATAGCAAAGACTTGGAACCAACCTAAATGTCCAACAACGATAGACTGGATTAAGAAAATGTGGCACATATACACCATGGAATACTATGCAGCTATAACAAACGATGAGTTCATGTCCTTTGTAGGGACATGGATGAAACTGGAAACCATCATTCTCAGCAAATTTACATTTAATTTCTAGCAGCCAGGCAAGGATGTAACTAACTCTATGTCTCAGGTTTGAGAACGACTGTTATCTATCAGGATTCAGTTGCAGATAACAGGAAGAAACCTAGGTATTTTAAGCAGAATAGCATTTAATGAAGGGAATTAAAGTCTTACAAAAATCACTGGAAGGCAAGGAGGCTAGCCCTCTCTGAATGAGGCTCAAAACAAAACTACAAATCTAGCCTACCAGGAGAGCTGCTACCCCTACTTCAGCAGAGAAGATGAGGAAGTGGGAGCTTACTCCCAGGAACTAGTACGTCCTCAAATGCCTTGGCTTCCATCCAGGAATCACGAAGTCAATACTTCAATACCACACTCTGCCTCTCAATTTACAAACCTGATGACTGTTCACTGAAATTTCTGCTAACTTAGCTGCAGAAAATCTCAGAGTTTTCTTAACCATGTTTTGCAGCAGTCACAGCAGCAGTTGCAGAAATATGACTCTTGCTTCCTTTAACATTCCAATCTAACTGGGCAAACCACATCATATCAAGAATCCTGAAAGTAAAAAGGTCTTGGAAATGCAGACTTAAGTTTCTAAACCTCAACCGTGTAGAGGCAAGCACAGAAGAAAAAAAGTGGAATGGCACCTTAGTCTCCTCAATGGGAGCCTCCAAGCTCTTTATTTTGCCCTATAGAAACACCAGGGAGATTTTGCCATTTTCTAGTAGGGTCAATCCAGAAGCCAGTAACAGGCTAAACAAGGGGTAATATCTGGAGTATCCAGAAAGAAGCACGTATTCCTTCCAAACTCAAATGTCAGCAATAAGACCAGGTGGCTGCAGAATAGAGAGCAGCTGCTGGTCAGTGTTGGTTGCTGGCCAGGCAAATACAAAGTATCTTCGAAATAACAAAACAGATTTGTTGCTATCCTCATTAGGAAATTCCATTTGGAGGTCTAGCAGCTGCCTGTGGTGATAAGTAACCTCAAAATTGTTTTCTTTTAAAATGTATAATAAGCTGAATTTATATAATCACCTAAAAGATTTTCACTTGTTTGGTTTGGGCACTGAATTTTAGTTATCTAGAGGTCTTATTTTCTGGCTCATTTCTTTTGTCATTTCATTTTCACTTTATCTCCTTGTAACATTCCTGAATGCAAGAGAACATTATTCTATACTTGTCATTAAACAATGTCAGCTAATACTTCAAGTCACTTCATAAAAAGAGAGCCAAAAAAAAATCACGCCCTTCAAATTCCTGCATGAAAAAAGAAAGAGGGAAACGTAGGCGATACTCATTTCTGTAAGCAATAATAGAGTCAGGAAATTCTTCTTCCGTGGTAAATATTAATTAGCAAATTATGTATTACTGGAACGATGAATCCTATGAGACCATGGACTGTATCATCCACCAGTCCTGTAAAGTAGCTAGAATAAAACTCTATGGTGCAACCATTGCAAAATGGCCCTCATTTTTCACCCTCCTCTATATCTGTTTTCTTCCCCACATAACTTTGTAGTGTCCTTTTACTATGACTTTAACTTTGGCCACGTAGCTTGCTTTGGTTAGTAGGAAATCAGCAAATGTGACCAAAATGAGGTTTGAAAGATGCTTTCCCAATTGGGCTTGGCTTCTTTTGCATCTATGCCATTGTTGAACATGCCAGGGCTAGACTGCTAGACAATAAAAGATACATGGAGTTGTGCTGGCTCACTGAAGTCCTTTCTGCCAAGGCCATCATAGATCAGCTAACAACGAGACGATTTTTAATATATATTTGTGTCTGTGAGTCCATATAATAATAGTAAAGCTGTTCAGATGACCTGCAGCTGATGCAGACTCATGAGTGAGTCTGGCCCAAATTAGCTAAACCTTACAGCCACGTGAGTTTAAGTGTCACTTCTCATATGCCACCAAGTGGTCTGTTGTATACATTTACATGGCAATAGATAACCAATATAGCAACCAATGAGAATTACATGATGTTGAATTGATGATGATATGTGAACATACAAGATATCTAAATTTTAATTATAAATTATTAAACTGACTTAAGTATACCAAGAAATCATATCTGAGTTGATCTTACAATGTGCTTTGAACCACAAGCTATACAAAAGGTACAAGGTATTTGATTGTTGAATTGTTTTATTTTCTTGCATTTTAAAACAATTCTATCATTGGACGTAGTCATGGTCACACTCTCCAAAGTTCTGATGTTTGAGAAGAGCAGCTCAATATATTAACAACTAATTTTGAACAAATGCTTTGAATTTCTATATCCTTTTAGGCAACTATATATTTACCATCATTCTTCTTAAAATGGAGGTAATGTAAAGATTTTTGTGTGGGGAAAACCCAGGTTGCGTTGCTATTTTTACTTTTGAAGCAGCAGAATAAAATCTAGGCAAATTGTTTGGGTACAGCTTACTTTCAGTTTTCTTCCATTTCACGTCTCTCTGTACCATACTTCTTATTTGTTCACCAAGGAAAACAATTTAGTAGTACCTGGCAAAGAAGACTTCCATTCTCTGTGTCTGTCCCCTTTTCTTGACCACCATAAAAATTTATTAGTTTTGTGCCTTTATGGTTGTTCTTTGACTTTTAAAGTTTGTCTATGTGTAGAATTTTGTTTTGTATTGTTTTGTTTTTACTATACTTTAAGTTCGGGTATACATGTGCAGAATGGGCAGGTTTGTTACATAGGTATACACGTGCCATGGTGGTTTGCTGCACCCATCAACCCGTCATCTACATTAGGTATTTTTCCTAATGCTATCCCTCCCCTAGTTCCCCACCCGCTGACAGGCCCTGGTGTGTGATATTCCCCTCCTTGCATCCATGTGTTCTCATTGTTCAACTCCCACTTATGAGTGAGAACATGTGGTGTTTGGTCTTCTGTTCCTGTGTTAGTTTGCTGAGAATGATGGTTTCCAGCTTTATCCATGTCCCTAAAACTCCAAGTATTCTGAAGCATTTTTCATATTAACAAATTGTTTCATTTAAAAAAATTGAAGATATTTATCAAAAAGCATGAAATGAAAATAACATGATGGTGAAATAATCAGAGGGAAAAGATAATAACAGAAAAATCATGAAATTAATTCAAAGTGTGCTATGCACAGAATGGCAAGCCATTGAGCTATGCTTAATAATTCAAAGTCGGCAAGAAATTTGACTTTAATGGTACCAATTGCCAAAGCAAGAGAGAACTATGCTTTATAAGACTAGCATGTCCCTTAAAACAAACAGACAAAATGTTAGTTATTCAGTATAATTAAACTTACTAGAAATGGTCTGAGACAAAAATCTTCTGTGTACCATTATTTAAATAAGTGACCTCAACTATATCCCTACAATAGAAATTACAGTAAGACTTTTTTTTACATGAATGCCAAAGTAAAAGCAATAATTTATAGGGTGAAAAAATGTAGTCAAATTGTGCAGCTTTCTGGCTTTAAGAGTTATCCAGAAACTAAACTTGAGATTTCCTAGAGAGATGCATGAATTGTTTATCCTTCAGGCAATCCTTTATAAATATAACTTCTCTTAATCTAACTTTTGTTCCACATTGGCTCATAAACATTTTGAGGTTGTATTCTCAGATGCTGAAGTAATTTTCACTGATAAGAAATTGCAATGTCAGTCATCGCACTGAAAAATGGCACTGTCTATTCCTTAATTTTTAATGAGCTTGTGGAAGTAACCTCCTAGTATAGGATAAAACTCACACAATTTGAAATGTTTCTGGAAAGAGGAAAATCTTTTGCCATACATGCAGAGTGCATAAAATCTCATGTATTCCATGTTAACTTTAATGACATTAATCAGGATTAGTTGGTATATTTTCCAGGGCCTTTTGGAAAACTGTTTATTTCTTGACTTTTCATGATTTGTGAGGTTTGTCTTTAATTAAAGGTAAGAAGTTTTTTTAGGGTACATTTTTCTTAATTTGCTATTTATTTTTAGGGTTGTAGGCAAACATTTTCTTAGGGGAAAATCTTTAATGTCTATGAAATATGACAAACCAGCATTTGACTGAGAATGTAAGGTTAAAAAATATTAGGTCTATATAGAATTATACTTGGCAGTATAATAGAGCTATTCCTATTGACTTAGATTGCTGATGTAAGAAAAACATTTCCTGTCTTGAGTCAATGTATATGATGGGTGAGACTATACTGGAGAAACATTTCTTTAAGATGAGTTATTTCATTTTGACATATTTGCAATAATTTATATAGCATACACTTAGCATGTAGTGCATCTGTGTAATTATGTTCTCTACACTGTGTTTAGTTCCAAGTCAGGTATTAAGATTTTTAAATTTTTTTAACTTGAACTCATCTCTAAAACATACTAGCTCTTCAAAACCATTAATTGGATTTATCTCAGGAAAGAGAGGGTGATTTAACATGGAAAAAATTAATCAGTAAAATTCACTACATTTGAAACTTTAAAAATACAATTCATATCACCTTAATAGATACAGAAAGAACATTTGAGAAAATGTAATATCCACTCCTAATAAAATGTATAGCAAAAAAAGAATAAAAATTTTCTTAACCTGATAAAGGGCATTTATGAAATATCGTACTTACAGTAAAAGACTTAATGCTTTCCTTCTTGTATGAAGAACAAAACAAGAATGTTTTCTCCTATCTCTTCTATTTGACATTATAGTAGTGGTTCTAGCAAGCACAATATGACAAGAAAAATAATTGAAAGACATACAGATTTTACAAGAAGAAGAAAAAATTCTTTCATATAAAACATGGTCATCTAGGTAAAAATATCAGGGAATTTACAAAAAATATACTAGAACTAATAAATAAATTTTGCAAAGTTACTGGATAGAAGGTAAGTATAAAAATGTTATTTTTCTATACAATTTCCAAAATTTAAATTACTTGTGTGTAATTACAATGAATACACATAAAATATAAGAAAATATAATGTAATATATATACAAACAAATGTACCCAAGAAAACTTGGATAAAAAAGACTAATAAGGGGGTGCTTATCTTATCTATCATCACAATATACTTTAAAACTATTATATTCAAATCAATGTTCCTGACATAAGAACTTAAAAATAGATCTGTCAAAAAGAATAGATAATATGTAAAAATATTACAAAGGTCAGTAAATTAAAAGGAAATAAGTTATAGTCATCTTTGCCACAAAAAAAAAAAAATATTCTAGACATGCACTTTCCCACACAGTAACCAGTAGCCATGTATGCATATTGGTTAACTAAATTACAATAGCCATATGAGGCTATTGAGGAAAAGCAAATTGAGATGTGTTTTCTAAAATGCAAATGACATTTTAAATGCTCAGTTTGAAAAAAATGATACATACCATTTGACCCAGCCATCCCATTACTGGGTATATACCCAAAGGACTATAAAATCATGCTGCTATAAATACACATGCACACATATGTTTATTGTGGCACTATTCACTATAGCAAAGACTTGGAACCAACCCAAATGTCCAACAATGATAGACTGGATTAAGAAAATGTGGCACATATACACCATGGAATACTATGCAGCCATAAAAAATGATGAGCTCATGTTCTTTGTAGGGACATGGATGAAATTGGAAATCATCATTCTCAGTAAACTATCACAACAACAAAAAAACAAACACCGCATGTTCTCACTCATAGGTGAGAATTGAACAATGAGAACACATGGACACAGGAAGGGGAACATCACACTCTGGGGACTGTTGCGGGGTGGGGGGAGGGGGGAGGGATAGCATTAGGAGATATACCTAATGCTAAATGACAAGTTAATGGGTGCAGCACACCAGCATGGCACATGTATACATATGTAACTAACCTGCACATTGTGCACATGTACCCTAAAACTTAAAGTATAATAATTATAAAATAAAAAAAAGAAAAAAAGATACATACCTAATTTATAATTTTTATAAGGACTGTGTTGGAAACAATAACATTTCAAATATGTTAGGCTTATAAAATATATTATTGAATTTAATTTTATTAGTTTCTTTTTACATTAAAAAATACATTTGACATGAAATTTAAAATTTCATATATGGTTCACATTTGTGGCTAGCATTACGTTTCAGACATTGCTGGTCTAGAGAAGATAAAACAATAACAAAGTTAGCAAGAAAATCTAAGGTCCTGATAATATATTCTAGAAACAGGAAATTTCTGTGATTAAGTAAAAAGTCAGAAAGTATAAATTAGATTTTTTAGAAAAAAATATTAAGTTATACAAAAAAGGTACTTATCAAATGTATTAAATACAAATAAATTTTGTGGAAAATTCTCTCTTGCAGAGTGAATAGTCATAAAGGTGATATTAATTCTGAAGCTGGGGGAAAAATCCCTATAGATAAATGAGCAAAGATTTTTAAAAACAAATTCAAAGATGAGAAAATTCCAGTGGCCAATAAATACATACTAGGCTGTCCCAACCCCCTACTAATGTACTATAAATTAAAGTAACAACAATATACCATTTCTAAAGTATCAGATTTTAAAAATTGTTTGGTAGTACATGTTGTTGTAAGAATAATGATGTATGTGAGAAACAGAATGATAGGCAATTTCATATATCCCTGGTGGAAATGTGAATTGTCACAACATTTTTGGTAAGATAATTGCACGGTGACAGAATTAATACAGGTGAATAAGAATATTCAAATAAATATATCTATTAAAGCATCATTTCAATGTATTTATTACCAATGAACTGTACACTTAAACCTGGTAAGGCTGATAAATTATATAGATGCACGTTTTACCTCAATAAAAAATAGGAGGGAAAAAAGCATAGTTCATAATTCCATAAAACTAGAAACAAAGTGAATATACATTAACAATTAAATAATTGAATCAACTATAGTCTATGAAAACTATCACATGCATTAAATATAGAGTTGTGAAAATTACATTTCAGGGATTTTAATAAGATGTAAGTATTGCCAATTGAGAACAGTAAGTTAAGGAAAAGTGAGTATAATATGACACTTTTATAAAAAACACAATTGTTTTAAAAAGACTATCTCTTACATATATGTATATATTGATGTGTACATACACATGTATATTATATGTATATATTTATGTGTATATACACATTCTTACATGAGCATGAAGAAAAACATGAAAGGATACATATTGAGTTGTAACATAGGTTGCCTGGTGTGAAAAAAGTATGACAAAGGACGAGACTGCAGTACTGAACCAGGAAAAAAATATGAAAAAGTCTTCATACACAAGGCACAAAAAAAGAAAAATTTATATGATCACATTCAAAATGCATTTATATAAAATTGCATGTGCAGATAAAATAAAATTTTAAAAGTTAATTAATGCAACACAAACATGCTGATGACATTTAACAGTTTGATTCTGATTATTTTTCAATTTTTACTTAGCTTGTTGGTTTGATTGCCAATAGAGTGTTGTGTATAATTCAGAAAGACCTGGGTTTCAGACCAACTTCTCCAACTATAAACTGTGGGATAATAGTCAATTTACTATTGTACTTAATGCAAATTCCTTGTTAATAAATGGAGCAACAACAAATAAGTAAAAAAGGATGTTACAATAACTAAATGAAATAATGTGTTTTAAAAGTCTCATACACAGGCATTCAATGCAGATAATTAGCTGTATTGGCTGTAATTATCATCAACATTGGGATCACTGCCATTATCACCACCACCATTGCAACCATTATTATCATTGCTTTAAACCGCATTGTATAAGGGCAGACACTCCCTTAGTAAGGTATCCAGTAAGTGCATGACTGCATTCAGAGAGCCCATAATTTGTCTTTTAAATAGCTTATGCCATCTAGAGCTTTTAGCATTCTCCCTGGCCCTCTGTGATAGGAGAAAAAAAATACCAATTGCTAAGCTACTATTTCAAAATCACATATTATATTAAAAAACAAAATCTACCTATGTAAAAATGAAATTAAATTGTTGATTGTTAAGGATTAAAGGGGAAAATTGTTTAGCAGATAATGCCACCATAAAAATATATTCTTTATATCTTTTGTGTGTTTGTTTGTGTTACCTAGAAGTAAGATTGTATACATTATTCTACGGAGTAAAAACCTCTTTTTCTAACTATCCTTCTCTAAAAATGTCTGTTCACTCATGAATTTATTCATCCAAACCATCTCTTGAGTGTCAATCTATGTGAAGAAAACACCATAGATAAGAAGGCATGGTAGGAGTAATAACTGCAACATGACAAAGTAGGAAGCCCTAGACCATCTTTCCCTTGACAAACACCAACTGAGAAACAACTCATGGGCAAACTCCCTTTGTGAGAACTTGGAAACTGTTGAAAGGCTCAAATACCCAGAGAGGATGTAAAATCAATTCATTGAAGCACGTAGAGAGATTTGGGAAACTCACTGAAAACTTTGACCCTGGGGTAAGCACATATGATCAGGAAAAGTCTCCCTAGCACCCACCTTCACAGAGGGGAAGGAACAGATTTGTTCACTCATTCAGTGTCCCAACTTTTTTTAAGGGACTTCCCAGATGACTGGATTCTGTCTTTTCAGCCTCACAACCCTGATGAGTTCATCACAGTCAAGCTGCCTAGGAGAGAAGGGCAGCAGTGGCTTGGGCTGGTAGGCACTATCAGCGCTTCTGACTGCTCAGCACAGAGTGAGAAGATTAAAAAATATAATTTCTCAGCTTCTCCCTAGACAGTAAAAATGTTGATTCATGCATCTAATGCTTTCCAAGGAATTAACATCTGTCTCACTATTTTTGGAGTTCTGACAGGTCCAGCATGGGTTAGCTGCCTGGAGAAGAATAGATGCCAGAGCTCCCATTCTTGGCTCAGCACAGAAAGAACAAACAAAAACCACAGCCACCTGCCTTCTGCCTGGGGAGGGAAAGAATTGATAGAGGCCCCCAGAATCTCTGACTAAGCTGATTGATAGGGGTCTTTTCCTGTATGAGGCCAGTCAATGAAGAATGGGAGAAGTCTTTATCTAAAGTGCAGACATCAACACAGACTGTCAAGGAAAATGAAAAATCAGGCAAAGATGTTCCAAATAAAGGAATAAGATGAATCTCCAGGAATCAATCCTAATAAAATGGAGTTATATCATTTACCAAACAGAGAATGAAAAATTACTCTCATAAAGGTGCTCATCAAGGTAAAGAGAAGAGTGCATGAATGAAGTGCACTCAATAAAGAGATAGAAAATATAAAAGTATCAAACAGTAATCGTAAAGCTGACGAAAACAATAACTGAACAAAAAATTCACTAGAAGGATTCAACAACAGACTAAATCAAGTTGAAGAAAGGATCAGCAAACTCAGATACAGGTCACTAGAAATAATTCAGTCAGTAGAACAAAAAGGAAAAATAAACTAAAAATAATAAATAAATGTTAAGGGGTGTAGTAGTCCATTTTCATGCTACTGATAAAGACATACCCAAGACTGGGTAATTTATAAAGAAAAAGAGATTTATGGACTCACGGTTCCATAAGGATGGGGAGGCTTCACAATGATGGCAGAGGGTGAAAAGCGTGTCTTACATGGCAGCAGGCAAGAGAGAATGAGAATCAAGCAAAAGGGATTTCCCCTTATAAAACCACCAGATCTCCTGAAACTTACTCACTACTATCAGAACAGTATGGAGGAAACCACCCCTCATGATTCAATTATCTCCCACCAGATCCCTCTCACAACACATGGGAATTATAGGAGCTAAAATTCAAGATGAGATTTGGGTGGGGCAACAGCCAAGCTATATCAAGGGAGTTATAGAAAATGTCAAGCAGACCAATATATGCATTATGGGCATCCCAGAGAGAGAAGGACCAGAAAGCTTACTGAGTGTAGTAATGGTTGAAAACATCTCAAATCTGGGGAAGGAATAAATATTTTGATCCAAGAAGCCTGAAGCATACCAAATAAGATGAAAACCAAACATTATATTATATTTATTACATTATATTATAATGAAACACATTGTAATCAAATTTTCAGAAAACAAAGAATTTTGAAAGCAGCAGAGAAGACACTTTTCACATACATGACAAACTTCATAAGACTATCACTAGATTTTTTTTTTAGCAGATACCTTGCAGGCCAGAAGGGAGTGGAATGGTATATTAAAAGTATTGAAGAAAAACAACTGCCAATCAAGAACACTAAGTCCAACAAAAATCTCCTTCAAAAATGAAAAAGAGATACGGACTTTTCTAGACAAACAAAAGCTGAGGTAATTTATCACCACTGGGCTCATAATGCAGAAATGTGAAAGCAAGTTCTTCAAGTTGAAATGAAAGGATGTGTGATGGTTGATACTGAGTGTCAACTTAATCAGATTGAAGAATACAAACTATTGATCCTGAGCATGTTTGTGAGGGTGTTGCCAAAGGAGATTAACATTGAGTCAGTGGGCTGGGGAAGGAAGGTCGACCATTAACCTTGTTGGCACAAGCTAATCAGCTGCCAGCAAATATACAGCAGGCAGAAAAACATGAAAACGAGAGACAGGCCTAGCCTCCCAGCCTACATCTTTCTCCCTTGCTGAATGCTTCCTGCCCTTGAACATCTGACTCCAGTGTTCTTCAGTTTTGAGACTCAGACTGGCTCTCTCCTTGCTCCTCAAGCTTGCAGACAGCCTATTGTGGAAACTTGTGATCATGTAAGTAAATACTTAGTGAACTCCCATATATAAACATACATATGCTATATAGCATATATACATGCTATTAGTTCTGTCCCTCTAACAGAACCCTGACTAATACAGATTTTGGTACCAGGAGTGTTCTAGAGGAACAGAATATTAAGGATGGAGTTCCTTCATTGGTTTGGGGGTTGCTGGAGTTGGCTGCTTAATATGATTAGACCCCAAAAATGCTAAGGACTCTACTTCTAGTAGTATGGAGAGCACTGATAGTCCTTGGTGTGAACTGTTCGAAGAGTTATGCAAAATAAATGCATTTGACATTCCTGATTCACCATTTGTGAGAGGCAAGTTTAGTGACTCTGTGAGTAATACCTTTGACCATATGTGGAGAACCAAGGAAAATAATAAAGCTTGTTGTTTGCTCTTAAGTTCAGTGGACAAGTGATGAAAGACAATGATGAACTCAGGGATTCTGTCTCCTGGCTTCAGAAGCAGATAATGAGCCTCAAATCTGCCAAGGTTGCCCTGAATGAGAGTCTTGTCTCCTGTAGAGAAAGAGCTGAAATTGTGGAAAAACAGACATAAGCACTTATGTGAGTGGCTGACCTGCAATAAAAGGTGCATGCAGAGCCTTGCCCAGTGTCTACTGTTAAAGTGAAGGCATTGATTGGGAAAGAATGGTACCCTACAATTTGGAACATGGACATGTAGGGGGACCCTGACAAAGCTGGAGACGTTGAGTTTGTAAACTCTGATGAACCTTTTTTATGCCAGAAAGAACAGCTTCCCCATCCCCAGTACTGGCAATATCTGCTCCCTGACCCATACTGCTATCAGTCTTTCCACCTTTGTCTGAAGAGATAAACCCTATGCTGCCTGAGGCAACAGTGATGGCCTCCCCTGAGGCAGTTGCCAGGCAAAATAGTGTTGATTCTCCTCAGGAGCCACCCCCAACACCCCTGTTTGCTACTAGAATATAACTAGATTAAAGTCCTGGCGGGTCCCTAGAGGTGAAGTTGGGAGTGTGACCCATGAGTGGGTGCACTACACTCAAAAAGAACTGTTTGAGTTTTCTAATTTATATAAACAGCAATCTGGAGAACAGGCATGGGAATGGATATTAAGGGTATCAGATAATGGTGGAAGGAACATAGAGTTGTGTATCAGGCTGAATTTATTGATTTTGGCCCACTCAATAGGGACTCTGCTTTCAATGTTGCAGCTCAGGGCATTAAAAAAGGTTCTAACAGTTTATTTGCTTGGGTAGCTGAAATACAGATTAAAAGATGGCCCACTGTGAATGATCTGGAAATGCCTGATCTCCCTTGGTTTAATGTAGAGGAAGGGATCCAAAGGCTTAGGGAGATTGGGATGATGGAGAGGATTAGTCACTTTAGACCTACTCATCCCAGCTGGGAAGCTCCAGAAGACAAATCCTTGAGCAATACCTTGCAAAATAGCACCTGCATTTTTGAAGAGTCCTGTAATTGCTCTTCTCTGTATGTCAGATCTAACGCTGGGACACTTTGGGCTCCTCCTACCTTTATGTCAAGAGTTTAAGCAGGGAGTTATGCTGTTGGCTGGGGTGATTGACCCAGACTATCAAGATGAAATCAGTCTAGTACTCCATAATGGAGGTAAGGAGGAGTACGCATGGAATACAGGAGATTTATTAGGGTGTCTCTTAGTATTACCATGCCCTGTGATTAAGGCTAATGGGAACCTACAACATCCCAATCCAGGCAGGACTACAAATGACCCAAACCCTTTCAGGAATGAAGGTTATGGTCACTCCACCAGGAAAAAAAACATGATCTGCTGAGGTGCTTGCTGAAGGCAAAGGGAATACAGAATGGGTAGAAGAAGAAGGTAGTCATCAATACCAGCTATGACCACATGACCTGCTGCAGAAATGAGGACTGTAATTGTCATGAGTATTTCCTCCTTCTTTTCTTAAAAACATGTTTGTGCATGTATACACTTGTACTAAGAAAATAACTTCATTTTATTTCCTTTCTCCTTTATTATGTGACATAAGATTTATTGACTTCATATCAGCATTTAAGTATTGTTAACTTTATGAAATAGTATTTGGGTTGGGGATTGGTGTGTTTCCAGTTGTCCGAAGGACAGTTGTGTTATGTTAGGCATAATTATTACCCTATTTTTGTCTTTATTTGAAGATTATGTATGATCTCAGGAGATGTGTATGGGTTCAAGTTGACAAGAAGTGGACTTCTGATGGTTAATACTGAGTGTCAAAGGATATTCATCCTGGGTGTGTCTGTTTGGGTGTTGCCAAAAGAGATTAACATTTGAGTCAGTGAACTGGGGAAAGCAGCTCCACCCTTAATATGATGGGAACAATCTAACCAGTTGCCAGTGAATAAAAAGCAGGCAGAAAAAACATGAAAGAAAGAAGGGCCTAGCCTTCCAGCCTACATCTTTCTCTCATCCTGAATGCTTTCTGTCCTTGAATATCGGACTCCGAGTTCTTCAGTTTTGGGACTCAGACTAGCTCTCCTTGCTCCCCAAGCTTGCAGACAGCCTATTGTGGGACCTTGTGATTGTGTTAGTTAATACTTAATAAACTCTCATATAGATATAGATATAGATATAGATACACACATATATATCTCTATATATAGATATAGATACACACATATATCTATATATAGACATAGATATATACACACATATATATCTATATATAGATATAGATACACACATATATATCTATATATAGATATAGATATAGATACACACATATATATCTATATATAGATATAGATATAGATACACACATATATATCTATATATATAGATATAGATATATATACACATATATATCCTACTAGTTCTGTCTCTCTAAGAGAACCCTGAGTAATACAGAATGCGAAACAGAAATGCAATGGCATAAGAAAATATGACAGTTTTGGTGAAGGTAAATATATAGACAAATACAGGTAGTTAAATCACTTTTTATTACAGAATAACAGTTAAATGTGTTCAAAATAAGCATAACTAAAAATGTTAAGAGATATACAATATAAATAGATGTAAATTATGACTATAACATAAGGTGGTATGGTAGTTAACATATAGGGTTTTGTATGTGGTTAAATTTATGTTGTTATAAGCTTAAAATAGACTATTATATAATATTTTATGTAAACCTTCAGGTAAACAAACAAACTACAGAAGTTACAGAAAAGAAAAAAGAAAAGAATCAAGTAATATCAACTAAGAAAATCCACAGATATAAATAAAGACAAACAAGACTAACAGAAAAACAGAAAGCAACAAACAAAAGGCAATAGTAAATACTTTTATATCAATAATTATTTAAATGTAAATTGATTAAATTATACAATCAAAAGACATAGATTGGCTAAATGAATTCAAAAACAAGATTCAACAATATGCTGTCTATAAGAAACTCACTTCATGTATTAGTCCGTTTTCACACTGCTATAAAGAAATACCTGAGACTGCCTAATTTATAAAGGAAAGAGGTTTAATTGACTCACAGTTCCACATGGCTGGGGAGGCCTCAGGAAACTTACAATCATGGTGGAAGGTGAAGGAGAAGCAAGCACCTTCTTCACAAAGTGGCAGGATAGAGGAGAGAAGGAGAACCTTCCAAAAAAATACAAACAATCAGATCTCGTGAGATCTCACTCACTATCATGAGAGCAGCATGGAGGAAACCACCCCATAATCTAGTCACCTCCATATTTTGACATGTGGGGATTACAATTTGAGATGAGATTTGAGTGGGGACACAGAGCCAAACCATATTATTTCACTTTGGCCCCTCCCAAATCTCATCTTTTCACATTTCAAAACCAATCATGCCTTCCCAACAGTCCCCCAAAGTCTTAACTCATTTCAGCACTAACTCAAAAGTCCACAGTCCAAAGTCTCATGTGAGACAAGGCAAGTCCCTTCCACCTATGAGCTTATAAAATCAAAAGCAAGTTAGTTACTTCCTAGATACAATGGGGGTACAGGCATTTGGTAAATATACCCACCCAATTCTTGTCTTCTGTGCACCTGCCAAATATCACATGTAACCTGTCAAGGCTTAGGGTTTGCACCCTCTGAAACAACAGCCTGAGCTATATGTTGGCCCCTTTTACCGGGGCTGGAGCTGGAGCAGCTGAGTCACAGGGCACCAAGTCCTGAAGCTACTCAAAACAGTGGGGCCCTGTGCCAGGCCCACATAATTATTTTTCTCTCTTAGGCCTCCAGGCCTGTGAGGAGAGGGGCTGCCATGAAGGTCTATCTATGACATTCCTTGGAAAAATGTTCCACATTGTCTTGGTGATTAACATTTGACTCCTTGTTACTTATGCAAAATTCTGCAGCTGGCTTGAATTTCTTTTCAGCAAATGGGTTTTTCTTTTCTATCACATAGTCAGGCTTCCAATTTGCTAAACTTTTATGTTGTGCTTCTTCTTTTAAAACATTAAGTCCCAATTTCAAATAATATCTCTCAAGTTCAAAGTTCCACAGATCTCTAGGGCAGGGGCAAAATCCCACCAGTCTCTTTCTAAAGTGTAGCAAGAGTGATCTTGACTCCAGTTCCCAAGAAGTTCCTCATCTCTATCTGAGATCACCTCAACCTAGACTTCATTGTCAGCATTACTATCAGTATTTTGGTCAAAACCATTCAACAAGTCTCTAGGAAGTTCTAAACTCTCTCACATCTTCCTGTCTTCTTCTGAGCCTTCCAAACTATTCCTCTGCCCACTACTGAGTTCTAAAGTTGCTTCTACATTTCGAAGTTTCTTTATAGCAGTACACCACTCTACCAGTACCAATTTACTATATTATCCCATTTTCACACTGCTGTAGAGAATACCTGAGACTGAGTAATTTATATATTTAAAAAAGAGGTTTAATTGACTCATAGTTCCTCATGGATGGGGAGGCCTCAGGAAACTTACCGTCATGGTGGAAGGGGAAACAGGCACATGTTACATGGCGGTAGCTGAGAGAGAGAGAGAGTGAAGGGGGAATAGCCCCTTATAAAACCATCAGATCTCATGAGAACTCACTTACTATCAATGACAACAACATGGCGGAACTGCCCTCATGATCCAATAACCTTCCCTCAACATATGGGGATTACAATTTGAAATGAGATTTGGGTGGAGACACAGAGCCAAACCACATCATTTCATATTTAAGGTCACACACAAGCTAAAAGTTAAGGGGTGGAAAAAGGTATGTCGTGCAAATGGTAAGTAAAAGAGAGCAGGGGTAGTTATATTTACACCAGGTAAAATATTTAAGAAATTTAAGCCAAAAACTGTCACAAGAGACAATGAAGGTCATTATAAAATGATAAAAGGGTCAATACACTAGGAGGATATAACAGTTACAAATATTTATACATAGGTGTGTGTGTGTGCCCTACATCAGAGCACCTAAATATATAAAGCAAATGTTGATAGAACTGAAGAAATAAATAGACAAGCAATACAATATTACTTGCGAACTTTAGTATCACACTTTCAAAGGTGGACAGAACATCAAGATGGAAGATGAATAAGGATACAAGGCACTTAAATAACAGTACATACTGAATGAACCTAACAGACATGTACAGAATCTTCCACCCAGCAACAGCAGAATACACACTCTTCTTAAGAACACATGAATCTTTATCCAGGATAGATTACATATTCAGTCACAAAACCAGTCTGAACAATATAAGAAGATTTTAATTATACCTAATATTCTTTCTGAGCATAATGGAATGAAACTAGAAAACAGTACCAGAAGGAAATGAAAAAATTCACAAGTAAGTGGAAATTAAACAACACACTCTTGAACAACCTTTGGGTCAAAGAAGAAATCAAAAAGGGACTTAGAAAATACCTTTAGACAAACTAAAATAAATACAACACACCAAAACAAATAAGCAAACTCATATTACACAACTAATCAGAAAATGAAGAATAAACTATGCTTAAAGTTTGGGATACTTCCTAACTGGAGATCGTGTCCCTGGTGGAAGGCCATAAGATCCCCTAGCACCAGCTTCACCCAGGGGAAAGAAAGCGTCAGTTTATATATCCAGTGCCCCAACTTTTCTGAGAAGGCTTCCCAGAGGACTGGTTTCTTCCTTGCGAGTCCTGGAACTCTGATGGGTTTAGCACAGTCTGGCCACCCAGCATAAAGAAAAAAAACAACAAAAATTAGTGCAAATAGAAATAAAACAGAAAACAGAAAAACAATAGAAATAAACAATAAAAGTAAGAATATTTTTTGGAAAGATAAACAGACCAATCTTTGGCTAGACTAACTATAAAAGGAAAAGAGAAGACTTAAGTGAGTTCAGAAATGAAGGAACAGTTATTGCAACACATACTCTACAAAAAAAAAAAAAATTAGAAGGCCAGGCCCAGCAGCTCATGCTTGTAATCCTAGCACTTTAGGAGGCTGAGTGGGAGTATTACTTGAGCTCAGGAGTTCGCAATAAGCCTAGGAAACATGGCAAAAACCCCATCTCTACAAGAAATAATAATAATAAAAAGCTGGGTATGGTGGCATGTGCCTGTAGTTTCAGCTACTCAGAATGCTGAGATGAGAGGATTACCTGAGCCCAGGGAAGTCAAGGCTGCAGTGAGCCCTGATCACACAACTGCACTGCAGCCTGGGTGACACAGTGAGACCACCGTCTCAAATAAATAAATAAATAAATAAATAAAAGAACATAAGACAATACTACGACCAATTATATGCCAACAAACTGGATAACTTAGAAGAAATCAATAAATTACTAGAAACATAAAACCTACCAAGATGAATCCTGAAGAAATAGAAAGTGTTAACAGATTTATAGCTGGTATGGAGATTGAATCCCTAATCAAAAACCTCCAAAAACAAAAATCACAGGAGCAGATGGCTTCACTGGTGAATTCTACTAAACATTTAAGGAACAAACACCCATCATTCTCAAACTCTTCCAAAAAACTGAATAGAAGGGAAAGTTCCCAAACTCATTTTACAAGTCCAGTATTTTCCTGATACCAAAGCCAGACAAAGATAAAGAAAACAGCAAGTCAATATCCCTGATGAATATAGACACAGAATCCTCAACAAAATACTAGCAAATTGAATCCAAAATTACATTAAAAGGATCATCAACCATAACTGAGTGGGATTTATTTCTATGATGCATGGATGATGGTTCAATACACAGAAGTCAGTTAATGTGATACGCCACATTACCTGAAAAAGTAAAATTCGCATGATCGTCTAAATAGAGGTAGAAAAATATTTGAATATTTGACAAAATTTAGTACTCTTTGATCATAAAAGCTCTCAAGATACCAGAGATAGGACCAGGTATGGTTGCTCAAGTCTGTAATCTCAGAATTTTTGGATGCCGAGGCAGGAGCATCACTTGAGCTCAGGAGTTTGAGAATAGCCTGGGCAACACAGTGAACCCTCATCTCTACAAAAAAATAAATAATAAATAAAAAATTATCTGCATACGGTGGCACGCACCTGCATTCACAGCTCCTCTGCAGGCTGAGGCACGAAAATCACTTGAGCCTAGGAGGTCGAGGCTGCAGTGAGCCATGATTGCACCACTGCACTCCAGCCTGATTGACAGACCAAGACCGTATCTCAAAAAAAAAAAAAAAAAAAAAAAAAGGAAAGAAACTTGGAATGTAAGGAAATTACCTCAGAGCTCAACATCATACTCAATGATAAAAAAAAGATTTTCCTATAAAATCAGGAACAGGCAAGAATGTTTCCTTTCTCTGTTTCTATTCAATAGAGTATTGGAGGTCCTAGCCATAGAAATTTAGCAAGCAATAGAAATAAAAGGCACCAAATTGGAAATGGAACAGTAAAACTGTCATTTTAAGAGGTTATGATCTTATATATAAGTAATTCTAAAGAGTCTACTTAAAAATCTATTAGAACTAATAACCGAATTTAGTGAAGTTTCAGGATAAAAGATCAACACACAACAATCAGTTGCATTTTTATACACTAAATTGAAATATCTTAAAAGGAAATTTTTGTACAATTTCATGTACAATAGCACTAAGAAGAATAAAATAACTAGGAATAAAATGTAACTAAGAAGGTGAAAAACTTGAATACTAAAAATTACAAAACATTTATGTTAGACAAGACACAAACAAATGGAAATCTATCCCATTCATGGACTGGAAGACTTAATATTATTAAAATGTCCACACTACTGGAAGTAATCTACAGATTCAATGTAATCCCTAGCAAAATTTGAATGGCATTTTTCACAGAAATAGATAAAATTCTAAAATTTCTATGTGATAAGAAAACACATGAATAGTTAGGCCAATCTTGAGAAAGAAGATAAAAACTGGAAGCATCACACATTCTGAATTCAAAATGTGTTACAAAGTCACAGTAATTAAAACAGTATAGTACTGACATCAAGACAGATATATAGACCAATGTAACTCAATAGAGAGTCCAGAAATAAACCCAAGTATGTATGGTCAACTGATCTTCCATAAAGGTTCCAAGAATAGAAAATGAGAAAAGCACAGTCTCTTTGACAAATGATGGTGGAAAAACTGGATATCCACATGCAAAAAAAAAGAGAAAGAAACTAGACCTTTTTATTACACCATATACAAAAATCAACTGAAAATGGAACAAAGGTTTAAACCCAAGACAAGAAACTATAAAACTCCTAGAGGAAACCCCAGGGAAAAACCTTTACATCAGTGGTCTTGAAAATGATTTCATGGATATGCCACCAAGACCACAGGCAAGAAAAATAAAAATAAGCAACAGGGACCACATCAAACTAAAAAGCTTCTATATGTCAAAAGAAACAATAGAATGAAAAAACAAGTAAAGAATGGGAGGAAATATCAGATAACTATATATCTGATAAAGGTTGAGTTTCCAAAATATATACAGGAACTCCTACAACTCAATAGTAAACAAAACAAAAACCCTAATAACCCGATTTAAAAATGGGTTAAAGAGTGGAAAAGATATTTCTCTAGAGAATACATGCAAATGGCCAAAAGGTACATAAAAGGTGCTCAACATCACTAATTATCACAAAAATGCAAATCAAAACCACAATGATATATTACCTCTCACCTACCAGAATGGTTATTATATATATATTTGATATATATGATATATATATATATATGATATATGTATATATAAATCAAGAACAGAAACAATACCAAAGGCAACAAATGATGGTGATTTCCAGGTTCAGTTCAGTTTTAATACATATATATAGCAAATGCTGGTGACGATAAGGAGAAATTAGAACCCTTGACCATTATTGGTGGGAATGCAAAGTAGTGCAGCCACTACGGCAAACAGTATGACAGTTCCACACACACAAAAAAGACACCTATCATCCTACCATATGATCTGGCAATCCCACTTCTGATAATTTTTCCAAAATATTTGCAATCAGAATCTTTAAAATATATTATCAATCCTATATTCATTGCATCTTTATTAAAATAGCCAATATGCGGAAATAACTTAAATGCCCATAAACAGAATGGATAAAGAAAAATGTGGGATATACATAAAATGCGATACTATTCAGCTTTAAAAACAAAAAAGGAAACTCTGCGATATGCGACAACATGGATTTCAAGTGAAATAAGACAGTCACAGAAAGACAAATGTTGCATGATTCCCCTTATGTGGGGTATCTAAAATAGTCAAATTCAGAATCAAAAAGTGGAATGATGGTTACCAGGGGCTAGGGAGAGGTTAAATGGGGAGTTACTACTGATCAACTGGCATAAATTTCAGTCAAGCTAGATGAGTAAGCTCTGAGATCTGCTGTACAGCATTGTACCTATAGTCAACAAAAATGAATTGTACACTTAAAAATTCCTTAAGGCTGGGCACGGTGGCTCACGCCTGTAATCCCAGCACTTCGGGAGGCTGAGGCGGGCAGATCACCAGGTCAGGTGATCGAGATCAGCCTGGCCAATATGGTCAAATCCCGTCTCTATTAAAAATACAAAAATTAGCCAGGCGTGGTGGCACACACCTGTAGTCCCAGCTACTCGGGAGGCTGAGGCAGAAGAATCGCTGCCACCCAGGAGGCAGAGGTTGCAGTGAGCCAAAATTGCACCGCTGCACTCCAGCCTGGGTGACAGAGCAAGATTCCATCTCAAAAAAAAGAAGAAAAAAATTATTAAGAAGGTAGATTTCATGTTAAATGTTTTTATCACAAGAAAATAAAATAGAATTACATTAAATTTTTAAAAAAGACAAAAAGGAAACTAGGTCCTTCCCTAAAGGAACTCACACTGCAGGGTAAACAAAGGACAGAGAACTGTACAAGTACACTACTACAAAGAGATGATTACCGTAATAAATGTATGGTTAAAGTGCTATTAAGAAGGACAAAGCTAACAATTTATAATAGAGAACGGTGAGATGAGAAGTCAAATAATTTTTAAGAATTCTTGTGAAGTTTTTTATATATAATTCACTGCCTGTAATTAAATGGATGTCTTTCTATATATTCAGAACTGTTAAAAGCATGTGTCTGTTTTCTATCAATTAGATTTTTTGTTTCCCAGGAAATATGAAATGCAATAACATCATAGAAATTTAGAGACAGGAGTGACCTTAAAAAAGAGTTTAGCACCGAATTACAGTTGATTTAAAAATAGAACAAAACTGTTTCCAGATAGTTTGGGATATGTTCAATTTGGGGACACAAATTTGGTTGTTAGGAGAATAATGCTATCACCCCTGTCTCTTGCTTCAACTTCCAATCCAAGATTTTGTCTAGAGCATGAATCTTTTTATTCTTATTTTGTTCTGTGCCTGTTATTGTTTCTGTGTTTTGTTTGTCTATTTTTTATTCAGTGCATAGCAAAATCCTAAACTTCAGAAGATATAAAGATGCCTGTAACATAATGAATAGACTTCTTTTGGCCTCTAGAAAAAATTCAGAACAGTACCACAGCACTTTATTAAAGATGTGCGGTTGTTCTGAAACAGTCAGTTTGGCTCTGAAAATCATACTTCATGCCTTAAGAGAAATTTATGCACTGCCAAATCTTTTGTAAATCTCATTTCACAAACTGTGTTTGAGGAATACTGAAATCGATGCTATTCACACAGACAATATTAGCAAATGTATTTTTTCCATGCAAAATATATGCTTGTCATTTTTATTATCTACTAGTATGCGTATGCTTATTACTGATGTAAAAGATTTATTTAAATATTTCCCACGGCCTTCAGCTCTTCTGAGGCCATGTAACAAAATTATCTTGTATTTCATTAATTTTTTCTCTATCTTGCTATTATGTTGGTAGTTCTATTACTATTGATTTTGGTAATCATCCCAAAATGTCAGTTAGGCTTAGCTTTAAAAAGAAAAAAGAAGAGATTGACAGAGTCAATGAATCTTCCCAAAGTTTCTTATGTTTATAAATGTCTATTTTATAAAGAAAAAGCTTTTAAATTCATTAGGTGTGCTTTGTGGAAGATGTTATCCTAAAACTGTGTTATTAAGTTGTATTCTAACAGGCCTTTTTGTTTGAGCTACTCAGTTGATTTCTTAGCTTCAGTAAGTAAATATGATCCTACCTACCAAGTCTTACAAACAAATTTTTAATATTCACAAAAGATACATTATCTTAATTGCCCTTCTTTAGTCAAATGGCTGCACATTTAACATAGGCTTGAGAAGCAGTCACTTTTCTATATCTTTAAATGAAAAAGAGCTATTTATTGCTATGTTGAAATTATTGCTTGGCTCAATATTCCATTTTTATACTTCAGAAATAAGAAATTTCACTTACTGTTAAAGAAACTGTTCCTTACATGTTATCATTTGAAAGTCAACAAGAAATTGTATTTATTGATTGTGAAAATTGAACTCAAAGTACATTTCAAGAAAATTTACATAATAAGTATAAATACTATATATGATCTTAGAAAACATTATTTGCACATTGATTTCATAGTACTGCTGGAATCATGGAGAGATTTTAAAACCATTATTCTGAATTGAATCTGCTTCTGAGAATTGTTTTGAGTACATCATTCTATCTTTATAACTTGTCCTTTAGTAATTATGCTTGTATAATATTTGTACCCTTACAGATGTTTATATTTTAAAATTCTCATACCAACATTATTTCAATATTACTCTTTCATAATGTATTAAAAAGCCTTACAAATATTTCATTATATATTTTTATTTCAAATTGCTATAAACTCTATCAGGACATTTTGGTTGTAACAATCTAAGTTCCATACAACTATATCTAGTGTAAGTGAAAATGAAATTTGGAGGCTTATAAAACTGAAAGCTCCAGGGTAGATTTGACTTAAGACATATTGGTATTCAAGAATTGAAAACATCATCAGGCCTCTCTCTTCATCCCTGGGTAGTCTTTGGTTTTAGGAATGCTTTTCTACCTTGTTGGCAAATATGATCCCTGGAAGCACTAGAATTACTAATATTTCCAGAGGTAAGAGTTGTATTTTACTCATGAACCCAGAAAAATAACTCCCAGAGATGGCTTTTATTGGCTCAGCTGGAGTCATCAACCCATTCTTGAATCACTAACTGGGGCGAGGGTATGAACTACTCTAGTGAACTGGGCTTGGACTACATGCCTGCATTGAAGCCAGAAGTCAGCCTCATTGAAGCCACTGTAACAGATGGCAGATACAGGCATGACTTCTCAATATAAAAAAGTATAGAGTCTGCAAACTTATTAATTCACATAGCTTTATATAGCTACAAATAACACTCATACTTTCATCTATATTTCCATTTTTAGAGATATGAAAAATAATATGCTAGTTTCAAGATATTCAGTAAGTCCATAGGCATACCTAACATGGAATATATTATGACATTTAATCAGCCTTATTGAAAATCTGAGCTTTTTACCAGGTTCTCTGAATCCTGTCAAAATACCTGAATTTCAGAGCTAACATTTAAGAACTAACAGTAAAAAAAGAGGAGTATAGAAGGAAACAGTCATATGAACTTTGCGACCTAGACAGTTGCTTGCTTAATTTTTTAGTCACGGTTATACTGTCAGAACCTGAATACTTGAGTTAGGAGATGAAACACATACAATGAATGAGAGTAACTGAGGATCAATATCCAAGTTTTGACTAATGATTGAAGTTCAGTGTGCAGTCAACTGCAAATCGTCTATCACTCAGTATCATAACAAACTTAATATATCCCTTTTACTCTCTCAAGGCAATACTGAGAACAACTAACAGAATTTCAGCAGCTATGTCAGTTGATCAAATAACACACTCTACTTCCAGGGAATACAACAAAGAAAAGAGGTCTATTTATTAAATAATTACATATTGAGTGACTGCTATGTGTCTGGTACTAGGAATATATCAGTCGATAAAACAAACAAATATCTCCACCCCTATACACCTGATGTTCTATTAGACCAAGGTATACTGATCCTATTTTTAACTTTTCACTAAGAGGGAATTTGATTTTTTTTATCTATTATAACATATTGGGTATCTTGGCTTGTTAAATTGATTAGTATTGAGTGAAGTACTGTTTGAGGTATGATCATGGCATGATGCAGACTAATTTGAAGAGGCCATGACTTTAGCTATGCTGTCACACAGAAAGCCCAAACTTAACAAGAGTAACTTTTATGCTGTCCCATTCCACCTCCGCCCTGTTTGTCAGGCTTGGCATATTTTTGTAAATAACAATTCTGTAAAAATCATAGTTAGCTGGACAAGTGTTGAATTTTTCTCTTTAGTTGGGGGGGAGAAACTTTTTTGTTTATATGTAGGATATTTAAAATTCATTAAAGGGGGACATTTTAATAATCTACATACAAAAGGAAGAGCAAAAGAGAATGTATATTGGGGTTGGTTGAGAGTCAGTATGGGAGTGTGCTGTACAGCTCAGCAGAGAATGGTGGTGAACATCTTCACAATGTCCTTCTGGGAAGCACTCTTCTCCACTTAGCAATATGATTCCTTCAAGGCTGTTGGAGGCTGAAAGGTTGAGGGTCGTGATCAACTCAGTATTAACACTGGAGGCTGTATGAGTAAACAGCAAACTCTTCTCATAAATGCAGAATGTTGGCAAACTGACAAACTGCATCTGCCACCCAGAAGGAATGCTGAGGGCAGTCACAACCCAGGCACAAGTGTTTCTTGTTATTAGGCACATCTGAAGCCTGTTAGCAATAATGTGAACTGTGATCGATTAAGCAGCTGACCAATCGTTACCTCCTCCACCCTGCTCTTTCTACCCAATAAATAGGAAGGGCTGTGGAAGCTCAGGGGCTGCCTTTGCTCACTAGAAGCAGGGAGCTCTCTTCTTCCCCTGGCCTGTTCCTTTAAAACAGTTTCTTTTGTCTTAAGTTTTCATTTCTACGTTCATTCCCCTTTGTTCAGTCTCGTAATGGTGGTCTCAAGCAGTAACAGTAGTAACTGCTGTAATGATGGTCTCAAATAGTAGCAGTGGCAGTCTGCCACACAAGGCTGCCATGTTGTTATGTGAATTAGTCCTTTTCCATGCTGCTGATGAAGACAAACCCGAGAAGGGCAATTTACAAAGGAAAGAAGTTTGATGGGCTTAGAGTTCCACGTGGCTGAGGAAGCCTCAAAATCATGGCAGAAGGCAAGGAAATGCAAATCATGTCTTTCATGGATGGCAGCAGGCCAAGAGAGAGCTTGTGCAGGAAAACTCCCCTGTATAAAACCATCAGATCTCTGCCTGGCGCAGTGACCCATGCCTGTAATCCCAGCAATTTGGGAGGCCGAGGAGGGCAGATCACGAGGTCAGGAGATTGAGACCATCCTGGCTAACACGGTGAAACCCCATCTCTACTAAAAATTCAAAAAAATTAGCTGGGCTTGGTGGCGGGTGATGGTAGCCCCAGCTACTCAGGAGGCTGAGGCAGGAGAATGGTGTGAACCCAGGAGGTGGAGCTTGCAGTGAGCCAAAATCATGCCACTGCACACCAGCCTGGGTGACAGAGCAAGACTCCGTCTCAAAACACACACACACACACACACACACACACACACATCAGATCTCATGAGACTCATTCACTATCATGAGAATAGCATGGGAAAGACCTGAGCCCATGATTCAATTACCTCCCACCAGATCCCTCCCACAACACATAGGAATTCAAGGTGAGATTTGGGTGGGGACACAGCCAAACCATACCATTATGTGACCCCCAACTCTGGCAGCAGATATTTTGCCTCAGAAATGGCTGCATGATCCAAAGTAGGAAAATGGTTCTTTTCATGGGATTTTAAATTTTGGACTAAAATAATCAATTTTTTTTCTATGACTTTAGATATAACATTTAGGATGTGTTTGTTTCCTATCTTCAGCCATGTAGAGAGAGGCAGCCTGAGAGAAGAATAATGCCACAACAAAGAGAAGCAGTGATAAGAGGAAGCAGCTTCTAATGGTGTCCATGCCCTTCTTTACAAGTATTTCTGATAAATTTTTCCTGTTGCTGAGGATGGTTCAAGTAGATTCTTTTGTCACTGACAAACACAGCGCATTAACTAATGCACAATTAAATGTTATTAAGTGTCATTAAATGTCCTCATACTTTGTCCTTATAATTTTTAGTTTCTTTTTTTCTCTGTCAATTTCAACTCTTGACTTCTTTAGCTACTTCCTTCTTAGTTGGGAAGCCAATTAAACAAATCCGTTATAATTGCCTCTAAACTAAGGTCAGATGCACTTTGTGATAGTGTGGACTGTTCCTTTTTAATTAGAATGCCTGAGCATTAGTGAGTGGATCTTGTGACATCTATTTTAACAGCTTAGGGTCTTTTTGTTTTCTTTTACAAGCCAAACTTTATTAAGTGAGATATGTTAGGGTGATCCACTGTCCAGAGGGTTCCCAGGATGCAGGACTTTCAGTAACAAAACCAAAAAAAGTCCTGGTTTAATGGGACAAGATGGCCACACTAATGCTGGAATTGGCTTCTTGAAAATGTGAGGCATCATTTTATACTTAAGTGCTTAGGCTCTGGAGCTAGCTCCTCTGGGTGAAAATCCTGGCTCTGCTGTTTAATGCACCATCTTGGTAAAATTCTTTACCTGTTTGTATGTCAGTTTTCTCCATCTGTAAAATGGGCGTAATAATGATGTTTGCCTCTTAGGTATATTTTAAGCATTAAGTTAGTTAATATATATAGTCCTGAATATAATGCCTTACAGTAAACACATTAATTTTAGTTGCTATTGCTATTCTTATTATTGAGTTTTTAGTTGCTACAGCCAAATAGATGGCAATGAATTTAGAGTAAATTTGAGTACTGGACTTCCCACAAAGTTTAAGTAGAGCATATATCCTAAAATGCTCTGAACTATCACTATTATCCAGATATTAGTTCTTCCATTAGATTTGCATATCATTTTTTTTCTGTTTTCCCCAATCTTCACATTATCATTAAGCATTATTCTGCATTTGATTTGTAAAATGAAGCTATGCATTTGCCCTATAACTTTTCCCACTCTTTCCTTTCCCTATGTCCAGGCATAAAGAAACAGGAAAAGAAGTAAGAAAAATAGGAGGAGAGAGAAACAATCACCTTGTCATACAATGTCACAGTGGTCATATCCTAGTCAGAATAAAATTTGGTATTTGCTCTATATCTACATCCAATGAAGTTTTCACTCAATCTATATCCAATGGCTTTCTTTTTATTTATTCTTTCCTAAAACGAATTCTTTTAGAAGACCATTTTATAGAATATAGCAGTTTTTAAAAAATCAATAAAACATGACAGAGTATATTTTTAAGTGCAGTACCAATTGAGATCACAAAAAATAATAATAATAATAATGGCTCTTACCTTTTATTAGGGGACTTAATTCAGGAAAAGTATACTGGATCAAATGTTTCACATATGTCACAACTCATTTTTGGCCTTACAACACTTTTCAAGGTAAGTAAGCACCCTTTTTATTTCATTTACATAAAGGATAGAACTGTGGGATAAGTTGCAGCTCAGAGAAAATAAGCAGTTTCTCAAGTAATATAAAGAGTATTAGTATGTGTTTGTGTTTTATTTTGCTCAGACAAAATTAATAATTTTCTTATTCTTTTATTTCTGGTCATGTTCTAGTTCATGTCATGTTCTAGTTCCATCATTCATCTAATCTTCCAGAGTTGCTGTAACTATACTTGCCTTAGGACTAGATGAGATGGACAATTTTGTACATTTTTGTACTCAACTAGATTTGAGTACCATTTCTTTTAGTCTGAGCAGGGCGTTTTCTGAGAATCTGCCAGCCAGTATACCCCAGTAGTTCAGCTTATCTGTCTTACCATGGATTCTGTTCTGAAATTGTATTTTGGATCTAGTTAACTGACCCAATACTCTGTGACCTCACACCTAAGTCCTTGATGCATACTCTGGTTTATCTTTGACTAAGTCTAACATTTTATTGAAACATAGCCACATTCATTCATTGGCATGTCAACTATCACTGTCTTCATGCTATAATAGCAAAGTTGAGTACAGTACTTGCAAAAGAGACCATATGACCTGCAAAGGCTAAATTATTTACTATCTAGATCTTAACATAAAAAGTTTGCCAACCCGTAGACTAGTCTTTCAACTCCAGACTCATTGGGTACCTCTAATGGGGTTTTCCATTCACTATGTCTATACCTACTGTTTTTTGCCTATAGTTGAGAAACCTGCCTGCTGGACCACCTCGTTAAATCTCTTAGTTAAACCTCTTATAATTGACTCATGTCTGTGTATACTCCATGTCCTGCTTACACTGAATCTGGACCATTGAAAAGCCTTAAGTATGACATATTTTAATGAAGCGACTCTGTTTTATCTTTATCAGTCCATTTGTTCTAATTAGCTCAACAGGAAGGTGAGTTGAAATGCATTGGCACCCTACAGATAGGACAATGACAACACAGGTAAGGGGTTGGGGTCATCAATTCTTTTTCTTTTCCCAACCACAAGTACCATTTCTAACATACATTATGTTCATACTGTTTTTATTTCCTTGTTTTGAAATGACATTTAGGATAGAAAAAGTACAGAGAATTTTTTGAGGGGAGGCATGTTCTGACCTTTACTTTATATAAAAGGGAATAAGAGCAGAATTATGAAAAAGACTTCAATATCCACATCCTTTCACAGGAGGGTAGGAGTTCACCAAGCAGGGAAGAGATTAGAAGATAATCGCTATTATATCAAATTAGAGCATTTTCAAAATCATAGCTACAGCTATAGAACTCCCACTGAAAACAAGCTAAAATTAAAAATTCTCAGGTCTATAACTGTGGCTCCCCATTGGTGGAATATACTTTGGAGTACAGTTTGCATGACTGTTCTTTGAGGCAAGAAATTTTCCCTCCTCTGTTAATCCTAACTGGGCTAGGCTGTCGCTGATTAAGACAACTCTCTAAGATTTGGAGCCAAGCGATGAACTGTGCAACCCAAACCTGGTGCTCATGGCTAGAAAGTATCAGGGACATGGATGTTTCCAGAATAAGCACCAGAAGCCCCAAATTCTTCAATAAAGTCTCTGCTCCTGTGACTTTCTTATATAAAATAACTGTGCTGACACAGATTATAGGAAGAACAGGTTCCCACTTGAACTTAGGGAGCTTTCTATTTAGTGCAAATTGAGAAAACAGGGGAAGCAGGTGCTTTATAATAAAGGATTTGTATTCCACTGCCACTGTTACCAGGGAGAGAGCAAACCACATTTTATTTCTGGTTTCATACAGAATGCTCCTTGAAAAACGTAAGCCTAGGAAGCAGCACCTGTTGTACATAGGTGATTTCCCCCACTGATAGATTCAAACTGCTGGCCTGACTTTCTGATTACCTAAAGCTGTTTCTCATACATCTGTCATAACTTATAACAAGACATTTAAAAGGATGTCTGACAACCAATGTGAAAAGCTATTTAGTCCTCAGTCTAGCTTTTCAAATGGTAGTACATTGATCAGTTAGGCAGTTTAATGAATCTGCCATCTTGTATCAGCAGTTATTCTCTAAATTAAGTCATATTCCATATAAAAACCTTATTGTTATTCAAGGCACTTCCCAGCTCCAGCTGTAAGACTGGATTAAATCAATATGTTCCTATGAGAAACAGCTTCTTGGGGAAGGCAATGTTAAAGTGCACAAGGTAACAACAAAAGAAAAATACAGGATTTCATTTTACTAATGAAGTTCCAAGGTGTGTTTTCATACACTTATAGTAATTTCTCTTTTCACAGGCTCTTCCTTTGGAGTCACTGCCCCAAAATAATATGTATAATCTCACTCACTGAAAACGAGAAGGTAGGTCGCAGGAGTCATCTTAGCTAATGTCAGCATATCTTACACATGGCCTGGGATAGTTGGATGACTGAGCAAGCTGCCCTCTTTTATCCAATGATATAGATATAGAATAGAGTTAGATTTTCTCTCCCCTTGTCTCTGCATTTACATTATGGACTCTAAGTGGCATTCTAATCCTGTCACGATTATAGGTAAATTAGAAAATAGTGTAGACTTTATTTTTATGACAAACCAACCTATGTTCAATTCTAGGATCTCCTATTTACTATGTGCATAAACTAAACCAAATCACTTAACTCTTTTGTAAAATAGGTCACTATTTTCCTGTTTGTTTTACAATGTTATTGTGTCTTTTATTCATTTTGTATCCTCATGAGCTAGACTAAGGCTTGACACATGGTAGGAACTCTAAAAAGTTTTGTGGAATGAATGAAAGTGCTGTGAAACCCTGTAAAGCTCCACACTCCATGCTCTGGTATAATGATCAGACATTTTAAGCCAATGAATGTGGCTGATCACATTCAATGTATGTGACATTTTTAGCCCATGTTCTTCACCCTGGCCTATTTGTTCATCTTTTGTCATTTGATTCTATAGCTTTTCTACCAGTGACAGACAAAGTGCATTTCTTTGCCCATTGTCTTCTGGCTTAGACCTGGAATTAAAAGAAAGTGTGTGCAAACGAGTTTTCTAGGTAAGCCTAGTCCATCAGAGGCATTGTACAGTTCAGCTTGCTCTCTTGCTTTCTGCCATTACTGTGGCAGGCCAGGTCTCACTAATGCAGGCCTCCATAACAACTGCTTCAGTACTGAGTGGTTAAATTAAATATTAAATATTAAACGCTAAAAAAAGCCAGTGCCCTTATAAAAAGATGGAATGTAATCAAAGCCCACCAAGAGTTTTGCCCAGGCCTTTCCTGGACCTTAAAGCATGACAAAGTAATGAAAGAATTCTTAACAGGACCCATTCAGGATTAAACAAGTTCTATTAGGGGTCTGAAGAAATTCCCAATAAACAAACAAGTTTACTGGAGATCTGATGGCACTCCCCAAACCTCTGTGATTTAGCAGCAGACAAGATAAGGGTAATCACCCCAGCACCTGGACTCATTTAGATTAAGTAAATTTAATGAGGCTCCAGAGGAAGGTCTTCAGGACTCAGACCTTAGTTACAGATTAAAATAACTTAATCACTTATGTCTTTAGATGAATGCACACTTACGTGTAGACACACAGCTAAGAAGGTATATAAGCTCTGGAAAACTTTGTAATTTTGAGTTGGCCTGACAATAATTTCCAGGCTTTCTCCCTGTAGCTGATTACAGAAATAAAACTCTTTTCCTTCTCAGTTCATCTGCATCTTGTTATTGGGCCATGAGAAATAGCAGCCCGACCCTCAGTTTGGTCTGAGAACATTACCATGAGAACATAGCCCAGCTAACTTATTGATCCAAGGCGGATGAGAGACATGTGGAACATTTTCAAGCTGAACCTACAGGTTATAGCCTCCTAGCCAAGCCCAGACTGCATTAGCTGAACCCCTACTGAATTGCAAAAGCATGAGCAAAATACTTATTGTTTTGGGTCCCTGAGATTTTGTAGTTATTTTTAAGGCAGTAACAGCTAACTAATATACCATGCAATGTAAATGCTCACTGATTAAGTACCTTGTAATGATACATTCTTAGAGAGGGAAAAGTGAAAAAGGCAAACATGGAATAGATATAGCCCAACTCTCAAGAGTTTAAAAGTTATTCTGTCTCCACCAAATACTGTAAGAATTAATAGACAAATTCAGTAAAGTTACAGAATTCAAAATCAATATACAAAACGAGCTGTGTTTTTAATACACTAACAACAAAGCATCCAAAAAGTTTAAGAAAACACCATTTACAATAACATCAAAAAGAATAAAACACTTAGGAATAAATTTAACCAATTAGGTGAAATATCTGTACACTGAAAAGTATAAAACACTGATAAAATAAATTGAGGAAGACACAAATAAATGCACAGACATTCCATGTCCATGGATTGGAAGAGGTAATATTGTTAAAATGACCATACTACCCAAAGTAATTTACAGATTCAACAAAATCCCTATCAAAATTTCCATGGCATTTTTCACAAAAAGAAAAAAATTCTAAAAATTAATGTGGAACCACAAAGACCCAAAATAGCCAAAGCAATCTCAAGAAAGAAGAATAAAGCTGGAAGTATCATACTTCTTGATTTTTAAATATCTTGCAAAGGTATAATAATCAAAACAATATAGTTCTGGCATAAAAACAGACTATAGACCAATGAAACAAAATATAAAGCCCAGAATTAGTCACACATTTGTAGTTAACTAATTTTTGACAAAGGCACCAAGAACACAAAATGGGCAAGGATAATCTCTTCAACAAATGGTGCTGGGAAAATTGGAATATCCACATACGGAGAATGAATTGAACTCTTATCTTAACCATATACAAAAATCAAATCATAATAGCTTAACACTTGAAATCACAAAACTTCTAAGATAAACCATGGAGGAAAAGCTCCTTGACATTGGTCATGACAATTAATTCATGAATATGACATGAAAACATGGACAACAAAAGCAAAATAAACACATGGGACTGTATCAAGTTAAAAAGTTTCTGCATAGCAATAGGAGAAAATATGTCCAAGTCATATAGCTGATAATAGTATGATAATAGCCAAAATATACAAGGAATTCCTATAACTCAATAGCAAAAGAATAAATAACTCTATTAAAAAATGGGTTAAGGACCTGAAAACACATCATGCCAAAAAAGATATCTAAAAGGCTAACAGGTATAATAAAAGGCATTCCTTTAAGTAATTACTAATCATCAGGAAAATACAAATAAAAACCACAATGAGATACTGCCTTACAACTGCCAGGTTGGTTATTATCAAAAAAATAAAAGATAACAAGTATTGTGAGAATGTGGAGAAAAGGAAATCCTTATACACTCTTGGTGGGAATATTAACTGGTGTAGCAATTATGGAAAACAGTATGAAGGTTCTTCAAAATTTAAAAGTAGAACTACTGTAAGATTCCCACTTCCGGGTATATTTCCAAAGGAAATAAAATCAGTATGTCAAGAAGATATCTGCACTCCCAAATTCATTGCTATTTATTTACAATAAGCAAGATAGGGAAACAAGCTAACTGCCCATTGATGGATAAATGAATAAAGAAAATTTGTTATATGTACATATGCGATGGAATATTATTCGGCATTATCAATAGAAAAAAATACTGTCATTTCTGACAACATAGATGAACCTGAAATATATATACTAAGTGAAATAAGGCAGACACAGACAAATACTGTACGATATCACTTATATGTGGAAAATGAAAGAGTCAAACTCATAGAAATAGTGGAATGGTAATTACAAGAAACTGGGAGGTAGGGAAAATGTAGAGATGTTGGTCAAAGTCTATAAACTTTTATAAGTTGAATAAGTTCTGGAGATCTAATGTACAGCATGGTGACTATAGTTAATAATGTATTGTGTATTTGAAATTTTCTAAGAGAATAGATCTCGCATATTCTTGCAACATAAATTAAGAGAGGTAATTATGTGAGGTGATAGATATGTTAATCAGCCTGATCGTGCTAATCATTTTACAATATACACCTACACCAAATAAGCACATTTTATGCCCTAATATATATATATATAATTTTTATTGGTCAATCAGAACTCAATAAAGCTGGAAAGAAAGAAAAGTTATTGTGGATATGACAAATACATGTCATTACAATAATACAACACAAGAAAGAGCACGAGAAATATACCATGAAATAAAAAATGGCAAAGTGGTAGTAATATAAGAGTCAGGGAAGATTCACTCATTCATTCAGCAAATACCTATAAAATGCTTATTCCTATTTTGTAATGAGTACTGAAGAAGTGGTGGTTTGCAAAACAGATTAAGTGTCTACCTTCATGGAGTTTATCATCTAGTTAATGCAAAGAGGAGGTACTGTTTGATCCTGGACAAGGAAGATGAGCTTATTTTCTCCATTTGTAAAGATGGAGGAGTTACTATTTAAGCATAATAGACAATTTGTATCCAGCAGCAGCACAGAAGTTTGATGAGATGATCTGAGATGAGAGAGGGTGGGTATCTTTTTTGAAATATATAGTTGAAGATTCAGATTCTCAGAGCTCATTAATCAAATGCCCAATTTAACTTTATTTTATGGTTACTAAGAATATAACTGAATGCCCAGAATGCCTGCAAAGATGTTCACTAAAGCTTCTAGACCTTGAAATCTTTTTTTCTGAACTTTAGTGTCATAATTCCTTACATCCTCTGCCATTTCTATTTTCTTTCTTAAGTGTTAACCTTATTTTCACAACTAAATTTTAAGCTTGTTTCATCCATTCATGTGTTCATTCAACATTCATATTTTCTGGCACCTACTATATGCCAAGCACTGGGAATATAGCAATGAACCAAACAGATAAAAATTTCTGTTCTCAAGGCGCTAAAGTACAGTAAGATAGTGAAGAAACAAAGTCAATCACAAGTACATTATATAATATGTCAAAAAGTGATACGTGTTATAGAGAAAATAAAACAGTGCATAGAAATAGGAAGCTCTGATGAAGTGTAATATTAAATAGTGTGGCCAGAAAAACCCTTATTAAAATGTTGATTATTGGCCGGGCGTGGTGGCTTATGCCTGTAATCCCAGCACTTTGGGAGGCCGAGGCAGGCGGATCACGAGGTCAGGAGTTTGAGACCAGCCTGGCCAACATGGAGAAACCCCATCTCTACTAAAAATTAGCCAGGTGTGTTGGCATATGCCTGTAATCCCAGCTACTCGGGAGGGTGAGGCAGGAGAATCATTTGAATCCAGGAGGTGGAGGTTGCGGTGAGCCAAGATCACACCATTGCACTCCAGCCTGGGCAACAAGAGCAAACTCCATCTCAAAAAAAAAAAAAACTTGATTATTTTCTGAAGAAAGTAAGGAAGCAGGTCATAAGGATATAAGGAAGGAAAGCATACCAGGGAGAGAGAACAGCAAGTGCAAAAGTTAAGGTGGAACCATATTTAACTGCTCACAAGCAACAATAAGAACATCAGCCCTGCAGAGGGAGTGGAGAAATAATTCATGATGCCCCTGCTGTAAGAATGAATGGGGGCTAGATTCACACATGGGCACTGTGTGGATTTAAGCCATTGCTCTAAATTAAAAGTGAAACTGTTACGGGTTTTTAGGCAGTGGGGTTCATGATCTGTCATTTTAAGAGGCTCCATGTTGATAACAGACGGAAGAACTATAAGCACAGTTTGGAGACTATAATCTGGGTGGCAAATGAGGGAGGCTTAGATGTGGTTAGTAGCAGTGAAGGAGTTGAAAAAAAGTCAGTGCTGATTATATTTTGAAGGTAGAGTCAACAGAATTTGATCATAAATTGAATATATGCTGTAAAGAATACATTCAAGACTCAGTTAAATATGTGTAGCCTGGGTAGATGGAAATACAGAGTTGCCAATTACTGAGATAGAGAAAGCTGTGGGATGAACAGCTTTCATGGAGAATATTAGAAATTTAATTTTAGACATATTATGTTTAAGATACTTATCTCCAAGTGGGGATGTAAAGTCATCAGTCAAATTTATTATTCTAGGGTTCAGGGAAGAGATCCACCCTGGAGACATAAATTTGTAAGTTGTTGGCATACTGGTAGAATTTAAGGCCATGAGACTAGATGGGATCAACACTTACAGAACTGAGGTAGAAAACAGAAAATGTCTAAGGACAGAGCTCTGGAAGTTTCACATTTTAAAATCAGAGCGACTAGAAGTAACAGAAAGAGCCGTCTGTGAAGTAAAAGGAAAAAGTATAGAGTGTGGTGTGTTCTGAAAGCCAAGAATCAAGCAATGATCAATTGGGTCAAATGCTGCTGATAGTTCAAGGTGAAACGGGACAGTAGCATCAAGGGAAGGTTCTGCATTTACAATAAGATGACGGCATGTTTGTGAGTTGAAGGGAGACAGTCACTAGACAGAAAACAATAGGATGCAGGAGAGGCAATGGTTAACTACCTGCCAGAGCTATGTCTTTGAGTAGCCAAGACGGGATGGGACCTTAAGAGTTGTTGCCTATGCCTATATTTCCTTGGCCTAGGCCAAGGCTCATTGGAGTTCAAAATACTTGTTGGCAGACCAATTTCCTCCATGGGTTTAAAAAAAAAAAAAACAACAGATGATAAGACTAAAAAAGAACTCTTTAGAAAATAAATTCATTATCTACTACTTTCCAGGTATATGAACAAATTTGTTCAGCTTCCTTGGGATGCAGAGGTTAAAAACATCATTGTATCTTCCCCCAATATCAGGGCACAAATTCTCCTATGGAACATAATGTAATTTTAACAAAAATGATGCATTTTTCTAACTAGTTATTCATGGTACTATAAATACCTAAAGTTAATCACCATTATGTTGAGTACTGTTATACAAGTTGATGAATATTAATTACTAATTAGTATGCATCTAGATTTCAGTGTTCACATGTAACATCCACATAAAAGGATAAAACAAAAATCCACACCAGAAATGGAATTATTTTTTTATTACCTAATTTTATCAAACTCTAGCCCCACTATAATTTGTCTCAAATGCAGATTTCTTCTTCGTTTTATTCTTATCTGATTGATCACATTGAAATGAAAAAGAGTAATGTTACTGCATCTTAAAATGGCAATTTTGCCACGGTAAATATTCAGTAATAAAAGTTTACTTCTATGGCTATTTTGGCATCTAGAAAAATGTGGGAATATTTTACTTTATTTTTTTGTAATATCTCCACATTGCTCAAATCCTTTTGGCCCACTCTAAAGGGATCTATAAAAACCTTTCACGAGAAAAAGCACTAGTAAGAATCTCTACAAGTCTAGAGCACTTTATAGCTTTTAAAGTGTTTGTAAATAATATGCTCTCTGTTGATTGGATCTTTGTAACTTTCCTGGGCCTCAGGAGCCAGCCAAAGAGAGTTTGAGAGCAGCTGTTAGAGTAGGAGCCAAAGATTTATCAAGAGTGCCTGCTAGGGAATTATGCTTTGGAAAGTTAAGTTGAAGTCTTAGGTTGTGGGATAGTTACTGCGATTTGCTTCATCAGCAGCTGTACCAGAGAAGTGGGTGGGTTGTTAATGTAAGATGCCATAGCCAGAAGGGCTCCTGAGAAAGGGAAGCCTGGGCTGGACCCAGGGAGGTATAGGTTGTAAAGAAAAAGGCTCAGATTATCTCCCTCTACCTAAATTTTTATAAGTGGAAGACTCCTAGTGCTGCTCTTAGAAATTGCTTCGGATAAGCATAACAGGAGGTGGTTTCTTTGTCTCATAAGAGGTTCAAAGGTGCTTAACAAAGAGTTCACTATGCTGCTACTGAGTTGTAACTAACATCAAACACTATTTTGTCTCCTGCAATTTCCTCCCTGACATATGGAGATAGTTCTGTGGTATGTTTTACTAATTTTAATTTTGAAAACTTTAACAAAAAATGTTTTAAACGTTGACTCAAAACATTCAAAGAAATTCAACTTTTATTCAGTTTCATATTTTTTAAAAAGGCTGTAGTCAGATATAAAAGTAGTTAAATGAAGTCAGTGAATTTATTCTATAATTTTAAACTTTTTAAATGAATTTTAAAATGCCAGATTTTTTCCAAGCTGTAAAGGAAGAACCCTAGCGTTTTGATTGTCCATCTTTATGTTCCTGGACAAACGTGGTCTGGCTGCTTGTTCTGAGAGGAGGCCCAATAACGAGATATAGACAGACTGGGAAGGAAGGTATTTTATTTCTACAGTGGGTTACGGGAAGAAAGTCAGAGTAACTCACCAGACCAACTTAAAGTTATACGTTTTTCTCCAGGCCTTATATACATTTTAAGCTCTACGCCTACATGTGGAAGGTCACCTACAAGTGAAGTGTTTCATTCCATCTATATCTAATCTTTAACTAGGGTCTGGGATCTGGAAAATTTTCTCTAGAGCCTTGGAAAGTTTCTTAATCTTAAGCGGGCCCTGGTATAGGTGTATGTGTAAGAATGCTTTTATTATTCTATCAGACTTTAGGGTCTGAAAAAACCCAGGTGGGGTCTAAATGGGTTTGTATTCACATTCCAGCCCTCCTACTCAGGCACCCGTTTCTCCAGTTCTTTAATGTGTAATTCACACATTCATCAGGATTATATTAATAGTAAAGGGTTTGTGGAAACTAGCAGCTCTGGCTGCTTATGGACACCTGGCCTGGCAAAATTACACATATGGAATACTATTTTTTTCAATGTAACATTTAGGGTGCTTATAGATTTTCTTTCTCTCTCTCTTTCTGTGTGTCTGTGTGTTTTATAAATGTGACTTTAAGAATGATATTCGATCCAAATCATTAATCTATTAATTAAAAATGTGGCTATATTGTAATAGTAAATAAAGTTGGCTTAGAACTGAATTAGACTTTAGAATGATTATAGAAGTCTTAGCCTGGAACCACACAAAGAGATACTCAATAAGCTTCATTAGGTCACAAATCTACCTTTTTCTACAAGAATTATCTGTGTGTTATAGTAACAGGTCAACTCAAGTCAAGGCAGAGGCCTCCCACCAACTGCATCTTTGCTGCATAATGTAATAATATCTATGTTCTTCCAAGCCAAATAAGCCCCCTGAATCTATTGACCTCTATTATTTGGCAAATTAAAAAACAAAAACAAACTCCTCCCACAATGGTTTTCCATTTTCTCTCTGAAAAACAAAAGCACAAACAAGAACATGTTCAAGTTACTAAAAGCATTGCTAAATACTAGCCAATTTCCTGTGAAAATCTTCTCAAAGAAAGCCCAGGAAATTGCAATCACTTAAACACTTAGAGACTACAACATCTTTTTTTGTGACTAAAATGTGTTTATATTTCTGTCTGTCATCTTTTTAGCTATTTTAATTCAGGGAATGCTCTGTTTTATCTCAAAGAAACTAATTTGGGGCCAAGTTCCTTATATTACATAGTTTTTTTTACTCCCCACAGTAGTACATATTCTCCCTAAAATGACTATTTAATAAATAATCTTACTTAAATGACACTACCTAGTGTTTCCCAAAGTTATCTGAAGGTAAGAATCACCCAGAGTGTTCCTTAAGATGCAAATTCCTGAGCCCTCAACCCAATGCATTGAATCAGAATTTCCAAGGAAGAAAGCTTTCCAAATGTTTGTTCTCATTAGGAAAGTTTAGGAAACTCTAATTCATCATGGAAAACAGACCTAATCTGCTTTCAGCAACCCAAAAGGGCTGGATAAAGTTACAGAAAAAATAAATAAAATGTCTATTGACCCCTATTATTTTGCAAATTAAAAAAAACTACCCCCACAATGCAAAAAATGAAAGTTTTCTTTCCAAACTTCAGAGAAAAACCCTTCAGAGGAAGTTTGAAAAGAAAAAAGTGAGAAAGAATATGTGATCCAATAAGTTTGTGTGTGCTGGGGATATGGTGGGAAGTTGAGATTGCTACTGCTTGGTGAACTTTATTTTCTCTGTGAAAAAGGAATATGCAGCCATCTGACTGAGAGAAAGACAGGGAGCCATCAGGGGCTCAAGGAATATGGTGAAGGTTGGACATAGCTGAGGGGAATGGGAGAGGGGACAGGTAAGAAACATAGAGAAGAGTGCAGAGTGACAGTTGAGTAATCTTCTGACAAAGCAATCCAAGAACCTGTACATATTATGATGGATTTATGTTTATATAGTGGCCATGATGGCTCCAGAAAACTAAACAGAATGGCACATTCCCTAATGAGAGCTAACAGGTATGGCAGGCAGCTTCCAAGATGGCCTCCAGTGATTCTTGCTACCTGGCAATTCTCTCCCCTTGTTTGTGGATTGGACTTATTAATTCACTTCTAATCAATATAATATGTCAGACGTAATGGAATATCACTTCCAAGATTAGATTATAAAAAAACTATAGCTTCCGATTTGGGTCTTTCTCTGACTGTCTTTTAGATTGTTCATTCTGGGGGAAGCCAGCTGCCAGGGAACCCTGTGGAGAGGCCACATGAGCGAGCTTAGCATTGGAATTTTTGAATCCCGGCAACAACTTTGTAACCATAAAAGTGCATTTTCCAACTCCAATTGAGTCTTCAGGTGACAGCATTTCTAATTAACAGCTTGACTGAAACCACACTGCAGATGTTGAGCCAGTAATGGCAACGAGCTAAGTTACAACTGGCCTTCCACCCCACAGAAATCATGAGATCATAAATGTGTGTTGCTGTAAATCACTAAATTCTGAAGTAAGTTGCTATATCACAGTAAATAACTCATACAATATGTATGTAAGGACAGACTGAGGAAAACAAAAGAAATGACAAGACATTAAGCCTTAAATATATTGAATATTGTTTGTAATTGTAATTCTATTTCTTTACTTTTAAAAAACATTTTCAGCCGGGCGCGGTGGCTCATGCCTGTAATCCCAGCACTTTGGGAGGCCGAGGCGGGCGGATCACAAGGTCAGGAGAGAGAGACCATCCTGGCTAACACGTTGAAACCCCATCTCTACTAAAAATACAAAAAATTACCTGGGCGTGATGGCGGGCGCCTGTAATCCCAGCTGCTCCGGAGGCTGAGGCGGGAGAATGGCGTGAACCCGCGGGGGCGGAGCTTGCAGTGAGCCGAGATCGCGCCTCTGCACTCCAGCCTGGGCGACAGAGCGAGACTCCGTCTCAAAAATAAAACTAAAATATATAAAAAAAATTTTTTTCATGGTTAAGTGAAAATTTTTCTATTGCTCATTAAATGCACAATTAAAGTTCTTATTTGTAAGGCATGTATTGTTATCTTTATTTTTTTCTTCAGGTGAAAAAAATTTGGCCTGTTATGCCTTCTATACTCTCCTGTTAAAGCACTGATGAAAACAAACTGCCAGAAATAAAAGTAAGGTATTGATAAGCTCTAAATCTTTAATTCTTTATTCATAGCAATAATACTAAGACAATTACCCCTTAGTAAGGACAATTATAAAAATGTATTTCTTCAGTATACACATTTATCAATTCAAAACATTCAGATTGTCTTGAAACTCCAAGTCTCTAAAACAGAAGTATTTTTTACTCTGTATTTTAGTCAACCAGTTGATTAATCAAAACTTGTTGTTTTCTATATGCAGTGATGTTTATAACAATAGCATGTACATATAAGATATGCACCTTATTTTCTGTACATTAAAGAAAATGAAATTAATAACTGTCTTCAAAATTTCAAGTCAATAGATAAAAGAAAATTCAGGAATGACAGGATATATTAATATTTATACATATAGCTCCTCAATCTATCACTTACCTGATTTAGATAATGTGATTTTCTGAACCTTGCCTGAATATTAGCAGACTCTTATCCATTACATCAGAGATACTGATTAGATTGGCTTGAGGAATGAGTGGTCTTTATAGAATTATAAATATTTATTCACTAGCTATTTATATTACCATGATGCCCTTTCTTATGCATCCTATGTGCTCATATGTCTTTGGAAATTATCCTTGACACTTGATTTATGAAATAAAAAACACAGACTTCACAGGGTATATTGTAATAGTGCATGCACACACACACACACACACACACACACACACACACAGAGAGTTTTACATTTTAGAATTGTAATTTGTCTGTTGCTACAAAATAATAAAGGGAATTTTTTGTTTGTAATAGAGAATATAAAAATATATTTCTTAAAAGTAATCTACTAATTATGTAAGCTACCAGAACTTTGAATAGCAGCAATTTATTTTCTATATATTAATGACAAAAAAGGAGCAATTTATAAAAATTAGAACATCAGTATTTTGAGCAACCAGTTGGAACAAGAAGATGCAACCTTGTGTTCAATTAATCAGTTAAAAATGGTAAAAATGAAAAAGAACCCTTAATTGCAAAAATTAATTTGTGAAAATTATTAATACGTGGGACAAAAATTAATCTAATTATATAAGTCTTCTTTAGACGACTGAAGCTGGCAAATTTGGTTTATCAAATATCTACTTGAAAAAATCCTAATTTTCATTTAAGTTAGAATATCTACTCAGTTGCATTATAAAACAGTATACTGAGTCTTAAACAGTTTCAAAAGATATTTCATATCGGAATCACTGTTTGTAGTTACCTTGCAACATCATTTTAAAATTTTAGAGCTTGGTGAAGTTAACTTATCAAATAACTTGAACAGGGTCAACTGACTTTTGCATCATTTCAGGTGATTTCAGTTTGGAAGAAAGCGATCATATATGTATTCACATGAGCACACACATATACCCAAGTATACACACATGCATGTACATATGGACACACAAGACCCCACACACAAGCACACATACACATACCACACATACACACAAGACAGGAGCAGACACCTCAAGTCTCAACACAGGTTGCTTTAGAGCCCAAGGCTCAGCCTAAAGCAGTATGCGCCTGCAGGTGACTGTGCCAAATTGGAGAATTGCAGAACCTGTTGGGGACAACTCTGTATTACTCAGGCTTATACTTCCACAATGGAAGAACTTAGACTGTCTATCTACTCACTGCCACTTAAAGAAATGTTAATAACTATAAAACTCTTCTTTCTTTGAAACAAATTCATACCTCCATAGGTATGAGGGGGAAGAGACAAATAGTCAGTGCTCTAGTCTTCCAGGATTCAGTAAAATCTCTTCTCTCAATAATTTCCTTTATAACACTTACATATTGTTATATTTCTTTTAAAAATATATCTAGATAATTTTTGCATTAGATTATGATATCTTTGACTTCTTCACTTTTTATTGTATACCCTGTTTGGAAATTTATATCTAATGTCATACAACCAGCTAACAATTCTGTTGATATTTCTCAGCTGTGAATCTCTAGCAGTTATATTCACCTCTGTGCTAAACAAAAGGTCTACATTCCCAAACACTACATTCTAACATTTGTTAGAAGCATCCTTTGCAAAGTACTGTAAGAATAAGCGATGTAAAAAGGCTAAAACCAAATTATCACCTTGTTTTCCTACTCTTATCCCCCATTCCAATTTTTCTTATATATGAACCTTTTTCTTAATCAGTGGCAAAATCTTTGCTTCTTCATATTCTTTGAATCTGTATTTTCTTCTCCAGCCTACTGACAATCTTGGTACATGCCTGTGTTATTTCTTATGTTAACTATTTTAATCACCTTCTAAGTGGCCTCTTTTCCTGCAGTATCAGCCACTTCTGCTTATCCTCCAGATTACAAGACAAAATCATTTATCTCAATGCAGATCAGAGCATGTCCCTTCCCTACTTGGAAAAGTTTTCAGCAGTCCATCATTATTTTCAGAATAACGTAGAGTGTGGCAAATAATTAGTTGTATGATCTTGTCCTTCTGGCTCCCACACACATCTTGCCACGAAAACCAGTTGCTATTTCCTGCATGCAATGTGTACTCACCCTGAATTCACACACCATGCTCCATTGCCTTGCTTAACCATGCCTTTTTGGGAAAATCAGATCCTGAGGACTCTTTTCAACCCTCCTTATTCCCATTGAGCAAGCCGAGCTCTATGCATTTATCTTCCTCCTTCTATGGCATTTTCAACATACCAAAATTAAAGATTTGTTTTCTATTGGTTTGTACAGGTCTTGAGAAGAGTTATTATTTTAGGTCCTGAGGCTGTGTTGATTTTTATTTAAGCCTTTCTCTATACTTATCTTAAAAACAAGTATATAATGGGAGAAATTTATTACTAAGAAAAAGTAAACCATGTAAAATTCAGACATTTAACCATCAGTAAGTCTCTCACATGCAGGCTTTCATTCCCATGCTCTCTCATCTTTCTCTCTCCTGCTTCACCTCAGGATTTATTTTATTTTCTCTACTGCTTAACAAGCTTCTGCACATGATGAGGTGCATGGGGTCATGGTTTCACTACGTTATTATTGTTGAGGCTCAGAAAGCAATACCCCAATATGAAGGCCTCAGCATCAGTCTAAGAAGCACAAGTTTTTCTCTGCTCTCCATCTCTCAGTTTCATTCTCCCCTGAGGCCAGTCATAGAAACTAGAATCCCTGCTCCCCAAGGGGGAATCATACAAACCAGAACCCTTTTTCCCAAAGTCAACCATAAAACATAAAAATATTACTCTAATTTTCTTTTTGCTCCATCTGTGTAAAAACTGGTCATAAAGAAATGATCTGATCTACCTCATTCGACTATAGGTCATAAGACCCTTATTCCAGAGGGTTCCTGCCCCACATCCAGAAGGAAGGAGGCATGCTCAGAGAGGCCAAGAATCTGAACAGACAGACCTCTCTGGGTTTTCCCATTTAGTCTATGAGCATTAGGCCACACTCTTGTGAAAGGAAAATATCTTGGGCCCCTAAAATCACTAAGGAAAACTCAAGCTGGAAACTGCTTAGAATCAACCTGCTTCCCATTCTATTCAAAGTTAGCCCTCTGCTCACTAGGATAGATGCATATCTGATTGCCTCCTTTAGAAAGGCTGATCAGAAATTTATCTGTGACCTGGAAACTCCCTCCCCGTTTCGAGTCTTCCTGCCCTTGCTTCAAGATGTCCTGCCTTTCCAGACTAAACCAATGTACTTGTTACATATATTGATTGATATCTCATGTCTCCCTAAGATGTATAAAATCCAGCTGTGCCTCCATCACGTTGGGGTGTCATCAGGACTTGCTGAGGCTATGTCATAGTTGCATCCTCAACCTTGACAAAGTAAACTTTCTAAATTAACTGAGACCTGCCTCCAATTTTCTGGGTCCACGCTCTCTTGTCCAATAATATTCTATATGGCTGTCTATACTTTGTTGAACCCAAGCATAAAAATGGAAAATTGCCCCTGTATCTTTGGTCCTACCCTCTAAAGGTGTAACCGCCCGATGGGTTCACCTTTCCCACTGCCTAGACAGAGCCAATTTATCAACACAGGGGAATTGGAATTGTGAAAGGCTAATTCACACAGAGCCAGCTGTGCGGAAGACTAGGGTTTTGTTTTTACTGAAATCAGTCTCCCTGAGCATTCAAGGATGGGAATTTTTAAAGATAATTTGCTGGGTAGGGGCTTGGGAAGTAGGAAGTGCTGATTGGTCAGGTTGGAGATGGAATCATAGCGGGGTTGAAGCGAGGTTTTCTTGCTGTCTTCTGTTTCTGGGTGGGAATGGCAGAACTGGTGAAGCCAGATTACAGGTCTGGGTGGTGTCAGCAGATCCATCTAATGCAAGGTCTGCAAAATATCTCAAGCACTGATCTTAGGTTTTACAATAGTGATGTTATCCGCAAGAGCAATTTGGGGAGGTTCAGACCCTTGCAGCCAGAGGCTGCATGACCCCTAAAATGTAATTTCTAATCTTGGAGCTAATTTGTTAGTCCTACAAAGACAGATTGATCCCAAGGCAAGAAGAGGGTCTTTTTGGCAAAGGGCTATTATCAATTTTGTTTCAGAGTCAAACTATAAACTAAACTCCTTTCCCAGGTTAGTGCAGCCTATGCCCAGGAATGAACAAGAACAGCTTAAATGTCAGAAGCAAGATAGAGTCTGTTAGGTCTATCTCTTTTGCTGTCATACATTCCTCAGTTATAATTTTTGCAAAGGTGGTTTCAAAGGCTCCCATGTATACCTGTTAAATGTATTTGTATGCCTTTCCTCCTATTAACCTGCCTTTTGAGAGTTGATTTTCCTGTGAACTTTCAGAGGGCCAAGGGGAAAGGTCTCGCTTGGCCCCCATGTTACAAAAATGCAAGATCCCACAGCAAAAGATTTATTCTCCAGGTCTATTAAAATAAAAAAAGATTCTCAGAGAACAGGCATATTGGTTTTCTTGTGCCATATGCTCACCCTTGAACTTGTCACTGCAGTCAGGAAATCTTGGTGCCAGGATTGATTGTTCCTGACACGCATCCCTCCAGGAATGTGACCCAACATTAGTATGTCTTCTGTGCTAGTTTCAACCTTCCTCTGCAACAGGTTATGCTGAAAGATGCTGTGATTATCAGTAACAGTTTTTTCTTCTGAAGCTTCCATTGGATTCGCCTAAACAAAGTAGAAAAGATTAGTTACTGAAAAAGAGGATCCTCCATCTTCAAAGATGGTAGTGCTTCTAATAGGTACTTTCTCTCCCACTGAGTTCAGTGAAATGTTGGAAGAACTCACGTTCCTTTCAATCCTGTGAACTTTTGAATATTGTCTATCTAGTGGGACAAAGGCATCCCTCATACATTAGCAACGTTTCTGTCTTTTGACAAAGTGCTGTTAATGTTTCTTTTATTCTGTTTAAGATTTTATCTATTCAAGCCTTTAAAAGGTGATGAAGGCATTAACATGATTGCTTGGTTTGGGAATTTAAAGTAAAAACTACATCTTTAATACAAAGTATGAACTCAAAGACAATAATTATGGTGTTATATGTGTGTCCAAGTGCCAGGGAAACAATAAATATTTCAATAGTGAAAAACAATTTTCCTCAAGTAATGCCATTTATAAACAGAGCAATTGTATAATCAATTAGAACTGCATGAAAATAATTTGTAAAAAGAAGGCAGCAAATAAAGTATTTATCAAAGATCTGAAATTTTAAATGTATAATTATTCATTGCCCAGTGTTTCTTAGAAAGATTATTGTAGCTGCCTAAAGGAAAAGGAGCATTAAAATGCAGGTGAGTTCTCAATAATAGGTATTAGAGTTGTAGTTTCTCTATTTAAAACCATTAGGGTATCTTTATATTAGTGGACAGTTTCAGAAAGGCAGTAATGACTTCCAATTAAGAGTTCAGTCTGGCTGGGCATGGTGGCTGACACCTGTAATCCCAGCACTTTGGGAGGCTGAAGAGGGCAGATCACCTGAGGTCAGGAGTTTGATAGCAGCCTGGCCAACATGACAAAACTCCGTCTCTACAAAAAATACACAAAAAGAAAAAAAAAATTAGCCCGGCATGGTGGCAGGTGCCTATAATCCCAGCTACACCGGAGGCTGAGGCAGGAGAATCCCTTGAACCTGGAAGGTGGAGGTTGCAGTGAGCCGAGATCACACCACTGCACTCCAGCCTGGGTGACAGAGTGAGACTCTGTCTCAAAAAAAAAAAAAAAAAAAAAAAATTCAGTCTAAAGCATGCCTGGCTTTAATTTTAAGTCTACTAAAACCTTTTTTGGTTTGCAAATTAAAGTCAAAATTGCCAGTGATGCCGCCCTCTAGCTAGAGAAGGACTCTCAGTATACTTTATCTTCTAGAGTCAAATGCTCTGTAGGGCTTGGCTTCCTCCCATGACTTGTAGCAAATTCACCTGACAATTACCGTGCCAGGAGGAAACAGTTTTACCACATTGTTTGAAGGTTGGCTTTAGATTCTCTTTTATTTTTAAAAAATTTATTTATGTCTTTAATTGACAAATAATAATCGTACGTACAATATGTATGGGGTACAATGTGGTGTTTTGACATATCTGTACAAATGTAGAAAGATGAAATCAAGCTAGTTAACATATTCATCACCTCTCCTCCTTATCATTTTTTTTCATAGTGAGAACATTTAATGTTTGTCTCCACTGTTCCATGCAGTCAATTACCTAATATATCTTTAATTCACTCTAGATAATGCTATCCAAGTTGATGCATCAGATAGCTAAGACCTTTCATTTTAGAGCCACAGTGGGATTTTCAGTGTTCCCAATGTTGGGAGGGAACAGCATGGCTGTCCCATAGCTCATGTTTCCACATGGGAACATGACTTGTACTTTGAGCCATGTTTTGCTTATTGCTTCTCAGGGGAGGAGGAGTCATTTTTCTAATAGGTGTAACACTTTATTGGTGTGGGTCCACTTTTTCTTTCCTCCTTTTGGCTTGTGTACATATATGTACATGCATGTGTGTAAGACCACAGTTATTTGCATCAAGGTGCACTGTAGTTTGCTGTCTCCGAAGGTGGTAGCATTATTGGAATAGGCTATACCTATGTGGCAGAGTCTTGAATCTATTTTTTGGCGGGGGGCAGGGATGTGGAAGCTACATTGCCATTTATAAATAGAGCAATTGTATAATTATATGGTAAATCTTGGCAATAATTTGGCATGTTTATCTTTAACTGCTGAACCCTTCTGTTTTTTAAATAGTTCAGAATTCAGACATAGAACAAACAAGAGTTTTATTTAGTAGGTCCTTGAAGAGTCAAACATTAGGACATAGGCTGGAAACTGAGAAAGGCCAAGGTGTAGACTTTGAGGCCCAAATAATTGGCACAACCTGGGGTTGTAGCTTTAGGAATTAGCTTAAGTAAGATCAGTATTGAGCAGTTTTAACCTTATCAATTTGCAATGGCCCTGTTGTCTCAGGTGGCTAATTTTACAGTTGTGAAAATGTATAATTGTACAGTTACGAAAATGATTTCTAACTTGTACCACCTGGAGAGACAGGTACACATTAGAATCTGGTAAATAAGGTTTATGTGACTTTTGAAATTAGCAGAGCCCTGCAGCTTTTGACAGTGTCGATCACAGGCTGAAGGTTGACGTATGTGGTATGGGCCTCAGCACTTTCAGGCACCAGGCACAGAACTTGATAGGCCTGGGAATCAGGGGTCTTGATGTGCAGTCTCTGCAGTGTAACCTTGACCTCTATAGGCACCTATGCTGCAGGCACAGCAGCTTCAAGGATTATTAACAATAAGACTCTTGTAGTCCCAGGAAAAGCTTATTTTGAAACAAGTACAGTCTCAATTACTGCTTTTGTTGGGTTTTTGGCCACGTATGCAGGTCAGGAGACTGAGAGTTTAAACTGCAAAGGTGCCTGACATCTATAAGTGTTACAGGGCATTAGAAGTTGAGGCTTGTACCAGATAGAGGTAAATGATGCTAGACCAGCTGCTCGAAGTTTTGCTTCTTTTCCATGTTGTTTTTACCTACCTCCAGGACCAAGAGAAGGAACTGTGATTTTCTCCACAGGTTCCTAAGGGCAATGCTGAAGCAGATAGCCTCAAAGTTGTCCATTACACTCAAATCTTATCATCCTTTTAGATTTCAGTGGCTGGAGATTAAGACTTTTACCCACAGAAGGGTAGTAGCTTTTAATAATTAATAAATAATGAATGGATAATCTAATTATTAAGAGAATATACAAATTGCTCAGAATGAAGGAAAGAAATAACTCAATAAAATTGTTACAAGTGCAGAAGTTAAGAAGACAATTTAATAGGCCCATATCTCTAGGAATCAGATCTGCATAGAAAAGCAACGAGAAGCTGCAGCATTGGGAAAATACATTTCATTGTCAGATGAAATGGGAGCAGTGGAAGAATGTAAGTACAATAAAGGCAGGTAGTCTGGCTAAGCTGGAAGAAAGATATTCCTCAGGAAATGTTGACATTATAGAGAACAGACAAAAAAAAGAAAGGAAGTGGAAAATGAGAACTTGAACATCTATATACCCAGAAAAAAGTTGTGCCAGATTTTTTCTTATCTCTCTCAAATTGATTCAGCACTCAGGCTTGGAGGTAAAGAAAGTTATAGTTTATTGCATAGCCTGCCTTCTCACATCTAAACATCAGTTCAGCTATCAAGTTATTTTTTTCAAATGTAGACATCCTTGTTTTCTCTGCACAAAATCCTCAGTATGAAATTTGTAGCCTTTCCTAATCCAGGCCCAGCCTGCTGTCCTAATATCTCCTCATTTGTTTATTTATTCAATAGTATTTATTTGGAACATAGTAGCTGCCAGGCACTCTGCTAGCAAGTGAAATGCAATGGTTAACAACATATGTAGTTTCCCACAACATAGGCTTACTAACTAGATGGAAATGCAAGTATTGCAGACCATTTCCAAAATTGGTTTTTAGTTGAAATTTTAATGACAGTAAAGGAGACATACAATGGTCCTGAGGTCATATAACCAAGGGACTTAGCCAAGTCTTCACTGTCAAGGAGACGTGCCGTGAGAAGGTTAGGCTTAACTTTAAAAGTGAGTAGGTATTAGCTTGGATGGTAGAAAGATAGTGGCTTTGGAGGTGGAAGAAGTGAGATCATTCGAGCAGAAGGGAAAAGCATGTGAGAAGTTCTTAAGGTAGTCAGGAGCAGGCATAGGCCACTTGACAAAGAGAACTGTGCTTACTCTGGTGCAGTTAAGGCCCAAGATAATCCTCAAGGGTTGCCAAGTCAGGATGAAAGTGAACAAGAGGAAGCTGAGTCATCTGTGCAGAGTCAGGTGAAAAGGTGATGATTAGTGATGAGACCACGTGGGTTCTGTACCAACAGAAATCAAGACATGAGGTGGTTTAAAGCAGGTTATGAAGATTCCTAATGTAGACGGAAATAAGAGATGAGCCTAAAAGTTTTAACAGGAGCCAGATCCTATAGGTGCACTGGGACATTTTAAAGCTTGTGGTCTCCATTGAGAGTAACTGGAAATCATTGAAGATGTCTAAGGTAGGGAAGGACAGAATCATACTTGTATTTGAAAAAGATCACCATGGCTCTTCAGAGAAGAGCAAGCAGAGACTGTTACTCTCATTCACCATCTCCTGAATGTGCCTCATGCCTGATCATACCCACGTAACTACTCACCGTTCCTACTATTGAAGTATGTTGCCCTTACCAATCCCTTTTCCTACCTCAACATATCCAACTTATCAAAATCCCAGGTGTCCTTAATTGCTCAACAAAAATTCTGCCTGCTTCATAAATCTAACCATCAGTTCACAGATGGTTCTGAGAGTTCATTTTCTCCTCTAGCGATTAATTCCTCTTACTTTCACCTGATTCGTTTACAGTTAGAACATTTTACAAAGTATGACTGCTTTGTCATACTTTGGATAGTCTACCTTTTTATTCTGTTTTAGATACAAGCATTTTCCCACTGTCAACATTTTGAGGACATTTGTCACATCTTATCATCTCTATGTATCTACCCTTCTAGCATTTAGAATAATGACTTAGACATAGCAGATGGTATTTTTTTTATTGTAGCAATCTATCACACAGAGATTCTTAATGCATGATTTTGAAGGAGGTTGGGGCACTTAACAGAGAAATCCAGATGCGGAGTTCAGCAAAGAACCCGAACTGGTTTCTGCAGTGATCATCTCATTATTCCCTTGTTGGGCTGCCAATATCACCTGATCCACATTTTAAGACCTGGTTTCTAGATATTTCTTTTCAATTATTGTTTGCCTCTCTCATTAAGAAATAAATGCAAGATTTTAAATGTTTCACTGCCGGAGTTAATAGATGCTATTTGTATATTTGACGGATGTGATTAATAAGATCCATTAGAACAAAAAGAATATAAATAATTGCTTTGAGAAATAGAAAATGCTAATTGCTAGAGACAATCAAGGAGCATCCTTGTGCTTGAATAGGCAGCACCAAACTATGTAATTGCTTACTGCCCTCCCTTTGTGTTTTTACAGGAGTGAGAACTGGTGTTTAATTGTTATTCCATAGTTTCATTTGTACCATACACCTGCTGCTTTTGAATATAATAATTAAATCATTCAGTTTACAATTCCACATCATCTTTAAAAAATTATAACTGTTTAATTAAAAAGAATAAAAGTGACAGCTTGCAAAGTATCATTTTGCATTGTATTGTTTAGTCACTGGTATATCTCAGCTATCACATGCGAGAAACATCTCATTTCCCTTAACCACTGCTCAGAAGGACAGCCTCTTTAGGTACTCATGTCTTTTCCTCCAAACTATTTTATCTGACACCAAACATAGGTTTCAAGTTTCCAAGTAAAGTATGACATCTCTCTAGGTTTGTTGACATGTTTCCAATCCTGTGGGTGTCTCCCAAGCAACAGAATTTTAGGAGGACTAAACATAGTACATGAAAAACAGATGGAAATTGAGATGTTGATCAAGTGAACAGTAAAAGTATAAATCAGAAGAAGGACAGGCTTTACCTAGATGCTTGTAACCTAGTGATACTGCAAGAAGCTAGTAGGAAAATCAACAGCAGATATACTAGCCTCTAACAGGCAGAGCTAGAGGTGAGCTATAAGTTTGAGCCTGATGTGATAGGCAAAATATTACTCCCCATACCCTAGAAAACAGCCATTTCAAATTCCTGGAACCTATCAATATGTTGTTACATGACATAGGAGAATTAAAGTTGCTAATCAGCTGACTTTAAAGAGGAAAACTATCCTACATTATCTAGGTGGGCCAAAGTAATAACAAGGGTCCTTAAAAGTCTTTAAAAGTGGGAGAGGGCAGCAGAAGAGGTCAGTGGGAGCTGTGACTACAGAAAGGCAGCCAGAGAGAAATGCAACATTGGTGTCTTTTATGCTGGGAGTAGGGGTCCAAGAGCTAAGGTAGGCTGGTGGCCTCTAGAAGCTGGAAGAGGCAAAGAAATAGATTCTACCCTAAAACTTTCAGAAGGAAATGCAGGCTTGCCAGCATCTTAATTTTAGGCCAGTGGGATCCAACTGTGGCTTCTGACCTCCAGGATTATGAGATAAGTTTGTGCTGTTTGGAGCCACGAAGTTTGTAATAATTTGTTACAGCGGCGATACAGAACTAATAAAACCAGCATTGTCTGTTTCTGTCACTGTTGTGGGGCTTGGAACCCAAGAGGTAAGGAGTAAGAAGATGAGTCACTGTATCTGTGCAGAGCCAGGTGAGAAGATGGACCTATACTAGAAGGTCCAGGAGGTTCTAAACAGAGGGGACTGATACTTGCAGTGGTTTGAGCTGACACAAAAATATAAGTCAGGAATGCTTCCTTGACGCAGGGACCTCTATGCAGTTAACACCATCCCTTCTTTAAGATTCTCTCCTGAAATAGAGGAAAGCCAGTATTTGCCCGAAGCATCTGAATGGAAGGTCCTCACACATGTGGGTGAGTATCTGAGATCAAAGGACATTTCTCACAACTCACTGCTCTCAGCCATTCCCTTTATATATACCAGACACTGTCCGTGGCTAATGAGCTACTGATATTCCAGCACCTCCTCTATGTCATACATCAGTCCTCATCCTGAAGACTGTGGCAGGTTGCTCTGGTATAAGGTGATAATGCAGAGTCTCAAGGAGCTAGAAATAGCCTGAAATAGTGAGCAGTGAGATAGTGAGACTGGATTCAGCAGATCATAGCACTGACACACACCATAACCTCAAGTGTCCCCAGGTAGCAGTCTCTGTATCCTTGGACAATTGTATATGTATGATGGGGTGAAATCAGGCTACACATCCCACTCAGAATTTCTTCTAGAGAATCTATTGTTCCTAGAAGTTCTTCCAGGTGCTCTGTGGTTCTCCCAGATACTGGCCTTTAGTTGTAGAATGGAGATGAAAACTAGAGTTGAAGGGAGTCTTTCATTTGGAACATCATGCTCCATTATAAGAAATCCTAGCCATGAATTGAAAAGTGTATCAGTTATGCTGTGGCAAGAGATGTAATAGTAGAGAGACTCTTCTATTATACAAAAATGCAATTTCATTAGGCCATCATCAGGGGACAAGTAGACATGGTCCAGGAGAGAGGTGGCCATGAACCTGAAAAGCATAGATTATAACCATCTGAAATGATGATACAAACAAGTCTCTGCAGTTGGATATCTGTGTGCTTGGAAGTCCAAGGAAGCTGCTTTCTCACTTTGTACACACACACACACACACACACACACACACACACACACACACAAGGTATCTATATATGAAGGCAAGATAACATTACATGTAATATTCCAATGAGTGTGTTCACACTAAACATGGAAGTAACTGTGAAAAACAGTAATATCTGGGACTCAGGGTATAACAGACCTTTGGGTCACTGTGTTAGGCTGTTCTTGCATCACTATAAATACCTGAGCCTGAGTAATTTATAAAGAACAGAGGCTTAATTGGCTCAAGGTTCTGCATGCTGCACAAAAAGCATGGCGCTATTATCTGACTAGCTTCTGAGGTGGACTCAGGGAGCTTTTATTCATAGTGGACAGTGAAGCAGGAGCAGGCATCTCACACGTCGAGAGCTGGAGCAAGAGTTGGTTGGGGGAAGGTGCCATACACTTGTAAACAACCAGATCTCATTAGAACTCACTCATTATCACAAAGGCAGCACCAAGCCATGAGGGATCCACTTCCACAACCCAGGCCCCACCTCCAACACTGGAGATTATATTTCAACATGAGATTTGGACAGGACAAATAAATATCTAAACCATACCAAGGCTTGTGTACCAGATCCAGATTTGTGCATTGGACTACAAAATTTTATTTATATAGCATTCTGTGTTTGAATGGAGAAATGTAGGCAGCCAAAATGTTATGCATTACAGGTTAAAGTGAGGGTTTTTAAAAAATTATTATTATCATTGAGCTAATTTTTTTAAAAATTGACAGTCTTATATCTAAAGTCTAGGATGCAGTTGAATTCTGCTTTGCCTATCACCTTTCCAAATCATGAGATTCCCAAGGGAAGTAGACACCTAAGATACATAGAGAATGGAAGGTAAATCAACCCTTTAGTGTTAGCTGAGTCTCCTGTAGTATTTGCCATGGCAGAACTCTGATAAAGCTTGATTAGAAGGCTTAGTTCAATTTTGAGACCTAAGTCAAAAGTTTAATCATCAAATATTATTATTTTCTGGCCAGCCATATTGTATAGAAACAAGAAACAATGATCATTTTCTGAAACAATGATCATTCTGAAACAAAGTATGGCTAGGCCCCAAAAGGGTCTTGGCTCTAGATCAGTTTAAATTTCAGCACATGAAAGAAAGAATAAGAAACAGAAGTTAGGCTTCTAAGTTGGCTGAATAGAAACAGTTCTGGTCTGCAGCTCCCAGCAAGATTGGCACAGAAGACAAGTGATTTCTGCATTTCCAACGGAGGTACCTGGTTCTTCTCACTGGGACTGGTTGGACAGTGGGTGCAGCCCATGGAGGGTGAGCTGAAGCAGGGCAGGGCATCACCTCACCCAGGAAGTGCAAGGGCTTGGGGGATTTCCCTTTTCTGGCCAAGGGAAGCTGGACAGACTGTACCTGGAAAAATGGTACACTACTGCCCAAATACTGTGCTTTCCCCATGGTCTTAGCAACTGGCAGACCAGGAGATTCCCTACCCGTGCCTGGCTCAGTGGGTCCCACACCCACGGAGCCTTGCTCACTGCTAGCGCAGCAGTCTGAGGTCAACCTGTGAGGCTGCAGCCTGGTGTGGGGAGAGGTGTCCACCATTGCTGAGGCTGGAGTAAATAAACAAAGCTGCCGGGAAGCTCGAACTGGGTGGAGACCACTGCAGCTCAGCAAGGCCTACAGCCTCTATAGACTCCACCTCTGTGGGCAGGGCACAGCTAAACAAAAGACACCAGACAACTTCTGCAGACTTAAACATCCCCGTCTGACAGCTCTGAAGAGAGCAGTGGTTCTCCCATCATGGTGTTTGAGCTCTGAGAACAGACAGACTGCCTCCTCAAGTGGGTACCTGAACCCTGTGTAGCCTAACTGGGAGACACCTCCCAGTAGGGGCCAACAGACACCTCATACAGGCAGATGCCCCTCTTGGGTGAAGCTTCCAGAGGAAGGATCAGGCAGCATTATTTGCTGTTCTGCAGTATTTGCTGTTCTGCAGCCTCTGCATGTGATACCCAGGCAAACAGGGTCTGGAGTAGACCTCCAGCAAACCCCAACAGACATGCAGCTGAGGGGCCTGAATGTTAGAAGGAAAACTAAAAAACAGAAAGGAACAGCATCAACCAACAAAAAGGCCATCCACACCAAAACCCCACATGTAGGTCACCAACATCAGAGACCAAAAGTAGATAAAAACACAAAGATGGGGAGAAACCAGAGCAGAAAAGCTGAAAATTCCCAAAACCAGAGTCCCTCTTCTGCTCCAAAGGATCTCAGCTCCTCGCCAGCAATGGAACAAAATTGGATGGAGAATGACTTTAACAAGTTGAAGTAGGCTTCAGAAGATCGGTAATAACAAACTTCTTCGAGCTAAAGGAGCATATTCTAACCCAATGCAAGGAAGCTAAAAACCTTGAAAAAAGGTTAGACAAATGGCTAACTAGAACAAACAGTGTAGAGAAGACCTTAAGTGACCTGATGGAGCTGAAAAACCACAGCATGAGAACTTCATGATGCTTGCACAAGCTTCAATAGCCAATTCCATCAAGTGGAAGAAAGGATATCAGTGATTGAGGATCAAATGAATGAAATAGAGCAAGAAGACAAGATTAGAGAAAAAAGAGTAAAAAGAAACTAACAAAGCTTCCAAGAAATATGGGACTATGTGAAAAGACCAAATCTATGTTTGATTTCTGTACCTGAAAGTGACAGGGAGAATGGAACCAAGTTAGAAAACACTCTTCAAGATATTATCCAGGAGAACTTCCCCAACCTAGCAAGGCAGGCCAACATTCAAATTCAGGAAATACACAGAACACCACAAGGATGCTCCTCAAGAAGAGCAACCCCAAGACACATAATTGTCAGATATTCACCAAGGTTGAAATGAAGGAAAAAAATGTTAATGGCAGCCAGAGATAAAGGTCGGGTTACCCACAAAGGGAAGCCCATCAGACTAATAGCAGATCTCTTGGCAGAAACCCTACAAGCCAGAAGAGAGTGGGGACAATATTCAACATTCTTAAAGAAAAGAATTTTCAACCCCAGAATTTCATATCCAGCCAAACAAACCTTCATAAGTGAAGGAGAAATAAAATCCTTTACAGACAAGCAAATGCTGAGAGATTTTGTTAGCACCAGGTCTGCCCTACAAGAGCTCCTGAAGGAAGCACTAAACATGGAAAGGAACACCCGGTACCAGCTACTGCAAAAACATGCCTAATTTCAAAGACCATAGATGCTATGAAGGAACTGAATCAATTAACAGGCAAAATAACCAGCTAACATCACAATGACAGGATCAAATTCACACATAACAATATTAACCTTAAATGTAAATGGGCTAAATGCCCCAATTAAAAGACATGGACTGAAAAATTGGATAAAGGGTCAAGACACATCAGTGTACTGTATTCAGGAGACACATCTCATGTGCAGAGACACACAAAGGCTCAAAATAAAGGGATGGAGGAAGATCTACCAAGCAAATGGAAAGCAAAAAGAAGCAGGGGTTGCAATCCTAGTATCTGATAAAACAGACTTTAAACCAATAAAGATCAAAAGAGACAAAGAAGGCCATTACATAATGGTAAAGGGATGAATTCAACAAGAAGAGCTAACTATCCTAAATATATACGCACCCAATGCAGGAGCACCCAGATTCATAAAGCAAGTCCTTACAGACTTACAAAGAGACTCAGACTCTCACACAATAATAATGGGAGATTTTAACCCTCAACTGTCAATATTAGGCAGATCAACAAGACAGAAGGTTAACAAGGATATCCAGGACTTGTACTCAGCTCTGCACCAAGCAGACCTAATAGACATCTGCAGAACTCTCTGCCCAAAATCAACAGAATATACATTCTTCTCAGCACCACATCACACTTATTCTAAAATTGACCACATAATTGGAAGTAAAGCACTCTTCAGAAAATGTAAAAGAACAGAAATCACAAGAAACTGTATCTCAGACCACAGTGCAATCAAATTAGAACTCAGGATTAAGAAACTCACTCAAAACTGCACAACAACATGGAAACTGAACAACTTGCTCCTGAATGACTACTGGATAAATAATGAAATGAAGGCAGAAATAAAGATGTTCTTTGAAACCAATGATAATGAAGGCACAATGTACTAGAATCTCTGGGACAGATTTAAAGCAGTGTGTAGAGGGCAATTTATAGCACTAAATGCCCACAAGAGAAAGCAGGAAAGATCTAAAATAGACACCCTAACATCACAATTAAAAGAACTAGAGAAGCAAGAGCAAATAAATTAAAAAGCTACCAGAAGGCAAGAAACAACTAAGATCAGAGCAGAACTGAAGGAGATAGAGACACAAAAACTCTACAAAAAAAAAACAATGAATCCAGGAGCTGGTTTTTTGAAAAGATGAACAAAATTAATAGACTGCTAGCAAGACTAATAAAGAAGGAAAGAGAGAAGAATCAAATAGAAGCAATATAAGTGATAAAGGGGATATCACCACCGATCCCACAGAAATACAAACTACCATCAGGGAATACTATAAACACCTCTATGCAAATAAACTAGACAATCTAGAAGAAATGGATAAATTCCTGGACACATACACCTTCCCAAGACTAAACCAGGAAGAAGTGGAATCTCTGAATAGACCAATTACAGGTTCTGAAATCGAGGTAATAATTAATAGCCTACCAACCAAAAAAAGTCCAGGACCAGATGGATTCACAGCCGAATTCTACCAGAGGGACAAAGAGAAGCTGGTACCATTACTTCTGAAACTATTCCAATCAATAGAAAAAGAGGGAATCCTCCCTAACTCATTTTATGAGGCCAGCATCATCCTGATAACAAACCTGGGCAAAGACACAACAAAAAAAAGAGAATTTTACTCCAATATCCCTGATGAACATCAATGAGAAAATCCTCAATAAAATACTGGCAAACCGAATCCAGCAGCACATCAAAAAGCTTATCCACCATGATCACATCAGCTTCATCGCTGGGATGCAAGGTTGGTTCAACATATGCAAATCAATACATGTAATCCATCACATAAACATAACCAGTGACAAAAACCACGTGATTATCTCAACAGATGCAGTAAAGGCCTTCAACAAAATTCAACAGCCCTTCTTGCTACAAACTCTCAATAAACTAGGTATTGATGGAACATATCTCAAAATAATAAGAGATATTTATGACAAACCCACAGCCAATATCATATTGAATGGGCAAAAACTGGAAGCATTCCCTTTGAAAACCAGCACAAGACAAGGATGCCCTCTCTCACTACTCCTATTCAACATAGTGTTGGAAGTTCTGGCTAGGGCAATCAGGCAAGAGAAAGAAATGAAGGGTATTCAATTGGGAAAAAAACAAGTCAGATTGTCCCTGTTTGCAGATGAGATGATTGTATATTTAGGAAACCCCGCTGTCTCAGCCCAAAATCTCCTCAAGCCGATACACAACTTCAGCAAAGTCTCAGGATACAAAATCAATGTGCAAAAATCACAAGCATTTTTATACACCATTAACACACAAACAGAGAGCCAAATCACGAGTAAACTCCCATTCACAATTGCTACAAAGAGAATAAGATACCTAGGAAGCCACCTTACAAGGGATGTGAAGGACCTCTTCAAGGAGAACTACAAACCACTGCTTAACAAAATAAAAGAGGACACAAACAAATGGAAGAACATTCCATGCTCATGGACAGGAAGAATCAATATTGTGGAAATGGCCATATTGTCCAAGGTAATTTATAGGTTCAATGCCATTCCCATCAAGCTACCAATGATTTTCTTCACAGAATTGGAAAAAACTACTTTCAATTTCATATGGAACCAAAAAAGAGCCCACATAGCCAAGACAATCCTAAGCCAAAAGAACAAAGCTGGAGGCAATCACACTACCTGACCTCAAACTATACTACAAGTCTACAGTAACCAAAACAGCATGGTACTGGTACCAAAACAGAGATATGGATGAATGGAACAGAACAGAAGCCTCAGAAATAACACCACACATCTAAAACCATCTGATCTTTGACAAACCTGAGAAAAACAAGAAATGGAGAAAGGATTCCCTGTTTAATAAATGGTGCTGGGAAAACTGGCTAGCCATATGTAGAAAGCTGAAACTGAATCCCTTCTTTACACCTTATACAAAAATTAACTCAAGATGGATTAAAGACTTAAATGTAAGACCTAAAACCATAAAAACCCTAGAAGAAAACATAGGCAATACCATTCAGGACACAGGCTTGGGCAAGGACTTCATGTCTAAAACAACAAAAGCAATGGCAACAAAAGCCAAAATAGACAAATGGGATCTAATTAAACTAAAGAGCTTCTGCACAGCAAAAGAAACTACCATCAGTGTGAACAGACAACCAAAAGAATGCGAGAAAATATTTGCAATCTACCCATCTGACAAAGGGCTTATATAGAGAATCTACAAACAACTTAAACAAATTTACAAGAAAACAAACAACCCCATCAAAAAGTGGGCAAAGGATATGAACAGACATTTCTCAAAAGAAGATATTTATGCAACCAGCAGACACATGAAAAAATGCTCATCATCACTGGTCATCAGAGAAATGCAAATCACAACCACAATGAGATGCCATCTCACACCAGTTAGAATGGTGATCATTAAAATGTCAGGAAACAACAGATGCTGGAGAGGATGTGGGGAAATGGAAACGCTTTTACGTTGTTCGTGGGAGTGTAAATTAGTTCAACCATTGTGGAAGACAGTGAGTGTGGCGATTCCTCAAGGATCTAGAACTAGAAATACCATTTGACCCAGCAATCCCATTACTGGGTGTATACCCAAAGGATTATAAATCATGCTACTATAAAGACACATGCACAGGTATGTTTATTGCAGCACTATTCACAATAGCAAAGACGTGGAACCAACCCAAATACCCAAGAGTGATAGACTGGATTAAGAAAATATGGCACATATACACCATGGAACACTATGCAGCCATAAAAAAGGATGAGTTCATGTCTTTGCAGGGACATGGATGAAGTTGGAAACCATCATTCTTAGCAAACTATCACAAGGACAGAAAACCAAACGCTGCATGTTCTCACTCATAGGTGAGTGAATACTAATGGAAAGAGGGAGAAAGATTAAGAAATTTCCAAAATGTGAATTCCAGACAAATAAAATAATAATCTTATAGCAGGACCATACTAAGAGTTGTATCTATAAATAAGTTCAGTGAGGACAGAACTTATTGGAGTTGTCTGCCTCCAACTGGAGAAGAAAGAGAGAGGAAGGCATCCTTACTTCTTGAAAACTTTGGTCTTGAAGTGACTTCGTGTCACTTCTCACCTTCCACCGGTGAGAACATGACCATAGCTGCATGGAAGCATGACCAGAAAATACTGTCCCTGGCTGGGCAACCACTTCCTAATGACAATTTCACACCATGCAATAGGAAATACCAAGATTTGGTGGACAGCCAACCAACTGCCATGCCCACATTTGGCAACTCACCAAGCAATTCCTAGAGATTTTTTAGTCTGAGCATTTCTCTCCTGGGTGTCTGACATCTATTGCTAACTTCACGGTATCATTCTGACTCGTATTGCCATCTTCAGTTCCTTTCTATAATTGAATACTTGCTAAAATATATCTTGGTGGAAGCTTCTGTTGTTTTCCTCTTAGACATAAACATAGCATCTAGCACTTTACTTCAGAATCTTCATGTAAAAATAGTCATTAAATTGAAAACAAGAAAAGACACTCCCCAATGTATCCTTCTTCCCTAACTGGTCAAGGATCCTATTAAATGTCAGGATTATCATTTCAGTGAGGGAAAGAAGAAAGAAGGGTCAAAGTCAGAATAATAAGCTCATCCTCTGATGATCTTTCTTTTATTATTATAGTTTAAATTTAAATCTGAATCTGAAAGAGAAACCTCAGACAAACTCATACCTATAAGATATATGCCCATGAAGTTACATTCAATGTAACATGGTAGAGGGGTCTGTGTGGATGAAGGAGAGGCAGTCCCATCTCTTTATCTCTTGGCCATGTTGGCAAGGGTTATGAGGTTAATTCTGTTTGATTTGCACAGAATGCCAGAGCCACCTGCCATCTCCTACTACAACCTGGGGAAATTCTAAAGTAAGTGTTCATCACTGCCCAGATATTGTAGAGAAATTCTGATACCTGAAGAAAAAACAAGATATATTTAACACACAAAATGTTAAAATAATTTAGGGGAATAAAATGGCATTTACTTTCAGACCCAGAGTTCATTATTTTTAATACTCTTTTTAAATTGAACTTTAAGCAATATAGTTCAGTATGGAAACAGTGCTTTATTTAGGAAAATGTCAGTTCTACTTTATTCCTTCATAGATAGATAATGTTAAAGTTTAATATGTATATATCAAACCCATTGCTAAGGATTTCCAATCAACCTGAGCCTTAGTATATACAGCAAAATGATGTCGGTTGCTATGAAAATATTCTGAGAAACAATGACAATGACAGTTAGCATTCTAATGTTGGGATTCAATGTCAACAACTTCAGGGACCAGATTAAACATTAATAATTGATTTCTATCATGAAGGACAGGGAAAACGGCTTCACCTGAAAGTCATTTAAAATTTACTCTCATAGTGCATGTGCTCTGAGGAAATGTGTATGCCAATCTTTCAATAAAACCTAAAAGATCTTCCTCCTCTTTTTCTCTTTCTCCTCTACATCTGTCAATTTCTTTCTCTTTCTTGTTTTCTCTCTCTCATTATATCTCTCAAAATATTTTTTAGTTACAGCTTATATGATGGAACACAAAATGTGAAAGTACTCTTCTATCATATTTTAGTAGTTACATACAGAATGTCACACATGCATAGCATCACGATGGTGTGTGTGTGTGTGTGTGTGTGTGTGTGTGTGTGTGTGATTATCTTAAGATAAATTTAAGGAGCCCTTAGCAAAAGTGTTCATTCATTTTGTTTTAATTAGAAGATTAATTTCATTAATTTAAATGGTGTATGTGAAACTGAAGGTGCCAGCTTTGGTCCCACTATAGAGAGGCAGTGATGCTCACAAAATAAGCACTCAGTCACTTCAGACAGTTAAGACTTGGCTCTTCCATTTGCTAAGTATATGAACTTGGACACTTAATCACTGTGCCTCAATTGTCTCATCAGATAAAGTAGAAATAATCAGCACCTACCTCCTAAGCTTGTTTTCAGGATTAAATAAGTTAAATACGCAAAGCACTTGGGACAATCCCTAGAACACACTAGGATTTACATAAATATTTATTCTTTTTCTTCTTATAACTACTGCTGCTGTTGGTACTACTGCATGAGCACCAGACAGCTTCAGGGGAATGCTAGTAGCACCCAATAGCAACGTAAGGCAAAATAGAGTGGAAATTAAAGTTCCAGGGAAGAAATCAGTAATAAGAAATTACCCAAGAAAATATGAATAATTCAGTCCAGTTTCAGGATATAGAACTAATGGAAAGAGGGAGAAAGATTAAGAAATTTCCAAAATGTGAATTCCAGACAAATAAAATAATAATCTTATAGCAGGACCATACTAAGAGTTGTGTCTATAAATAAGTTCAGTGAGGACAGAACCACCTAGCTACCAGTACCATGAAATAAATAGAGAACATGACCCTGACAAATAGGCTCTCGTCAGCTGTCTCTGGTAATAATGGCAATGGGAACAGGGAATGCACATTCTTCTGGATTGAGACAAAAGGGTCTGTTATGCAGGCTCTGTAGGCAGCCTGATTTTTCCTCGGAGGGATTTAATGGTAGAGAAGAACACAACCTGCAGACTTCACTTTGCCCCCTTGGTTCTTCATTTGTTCTGGGCCATGGTTAAGAAGCTGAATTTCCCTGGACTTTCCTTTTGAAAATTTAGGGTGAAATTAACATAAGAAGCTACTGACAGAAGGAAAGGAGGCCAGCATAAATTGGAAATAATCAGTAAACTGTTTTCTGAGATGACTTTGGACGAAGGTAAGAAGAACCCATTCGATTCCTCTGTCTCATGTTGTTTGTAGAAAAAGCTACATTTAAAAGACATTTCTATTACTGAACAAAGGGAAAACTTAAAGTAGAATCTGCTTCAATAATCAATTTTCAAAACTACATATTTAAGGAGGAAAAAAAGGCTAGAAGCACATCATGTCATGCTTAAGAGAGTTTTCCCTGTTCTATATTAATATTTTGATTCAGAGAGTTGGTGGGCAGTGGACAGTGGGCATTGTCACTGGTGACTCAAAAGGCAGAATGCAGGAAGAAGGTGATGCTTTGCTATCTGATGCTAAAGAATAAAATTTTAACGGTAAAAATACCCAGCAAATAATAAGTCCTGCTCTGTGCTCCACCATTACCTGTATCTAGATAAAGGCATTTCCTTGCATACAGATATTTCGGTTTGCATTACAACATATGGGACCACTGCTCCATACCATGAGTATTGTTTTATTTCCATAAAATCTTTATGTCAACATGACCAGTGAGTAGAGGTAGTGTGATTGGTCCAGACCCCAGACTTCTTAGGGGTTGTACTTTCATCTTGTCTTCTCTTTTCTCTCCTCATTTCCTCCATCACTCCTTCCCCTTCCCCTCCTTTCCCCTTTTCCTCTCTTCTCTGAGTTACTTCCCCTCTCTCTGAAAACTGCTTGGTGCCTCTTTCCAGAGAGGGCATTGTTACTGGACTTTTCTGTACTTTTGTCCCCTCATCTATAAAATGGAACCAAGAATCATCTCTAGGTTATTGTAGGGATCCAACAGGACACTCTATATTAATGGACTTAGCAAAAAAATTGACATGTGGTAAGTGTTCTAAAAATGGAGAAGTAACAATGATACTTGTCAAAGAAAAATTGTAACCAGAGAGAGTTAAATGGACAAGAAAGACTTTATTTAAGACTACCTTAGTGGTAGAGACAGGTCTAACTCAATGCCACTGAATCAAAAGGAGAGAGGAGGGAGCAGGGAGTGGGAGATCAAGGTGATTAGCATGGATGTTTGCTAATAGGCACTTATTGAAGTTAAGCTTCTAACCTCCCATGGAGACTGAGAGATGGGAGTGCTGTCTCATTTGATGATTACATTCCAAATGAATACTCTCAGGTTCTCAAGAAAGAGATTCCTAGGTGGTAAAACTGGCAGAGGCAGAGACAACATCTATGCCTCAAAGATGCAGAGAAAGAAATTACAGTGGAAAGTTTTCTAAAGTAAATGCTCTAAGAAAAGGGAGTCAGGAGCCTACAGTCAGGAAGAAGTTTGTCTCAGATTGAGTCAAGCTGAATGGAACGTTAAGGCCATCTTAGTCATCATGTTTAAGATGAAAGTTAAAGTAACTGCAATGCACATGGACTGTGGGGACAATGAGTTAACGGCCAAATGATTTGTATTTCATATTCATTTTCTCTTAGATAAAAATAGTGTCATTCGAGCACAGTGGCAGAGAATCCCTAAGGTCCAGCTGTGAGCACTGGTGGAACATTAATTACATAGGTTGAAAGACTCTTCAATAAATCAGATTTCTGTTCTTTGAACTTTCTAAATTTAGAGATTTAATATCAGCATCAGCAAAAGGGCATATATATTATGGGAATTGAGAAATAATGTATAACTCATTAGTGTCTAATACCTGGGTTAAAATATTTGTACGTTGAAATATAAATCCTCTTTATTCACCTCCAAGTTCATGTGTGAATGTGTTATTAGGGTACCTTCAATATGAATCCTACGTGTACAGCCTCAGGCCCCCATGGAGGAGAAGAATATCAAAATAACTACTCATTATTCAGAAAGGTTGACAAAATTTAAGTCTGAAAATGGTTCCTCTTTTTACTCTGTAAAATCCCCCTTCTTGAAGTGTGTTGAAGCTGAAGTTTATTCTAATTATAGGTAGGAAAGGCCACCCATTTTCAGCAACTAGACTAAGGAATACATGTAGATGAATTGGATATGCTGGCAAAATCAGATATGAAAATGCAAATGACCTGGCAATTAGGTATTTAAGTCAAAGAAAAATATGCAAATGACCTACTTTTTACACTAGAAATTTTTGTTAAAGTTCTGCTTTTGAATTTAGGAATCTGTTCAGTATTTCTTTCATGTTTAAGATGTGGAAGAGTCTTGTACTTCCTGGTAATTATATTCATTATAATTGTTATTAAAATTTACTAAACAATAACATAATAATGGAAAACAACTGGTATGGAGAATAAGCAAGGCTGGATTCATAAACAACTTCATCCTTTTAGTGTGTGATTTTTGACAAATCTATGAATCCTTTTCCTGTAAAATAAGAATAATGATACTTTGTCTACTATTATCACAGAAATCCTTCTCAGGGGAGTTAATAGAGGTGTATTACATTTGAAAATGGTGTTTAATTTTCAAAATACTGAGAACTTTTTACTAAGTTCATTAATTATTAGGTGCCATGTGAAACACAATCGAACTACAGTAAGTTCTCACTTACTGGATAGGTTCCTGGAAATGGACTTCAAGAAAAATCACATATAAGAAGACCAGTTTTCACCATAGACTGATATAAACAAAAGCTAAGCTCCTATAGGATGTTTCTGGTCACAAAAATATCATCAAACTTCTAAATAACGACAAAACACTTCTTATATTCAACAGCGAAATAAATATGACATTACATACATTTAAGAAAGGTTGATAAAAAAAAAACAGGTAAGATAATAATTTACCCTCTTATTGCAGTTCAGGGTCGAGGGTGACCAGAGTCTCTCTTGGCAACTTGGGGTGCAAGGTGAGGACCAGCCCTGGACAGGACACCATCCCATCGCAGGGCAACTCACAGCCCGCTCCCCGCCACAACCCCACCAATCCCCCACCAACACGCACACACGCACACAGTCAGACAAGGACAATGTAGAAATGCCAATAAACCTGACAGGCACAGCTTTGGCATATGGAAGGACGCTGGACTACTCAGAGAAAACCCATGCAGATAAGGGGAGAACGTGCCATCTCCACACAGACAATGGATGCAGTAATAATCCTTTTTTTTTCTCATTAATATAACTAAACAAGGTTGAAAGAAAGGTTGTTGTTTGAGGACCTGCGATCTACGTATCACTAGTCTTGATTTTTCTGTGAAACTATATTATAGGTGAAATCCAGGGTCCATCTTCGTGAGACAGACTTCAACCCCAGTTCTAACCTGGAGGGCAATTGAAAGTCCTATCTAAGACTTCTAGATGGATGGAGGGGTTACATTCTCAAGGTCACCTTTGCTTGTACGCTTGTACTTCTGCCTGTGCTGTCTCTGTTCCTCACTGAGCATTCCTGATGTTAAACTAACCCTCCTTTTATAGTTTCCACAAAAAAGATGACAAAAACAAAGAAACAAGCACAAAAAGCATTTTTATAGGGTTTACAGATTTCAATTCTTACAATTTAAATGGCATATTAGACATTTTAATTTTTTAATTGCCATGTTAGCTATGCTTCCATGGAGCTTTCTTACTGACTTTTATTGCCTACACTGAAGCATCTGATCATCTTGCTGCAGTTTGCTCTTCTTTTATCTGTTCTCGTCTTTCAGAAGCCAGCAACAATATTGAGAAACAAAGACAAAATAATTCTTTTTCTCATATACGGAAACTTAAATTTTCTTTTTATTGATTTGGCTGTAGTTCATACACAGGCCTTATGATCACACACTGTATTCTGGTAGATCATTCTGTTTATCAAATAGCACTGGGCTTTTTCCAGAAAGAACTCTGGTGCCAATTATGACAATTAAAATACTATTTCATCTTGCTACCTAAGGAAGAATTGTTATACTTAAGACAATTTGTTAATAAACTTACTGTTTTCCTATAATAAGGATAGTGGACTATAGCATCATTTTGAATAGTTTTAGCTTGATCAAGAGCTTAGAACTCTCTTGATGTCCAGCATGCAATGGCATTCTTGGGGTCAATTCTGAATAATATGTGTGGGTTGTTTATATAGCAATGTAAGTCAATGGTTTGTAGATGGCTTTCTTGATAGAGCTGGAGATCTATTCGATAGAAATTTTTTTGTAGAAGCAATTGTAAAATGACTTATTAAGTTACATGTAAGACTCTATTCTCAGGACTACATTCATGGCCACCACTGAGTAAGGATTCAGTAAAAACAGGTCAAATGATGTTGCAATGAACAAACAAGGTAAAAAGTGAGGTGCAGAAACAGAAACAGAGTTTTATCAGTAACTATATGTCAGTGCCTTGTTCTGGGAATTTTGACCTTCTATTTCTCTACTAATCTTGCCTGTTTCTCATTTTGCAGGTATTTCTTATTGTAATTTTTGTGTCCTCCTAAATTCCCCATTCATTTAATCCCTTTCTATCATTCTCTTTTTCTTGCTGTTTTTTTCATGTTTTCATTTGTGAAACAAACATTAGAAATGTTGGTTCAATCACCTGGAGTAATAAAAGGACCTTTTTGAACCCAGATAAATCATTTGAGGGCCTCTATTAGACATGTGTCTTGATATTCAGTCTCAATAACCACAGACATTATGAACATGTGCAGGAGGAACGGGAAGTACTGCTGTGTGGAAGGGTACGAGTGGCCTGTGAATCTACCTCACTCTGTCTTTTTGCTGAAATAGCTCTTAACTGCAGACTCAGCATGAAAATATGCCAATTCTAATAGGCCTTCATTAAAATTTTTAGCTAACATAGTCAGAATATTTGTTTTCGATGGAGTCATAATGAGAGCAAAGCAGGTAGGGCTACTAAGAATCAAATATTTTCAGATGAAAAGAAAAAGGGCCCATGAAACAAAAACATCTAATAGCTCATCATTCTGATTTTTGACAGCATAAACACATGTTCAATGTAATTACCAAGAAATGAAATGGACCATTATGCAATGACACCATATATTTGGAGGAGAAATTATTCATGTTGGTTTTTATGGTAATGATCTTCACAAATTGTTTTTTGTGACGGTTATCTCTGGTCCAACAATTTTGTTGATGATCAGAGATGATCCAGATATACCACGTCAAGGCGATTAATCCTGTACCAGGATCTTTTCTGTAATTATTGATCTTGATCTTGAATTAGAGATGTCTGTATAGAATTTGTGTTTGCTGGTGAAGGGTTTTGTAAGAAAGTCTTTGTAGGTGATAAGGGGTAGTTGGTGGGGAGAAGGAGTTATTATTAGCTCAGACAGCTGGGAGGTGGGTTTCAAAAGAGTATAATGAAAGCCCTCTATGGTTTTTTTAATCAACTAGACAATTTTTCAAAAAAGCACAGATTTCAAGTCTCCTATCTTTTGGTTAGACCATGTGTTGTACTTTTGGTTTGGAGAATGTGATTACTATGCACAGAGAGAGAAGAAGAATTCCCTGGGTTTGAAAATATTATAGCCGTAATATAAATATATTTCTATTGCAGTCCGTTATGCAAATACATATCAGGATCCCAAATAGCAAATTGGAAAAGAGTTAAAAGTGTGCCCCAGATAGTGAAAAATTGTGTGTAAGTAATTAAGTTTTTTACAGCTGCTATTTAAATTTGCAGCAAACATCTCTTGACACCTCAAATCCATGTGGACGATTGAATTTGTACAAATATGTGTTATTTTTCTAGCAGTTTTTTTTTTTTACCTAAATAAAGTTAATAAGACTAATGCTAAAAATTTGATTTAGATTTTGGTAGAATAACTATCTGGGGTTTTACTTAAAAGAGATCCTTAAAGGTATCAAAATGAAGATTTATAAAACTAGGTTGAAAAATCCAAATAACAATGATTAACGTTTTCAGCTAATTACTTTGCAAAATATAATTAAATAAATTATTTTATGGATCACTAATTATGCTCTATTATAATAATTGAAAGGTTGCATATTTTGCTTGTTCTAAACAAGATTTGAACCCAGGATTCATGTATATGGCACCGGGCACATTGCCTAGATTTTCTATGTCCCAGTTACCTCAAGTATAAAGTAGAAATTAATAATAATATTTACTTTTAGTGTCTTTGTGAGGGAAAGTCTAATACATAGCATGCCCTTACACAACTACTTTTTGAAGCAATTGAGAAATAAGACAGGCGGGCCTATAGTCCCAGCATATTGGGAGGCTGAGGCTGGCAGATAGTTTGAGCCCAGGAATTAGATATTAGCCTAGGCAATGTAATGAAACCCTGTCTGTACAAAAAGTACAAAAAATAAGTTGGGTATGATGGTGTGTGCCTGTGGTCCCAGCTACCAGGGAGGCTGAAGTAGGAAGATCGCTGGAGCCTAAGAGTCAGGAGTTGCAGTGAGCCGAGATCGCACCACTACACTCCAGTCTGGGAAATAGAGGGAGAACCTGCTTCAAAAAAAAAAAAAAAAGAGAGAGAGAGAGAGAAATAAGACAAAAGAGTCAGCAGAGAACCCAAATATTATAGTGTCAGCAGGAAGAGGCAGTTTAGGATGGGAACCAGATCAGAATTGTTCCTGTCTGTCCACCTAGGCTAGATCTTGGAACAGGGTATGCCTTGGGAGAGTGGGAAAGGCAGGGAATTAAATCTGCAGAAAAGTATCACTTTCATAAATTGCTTCAGTTTACTGATTCCTAAAAAGGTAAAACATCAGAAGTCAAATACTTTGTTCAGAAATTTTGAAAGATGTACTCCATCTGTTTGAATACATGGATTAGTGGCTGTAGCCTAATGACCGGGTAATTCACTGTACTTCTCGGGAAAGAGTAAAGGGTCAAGAAGATAGACATGTTTCATAAAACTGCCTCTTCACAGATGTTCCCTACTAACATTCCCTACCTTTTTATCTTCCCAGCCCATTGAAACTAACTTTTCAGGTTATGCTGATGCAGGAGTATGGCTAGTTTCTTAAGGAGGTTACTATCTTCATGAGGTCACTCCCCCAATCCCAACCACTCTCCTACAAGTATTCTTCTAGGATTACTGGTGGGCCATGTAGATTTTGCCCACACACACTCTGGAATGAATCAGAACAAAGCATTAATTATATCCACTCTTATCCCAAAGTATGTAAAAACTTTTTTTTTCCCATGCAATAACATAAAATGAAAACATTGATGAATAATAAATTATATGTAGAATTGCATTAATGTATAGTAAATTCCATATGGATTCTTCAGCACTAAAGTTCCAACAGTACAGAGAAGCCCCAGATTTAAATATAAATCCTATCCTTGATGAAATCCTTTCCTAGCCTATGATCAAACTCTCAAGCTGAACTTAAGTCCAAAAATTAAATGCCTGGATTTGGGCTGAATTTTCTGAATTTTTCAAAAAAGCACAGATTTCAAGTCTCCCATCTTTTGGTTAGACCATGTGTTGTACCTCTGGTTTGGAGAATGTGATCACTATGCACAGAGGCTCAGTAGGCATTTGTAGTTTCATGCCCCCAACTAGATCTCATTTTCTGTGAGCTGTCTGGGACCTACCTCTGGTAGGGACTTTTGGTGTTTGAATAATTCGGGTAAGAGCAGTTTCGGAGTGTTTTACACACCTCTCCTTTCCCACTAGTGTAAACTTACCAAGACAAATACGAGGAGTGAAAGGAGGATCAGAAATACAATGTCAAGGTTAATCCTAGAGCAGTCAGGCCCCAGGCCATGGTAAGACCTCTCTTTCCTTTCTTAAACTGTGATGCCTGTGTGGCTGTGCCCTAACCAGTCAGCTGAAATACTTGTAACTGAAATAACATTGTGTAAAGTATCACAGATTAGCCAAAAATTAAATATGTGAGTCTATGAATTTTGGGTTGTTTCTAACATGCAGAGAGTGATGCACTGCAGGCATTTTGAAAACTTAATGTTTGTTAAGCATGTTTTCTTGCTTTTTAGAATTCGGACTTGGAGGATTTCTACCTTTAAATTTCTAGCTTTATTCCAACTCATTTTGTCTGTTTGATGAATTATTTTTAAAAACAACATATTAAATATTAAAATGGCATAGAATTATTTATGTAAATGCTAAACTTTCATGTGATCTTACACAACTATTAAAAATACTGTAAAAAGAAGAAAATGTAAAAGTGCTGTAAAAAGCTTTCGTAAATGTGTATTTCTGACTTGATGTTTGTAACATACAGATAAGTGAGGAAAGCATGTTATCTTATAATATGAAGAATTTGAATTCTCTGAAAAGTATCACATATACATGCCTGTATTATTCACGAATGAGAGCTGGCAAGTATCATATCTGTAGAAAAATATCTGGAAAAATATATCTCAAGCTATTAACAATGATTGGTTTGGTGGATGGAATTTTGTACATGTATGTTTTCCTCCTGGTTTTACTGTAATGCTTCCATTATGAGGAAAAATAATAAAAGATACAACGAAATAAATAAATAGAGCTATTTCTTTGTGGGACCAGGAATGCCAGATCTTCTGAATTTTATTTATTATTATTTTTTAAACTTCTATTTTAGGTTCAGGGGTACATGTGCAGGTTTGTTATACAGGTGAACTGCCTGTCATGAGAGTTTGGTGTACAGATAATTTTGTCACCCATATTTTCAGCTTGTATTAGGCCATTTTCACATTGCTATAAAGAAATACCTGCAACTGGGTAATTTATAAAGAAAAGAGGTTTAATTGGTTCACGATTCTCCAGGATGCACTGGAAGCATAGCAGTTTCTGCTTCTGGGGAGGCCTCAGGAACCTTCCAGTCATGGTGGAAGGCATAGGGGAAGCAAGGCATCTCGCATGGTTGGAGCAGGAGCGAGAGAAAGCGGGGAAGAGCAACACATTTTTTTTTCTTTTTTTGAGACAGAGTCTCGCTCAGTCACCCAGGCTGGAGTGCAGTGGCGCGATCTCGGTTCACTGCAACCTCCGCCTCCCTGGTTGGTGCCATTCTCCTGTCTCAGCCTCCTGAGTAGCTGGGACTACCGGCGCCTGCCACCATGCCTGGCTAATTTTTTGTATTTTTAATAGAGACGGGGTTTCACCATGTTAGCCAGGATGGTCTCGGTCTCCTGACCTCATGATCCACCTGCCTCGGCCTCCCAAAGTGCTGGGATTACAGGCCTGAGCCACCGCGCCCGGCCAAGAGCTACACACTTTTAAATGACCAGATCTCATGAGAACTCACTCAATGTCTTGAGGACAGTATAAAGGGAATGGTGCTAAACTATTAATGAGAAACCACCCCTACCTCCTAGCTGAATCAGTCGCCTCCTACCAGGTCCCACCTCCAACACTGGGATTACAATTTGACGTGAGATTTTGGGCGAAAACAGATCCAAACAATATAACAGCTTAAAGATACTTTCTTGCTTAACTAGTTTATATTTTCTATGAAGAAATGATAGACATTATCAGAAGAAATGATGATAGACATTATCAGACAACTATGACCACACCATTTGTTTTGCAATCATTTCATGAATTTTGAGCCCATGATTTTATAACCACTTAGGGCCACAGAAAATTTCTAATATGATGAAAGTTCATGTACAATTTTTGTTATTTGAGATGAAGAGTGTGAAATATATGTGATATATATTATATATGTTATGTTATATAATATGTATGTGTATATATAGTTCTAAAATTAATTATGCATTTTCCCAAAAAAATTTAAGAAAAATCCCCCCTCCAATAAAACCTTGCTTAGAGGCAATTTGAAGTTCGTCATGATTTATCTCAATTTTCATGATATCCCTATATCTTCCATATGCAAATGATCAGTCTCTAGGTGTAATTATTTTTGACAATTTGATTGCTTCAAGGAATTTTTTTCTCAGCCATCTGCATCTACTACACTTTTTAAGAGTATTAAGAAAAAAGTAGAGTTATGATGGTGCATGAGATTCTTAAGCCCTGTGGACATCCGAACCACATTAGTACCAATCCTCCTGGTCTAATTGGTCTGTGCTGTTATTGTATCATCTGGCTCTCATGCTCTCTCTATATATCTCTTGCTCTGTCTCTCTGCCTCTCTCTCTCTCTCTCTCTCTCTCTCTCTCTCCCCCTCTGTGTGTGTGTGTGTGTTTTGTTGAATAGCAGACTTTACAGCACCCCAGTCACCTTCCTTCACCCTATTCAGCCTTGTGACCCTCACATGTTTGTGAGATGTCTGGCTGCATATGGACAAATTCTGAAACTAAAATTATCAGGGGTGAGCAAAGGCCACAGTGGGCAACGACGCAGGCAGGAGCAGGCTAACAGAAGATGCCCAAGCATGACTGTTGACCCACAGTGCCCTCAAGGACTGCTGCCCACCTGGCTTTTCTGCTGATCAGACAACTCGGACTTCACTTCTGACTTCTTTATTTTCTTTTTTAGAATTAACCTCTATCACCTGGCCTGGTTTTTTTTTTTTTTTTTTTTTTTTTTGGATTCTATGCTGAGTATTTTTCATTTTATTTAATCCTCTTCAAGCATCTTAGATATCCAACTCACGTATGTCTCCTGGGATAGAATGAAGTTACTGGACCTGGCAGGCCCAGCATTCAAAATTTGTCTTACAATCTTGCAGAAAAAGCAATAAAGTCAGTCAAAATTCAATCTTGGAATTTATGTTCATTCTTTCTTTTAATTATCCATTTAGTCAAGATTTAGTCTCTATGCTGCTGTGCCCTGTTCTAGATGCTGTGGATAAAGTAGGAAACAACACAGTCAAGACAAGCTCCCTGTTCTCATGAAGGTTACAGTTGAGTGGAGTACACTGAAAATGAGTAAACAAGTGACCGTATGATAGGGTTTCATGTGGTGATAAGTGTCATGAAGAAAAATAATGCAGGAAAAATGGACAGAGGTTGATAGATGGTCAGGGAAGGGCCCCTGGGGAGGCAACAGGAATAAAAAGAGAGAGTAAGCTAAGCAAAGAACTATGGGAATACATTTTCTGGTAGATGGAAATAGCAAGTCCAAAGGCCGTGCAGCAGGACTCAACATGCCTAGGAATCTGGAAAGCAAGAAGTTGGCCAGGATGGCTGGGGAGGAGAAAGCAAGGGCTGAACAATACGAAATGAGGGCAGAGATGTCTTCAGAGGCCAGATTTATGGGGCTTTGGAGGCCAGGTCTATGTGGAGTTTGGATTTTCAAATAGTGTAATAGGAAGGTACTGAAGGAGAGGAGTTGATATGGGCATGACCTAATCTGATCTATATATTGAAAATAGAGCCCCGGTTGCTGAAAGGAGACTATATTGTGGGCAGGTAAGCAGGAAAGAAGGGGATCCATACTTGGGAACAACAAAGAACCTGGCTTACATGATTGCAAATGAAGTGATAAACATAAAAGTGACTTAGGTTCTGTGGGACTATTCAGTTGTAATAAGAGTGTTATATATTTAGGATAAGACAACTGAAGTTCAACATTGATCTATTTTTTTAATCCTCCATAAACCCATTATCCATATTCCTGACAAGTGAAAAGCTCTGGCATATGACTCATTTATTTGTGAAATAACTTCCTTAGTCCACGCAGATGGTGTTTGCAGAGGCTGTCATGGGGGCGGCCTGTTGGAGAAGCAGGGATTCTTAGAGTCACATGTGGCTATCTCACCTGTGGGGGAGAATGTGAAAATGCTATCCCTGCAAGTCAAAGCCAAATCACAAGCCTTTTACTGTCCTTTTCTCTGGTATAACATTTAACATATTTTTGTGGCCGTTTTCTTGTCTTCTCCTCTACATAGCTTTGTGTAACTGTTGTCATAGCAACAAGATAGTCTACTTGGAAGAAATAGTTTGAAGAAAACTGCATTATAAATCAACACCATCGACAATATGGTTCTTTTTACATTGTTTTTGTCAACTTGGGTAATATTAAGGAGCCATGATTTATTGAGGCTTACATACATAAGACCCATTTTGTCTAATGCAGGAGTCAGCAAAGTTTTCCATAAAGGGCTGGAGAGTAAATATTTTAAGCTTCGAGGGACAAATAGTCTCTACCACAGTTACTCAATGTGCCCTTGTAAGATGATCCAGCCATAGACAATATATGTAAATGAGTGGAAGTGGCTCTGTTCCAATAAATCTTCATTTGCAAAACAGGCAGCAGACTGGATTTGGCCAGTGAGTCATAGATTGCTGATCCCTGATCTAATAATTTTCTCCCTCTCACTTTTGAAGATACTGCTCAAAGTATGTTCACTGGGCCAACCACATCAGAATTTCTGGGTCCTACCCCAGAACTCCTGAATTCAAATCTCTGAGATTATAAATTTGTAAGAGGAGACCCAAGTGTGAGTTCAAATGATGAGGTCTTTCAAGCCTTCATGAAAACAACCCTAAATAGAGTGGAATGCAAATTACCACAAAGCTTCCCACATTCTGAAATCAATACCCATCCACTGTTAAGCGAGGTAACATATGAGCAGCCTGAATACTATAAAAAAAGGAAGAAGAAATTTGCCAACATTTTCAAGTCAAGAAGATTTTACTTGAAAATATGGATTTCCGGCTCCTCTTATAAGTCAGAAAATCTGGCAACAATGAGCCCACATTCTTGCAAAGCAAAAATCTGCTAGAGTTGAGTCATGAGCACCTGATTCAGAGAAATCACATATGGTCAGATTTCTACCACTCTAACCACTTTAGATAATTCCACTTTTTACCATCTCTTATATTGTCCCATTTTCCCATTCAGTTACAAGTCTGCCTTCTGTGGTCATTTCATTCTGCAACCACTAATTTAATAAATATGGTCTCAGTTTTTAAGTATGGCTTACTATTAACTAATTTATCCACCTCTCTTATAACAGAACTTGACGGCATATGTCATAAGCCGTACATATGCAAAGTTTTAATCTGCCCATTTTAACAGAATGTCTGTAGAATCCAAAAGATAAACCTTTCTTATATTTTCTGTTGTAGTGCCTATAAATTTGCTATATCTAGAAAAATGACAGAAGGGACCTGGATAATAAATGCCGAAGTCAAATGCATGAATTTTTATCAATAGCTGAAATGTTTCAGTGAAACAGGAAGGATCAAGCTGCAGTCTTGGTTTAAAGACTTAAAGGCTATTCAATCATTCCACTTTTAAAGCTAGAATGTGTACTCTGGCTGCTCCCCTGTGTTTCCTGGGGGATACTTTCAGATGAAGCCTAGAAGACGGGAGGAAGATGGAGTGTAACTGGAAACATGCATTTCCAGCTTGCTAGCAAATGTTGCTTTTCCCCTTTTGTACTTGCTGAAAAAAGTTAAAGTATAACTCTTATCCATTGACATTTCCTTTTATTCTGTGCCCTCTCACTCTCTCCACTTCCTACTCTGAGCCCCTGGTGGGAGAAGGCTGGAGGATGTGGAAGAAAGGGGAGGGATCACTCAAAGATAGAGGGCAGTTGTAAGAAAGATGCTTCTACTGGAGACTTAATGTTAAAAAGAAAAAAAAATCACTTGAAAAGGGTTTATTGCTGTCTTTTTTGTAAGAGGAAAAGCATTTGTATTCACTCACAATAGTTCTAATTTTTAAATGCTCTTCAGGTTATGAGGAGGATTTAATGAGATCATACCCAAGGGACATTTATCAGAGTGCTGTTCACATGGTGAGTCCTTGATATGCACCAGCTGTTGTTATTAAAAATTTATTACTGTAACAATTATTGTTCATGATCAAAATAGTCATAATCATTTGGAAAAAATAAATTCACTGTGGAAGGGATTGCTAATGGTTATCTATTTTTTAAACTACAATCTGAATTGTTATATGCTATGTAGGTATATAATATCTATTTATAATATCTATATTAGGTTCACATATTTATAATAATGTATTATGGTATCTGGTCACCTCACAGTTTGTGTTATTTGTCAGAACACCCCAAAGTCATTTGAGTTTATTTATAAGCCCTGATCTCTATGATAAAAACAATTTATTTAAATGAATGTAATTTGCTGAATTTGATGAAACATTATACATAGGTGGATTAGGTAGCTGACAATATAATGTAATATGAAAGCTTTATTTACCTCTCTTGCATGCAAGATTTATCTTCCTTTTGATTCACCAGTGACAAAATATCAATGTTAAAAAGTATTACATTTTAGATAAAGCCACAGACGTTTCATACAATGAATGTAGTAGCCCATGATATCTTACCAGCACCAACTATATGTTCCTAAACAGAGTTTATCACTTCTTTCTCTAAAGCACCTTCTGATGGTCCTGAGAAAATAGGAACAGTAAAACAGTGTATTAGTCCATTTTCACATTGCTATAAAGATACTACCTGAGACTGGGTAATTTATAAACAAAAGGGGTTTATTTGACTCATAGGTCTATGTGGCTGGGGAGGCCTCAGGAAACTTAAAATCATGGAGGAAGGTGAAGGGGAAGCAAGGTACGTCTTAACAAGGTGGCAGGAGAGAGAGACCATGCAGGGAAAACTGCCACTTTTACACAATTAGATCTCATGAGAACTCTCTTGCTATCATGAGAACAGCATGCGGGAAACTGCCCCCATGATCCAATCACCTCCCAGCAGGTCCCTCTTCTGACATGTGGGGATTACAATTCAAGATGAGTTTTGGGTGGGGACACAGAGGAAAACCATTTCAAATTAAATTGAACACTATTTACTTATTTTTATTTATTTATTTTTTGAGCTGGAGTCTCACTCTTGTCATCCAGGCTAGAGCACAGTGGCACAGTCTCGGCTCACTGCAACCTCTGCCTCCCGGGTTCAAGTGATTCTCCTGCCTCAGCCTCCCGAGTAGCTGGGATTACAGGTGCACGCCACCACGCCCAGCTAATTTTTGTGTTTTTAGTAGAGACAGCGTCTCACCATGTTGGCCAGGCTGGTCTGGAACTCCTGACCTCAGATGATGCACCTGCCTTGGCCTCCCTAAGTGCTGGAATTACAGGCATGAGCCACTGCACCTGGCCGAAATTGAACCCTATTTAAACTTCACTATTAAATTGAACACCCAACAAGGAAAAGTTGAAAAATACCACCGATCAGGGAGGTTCAAAAAATGAAGAGAAAATGAAGGAGAAGTTAAGAATATCAGAAATAAATGTTGGCTTTGGTTTTTCTTAAAGAGAAAACTGCCTATTCCTTACTTAGTCAATACCCTATTTTGTTCACATCCTCTTTTAATTTTATCTACACGTATCCATCCCACATTGTTTGGGTGTTGAAACTTATCTTCACAAAAATATGAACTCCTCTAAGATTAAGTAGGGAAGGGTTTGTTACTGGGGTCATTTTTGCTGTTGATGTCTCATGGTCCTTCTCAAGCCAAAGACCAAATAATTCCTGTTTGTTTGAACTTCTGGTCATCCGCAAAACACACAAAACACAAATGCAGTTTGTTCCTAAAATACTTGCAATATCCTGGCTCTTACTTCCTTGTCGGAAATTAACACTGCATATCACCATGAGTTCTCTTTATTTGGGTTTATTTTACCCATTTTTAATTTATATGATTTTCCCTTGGCCCATGGTAGACTTTTCTCATGTCCTTGATTGACCTTCTGACAAAAATACTCATATCTTGATGTCCGTATGGTGTTTCATCCTAGACAGACACAATTTTACCCTTATTTGGTATATTATTTAAGCTTATTGTAACCCATGACTATTTTAAAGTGATAAATACTATGTGTGGTTTTCAAGAAACACAGATGATTATTGACAAAAAATTGTACCTAAATCACTTGTTAACATATTTTTGTGTGAATTTAAAGGATAATTTTTTGATGTATTTTCTCTACCTAAAAAGAAAAATCTCAGAGAGAACAGGCATAAGAAAAGCACAATCCTTAGTTATGGCCTGGATTTATACTATAATAAAGTATATGTACCCATGACTTTCTATTATTTTGTGCTGTAAAGAGGCATCGATCTTGCTTTAGATACAATTGTCAAGTTGAAACATACTAATAGGCATAAACTAGAAATAATGCTTTTTTAGCTACCTAACTATACCCTTTAAAAATATTCTGTTTATGAATACTCATTAGGTTTTTTTCAGCAACAATGTATCAGGCTAGGAAGATGACCAGATTCCTATAATCAGCCATACAAATGCCTCTAATAGAAGCCTTTTAATTGCTTTGAAGCACAATCCTTCATAAGCACATTTTCTGAGAACAAACTTATCATACCTTAAATTATAAATTTCCCATATATTGAAGAGTAATATTTTATTTTATTTTTATTTTTATGTCTCCCTAACCCTCTATTGATATTTCTGGCAGGAAGAATATACATACAAGAGCTATCCTCTTTTAAATGACTAAAACCAATTTGAAAAATGCCCTATGTTAAGAAGCCGTATGGAATGCTATTGAAAACACACATCTGCTGGGTAATTTTTCATGTAATTATGTAAAGTCAAATCTTCATAAACAAAGTAAAAGACAATTATAATCCCCAGTACTAGGTTTTGCAAAAATAGCGCAATGAAGATTTTTTTATCCTAATGAGTCAATCAGAATTAAATTGAAGAAATACCACCACAAAAATTCATTTTTTTCCTCCTCTTTTATAAAGGATTCTAAGGAACTGCTCTTTGGCTGACATCTATCACTGTCTGTAGTGCTACATTTGACCCAGCAGTAAGTACTATCTTAATTTTCAAAGCCTGATTTGCTAAAATGCCCTTGGTGATTTGCCTGTCAACACTCCTTCCCCTTTTACTCCCAACAGACCATTATTGTTTCATCCCTGCTACACTTCCTCACTTAGCCCATTCTGTTTTCATAGCTGCTCTTCTAAGGTCAGTGATATGGGCTGAGATGTGTAATGGTTAGCTTTTGCTGCATAACAAACCATCTCAAAATTTAGCAGCTTCAAACACTTATTATTTATTTGGCTCATGATTCAGTGGGTGGGCAATTTGGGCTGGTTTTAGCTGATGGTGTTTTGGTTTCAGCTGGGCTCAAGAGTGTGTTTGAGGAGAGCTACCTGTTTGGCTGGGCATTGATTGGGCTAGAATGGTTTCAGCTGGAAGAATTCCAGTTTCTTGTGCCTCCCATCTTCCAGCAGACTAGCCCAGGTTATTTACATTGCAGCTGGGCAGGTTTCCAAGAAAGAGAGCAAGAGAGCTGAGGCATTAATGGCCTCTTGAGGCCGAAGCTCAGACGTGTACACTGTCACCTGCACTACATTCTGTTGGCCAAAGTAAGACACAAGGCAAGCCTGGATTTAGAATGGGGAAGTAGAATCCATCTCTTGATGGGAGCAGCTGCAAAGTCACATTGCAAGGGGCGTGGACACAGAGAACAGAGAAATTATAGCTATTTTTCCAAACACTCTACAACAAAAATATGTGATGTCTGTGGGAATAAGTTCCTTTTGTTACTTAAGAGGAAATCATTCTTTTCCTCCAAATATATTTTTGTGAGGATGTCAGATCTTTATCTGGAACAGCTAATTCAATATCAGCACAGTGGAAAGCCAGCACAGAGAAAGAATGTGTCCAAAAACATGAAGGAGACACAATGCATAAAGTTAACTTTAAAGACTATTCTTCCTCCCACTTCTCCCTGGCCCCCATTGTCCCTAGGCAACCAGTGACCTGCTTTCTGCCACTATAGATTAGCCTAAAATTTCTATGAATGGAATTATACAGCATGCATGCTCTGTCTGGCTTGTTTCACCCAACAAAATTATTTTGAGATTCTTCTGTGTTTTGCATGTATCAATAGTTCATTTATTTTATTTCTGAGTAGTGTACCATTGTATACTACATTTTGTTAACCCATTTACATGTTGCAAGATATTCGGGTTGTTTTCAGTTTAGGGCTAGGACAATAGAGATGCTATGATCATTTGCATATAGGTCTTTGTGTGGTCATCTGCATTAACTTTTCTTGAAACTATCTAGAAGTAGAATGGTTTGGTCATATGGCAGCTGTATCTTTAACTTTTTAAGAAAGTGTTAAACTGTTGTTTGGAGTAGCTGTACCATTTTACAAACCTACCAGCAATGTGTGAGTGTTCCATTTTCTCCACATCTTCAGAATCATGTATTATGGTCAGATTAGTTACTTTTTGAGATTCTAATAGGTGTTTAGTGGTATCCCATTGTGCTTTTAATTTGTATTTCCCTAATGTCTAATGGTGTTTTCATGTGCTTATGTGCCATGTACGTACCTTTTTTTGGTAAAGTGTCTGTTCAAATATTTTGCCAATGTTTAAGTTGGGATGTTTGTTTTCTTGTTGTTGACTGTTGAGAGTTCTTTACCTACTCTGGACAGAATTTCATATGGAGAAACAATGATCTATGGGTAACTCATATTTTTGCACATCATCTGTGTAAAGGCATTTATTTGTTTATGTAACAAACATCCTTGGAAAATGGAAGCAGTGTCTCTTTTCAGAGTGGAAGACATATTCGCTTGCTCTCCAGGATAATATAAGTAATTTTTCCTTTGGGAAATTGTTTGGCAGATTATGTAGCAGCCTCTCTAGAAGATTGGGGTTTTCTAAGGTCAGCGATCCTCAGCTGTCATGCAAGCCCTCTACCTGTGTGGCATCACTGGGCTTCTCTGTATCATCTGCGGGAATTGGGGAAGGAAGGAGAAACCAATGAGAACGTGAAGCTCATGTTGCCTTTTGAGGCAGGTCAATTTTTTAGCTAGGTTAACAAGTAGGTTAAAATTTCAGACCTTTCACAGTTCTCAGTGCATTATCAGGTACGTGATCTTCTCATATTTTCATAGCCCATGACTTTTCTTTTCACTCAGCAATGTCTTTCAAAATGCAGATATTCATAATTTTGTGTGCTCTAATTTATTAACTTTTATTGATAATGCTTTTTGTGTTTATCTTATTGAGTGACTTGAAACCTTTATCATTATAAAAGATTATAAACCTTTATCATTATAAAAACAAATAAAGTTTTTTCTGGTAATATTCTTTGCTCTGAAATCTACTTTTATAATATAGTAATTCTAGATGTCTTTTGAATAGCATTAACAGGGTACACTTTTCGCTTATTATTATTATTATTATTATTTTAAAAAAATGGAGTCTCCCTCCATTGCCCAGACTAGAGTACCGCGGCATGATCATGGCTCACTGCACCCTGGAACTTCTGGGCTGAGGCAATCCTTTCACCTCAGCTTCCTCCTGAGTAGCTGGAACTACAGGCCTACACTACCAGGCCCAGCTAATTTTTTATTTTTTACTTTTTGTAGAGACAGGGGTCTCACTATGTTGCTCAGGGTGGTCTCTAATTCCCGAACTCAAGCAGTCCTCCTATCTTGGCTCCTAAAGTGCTAAGAGTACAGGTATGAGTCACACAACCAGGCTCTATTTCTTTAATTTTAACTTATTTGTGTTTTTATATTTAAAGTAGACTTCTTGTAAGCAGGGCAGAGTTGTGTCTTAACTCTGTATTCAATGCGACAATCTCTGCCTCTTAATTGAAGTGTTTAGACTATATGCATTCAACATAATAATGATATGATTGAGTTTAAATCTACCATTTTGCTCTTTTTTATTTGCTTTTTTGGTTTTTTTTTTTTACCTCCTTATCTGCTTTTTAAAAATTATTTGCATATTTCATAGCTAAGGAGTATTTTATGTTTTTGTAGTTTATAATTTCATCTCTTTTTCAGCTTATTAGCTATAACTCTTTGTTAAGCTATTTTAGTGATTGCTTTGGGGTTATAGTATACACATTTAATTTATCACAATATATTCTTAATTGACATACTTTTTTTCAGAAATAATATAAGAAACTTAAGTAGTATATTTCCATTTTTTCCCTTTTAGTTTTTATAATATTGTTATCATAGTCCTATATATGTTAAAAATTCCAAAACACATTTTAAATATTCCTACTTTATACTGTGTATTATCCTTCAAAGAAGTTTAAATAATAAATAAATTATTCATGTTTCCCAATGTAGTTAGCATCCCTGGTACTCTTTATTAATTTATATATATTTATGTTTCCATCTGGTGTTATTTTACTTCTGGCTAAAGAACTTTCTGTAACATTTCTTGTTGTGCACATTTCAGTGATGAATTCTTTTAGCCTTTGTATATCTGAACTACTCCTTAATTTGCCTTTATTGTATTTAACTAGGTGAATAATTGTATTACTTTTTTTGTTCTTTTAGTACTTAAAAACTGTCATTCCACTATCTTCTAGCTTGTATTGTGTTCTATGAGAAATCTGCCATCACCCTAACGCTTGTCCCTCTCTATGTAATGTATCTTTCTTTTGGGCTGCTTCTGTAAGGTTTTCTCTTTGTTTCCTCACTGGTTTTAAGGAATTTGATTATTATATGCCTTCATGCAGTTTTCTCCTTGTTTTGTTTGCTTAATGTTTGTTGAGCATCTCAAATCTGTTGGTTTATACCTTTACCAACTTTGGAAAAAGTTCAGCCATTATCTATTCAAATATAGTTTTAGTTTCCCAACTTTTCTCTTTTTTTCAATGACTCCACTTATACATGGATTTGACTGCTTGAAGTACTTTCACATAACATTCATACACTGTTATTCTTGTTGGTTTTTTTTAAATTTGTTTCCTTTTTGATAGTTTCTAACCTCTTTCTTTCTGCAGTGTCTATTTGTCTTTAGTCATACACAGTGTATTTTTTATCTAAAACATTTTCTTTCTACCTCCAGAAGTTTGATGTTTGATTTGTTTCTAATATTTTTCATTTTTCTACTTAACATGATCAATCTCCCCTAATTTCTTGAACATATCCATTATAGTCAAAATAACTATTCTGATGTTCTTGTCTACTAATCATAGTGTCAGCATCATTACTGGTTCAGTTTCAATGGGTTGATGTTATGCCTCAATATGGGTTGTATTTTCTGACATCTTTACATGGCTGGTGATTTTTGACTAGGTGCCAGGCATCAAAGTTTTTATCCTGTTTGTTGCCAAATAGTTCATATTCCCTTAAGTATTGAACTTTGGAACAGGCTTACGTTACCTTAAATTTGACCCTTTTAGAGCTTACTTTTTAAGCTTTGTTAGACTGAACAAGAGCTACATTTAGTCTGGGGCTAATTTTCCCCCCTACCAAGGCCAGATCTTTATTATTTTCACTGATGTCTCCTGAATTATGAGATTTTTCTATTTACTTATGGTGTTGGAAAGAGGCCATATTCCCAGCTTTGTGTGAACTTCACAAACAATTACCTCTAGTCCTTTTGGTTGCCTCTTTTTTGGGCCCTCAGTTTACTAACACATGTGCACTGATCAGTGCTTAAATGAATGCTCGAAGGGGACCCACTCCAGGTATTCAGAATTCTATTTCTACAGAGTTGTCACCTCTGCAGTGTTTTTCCCTTACTCTAGCTGCTTTGGCTCCCTAGATCACAGGGTTATTTCCTCAATTTAGGGAAGAGGGTTGCCACTCTGTAACTCCGCCTGGGTTCTTAGTGCTTGGAAACATTTTCCATGAGGTAAGTCAGGGAAATTTTAGGGCTTTTTGTTTTTTAAATTTTTTCTTTAGAGTTAGAGTCTCACTCTGTCACCCAGGCTGGAGTGCAGTGGCACAAACATTGTTCACTGTAATCTTGAGCTCCTGGGCTCAAGCAATCCTCCCACCTCAGCATCCCAGGACCACAGACGTGCAGCACCACACCTGGCTGTCTTTTGTTTTATTTTCTATAGAGATGAGGTCTCACGATGCTGCCCAGGCTTGCCTTGAACTCTTTGACTCAAATGGTCCTCTCCCACCTTGGCCTCTCAAAGTACCAAAATTATAGGCATGAGCTGCCATATTCACCTTAATTTTAGAGCTTTCTTCATTTCTTTCTTATATCTCAGGGATCACTGTCCATTTCCTAATGCCCAATGATTGAGTGCCTATTTTCATCTATTTTGTCTATTTTTCAGTTGTTTCAGGAAATAGTATAAATCTGATCCTAAGTATTTCATGTTGACTGGGAAGCATCCTAGTAATACTGACATATTTAATGCAATATAAGGAGCTTACATTCAAATAGTCATTTCAATGAGTGCATGAATAATTGCTTTATTGATCATCCAGGAAAAAAAAAGATGATTATTGCTTTATCAATGAAACCTATAAAAATTTTTCCACCATAACGGGAACTGGGAAAAAGATTTATCTGGTTTTCAATTTGGGGGCTGAATTTTTTTTAAAAAACAGTTTAGGAAGGATATGATGATTACATTTCCTAGCATTGCTGTGAAAGTTCAAGAAGTGAAATTGATAGGAAAGATGCACAGAACATCTAGATGAAGAATGATAAAGAAAATATCTTATATGTTTCTTTATTTTGATTAATCCAAACTATTATCATTAGACAGATGACCATCCTTCTATTGCATACAGAATTATAGATTCATAAATAGAGATACAAGAAAGAAATTCATAAAATAACACCTTCAAACAAAAATAACATATGATTGATTATTTAAGAACCTTAAAAAGCTTTCCGCTAATTACGTTTTATTTTATTTTACTTTCATTTTCAACTTTTATTTTAGATTCAGGGGTACACGTGCAAGTTTGTTATTTGAGTATATTGCATCATGCTGAGGTTTGGAATACAAATAATACTGTCACCCGGGTACTGAGCATTGTGCCCAACCATTAACTTTCCAGTCCTGTGTCACCTCATTCCCGCCCTGCTCTAGTAGTCACCAAAGTCTATTGTTGCCATATTTGTGTACATAGTGCCCAATATTTAGCTCCCACTTACAAATGGAAAGATGCCATATTTGGTTTCCTGTTCCTGTATTAATTTGCTTAGGATTATGGTCTCCAGCTGCATCCATGTGCCACCATGGACACGATTTTATTCTTTTTTATGACTGCATAGTATTCCATGGTGTATATGAGCCACATTTTATTTATCCAGTCCACTGCTGATGGACACCTAGGTTGATTCCATGTCTTTGCTATGGTGAGTAGTGCTGCAATGAACATGCAAGTGCATGTGTCTTTTTGGTAGAAGGATTTGTTTTCTTTTAGAAATATACATCATAATGGAATTGCCAGGTCAACAGCAGTTCTGTTTTCAGTTCTTTGACAAATCTCCGAACTGCTTTCCCCAGTGGCTGAACTAATTTACATTCCAACCAACAGTGTGTAAGTGTTCTTTTTGCCACAACCTTATCAACATCTGTTTTTTCTTGACTTTTTAGTAATAGACATTCTGACTGGTATGAGATGGCATCTCATTGTGGTTTTGATTTGCATTTCTCTGATGATTAGTGATGATAAGCCTTTTTTCATATTTGCTGCCAGTTTGTATGTCTTTTGAGAAGTGTCTGTTCATCTCTTTTGCCCAGTTTTTAATGGGGTGGTTTTTTGCTTGTTTAATTAATTTCATTATAGATTCTGGATATTAGATCTTTGTCAGACGGATAGTTTGTGAATATTTTCTCCAATTTTATAGGTTGTCTATTTGCTCTGTTGATAGTTTCTTTTGCTGTGCAGAAGGCCTACAGTTTAATTAAACCCCACTTGTCAATTTTTGTTTTTGTTGCAATTACTTTTGAGGACTAAGTCATAAATTCTTTCCCAAAGCCATGTCTAAAATGTTATTTCCTAGGTTTTCTTCTAGGATTCTCACAATTTGAAGTCTTATGTTTAATGTTTTTTTCTCCATCTGGAGTTAACTTTTGTATATGGTGAGAGGTTGGGTCCAGTTTCATTCTTCTGTGCATGACTAGACAGAGCATTTATTGAATAAAGAGTCCCTTCCCCATTGCTTATACTTGTCAACTTTGTCAAAGATTAGATGGCTATAGATGTGCCTCTTTATTTCTGGGTTCTCTGTTCTGTTCCATTGGTCCATGTGTTTGTTTTTGTACCAGCGCCATGTTGTTTTATTTACTGTAGCCTTGTAGTGTAGTTTGAAAGTCAGGTAATGTGATGCCTCCAGCTTTGCTCTTTATGCTTAGGATTACTTTGGCTACTCAGGCTCCTTTTTGGTTCCATATACGTTTTAGAATAGTTTTTTTCCAAATCTGACAAATGATGTTGTTAGCTTGACAGGAATAGTGTTCAATCTGTAGATTGCTTTGGGCAGTATGACCATTTTTACAATACTGATTCTTCTATTCCATAAACATGGAATGTTCTTTCATTCATTTGTGTCATTTATGATTTCTTTAGTAGTATTTTATAGTTCTTGTAGAGATCATTTACTTCCTTGAATAAATGTATTCTTAGGTATTTTATCATTTTTGTGGCTATTGTAAATGGGATTGCGTCTTGATTTGGCTCTCGAGTGTTATTGGTGTATGGAAATGCTACTAATTTTTGTACATTGACTTTGTATCCTGAAACTTTGCTGATGTCATTTATCAGTCTAAGAATCCTTCTGGTGGAGTCTTAAGAGTTTTCTAGCTGTAGAATCATATTGTGAGTAAAGGAAGATGGTTTGACTTCTTCTCTTATTTGACTTCTTCTCCTATTTTTTTCTCTTGTCTAAATCCTCTGGTTAAGGCTTCTAGTACTACATTGAATAGGAGTAGTGTGAGTGGACATCCTTGTCCTCTTCCAGTTCCCAAGGAAACTGCTTCTAATTTTTGCCCATTTAGCATGATGTTGGCTATGGGTTTTTCATAGATGTTTCTTATTATGGTATGTTCTTTTGATGCCTAATTTCTTGAGTTTTTATCATGAAGTTTTGTTGAACTTTACTGAAAGCTTTTTCCACATCTATTGAGATTATTATATGTTTTTTGTTTTAATTCTGTTTATGTCATGCATCACATTTATTGATCTGTATATTTTGAACCAACCTTGCATCTCGGGAATGAAGCCTACTTGATCATGATGAATACACTTTTAGATGTGCTGTTGGATTCATTTTGCTAGTAGTTTGTTGAGGATTTTTGCTTCTATGCCAATCAGGGATATTTGCCTGTAGTTTTCTTTTTTCATTGTGTCTTTGCCAGGTTTTGGTATCGGGGTGATGCTGGCTTCATAGATTGAGTTAGACAGAAGTTTCTCCTCTTTGATTTTTTAAAAAATACTTTCAGTAGAATTGATACTAGCTCTTCTTTGTATGTTCGGTAGAACTTGGCTGTGAATCCATCTAGGCCAGGCTATTTTAGTTGGTTGGTTTTTATTCCTGTTAATTTCAAAACTCATTATTGGTCTGTTCGGTGTTTCAGTTTCTTCCTGACTGTTCCAGTAATTTATTTTTCTAGGTTTTCTAATTTGTGCAATTTGTGCATAGAAGTATTTATAATAGTTTCTGAGGATGTTTTGTATTTCTGTTGAATTGGTTGTAATGTCACCTTTGTTGTTTCCGATTATGCTTATTGAATCTTCTCTTTTTCTTTGTTATACTAACTAGCAGTCTGTTAATGTTGTTCATCCTTTCAAATAACCAATTTGTGGTTTTGTTGATTCTTTTTATTCATTGTTTTTGGGGTATCAATTTCATTTAGTTCTGCTCTGATTTTAGTTATTTCTTTTCCTCTGCCAGCTTTGGTGTTAGTTTGCCCTATTTTACTAGTTTCTCTATGTGTGATGTTAGATCATTCATTTGAGATCTTTCTAACTTTTCAAGATAGGTGTTTGGCACTATAAACTTTCCTCTTATCATTGTTTTTACTGCATCCCAGAGATTTCAGTGTGTTTTGTGTCTGTTTTTATTTATTTCAAAGAATTTTTTTCATTTCTGCCTTTATTTTGTTGTTTAATCAAAAGTCATTCTGGAGCAAGTTGTTTAATTTCAATGTAATTGTACGGTCTTGAGAGATTTTCTTGGTATTGATTTATATTTTTATTCCACTGTTGTCCAAGACTATATTTGGAATAATTTTATTTTAAAAAAATTTAATTGAGACTTGCTTTACTGCTGAGCCTGTAGTCAAAATCTTGGAGGATATTTCATACATAGATGAGAAGAATGTATATTATGTGTTTAGTGGTTGGAGTATTCTGTAGATGTGTACTAGGTCCAATTGGTCAAATGTTGATTTTAAGTCCAAAATTTCTTTGTTAGTTTTCTGACACAATGATGTGTCTAATGCTGATGGGGGTGGTAAAGTCCCCACTATTGTTGTGTGGCTAAGTCTTTTCATAGGTCTAGAAGTGCTTGCTTTGTGAATAAGGGTGCTCCAATGTTGGGTGTAGATATATTTAGGATAATTCAGGATAGTTATGTCTTCTTGTTGAATTTAACCTTTTATCAATATACAATGCCCTTCTTTGTCCTTTTTTTTCACTGCCTTTCGTTTAAAGTCTCTTTTATTCGATATAAGAATAGCAACCCTTGCTCTTTTTTGTTCTCCATTTGTGTGATAGATCTTTCTCCAACTCTTTACTTTGAACCTTCACTTTGAACCTAGGTGACAGATCTTTCTCCAACTCATCATGGATCTCTTGAAAAGAGCAGATAGATGTCTCATTTTTTTATTCAGCTTGCCATTCTGTGCCTTTTAAGTGGGGTGTGTAGACCATTTATTTTCAGGGTTAATATTGATATGTGAGGCTTCAATACTATTGTGAAATTGTTACCTTGTTGCTTTGTAGTTGCTATTGTATTTTTGCTTTACAGTGTCTGTGGGATATGTACTTAAATGTGTTTTTGTGGTAGAAAGTATTGTTCTTTTGTTTCTGTGCTTGGAACTCCCTTAATGATCTCTTGTAAAGCTGGCGTAGCAGTAACAAATTCCCCTAGTCCTTGCTTTTCTTGAAAAGATGTTATTTTTCCTTCACTTACAAGGCATAGTTTGGCTGGATATGAAATTCTTGGTAGGAATTTCTTTTCCTTAAGAATGCTAAAAATAGGCCCCCAGTATCTCCTGGCTTATAGGTATCTGCTGACTACGTTTTCTTTAAATAGCCAATCTCTACCATTTTGAAAACACAAAAGAGCTATTATTACCTTAACCTTATGAGTCATTTTTAGTCTTTTTAAATTATCCTCAAACAATTTATACTTTATAAATTATATTTTATAATTAGACCAGTTCGTTATCAATACCTTAAAGCAGTATTTTTAAAAAATACAATGGGATGGGTTATTATATTTTTTATCTAACTTTATCAAGCACCACATAATTTGAAAATTCACTAACAAACAATAGCTTGCATCCAATATACAAGATTATGCAAGTTTATTTTCCCCATCTAGATACTTGTAAAAGTACTCAGAGTTAGGCTGGGTGCAGGGGCTCATCCCTGTAATCCCAGCTCTTTGGGATGCCAATGCAGGTGGACCACCTGAGGTCAGGAGTTTGAGACCAGCCTGGCCAATATGGTGAAAACCCATCTCTAGTTAAAATACAAAAAAATTAGCTGAGCGTGGTGGTGCACATATGTTGTCTCAGTTACTTGAGAGTCTGAGGCAGGAGAATCGCTTGAACCCAGGAGGCAGAGGTTGCAGTGAGCCAATATCACACCACTGCACTCCAGCCTAGACAAGAGAGTGAGACCCCGTCTCAGGGGGGAAAAAAGTACTCAGAGTTAATTTAGTGACTCTTCCAGCTAAATCAATTCTATATCATTGAATTCTGATGGGGACTGAAACCTTTTCTGTATGCTTTCTTTAAGGTTAATTTCCTCTGTTTAACTTTCAGTTGTTCCTCTTCAGCAAAAAGTCACATTTTCTCATATTTTCCTAAAGCCTAATTTTATCTTCTTCTTCTTTACATAGTCAAGCATCTCTTGTAATTGCTTTGGCAAAAAGAGAAGGATTTTTCTCTTGGTTCACTTAATAAAGAGTCATATGAGAAAGCTACAAGTGTTCCACTTAAAATGTACCTTATTACGTTATACCTATAATAGAAGTTCATCATGAGCATTTTGAGAATTCATAATATTAGAAAGAAGTGGAGAAAATCAACATACATCGTTTCACCACCCAGGGATAAAAATAATTAACATTTAGAATATTTGCTTCTAGTATAAGAATTAAATTGAGTTTTGACTGCAGTTGTGTTATGATTTGTTTCCATCCTACCCATGTGGTTGCACACCAGATGGAGAAACTCCACTAATTATCCATGTTTCCTCCGGTGTCAAATTTACCAGTTGGCAACCTCATCACAGCTCTTCTGAGCCCTTCTACCCTGTTACAGTATACAGCCTGATGTCGCCACACTGCATTACTTTCCTTTGCTCATTTTAGCTACCCGCAGCCCCTCTCTGATAATCAGAGAGAGAGAATTAGTAACTACCAAGTTTACTCAATCTGTCTTTTAGTTATTGGTTTTGACATATTCAGAAAATAAAGATATATTCAGAAAATTTACTAAGAGTATTTGTGATGCAGCATGGTATAAAATAAAATTCACTGGTATAAGATAAAATATTACTGGGACACCCACTCCCTCCTCCTTCTGGTAAGAGAGCTAGATCTAGACAATCTTAGGTCTGCTTCCCTGTAGCCATGAGCTGCAGAAAAATTGAAGCAGAACTGAGAGAATAGATTGCAAGAGAGTGTTTAAGTTCCTCTTCTGCTGCCATGTCACACTCACTTGTTATAACGGTTGCCCTTGTACAACAGAAATCTGCAATAATGGCAGAGGAACAGGTTTCTGAGGTGAGGAGTTGATAAAGAGAGGTGTGAGGGAAGAGACCAGTGGCTTTGGGAACTTATTTCTCTCTGCTCCCCCTCTCCAACCCCACAAAAAAAAAGCATCTTCCAAATATTTCTCCTAAGAATTTCAAAGCAAGTCCTGATCAGAGATTTTTCCTGGAGGAATAGCAACAGTGGTCAGCAGAGTTTCAGGTGGCCTGATACTTTTTGCTCAGAACTAATCTCTTACTCTTCCTTAAACTTACCAGAAGGGGCACAGGATTTCACCTGGCTTTCAGCCTTTGTCTCACATATATTATCAGATAGAGAAGCTGAGCCACACAAGAAAACATACATTCACAGGCTAAAATGTCTATATACTTAAGCAACACAGCTACTATAAATGAAATGAAACAGCATATGCCACATGGATCATATCTAATATAAGAATTATAAAAGATAACCAAGAGGAAATGTTTAATCTGAAAATTATAATAAAGAACAATTTAATTGAATAAAGAACAGGCGAGAGAAAGTTTTAGAATTAACTGTTGTGATGGAAGTGGACACTGAGAGACTCTCAAGTAAGTAGTAGAAAAGGATAAAGAGATGGTAAATTTTTTTTTAAGCTAAGAGGTAGGAAAAACAAAATAAGAAACAAAAAAGTCAAAATCATGTAATTGAGTCCAATAGGGGTAAAGAGAAAATAAAAACCAGATGAAAATATATGTAGTAGTAACAGAGATGTAGATACGATAGATCTAGATAGGATATTAAAGGATAGGTGAAAATGCTCAGATTGAAATAATTCATAGAGTGTCAAATAAGAGAAGCAATAATCATAATGACAATAATAACTCCCCACACAATCTGGTGAAATTTAAGAACATCAAAGCAGTCGCATTACTGGGTATATACCCAAAGGAATATAAATCATTCTACTATAAAGACACATGCACTTGTATGTTCATTGCAGCATTCTTCACACAAGCAAAGATGTAGAATCAACCTAAATGCTCATCAAGGATAGATTGAATAAAGAAAACATGGTATATATACACCATATAATACTATGCAACCATAAAAGATGAGATCATGTCCTTTTCAGGAACATAGACTGAGCTAGAGGGCATTATCCTTAGCAAACTAACACAGGAACAGAAAATCAAATACCACATGTTCTCACTTATAAGTGGGTGCTAAATGATGAGAACATATAGACACATAGAGGACAACAACACACACTGGAGCCTTTCAGAGGGTGGAAGGTGGGAGGAGGGAGAGGATTAGGAAAAGTAACTAATGGATACAAGGCTTAATACCTGGGTGACGAAATAATCTGTACAACCAACCCCCTTGATACAAGTTTACCTACATAACAAACCTGTGCTTGTACCCCTGAACTTAAAAGTTAAAAAAAAAATAGAAAAAAAATAAAATTCCGAAAGCTTCTAGGAAGTAAAGACAGATTGCCTACAAAATATTAATATAAGAATCAAATTGATACACTACTGGATGTATACTGGATGTAAGAATATACTGGATGTATACTGGATGTAAGAATATAATAAACTAGAAATTTAAAACAACGATTTTATATGAGGAAAAATATTTTTATTTAAATAATTTTAATTTATTTATTTTTAATTGAAAATCATGTATATGAGATACAATGTGATGTTTGAGGTATGTATACACTGTAAAAAGAAAGCATATTTTAAAAATATGGAGCATAACACAATTTTTTACTTGTGTAAATGCTCAGAAGTTTGGCCTCAACCAGCTCCATATTGAAAACACTCTTAGAGGAAGCAATTATATTAGAAGAGAAAATGTTCAGGATGATGTTTCAAGATAATTGGGTATTAAATATAAGCAAATTTTAAAACAAAGTTTACTGTCACTTAAAATTTCCATAAACATAAAAAAGCAAAAAATTATGTTCTTAACAGGGCAGAATTAATATGTAAGAGAATATCAATGTAAAAAATTTGTGGTCGTATTGGGAAAAGATTAAGGAATCACATTAGGGTAAAAATTATGAAAGCTATGTTTATTGCTGCACTATTCACAATAGCAAAGACTTGGAACCAACCCAAATGTCCAACAATGATAGACTGGATTAAGAAAATGTGGCACATATACACCATGGAATACTATGCAGCCATAAAAAATGATGAGTTCATGTCCTTTGTAGGGACATGGATGAAACTGGAAATCATCATTCTCAGTAAACTATCGCAAGGACAAAAAACCAAACACTGCATGTTCTCATTCATAGATGGGAATTGAACAATGAGAACACATGGACACAGGAAGGGGAACATCACACTCTGGGGACTGTTGTGGGGTGGGGGGAGGGGGGAGGGATAGCATTAGGAGATATACCTAATGCTAAATGACAAGTTAATGGGTGCAGCACACCAGCATGGCACATGTATACATATGTAACTAACCTGCACATTGTGCACATGTACCCTAAAACTTAAAGTATAATAATAATAAAATAAAAAAAAATTATGAAAGCTATATTGATAAACTTAAAAACTCAATAGGGATTTTAAGAAGTTGCTTTTAAGTTAAACTTCAGGGAGACTATAATCAAAGTTCCAATCAAATTATTGCACCATGATATAGAACATGCTAATTAAAATTACCTGTGACTTTCACATTACTACATCTCATGGTCACTTACTAGTTGTCATCTTATTTGACCTATTAGCTGCATTGTACAGTTTTTTATTTCATATTCCTGGAAACACATTTTCCACTTGCTATCTAGGACACCATATTTTCCTGTTTTTTTAATCTATCTCCTAAGGTATTCTTTATCAGTCTCTGATATTGATCCCATTTCATTTTCATGATTTCTTAATGCTGGAAATGGAATACACCATGTCCAGTATGTGAATGTGTTCTCTCTGTGTATTCACTTCACATTTCTTTCAATGTCATAGTTTTAAATATCATCTTTCTCTCTCTCTATATATATATATGTGTGTGTGTGTGTGAGTGTATATATTATATACACTCCCCATATATATTTTATATATATATATGTATATATTATATACACTCAGATGGCTTCCCCATCTGAGTAAATGTCTATTACTTTCTACCCTTGGCAATCAAGACAAATTCCTGAGAATCAGCTTTTCTTTCTTTTCTCTCACTCCCACATTCAATCCATCAATAACTCCTATTGGCACTGCCTCCAAGATATATCCAAACTAATACATGTCTTTCCATCTCTACTAAAACTATCTTTTTCCAAATTTTGTCATCTCAGATTAATTATTTCAATAGTCTCCCCTTTTTTTTCTGCTTGACTTCCCTTCCTCCAGTCCATTTTCCACTCCTTAGATACAACGATCTTTTTGAAATGCAAATCAAATTACACCATTCCCCCATTAAGACCCTCTAATGACTTTCCCATATCTTTACAATAATACCTAAACTCCTGTTTTGGTCTCAAGGCCTTTGCCTTCTTCTCCAACCAAATCTTTTAATTTTCTCCCTGACTTTCACTACCTTCCTATGTTTCAGACACACCAGGCTCATTCAGACTAAAATATCCTTGCCCATTCTGCTTCCTTTGACTGAAACACCCTTCCCATGATGTTTGTCCTACTGACTCTTTCCTATATTTAGGGACTAGTTCAGAAGTCATCTCTTCATCTCTTCAAAGTAGTTTGACCTGAGAATTCCTTTTAATTGACATTATTTCCCCAAGTCACTTGCTTTCACGTCACCTTATTTTACATTCTTCATAGTAATGGTAACTTTTTGACCTTATCTTATAAATGTACTTACTTATGTTTTGCCTCCCCAACAAAAATGTAAGCCACACAACACCAAGGTTCTTGTCTTTTCTTGTTTACTACGCTGTCCCTAGGGCCTAGAACAGTGCTTTGCATAGAGCAGACACTTGGAAGCATTTGTTGTTGCTGAATGAACACAGGTATTAAATATCCTACCAATTTTAAAAGGCATAGTTGAATTTGAGCACATTTATGAAAAGAAACAAGTTGGATATATGGAATGGCCACATTGGGCCTATTTCATTGTGTGAATAAAGTAAGAATCTTTTGCATGTTTATCACGATGATGAAGACAACACTGAATCTTGCTTTTCTCACCAATATCATAGTGATATTGTGAGAAATGAAGAGGAAGAATGCATTTAAAGCACTTCATACAACCCTGGCACTCAGCAAAAGTTAACACTATTGTCATAATAGCTAAGCTTTCTTCATAGACTGTGTAGAATTGAAGAGTTCATCTATACAGTGGACAGTTCAGCTGCTGAGTTTCCTTTTATCTCTGTTATTTTGTGATTATTTTATTATGTTAAGTGATCATCTTTATGTGGAGCATTCAAGTCTTTCCTACAGTCTTCTTTCTAGAGTTTCAAAAGATTTATACCTCACATCATATTAAGTGAAGGGCATCCGTGATTCCCATTTATAATAAAAGAGAATGAGATCACCTTTGTAACATTTTCCTCACTTCTATAGCCTGTTACTTACCATATTTCAGTTTCAAATTCTTTTACCCTTAATCTCATGGCTACAGATACAGTTTCTTCATGCTTGTTCATTTCATGTAACCTCTTTCCTTTAGAATTTGCTTTTCTCCAGTTTATATTCTTATATTTTTCTTGGTTTCTTATCCTGTGAAATTGTAATAAACATAATCCCTGCCTCCATAGTGAGAACATTATTTGTTAACAGATGGTAGGCTTTCAAAATCTGAATCACTTGAAAGTAGAAGAGACTGAAAAAGGTAATCAAAGGTGAACTCTGCTTAATACTGGAAAAGGAAGGTCATTTTTACCCTCAAGAAGTACATAAACTCTTATACAATAAGGAAAGTTACCAACTGCTAGCAGCATTAAGGAGAGCTTGTAGAAAGGCATGGGAATTCATTTGTCTCTCTCAATTAGTTAATGGATTTTGAACATTAGTCATTAGGTTTCTACACTTTAATTAATTTAAGTAATTTGAATAATGAAATTTCTAAACATAAAGTGTTTCTAATAAGCATTTCATCATTTATCCCGGAAGAATTTCAAGTAAATTAGTTCAAGTAACTCAACTCTGCTTCGGGAAGGAAGTAGTAGGAGCTGGAAATCAAGTGTGATACTGAAATGAGAAAGCTAAACAAAAAAGTGCTGCAGGAAGGAGTAAGACGGTTGAATGAGTAAGTCCCTTAGGCCATAACAAGCCCCTAGGCAAAGGACTGAAAACAAAATGGCCGTGGTTTATATAACATTTAGTTTCTATTAAATCTATTTTTGTCTGTGCACAATTTTTGAAAATTTGCCTTGTAATAATTCTTGTGTAGCTTTCTCTAGATATGTTTTTAAACTAAATATAAGATGCTTGAAATCAAAAAACATTTTTTCACTATTATAACTTTATTATAACTTTTTATTTTAAGAATTATTGCAATGTCTATAAGGACATGTAATAAGTGGTAGTTGTGGTTACTTCTAGCAATGAAACTGGAATAGGGAACCACTTTTATTCATTCTGTATTCTTTTTATTATGTTTAACTTTTTATTTTCAGATTATTATAGCCTTACAGTATAGAGAGTTCCTCCAGTTTAACATTTTACATGATGATAGTAAATTATCAAAACTAAGAGACATCACTACAATACTATTAGATAAACTATAGACTGTTTCTATTTTACCAGTTTTTCTGCTATTGTCTTTCTGTTTCAGGATCTAATCTAGAATCTTTTTTTTTTTTTTTTTTTTTTGACAGAGCATCGCTCTTGTTGTCCAGGGTGGAGTGCAATGGTGCGATCTTGGCTCACCACAACCTCCACCTCCCGGGTTCAAGTAATTTCTCCTGCCTCAGCTTCCCAAGTAGGTGGGATTACAGGCATGTGCCGCCACACACCACAGCTAATTTTTGTATTTTTAGTAGAGACGAGGTTTCTCCATGTTGGTCAGGCTGGTCTTGAACTCCTGACTTCAGGTGATCTGCCCGCCTCAGCCTCCCAAAGTGCTGTGACTACATGCATGAGCCACCAAGCCCAGCCCTAATCTAGAATCTTAGATTGCATTTAGTTGTCAGGTCTCCTTAAACTCCACCAATCTGTGATAGCTCCTCAGTTTTTCATTATCTTTAGTGATCTCAGATTTGAAAAATATAGGCCACTTGTTTCGTACACTGTCCTTTAATTTGGATTTTTCTGATATATAGTCATGTGCCTTATAATGCCATTTTTGTCAATGATAAACTGCATATACAATGGTGATCCCATAAGATTGTAATACCATGTTTTCACTGTATCTTTTAATTGTGCCAGCTATTTTAGTTGGCTCCTTTAGATATGTGTAGATACACCAATACTTACCATTTCGGTATTATTGCCTACAATATTCAGTACAGTAACATGCTGTACAGGTTTGTAGCCTAGGAGCATAAGCTATACCATATAACTACATAGTCTAGGTGTGTAGTAGGCTACACCATCTAGGTTTGTGTATGTACACTCTATGATGTTTGTGCAATGACAAAATTGCCTAATGATGTATATCTCAGACTAATCCCCATCATTAAAATATTTATGACTATTTTTCATGATTATAATGAGGTTGTGCATAAGTGGAAAAAATGACACAAATGTAACGTTCCCTTCTAAGAGTGCATCATATCAAAGGACACATTATGTCAATATCTCTTATTACTGGTGATTTTAATCTTGAACTCTTGGTAAAGGTAGAGTACACCAGGTTTCTCCACTATAAAGTTACTATATTCCTCTTTGCACTTAGTAGATATTTATTTTGGTACAGTTACTTTGAGACTTTGTAATTTAACTTTTACCCATGAGTTTTAGCTTTAATTGATGGATTTTGCTGCAACAACTATTGGTATATTAATGATTTTCTATTTCCCTCATTCTTCCTACATTGATTAATTATAATTATTCTGTAAGAAAAAGCTGTCCATTCTCCCCCATGTATGTATATCATATATACTCAAAAATATTTATTATTGGGTTGATATTTAATATTGACAGTTGTAGTAAATTGTGCTGGCTATTTCAGTTGGCTCCTGTGCCTCTTTGCCATGTTCTCTTTTTATTTGCTTTTTTTTTAGGACACTCTTATTTTCTGGCACCTTAATATGTTCCAGGTTTGCCTTGTATATTTTCTGCCCCAGTCCCAGGATCAACTACTTTTCCAACAAGCCCTGATTCCTTTTATGGAATATGGAAACTAGGGTGTCACTACTTCTAGGCTCCCACAATAAACGGAAGCTAGGAAATATAAGTATGTATAGAAAGCCATATGCACATACACATATATCCACACATGTATGTACACACAGATAAGTACTGAATAAATAAATTCTGCTTTTGCTTTTTCAACCAAATCCTAATTCTCCTCATTCTACACATCATTGATCATTCATTACTTTGTGTAACATTATACTAGTTCATAACAATTCTCAATACTCATACTTGATTGCAGCCACAACTGCAATCTCCTTAAGATCTTGCTTCTCAAAGTGTGGTCCATGGACTAGCAGTAGAAGTTGGGAGCCTGGTAGAAATGCAGAATCTCAAGTTCCACCCTATACCAACTGAGTTAAAAATTTGAATTTTAATCATATTCCTCAAGTGATTAGAATTTGAAAAGCACAACTTGAGAAAAGAAAAGTGACTCATTCATTTAGAATCCTCACTTTGGAGTTTCTTAGATTAGGCCCCTTCAGAGCAAATCTTGAATGACTTAGAATGAGTCCACCAACATCACTGAAATTTTAAAATGATTAAATTTCAGTTTAAAATAAATGGCAAGCTCTAAGTTAAGGGTCAGACAGTCAAAACAATAGTGTTAATGGGGGCAGTGCAACCAAATTTAAATAGAATTTTCTAAAAACTCTGTGCAGGGCAGATATAAAACACAGCCACAACATGGTTGGGGTGGGGCACTGAAAATTTTTCAAACTATGTTTTATGACTGACCCTATTACAGAGGATAGGTGAGCTCTAACATTCTGTTAGGTTGGTGCAAAAGTAACTGTGGTTTTTTGCCGTTTAGAGATAGCAAAACCTCAATTAATTTGCACCAACCTAACATGATTGATTTATGTACTTCAGAACCATCTACAAGCCCAAAGATATCTACAGCCAATCCTGATTCAGCCCCTCATAACAATAACAAACGATTATAATAATTTTTAAAATACTAAGTATAATTATGGTTATAATATTTACTGAACTTTATTGAGAATTTGTTATTATCTATATGCATTTTTTTCATTTAGCTCATACATCCTGATATGGTTTGGCTGTGTCCCCACACAAATCTCATCTAGAATTGTAGTTCCCATAATTTCCATGTGTCATGAGGCAACTAGTGGGGGGTAATTGAATCATGGGGGCAAGTTTTTCCCATGCTTTTCTTGTGATAGTGAATGTCTCACAAGATCTGATGGTTTTATAAAGGGCATTTACCCTGCACATGCTCTCTTGCCTGCTGCCATGTAAGATGTGCCTTTGCTCCTTCTTCACCTCCTGCCATGATTGTGAGGCATCCCCAGCCATGTGGAACTGTGAGTCCATTTAACCTCTTTCCTTTATAAATTACCCAGTCTCAGGTATGTCCTTACAGCAGTGTGAGAACGAACTGATACAATAAATTGGTACCAGTACAGTGGGGTGCTGCTGTAAACATACCTGAAAATGTGGAAGTGACTTTGGAACTGGGTAACAGGCAGAAGTTGGAACAGTTTGAAGGGCTCAAGAGGACAGGAAGATGTGGGAAAATTTGGAACTTTCCAGATGCTTGTGGAATGACTTTGACCAAAATGCTGCTAGTAATATCAACAATGAAGTCCTGGCTGAGGTGGTCTCAGATGGAGATGAGGAACTTATTGGTAACTAAAGTAAAGGTCATTCTTTCTATGCAAGGAGACTGTTGGCATTTTGCCCATGCCCTAGGGATCTGTGGAACTTTGAACTTGAGAGATTATTTAGGATGATATCTGGCAGAAGAAATTTCTAAGTGGCAAAGCATTCAAGAGGAAGCAGAGCATAACAGTTTGGAAGATTGGCAGCCTGATGATGCAATAAAAGAGAGTACCCCACTTTACATGGAGAAATTCAAGCCTGCTTCAGAAATGTGCATAAATAACAAGAAGCTGAATGTTATTCACCAAGACAATGGGGAAAATATCTCCAGGCATGTCAGAGACCTTTGCTACAGCCCTTCCCATCACAAGCCCAAAGGCCTAGCAGGAAAAAATGGTTTTGTGGGCTGGACCCAGGGACCCCCTGCTCTATGCAGCCTCGGGACATGGTGCCCTGCATCCCAGCTGCTTCAGTTCCAACTCTGGCTAAAAGGGGCCAATGTACAGCTCAGGCTGTTGTTTCAGAGGGTGCAAGCCTCAAGCCTGGGCAGGTTACACATGATGTTGGGTCTGCAGGTACACAGAAGACACAAATTGAGGTTTGGGAACCTCTGCCTAGGTTTCATCAAGGACAGAAATGCCTTGATGTCCAGGCAGAAGTCTGCTGCAGGGGTGGTGCCCTCTTCTGTCCAGGCAGAAGAAACACTTAGAGGGCAGTGCAGATGGGAAATGTGGGGTTGGAGCTGCCACACAGAGTCCCCACTTGGGCATTGCCCAGTGGAGCTGTAAAAAGAGGGACACAGTCCTCCAGACCCAGAATGGTAGACCCACAGACAGCTTGCACTGTGTGCCTGGGAAAGCTGCAGACACTCAATGCCAACCGATGAAAGCAACCAGGAAGGGGGTTATACCCTGCAAAGCCACAGGTGCAGAGCTGCCAATGCTGTGGGAGCCCACCTCTTACATCAGCATAACTCGGATGTGAGACATGGAGTCAAAGGAGAATACTTTGAAACTTTAAGGTTTAATGACTGCCCTGTTGGATTTTGGACTTGCATTGGACCTGTAGTTCCTTTGTTCTGGCCAATTTACCCCATGGGGAACAGGTGTATTGACCCAATACCTGTACCTTCATTGTGTCTAGGAAGCAACTAATTTGCTTTTGATTTTACAGGCTCATAGGTGGAAGGGACTTGCCTCACCTCGGATGAGACTTTGGACTATGGACTTTTGAGTTAATGCTGAAATGAGTTAAGACTTTTGGGGACTGTTGGGAAGGCATGATTAGCTTTGAAATGTGAAAACACATGAAATTTTGGAGGGGCCATGGGTGAATTAATATGGTTTGGCTCTGTGTCCCTACCCAAACCTCATCTTGAATTGTAGCCCCCATAATCCCCAAGTGTCATGGGAGGGACTTGGCAGGAGTTAATTGAATCATGAGGGTAGATTTTTCCCATGCTGTTCTTGTGATAGTGAATAAGGCTCATGAGAGCTGATGATTTTATAAAGGGTGGTTCCCCTGCACATGCTCTCTTGCCTGCTGCCATGTAAGATGTGCCTTTGCTCCTCCTGCACCTTCTGCCATGATTGTGAGGCCTTGCCAGCCATGTGGAACTGTGAGTCCATTAAACCTCTTTCCTTTGTAAATTACCCAATCTCAGGTATGTCCTTATAGCAGCATGAGAATGAACTAATACACAGCCATATTTTGAGGTAGGCACAAATACTGTCCTTATTTTATAGATAAAGAAACAGATTTATAGAAGCTAAGTGACTAATTTTAAAAGCCTCTAGCTTAACTCAGGTTTGCCTGCCTTCACAGAATCAATTCTCAGCTACTGCAACATGCAAATGTTAGCTAAGAAGAATACACAAAGCATTTGTAACTACTATCTAGGAGAAAGAGGATGAAGTTGGACAAACAGCAAGCCTCCTTCCCAATCCTAACTCTGATACTTACTAGTGGTGTGAGCTTGGAAAAATTATTTAAACTCTATGTGTAAATTTCTTCAGCTAGGGCTAATACATACTTATCTGTTGAGTTTTTAGAGAGTAACCCCTTAACTTGTAATAAATGCTGAATTAGAGAAAGATATCCTTATTTCTTCCTGTTATTAATATCACATTAGGTAGATACATCTTGAAGCCAAAGTCAAGGGCTCTAATGTAGAAACATATTAAAGAGGTCCATTGTGATGAGGGATTTAAAAAATCCAGGCATATAGAGTACTTTTATGGGGATCTCTTGGTAATTACTAATTTTACCTGCACTAACTTAAGAAAGCAAAACAATACTCTACCAAGTAGACTCAGCTGCCTTTCAGAAACTGAAAGCATTTCAACAAGCAACATAGTCCTTCAGCCCAATCCCCCAATATCACCTTAACCTTCATTACAGTAATTCACAGTGCCAAATTTTACAGAAGAATACATTTTATAAAAAGGAATAAAATCCATATTTTTGTTGAAATGCTACCTATCAAAATTAAACAACTAGCTTTTTGATGAGTTAATATATTTCCCTTTTTGTTCTAACGTAAAAGTTTGGAAAAGCCAGAGCTATTTCTTGTTGAGCTAGATAGAGGACCTTTTAATTGGTGACTGGTTTGAACCTTGACTGGTTTAATATATTATACATTAAAAACTTCTGAAGTCAAAGGACTCAGCAAGTGTGCCAAATTATTTGGTCATTTGTATAGCTGCCCTTTACACATGCTGCTCAGTTATTTATAATGTATTAAAAGAAAAAGAGCATAAAATGAGGGCATGGTGAAATTAATTGCCCAGCCAAACTAGCAAGCTCAACTGAAGAGTGGTATTTTGTTCTAGGTTATGTACACATACAAAAAATGTACCAGACCCCAAATGGAAAATGGACACAGAAGAATAGGAAAAGTATATGGTGCAAAAACTACATAGCAAATAAAAATAAAATGACCTTAATATGATCTTGATTCTTTTCTCACTGAAAAATAGAGAGTTTTTAATAGGCCCAAGGCCAACTGGATTTAGACTGCCTGAGCTCAGTGCCTGATCTGTCTACCTACTAGCTGAGTGATCTGTGGCAAAAAAATGTCAGATTCCTCATCTGTAAAACAAGGCTTATTGATACTTACCTCAGTACAATATTGCTATTCTAATGGCACCTCTTCAAAAAAGCCTTTCTAACTCCCTTAATGGAACTAGTAGCTAAGCATTGCTTTCTACCCTGCTTTAGTTTTCTTCATTGCCTGGCATTCTCATTACCTGAAATCATAGTAAATAAACAATATTTGTTTATTTATTTTCTTTCCACTAAGATGCAAGCCAAATGGGGGCAGAGATCTTTTTCCTCCCTACTGTATCCTCAGAACCTACAAGAGTTTGACACATAAGCACTCAATAAATAATGTCCATATTATTGTTATTAATAAGTGGATTTATTTATAAAATATTTATAATTTATATTTTGTGATTTGTAAAATATAGCCTTATATATTTTAGAAATTACAAAATATTTGCTCATTTATGAAAAAATGTCATTTATCTTAAAAACTAAATTTATCATTTTGAATTGATAAGGAATGAGAACAAAGTTACTCATTTGAAGCCAGTTGACTCCTGTTGTAAAGTCTTTCTTAGCTGCATGGGAATTTGGTTTTGATAGTAAACATATATAAGGAGAGTGAGCTGAATTGGCTTGAATAAAACACCAAAGGCAGCCTCCTCCAGACTATTAGTTAAAGTTGATTTGGTTATAAACAACCAAAAACCATTATGGTTTAATATGGAACAAATACAAAAGTGCAGGCTGTTAATTGGAAGGAACACCCCTCAGATTCCCAGTAACAGCTGCCACTTGTCAGGTGTCCACTGTGTTACAAGCACCATTCTAAGTTGTTTACATAATTACCATATTTCATTATCCTATGGACTCTATAAAGTAAAGGCAGCTATCATATGTCTTTTATAGATGAATAAACTGTTGCAATCAGGAGTTATATAATCTTTCTGAGGATACCAGTTAATAAACAACAGATCTGATTCAAACTTAGCCAACCCAATTCTTGGTCCTTTGCTGTTATCCACTCTGCTCTATTGAATCCCAGATGCTCATGATTAGTGCATGTCCAGGTTTCAGGAAGGGCATGTACTGAGTTAGCTTCAGGGATCTCATATTATTTTTCAGGTCCTGGCATCAACACAACTCACTCTACTGACTGTCAGTTTCAAAGTCCTAAGGTAAAGAAATAATTGGCTTATTATTAATAAGCTATGGCCAATGGTTCAGAGATATAAAATAAAGACATGTTATTTGGGGGTAATTCTTGTGGTATGAATCCATCACCAGAGAAAAGATAATTGTTGTAAGCTGAAAATCCACTCTAAGAATTATTTAATACCTAATATGTGAAATATTAGAGATATTGTCTATAGATTTAGGAATATGAAAATATTAACAAGCAAAAAATGAGAGAAATATCTTCTGTTTAATTTGAGCAACAACCTTGAGTGTACATATTATCATTCCCACTTTATAAATTAAAAAACTGAGGATAGATAGATTAATTATACTCAGAGATAAAGATCTAGTAAATAGCAAAGTCAGGTCTTTACACACATCTATTAGTTCCAGTTTATTCCTTCTCTACTACACTATGATTTCTAGTTCTTGGTTTTCTCAAATTTAGCTCATAAGAAATAGAAAAGAAGCATAAAGTTGGAGAATTTCTGAGAAAATTTTAATTTTTTTTTGGCAGCCAGTAGAGATAAATTCAGGAGGTATACAACAATTTAAAGGACTTTTCTCTCATTTGTATAAAAATTCAAATCACCCTACAATTTGAAAAGTATGTACTTTTCAAATTCCTCATTAATAGGATTCAGATCCAGTCAATAACTCTACAGCCAGTGAATAAAGAAGTTAAAAAGTCAATCAACAAAGAGGCTGGGTGTGGTGGCTCACGCCTGTGGTCCCAGCACTTTGGGAGGCCGAGGTGGGTGGGTCACGAGGTCAGGAGATTGAGAACATCCTGGCTAACATGGTGAAACTCTGTCTCTACTAAAAATACAAAAATAAATTAGCCAGGCATGGTGGCGGGCACCTGTAGTCCCAGCTACTCAGGAGGCTGAGGCAGGAGAATGGTATAAACCCAGGAGGTGGAGCTTGCAGTGAGTGGAGGTCACACCACTGCACTCTGGCCTGGGCAACAGAGCAAGACTCTGTCTCAAAAAAAAAAAAAAAGTTAATCAGAAAAGATATTAAAAATGCATAGAGACAAATGGTTGATGGCATTAAAAGAAAGACTTTAGACAAACTAAATTTAACAAAGTTTAACTGAGATAAGAACAATTCATGAATTGGAAAGCACCCAGAACCAGTGGAGGTTTAGAGAGCTCCACTCCACAATGTGGGCAGGGAGTATTTACAGAGAGAAAACAGAAATGACAGTACAGAAAAAGCTTCATTGGTTACAGCTCTGCATTTGCCTTTTTTGGACATAGTCTGATTGGTTGGCAGCCTGTGATTGGCTGAAGCTCTTGGCTGCTATGATTGGCTGTAACTTAGCTATTTGTTACAAAGTAAACTCTTACATCAGGCTTTCAGAATGTTTACATACTAAGTTATTTTGCATTTGGTTATGTAGGGACTCAAGTTATGGAGGCAGACTCAGGTCAAAATGAATTTAATTTAAAAGTAGGACAAATTCAAGAGACCTTGACACACTGATTATATAAATTGTATTTCTACCTGAGAGATTGAAATGATAGACCATCAGTGCTGAACTTGTTGTATTAACAATCTTTTTGATTCCTAACTGGAAATAGGATCATAATCTATTTTTAAGAAATTTTTTTTATGAGAGATACTCAGAGGAAATTTGTCACCTTCCTCTCCTTCAAATATTAAAGTAATTAAAAACAGACATTAGAAAAAGATAAGAATAAAACTATCAGCTGTATTACTAGTGAAACTGAATTACAGAACAGATTCACTTTGAGGTATAAAATGGCCTCTCTACTCCTTCCATTTTACTTGAAATTATTCATCCAGTCAGGGGCAGTTGCTGGACATGAGCCTGCTCCTATCCTGCCCTTCTACATCCTCACAAAACACACACGAAAAGTCTATACATGGGCCTACTAGAAAGGGTCCCTAAGCTATCCACTGACAATGACATTTCCCATTTTTCCATTTGATAATATTAACAAGAGCTCTTTATACCAGGAGAAGCACATTAAAAGGGGACACAATGGGTAGAATATTTATTGTCACTCATTCTAGGTGAAGAGTAGTTTTACTATCTTTATGGTCTGTGTAGAGATAATTCAGTAATGTTCATATCTATCTATCCATCCACTCATCTATACATCTATTTACACCTATGTATCTGTAAATCCATCTATCTATCATCAATGTCTGTTGTACAGTCCCTCTATGCCTAAAACTATCACATGGATGTTTTTGTGTATAAAACCTATTCTTTAGATGTAAAACTATTATGACCAAATATTGAAAATAACTAGAAATATGTGTGGAGAGAAATATAATAATTAAACATTTGAGGTCTGGATTTGCGGGATTTCAAGCCTCCTTTTGCTGACTATATAATCTAGTCTAGTCATTCAGAGCAGATGAAAATTATTTCAGGGACTACGCCTTTCAAATATTTAGTCATCTATGGACTTCCTTTAGAAGTGAATATAGTCCACTCTAGGGAGAAGGAAGCACATGTCAAAGTAATTAGTTTATAATTGATCCCCTTTAGGATCCCCAGACTCATTTCACATGAATATTTTTAATATCACATTAAATAACAATTAGCACAACACTTTTCAAATATAAAAAATGTGTGAAGCACCAATCAGATGGAATAGATGTTCTGCCAGGTGTCACTGAGCATCCGTCTGCATGTCTTACAGACTGCATGAGAAATCTCATTTAATAGAATAGGGCTGAGAGTCTCCTTACCTCGTAAATAACACCTCACAATTCTTCAGCTGGGTACCAAAGTATGGATGAAGGGGAAAAATGCCTATAGAGATATGATTAGACTTGTGTTGTTGTCATTGTTGCCCAGGATATATTAAATTATCTTTTTATGGCTACTTTCTCTATCTCTCTCTCTCTCTCCCCACTCCCCCCATCCACCCACCCCCATCTGTATCCAAGTCAGAAATTTAAGGACTAAGTTTTTTTGTTGTTGTTGAATCTATAATATTAAAGATTCTTCTGGACTCCCAGAAACCTTTCACAAGATTAGAGGGGGAATATTCCTTATTTTTGTTGCTGCTCAGTAAGCAAAATAGCAGAAAGATTATGTTATTATTTCATTCAAAACTTTAATTAAACACTACCCTGTGTGACAGCATAGCTGTATACCAGACTCTTTCTGAGAAGTATAAACAGAAATGCAGCACCCCATATCATCGCAATCTGGGCAGAGAAAATGAATATTTTATGGAGGACTTAAAATACGCTATCCATACATTTTTCTAGGATGGTGCTACTTAGCCAAGGAGGAGTTTCAGATTTATCTGAGAAACTTTTATTAAAGCACAAATAATGCCTGCCCAGTTGCAATACTTGGAACTTCTGTTCATGCAAGTGTGACAGGACAAAGTTATTTCTAATTTAGAAAATGATGACCAGTGTGATTACCATGCCCACCTCTGCGAACTCCTTTTCCACAAAGCATAAGTTGCCCCAAATTAAACAAGACAGCCAAAGAGAAGCATACCTGGATTATATTTATTGCAATTGTCTTTCTTCCCCATACTCCCTGACCACAAATCATGCCATTACCCTCCATATCAGGATTTCATTTTGGATACATTCTTTCCTGTCTATTGTGTCTTGTTTAACTTTCAGACTTCTGTCCTCCTTTCTTCAACTGGAGATGCTTTTCAGCATCAGTACCAGAGTGCATGTTGCTTTTTCCTGCTGAGCATTGTAAGAGCAGTGCGTTTTTTCAACAAACAGGACCCTTTAATGATTTTTTTCGAAGCCCAGATGGGCATGCACTTAGCTGCCTCCATCTGCTGTTGTTCCCTGATACAGCATGACCTCTGTCGATTCACAGTGAGTTTCATATGCCCGAGGGCATTTTCTCCTTCCATTTCAAGGAATGTTAAGTGTTTATCAAAGGGCTGCCATTTTGGGTGGAATCCTTGTTCATTTGGAAACTCTTACTGCAGCATAGTCTTCCTGCCTTTATCCACTAAATGTCATTAGGCATGGTAAAAATCAAAATCTCTCCACCTATCTTCAAAGTCATTTAATGGAGCAGCATCATTCAAATTCAGAACGATTGTGCATGAATGGACTTAGACACCCCCACAGGTGTGTCCCAATTCCATTTTCAATAGGTGTCTCTGTGTCCTCCAGGGAGATGTAAAATCCTCTTCACATCTCCCTGGAGGACACAGAGACACCCATTGGAATTGAATCCCAGAGGAGTTCTCAGTATTATTAAGTACTTCTAATACTTGAATTCTCTAAGAGCACATGTGTAAGACATACAAGTAATAAACACTTGGTAACATGCTCTCTATTCTAATAATGAGAGGTTTTTTTTAAGGCACAGTTTTTTATTATATAGTAAAAGAAGATGTAGGCTGGAGGAAAAAGTATTTAATTGGAAAAGTTATAAAACATAGAAATTATAAGTAAATAAACTATCAATTCTATTAAAACCTATTTTACAAACACCTTATAAAAACTCAAGAAACAGCCTTTAAGACACTATTACTTATTTATAATACCTATGCACTAGTGATCTCAGCAAGTGTTTTCTGTAACATATTCACCATGCTTTCAGAGCCTTACCCAGCTATCTATCACAGTTCTGCTTCAAGCAATTCTTCAGTTTCTGTGTTGTAATTTCTGTGTGAAACTCCTGAAAGAAAATGTAATTATTTGACTAATGCAGGCCTCTGAATAGCTGCATCACAGAAAACACTTCAGAATAGGTGATGGTTTCTTCATCCCAACAAGGATAACAGCAGGCTGGGAGCACATCCATTCCATGAAAGAGACAGCACCTTGGATTATTTTAAATCCTCCTAGTACCATCTTGAAATGCCAGGAAAAAGAATGGGTATTAGAATTAGGATAGACTTTTATTTCTGGTTTTCAAATCTTGGGCAAGTAATTGAACTTCTCTGCAATTGGTTTCTCCTCTCTTTAGAGCAGTGCTTCTCAACATATTTTCATTTGTCACTCCCTTTTGTGCCAAGGAAACTTTTTAGACATTTTTCCTGATTCCTTCTCTGAATAACTTAATCAGACTCTTCAGAACTGGGGATTGAGCAGGTACATTTTCCTAAAATTCCACAGGGGTTTCTGATTTGTACCACTGGTTCAGAAACACTATATTTTTCGACAGTGGTACTCAAACTTTCACATGTCTCAGAATCACCTGGAGACTGAAAGATCGCAAACTGCTGGTTACTATCTCCAGAATTTCTAATTCAGTAGTCTATGGTGAGGCTGGAGAATTTGCATTATTAATAAGTTTGCAGGTGATAGTGGTAATGTTTGTTTGGGGACCACACTTAGAAGCACATTATCTTAAGACCTTTTAACTCAAAGTGTGATCACCTGGAAGCTTGTTCTAACTATATTATTTGGAACCTTGTTAGAAATGCAGAGTCATAAACACCACCTTGGAATTACTAGATTAGAATCTACTTTTTAACAAGATCCCTAAGTGATTCATATGCACATTAAAATTGAAGAACAACTGGACTAAGATTTCTCAAATTTTCTATGATTTGAATTTTAATTAATAAACTTTTTAGCCTGCTTAATAATGGCATATATTTTCTTGATATACTATAAAAGCAATCATTAGTTTTTGTCCTTAAAATGCTTACAATCAAAATTAGCTTTTATTAAATTATTATAAAATCTTTCTATCTTTTCACTTTTCTTTGACCTCACCAATATTTCCTGATCTGGTATTTGAACATAATTTACTTTTAAATTGAAGTTCTTAAAAACTGTTTATTTCACAACTTGGCTTTTGGCACACACAAGGTTCAGCTTAAATGACTCATTCATTCACATAGCTCCTGCTGTGCCTTACAGTGTATTTATATTTTATGTTGGTGCATTTATCCTTTCTTTGTCTACTTCCTGCTGAGGATTTAGGGAGATTAGTTTGCAAAATGAGTGCAGATAAGTTATTACCTTCCTATAACAGATATTTCAAAACATTTAAGTAACAAATCACTCTTCTGCCTTCTGTTTTCTATCCTAACAATATAATTTTCTAAATTTCCCTAAATACGGGTGTGTATAGTGGTGTGTATAGTGCTTGTATTTCCTGTTTTTTTCTGACTAGTTTTCACTTTTAGCTGAGTTCCCAGAGTACTTATTGTAATTTGGGCATTAAATAGTAGCAGAATTGAGCTATCACAAAATAGGTGTGATATATAGTAGTTTAGTAGATCCATAATCAAAGCTCTTGTCCCTTCTCCTGCAATTTCACCTTAATGCTTCAGTTTTGAATATAGTGGTATCTCCTGAAGAGCCAAACCAGGAGCTGGAGAATGAAGAAATTGAAAAGCCTTAAGATTACAAGTGCTTTCTTAAAATGTGTGTTCTAAATACCTCACTCACCTCACTTTTGTCCTGGCCCTTATCTCCTGTATGAGTGATCAGTTGCTCTGTAACAAATTGTCTCAAATCTTACTAGTGTAAAACAACCATTATTACTATGGATAGGAATCTGGGTGTAGTTTAGTTGAGTCTTCTATCTCAAGGTTTTTTTAAGTCCAGAACCAAGAGGTTAGCCAGGGCTACAATTATCGCAAAGCTTGAGGAGTGGGTGATATGCTTCCCAGTTCACTCATGTCGTTGCTGGCAAGATTCTGTTTCTCATGGCTGATGAACTGAGTGTTTCGGTTCCATGCTGGCTGTTGGTTGGAGGCTTCCCATGGTTCCTGCTCTCTGGGCCTCTCCATACAGAAGCTTGCTTCATCAAAGAAAGCAAATCCAACCCAAGAAAGAGAGAGTAAGCAGGATGGAAGTAAGTCTTTTATAATTTAACCTTAACATTGACCTCTTATCATATTTGTCATGTTATGTTCATTAGAAGCAAATCACAGGGTCAAGCCCACATTCAAAGAATTACTGGGAGTAATCTCAGAAAACTCCTCACATCTCCTTTATATTTCCTAGAAAGCCACCCTTGTTGTTACTGCTGCTGCTGCTGATCTTCTTCTTTTTCTTTTTTTTTTTTTTTTTTGAGATGGAGTTTCGCTCTTGTTGCCCAGGCTGGAGTGCAATGGCATGATCTCCACTCGCTGCAACCTCTGCCTCCCTGGTTCAAGTGATTCTCCTGCCTCAGCCTCCCAAGTAGCTGGGATTACAGGCATCCACCACCACGACCAGCTAATTTTTGTATTTTTAGCAAAGACGGGTTTCACCATGTTGGCCAGGCTGGTTTCAAACTCCTGACCTCAGGTGATCTGCCCATCTTGGCCTCCCAAAGTGCTGGGATTACAGGCGTGAGCCAACAAGCCCAGCCTGCTGTTCTTCTTCTTCTTCTTCTTCCTCTGCTCCTACTCCTTTGTCTTTCTTTTCTTCTTCCTTTCCTTCTTGCTTGCCTTGCTTTAATCAAACAATTATCATTAGGCTTGGCAAAAAGTAACATTATAATTAATGAATGAATTGATTTGGAGTTTTATTATTGTATTATATAAATGTAGTATATCTGAAAAAATTTTTATGAGCTCTAAAGATGTTTGAAGTAATAGAAAAGCAGCCCACCTGTGATATCTGAGAGATGTCCAGGCATTATCAGATAGGCCTTGGTGTTGCTAGGAGCTGACCCAGAACTTCAATGTTGATATAGTTTGGCTCTGTGTCCCCACCCAAATCTCATCTTGAATTGTAATCCCCAGGTGTCCAGGGAGGAACCTGGTGAAATAGCCATTGGATAATAGGGGAAGTGTCCCCTAGAGGGACAGAACTAATATATATATATATATATATATATATATATATATATATATATATATCTCCTGTATGGAGGATATATATATATATATATATATATATATATATATATATCTCCTGTATGGAGGATATATATATATATATATATATATATATATCCTGTATGGAGGATATATATATATATATATCCTGTATGGAGGATATATATATATATATATATATCCTGTATGGAGGATATATATATATATATATCCTGTATGGAGGATATATATATCCTTATCATATGTATGTATGTGTGTATGTGTGTGTGTGTGTGTGTGTGTATGTGTGTGTGTGTCTATATATATATATATATATATATATATATATATATATATATATATATATAGGAGTTTATTAAGTATTAACTTACATGATCACAAGTTCCCACAATCTGCTGTCTGCAAGCTTGAGGAGCAAGGAGAGACAGTCCGAATCTCAAAACTGAAGAACATGGAGTCCAATGTTTGAGCGCAAGAAGCATCCAGCATGGGAGAAAGATGTAGGCTGGGAGACTAGGCTAGTCTCTCCTTTTCACATTTTTCTGCCTGCTTTATATTTGCTGGCAGCTGATTAGATTATGCCCACCGGATTAAGGGTGGGTCTACCTTCCCCAACCTACTGACTCAAATTTTAATCTATTTTGGCAACACCCTCACAGACACACCCAGGATCCATACTTTGTATCCTTCAATTTAATCAAGTTGATATTCAGTATAACCATCAAGTCTACCCCTTGTCAACTTGAAGCCATACCCATCTCCTGAGATCATATATAATCTTCAAATACAGACAAAAATAAGGTCATAGTCATGCCTAACATAATACAACTGTCCTCTGTACAACCGGAAACGCACCAATCCCCAACCCAAATACTGTTACATAAAGTTAACAATACTTAAATGCTAATATCAAGTCAATAAATCTTATGTCACATGATAAAGGAAAAGGAAATAAAATGAAGATTTTTTTTTTTAAGTACAAGAGTATCCATGCACAAACATGTTTTTAACGAAAGAAATAGGAAATACTCATGACAATTACGGTCCTCATTTCTGCAGCTGGTGACATCATCGTAGCTGGTATTGATGACTACCTTCTTTTACTACCCATTCTGTATTTCCTTTGGCTTCAGCAAGCACCCCGGCAGGCTGTGGTTTTACTTCCTGGTGGAGTGACCCAAACCTTCAGTCCTGAGGGATATGGGTTATTTTTAGTCCTGCCTGGATTGGGCTGTTGTGTCCCATTGACCTTAAACATAGGGCATGGTAATACTAAAAGATGCCCTAATGGATCTCTTGTATTTCACACATACACTTCCTTACCTCCATTGTGGAGTAGTAGACTGAGTTCATCTTGATAGTCCAGGTCAATTACCCAGCCAACACTGTAACTCCCTTCTTAGCCTGTTAACTTAAAGGTAGGAGGAGCCCAAATTGCCCAGGTGGCAATCTTAACTTCCAGTTTAATGTAATCGTTGTTGTGTCTCCTGAACTAAGACCTCTAGGCAAGCAAAATGTAATGTCGTGGGAACAGGAAGCACAATTTTTGCTAGTGGATCACTAGGGGTGATGTTAAGTGGTGCCACCTCCACTTCCACCCCTTTATTCCTGGACCCATAAATCCTGGCTATGGGAGAAACAGTACCATATATTGGACACTGATTTAGAGCTTATTCGGCCTTCTGGAGAACTTTTCCCCAGCTGTGCAAAGTATTTCCACTTAGTTGGCATTGTAATTGTGACTTCAAAAGGCCATTCCACCATTCTATCAATCCAGCTGCTTCAGGTTGTTGGGGAATATGGTAAGACCAGTGAAATCCATGAGCATGAGCCCCCCTGCCACATGTCTTTAGCCATAAAGTGAGTGCCTTGGTTAGAGGCAATGCTGTGTGGATACCATGATGGTGGATAAGGCATTTCATGAGTCCACAGATGGTAGTCCTGGCAGAAGCATTGCTTGCAGGATAGACAAACCCATATCCAGAGTGTCTATTCCAGTGAGGACAAACCTGTGCCCTTTCCATGATGGAAGAGGTTGCATATAATGAACCTGCCACCAGGTAGCTGGCTGATCACCCTGAGGAATGGTGCCATAGCAAGGGCTCAGTGTTGGTCTCTGCTGATGGTAAATTGGGCACTCAGCAGTGGCCGTAGCCAGGTCAGCCTTGGTGAGTGGAAGTCCATGTTGCAGAGCCCATGCATAACCTCCATCCCTGCCACCATGGCCACTTTGCTCATGAGCCCATTGGGTGATGACAGGAGTGGCTGGGGAAAGAGGCTGACTGATATCCACAAAACAGGTCATCCTATCCACTTGATTATTAAAATCCTCCTCTGTTGAGCTCATCCGTTGGTGAGCACTCACATAGGATACAGGTATCTTCACAGTTTTTGACCTCTCAGAGAGGTCCATCTACATACCTCTTCCCTAAAGTTCTTTGTCACCAATTTTCCAATCACGCTTCTTCCAGGTCCCTGATGATCCAGCCAAACCATTGGCTACAGCCCCATGAATCAATATATAATCGCACATCTGGCCATTTCTCCTACCATGCAAAGTGCACAACCAGGTGCACTGCTGGAAGTGCGGCCCACTGCGAAGATTTCCCTTCACTGCTGTCCTTCAGGGATGTCCTAGAAAGGGGCTGTAATGCTGCAGCTGCGCATTTTCAGGCGGTGCCTACATATCGTGCAGAACAGTCTGTGAACCAGGCCCTAGTTTTCTCTTCCTCTGTCAACTGATAATAGGGAACTCCCCCTGAGGCCATCGGTGCAGGCTGCGGAAGAGAAGGCAGGGTGGTAGGGGTGGAGACTATGGGTATTTGAGTCACTTTCTTATGTAACTTACTTGTGCCTTCAGGACCTTCTCAAGCCCGATCACATATATACCATTTCCATTTGATGATGGAATGAATGCTGCTGTGCATGACTCACTTTATGACTAGACATGTCAGGAAGCAACCTATTCATGATAGCCAGTTTAGGTTGCATCATGACTAGATGACCCATGATCAAACGTTTAGTTTCCACCAAAGAGTAGTTATCTGTAGAAGATGGCAGGGTGTTGCTCCAAAATCCTAGGGGCCTCCACTGTGATTTACCTAAGGGAGCCTGCCAAAGGCTCCAAAGAGCATCCCTATCTGCCACTGACACCTCAAGCACCATTGGATCTGCTGGGTCATATGGCCCAAGTGACAGAACAGCTTGCACAGCAGCCTCAACCTGTCACAGAACCTTCTTCTCTTCTGGACCCCACTCAAAACTGGCAGCCTTTCAGGTCACTTGGTAAATGGGCCAGAGTAACACACCCAAATGAGGAATGTGTTGCTGCCAAAATCCAAATAGGCCCAGTAGGCATAGTGCCTCTTTCTTGGTTGTAGGAGGGGGCAAATGCAGCAACTTATCCTTCACCTTAGAAGAAATATCTTGACAGGCCCCACACTACTGGACCCCTAGAAATTTTACTAAGATAGTAGTTCCATGAATTTTAATCAGATTTATTTCCCATCCTCTGGCACGAAAGTCTCACCAATAACTCCGATGTTTTTGCTACTTCTTGCTCACTGGATCCAATCAGCCTAATGTCATCAATGTAATGGACCAGTGTGATATCCTGTGGAAGCAAAAAGTGATCAAGGCTCTCCGAATAAGATTATGACACAAAGCGGGAGAGATAATATACCCTTGAGGTAGGACAGTAAAGGTATATTGCTGGGCTTGCCAGCTGAAGATAAATTGCTTCTGGTGGGCCTTATAGACAGGAATGGAGAAAAAGGCTTTTGCCAAGTCAATGGCTGCATACGAGGTATCAGAAGATGTGTTAATTTGCACAAGCAATGAAACCATATCTGGTACAAGAGCTGCAATTGGAGTTACCACTTGGTTAAGCTTACAATAATCCACTGTCTTTCTCCAAGGTCCATCTGTCTTCTGCACAGGCCAAATGGGAGTGTTGAACAAGGATGTGGTGGGAATCACCACCCTTGAGTCTTTCGAGTTCTTTGTGGTGGCACTAATCTCTGCAATCCCTCCAGGGATGCAATATTGTTTTTTATTTACTATTTTTCTAGGTAGAGGCAGCTCTAATGGCTTCTATTTGGCCTTTCCCACCATAATAGCCCTCAGCTTACCAGTCAGGGAGCCAATGTGGGGCTTCTGACTGCTGCTAAGTATGTCTATGCCAATTATGTATTCTGGCACTGGGGAAAAGACCACAGGATGTGTCCAGGGAATCACTGGGCCTACTGTAAGTTGGACCTGAGTTAAAACTCCATTAACCTGACCTCCATAAGCCCTTACTTTGACTGGAGGACCACAAAGATGTTTTGGGTCCTCTGCAATCAACATCAGCTCAGAGCCAGTCTGATCAGTCTGAAGTGCCTGATTATTTCTCTTTCCCCATTGCAGTTACCCTGGTAAAAGGCTGGAGGTGTCCTAGAGGAGGATGGAAGAAAGATTCACTGCATAAATTGTTGGTAATGTAATGGGGTCTTTCCTCAAGGGGACCCAGCCTCCCCTTTATTCAAGGAGTTCTGGATCTATAAAGTGACTCAAGTCTGGAAATTGATTGAGAGACCGTGATTCTCAGTTTTAATCATTCAAATTAGTCTTTTGTCCATTTGACCTAGATGTTTTCTTCTCATATAAATTAAGTAGGAATGCAGTAGTTTTCCTACCAATTTCATTTCTAGGAACACCGTTATTAATTAGCCAATGCCAGAGCTATACACAAGTCAGACTATTCTGACTGCTACTTTGTCTCTGCTGTCCATTATACGCCCACCTTGCCTGTGAAGGCTGAGTGCTGCCACTTGGCCTCTGCCACCTCAAGATCTAATTATTCCCACTGTATTTAAATTTTGTAGCTGAATGATTGTGGTTCCTACTGTTAGATCTGACATACCGAGAAGAGCAATTACCGGGCTCTTTGAAGATGCAGGTGCTACCCTCACAAATCTATTTCACAAGGCATTGCTCAAGGGTATATCTTCTGGACTCTCCCAGCTGGGATGAGTAGGTCTAAAGTGACTAATCCTCTCCATCACTGCAATCTCCCTAAGCCTTTGTACCCCTTCCTCTACGTTAAACCAAGGGAGATCAGGCATTTCCAGCTCATTCACAGTGGGCCATCTTTTAATCCATATTTCAGCTAACCAAGCCAATAAACAATTAGAACCTTTTTTAATGCCCTAAGCTGTACCACTGAAAGCAGGGTCCCTACTGAGTGGACCCAAATCAATAAATTTAGCTTGATACAACTCTGTGGTCCTTCTGCCATTATCTGATAACCTTAATATGTATTCCTGTGCCTGTTCTCCAGATTGCTGTGTTTATAAATTAGAAAACTCTAGCGGTTCTTTTCAAGTGTAACACACCTCCTCACAGGTCACACTGTCAACCTCACCTCCAGGGGTCTGCCGGGACTTTAGTTTAGTTACAGGTCTAGAAGCAAACAGGAATGTTGAGAGTGGCTTCCGAGGAGAATCAACATGAGTTTGCTTGGCAACCACCTCAGGGGAGGCCAGCACTGTTGCCTCAGGCAGTACAGGGTTTATGTCCTCAGACAAAGGTGGAAAGGCTGATGGTAGCATGGGTCTGGGAGGGGATACTGCCACTACTGGGGATGGGGAAGCTGTTCCTTCTAGCAAAAAGGATTCATCAGAGTTTACAAACTCAGTGTCCCCAGTTTCATCAGGGTCCTCCTACACATCCCCAGTCCAAGAACGTAGGGTCCCATTCTTTTCAATCAGTGCCCTCACTTTAACAGTAGACAGCAGGCAAGGATGTGCATGCACCTTTTGTTGCAGGTCAGCCACTCACATAATAAGAGCTTGTGTCTGTTTTGCCACAACTTCAGCTTTTTCTCTACAGGAGATAAGACTCACTGAGGGCAATCTTAGCAGATTTGAGGCTCAGTATCTGCTTCTGAAGCTGGAAGACAGAATCCCTGAGTTCATCATTTTATTTCATCTCTTTGTCCACTCTACTTAAGAGCACCAACTAGCTTCATTATGTTCCTTAGTTCTCCACATATGGTCAAAGGTATTATGTATAGAGTCACTAAACTCCTTGCTTCTCACAAGCAGTGAATCAGGAGTGTCAAATGTATTTATTTTGCATAACTCTCTAAATAGTTCATGCCAAAGACTGTCAGTGTTCTCCATACTATTAGAAGTAGAGTCCTTAGCATTTTTGCATCTAATCATATTAAGCAGCCAACTCCAGAATCCCCAAAATTAAAGAACCCCATCCTTAATATTCTGTCCCTCTGGAACCACTACTGGTACCAAAATCTGTATTAGTCAGCATTCCCTAGAGGGACAGAACTAATAGGAGAGATATATATATATCTCCATATATATATATCTCCATATATATATATATATCTCCATATATATATATCTCCATATATATATATATCCATATATATATATATCTCCATATATATATCTCTCTCCATATATATATCTCCATATATATATATCTTCATATATATATATATCTCCATATATATATATATATATCTCCATATATATATATATATATAGCATCCAGAATGGGAGAAAGGCTAGGCCAGTCTCACCTTTTCATGTTTTTCTGCCTGCTTTATATTTGCTGGCAGCTGATTAGATTGTGCCCACCAGATTAGATTGTGCCCAGCTGATTAGATTGTGCCCACCAGATTAAGGGTGGGTCTGCCTTCCCCAGCCCACTGACTCAAATGTTAATCTCCTTTGGCAACACCCTCACACACACACACCCAGGATCAATACTTTGCATCCTTCAATCTAATCAAGTTGACACTCAGTATTAACCATCCCAGGTGTTTTTCCTCATGCTGTTCTCGTGACAGTGAGTGAATTATCACCAGATCAGATGGTTTTATAAATAACAGTTTCCCCTGCTCTTCTCTCCCCTGCCACCTTGTGAAGAAGGTGCCTGCTTCTCCTTCACCTTCCACCATGATTGTAAGTTTCCTGAGGCTTCCCCAGCCTTGTGGAACTGTGAGTCAATTAAACCTTTTTCATTTATAAATGACCCAGATTCCAACATTGCTTTATAGCAGTTTGAAAACGGACTAATACAAATGTCCTTCTGTTGAACATAAGATTTTCACAGGACATTATCATATTAGGTCATCCTGTGATTTTTATAGATTAGGCTAAATAGTTCATTGTCTAAACTATAGAAAATTACCATCAAGTCCTCTATTCTGGCCAATTATGAGTAACTGCTATTTACCAATTACAGCAGTAGCTCTGTCTCACATTCTTTCTTTCCAAATAAGAAATACAAAGATAAACAATCATAGAATTATTCAAATTCCTGACAACATCCAACACAGTACAAAGCCCCATTTCCTTGAACTCTCCTCCAAATCGCCTCACCCAAGCCCAAATCCTGTAAAAAGTCATTTGTAACATTGAGAGATACTTTATTATTTTCAGTGGTGTGCTTTCCACTGTCTTGTCAACAAATTAATAAATTAACTTTCCTCAACTACAGGTGATTCTAGTGCCTTTGGCTTGAGGGCATTCATTGGCTGTTCTAAGAATTCATATTAAAAGTGATATAAATTAATCATATTGTACTGTTTGGGAAGAAGTTGTTTGCTATTATATAATAACCTTTGTTCCTTTTATTCATTTTTTTCAGAACTGGATTTATGAAAACAAAATAAAGATAGCAGAATTCTATTTCATTTGCTGTAAATTATACAACAAAGCCTTTGATTATGGGTCATCTGGTTCTGTACAGCTACTAAGCCAATACTATATCCAGAGGGCAAGGATTAACCTCGTTCTTCTTTACAATGCCAATGGACTAGTAAGAACTGAAATGTACTGCCCTGGCAAGTCAGACCACGTTTTTCTACCATGGAAAGTTCAGTCTGTTTTCTCCAAAAGCATCCTAGGTGGTGGCCTCTGATTATGCAATAAGTTTAGTAGTTTAGTTGGAATCTAATTTCTCCAGGCTTTCAGTTCACCTCTGATAGAAAGTTCAGCACTTAACAGAGGTAGGTTATCCTTCTTGTATTTCCAGGATATCGTTAAATGTAAAGTTCTAATGAAAAACAAAATGCTGCCAATTGCGGTGGCTCAGGCCTGTAATCCCAACACTTAGGGAGGACGAGGCGGGCGGGCGGATCACTTGAAATCAGGAGTTTTAGACCAGCCTGGCCAACATGATGAAACCCTGTCTCTACTATAAAAATACGAAAATTAGCAGGGGGTGGTGGTGCACTCCTGTAGTCTCAGCTACTTGGGAGGCTGAGGCAGGACAATTGCTTGAACCTGGGAGGTGGAGGTTGCAGGGAGCCAAGATCGTGCCACTGCACTACAACTTGGGGGACAGAGTGAGACTCCATCTAAAAACAAAACAAACAAAACAAAACCTAAATGCTATTAAACTAAATTCCATACCTATATTTCTCCGAGCCTTAAATCAGTCATAAGTCATAAAGAATAAAAGTTGACATAACAAGGTATTTACATTGATGTAAGGCAGCTAGTTTTTTCTGGTGTTGGATTGAATATAAATTGATTTCATAGCTAGACATCCAGATAGTTAAAGAAAAGCATAACAATGCAATTGTGTTAATAACACTACTGGTTTAGTCATTTTCAATTCTGTTACATTATATTAGATCTTTAAATATGTATACACACATATATATATATATATATATATATAGTTGAACAATCAGTCAGAAGGTGAGTAGATGAATCCTGCTATTTTCTTTGTACCAGAGGTGATATGGATCTATAATTCAATAATTTTATAGCTAGTCAGTCCTTATAAGTGTATTTTATTAAGTGTATCTTCTCCTCTAAATGTCAAATTTATTAGATTGTAATGGAAATAAACTTGTACTTATTAAATAGTCTTTGTACTTTCTTGTACTTTTTGAATAAGAAGTAGGTAGTTAAGAAGTAGTATAAATTCTAGAGAAAAGAGGTAGAAAAGAAGAAAAAGATACATTCTCTCAGTATACAATAGCAAACATCATTTCTGTATAGTAAGCTTGTCCAACCCGCAGGTGGCAGGCTGTATGCAGCTCAGGACAGCTTTGAATGCAGCCCAACACAAATTCATAAACTTTCTTAAAACATTATGAGATTTTTTTGCATTTTTTTTGTTTTAGCTCATCAGACATTGTAAAATCAAAGGTTAGCATGTTTTCATATCCTAGGATTTAAAAAAGAAGAGGGTCAAAAACATAAATCTGATTAGATGTTGGCACATGATACCAATGAGAAAAAAAAAAGAGTGGATATGGTATCTTAGAAATCATCAATAAGGCAACTCCTACAGGCCTAAATTCAATAACAGTAGGTAGGAAAAAAATGATGGAGAAAAAGATGCATAATTTAGGATGAATATAGGAGAGGCACAGATGTCTCAGAATAGTGTCTGGAAATAGAAATCCTAGAATAACCAGAGGTTTGTGAAAAAAGGTAAAGGCAAGAAAATGGTATGCTTTTTCTTATGTTTGGAGAAAGAAGAAAGAGACATAGCCATTGCTTGGCATAGATGATGTGTAATATGATGGAGGACAAAATAAGTTTTTCAAATTTTGGTTTTTTTCATTCTCTCTATCTAAGTAGCACAATCTTGAGTCCAAAAAACTTCAGGTTGAACTTTGAAATAAGGGAAAATGTACTGAAAATAAGTAGTTGGTAGCAGTAGCTCCTAGTACTCCTACAGTTAGTGATGAATCCTAAAAAGTCTGTGGAAATGTATTTATCACTTCATGTGGTACCTTATATTTTAAATATTTTTCCTTAACAATTTAATGCTGGTTGTTTTATCACCCATAGCAAAAATCTATCTGTTTTATAGCTACATTTAGATGCTTAGTTACACACATTTTTTCCTCTCCTGTAGTTTGGTAATTTCTCAGTAGAGGGATATTACCTGACTTATGACATTAGTTTATTTTTCCATGTCGGAAAAACCATTTGCTACTCCACCTTTTATTGTAAATGGTAATTACCTAGTCAATCCACTTTAGGTTTCATATAGATCAGTTTTATAAGCCAGCATAATCCACATATACCCTCTATTAAATAAAAGCAGAGAATGTGAAATATCACATATGGGTTTTAATATATGATAGTCCTTCAGTAAGCTGAATCGAATTTATTTTTATTACTGTTTTGGTTCCAGTGTATAAACTAAAATTTGGATATTACATATCCAAGTCTAGTCCATCCACTTCATTCCATGCAACACAGATAAATAATTGTAAACCACTGGCCTCTGCACAGCTTTTTCTTTGAAACAGTCTTGAGTGGGTACTGAGGAGAGCCAAGAAAGCAAACAGGACTGCAAGAAACAGAGAATGGTTGATTCGCCTCAGTGCTGACATGCTGGATAAAAAGATGGGTGACCTGAAGTGAGGAATGAGGAGGGGCTATAACCAAGTCAATGAGACAGTTGAGGAGCTTTTTCAGAATCCACTACTGAGTAAGTGTTAGGCAGATGCCTGCTACCAACAGGTATTGCCAGAAAAGGAAGGAAGAGCCAGTGAAGGATGTAAGGAGACAGCAAGAGGAAAAGAGCTTCATGAAGAGGCCAGACCTGCGCGGAGCTTGTGATAGAACTACAATGAAAGTGTATGCGGCCCCAAGTCCAGCTCAGACTATTTTCTAAAGGAGGGAGAAATGAACTACTTGATGAAACAGATTGATAATTTTTTGTATATGAGGATGAGGGGAATCCAGGAAAGTCTTTATTAAAGCCACTTTGTTTTAACCGGACATTGTTCTTCCCGTTGTGGTCCTCTTGAAGCCTGGGCCTTCATCAGTGCATAATACAAAGCATCTCTCATTGTATGGGTGTCAATTAAGCACGCAATTGGAATCTTAAATCTAGTTTGGCAAGACCAGAAAATTTTAGAAATACAGAAATTCCCAAAGAAGAAAAAGAAACAATTCTCCATGCAGAGATAAGGTTAGCTATATAATCAGTGCAATTCTTACAGTTTTTTTCTGTGCATTTATATATAATTTTATGTTTTTTACAGCTTGGATAATTAAAGAAAATTATAATTACCTTCTGACTAAATACATTGTGAGCATTTATTGGCCTCAGTCTTTCTCTAAAGCAGGAATGTAATACAATGACTGCATACTATTTCATAAATGAATAATATAATAGTGATAATCTAACCTAATCTAATAATGATGATGATAATTACAGCAGTGTTAAAAGTGGTAGTTACAATAGTAGAAGGGACAATAGTAATAATAGCAGCAGTTGGCAAAAAATCTGAATAGATTACATACTTACTACATTTACCATGTGAAAGGTAAATTCTTAAATTACCTTGTGTAGATTATCTTATATAACCCTCTAGTAATGTTATAAATAGGTATTATATGTCATTCACTTTATAGATGAGAAACAGACTTTTAGAGGCCAACTAATTTGGAAACTTCAGTGTGTTTATATAAACCACATGTGCAGCTTGTTAAACATATCAATGCCTGACTCCAGCCCAGACCTACTGAATTAGAATTTATGAGGTCAGTTCCAGGCTTCTGTATCCTTAAGAAGCTCCATGGGTAATTCTCAAACTCTGCTCATTTGGGGAACCACTTTGTCAGTAACTTAGCCAGATTTGCACCTGGTCTGTCTGATGCCAAAGTTTGCATTCTTAGCGTCTCACAATGTGGATGACCATACCATTTAACCAGCCTTATATTTTGGTACATTTAGATTGTTAATAGGTTTATTATAATGAAAGTAAGACTGAGACACAATAAAAAATTTAAAGAGTTTATTTGTGCAAACAGTGATTCGTGAGTCAGTAAGCACCAAACCAGCTGATGGTGTGGGGTCCTGTTGAAAAGCATAAGGGATGGCTTTTATGAGGTGAAGGCAGAAACAAAACGAAGACTACATCTGATCGATTAGTTACAGAGTTGCCTTATTTGTTCTATTATGCTGGAAATTTCCTGGTTATAAAATTGTAGGTTAGTAGCATCTCATTGGTTGAGCTTAAGTTTTGTTTTTTTTTTTTTTTTTTTTTTTTGCTAAACAAGCATTTACAAAAAAAATAGCCTAAGTTATGTTTCACTTATATTTGCATTTCAAAGTTAAGGCTACTTTAAAGTCTAAATGTTTTCATCTGCTCAGGATTTTTTCAGGCCTGGTTTTTTTTTTTTTTTTGAGATGGAGTCTTGCTCTGTCGCCCAGGCTGGAGTGCAGTGGTGTGATCTCGGCTCACTGCAACCTCAGCCTCCCGGGTTCAGGCAATTCTTCTGCCTCAGCCTCTCAAGTAGCTGGGACTACAGGTGCGTGCCACCAAGCCTGGCTAATTTTTGCATTTTAAGTAGGGACAGGGTTTCACAATATTGGCCAGGCTGGTCTCGAACTCCTGACCTCGTGATCCACCCACCTTGGCCTCCCAAAGTCCTGGGATTATAGGAATGAACCACCTTGCCCGGCCCTGGTCTCCATTTTAATTTGCTTTAACAATTATAACTAGTGCTGAGATTAGCAAGCTTGTTTATTAGAATGTTTTCTAATTGTTGCTTAGCATCAATTTCTGTAATTAAAAAAAAACCTAAACTAACATAATAAACATTACAATTTAGCTATTTGCCATGGTATCAGATGAGATCTCAGGAGCTCACTACAAATTTTACTTATTTCAGCCAAACTGAAAATTACAGTACTGTGTGTGTGTGTGTGTGTGTGTGTGTGTGTGTGTGTGTGTGTGTGTTTGTGTGTGTTGTGTGTAATGGGGAGAGAGAAAGGACAAAAAGAGAAAAAGAAAAATTAATTTGGTACAGAGATTTGGCCAAAAACTAGAGTTGGGTCAGTTTTGTACATTTTAATATATTCTGAGTCTTCATCCTTAAGTTACCTTTTTTTTTTTACATTTTTAGAAATGAAAACTCAGAACTTTTGAAGATTTATGTTTATTTAACATACTATTTAAGGAAAACAACAATTTTAACATTAATGATAAGATGCATGGGAAAACTGAGAGAATAACTAGAAATCAAGTATGTACCTCATTCTTAGATCTTCTGAAAATATAAATGGCAAAGATCTGTGGGCCTAATGAGGTAGAGTAGTGTAGTTGTATATACATACACAATAAGGGAAGAGTAATGCAAGGCTATTTTGTTCTTCCACTCAGTGCCTCCCTTTTACCAAGTGCAAAGACACAGGCGTACACTGGAAGCATATACAGACAAGCAGGCCAGATAGGCAGTAATAGCATTCTCTTAAGGGACAATAAATACTACGAGAGTAGAAGGCATTTATTCAATAAGTGCCAAATATGAATCTGAATGTTGTAATGGAAAAAGAGCCTTGGTTACTAACTAGAAAGACCCAGGTTTCACTCCTGTCTTAAAATGAGTTAGTTACTGTCATAAGAAAAATAATTTAGCTCCATCTGTGTTTTCTGATTTTTAAAGCTAAGGAGTTGAGCTAGATTATTTTGAGGTTTCATCTAGGTTTAATGTTCTCTGACTTTATAATTTTCTGTCATAGTCTTCTGACATAGGGAAATGAAAAAAGATCAGATCACAGATTATAATACAAAAATCATAATTTTTATACACAGATTCTATTACAATAATGCTGCCTCATGTTTTGAAAGGCCTTATATTCTTTAAAATATGTACATCTAACAGAATTATTTAACTTGATAATTGTGTTTTAAATAATAAAGATATAATTATATATCCCTTTTCAATATATGAATTTTTATACAAAAGATTTCTAAATTAAATGTTAGTGTTGTCTTTAATTAAAGCAGTCTTTCCATAAATCTCAAAGTAATATTTGCAAGACTAAAAAAAGATAGCATCAGAATATTTCATTAATGCATAAAAATGTTTAAATTGCAATTTTTAATTCTGTGATGACTTATTGCAATAAAATTGAATTATGGCTTCTCAGGGAATGAGAGCAGAATAAGAATATGCATATATTTTATGAACACCATTTATACAAAATATTGTAAGCTTTTTTTTAGTGAATGGACTTTTCTAAAGTAAACTAAAAACTGCATGTATTTATTTGCTGATCCATAACAAGTATTTTGTTTATTTTATTTTATTTTTTATTTTTTATTTTTTTTAGAGACGGAGTCTTGCTCTGTCGCCTAGGCTGGAGTGCAGTGGTGCGATTTCGGCTCACTGCAACCTCCGCTCCCTGGTTCAAGCTATTCTCCTGCTTCAGCCTCCTAGTAGCTGGGACTATAGGTGCATGCCACCACGCCAAGCTAATTGCTTTTGTATTTTGGTAGAGACGGGGTTTCACCGTGTTGCCCAGGCTGGTCTTGAACTCCTGAGCTCAGGCAATCCGCCCACCTTGGCCTCCCAAAGTGCTAGGATTACAGGCACGAGCCACCGCGCCATCTCCGTAACAAGTATTTTCTATTTGTTAAATCAACATATATTTAAATGCAATATTTACTGAGTGGTATTTAGATATTTATAAATTTGGTGTCTTGGGGAGTAGCTCGTTGTTTCCTTACACTGAAGCATATTTTCAGCACACCCTCGAAATTTAATTAAAATTCTATCAATGGGTTCATTTTCTGCAATATAGTAGGACAGATGTTCAGAGGAACCCCACCCAATACAATGCATTTAAAACTTTTTCATGCATTGTTGAGCTACTAGTAAGGTAAGACAAATGCATAGAGGCCAGAAAGTAGGCAAGTCATAGAGTCGGTGTTTTTCCTGGGATTCAGCTGATCCTGGTGGCTCAGAGGCTTGGTTTTAATATGCCAAGCATGTCAGGTTTAGGAGATGAGGCCTAGGGTTCTCTAGTTAGTGGAAATATTTTTTAGTGTCTCCTTCACCAACTTAGGACTCCTGAAAGTCAATATATCAGTGGTAAATTGGGGAAAAAATCATGCTCCACAAAGAAATATAAAAGTTAGTGTAAAGAGGTCTTCGTTTGGTAGTGTCTTTAGGAAACTGGCAGAAGCAATCAGAAATTTTTTTTTTTTAAGAACAATAGACTTTCAAGCCAACACACACACACACACACACACACACACACACACACACACAACCCTGTTGCTATCATAAAGTACCAAGGACCTTCTAGAAGATCACCAATAGATACATACATACATATATACATACATACATATATACATATACAAATAAATGAAGAAGCTAATTAGGAAACAATGAAGAATTATTATGGTCACAAACCGTAAGATTAGATGCAGAGAGATATGTTAAAGGACACAAATTATAGCTAGGTAGAATAAATATCTTCTTGTTATATACCAGTATATGATAATTATAGTTAACAACAATATATAGTTTCAAATAACTACAAAGAGGATATTGAATGTTCCCAACACGAAGAAATGATAAATGTCTGTCATAATAAATATGCTAGTTACCCTGATCACTATACAGGGTAATATAGTATTTGAACCATCACTATGTACCCCATAGAATGTACAATTTTTATGTGACAATTTAAAAAAAATAAAGTAGAATAAAGTATATAAAAAGAAACTGCAAGTTCAGATCTCAAAATACTGCTGATGTTAAAATTATCAGACACAGAATACAAATGTTAAAATTATCAGACACAGAATATAAAGTAAATATACTTAAGGGACTTGAAGAAATAAGAATGGGAATTGATAGTATGAAAAAGGAGAAAGATAACAACAATTTACCTGGTAGCTTTTAAAAACACAAAATAAGTCTTCTCAAAATTAAAGTGACCATCCCTGAACATAGTAAATGAATGGAAATGTGAAACATCTATTAGACACTATTGAAAAGAGTATTAGTTAACTGAAACATAGATATTTTTAAAAATCCAGAATGCAGAACAGAAAGAAAGGAGACAAAGATACTCTAGTGAAAAAAATCAGTAAAAAACAGCAACAACGAATAATTCCTGCCTCATGGAGCCTCATGGAGTAAAGATCAGCAGAAAACAGTAAACATACAAAATAATTATACACACACATGCATGGATACAAGTGTATAGATGGTGATAAATGCTAATACAAATATTGAATGAGGCTGAGATAGTGGAGGGAGTCTATGGGAGGGCACAGTGGTAATTTTAAATGAGCTGGCTAGGGCATTGTTGCCAACTAGTATTTGGGTAAAACCATAAAGGAGTGCGGAAGTCATTCACGCAGATATCTGGGGAAGAACATCCCAGAACATTACAAAGGAACGCTGAGGAACTGACATGCTGGAAAAGAAGCCTAGAAGCCAAGATTGAAGTAGTTTGAGCCACAGGAGCCCAGGAAGGGATCAGGTGAGAGAGATAGCAAGAAACTGATCAGGAAGCACCTTTGGACCAGTGTAAGGACCTTGGCTTCTATGCTAAGTACAATGGGAAATCACAGGTGCATTATGAACATCAAAGAAACATGATTTGTACTGTAGTTTTAAAGGAAAAATTTGGTCTTCTGCTGAGTATAGACAGTAGCAAAAAAGATAGTATACAGACTCAACAAACATAAGCCATTATTACTGACTTTATTATGTTATGGTACATTTTGTACAACTGCCATGGAACATATCCAGAACTTCTGGAGTCACATCGTGGAGGAGCAGAAAGAGTTCAAGATGTTCTCTAGATTTCTTATTTAAGATAAGGCCGAGTGTCATTCTAGGGCATCAGTAGAAACATGCTAAGTGTGCCAGCTGAGGAGCACAGATGGGGTAGGTAGAGGTGAGATGTAAAGAATTTGATTGTTTTCCAAGGCCAGAGTAGAGATTTAGCAGGAGTATTTCTGTGGACCTAAAGAGAATTGATCCAATCAGGGTTATAGCACTGTTCTAGAACTTTCTGGCTTTAAGACTTCAGTAAATCTCTAAATTTAGATTTGTCTTTGTTTCCTTTATAAAAATTTTTATTGTATAATAAAAACATCATATGCACAGAGAAGTATATGAAATATAAATGAACACCCAACAACACAACCTTTAATAACCCTCCCTCAGAATAGCCTCGATTCTGAATTTTTAAAATAATCCTACTTCTGTTTTAATTATACTTTAATTTTATCACCTTTGTATAAATTCCTGAACAAGAAATATTTCTTCTTTTTCTCTACTCTTTAATTCATTCAATAAATATTCATTTTTATGTATCCTTTTGGAATTTACCATTTTTACTTCGCATCATGTTTGTGAAATTCATCTATGTTAATAAAAGGAGCTATAGCTCATTAATTTTCACTGGTGTATAATATTACATTGTACAAATAAATATATGTTCATAATACATACTTAATGAACATTTGAGTTGCTTTCAGAATTTTTTGCTATGATCATTTTTGTACAAACAACATACAGAAAACATTGTGGAGTGCATTTTCTGGATCAATATATCAAACTGCTTTCAAAAGTGTTTGTGCCAATTTACTCTCACAGTGCAGAATGCAAGTTTCCTCTATTGCACTTGGCTAACAAGATTAAGTATTGTCAGAAATTTTAATTTTGCCAATATAAATTTTGTGTTTTTATTTCTCATTGTGTTTTTCTTTTTATTTCTCTGATTACTAGTAAAATAAAAAATTTTCATATATGTATTGGTTAATCATATAGCTTCTTTTTTGAAGTGTTTATCTTCTGTCCCTTTTCATTTTAGATTCTTTTACTTTATTACTTTCTATTATAATTTTTGAGAAAATAAACATAAATATAAAAATAAACTTAGACATAAATATTAATATAAATTAACATGCATATATATACATAGATATTCTAGATAATACTTCCTTGCCAGCTCTATCTGTAACAAATTTTTTTTTCTCTCATTCTAGGGAATTATCTTTTTATACTAATACAAATGCTGTCAATGACAAAAAGTATTAAAAATTTTTAGTTTGTTTTCATGATGCTGGTAAACACATACCAGAGACAGGACAATTTACAAAAGAAAGGGCTTTACTGGACTCACAGTTCCACGTGGTTGGGAAGGCCTCACAATCCTGGTGGAAGGTGAAAGGCACATCTTACATGGCTGCAGACAAGAGAAGAGAACTTGTGCAGGAAAACTTCCCTTTATAAAACCATCAGATCTCATGAGACTTATTCAATATCAAGAGAATAGCACAGGAAAGACCCACCCTCATGATTCAATTACCTCCCACCAGTCCCTGCCACAACACATGTATATTGTGGGATCTACAATTCAAGATGAGATTTGGGTGGGAACACAACCAAACCATATCAGCATTTATAATTTAAAATAGTAAAATCTATCAACTTTATGTCTTATTTAAGAAAGGCTTCCTTTTTCAAAGTGATGAAAGCAATTTTCTATATTACATTCTAAAAGCTTTTGAGTTTCATTTTTATTTCTCTAGACCACTTGTGATTGATTTTTATAGTATGATATAACGTAAAGGTATAATTGTATTTTTCCACATAGATAATTAATTATCTTAGCATCCTTTACTTGCTAAACTATCATTTTCTATCTTTACTATTGAAACTCTTTAAAAAAACTAATTATTCATATTAGATAGGGCATATCTCCTCAATTTAGCCTTCTTCAAGACTATCTTGGTTATTCATTACATTTTACAATTATATTAAAATTTATCAAAAAATGTACGGGAATGATTGAAATTGCTTTGAATCTATAGATGAATTTGAGAAAAAATTATAATCTTAATGTTGGATGTTCAAAACCATAAATGTGATTTCATACAAGGTACTTCACATTTTGATAATACTATGATCTTTCAAATTTTTCTTTTTATTGTTTTATACAGAAATATAATACATTTTATATTTTTTCCCAGTTACATTGCTGAACTCTCTTATTACTTCTAAGATGTCTATAGATTTTTTTTCCTCTTTACTGCAGTGAATAGAAACATCAGTACAATGCTAAGGAGAATTTATTGTATCAGGCTTCCTTATGTCTGATGTTAAACAAAATTTAACAATACTTAAAATATTTCATTGTTAAGTATAATGTTTGCTATATGCTTATGAAGACATTCTATCTGTTAGGGGAACTTCTTTTTCTTCCCACACTGCATCTGATTTTAAATCATGAATAAATGTTGATTTATGTCAAACCTTTTCTGCAGCTACCCAGATGGACGTATGATTTTTCTGTCTTAATCTACTAATTCATCTAGTATTCCTTGGATAAATCTACCTTGATAATGATGGTTAATCTTTTAAAAAATTAACTACTGGCTGGGTGCTGTGGCTCATGGCTGTAATCCCAGCACTTTGGGAGGCCGAGGCAGGCAGATCACGAGGTCAGGAGATCAAGACCATCCTGGCTAATACGGAGAAACCCCGTCTCTACGAAAAATACAAAAAATTAGCCGGGCGTGGTGGCACTTGCCTGTAATCCCAGCTACTCGGGAGGCTGAGGCAGGAGAATTGCTTGAACCTGGGAGATGGAGGCTGCAGTGAGCCAAGATCGCGCCACTGCACTCCAGCCTGGGTGACAGAGTGAGATTCTGTCTCAAAAAATAAATAAAGTTAAATAAAATTAAATTAATTACTAATGTTGGTGTGTTAATTTTTTATTTTTTAAAGACAAGGTCTCACTCTATTAACCAGGCTGCAGTGCAGTAACATGATCACAGCTCACTGCAGCCTCAGTCTCCTGGGCTCAAGCAATCCTCCTGTGTTAGCCTCCTGAGTAGCTGGGACTGCAGGTGCACACTACCATGCCCAGCTGATTTTTAAAATTTTTTTGTAGAGATTGGGGAGAGGGGTCTCACTATGTTGCCCAGGCTGGTCTCAGACTCCTGGTCTCAAGCCATTTTCTCACCTCAGGCTCCCAAAGTGCTGGGATTATAGGCATCAGCCACTGCAGCCGGCCTAGTGTGTTAATATTCCCTGGAGATTTTGCATCTTTTTACGTGAGACATGTTTTAAATTTTGAAATTTTCCTTTTTAATGCTGAAGGTTAAAATGTCTTTTTAACCAACATTGTATTAGCCTCATAACATGAGATGTATTTTAGTACCCCTATCCAAAAGAAATTTTGAATAGCAGAGTTAACAGCCTCATAAAATAAATGGCCAAATGTGACCCCTTTTTACATATTTTTTCAGTAATTTATTCAACAACTATTTATTTAGAACCCACTGTGTGTCAGGTATTCTCCTAGATACTGGAGAGAGAGTGGTGAATGTAGTGGCCATTAATCTTTGTCTTCTGGAAACATACTCTAGTAAGATATGATAAAAATAAACACAGAAATAAAATGTGTAACTTAGCAGATGCTGATATGGATTACATGAATTATATGTATGAATACATATACTGCAGACAAAGGAAGTAGGAAATGCTGGGATGGCAGGGCTCACAATTTTCAAGTGGTATTTACAGATGCTATCTCTACAGAGGTAACCTTTTTAAAAAGGCCTGCTGGAAGCAAGGGTGGACACTCAGTGACTTCCATACTTAATTTGATATATTGTACACATAAAAATATGTGGGAATGACAATGACTGTCATCTCACTCCTCAGCAACATACATCATTCCTATGTAGTTTAATCCAGGCACCCTCCGCACTCTGTTTCAACTAGGATCTCCCTCTAAGTATTCCATACATTCTCTGAGTCTTTGTACCTTTTCTGAGGAGCTCAGTACAGTTTTCTCTACCTAACTTGGAAAGTATCCAAGCACATCTTAAATTATTTGATAACTTTTATAGTAGTTTTTTTTCTAACAAAAATAAGGCTAAGTGTTCTTCAGCAGAAATGAAATTCCATATAATATTAAATGGGCATACTAGAGGCTTCACAAGCCATAGATTATGGTGTATTATTCCTATGGCCTTAAAAAAAAGTCAAATACATTTCATTTTCTCTGGATTCAATCCTTATGAAGCATTGACATTTAATTCTTTCCCCAAGAGGTCCAGAAAATTCAGACATTAGGATGGGCTGAGACCCATAATCGCCAAGGTTTTAAGTATTACCAGACACTGAAAATATGTCTCTGGCCATAAAATTGGCCTGAATCCTTAAAATTGTATTACTTTAACATTTCTTATTTATTAAATTTTGAATGTTGTAGGTGGGAAAAGAAAATATTAGGCATGCACAATATATGTGTCTTTAAGATCTTGAAAATAACTGGTTTAGTTTTGTTCTTTAATGAGATCATAGCTTTTTTTTTTAGATTTTTCTCAGTTTTAGGTTGCATAGCCAAGCACACTTGTCATTTTTTATTTTAATCCTGAGAAAGAAATGTTAATCTAAGTGTCTATCTCCAGCAATGAACTTTTAGGGCATCTGTCTGGGAAGAGATTATTATTAACACAACATTACAAGAATGCTGGCTGAACTGTTGTTGGTTCTTTTTTTCTTCTCCTCTTGTTAAATATGTTTGAAAATAGATCTTGAGTGGAAAATCTCTGTGCATGCAAAAGCATTATCAAAGCTTAGGATGTTGGTGATAACACCAGAGGAAAGACAAATAATAAAATAAATCTGTCCTGTGATATTAATTCTTCTTTTTGGAAAGCACAGCTCTGGGATTCTTATTGTGCATTACAGTCAAAGATAACAAATGGAATTTGGAGACAATACACCTAAGCCTATATCCGACCTCTCCCATTATTACCTGAGTGACCTTGAGCAACTTATATTTAACTCTCTGAGTCTTGATTTTCTTCTCCTATAAATAGGTTTAATAACACCTACCTTACAGTCCTGCAGTGAAGATGAGCATTAAGGTGCACATCTGACACAAGTAAGTAATCAACAAATGGTGACAGCTTTATTTTACAAAGAAAATTAAAGTAGGCCTCTTGCAAAATATTTATAAAATAATTATTTTGCCTTCCAAAAGATACATCATTTGGGTAAAAATTTTCTTTTTCTGTCTTTCTTTGTTTTTTTTTTTTTTGCTTGTTGTTGTTTGTTTGTTTGTTTTGTTTTGAGATGGAGTCTTGCTCTGTTTCTAAGGCCGGAGTGCAGTGGCATGATCTTGGCTCACTGCAACCTCCACCTCCTGGGTTCAAGTAATTCTCCTGCCTCAGCCTCTGGAGTAGCTGGGATTACAGGCTTCAGTCACCATGCTCAGCTATTCTTTGTATTTTTAGTAGAGACGAGGTTTCTTCATGTTGGACAGGCTGGTCTTGAACCCCTGGCCTCAAGTGATCCACTCGCCTCGGCGTCCCAAAGTGCAGGGATTACAAGTGTGAGGCACCACACCTGGCCCAAAAGTTTTATGTTTCAACAGTAAAACTGGCATAATTCAATGACCCCAGAATTAGTAAGACTTTCATGAAATAATGGATGTAAAGTGTTTATAACAATGTCTAAAAAAGACATTCTCAACAAATGTTTACTGCTATTAATGTTATTATTAATAATAGTATTGGCCGGGTGCTGCAGCTCATGCCTGTAATCCCAACATTTTGGAAGGCCAAGGCAGGAGGATCACTTGAACACAGGAGTTTGAGACCAGCCTGGACATCATGGCGAAATCTCGTCTCTATCAAAAAATACAAAAATTTGCTGGGCATGCATCTGTGATCCCAGCTACTCAGGAGGCCGAAGTGGACTTGAGCCAGGCAGAAGTTTCAGTGAGCCATGATCATGCCACTGCACCACTGCACTCCAGCCTGGGTGACAGAGCCAGATCCTGTCTCAAAAAAAAAAAAAAAAAAAAAAAAAAAAAAAAAAAATATATATATATATATATATATATATATATATAAAATCACACATAGGCTTTCTTTTCCACAAGAAACTCATTCATAAAAAGCAGTTAAATTGAGTTACTAATCATTGAGTAAGGAGTCTTGTCAGGAGGACTGCTTAAAGTTCTGAGGCTAAGCTCAGCCTTTAGAAAGTGCTCACTGTAGATGATTTAAGATTAAGAATACAGTTTAAAGAAGATCAGTAAATGAGATTATAATGTAGATGATTTAAGATTAAGAATACAGCTTAAAGAAGATCAATAAATGAGATTATAAGTGACTTAAAATAAATTTGCCCCAAATTTCCAAGGATACAACATTTATAACATTTATATAAACTGGAATTATGGCCGGGCATGGTGGCTCACGGCTGTAATCCCGGCACTTTGAGAGGCCAAGGCAGACGGATCACGAGGTCAGGAGATTGAGACCACCCTCGCTAACACGGTGAAACCCCGTCTCTATTAAAAGTACAAAAAATTAGCCGCGGGTGGTGGCAGGTGCCTATAGTCCCAGCTACTTGGGAGGCTGAGGCAGGAGAATGGCGTGAACCCGGGAGGCGGAGCTTGCAGTGAGCCGAGATCGCACCACCGCACTACAGGCTGGGCAACAGAGCGAGGCTCCGTCTCAAAAAACAAAAAACAAAACAAAACAAAACAAAAAAACTGGAATGATAAGGCATTGACTGGAAGACCCTACCCAATGTTAGGAAGAGGTCATGAGATCAGAAGTAGAAGTCAACAGAGACTTTTAAAAAATAATTAATGATATATTTCTTAGATTATAAAACAAAAAAAGACTAGAACAAACATGACAAAATTTTAACAATGATTAACTCAGAGTTTTGGGCATTGTTTTCTGTGTTCTAAATTTGTGAAGATAAATTTTTCTAGGTCTTAACATTTTAAAAGAAGAAAAGTCCAGCACTCAGGTATGTTCAAGTCCCAAGAAAATACAATGGTGTCCAGAGAATGCTCTTGAGACAGTGGCAAAGATCAGAGCATTTGGGTAGACAGGGTTCAGACAGAATGGCAGGCTGTTCCCACGGGGAAAAGGAGGATTGTGTGTTCTCAAAACTTGCTTGCTCCCGGCAGCTGGCTAAATCTGCTCAAGGGCCAGGCCCTTGGGTATCATTGGCAGAATCATTTTAAATACACCTATCATTAGAGAACCAGTTCACAGAGGTGACAACATAAGGGGAATCATCTCTCCCTGCTCTCATGTTCTGCATCTCTTCAAATAGAAGAGGTCAGCTTCAGGTCCCTTGGATGACAGCCTCACCGCTTCACAGATATAAGTTGCATTCCTGAATGCTGAGGAAAAAATAAAGCGTCCATCTGCCTCGTGTAGCCCTAGCCTTTTCTCTGAGGAGTTTTCTTTGGATGGTACCTAGCCCCATGCATTGGCTTGAATTTGACATAAACAAGGTAAGGAAATATTGTCTAAGAAAAAACTAGTATCACATAGCAGGCCAAGTATATTGCGTGTATTTCCTTTCCCAAGGATTCCAATGTGCTTCTTAACTGGTATATTATTTCCCATCATTTTAGCAATTAAAATTCATATATTCAAACTTTTATTTTCTAGCAATGAATGTAGGCTCTGTGCTATGACAAAACACAACCATGTTTTATTTATTTCTCATTTCGGAGTTGAATTAGTTGATTTGTAGTAATCGCTTCAATAAAGTGGCTCTAGGCCACCTGTCATTTTTTTCTGTTGCCTTCCTAGGGATTTGGAAATCTGTATGATAAGCCATCCTTAGTTTTATCAGCAGTTTACTGGGACTCACCATCAAAGGCCTCTACCTACTTCCCTTATACATGAGGGAGGACTGATAGATATTTCTTTTCAGCGCATGAACAAAGCCTTTCTTTTGTGCATTGCTTAAGGAAATTCAATGTATAAAACAGTCTACTCAAAATATAGACTTAACAGCAATTGTTTATATTTTCTTGAGGAATTCAAGGGTAAAAATCTTAAATAGGTAAATAGGTCTTGATTGATTGATAAATAGATGATAGTTACATAAATGATAGACATGGATTCATATATATACAGATGATAGATGACAGAAAGATGATAGAATCAAGCTTCTCTATTAAATAGAGAATCATATAAATTCTCTATTTATATGATTTATAAAATCTGTTTGACAGATTTGTTCTGTAAAAACATCTATTTCATAAAACAACAGAGATGTGTACCAAATATGTCTTCTGCAGTAGCCACTTTTGTCTCCTCAGCAGGGAGCATTCCTACAGACAACCAATACTTTATCTCAGGGATAACCTTTTAGGAATATTAACAAGTTAGGACATGATGTTTCAATAAAGATAATTAACACCTCCCCTCAACTCTGAAATTATTCTTTAGAAGCTGAAAAAGACACGATATTGTGTGAACTGACAAAATTTAATACCAAAATAATGCTGATTTGTTCAGGAAGATTTGACTTTATTAAAACTGGTTTTATTATTGGTTTTTCCCACACTCATATAGTATTTTAAATTGGCCGAAATATTGTAATACTCAGACAGATCCTAATCACCTTAGAACTTTCCCCTTTCCTAGTGCCAAATATAATACATGATCCCAAAACTCCTACACAATATGATTATTTTTACGCTTCACCCATCTATACATTATAAAATAAGATTGCTGTGCAGATTCTCTTCCAGCTTATTAATTCCTTATCTTGTATTTTTGCTGATTGCTTTTCAATGACAAGGAAAGTGCCAAATGCCTTCCAAACATACTTCTCTGAGAATATTTTGACCATTTCCCATCAGTTTATCAAATTCATCCTCCATTTTCCAATGAAGAGATTGATACTGAAAGAAGGTTCCTCTTATTAACATTTTCCACATTACAGTCTCACGAAGAGATTGCATTGACAGTGATGTATAAAGGAAGGCAGGAAACTAAAGAAGCAAAGCATTGGAAGGCAGAGAGATCAGAAAGGAGGCTCCCCTGGTCTCATAAGTTTTCAAATGTGCAAATATAAAATGAGCACAGTAATATATGAGATACCATTTAAAAAATTCAGAGGGTAAAATAACAAATCCCCTGTAATCAGAGAAAAAACTAACTGGGGTTAAAGCAGCACCAACATGGCAAAACATGTATTATCAAGCAAAGTCGGTTCAGTTCTCAAACTTGCAGGATATCCAAAATCAGTTTGCTCATCTTTTGTACATTTGTTTTTGTTCATTCATCATTCATTCATTCATTTGAACATTTGTTGAAAGTTTACTAAGTACAAATCCATGTCCTGAGAAATGTGAGAAATATTAATAAAGGAAGACATTTTTCTGCATTAGTCTCATCACTGCAAAATTGAGAATGAATTTGGTGAGCTGGTGGGTACTGTTTACCTTAGCTACTCTGAAAGTCTATCTATGAAGTAAAGAAGACTTTAATCACGTAAAGAAGATTTTGATCCTTGCTGACACTGAAGATAGTTAATCACCAGCACTCTCTGGCAAAATGTCAGATAATATAAAATGGCCTCAAAGGAAAAAGTTCGGGGATATGTTGTCTGTCAAATTGTATCACTGTGTAATGACCTGCTCTGTTTGTAATCAGGGTATGTGCTGTTGTGTTTGGCTAAAACGTTTATTTTGAAGTTTCTATCTTTCCAAAGCACATTTATAGGGAACCCAAGGTAGGGGATTCTGGTCTTCTATGGAATGGAGAAATAAAGGCTTTCTATGAGATTTGAAGTCAATTGTGAAATAAGTGAGACTTTTGGATGCTGTCATAACTTGAGTCTTTCCAGCATCACCAAGGAAAGGTGAGGTTTGTTCCTTCCTATTGATTTTGGGGAAACAGGATCCAGCTATTTACCAGGATGTCCTGGGCACAGTTTTCCAAGAGGCAGAGGTCTGGACTTGATGAAGTCTGGAGGTCCTTCCTGATTCTATGAACAGATGCCATGAACTAAAACTTGTTATCCTATTCCAAGCCAAGAAATTAAATATTTATAGTTTCGTTTTTCATCTAATGATCTTGTTTCCTTTTATATTTAATTCCAGCAGTTGGCTTGAGAAAGCCTAAAGGTTCTATTCAAAATTTTATGAATCCCTAGGCCCACCAGATTGTTAATTGGATGGTGTATTACTATAAAGGAAGTGAGAAATGCCTAGCATAATTGTATAACGTTTGTTTTCTCTGCGCTGTGGGAATTCTCGGGGGTTTCATTAGCAGATGGTTACTGAAAGCCAGAATCCTGGAGTCTGGACTGGTGAATAGCATTCTTCTTAATTATTCAGTAACTAGCCTGCACAGGTCAGGTCTAAAGCACAGATACTAAATTCAGAGCACTCTGGACAATAAATTTCCTTATCTTGAATTACGATTTTATTCTCTTCAATTAAGCAGTGCTAGGGGTACCTAACACTAATTCATCAAAGACATTGGATGTCTTATTTACACGTGAGTCACCATTATATGAGATTTATAGACTAGATATCCTTTAAAAGCTGTCTAGTTTCCATTTATATACTTAACTTGGTAAACAAGCTAAGTAGCTAAATGAAGGCACTTCTCCAAAAATGACTTGTAGAGAAAAATTCTTCCTCCAGGGCTATGACAACTAAGTAATAAGAAAAAACACGTAAATGGTATCATGATAAACTTCTTGGTAATATACCAAACCCTGGGGTTCATCTAAACTGATGAGTTTGCTTGATCTATCCCTATCAGATCAAGATTGTTATGTCCCTGGTCACATTCTAATTCTGACTCATGACAACTAAGCAAAGGATATAATAATTATGTAAATAATATTGCCATGTGTTGGGCAGGGAAATTTGGTGATAGCTATATAAGAGTTCATTATTCTACTTTTTTATTTTAGATTTTCAATTTCCTGAAATAGAATGCATTTAAAATTTATAAGAGTTGTGTCCTGATTCTATTGAATAAAAAATAAGTGTGGTAAAAGTTAGTAAATATTTGTAGATGTTGAATATATAATCCAGGACTTGGCTGTCATGCCACCTTAGGCAACTTGATGATTCTGTGTTCCGTTTTTGGTGATGTTGTTTTGAGATGGAGTCTCACTCTGTCACCCAGGCTGGAATGCAGTGGCATGATGTTGGCTCACTGCAACCTCCACCTCCCAGGTTCAAGTGATTCTCCTGCCTCAGCCTCCCAAGTAGTTGGGACTACAGGCGTACATCAACACACCTGGCTAAATTTTTTGGTATTTTTAATAGAGAAGGGGGTTTCACCTTGTTGCCCAGGCTGGCCTCGAACTTCTGGCCTCCAGTAATGCACCCCCCTCAGCCTCCCAAATTGCCAGGATTACAGGAGTGAGCCACCACGCACAGCCGGATTCTCTGTTCCTTGAACTTCATCACATTGATGCCAAAGTCCATATGGAATTGGCATAGCATACTAGAGCCCCAAACTCCTGAGGTCAAAGGATCCAGCTCTCTCAGACTCCATGTAGCAAACATCTGTACTACAACCAATTTTATCCAGGTTAACCTGATTGCACCAACTCTCCTGCTTAATTCAAAGGAGCAGCCAGCTTCACAATGCATCCTCACGTTGTTTCTCCTTTCTCCCTATCCTCAATCCTTTTGTTCCCACACATATTCTTTGAGATTAAATCTCTAACAAAGAACAGTACAGAAGTTTTACCACAAGCACTTCAGATTTTGTTGACAGCATTGACGGAAATTCAATACAGATGGAGATAACAAAGATAATATTATGTTTAAAAATTCATAATTCTTTTTCTTCAGCTTTATTGAGAAATAATTGACACAATATGTATGTACTTAAAGTGTACAGCTGGATGTTTTGATACATGTTATGCGTTGTGAAGTTATCACCAAAACCAAGCTAATGAACACATCCATTAGCTCACATAGTTCACTTTTCTTTATGTTTTTTTGTTTTGTGGTAAGAACACTTAAAATATACCCTCTTGGCAAAAATATTTCCTTATTGATATTTTTAGTGGATACCTTGACAGTTGGTATACTTTGTCACCCAGATAAAGAAAGAGACACAGCAAATGTGGAAAAAAATGATTGAGTTTTATTGGGGAAGAAAGATGTTTCTAAGTTATCCTATATGGTATTGCTATAGCTTGAATATTTATCACCTCCAAAACTGTTGAAATTTGATGCCCAATGTGGCAATATTGAGAGGTGGGACTTGTAAGAGGTGATTGGTCATGAGGGCTCTGTTGCCATGAATGGATTAGTCCATTGATCAATTAGTAGATTAATGAATTAATGAGTTAATAAGTTAACGGGTCATTAAGAGACTGGGACTGGAGCTTTATAAGAGGAGGAAGAGAGACCTGAGTGAGCATACCCAGCCCCGTTGCCAGGTGATGCCCTGCACTACCTCAGGACTCGACAAAGTCCCCACCAGCAAGAAAGCTCTCACCAGATATGGTTATGGTTCCTTGACCTTAGACTTCTCAGGCTCCATAATTGTAAGAAATAAATTTATTTTTTAAATAAATCACCCCATTTCAGGTATTCTGTTGTAAGTAACAGCAAACAGACTAAGACAAGTAGGTAAATCATTATGAAGAGAACTATCTAGTAGTATTTTTCAAAACATTGTCCTGAACATATACCAAGGTAGATCGCATTCTGGGCCATAAAACATACCTTAATAAGTTTAAAATAATAGAAATCATACAATGTATGCCCTCAGGCCGCAGTGGAATTAAACTAGAAACCGATGACAGAAAAAGAGCTGAAAAATCCCAAAATATTTGGATAGTCAACAATACATTTCTAAATAATACATAGGTCAAAGAACAAATATCGAGAGAAATAAAAAAGAATATTTTAAGCTAAATAAAACTGAAAATACTACCTATCAAAATCTGTGAGATGCAGCAAAAGTAGTGCTCATAGAAAAATGTATAGCGTTAAATAGATATATTAGAAGAGAGATCTAAAATCAATTATCTAAGCTGCCAGATTAAGAAGCTAGAAAAAGAAAAGTAAATTAAATTCAAAGTTAGCAGAAAAAGAAATAATAGAAATTGGAGCAGAAACCCGTGAAATTGAAAACAAGAAATCAATACAGAACTCAAAAGAATCAAAATCTGGTTCTTTAAAGAAGATCAATAAAAAGTATAAGTCTTTAGGTAGGCTAACTAAGAAAAAAAAGCGATACAAATTAATAATATCAGAAAAGAAAAAGGGGGGCATCACTGCACTGCAGAGCCCATGGATATTAAAAGAACAATAAAATAATACTATACAAAACTTCATGCCCATAGATCCGTTAACCTAGACGAAATAAATCAATTCCTTGAAATGCAGTCTGCTAAAACTCATACAAGAAGAAACAGATAATATAGAGCCCAATATCTATTAAAGAAATTGAAACAACAATTAATAATCTTCCAAAACAGAAAGCATCAGACCTAGATGAGTTCACTGGCGATTCTACCAAACATTTAAGGAGGAAATTATGCCAATTTTCTACCATGTCTTTCAGAAGACAGAATTAGAGAGAATACTTCCTAACTCATTTAGTGATTCCAGCATTACCATAATACCATAACCAGACAATGCCATTACAAGAAAACTAGACTGGTATTTGTCATGAACATAAATGCAAAAACCCTCTGACAAAATACTTAAAAAATCATATCCAACAGTGTATATAAAGAATTATATGTTCGTTGGCTCCATGTATGTCTTCTTTTGAGAAGTGTCTGTTCATGTCCTTTGCCCACCTTTTAATGGGTTGTTTTTTTTTTCTTTTAAATTTGTTAAGTTCCTTATAGATGCTGGATTTTAGACCTTTCTCAGATGCACAGATTGCAAAAATTTTCTCCCATTCTGTAGGTTGTCTGTTTGCTCTGTTAGTTTCTTTGGCTGTGCAGAAGCTCTTTAGTATGATTAGATCCCATTTGTCCATGTTTGCTTTTGTTGCAATTGCTTTTGGTGTCTTCATCATGAAATCTTTGCCAATGCCTATGTCCTGCATAGTACTGCCTAGGTTTTCTTCTAGGATTTTTAGGTTTTGGGTTTTACATTTAAGTCTGTAATCCATCTTGAGTTGATTTCATCAAATTTAATAAAATTATGAAATTATTAACTTCATAATTAGAGAAATGCAAATCAAAACCACAGTGAGATATCATCTAACACCAGTTAGAATGGCTACTACTAAAAAGTCAAAAAATAACAGATGCTGGCGAGATTGTGGAGAAAAAGGAATACTTTTACACTGTTGGCAAGAGTATAAATTAGTTCAATCATTATGGAAGACAGTGTGGCAATTCCTTAATGACTTAGAGGAAGAAATACAATTTGACCCAGCTATCCCATTGCTGGGTGTATACCCAAAGGAGTATACATCTTTCTATTATAAAGACACATGCATGTGTATGTTAATTGTAGCACTATTCACAATAGCAAAGACATGGAATCAACCTAAATGTCCATCAACGATAGACTGGATAAAGAAAATGTGGTACATAAACACCATGAAATACTATGCAGCCATAAAAAGGAATAAGATCATGTCCTTGGCAGGGACATGGATGGGGCTGGAGGCTATTATCCTTAGCAAACTAATGCAAGAACAGAAACCAAATACCATATGTTCTCACTCATAAGTGGGAGCTAAATGACGAGAACACATGGACATGGGGAGGGGGGAACAACACACACACACTGGGGCCTGTTGGAGGGGAGGAAGTGGTAGGAGGAATAGGATCAGGAAGAATATCTAGTAGATGCCAGGCTTAATACCTGGGTGATCTGTGCAGCAAACCATCAAGGCACATGTTTACCTATGTAACAAAAGTGCACATCTGTACATTTAACCTTGAATATAATATAAAAGTTGGAATTTTTATAAAAAAGCCAATTTAAATAAAAAACTGTAACTACTAAAAAACATTATACACCATAAACCAGGTATCCAAGGCCAATTCAACCTTTGAAAATCACATGTTCCATCACCTCAACAGGCTAAAGAATAAAAATCCATCCATCAATAGGCTAAAGAAGAAAAACAGATGATTGTATCAATAGACGTAGAAAAAACCTTTGACTAAACCCCTCAAAAAAATTCATGATAAAAACTCTCAGTAAACTAGGGATACACCAGGACTCACTCATCTGTGTAAAAAACATCTAAAAGAAATTTTAGCTAGCATCATAGTTAATGGTGAGAAAATCAAAGCTTTCTCACTAAGATCAGGAACAAGGCATGGATGTTCCCACTCACTTCTCCTTTGTAACATCTCACTGGAAGTCCCAGCTAATGCAACAAAATAATAAAGAAAATAAAACATATGTAGATTGGGAAAAAAGAAATAAAACTGTCTTTGCAGATGATATGATTATCTGCGCAGAAAATCTGAAAGGATCAACAACAACAACAAAAAACTGGAATAAGAGATTATAGGAAATTTGCCAGATACAAGGTTAATATACAATAGTTCATTGCTTTCCTATATACCAGCAATGAACAAGTGGAATTAAAATTTAAAAAATGCAGTACCATTTACATTCGCACCCCCCAAAATGAAATATATGTGTACATTTAAAAAAATATGTACAACCTCTATCTGGTAACCTACAAAAGCCTACTGAAAAAAATCAAAGAAGAACTAAATAAATGGATAGAAAAAAAATATTGTCAAGATGTCAGTTCTTTCCAACTTAATCTATAATTGAGCACAATCCCAATCAAAATTCAAGCAAGTTATTTTGTGCAGATATGGACAAACTTATTCTAAAGTTTATATGGAGATGCAAAAGATGCAGAATAGCCTACATAATATTAAAAGAGAAGAACAAAGTTGGAGGCTGACAATACCTGATTTCAAGACTTACTCCAAAAAGTACTCAAGACGCTGTGGTATTGGTGAGAGAGTAGACAAATCAATCAAATAAAATAGAGCGTCCAGAAAAGACCTACATAATTATAGTCAACTGACATTTTATAAAGGAGCAAAGGAAATACAGTGGGGAAAAGATCGTCTTTTCACAAATGGTGCTGGAGCAACTGGACATCCACGTGCCTAAAAATGTATCTAGACACAGATTATTCAAAATATAATTCAAAAAATATCATTAATCTAAATACAAGATGCACAATTACAACCTTTTAGGAGATAACATAAGAGATGACCTGGGGCATAGTGATGACTTTTTAGAACAACAAAAGCGCACAATCCATGAAAAGAAAAATATTGATAAGCTGTATTTCATCACAATTAAAATTAATACCCTGTGAAAGACACTGTCATCAGAATGAGAAGACAAGCCACAGAATAGGAGAAACTGTTTGCAAAAGGTATGTCTGATAAAGAACTGTTACAGAATACATAAAGAAAATCTTAAAACTCTATGATAAAATGAACAGCCCAAGGAAATCCTGTCATTTATAACAATGTAGATGAAACTGGAGGACATTACGTTAAGTTAAATAAGGCAGATACCAAAAGATAAATAACCCCATCATACCCCATGATCTCACTCATGCTGGCTGCAGCAGGGAGGCGCTGCTGGGGCCACACACTCCATGGAGCCGGTGGGAGCCCTGCCCCTTCTGAGTTAAGGTAGGAGCTCCTTGAGTGCTGCTGCAGCCGACCCAGGCCTCCAGCTCCATGGACCAGGCAGAAGCCCCACCCTCCTGGGCGGGGCTGTAGCTGCCCAAACTGCGGCTGTGGATCCCAGCCTCCCTGTGCTCTTGGGGAGGGTGGGCTCAGGCAGGATATCCGCCCTCCCAGGTGTAGCTGCAGCCCCTGGACCCGGCGGCTGAAGACCCCGGCCTCCCACTCCACAGAGCAGGCAGGCAGGAGCTGGGGACAAGCTGGAGCCCCGCTCCTTCTGAGTTGGCAGGGCAGGAGCTCCCCTGGTGCAGCTGCGGTTGCCCTCCCAGGTGCAGGACCTGGGCTGCTCTGCAGCCTGCACCCTCAAGGGGCGGGGAAGGGCAACCCACTGTCCCTTCAGGCTCTGAGGTGTCTGCTCCTGCTGCCTGGCCTCTCTCCACTCCCAGGGCCTCTCCATCCCAGAGCGGGGTCTAAGGGCACACACCAAGCCCTGGGGCCATGAATGGCAGTGGGAAGCAGGCAGATTCCTGGGCAGAAGAGGGTGGGTCCCTAGTACGGCCCAACCTTCAGGCCAGGGAGGGCCTGAAGGCTGGGGGCTGGGCCATCAGTCCTAGAGACTGGAGTAGGGATTCATAGACCCTCTTGCAGCCCACCAATGGCCGCCAATGGACAAATCCACAGGCACTTCCTCCCCTCGGAAGTCCATGAAAGCCTGGACCAGCCAGACCAGAGGAGGACAGCCAGAGCAGGGCAGGGGACAGAGAGAATAAAGAGATGACTGATGGTATGAGAGGAGGAGCTGCAGAGAGGAGCTACCCTCTCCTCTCTGCTGATAGCAGCAGACAACGGGACTACCAACAGCACAGAGGAGCCACCCTCTCTGCTGAGAGCTTCAGAGACCTGCAGAGATATCCAACCAACCTGCCTACAGAAAGAAGCCACTCTCTCCAGGGCCTCCTCCTCTTATGAGCGCTGAGCACTCAATGGGACGACCTGCCTGTAGAGAGGAGCTACCCACTGCAGTCTCCTCTGAGCTGTTTTAACACTAAATAAAGCTCCTTTTCGTCTTCTTCACCCTTCACTTGTCTACACGCCTCATTCTCCCTGGACGCAGGACAAGAACTCAGGCAAAGGTGCCACCAGCCACAGAGGTTTCCAGGAAGCAAACTGACACCCCAAAGATCCCGGAACAACATGTTAAATCTAAAGAGTCAAACTCATGAAAACAGATTAGAATAGTGGTTGTCAGAGGCAGGGTGGGGGAAAAATAGGGGGATTTTGGTCAAAGGGTACAAACCCAGTTATAAGATGAATGTCCTGGAGATCAAATGTATAGCATGGCAACTATAGTTGAAAATAATGTGTTGTATACTTAAAATTTGCAAAGAGAGTAGATCTTAAGTGTGCTCACCACACACAAGAAATACTAACTAGCTGAGGAGATCAATCTGTTAATTAGCTTTATTGTGTTAATCACTTCACAATGTGTACATATATCAGAATGCCTTAAATATGCCTTATGCCTTAAATATGTACTATTTGTAATTTTATCACAATAAAACTAGGGAAATTTTTTCAAAATCTGCAGAAGACCTGAATAGACATGTCAGCAAAGAAGATGTACGCATGGCCAATGAGCATATAAAAAGATGCTTCACGGAATTTCAGAGCTTAAAAACCAGTCTTTTGAGCTAACCCAGTTGGACAAAAATTAAAACAAACAAACAAAAAAGAAACTAATTTTTAAAAATGAACAAGTCCTTGAGAAACATTAGATAATATAACTAAATTTACAAATTATTGGCATTCCTGAGTGAGATGGAGAAAAAGTAAATAACTTGGAAAACATATTTGAGGGAATAATTCAAGAAAATTTCCTAATCTTGCTAGAGAGGTAAACATTCAGATACAAGAAATCAAGAGAACACCTGTGAGATACTATATAAAATTAACAGCACCAAGGTATATGGTCATCAGACTGTTCAAGGTCAAAACTAAAGAAAAAAATCTTAAAGGCAGCTAGAGAAAAATGTCAGATCATATACAAAGGGAACAAAAGGAACCCCATCAGGCTACCAGCCGAATTCTCAACCGAAACCTTCCATCTAGCAGAGACTGGGGACTTATTTTCAGCATTTGTTTAAAAAAAAAACGAAATTCCAACCATGACTTAATTTTAAATTCACAAATTCTGACTAAGCCAATGGAAACTTAGTGAGGGTGTGCTCCTGGCGAATATACAAAGAGGGGTTAGGCAAAATAATATGACTTTAAGCCCAGCTGTCTTAAGGGAGCTCCTGAACTTATCTGTCATGCCTGAGGGAATGTTCACATAAAAGAGATGTAGTCTCAAGGTGAATATGTCATAAAAAAGGATAAGGACATTTGTTCTAATATAAAATCAGCCACGGAAAGTAGTCATTTGACAACTTACCCCCTGAGACTAATTCAACAGACCCATCATGAATGATACATGAAAACTAACTTGCCTGTCTTAACTAAGTCCTGGCTAAAGAACAAAGAGAAAAGAACAGGCTATAAGAAGTAAGGCCAAAAGCCAAGTTAAAAGAGTCATACTGCAAGAGTTGGAGTGTTTATCTATACATGCATATGCACATGTGTATGTTATACTTCTGGGTTTATATATACGTATGCATGTTTATATATACATATGCATTGTATATGTATGAATGTGTATATATATACACCAATATGCATGTATATACACATTTATATATATATTTATATATACATATACCTGTTTATATATACATATGCATGCATATGCATTACTTATATTTCCAAATGTATAGACACACCAATATACTTGATGTGTATATTATACGTCGTGTATTATTAAATATATATAATCTTATTATTTATATATTAAATTGCTTTGCTAAAAATCTATTGGATTCAGAGATCTTTGATGTAAACTTTTAAACTCCACAAAAACTATCTTTGAATAAAATATTGCCAAAGGAATAGGTAATTCAGAAAAGTAAAAATAAAGAAATGGGTAATAAATATTTGAGAAGATGCTCAACTTCATTAATATTCAAAAATGCTAATAAAATGAGAACTATTTTACTGGTAAAATTGGTTTAAAAATGATATCAAGTATTGGTGAAAATGCAGGGAAACTGTAATTCCCATCATTGCTGCTGGGAATATAAATTGGCTTAACCACTGTGGGAACAGTTTGGAAGAAACTGTAAACTAGCAAAATTTAAAGTTACGTATACTCTCAATCTAGGAATTATACTTATAAACTCACTGGAAAAACCTTACCTGGAGTTAAATAGGAAGTGGTTTACTGCTGAATTATTTTTAGTAGTGAGAGTTGTAAATAATGTAATTCCATCAACAGAGAACAATCTAAATATTTTCATGTGCTAGACTTTTGATCCAGATCTCTTTAAATGTTTATGTTAGTAGATGTTAAAAACATAATACTGAATGAACAAAGCAAGTTATAGGCTATGTATGCTATAGCACAATTACATATTTTTTTTTTTAAATCCAAAAAACACTGTGTCATATGTATATGTATTTTTATATAAAAATAGGATGGAGACATATAAACTAAATTCATGGTAGTTGATGACTCTAGGTAGATGGAGGAAGGGAGTAGGAATGTGAATAGGATGAGAAACAGAGGGATTTCCTTTCTATTTCCAATGCTTTCGTTCTTTTAAGACAGATAAATCAAATATAACGATATTAACAAGAGTTAATTCTGGAGAGTGGTTTCATGGACTTTGATACTTCAATACATTGTATTTCTGTATGTTTTGATGTCTTTCTAAAAAGCAGAAGTAAGTTATCTTTGAGAAAATGTAAGCACTAATGATGGTTGATAAATGAAGACATAGCTTCATCTTTGTATCTATCTTATAATTATCTCAATTATGGCACAGTGTCTCCAAAACATACTATGAATTTCTGTATCAGTGCAATATGTAATTTTCCTTCATTTTCTTAAAATATGTTTTGCATCTTGTAAGTTAGTAAATTTAAATTACTGAAGACATGAAACCATGCTAATAACAGACTGTGAGCATAATTAATCTTTGTGTGCTGGGTAAAATTGCGTCCAGCCTTGTGTGACATTTAATTACAAAAAAAAAAAGCCTAATCAAGTAAAGCATATAATCTCAGAATTACTGCTTAGGTTCAACTTGTGAAATTACAGAAAAAGATTTCAGTCCTATCCCCACTCTCCTATGCTATTAATTGAGGCAACAGTTTTCATTGTTTAAAATTGTACACTTAATATTAGTTAGAAAAAATTAGAGAGTATGTATCATCAGTATATTTACTTATTCATTCATTATTTTATCATTTGTACATATGTGCTATATCAATTGGTATCAAATACCAGAAAAAGTTTAATGTTTTTCTATTTTTATACATAAACAGACATTCCAGTAATGTCATTCTAAACATGTCAATGAATCATCTCACACTATTTTGGAGACCACAGAACTATAGAATCATGTATAAATTTATTTGCATCCATTATGCTCTCTAATCTGGCTCTATGGATATTGTTCAACATCTCTTTTGTCCTGCTATTTCTACTGCTACTAATATTAGGTAGGTGCAAAAGTAATTGTGGTTTCTACCATTCCTTTTAACGATGAAAATCACAATTACTCCGGCACCAACCTAATACTTAACACTTACTGACCCGTATGAAAGTTGGTGCTTTTGGCCACTAGCCTACTTAGCTTTGCACTAATTCCTGACGTAAAACCTATGCTATAACCAAAACTTTTTTGTATCAAATTGTTCACCCTACCTAACATATTTTACTAAACCTTTTTAATCCACCCATAGGCTAATTTCCTTGAACCTTCTTCCTATAAGACTTCTGGCCATGATGTTATTAAATTGTGAATCTAATTCATATTACGTGGCATTGATTTCCCCCTCCTTTTTTTCATATTTTGAAGCCATAGTTTGCACATTCCTGGAAAGCTCCCTTCAATAGTCCCATTTCAATGTGGTCTTGAGGGTGCATGGGCCATGTCAGTTCTGCTCAGGATTGAAAGTGTAGCACACAGTATAAGGACTAGCTGCTCCATAAATATTTCTTGAAAGAATAAATAAACCTAAGACTATATGTTTATAGAGAATATTTAATAAAATATGGATACATGAATTTTTAAAATGCAGATTCAGATTTACTGTACTATGAGTTTTATGGTTTGAGCATTTCATATCTTCTAGATTTCTTTGGACATCTTTTAGCTGAAGGTCAGAACAACAGTAAAAAGTATTAGGATTATCTAGAGAAAAGTGCTTTGCTCCTTGGCAAACACAAGCTTGAATTCAATCATTCCTGAGAAGAAAGAGTGAGTAGAACTAAAAGACAACTGCTAAAGCCAAATCTTTAGTTAAACTTCAAGAAAAAAAAAAAACAGAGCTAAATTTACATTTTAAAAAATTGGCTATAATGGAATCTGGAAAAAAGTTGTGTATATTTAAAATTCTCTATCATTGATCAGTTTCTTTTGGTTTTACTCAATACTATCTTTAAAATATTGCAAATGATAAAACTCATCTGCAGGTGACACTTTTTGCCCAAGTATCATTAAAAAAAAGGTGTACTTCTGAGTAAACTAATTGTGATGATATGTAATCTGTTGAAACCGGAGAAAATGTATCCTCTTGACTATGTAATATATAGAAAACTAAATGAGTTTTCCAATTATGATTAATAAAACTTGATTCTTTTTTTATGAGTTCTATAGATAAAAAGTAGCACACACCCTTTTTTTTCTTTCCTGTTTTTGCACCATTTAGTACTTTCTGTAAGGATGACTAATTTCTGTTTAACCTCTGAAGTAACTGAAAAGTGAAGTATTTAGGGAGGGTGGTGCGGGGGTGAATTGCAAAAACTCACGGTGCAGATGTATTACCCTTTGAGATACTGCTTTGACCCTATACTGGAGACTGTATGTTAGAAAATGGGAGCCAAACAATGTGCAGATAAAAACTAAGAACCTTGTCTCACAGCATCTACATTCTGTGGGATTCAGTTTTGTCCTACTGATTCTCCTTGCGTATTTATTTTACACAGGAAATCTGTTGGAAGTCAGACCCTAGACTTTCATATGACAGCTCTGTGCCTACTGCCTCCGAAAATACTTCCCCTCCCATTAGGCAGGATGGCTGTATTCAATAACATTGTTTATACTGGAATCTATCTCACCCCCTCCTATCTCATGATAGTCTGTGGTGATACATGTTCCATTTTCTCAATCAGCCTTCCCCTGAGGGAGTCTCAATCTTCTAACACATGGGATATTTACAGATCTGTGGTCTCTTGCCTAAACTTCATCAAGGTGAGAATTTTTTTTCTCTTTGCACTTTGTCCAACAGAGCCCAGGCTCAAAAAGTGTTGAAAATTCTTATGTCCACATGCACACGTATGTTTATTGCATCACTATTCACAATAGCAAAGACTTGGAACCAACCCAAATGTCCAACAACGATAGACTGGATTAAGAAAATGTGGCACATATACACCATGGAATACTATGCAGCCATAAAAAATGATGAGTTCATGTCCTTTGCAGGGACATGGATGAAGCTGCAAACCATCATTCTCAGCAAACTATCGCAAGGCCAAGAAACCAAACACCGCATGTTCTCACTCATAGGTGGGAAATGAACAATGAGAACACTTGGACACCGGAAGGGGAACATCACACACCTGGGCCTGTCGTGAGAGTGGGGGAAGGGGGGAGGGATAGCATTAGGAGATATACCTAATGTTAAATGATGAGTTAATGGGTGCAGCACACCAACATGGCACATGTATACATATGTAACAAACCTGCACGTTGTGCACTTGTACCCTAAAACTTAAAGTATAATAAAAAAAAAGAGAAAATTCTTGTATCCAAAGCATATTTTGTACAGTCACAATGTCTTTATATTTTATAGTCAATTTCAATGCTTTAGGCATAATACACTTTTGATTCTACTGTTTATGCTTTTGGATAATGTTTCTAGCCCCAGATTCCTGGATGAGCACCAAAATGCATGAAGAGGGTGTAGTGAATGTGATCGTCACTTTCTATGCAGTTGGCTATTCATGCTCTCCATATTAATCCATAGATTGAGCTTTATTACACCAAATTGGGCTTATCAGCTATCAGCTGACCGGTGATGATTTCAAGATCTTACTTAGTAGATCTTCTGGCACATCTTACTCCTGGGGCTTCTCTTAGGAGGGAGTTTTTAATGGGTGAGCGTTTTCTTGGATAAGAAGCATCTTGAAGAAGGGAAGCAGGGCATCGTTGGTATTCTCCTCATTTTTTGTGTTTGTCCCCAACATAAGCTGGCCAATCAAAATATTCTAGCTTTCTAGTCACAGTAAATACTTAGTGTGGCCTAGGGAGCTGACTAAAACCAAGTAAAGAGACACCATTGTAACCTGGCACTTTTGCCAGATCCTATGAAAAATAGATCTTCTTCCATAAGATATAAGCCTAGCAATCCTGGTAGCCATCTCATCACTATTGGAGAAAAAATCTAGCTTACATCAAGGGAAGCGAGAAGGAAAACAGAGCCAAAAATTAAAAGGAGATATTTCTAACATCATTTGAGCATCTGGATCAGCCACATCATACATGAATAGACCACTGGAGTTTTCAGTTTCATTATCCAATTGTCCATTGTCCCCTTTTCTGCCTAAGCTATTTTGAGTTGAGTTTCTGTGACTTGCAGCCAAGACTTTTGAAATATACACCACCTACTTTCTCCAGAGATCAAAGTGGGCCACTCCAAGATTTCTAAGTGCCAGAGAGCCTAGAATTTGATCACTAAGCCAAGAACATTGTGAGTGACTTTCCCTAGGAATAGCCTCCTCCTATCCACTCTATCAAAGTTTCTCCCAAGGGAGAGGGAGGTGGGAAAGCATCCAGAAATGATAGCATGTGGGAAGTAAGTGAAATATTTGAGCCTCTCCCGAATCATCATATGTAGAAAAAGTAGAATAGAAAAATGTATATATTAATGGTAAAAAAGTGACTTGAGGACATTCAACTCCAAATGAATCTTGTCTTCCTCTCAGTATTAGGAAAATACTAATGGGTTTCCTATTTGTAAAGATAAATAACACTTACTGAGAGCTTATTATTATCCAAGTATTATTTGAATTCAGTTAATCCTCACATAAACTCTTTGAAGTAGTTACAATTATTATTCTCAGTTTGCAGATGAGGGAGTTAAGGGCTTAAGTAACTTGCTGAATGTCATGCAGCTAGTAAATTGGCAGAGCCATGAGTTGAAACACTATGGCTCCTGAGTATGAATCTAGTCTTGCCCTCTATACATTTATTATCAATTAAGGAAAGGAACAGATATCAGTAACACCTTCTAGACAAAAAACAGATTCCAAAATAATCATAACAATTCTATGTCAATGAACAAATATATGTAGAAAAAGGACCTATTGAATAAAATTATCTTTGCATTGTAGTAGAAGTATTTATCTCTTCCCAAAGATTCAACGGAATGCCCCTTTAAAAATATATTCTCAAATTCACTAGCTATTACGAGTTTAAGTTGGATGTATTTATTGGCTTTATCTGGGTAGAAGGGAAAATCCTAGGTAGATGCCATTCATTGATACTCTGCCCAGTGAGATAAGCTTTGACCGTCGGATGGAGACTCTTAATAGAAAGAAAAAAAAAAAAGGTAAAAAAATATGCAGCTAAAGCAATAAAAGAAAAAATTTAGCTCCAATTTTGCTTATTTGGTTCTATTCATCCTTTATGTGTAGAAATTTATCCTACTTGCTATCATAAAACATGTTTGAGCTGCTGTTAGCATAAACAACTTTCTTTTTAAATTTCTCTTCTTTTTTTTTCCTATTCCTTTTCCCTTTTTCTTGTTCCTTACATGCATTCAGTTGTATAGATTGAATGCATGTTGTCCATACAACTTCAGATAAAACTAAGAACCTTGTCTCACAGCATCTGCATTCTGTGGGATTCAGTTTCATCCTGCTGAATCTCCGTGTATTTATTTCACACAGAAAATCAATTGGCAGTCAAACCCTAGACTTTCATATTACAGCTGTGTGCCTCAGAAAAATACTTCCCCTCACATTAGGCAGGACGGCTATATTCAATAACATTATACACTAAAATTTGTTTGCTTGCTGAAAGTAACCTACAGGGCATTCCCAGAAAGAAGGTATAATACTTTCTCCATATTTTCAGTTAAAGCCTAACCACTGTTCTTTAGCCTTCTTACATAATGTGTCATTCAGTCTTTCCTTTGACCCTATCAAGAAATGATTATCTTTAAAGCAAAAATATTAATTGGCATGTAGTAATCATGCATATTTAGGGGGTACATAGTGATGTTTCTATACATATAAAATATGGTAATCAGATCAAGGTAATTAGCATATTCATCATCTTGAGCATTTATCATTTACTTGTGCTGAGAACATTCAATATCTTCCTTCTAGCTATTTGAAACTATCTAATATATCATTGTTAACTATAGTCACCCTACAGTAGTATTGGATACTAGAGTTTATTCCCCTATCTAGCAATAATTTTGCATTCCTTGATGCAAAAATGAATTTTTTAGATGATGATATCATAGCTCATGGAGGCAAAGTATGCAAAAGTAACCTTGCATTTTGCTCAAAAGTTTATGTTGTAAAGTTTAAATGGGAAACACCTATGTAGACTGTTTCATTAGCATAGGGCACAGCACACAGTGTTACTGTCAGCCTCCATGCAGACATTCAATGTTCAACAGCTTCCAGTTTGGCTACTCTCATCCCAGTGTAGGCACTATTTAATGAGCCAGTTACAAGTCATGCCTCTGCTCAAATCCTTTCATGTCTTTCTGTTCTACTCAGACTTAAACCCAGTGTCTTCACGATGGCCTGCTGGGTCTTATGAAATCTGATCCCAACCACATCTCCAAGTTTATTTCTTACATGCTATTCCTCCTTCTCTCCAGACACACCATATGTTCTCCTTTTTGAATGTGTCAAGGTCACCCCCACCTCAAGTCCTCTGCACTCATGTTCCTTCTGCCTTGGATGCCTTTAGCCCCAGACATCCAAATGACACATTTCCTCAATTTCTTCATGTCTCTCATCACATACCTCATCAGAAAGATCTTTTCTGATCACCTAATCTAAGTGTTACCAGAAAGGGGTCCCAGTTCAGACCCCAAGAGAGGGCTCTTGGATCTTGAGCAAGAATTCAGGGTGAGGTCCACAAAGTGAAAGTAAGTTTATTAAGAAAATAAAAGAATAAAGAACGGCTACTACACAGGCAGAGCAGCAGCTTGGGCCACTCAGCTGCTTATACTTATTGGTACTTCTTGATCACATGCTAAACACCAAGTGGATTATTCATGAGTTTTCTGGGAATGGGCAATTCCTGGAACTAAGGGTTCCTCTCCTTTTCAGACCATATAGGGTAACTTCCTGACATTGCATTGGCATTTGTAAACTGTCATGGTGCTGGGGGGAGTGTCTTTTAGCATACTAATGCATTATAATTAGCATATAATGATCAGTGAGGATGACCAGAGGTCACTCTTGTCACCACCTTGGTTTTGGTGGATTTTGACCGGCTTCTTTATTGCAACCTGCTTTATCAGCAAGGTCTTTATGACCTGTATCACATGCCTACCTCCTATCTCATCCTGTGACTTAGCATGCCTTAATCTCCTGGGAATGCAGCCTCGTAGTTCTCAGCCTTATTTTACCCAGCCCCTATCAAAATGGAGTTGCCATGGTTCAAACACCTCTGACATAATGAATCACCTCATTATTTTCTGTTCCCTTGCTTAACTTCATGTTTCCTTATAGCATTAATAATACTCAACATAGTAAGTACATTTATTTGCTATATTGGATAGAACCATTGCACCTCTATCCACTTATTGTTGCTTCTCTGTTCACACATATCAGAAGAAGTACAATAAACAACTATACATGCTTGCATAATAGATGTGAAAGAAAATAGAACCTCGGGACCCCAAGCTCACTACGCCAAAGGGAAAGTTAAACGTGGGGGCTGAGTCATGTAATACTTTCTCCCTTTTGTTCCCAGATAGCTGTAACTTCACAACCCTGTGTCATAGCCTCATCCATTAGTCAGGCTCCCACAATGATGGAAGGCCACATATCTGCCAGATGGCCTCCTTTACAAATTGCTCACAAGGAAATATCTTGTGAGCCCCTAAATCTTTCAGGATACATATTCCCCCTATAAACTTGCCCTAAAATCGAGTTCTGTTAAATCTCACCATGACAATGTCAATTGCCAACTTATCTTCACAAGTAAGGGACAAGGACAACACTAGAAATCATCCTTCCACCTACCTCAGGACAAATGCATAGTTGACTTTTTCCTCTACGCCCTCTTTTCACAAGTTTACTTTATCTTATTAAAATGTAGATTTACTGAGTGCCAAAGGAATACATAATTTACTTTTTCCTGTACTCCTTTTCACATGTAAAATGTAGATTCACTGAACGCTAATTAGAGCCTCACAAAAATGTAAAGATTTAAATCACTGCCTACCCTCCTTCCACCCCCCACCCCGCTCCGCTGCTTACTCTTTCTCCTTTAAATGACGCAGTTCTCAAAACCCTCTTTGGAAAAAGCACAGGTCATAGCTACTCCAGTAACTTGTGTTTTTTGCCTCTAGGCATGCCCTCAACTTTGTCTCAACAAACCTCTATCAGTTGAGACTTGCTTCAGTCACTTTTTGATTAACATAGGATAAGTCACTCTTTATTTCTTTTATTTATTTATTTTATTTTATTATTATTATTATTATTTGAGACAGAGTCTCACTCTGTCGCCAGGCTGGAGTGCAGTGGCGCAATCTCGGCTCACTGCAACCTCCACTTCCCGGGTTCAAGCGATTCTCCTACCTCAGCCTCCAGAGGAGCTGGGACTACAGACGCACGCCACCATGCCCAGCTAATTTTTTTTTTTTTGTATTTTTAGTAGAGGTGGGGTTTCACCATGTTGGCCAGATGGTCTCGATCTCTTGTCCTCATGATCTGCCTGCCTCGGCCTCCCAAAGTGCTGGGATCACAGGTGTGAGCCACCGCGCCCCGCCCCTATTTCTTTTCTTTTCTTTTCTTTTTTTTTTTTTTTTAAAGAAAAGCCTTGTTTCCCATGATTGCTTCCAAATGTATTTGCTATATTTCTGTGCTGTCAGATCTTCTCTCATTGGAATGTAGTGAAGTGGCATCATTGTCTAGGGTAAATACCTGGGGTTTGTCATCTCACTCCAAGAAGGTTAACGACAGGGACACATATGAGTGGGATAAGGAGTGGAAAGTTTAATAGGCAAAAGAAAGGAGAGAGGAGAGCCTCTCTCTCTCTTGCAAGAGAGAGGCTTCTGAAAGGGAAAAGGCCAGCCTGCTGCGGACGACAGGTTTTATAGGCAGGCTTGAGGAGGGGTATCTGATGTACATATGGCCCACAGATTCGTTCCACCAGGTGTGACGTTTACACAGTGCCCAGGGAAGGCTAGTTTGCCCCACCCTAATCTTATAAGGCAAATGGGCTTTCCACCTGGCCAGTGTCGTCGTCTCTACTCCTTACTGTACACGTGGCTGGCAAAGAGAAGAGAAGATGGAGTCGCCATTTTGAACATGTCTAGTCAGAGGTAGTATTTTCCTATTGGCGCAACTGCCTACATTTGCCTGTGCAAGCTTCCAGCTTGCTTGTCTTTGTCTGCAGATCGATTTTACAGGCTGCTCTTTGATATGAGGACTGCTTTTTATTAAAACGAAAACCTTACCAAGGACTCCTGTACCCTCACTATCTGCCCAAGTAATCTCTTCTTAACTCCTGTATCCGTAGGTGTCATGAGAGACAGTACTCTATTTTGTTCACTGTTGGATCTTCAACATGTACAACAGGCTTGACACAAAGCTCAATACAGCTATCTAGGTGGAATAAATGCCTGTGGCACATACCTGCCATCTAGAGATTACATAGACCATCATGGTTTGTATTTAGTTGGAGGCAGGTGACTAAGTTCTGGCCAAATATGTAAACAGAAGTGATCTACAAAACCCAATTCTCTCCATCTCTTTTTTTCTTTCCCCTACAGGCTGGAACTTGGACATTACAGATGAGCCAGCTCTGACCAAATGGATGGTGAAAATGCAGCAAAACCTTGTTCTTGAATAACTTCATGAAGCAGATTCGCTTACCCACTCTGGACCATAAGTTTTTCTTGAATTTGGGATCTCTTATACAGAAGCTTATCCAGAACCCTGCCTAATACAGAGCCTAAATTAAGATAGCTTTACTTGGCATGAAGAAAAGAAGAATCATTTTAGAGTTTTTTAGGAAATCAAAATAATAAGCCTAGGTGACTGATGGGCTCTGTCAAGAATGGAAGATGAGGTAACAGAAATGACCCTGAAGTTTTTAACTTAGAGAATGGGGACGAGGGTAATGCCATTAATCAAGTGACAAAGACGTTTCTATCAGGCAGGAGGAGTGGAAAGGTGAGTCATGTTATGAATATGTTAAAGTGGAGCTGCTCTGTAACATCAAGGTGAAGATTTCCAATGAATTTTTCATTCCCTGCTTCCACTGGAACAGCTACAAATGGATTTGTGATGTCTACGTTTACCCTTAAGGTAGGATTGGTTTTGTGCCTAAAAATAAGTGTGTAGTTCATAGGAAAGGTGGAAAGTTCTCTCATGCAATCAGAAATAAAAGATCAAAGATGGATGGATAGGTAGAGAGACAGACAATGTAAATATCTTACATTATGTGCACAGACAGACAATATATCTACACTAATTGCAAATAATATATATATCTTGCCTTTTTCTTAGACCAAATACTCATATTAATTTACTCTGTAACTTGAATAAAGGAAGCACATTTTAGGAACTGCAAGCATTCTTAAATGTAACTTAACATTGATCCCTTTGATTACCGAGGATGTATAGTTCCCCCAAAAATGTTTCTAAAAATCAGTATCTTCTCTTTTTAAACTTTTACTAGAGAAATACCACAACATATGTAAACAACTTTTTTAAAAGTAGCAGTTTTTCCTTGACAATATTTTAAAAGTAGTAAAATATTTCGTGCACCATGAATTTCACCCATAAATATGCACTCGCACACGCACGTGTGCTCACACACAAGCATAGTCACACATGGTGTCTCCTGAATTAACATCAGTTGTTATCGGAAACCTCAGGCCCAAAGCAAAATGTTATACAGATCTTTGAAAAAACAAATGCTGTTATAGCTCCCAAAAGTGTTAGAATTCAGCATAATGTAGCTGAGTTAATTATAGCCCACTAGGTAAAGAACTTAATGACTCACGTATGTTGAGGTTAATGTTCAAGTCTTTTGTTCACTACCACTCTGCATTTGAGAGCAAGAAGATTGAGGTGGTGAGAGAAGAGAAGGACTCAAGGTGGAGAAAGCAAAGCCCGACCACAGTAGATTTCCCCAGGGTACCAAGATAATCAACTGCTGAAAAGACAAGCTCCAGTTCACACATGGGAGCTAGGTTGTCTACAACTAAGTCACACCACATTTTCTATGAAAAGGGACTAGCTTTTCACTCCGCAAAGGAAGCACAGGAAAGCCTTTAAGAGTCCTATTAGAACTAGAATTCACTTTCAGTGTTGCTAAGAGTGGGGCAATTGAGAAAGACAATGTGGCATTCATCTTGTGCTGCTCCTCCAATGAAGAAAAAATAAATTGGGGCTGGGTGAGGAGCCTCACACCTGTAATCCCAGCACCTTGGGAAGTTGAGGCGGGCAGATCACGAGGTCAGGAGTTCAAGACCAGCCTGGCCAATATGGTGAAACCCTGTCTCTACTAAAAATACAAAAATTAGCCGGGCGTGGTGCACATGCCTGTAGTCCCAGCTACTTGGGAGGGTGAGGCAGGAGAATCACTTGAACCCTGCAGGCGGAGGTTGCAGTGAGCCAAGATCACGCCGCTGCACTCCAGCCTAGGCGACAGAGCAACTCTATCAAATAAATAAATAAATAAATAAATAAATAAATAAATAAATAAATTGGATTGTGGGTGAAGAAATGTCACTGTTTTAAGGTGATTTTCTAAAGAAATACAAAAGAATGACATTCAAACATGGGTCACTGTTTTCAAGACCCAGAGCCTGCTTTTGGAAACTGGCACAATAAAGCACAAATGAATTTGTGGATACCTAACATGTCACACGCAATACTCACACGAGAAATTTTCTTCTCCATCATCTTATCCCATCAATAAATTGCTTTGTTCACTCTTTCAAATGTGGAAATCTTTTTAGTCATCATTTCTGTATCGTATTCTATTTGACCTCCTATCTTACATCATATCCTGCACATTGAGGCATGCTAGGTTTGAGATTTGAAATACTAAAATCATCTATTTTAAGTAAGACATGTACTGTCCCTGTTAAAGTATAATTATAAAGTGTTTAATTTTTTTTAAAAAATTAGAAGTCTGTGAAGAGGTTTCTCTAGGACTGTTTCACTAATTATATAAACAAATAGATATGTGTTTTTAAATGCATCCTTTATGCTGCAGGAAATCAAATGGCTAGTTTTAAAAATAACTCTCCATTTTAAAATAAAACACACAGAGAATGATGACAAGTTATTTCCTATTCCTTTCAGGCTTATTTCAAAATTTAGCATCAGTCAATCGTTACTTATTCAATGAGAGTCCCACAACCACCATATTGATAAATATCAGGGGTATATTCATATGGAGAAGGATATCAGACATCAAGGCTTAGTGACTTAAACATTATAGAAGAAAGAGCACATGGTGGATATTTTCCATTGTCATGTGGAGTATAAACATCCAGGCCCTCCCAAAAGCACCACATGCCAGTGGATACATATTTGTGAGTTAAGGGTGCCATCAGAGCTGCTGGTTGTTTCATAGTTCTTTGGAGCCCAAACCTGCATAGATAAGCTGGAGCATTTCTATACACAGATTAATCTGAATGTTGGGGACCAGCTGACATGTCTCAGGCCTCCTCATCTATCTTGGGGTTATATAATATACAATAAGACTGCAGAGTAGAGTACATACACTCTGGTATAGATCCTTTCTTTTTTATCACCCTCAGCCTTCCCAGGCTAACACAGCCTCTTACAGAGACTTACCTGAGCTAGAAGGTGCAGCATTAGAACACAGCTCAGTCATGGCATGGACTGGAAGTTGTGTTAGTGGAGCTGTGTGACCAGGTTGAGAGCTACACTTGCAAGAATGTGCTGCAGAAGATACCATCTGGATAGATGTAGGAGCCATGTACAAATTTAGGGTCTACCTCTTATTTAGCCATATGACTTAGGGAAGCTTTCTTAACCTTTCTGAGACTCAGTTTTATAATTTGCTGAGGATTATGATAGTATTTATTTCTCAATGTTGTGAGAATGAGATGATTTAATCTATGTAGTAAGCCTGGTCCAGAATATATTATGTATGCCTAAAAAGTTGGTTCCCTTTTTCATTTAGTTTCTCAACTACATTAAAGGTGAAGTCACCACATTTTTTCCTCAAAATACTCAATATCTAATTGTGGAGAGAAGAGGCTTATTCTAATGATGATACTAACTTTAGTTGACGTCACTATTTAGAAGGTTGCCATATGCCAAACAGTGACCTGAATATGATATACAGAATCATTCATTTAATCTTCAAAAAACTAACAGGTGGTTTCTGTCATTTCAGTCTTTTACTAATAAAATTTATATTGCTTATTTTTGCTACAGCAAAAAACAGCTCCTGGATTTGGGCAGCTTTTAAAAAACAATAGAGCATTTCTTCCTCACATTAGCTTCTGACACATTTGCTCTATCTTTTTCAAAGGAAAACATTGAAGATGAGACCCTATTTTGGACATGCCATTCTCTTGGTGAAAGAATGGAGGAAGAGAAACAGAGAAAAAGTTGAGCTACTCAGGTCTTCTTAAAATACCTTGAACACTCATGATATTGGCAAAGCAAGTCTTATGGTTAACCTTGAAAATAAGGCAGGGAAACATACTCTACCTACAGGGAAAACATAGCAAAATCACACTTTAGAGGCAGAGAGGTTTGCAATATACCATGAGACTAAATAATCTCCAAAGCCACAACCTAATAAATGGGAAGCCTACTTTAGAATACCAATGCAGAGTCCCTACTCTTAACTAATAATTCCAAGCATCATATGAATCATGATAAATTAGTCCTAGAGACAGGAATTGATAAAGAGTCAAAAAAACTACTTAACGAGATCTTTACTTGTTGTGTCACTACTTTCATAAAAGTAGAAGGATGAGAACAGGAAATTTCATTTGGACTAGAACATTGTGAAAGGGAGTAATGGGAGGATTTGGCAGGAATTGAAATCCATCCTAAGTGATCATTCTATACCCTTTAGTCTCCAGTAAGTTATTGAAGAAAACTTCATATTAGAGAGGTTTTATTAGCATCAGTCTGTATCTCAATCAAAAGCATCCATAAATTACAGCAGCTGGAGAAGCACTGTGGTAATTCTAAGTGACACATGGAAAGAAACAATTTGTGTAGCACAAGAATGCCTCAATTAGAGTTTTTGAGAGTTGGTGAATTTCAGCCATTCACCTGATTTCTACAAGAGTTACTTCATTTGTGTTCCTTGGTTGATATATGTATTGTTATTCCCTTAATTTGTTAAGAGGAAACTCGGTTATTTAAATCATTAAAGTTTGTTTTTCTTTAATTGCTAAAGCCTTAAGAACACATTTCAATTTTTGAAATCTGGCATGCACTGGTAAACTTCATATGTGTTCTATTTTATTGGAATAAATCATTTTAACTCTTACTGGGACTAAGAAGAAAGGTCAACATTGGTCGTATTCAACTGAAACAGAAACTTACATTTAAGAAATAACTGGAGTGAGAACAACTGGGGCTTCAAACACAGAAGCATCCCTTTGACCTTAAAGCAGGTACTGCACACTCTATAGTAAATCTGGATTCTTTTCTGAAAGATAATGAAAATGGATGTTAATTTTTTTTTTTCTCTCCATTCAAAAACCATGGACTGGGTATAAATGTGCTTGAGACAGAGTACTAGGGAGGAGGGGCCAAGACACACATGATCCCGGCCTTCCTGGTGTTTTCAGTCCAGGAGCAGAACTTACAGAGAGAATTATCTCCCAGTGTATTGGAAGTTGCGTTCATGAGCCATAACTAAGTTTCTTTAATTAGTTTCTTAACTTGGGACACTTCATTTTCCTTAAGGAGTGTTTATTTCACAGCTCAGCTCTTACTTGTACACTTTTGTACTAGATCCCTAAGTCTTCATGGGCTTTCCCAGATTTTTGGAGTCTTGGAATGACCTCAAAGAGTGCCAAAGCAATTAGTAGATACTCAGAATGCACCAATATTTTTTATAAATATAATAGCATTCCAGAGAGTCTAGCTCCAGTGTTCTTGCTATAATCATTATTTAGCACAGGGCTGTCCAATCTTTTGGCTTCCCTGAGCCACACTGTAAGAACAATTGTCTTGGGCCATATGAAAAATACACTAACACTAACAATAGCTTGTGAGCTTAAAAAAAATTACGATAAGAACTTGGAAGAAAATAAGCAAACATCCGTGCTAGAAAATAAAGCATTGGAGGGGTAAAGGGTAATTGTATAGGAAAGACAAAGAAAGCCTATCTGAGAAGGGGGCATTTTTCAGTTGAGACCCAGAGATGAGAAAGTGTCATTTGTGTGAAGAACCTTCCCGGGGGATAGATCACCAGAGAGAAGGCTCTGAGATGGGTGATGGCTTGGCATGTTCTGGGAGCTTAAAAAGAGCCAGAGTTACTAATTAGAGTAAACTAAGAGAGAGAGTAGCCTGAGGCGAGTTGAGGGTGCCAGGTAGTGGAGAGTCATATGAGCCAGGGTGAGAAGTGTGGACGGTGTATTCTCGGGTGTTAGCAAGCCACGTAGTGGTTCTAAGCAATGAATTCATAGGTTGGGTAAACAATAACTATCATTTTATAGCATTTACTAAGTACAAGGAATTGTTCCAAACCCTTTTACCTATATTATTAACTCAATTGATCCTCATAGCAACTCTTTGAAGTAGGTATGCTCTCCTTCCATTTTATAGATGAGAAAACTGAGTTATTGCAAGATTTAGAAGATTGCAGGGCTAGTAACTGGTAGATCATGGATTCAAATCCAAACAGTTTAGCTCCAGAATCTGGGTTCTGTACCTTACTATGCTGCGCTAGTTTGTGGGTCTTTGCTCAAACTCAAAATCAGGGATGTTGTGAAAATATCTTCTACCTTGGGATCAGTGGGAGTTGTATGTTTTGTTCTTCCCAAATAGCAAGACATTTTAGAGTAGCTTTTAAAATCCTATAACTTTACAATGTAAGGATATATGAAAATTTTTATGTGATACACAATGACACTCTAAGGAGATAATCAACTCATCTCAGGTTGCACAACTGCTTACATAGCCAGCATAGGAACTACTGGGGCTTTAGTTTGTTGGAGCAGATGTATTAAATAACTTAAATAATGAATAGTGGAATATATTTCAACATGCTTATGAAGATGGGTTGTGGGCTATGTGAAGTAATCCGAACTCTATGAGAATCTTTTAATACAACATGCCTTAAATTATTTGTTAATAAAGCATGTTTTTGAGCTGGAGTGAGGAGACAGAATTCTCAGGAATACTGCTATGTAAATTTACAGCTGGGTGAAAATCCTGAACTTGGTTAAATAGAATAAACAAATATTAGAGAAAATGCAGACAAAAAAATTTTACACAATGTTCTTCTGTAATCTACACAATTATAATAGAGAAAATGATTCCTATAGTAACAAAGGTACCATAACATCTAAGAAAACAACAAGTCTAATAAAACTAAGTGTCAAAATACTAAAAAGCATATCAATACATGAAGACAACAATTTTTAATCATGAAAATACAGTGATAGATGAAACATTGGTTAGACAGATCATGAATTGAACCCACGAATTGAATCACAAATATTAATTGAGCACTTACTCTGTGCCCGGTGGCCTTGAGAGACAGAAAACGTTCCTATCCTTCTCAAGTTTACACTCTAGCCAGAAAAGCGAGCCAAATGCAAGAAATCAAACAAATACAATGTCATCAAAAGACTACCAAGATAAAGAAAAGTTCATAAATTCAAAAGTCAACAGATATTTTGCCAGTAAAAAATTAAATCATCCTACGCAGGCATTTTTGAAATAAATAACTTCATGGCTACTAATCTGGTAACAGCTAAACATGGAATCAGTGTAAATGATGTGTCTGCAACTTACTTCAATAAGCATATGGCACAAAACTGCCATGATTCCAAACCCATTTTCATTATCACTCAGTGTCTAACAAGCATTTTTTTAAATATGAGAACAGGTTGGGTCTCTGTCAGATTGGAATGGTATGATCACAGTTCTCAAGAGAGCTACATAAATGAAATAAAAAGTAGGGAAAATGAACAACTATGTAAAATATGTCATAGAAAATTGACTAGATGGAGAAAAAAAGAAAAACTCATTTGACACAGGCACTCACAAAATAGGCTCAAGAAAGTGGGGACCCTCTGGAAGGCAGTGCAGAGGAAGCAGGGGTCCTTATCCTTGGTGATTTGTTCTGAAGTTCATTTTTCATGCTTCTTCCTTGCTCTATATCACAGCACAACTGACCCCTTGCGGCTGGGCTTTTCTTGGTTTCCATATCAAGGAGCTTTGACTGGGTTTAGCCAATGGAAGGAAACAGCAGAAGATTGGAGAGGTTGCAGGAGGACAGAAGCAGCCAGGGTGTACCTCCTCTACTTTTTTGCTCGTGATCTTTTTAGTTGCTGGATGCTCTCCTAGCTCCAGCTCTTGCTAATCAGTTCTACCATAATTCCAGATTTCACCAGGTGACCCCAGTGACCTGGGCTCCAGTAACACTGCCTCCTCACCTTAATCTTCTATTCTAAAAATGACAGATGTGTCTCTGTGATTCCTCAATGACCCTCTTTGACCACCCACCTTTACTCTGGCCTGTATCCAACTCTCTGTATTAAATACCATCTGTTTTAAAGATGTATGAGATTTCTCTATTCCTGGTTAGGCACTAACTAATACAAAATACATATGGAAAAAACAAAAACAAAAACACTAGATAGTTCAAGTCTTTAGTTTGGATCCTGGTTCTGTCACTTGGGTATGTAAACTTGGGAAAGAGACTTAAACATTATAAGCTTTAATTTCCCATTAATTCACTCATCCCTTCATTCAACAAACTACACAGTGAGAATAATAATCCCTACATTCTAGAGTTATTGTGAAGATAAGAGAAAGCCATGCACCTACAATTCTTAGCATTGTACCTACCTCACAGTAGGCCTCAGGAAATGATACTTTACTTCCCACCGTGACTCTTCTTACCTCCAGCCATCAATACCACACTTATACCTCCTGTGCAGTAAGTCTTAGTATGTACAGGGTCTGGGTGGATATGTTTTTTCATTCAGTCATTGGAGCAGTCCTAGGAGTAAGTTGTCATTAATATACCATGTGTTCAGAAAAGGAAACTGAGGCTTAAAATGTTAACTGAAATGTCTGAAGTCATATAGTTAGCAAGTGGTAGAGCCAGAATTCAAATTTATGTCTGCCTGCCTCCAACGTCTGTGATCTTTAATCTGCTAAACAACCTCCCGTCATTACAAGCATGGATTATATCTGATCCCCAGATACTCTGAAGCTAGGGCAAATATAACCTCCCTTTCTCCCCACCCCAACCCAGTGGTATTCCCAACTCTCCTCCATTCTGAAACATAAGTTATTGTATAGGATCACATATGGCTTCAGGAGCTAGGCTTATACCACAATTGAATAATTTTAAAGTGGTGGGTAATTTAGCTTATGAAATGGGAGCAGTAATAGTTCAGATCAATTTGAATGTCCTTAAGAGTCTGTAAGGTATATAATGCTTAAGAAAATAACAAACTATGGAGGGAATTGTGTTAGAGTATGAAGTTGTAGCACAAAGGTATATAAAAGAATGAGGGGCAGATAAAGCATGAATTTACATTTGGGATTTACTAGATTATAAACATCCTTTTGAGTATCAAAGCATACTAATATCTTAATTATGTTTTTTCATTCAGTCTTTTTTTAACTAATATCTTAATTAAAAATTGGAATTAGATGAAAACTGGAGAGAGGATTGTTCTAATGTATGTGTATGTAAATATATATGTTTATATATATGGTTGTTAAAGAAAAGATCGCAAGAATAGGTTACTAAGGATAGTTTTGAAATTTAAACCAAGTCAGGCATCACAACACATTCTACATTATTTATTGAAATTTCTATTTTTAAAAAGTGTTGACATTATGCAATGCTGAGAATAATAATGTTTTCTTTCTGTGAAAGAAAATAAATATAAACTTTAGAATTAAGATATTCAATCACTTGCCATCACAAAGAAAAGGCATCTATTTCAAAATGTATCCCGTATCAATTTGTAGACACAAAATCTTAAATAGCCATCATACTGAAACTCAGTATGGAAAATGTTGGCGTCCTTATCATTATTAGTACTTTCTTACTATAATTGGGGCAAAAAAATAAGCATCATGAATACTTTCTCACTTGTATTTAAAACAAGTAGTTTTTTTACAATAAAAATCACTATAACGAGTTTATTCACAGAAGACTTTAAGAAAATTGGTAGCTAGCATTGGTCTGTGGCAAATATATTATATTGCAATAGGGAGAAATACCAGGAAAGGTAAATTGAAACAGAATGTGTACATCACTGAACTAGGAAGACAAAAATACAGTGAAGAAACAAATAACATAAGGAGAAAAAAAATCTCAGAATATCTTTAGCCATAGGAATGAATTTAATCAAGAATATAGTGGGTTTCCAACCTCTGCTTAGAATGTAGTAAGTGTGAAAATATTTCTACCAACTTGAAAACAAGAGAAAAGACTGAATAATCATATATTTACAACTTTTCTTGAACCTGTAAGACAGATGAAGTTACAGAGCAACCAAGTAATAAACAGATGCTTCTAGGGAGAGAGGGATGTGATTACATACTGATCTGAGATAGACAACAGGTGATATACAAGCAGGTAAGAAACAGCCAGCTCACTTTATAAACAAATTGCTAAAAGCCAACAGTTGACCGGAATAAAACTGTCGAATGACTGAGAATCACAAACACAAAGGAAATTACTAATCACTCACAGAAGCTTCTCCATGAAACTTGCTGAATGCTTATGAAATGGTGGAGCAAAGCAAGAAACTCGAGAAAGTCCCTCTCCTGGTGCATGCCAAGGAAGGAGACCAGCAGCTGTTGTGGAAAAGTCATTGAGACCTATCTGGATCCCTCTTCCCCATCTCCTCTCTGGAACAAAAGCGTTAAGCCTCTGTGAGAAGAGGAGTAAACACTGTTGCATCTCTCTGCAAACCAAGAAGAGGGTCCTCACCCGATCATATGGGCACGCTGATCTCAGACTTCCAGGTGGCAGAACTGTAATAAATATTTGTTTGATCTATCCAGTCTATGACATTTTTATTACAGCAGCTTGAACTAAGATAGTATTTTTTAAAAGAGTTTTATAGTTTTAACACTTACATTCAGACCTTTAATGCATTTTTGTCTTAACTTTTATATGTTATGAGAGGTAGGAATCCAGATTCATTCTTTTGTACATGGATATCCAGTTGTCTTGGAAAATGCTATCGTTGAAAAGACTATTCTTTCCCCATTGTCTTGGCACCCTTGTTAAAAATCAATTGTCCATTACTGTTAATTTTTAAATTCTTAAACTGTTTCTACACTCTTGAGAATTTCAATGCATGATGTCTACATATATTGTTCCTGCCAATTACCCTCGAAGTTAGTTTTAAAAAGAAACACAAACTAGGAAATAAAGAATATCTATTCAGTACTTGCATTGGTGGTGTAAGATCTGAAATTAGAGTTCAATATTAAATGCTGCCTTGAAACCTGATAAAATCAAGAGGGCCTCAAATGGCCTGAATGCAAGTTTCTCTTCCTGCCTTGCTAACAGAACAACCCTCCTTGGGAATATGCAGTGTCTAATGATCCCTGAGTAGTGTTGTTTAGTTTTCTGCCAGACTGTGGACTTATTCAAACAAACTAGTCACATCCTCCTTAGGGAACCAGAGGCCGTCCTCCCTCTTGTTACCTCAAAGTCTGCCTCCCACAGCCTCTGCTTGCTCACCCTGTTCCTAAATGCAAACCCCATGTGGTCTTGTGTGATCAAAGTGTCCCCTTCCCTTGGGCTGTTTGTATATGTGACTAATTAACTGCTATTGATCTCATCTGTCCAGTGTCAGGTGTCCAGACAGTCCCATAACCTTAGAGTAGAAACCTTTTCCTCACCAATAGAGTAAAGAGGAGGCGATCAAAACCCTACACCATGCATTATGTGACTCAGAAGCCAGAATAACTGTAATAGCTGGGTGCATATATTGACTACTTACTCTTTCTGTTGCCCATGACAGTTAAGTCTGCTGCTTTGTTGATAGCTTAATGCCTTCTCTCAACCTCATCTCCAAATCCACTTGAGATTTAGTTGCTACATCTGGCTGTGTTTTCAGTTGTTCTTTCAATTTCTGACATACTATTCCTGAATAGAAAGTGACAGAATTATGAGCCCTCTGAAAAGCCAGACAATTTGAGTTCTGTGTACTGGAACTGTGTGTACAGTCAGCCAAGCCTGATATCAGTATCTCTAATCAACACTGGAAGTCTGCAACACTCAAATCCCAAAACTCTAATGGTAGAATTACACACAAATGGTTTTGCCCTTCATCTTGAGCTTCCTTTCTCCATCTTCCAAAACACACCCTTTGATAACTCTGCCCCTGCTTATGCTTGTTTTTATGATACAACAGCAATCTTCATTTTCACTTTTGTTTTCTTGGAGATTTTCTCAATGCCACTATAAGACACCACTAGATGAAGCTTTGGCAAAGGTGCATTTTTCCTAGTTAGAATATCCTTTTAAGGCTTTGTTCCAGTGCAATAAAGAGTCAATGAAAAAGAATTATAAATGTGTTTCCTACTTGCATGTGCTTTGCCATTGAAGGAATGTAGGTCGGTGGAGAAGAGTACTTATCTCCAAGAGTACTTGGAGATCATACTGATATTTCTATGGCTTTTGATTTTTCTTCTGATTGACCAATGCACTTCCATATCTTGATGATCTAGCATTGTCCCATTAGAGACACTCTTTCCCTCTTCCATGCCTTTACTGTTCTACTCCTCCCTCTGAAATTACCTCTGCATTCTTTCCCACATATTCGTTTCCTTTTTGCCTACCAATATCCAATTATACTCCCACTTGTTAGGAAAAATCTGGAGGTTAGAAAATTATTTAAGTATGTGGGAAAAAAAGACTGCTGTAATCAACAAACGTTTATTGAGCATATCACATGTTTAAGATGGTAGGATAAGTGCTCAGAGAGAAACAAAATTGAACTTTCTTGCCTTACAGTAATGGCCTAGTAGACAAATACAAACTTTGTCATTACAACATGTGTACTGAGAGACTATACAATATTCTATTACCTAGAAAGTCCTAATTGTCTACACTAGGTTTCTGAGACAAATATCAAGTAACGAAGTTTACAGAATTATTTATTTGTATGATGTTTGAAGTCATAGGCCTTTCAAAGGCATCCTTACCAATAGCTGCTAAGATCTCTGCCATTGTTTTCCCAACTGGGACAGTCTACTTCACCCCCTAATTGTTCTTCTGCTAATGTGCCTGGAGGGGATATATAGCTTCAGAGGTGAACAGCTGCCACTGTGGCTTCATTTGAGTCTCCCCTTCTCTGCTTTAAATACCAATAAGAGATGCCAGAATCATACTTTATAGCATATGCCTATAGTAAATTTAATAGAAGTTATAATTATTAATTGTTTGTTACAATATGGGAAAGATCCTAGTATGACTTTTACCCAGCAAAGTTCTCATAAAAAAATTCATACAGAAAAAATTTCTCTTGGCTCTTGTGGACTGTATGTATGTTGAGTTCCACTCCAATCCTGAACCTAAGCTCAAGAGGTTATTTAGCTGTCTCTTAGCCCCCACTTCCATTCTTCTATACTCTGCTCTGCAGTGATGGGGAGATGATCTGCAAATCACACATCCCATGATCTGCTGCTAGCTAACTTCCTGCTAGGTCTGTGGTCTACTAATAGAAAGACTTGTGGGAGATCACAAGGTTAAGAAAGAAAGTGGGCCACGCACAGTGACTCATGCCTGTAATCCCAGCACTTTGGGAGGCCAAGGGGGGTGGATTGCCTGAGGTCAGGAGTTCGAGACCAGCTGACCAACATGGAGAAATCCCATCTCTACTTAAAAACACAAAAAAATTAGCTGAGTGTGGTGGCATGAGCCTGTAATCCCAGCTACTTGGGAGGCTGAGGAAGGGGAATTGCTTGAACCAAGGAGGTGGAGGTTGCAGTGAGCTGAGATCGCACCACTGCACTCCAGCCTGGGCAACAGAGCAAGACTCCATCTCAAAAAAAAAAAAAAAAAAAAAAAAAGTGAAGTTTTCTGCTCAGGAATCCAATAGTGTGGCACTTTATGGAAACTGATAAAGGTTGTAGTACCTGTAGCAAAACTAGGTGAGATAGAGTTCAGTTACCTCAACAGAGGTGATACTTTTTCAGCAGTTCCAACCCTGAGCAAAGCAGTGCCTGCTCAACAGATCCAGAACTGGCCATAATAGTGTCTCCAACAGGACAGATTGCAGGTGCAGGCTCCTGAATAGCAATCCACAGTAATTACCAGATTTGGATTTTGCATTATTACATTTCTTTTTCTTCTTCTGCATTCATCTTTATTTATTTAGTTAGTTAGTTTTTCATACACCTTTGTAGTTAATTCCTTGCATTTAATGCCCTGTTTGAAATTCTTAGAGCAGTTTTTGTATTCCTGACTCGAGCCTTCTGATATATGTGTGTTTTAATTCTTAGACATCTGAGAGAAGGACTAGGGGAAGCAGCTGAAATGGAGTGTTATATTCACCTGCCAGTAGAGACGACGAGCTTTGAAGCTGATATATACAATATCTGACAAGGCAAAGCTCTAATTGCACTTAGGCAAGCTTAAATTTGAAATGAAAAAGGAAGTAAGTGTTGATTTAGTGATGCCACTTACTAGGCTATTGACCTTCTATTATTGATCTGTCATAAGTAAAATGGAATTAATTTGGCTACTTTTTAATGGAATAGACATTTGAAGGATGATATGGTCTCACTTATAACTGAGTCTTTGTTCATTAACTTTAATCCTTTTCTTCTTTTCCTCCTTTGCCTCACAATTTAATAGGCACTTCATTTGGGAAGCCTTTTTGACACACTCTTTCCCTATGTTCTATGCCATGAACTTTACTATTAATAATTTACTTGCCTAGAAAATTTAATGAGCTCTGTTATTGTTGCTCAATTTGTCATTTGGTTTTTTCAGAAAAATTCCTTGATAACAAGGAAACTCCTTCAGTTTCTTGCAGTCCAAGTATTCCAATAATAATCGTAGCATGAAGAGATTACTATAAAGATCCATGAAGCCCACTTTTTCCTATCCTCAGCAGTATAGAAAACACAAACAGCTTAAAAGAGAAGTTTCAGCTGGGCATGGTGGCTCACACCTGTAATCCCAGGACTTTAGGGAGTCCAAGGTGGGCAGATCACCTGAGGTCGGGAGCTCGAGACCAGCCTGACCGGCATGGAGAAACCCCGTCTCTACTAAAAATACAAAAATTAGCTGGGAGTGATGGTGCATGCCTGTAATCCCAGCTACTCAGGAGGCTGAGGCAGGAGAATTGCTTGAACCCGGGAGGCAGAGGTTGCAGTGAGCCGAGATCACACCATTGCACTCCTGCCTGGGCAACAAGAGTGAAACTCTTGTCTCAAAAAAAAAAAAAAAAAGAGAGAAAAGTTTCTAAGTCCAGAAGAGCTAGCAACTTCTTGTGAGGTTGAGGTGTACAGAAAGGAAGAAGCAAGAGCTGTAGGAGGGCATGTGCCCCAGCTCAGGACACTTCGCTAACCCCAGACACTTCAGACACTTCCATTATGAGTAATCCCACTTGACTTTTCCCTTTCACAGGGAAAGAGGGAGAGAGGTGAAAGTATGATACCAGCTTCCATGTGGAGGAGGTTATCAGCAGCTTCTTCTTTATTCCTTTAAATGTGCAATGTCCCCAGTGGATGTTTATGCAAATGTGCCAGAAGTATTTTTGTCACCATTGACATTTGAATGACAATCTCCAAAGTAGCAAATTTTGCTTTCACATACAAAGGGACTAATTACATGTTTTCCTTCACCATTAATTTGTCCTTTCCCAAGTTGATAGGTGCTGTCACAACTGCATTTCAATTTGGCTATGACATATAGAAGCTGGAACCATTTGGCTTTCTTCTCTCAAAACATAAAACAATGGTTGGAAAGCTTTATAATCATAAGAGTGCAGAATGTCTTTCTTTTATAATCTTTATATTCAATGACAAAAACATTTGCCGAAAGCTGTTCTAAAAAGCAAATTCCCACTAGATGTAGTAAAAGCATAAATATAGGCTGATTTTATTTGGAAATTAAATCGTGCATTTTATATAATTGCAGCTAGGTGAAATTGAAGTTTTATATATTTGAAATTCCAATCAAACAATCGGATCTGAAATAAATGTAAATCCTGCAATAAGTGAATGAATTTCACATTTGCAAAATGATAAGTGGTATTTATTAAATTCAGCTGAGCAATATCAACCAATAAATTTTGAACATATTGAGGAGTGAGAAAACTACACTTGATTACCTATCAGTAAATCCTAGGGGGTGAAAGTCTTTTAAAAGGTTATGGAAATTGCATGGCATGTTAAGTTATTGTGTATGGAAATGCATTTCTTACTTGAGTACCAGGTTACTCTGACTTCTTGTTCATGTCAAACTAAATTCCAGCTCAATGTTGTAATGTACTAAATTCTACCTCCACAAAATTTGTATGACAGGCTTGTCACTTCTAATAACAGTTATCTTTTACAGAAATTAGACTTCGTACCAGGCTTTGACATGTAACCTGTAAAAATTTACATGAAATGTAGATATTTACTGCTGTGGGTTATTTTTTTAAATAAAATTTTATTTATTGGATAAGTTTACTTTCTATTTCCTTAGACAGAAGAAAAAGTAGAGAGTGAGAAATTATTTAAATTAGAATGTCTTTCCTTGGTGTAAATACTGCATGATTGGAAATACTGCTCAATAATACAGCTGATTCATCTACAACATATTTATTTCACACTTTCCACGTCAAGGTCATGTTTTTACATTGTGTAGTTTATGAACAAAGCAATTTGGAATTGTAGCTCCTCTAAAACTAAAGGGATAAATACAAATGATAATTCAACATATTTGACCAAAAGCATTTATTCAATAAATATTTGTCATTACGTGCAGGTCTCCATTTTAGATGATACCGAATACAGAGGTGAAACAAACACAACAGTTAAGGAATTTATACTTTATTAGGAAGATCAGGCAGATATATAAATAATTTTAATACAGGGCAAAATGTGACAATCACTGTAAGTGACAAAAAGATAAGGGCATAGAAAATTCAGATTACAGAAAGAAAACTTTGTGCTGAGAAATAAAGGGAGATTCCTATCATGTGCTGAATTTTGTTCCTACAAAATGTATGTCCAAGTCCTATCCCCTGATACCTGTGAGTGTGATCTTACTTGGAAATATTGTCTTTTCAAATGTAATTAAGTTAAGGATCTTGAGATGAGGTCATTTGGGATTCAGGGTAGACCCTAATCCAATGATTGGTGCCCTTGTATGAGAAAGAAGAGGGAGATATGAGATGCAGTGGCACAAGGAACGAAGCCATGTGAAGATAGGGGCACAGACTGGAGTGATGCAGCCACCAGTCCAGGAAGCTTCAGTCCAGGAAGCCTCGGGCCACCAGAAGCTGAAGGAGGCAAGCAAGGAAAGGATTCTCCTCTAGAACCTTCAGAGAGTGTGACCCTGCCAATACCATGATTTCTGACTTCTGGCCTCCAGAATTGTGAGACAGTGTATTTCTCTTATGTTACACTACGGGGTTTGTAATCATGTCTTCCTGCAGCCCTAGGAAAGTAAAATAACCATAACACAGATAACATTTGAGTTGGAACTCAAAGAATGAACTGTATTTGGACATTCAGATCCTATCGTGTAGCAGGATGCATGCGTGTCATTTCAGGCAAAGGTAATACCTGAGTAAAGACTGGAGTGGGGAATGCTTGGAAAACAGAGGAAGTATATTTCTTAGTATTCTAGAATGATAAATGAATGACATGGGGAAGTAGAGAGAAGAGCAGGGGGAGGTGGAGGAGAGGTGGTGGAGCAGAGAGAGAAGGAACTGAGAGAGAGAATAAAACGGTTGAGAATTAGCATGGAAGCCATAGGGAAGGAAACATCAAGGAAATGGAGCAGAGTGATGAAAAACTATCCTTTGCTCTCTGAGAAGTGTGAGACCTAGAATGAGATTCCTGGTCACTGAACTACACCGACATTTGAGAGAGAATATATTTTGGAGAGAAGATTCAGACACCATATATTCATGCACAGGTGTTCTAATAATATAAGAAATACATTTTTCTTATTTAAGGTTTTTACACAATTTAAAAGATTTTGCACATGGAACTGTTTGTCAATAATCAGTTTCTGATCAACTACTTTTGTTTTTTAGGAATTACTATCTAAAGTATTTTTCACTGCTCACTTGAATTCATTTACCCTTTTTTAAAATCCCCACATGGATGTATTTGTTTGAATTGTTTCATATTCTTCAAGAGAGAAAAAATTAGTATTCTTTTAATTTTATCTTTCCAGTGATGCTCCTCCAAAGAAAAACTTGCTTATTTTCTTGGGTGTGTGTTTGTGTGTGTGTGCGTGTATGTTTCAAAATGGTATTTCTTAAGAATTTATCTGGCTGGGTGCAGTGGCTCCCATCACTTTCGGAGGCCAAGGCAGCTGGATCACCTGAGGTCAGGAGTTCAAGACCAGCCTGGCCAATATGATGAAACCCTGTCTCTACTAAAAATACAAAAATTAGCCAGCCATGATGGCTCATGCCTGTAATCCCAGCCATTTAGGAGACTGAGAGATGGAGGCTGCAGGGAGCTGAGATTCCACTACTGCACTGCAGCCTGGGCGACAGAGCAAGACTCCATCTCCAAAATAATAAAAATAATAATTTATCATAATACTTTATAAAATAAAACAAATTGAATTATAGATTAAGTAATGAAAAATGTATTTGATGCAAATCAGTAATAAATCATTTTGACAGTACTACACTAATTTGTAAGAATGGATCTTAGAGGATTACAAAACACCTGCATTATCACATTTTTTAATTTTTTAAAGTTTTATTGAGGTATAATTGATATACAAAAATAGCACATATTTAATGTATAAATTTGGTGAGTTTGTGCATATTCATATATGCATAATACCATCACCACAATTAAGGTACTAAGCACATCTATCACTTCCCAAAATTATCTTTTGTTCTTCTTCTTTTTTTTTTTTTTTTTTTTTTTGAGACGGAGTCTCGCTCTGTCGCCCAGGCTGGAGTGCAGTGGCGCGATCTCGGCTCACTGCAAGCTCCGCCTCCCGGGTTCACGCCATTCTCCTGCCTCAGCCTCCCGCGTAGCTGGGACTACAGACGCCCGCCACCACGCCCGGCTAATTTTTTTGTGTTTTTTTAGTAGAGACGGGGTTTCACTGTGTTAGCCAGGATGGTCTCGATCTCCTGACCTCGTGATCCGCCCGCCTCGGCCTCCCAAAGTGCTGGGATTACAGGCGTGAGCCACCGCGCCCGGCCTCTTTTGTTCTTCTATGCATGTTTTTATTTGTTGTTGTTGTTTTATTTTTTGGTAGTAAGAACACTTAACATGAAATTTTTTCTCTTAGCATATTTTGTAGTGCACCATATTGTATTGTTACTTGTAGATATGGTGTTGAACAGCAGGTCTCTAGAACGTATTCATTTGGCATAACTAAAACTTTATACCCATTCAACAACAATTCCCTATTTGCCCCTCCCTCCATCCTCTGGCAACCAGAGCCCTGTTCTCTGCTTCTACCAGTTTAGCTATTTTAGGTACATCATACAAGTGGAGTCATGCAGTATTTGTTTATTTGTGCCTCAATATAATGTCCCTCAGGTTCATCGAGGTGCTGCCAATGGTAGGAGTCCCATTTTCTCTTTACAGTAACAAGCAGAAGTGTGCTAGTAAACTGGCTCTCAAAAAATAAATAAACTTTATTTATTTATAGTAAATAATTTATATTTATTTATAATAAATAATTTATATTTATTTATAATAAATAATTTATATTTATTTATATTTATTATTATTTATAATACATGACCATATCTGTGGCATAAATACCTCCACCATGGCCAAATTCAACCTAACAAAGGATTTAAAAGTGGGCTTGTAAAATTAATGAATATTTAAAAATTACTGGGGCCAAACCATCAGCTCCAACACACTACTGGATGTTGGTACTGGTATTCCTATTTTATCAAAGAAAAACAGGAGCCAAGAGAGATTAAGTAACTTTCTCAAATGCACACAGCTAGGATGACAGCTCAGGTCCTTTTATTCCATACAATATGCTCTTTTTATATCATAATTCTAACTACCTCCTTATTGATAGCAATGCAAGCTTTCATTAATTGCATGATTTTTATTCTCTCAACTACTCATAAGATAATTTGAGATACAATCAGACTAAAACACACATTTTCAAAATAAAAGACTTTTATGTGATATATACATATCCTGTGGAATACTACTCAGTCATAAAAAGGAAAGAAATAATGTCATTCACAGCAGCCTGGATGGAATTAGAGACCATTATGCTAAGTGAAGTAACTCAGGAATGGAAAACCAAACATTGTATGTTTTCACTCATAAGTAGGAGCTGAGCTATGAGGAGCAAAGGCATAAGAATTATACAACGGAATTTGGGAACTTGGGAAAGGATGGGAGCTGATTGAGAGATAAAAGACTACACATTGGGTACAGTGTATGCTGCTCAAGTGAGGGGTGCACCAAAATCTCGTAAATCACCACTAATGAACCTATTTATGTAACCAAACACCACCTGTTCTCCAAAAACCTATTGAAATAAAAAAAATTTAAAAAAAACATTAAAAATGAAATAAATTAAAAATAAAAATAAGAGACATTTACAAATAAAAACTAAACAATCATTTTAAATAAACCAAGGCAATCAATAGCAGATTATAGATATTTTTATATACAGGCACTTTTTTGTGGAATGAAAATGTAATAGAAATTTATCACTAGGACAGTTGTTTGGAGGATGTTAAATGAATGGGAAGAGTCACGCTTTGACCATGGTTTTATGAACATAGAAACTAAATGGTTTTCACATACATATTGAAAGGCAGATCATCTTACATTTACTCATAACTTAATGGAAGCAATTATGTTAAGACTGAGACGGAGTAGATTGATAGAAAAAAATATCAGAACAAAACCTAGAGAGGTAACTACTCCCTTAGGCTGGCCTGAATTATAATATGTTTTAAAAATAATTTTTATTTAAAATTCACAATCCAATCCTTTGATAGGCCTATTAGGCTGCTATTCTATATTGCTCAATAAAGTGATAGGAATAAGCTTTAATATCGGACATAAAAAGGCAAGGGATGCTTTATATTTGGAAATTTGACAACAGGAATGTATTGCTGTTCAGAAGATGATCAGAGAACTTTAGCTCATAAATGAGTAACACAATTTCTCATAATTAAAAACTATTATGTCTTCTAGATACACTTGGACATTTCCCCTCCCCACTCACACCCGCGCCCCCTACCAAAAAAAAAAAAAATCAGGATTCCATTAGTCATTCATTTACTTGCTCATTTGTTCAACAAAAAATCAGTTACTACCTACTATAGTCCATGTCCCATGTTAGTTGTTAATGACAGTTTGCACTCCAATGATACCCTTGAAAGAAGGACACATAGTTTAACATTTAAAGTGGGAAACTTCTCTCATTTGATTAAAATGTAAACAAATGTTTCAAATCAATATTAACAAATTTAGAACAGAACTTCATTCAGTGTTGCTTATGCCTCTTACGCAGTCATCCCAGTCATCGCCAGCTGTCCTGAAGATCAGTGTCCTACTGGCCTACAGATCAACAGGCACTTGAGTCTGTCAGGTTAGATACTTAGGTTTCACCACCTTTACAAATCAGAATGGAAATGATGACAACTCCGTGACCATGGTTCTCACTCGGTTGGTTTGCCTTTCTCTCTATTTCAACAGTAGCCTAAGGGTCAATTTTCTCCACTGGCTACACCATCTTAAGAATATCAAGCCAATCACGAGTTTCCCAGGAGCCAGAATGCTTTGCCTCTAAGCCAGCCTTGACTATGACTGCCTCTACTTGATGAGCACATTCCCATTTATAATTAAGTTTGGTCTTTTGGTGTGCTAAATCCCTTGCTGTTTTGGGGTTCCAGCTGTTCCAGTTTTGATTAATAACACATGCAGACTGCATTATGATAACTTGCTGTAATCAGGATTACTTTGTTAGTGCACAGAATTTTTAGATGATAAAAAATTCATCAACTAATTGTGTATCACCTAAAAACTTAAATGTATTTTTACTTAAAAATAAAAAGATCGAGTATATGTAGAATTATTAAAAATAATATCAAAGAAAATCAGATTAACTCAGCCTATAGCAGGCTCATGTAAACAATCATAATTAGGTTCAGTATCTTATAAAATCAACGCTGTGCATAAAAGTGATTAATGGTGATTCTAATTGACCTACAAACCAATGATGACATGGCAAGAAGCCTTCGCTAAGCACAAAATGCCATTATAGAGAGTCATCGATCCAAGTGCTGCTATCGGGGAATATTTCTATTGTGCTGAATGTTCAGTAAGAGATAATTTATGTTAACTTAACATACTTTTCTTTAGAGAGATTTTTACTTAGAAGAAAGCAGAATAGCTGGTACTTAAAAATGCAGCTCTGAAAACAAAATGCCTGGATTTTACTGGCTCCGGCACAAATCAATTATATAGCTTTGAGCAAGTTATTAAAATGTTTCTGGCTTTCAGTTTTCTTATCTTTAAAATGTGGATACATATACATGGATGGAACTAGAGGTGATTATGTTACTTGAAATAAGCCAGTTACAGAAAGATAAACATAGGATGTTCTCTCTCATATGTGAGAGCTAAAAATGTGGATGTCCTGAAGGTCAAGAGTAGAACTGGGATTACCAGAGGCCAGAAAAGCTGGGAAAGAGAGAAGGGTGAAGACAAATTAATTAAGCAGTACAAAAATGCAGTCAGATAGAAAGAATAGGTTGTAGTATTCCATAGTACAGTAAATAAATTATAGTTAACAATAATGTGTTGTATGTTTCAAAATAGCCAGAAAAAAAATATAATATTCTCAACACAAAAAAAGATGTTTGAGATGATTGATGTTTCAATTACCCTGATTTGATCATTACACATTGTGTATTGGTATCAAAATATCACATGTATCCCCCAAAAAATGCAACAATTGTATATCAATAAAAATAAATGAATTTTTTTTAAAGAGAAAGAAAGTGTGGATACACTTAGACCTTATGTAATAGATTATTTTGCAGACATATGACTTAATTCCTAAAAATTACTTAGAGCAGAATTCAACACATTAAAAGGACATTATAAATGTTAACTATCATTACTATTGTTTGAAAATTCCTTCCAGGACCAGTATCACAAGTGCATCAATTGCGTTGGGCCTATGCTGGGTTTAATGCTCTGTGGTTGCTGCCTTTAAATTTGTAACAATATTCGAGCAGGGGCCCCATTGTTTTATTTTGCACTGGCCTCCCCAAATTATGTAGTCAGTCCTAGCCACACTTTCAGGAGCTGATCATTACCAGAGTGACTCTGTTTTCTGGGGTAGCAATTCTTTCTTCCCTATCACTAATCTCTCCCTTTCTAGACTATAAGGAAGGACTACTGAAAGAACTTTTACAGATTATAGAACAACACACTTATAAGCAAACCTCATCGGCCCCCCAAAAGCCTTTGTTTTCTCACCTTTCCCTGTGGTAAGGAAACACAAACCATTCATGTTGATACATTGGATTGCATAACCTTGGTTTTATCACCCAAAGGAAAAGAATACTCATGTCAAAGGAGCATTTTGAACATAAGTTGTTTCAGGAGTTAGACATGTTTTTTACATTTTGCATAAACCAAGAAATAGATATCAACATTAAGCATTCCTTACATTCTCAAGATCTAAATATGGTTCTAAGTAGAGTTCTAATTAACGTTAGAATTATGCATTGGTGAACTTTGAGTCATGATGGTGCTAGGTGACCTAGTCTCTTTCAATGTCATCGCAGGTCATCTGTGTGGGGAGAAGAGGGTGTTAAAGTATATGTAGGGTAGATGGGGGCAAAAGGACAACTGAGTTACCAAAAGAGACCTCGACACTCTCTAAATTTAGAGTATGATTTTTAAGGCATGGAAATTTAATATATAAGATGTCTGTTGTCCTGCAGTCTGGAGTGATATTGTCATATTACCTGGCCAGTTGTTAAGGCTTTCTCTTCACACATATGCATCAGGAATATAAATTACTGTGAACCTATATTTTGCCATTAAAATAAGCTTTTGTGTGAAATATCAACATAAATTTTAATTAGCAGTCTACAGGGACTGCTAGACTACTGTAGACTGTAAGAAATTAATTTATAAAGTGAAAAAAAAGGGAAAAGAATGTCAAACTCTGACTCCTTCCTGATCTGAATGAACAAGTTTTGTTTTTTGCCCAAATTAACCTAGAGTTCTTTCTTTCTTTCTTTCTTTCTTTCTTTCTTTCTTTCTTTCTTTCTTTCTTTCTTTCTTTCTTTCTTTCTTTCTTTCTTTTTGAGATGGAGTCTCGCTCTGTCGCCAGGCTGGAGTGCAGTGGCACAATCTTGGCTCACTGCAACCTCTGCCTCCCAGATTCAAGCGATTCTTCTGCCTCAGCCTCCTGACTAGCTGGGATTACAGGCGACCGTCACCGCGCCCGGCTAATTTTTGTATTTTTAGTGGAGACGGGGTTTCACCATGTTAGCCAGGATGGTCTCGATCTCTTGACCTCATGGTCCACCTGCCTCAGCCTCCCAAAGTGCTAGGATTACAGGTGTGAGCCACTGTGACAGGCCACAATTCTAACTTACTATCACAAAGCTATCAGTAACTGAATAGACGCAGTGGTGATGGTAACCTGTAGGTCACCATATTTGTGCAAGAATTCCTCTTAATATTTTACTATTATGTTGATACTATTATAATAATTAGATAGCTATCATTTCTTGGGCATAAACTATATTCTAGGCACTGGGTAATAACACTGTAGATTGGGTCGATTAGATAGCTAGATAGATAATTAAATGCTAGGGCTGCTGTAACAATGTACCACAAACTGAATGGTTTAAAGCAACAGAAATGTATTGTTGCACAGTTCTGGAAGCCAGAGACTAATCAACATTCATTGGAATTGATTCTTTCTGAAGGTTATGAGGAACATATCTATTCCAGGCCTCTCTCCTTGGCTTGTAGATGGCGGTCTTCTCTCCCTGTGGTTCTTGATTGTGTTTCCTGTATGAATGTCTGGGTTTGAATTTTTATTTTTATAAGAACATGAATTGTATGGGATTAGGGGCCCACTCTACTCCAGCATAACCTCATCTTAACCAACACATGTGTAAAAAACTTTCAAGCAGGCCGGCATGATGGCTCATATCTGTAATCCCAGCCCTTCGAGAGGCCGAGGCGGGTGGATCACGAGGTCAAGAGATCAAGATCATCCTGGCCAACATGGTGAAACCCCGTCTCTACTAAAAATACAAAACTTAGCTGGGCATGGTGGCGCATGCCTGTGGTACCAGCTACTCAGGAGGCTGAGGCAGGATAATCACTTGAACCTGGGAGATGGAGGTTGCAGTGAGCCAAGATCATGTCACTGCACTCCAGCCTGGCAACAGAGTGAGACTTCATTTAAAAAAAATAACCAAAAAAAACCAAAAAAACAAAAATTCTTTCAAGCGAGGCCACATTCTGAAGTGAAGTAAGTTAGGACTTCAACATGTTAATTTTGGGGGAACACAATTAGCTTATAACAGCTCTCTAGCTTGCTGGCTAGCAAACTAACTGGACAGGCAGATAGATAAAATATCATTTAATTCTCAACAAGCCAATGAGTTTTAAGGAGGCTGAAGAGCATATCCAGTGGCATGCAGCTACTCAAAGTAAATCAGGGGAAGCCTCATGTTTAAACCTTCTGCTATAATCCATTAATTCATTCAGAAAATATTTAATGGGCATCTGCACATGCTGGGCGCATTGCTAGTCAAATTTCCTTCAGTTTTCAATTTATGAAGGAAGAGACATAAATTATTCATCTGTTACCCTTTCAGTCATTTAGCTGCTTTCTGTCCTTCTTTGAACAAATAGGATACAGATTCTGCTTAAGAGGAAGTTTATCTTATTAGCAAAACTCAAACATGAAATGTGTGTGATGACAAAGACATTATCAAATTGGTATGGGAGTGTGAAAGATGAAGCAATCAAGTATTCTTCCTGGAAGAGGCAGTAAAGTATGCTGTATCTGTAGAATGCAGACAAGCATAGAGCATGAGAAAACCCAGTAAATTATGAGCTGACAGTCCATGAATAGGGCATAATTACGTCGGCTTTTGTTAAGTCAATAGGTAATGTGAGTGGAGCGTCACCCTCTTTTCTGAGACTGTCCCTTCAGACTCCAAAGCTGTTATGAAGCAGATTTGTTCTAGGTCCCCTTTAGGAAATATGCTCTCTGCCCTTGTATCAGGAATTGTGATCACTCCATAGATTAAATCATTGACTCAATTTTGGATTAGTTTTCTCTGCTTTCTGCATAAAGCTTTCGCTTCAGATAAAATGAATCTCAACAACATTTCCATCAAGCCTCCAACTCTGGATTTGTCCTTAAATTTATTGGCAAATATTTTTGGAGTAATATCTTCAATGTATAAACATGTGCCAATGTTTGCTTGGATTGTCAACACCTAGAGAGCAGAATCTTCTTATATACTGTGCTGGATGCAGTTGGTTGTACATTCAAATTCCCTTTATCAGCCAAACCTCCTAGCCCCCAGTGAGTAAGTGTTAGCTCACAGCTGCCCACAACTTCTTTTCTAACAAATGACCTCATGCAAAAGGAGCCCTCCACACGCACACAGTGAAGACCTCAGTCCATAACTGACTGGCACAGGGATAAAAATGATCTGTCCCCTTGTTTCAAGATAGGACACACTATATGGTACAAGTTGCGCTCTGGACCTTAGCTGGGATGAGATCAAAGCCAGAATCAATGGAAAGTACTTCCTGGCTTAATTTTCTTCTCCTCTACCCTTATGCTTCACTTCCCCTCCCCTAAGAGTAGTTGAACAACAATCTCATCTCAGGATCTGCTCCTAGATAATTACTTGGCTCATGACACGTTTTTATGAAATATTTGTTGAACTGAAATTCAAAGCATAGCAATTATCAAAATTACTAGTCTTAACAAAAATCCACCTTAAAGAATAGGAGCATTCATTTTTTATTGCTCTCTTAGGACTATTTTATAAATAATCTCATTCACATTACTATTAACTATGCTTAATGATCTTGCCAGAGTTAATTGAAAGAATTTGTCTAAATGTAATGAAGGAAGTAATTTACTTTAAAAACAAAAAGAGAATTTAGTGTACTGTACATTGCCAGGAGGTATGAAGCTCAGTGTAGATTTAAGCCTATTTTTTCTGCTTTCTAAAGCATTTATTCCACAGTAAGTAGTCAATGGCCCTAATTTATAGTAAAATGGCTTGAATTGATTTTTATATTAAAAATAATTAAATGATCAATCAAAATAACTTGAGAAAGATAAAGTGCAATTTGATTATGTGCAAACCTTATTTATTAACATTCAGCAAATGAAATAGAGCTCCATATTATTACTGGGCCTTATTATGGAAAAAACAGAAGAATGACACATACTGAAATTTAGACATATTCATATCCTCAGTAATTTTTGATAAATAGTAAAGAACAGAAAATCCTGAAGAATCAACATTGATTTATTTAATATAACAGCCCATTATTTAATTATATTTCCAGATGAAAGTTATTAGTATAATATCAGCACCAATCTTGAACAATTGCATTATATAAATCTATGCCAAGGACAAAAGTAGAGAAGTTGAATTGTTCTTTCTCTGAACATTCTTTCAGTATTTAATCTGCATGTAACATTTAGCACTGGACTATGTATATTGCTATGTATATTCACTCTGGATGAACGAATAAGATAAGTTTTCCTTCAGCAGATACTTAAAACTTATGTCTCTTGATAATTCATTGTCTTGATGTTCTTTTAGAAAGAAATTCAGATAAGTAACTGAGCAATCTAGTTCTAGACACCTCAACTGCATGAAATTTCATATTCTTATCTCTAAAATGGGCACAATGTCAGTCATATCTCTTCTCTATCCAGAATTAGTATGTGGATGATATAGGTAAAAACTCCCTGTAAATTCTAAACTGACGGAAATACTATTTCTCATCACTGGCTCTTCCCCATTAACTTTATCAAATAATCTCTCTTTTTATCTGGAAGGAGATTGATGTTTTCTAGGATTCTCACTCCTTCTGTTGCCTACATGTTCCAAGCCAATCTTCCAAGACACAGTATTTCTTAAATAAGCATGTGCTTTTTGGAGCCAATATATAATTTACAACATGATGCCTAAATCAAGATAATTTCTGCATTTTAACCCCAAGAAGAAGAAAGTGTAGGTAGTCAATCTCAAAACTCTGTGATCTCTGCAGTTACCCAAATGTTGACATCCTTAGAATATATTTGTCTGGGTGACTTTCTCAATTAATTCACCAAAAGGCAAGAGTCATTGTATACCCTCAAAGGCTTCATTGCCAGAAAAGTAACCTATATTTGTATAACTTCAATCTTAAGCACTCTATTGTATAAAGCTACACTTAGAAACACTGAAGTTAATATTACAATGGATTTCTTCCTTTAGATCAAGTCAAAAGTAATGAGGTGTGACTGTAATATAAAGCTTACCTACTAAACATAACAGAATTTATACATCCAAATAAACATCATTCTACATACTAAAGTTTGTGACAATGTTTTCATAATTATACAAGACTATACCCTTAATATTATTATTTTTTACCTCTTATTCCAAACATAACTTCAATGATGGTGAGATTTGCTCAAATCATTTTTAAAACTCAACCATTAGAATTGCCTTTTTAAAAAGGACCACTTTATTATACGAGATACATTTCTAAAACGGTGAAACCCCGTCTCTACTAAAAATACAAAAAAAAATTAGCCAGGCGCGGTGGCGGGCGCCTGTAGTCCCAGCTACTCGCGAGGCTGAGGCAGGAGAATGGCGTGAACCCAGGAGGCGGAGCTTGCAGTGAGCCGAGACCGCGCCACTGCACTCCAGCCTGGGCGACAGAGTGAGACTCCGTCTAAAAAAAAAAAAAAAGTTTGTGTTTAGCTTAATAATTACAGAGCAATATCCATGTAACACAATTCCATGAGCTACCATATTTTTATCCATCAAATCTTGATAATATAATCAAGACTGAGAAATAGAATATTACAAATCCCTCCCAAGGTCTCAGGTGCTCGTCTCAAATTTCAACATTCTCCCAGCTCTGAAGAATCAGTCACCCTCCAAAATTGTGTAATAATTGATTACTTACTTTTAAATAAATAGTTTTACAATTTACGCATTCATTCCAAAGTAATACCATTCATTTTTAAACCTGTAAATGGATCACATTTGGTTTGTTCTCAGTATTTAGCTACCACAAGCAATACTTTTATAAATATTTTTGTTTATGTATCTTGGTACACATATGCCAGAGTTTCTTTAGAGTATATACATAAAGTGTATATGTATATGAATTATATATAGAAGTATATATACTAAATATACATTTAATTCAATATATATGAAGTATAATTGCTGGTACTATAGAAAATTTATTTCTTCAATTTTACTAGACAATGACAAACTGGTTTCCAAATTGGTTATTTCAATGCACAATACAATTCCCACATTGCTTCACATCCTCATCAACACTTGCAATTTTCAGATATTTCATTGTTGCCAATCTGGTACATATGGAATGGCATCTTTTTGTGTGTTCAATGTACACAAACCCAAGACCCTCTTAAAATATGCAATTGAATAGAGAAATATTTCCTTTAATGTGTGAGAAATTTCTACCTAAGCACATCTTAGAGAAAGTGCAGAAGAAAAATGACAACAACAACAAAAGAAAATCTTTACAGAAACTAGAAAAGAAAAGCAGTAACATTGTTACCCTCACAGTAACATCAATGGCACTGATATCAGGCTTCTCTACAGAAACAGTAAAAGCCAGAAGAAAATGGAATAATGTACAAAGAAATGAAAGAAATAAGTGTCTTTCCAGAGTTCTATACTCAGCAAAAGCGTATTTCAAAACAAGTGTGAAATAAAAACGTTTTCAGATACACAAAAAACTGTATTTGTGGAACCTCACAAAAGTTAGTTACAAGATTATATTGTAGAAAAAGGAAATAATCTTTCCTGAAGTATTGAGAGATAAGAAAGAATGAAGAACAAATAAAGTGTTAAAATTTGGGAAAATATAAGTTTATAGTGACTAAACTAAATGATAAAACACTCTATTTAGTGAGGGCTTTGAGTTAGCTTTCTTCCACACGCCCCACAAACAACCAAAAATTTATGAAAAGCTCAGCTTGGTATACACTAAGAGAGTGAATTTTAAAATTCAGTATACGGTACTGTTTTCAGTGAAAGATTGATTTGCACAATGAAATGCTGCTATTATAAATGACATATTTTCTAAACGATTTTGAAATTTTATTTTACTTATATACAACTGATATTTGATTTTGTATCTCACAATTCTGTTAAATTTACCTTCATTTCTTATTATCTATTTAGTAATTCTAATCATTTATAATTTTTATAGGATAGTGTTCATATCACCTGTAAGTAAAGATATTTTTCTTTTACTATATTTTAATGTTTTCTTTAATTTTCTTGCCTTATTGATCTGACTAGGACCTCTAATAATGTTAAATTAAAATGTTGATAGCAGGCATTGTCATCTCATTTCCAATCGCAGAAAGAATTCTATCAATATTTACCATTAAGTATTTTCTTACCTAGAGGGTTATGTAGATGACATTTAACAGAAAGTTCCCTTCTTTTTCTGGTTTGTTAGGATTTTTTATTACAAATTAATGTTGAATTGTATCAAATGTTTAAATTGCACCCATTAAAAATTAGTCAAAGATTGCTCTTTTCTTATTCTGTTATAATGGTAAATTACTTTGATTTTCAAAATTGTTTTTTACAAACCTTGTCTTTCTTGTCTAAACTCAATTTGATTATGATGTATTGACTCGTATTGCTAGATAAGCTTGCTAATACTTATCTTAGGATTCTTATTTTCTCTGTGATCATGAATAAAATTGACCTGAATTTTTATTTTTTTCTTAAAGGCCCAAGTTAGCATTAAGGCAATGCTGACCTCATACAACAATCTAGAAATGTTTCCTCTTTTCTTCCTCTAATGAATTCATGTGAGATTGGTATTATTTTTTCCTTAAGCCTTAACAGCAAAGCCTTCTGGGCCTAGTGTTTTCTTTTTGGGAAAACGTTTACTTATTTTTGTTTCTGTGAGAAGGTTTTAATTGTCATTTCTTGTTATCAGTTTTAGAATTATGTTTCATAATTTATTCTTACATTAATTTTATAAATTCTCAAAATTTGGCCATTTCATCAATTTTTAAAATATTTTTGGGGGCAATTTTGTTAAGAATATCACCTGATGATCACTTTGTGGTCTCAATGTTGTCTTCTTTTATATTTCTAATATTAGTTGTTTGTGCTTTTTTTCCTTATCTCTTGAGCAGTTTTTATAAGGTTAAGCAATTTTGTTTGTACAGAACAAAATTCTGACTTTGTTTACTTTCTCTACTATAATGTTTTCCCTATATCAACAATTTCTGCTCTTATATTTTTGTTTCTTTCTACATTCATGGAGTTATTTTGTTCTTCTGTTTTTGCTTTTTAAGATACTTAGAGCATTAATTTCAACCATTTGTCTCTTCAAACACATACATTTAATACAATAATCTTCCCTCTAAGCAGAGTTTTAATCATATCGTTCAAGTCATACTTTCATTATCACTCAGTTCAAAATGTTTTCCAATTCCCATTGTTGTAATTTCTTTGATCCATGGGTTACTTATTCTTTATTTTTTACTTATTTATTTTTCATTTTTAAGTTCAGGGGTCCAAGTGCAGGTTTTTTATATAGGTAAACTTGTGTCATGGGAGTTTGTTGTATAGATTATTTTATCACACAGGTTTTAAGCCTAATAACTGTAAGTTGTTTTTCTTGGTGCTCTCACTCCTCCCACCTTCCACCTTCTGAAGCACCCCAGTGTGTATTGTTCTCCTCCATGTTTCTATGTGTTCTCAACATTTAGCTCCCACTGATAAGTGAGAACATGTGGTATTTGGTTTTCTGTTCCTGAGCTAGTTTGCTGAAGATAATGGCCTCCAGCTCCATTCATGTCCCTGCAAAGAACATGACCTCCTTCCTTTTTATGTCTGCATAGTATTCAGTGGTGTATATGTATCACGTTTTCTTTATCCAGTCTATCATTGATGAGGTTTTAGGTCAACTAGATGTCTTCGCTCTTGTGAATAGGTCTGCAATGAACATACGTGAGCAAATGTTTTTTATAATAGAATGATTTATATTCCTTTGGGTATATACCCAGTAATGGGATTGCTGGGTCGAATAACATTTCTGTCTTTAGGTCTTTGAGGAATCACCACACTGTTTTCCACCATGACTAAACTAATTTACACTCCCATAAAGAGGGTATAAGCATTCCTTTTTCTCCACAACCTTGCCAGCATCTGTTATTTTTTGACTTTTTAGTAATAGCCATTCTGGCTGGTGTTAGATGATATCCCATTGTGGTTTTGATTTGCATTTCTCTAATAAGCAGTGATGTCAAGCTTTTTTTCATGGTTGTTGGCCTCATGTATGTCTTCTTTTGAAGAGTATCTGTTCACGTCCTTTGCCTGTTTTTTTCTTGAAATTTGTTTAAGTTCTTTATAGATGCTGGATATTAGACCTTTGTCAGATGCATAGTTTGCAAAAGTTTTCTTCATTCTGTAAGTTGTCTGTTTACTCTGTTGATAGTTTCATTTGCTGTGCAGAAGCTCTTTAGTTTAATTAGATTCCATCTGTCAATTTTTGCTTTTGTAGCAACTGCTTTTGGCATCTTCATCATGAAATCTTTGCCCATACTGATGTCATGAATGGTATTGTTTAGATTGTCTTCTAGTTTTTATAGTTGTAGGCTTTACATTTAAGTTTTTAATCCATCTTGAGTTAATATTTGTATATGGTATAAGGAAGAGTTCCAGTTTCAATTTTCTGTATTTGGCTAGCCAGTTATCCCAGCACCATTTATCGAATAGGGAATCCTTTCCCCATTGCTTGTTTTTGTCAGGTTTGTCGAAGATGAATGAGATAGCTGTAGGTATGCAGTCTTATTTCTGAGTCTCTATTCTGTTCCATTGGTCTATGTTTCTGTTCTTGTACCAATACCATGTTGTTTCGGTGACTGTAGCCCTGTGCTATAGTTTGAAGTCAGGTAGCATGATGTCTTTAGCTTTGTTCTTTTTGTTTAGTATTGCTTTGGCTATTTGGGCCAAGTTTTCTCCAGTTCTTTGAAGAATGTCAATGGTAGTTTAATGGGAATAGCATTGAATCTATAAATTGCTTTAGGCAGTATGGCCATTTTAATGATATTGATTCTTCCTCTCCGTGAACAAATCCATGGGTTGTTTAAAAGCTTATTGTTTAATTTCAACATAGGTAGTCTTTAGGTAACTTTATTTTGTTTAATTTTAGCTTAGTTCAGCTATGTCAGAGGATACACTCTCTATGATTTTATTCTTTCAGTACTTGTGGTGAATTGCTTTATGGCTTAACATATAGTTAATCTTGGTAATGTTACACATGCGCTTGAAAATAGTGTATATTTTGTCATTTGAGGGAACAGTCAAGTTTGTTAATGATGGAATTCATATGTTCTACATTTTGCTATTTTTTTGTCTATTTGTCTTATTCTTTATTGAGAGAGATAGATTTTAAAATCTCCATTAGAGCATGTATCTATTTATTTTATGGATTATAAAGGTTTAAGGATCTGTTATTAAGAGCACAGTTTCTTCAACTTATTTTCTTTCATCTTCACACTTTTAGGTTGTCTTTATATTTCTGTAAGTAGCATAAAGATGGATTTTATTTTTTATAAAGTCTGCCAATACCTGTCTTTTAACTGATGCATTTCATCTATTTATGTTATTATAATTAATTCTATTTTGAGTTTATATATATTATTCTACATTCTATTTTTCATTTGTTTCTCTTCTGTTCTTTTTCTCTTTTTGCAAATATTTTTAGATTAATTGATTATTTTTTAGTATTACATTTTCCCATCTATTTCTGGTACATTTCTACCAAAAATCCTGCTTATATTTTGACAGATATTGAATTTGATTTATAGAGAAGAAGAGATTGAGAAGTCAATAAGAGCAAACGTAGTATCTTCAAATATATTGGCCCCTAAACCACAAACACAAAATGTCTCTGTGTTTACTTAATCTTTAATTTCTGTCAACAATATTTTATAGTTTAAGTGAACAAGTTTAACACTTTTTTGTTAAATTTATTTCTATGCATTTTATACTATTGTAATGGGATAATTTTCTTTATTTCATTTTAAAATTGTCCATTGCTGGCAGAAGAAAATAATTTTTGTACATTAATTTTTATCTTATGATTTGGACAACTTTATTGGTTCTAGTAATTTTCTGCAGATACCATTGAATTTTCTACATAGGGAATCATGTCTTCTCTAGATAAAGACAGTTTTACTTCTTTCTTTAAAAATGGAGATTTGTAATTTTTCTTTGCTTCCTTCCTTTTTTCCTTCTTGTACTATACATGACAATGTTGAACAGAAGAGGCCATAATGGACATCTTTGCCTTGTTCCTTTTCTTGGAGAGGGATGGGGCAATGGTTATTTTTTCACTATTAAGAATGCTGATAGCTGTGTTTGTTTGGTTTGGTTTGGTTTGGTTTGGTTTGTAGATGCCCATAATCAGGTTGAAGAAGTTCCCTTGTATTACTAGTTTGTTGAGAGGTTTTATTATGAATGAGTGCTGGGTATTGTCAACAGTTTGTTATGCTTCTCTTGAAGTATCACGTGATTTTTGTCCTTATTCTGTTAGTATGGCCTATTTTATTAATTAATTTTATGTCAAACCAGTTTTACATTCAGGGATAAATTCCAGTGTTGAATTCTCTTTATATGTTGCTGGATTTGATTTGCTAATATTTTGTTAAGGATATTTGAATATTCATGATGAATATCTGTCTATATGTTTCTCTCTCTCTCTTTTTTTTAATGTCTTTGTCCTGCTTTGTTACCAGCCTATTCCTGGCCTTATAGAATGAAGTAAGAAATGATTTCTTCTTCTATATGTTTTAAGAGATTGTACAAGATTGGTATTATTTCTTCCAATATTTCATAGAATTTAACATACACGAAAGATGAGCCTTAGGCTTTCTTTATAGGAAGAATTTTAATCTCAGTTTTTTTTCTTGTTGTGAGTCTATTCAGAATTTCCATTTTTTCTAGAGTCAGTTTTGGCAATTGGCATCATGAAAAAGAAATTGTTCAATTTTATCTAAGATGTCTAATTCATTGACTTAAAATTCTATATAGTATTAAAATTATTTTAATTGCTATACAGATTGTAGTAATGTCTCTCTTTTAATTTTCATTTTATTAATCTGTTGCTTCTTTCTTCTTTTACTTGGTTAGAATAAATGATAGTTTGTCAATTTTCTTGATCTTTTCAAAGTTTCATTGACTATGTATTCTGCTTCATTAATTTCATCTCTAATCATTAATATTTCCTTCCTCTTTTTAAAACATAATTTCAACTTATATACTGTATTTAGGGATTACATGTGCAGGTTTTTTACATTAGTTTATTGCTCAATGTGCTAAGGTTTGTGGTACGAATGATCCCTTCACACAGGTAGTGAGCATAGTACCTAATAGGTAGTTTTTCAGCCCCGACACTCCTGCCTCTTTCCCCTCTCTAGTGTCTATTGTTCCCATGTTTATATCCATGTGTACTCAATATTTAGCTTAGATTTATAAGAGAGCATGTGGTATTTGGTTTTCTATGCCTGCATTAATTTGATTATACTTCCTATTGGTTACTTTGCAGTTTGTTTGTTTTCTAGTTTCTGAAAGTAAAAACTTAGATTATCGATTTGAGACTTTTTTTATTTTACAGGTCTTGAAAGCTATTCACATATATTGTGATATAAATTTCTCTCTAAGTGCTGATTTAGCTACATCTATAAATTTTGGTATTCTGTGCTTTATTTTCACTGAGATTATATTACCCTCTAAATTTTCTTAAAATTTCTTATTTGACATACTTATTAATATTTCTTAAAGTATATTTGTTAGATGTTAAAATAGTAACTTCAGTTTCTATTCAACTTCTCTTTTGGTTACTATTTGCATGGTACATTTTTGTATTCTTTTAATATCAATATATTTATATGTTTGAATTTAGAAAGTATGTCTTGTAAATATTATAAATTGGCTTTTGCTTTTTGTATTCATTTTGACAGTCTCTGTCATTTTATTGAGGTGTTTAGAACCTTCACATTTAATTTGATATGGTTAGCTTTATATTTGCCATTTGGTTATATGTTTTCTATGTTTCTGTCTTTTTTCTTTCCACTTTTTTCTTTATTCTATTATTTTGTGTTAAACAAATACATTCTAAGAAATCTATAAAATAGAAAAATATGATTCATTTTTCACTGTGTTATGAAAAATAAATGTGAGTATATGGCTAAAAATTTATAGTATTATTTTGAATCAGGTCTAGTTGACCTATCTAATTACTTTGGGGGTTGGTTTTTTTCTAGTGTTTTAAGAAGAAAACTTATATTATTAATCAGAAAATTTTCTTTTTTCTGATATAGGTGTTGAAAGATGTTAAAATTTATGTCATAAATTTTATATCATCTGTATAAATTTATATCATATATGAAATTCTCTATATGTTCCAACACTTACATCTTCCTGTGTGCCTGTAATCATGCCATTCTCAGTAAAAAGAGCAAAGCTAGAGGCATTATATTGTACGATTTCAAAATATACTACAAACTATAAACCAAAACAGCATAATATTGATAATAAAACAGACACATAGACCAATTAAACAGAATAGAGAACCCAGAAATAAATTCACATATTTATAGACAACTTATTTTTTACAAATACACCAAGAACATACATTGGGGAAAGCAGATTTCTTTGTTAAATGATGATAGGAATACTGGATATCTACATGCAGGAGAGTAAAACTAGACCCCTATCTCTCACCCTATACAAAAATCAACTAAAAATGGATTAAAGACTTAAATCTAAGACTAGTAACTGTAAAGTTACTAGAAGAAAACATAGTCGATACAATTTAGCATATTTGTCTGAACAAAGACTTTATGGCTAGAACTTCAAAAGCATTGGCAATAAAACCAAATATAGACGAATATTAAACTAAAAAGCTTCTGCACAGGGAGGGAAACAATCAAAAGAGTGAAGACAGAACCTGTAGAATGAGAGAAAATATTTGGAATCTATTCATCTGACAAGGCACTAATATTCAGAATATACAAGGAATTCAGACAACTCTATAGCAAAAAAACAAACAAACAAACAATCTTACCAAGAAGAGGGCAAGGGATCTGAAGAGATTTCTCAAAAGAAGACAAACAATGACTGATGGGTATATGAATAAATGCTCAATATCACTTATCATCAGGGAAGTGCAAATCAAACGACTATGAAATATTATCTCACTCCAGTTAGATGGTTACCATCAAAAAGATGGAAAAAAATGACAAATGTTGGTGAGGATGCAGAGAAAGGGTAACTTTGCCCAATGTTCATGGAAATGTAAATTGGTATAGCCACATGGCAAAGGGTGTTGTGGTTTCTCAAAGAAATAAAAAGAGAGAAAAGGAAGAGCAAGATGGCAACAGAAGGCCCCATTTATTGCTCCCCCTTCACAGGAACATCAAATTTAACCGCTAGCTACACAAAAAAATCACCTTCTTAAGAAATAAAAATCAAGTGAGCACTCACAGTACCTGGTGTTAATTTCATATCACTGAAAGAGGCACTGATGAGGGTAAAAAAGACTGTCTTGAATTGCCAATATCACCCTTCCCTGAGCCCAACCGCACTGTGGCCACATGGTACAGAGAAATCTATGCAATTGGGAGAAGGAAAGTGCAGCAAATAGACTTCTATCAAAATCAGTGCTGCCCTGTCACAGTGGAAGGCAAAATCAGACTGAACTCAGCTGATGCTTGCCCATGAAGGGAACATTCAGACCAGACCTAGCCATAGGGGAATAATCCATTCCAGTGATTGAAACTTCAGTTCGGGCAGGTCTCACCATCACAGGCTGAAGTGCTCTGGGGCATTAAATAAACTTAAAAGGCAATGTAGGCCAAAGAGACTACAAGTCCTAGTACTAAGCTATGCTCAGAGCCAGTAGACTTGGGGTGCACATGGCTTACTAGACACCAACCACAGCAGTTAAAGAAGTGTTTATGCCATTTCTACCCCAACCCCAAGGAGCACAACTCTCAGCTCTAAAAGATACCCTTTGCTTTCATTTGAAGAGAGGAGAGGGAACGGTAAAGAGGATTTTTGTCTTGCATCTTGGATATCAGCTCAGCCACAGTACAATAGGACACTGGATAGAGCTGTTAGGCCCCCATTATAGGACCTAGCTCCTGGACAACATATATAGACACACCCTGGGTCAGAAGCAACCTGCTGCCTTGAAGGGAAGGACCAAATCTTGGCAGAATCCATCAAATGCTGACTAAAGAGCCCTTGAGCTCTGAATAACCAGCAGCAATACTCAGGTAGTACACTATGGGCCTTGGATGAGACTTTTAGATGTGCTGGGTTTAGGTGGTGGCTACAGTTAGAGACTCCTTCTGCTTGAGAAAAGCAGAGAAAAATGTAAAGGGAACTTCGTCTTGCAGCTTAGGTACCATTTTGGTTACAGTGGAGTAGAACACCAAGTGGGATCTTCTATTCAAGGCCCTGGCAATTGGATGGCATTTCTGGACCTGCCCTGGACCAGAAGGAAGCCCACTGTCCTGATGGGTGAGTCCTAGGCCTACTAGCATCCACCACAGGCTGACTGAAGAGATCTTGGGTATTAAGTGTATATTGGAAGTAGCCTAGCTAAACTCCCTGTGGGCCTGTGGTGGTGGTGGCCACAGAGTATGGTTCCTCTGCCTGTGGAAAGGGAGAGGAACAGTGAAAAGGACGTGTCTTGTGACTTGAGGACCAGATCAGCCAGAGTAGAATAGAATTCCAGGTAGCCTTCTAAGGTTTTTGACTCTAGTCCCTAACTTCAGAATGGCATCTGTAGACCCACCCAGGGCCTAGGGAACTCATCAATCTCAAGGAAAGGATAGCTTTCTCAAGCCTGGATAGCTTTGTTACCAGCTAATTGTAGAGCCCTGAGACATTGAGCAAACATAGGTAGTAGCCAGGTAGTGGTTGCAGGGAGCCTTGGGTAATACCCAGTGCTGTGCTGGCTTCAGGCCTGACCCAGCACAGTCACAGTGGTGGTGGCCACAAGAGTGCTTGTGTCACCCACCTCCAACCCCAAACATCTCAGCACAGAGAGAAACTCTATTTGTTTCGGAGAAAGTAAGAGAAGAAAACAAGAGTCTTTGCCTGGTAACCCAGAGAATTCTAGTTCTTATCCAAGATCACCAATGTGATACCTCAACAAATCTGCAACAACCATAGCATTAGTGGGCTTGGGGTGCACTTTAATGCAGATATGGATTAGATCAGAACACCCAAGTCCTTTTGAACACCTGGAAAGCCTTCTCAAGAAGGATGGGTACAAACACAGAATGAAAAAACTAAAATGAATACCTAACTCTTCAATGCCCAAACACCAACAAACAGCCACAAGTATTAAGACCATCCAGAAAAGTGTAATGTCACAAAATGAACTCAATAAGGCACCATGGACCAATCCTGAAGAGACAGAGATATGTGCCCTTTCAGAAAGAGAATTCAAAATAGTTGTGTTAAGGAAACTCAAATAAATTCAAGATAACACAGAGAAGGAATTCAGAATTCTATCAGATAAATTTAACAAGGAGATTAAAATAATTAAAAAAGATCAAGCAGAAATTCTGGAGTTAAAGAATGCAATTGATGTACTGGAGAATACATCAGAGTCTCTTAGTAGCAGGATTAATGAAGCAGAGGAAAGAATTAGTGAGCTTGAAGACAGGCTATTTGAAATTACACAGTCATAGGAGACAAAAAAGGAAAAGAAACAAAAAAGAATCAAGCATGCCTACAAGATCTAGAAAATACCCTTAAAAGGGCAAATGTAAGAATTATTGTCTTAAAGAGGAGATAGAGAAAGAGATAGGGGTACTAACTTTATTCAAAGGGATATTACAGAACTTCCCAAACCTACAGAAAGATATCAATAGCCAAGAGCAAGTAGGTTATAGAACACTCAGCAGATTTAACCCAAAGAAGATTGCCTCAAGGCATTTAATAATCAGACTTCCATAGGTCAAAGATAAAGAAAGAATTCTAAAAGTAGCAAGAGAGAAGAAACAAATAACATACAATGGAGCTCCAATATGTCTGGCAGCAGACTTTTCAATGGAAACATAGGCCAAGAGTGTATGGCATGATATATTTAAAACGCTGAATGAAAAAACGTTTACCATGCAGTAGTATATCCAGCAAAAATATCTTTCAAACATGAAGGAGATATAAAAACTTCCCCAGACAAACAAAAGCTGAGGGATTTAATAAACACCAGACCTGCCCTACAAGAAATGCTAAAGGAAGTACTTCAATCAGAAAATAAAAGGATATTAATGGGCAATAAGGCATCATCTGAAGGTACAAAATTCACTGGCAATAGTATTGTATTAGTCAGCATTCTCTTATATATATGAAAGTTTATTCAATATTAACTTACACAATCACAAGGTCCCAAAATAGGCTGTCTGCAAGCTAAGGAGCAAGGAGAGCCCGTCCAAGTCCCAAAACTGAAGAACTTGGAGTCCCGTGTTTCAGGGCAAGAAGTATCCAGCACAGGAGAAAAATGTAGGCTGGGAGGCTAGCCCCATCTGTCTTTCACGTTTTTCTGCCTGCTTTTTCTTTGCTGGCAGCTGATTAGATTGTGCCTACCAGATTAAGGATGGACCTACCTTTCCCAGCCCACTGACTCAAATGTTAATCTCTTTTGGCAACACCCTCACAGACACACCCAGGATCAATACATTGTATCCTTCAATCCAACCAAGTTGACACTCAGTATTAACCATCACAGTATATACGCAGAAAAGCAAAGAATATTATAGCACTGCAACTGTGGTATGTAAACTGTGGTATGTGGTACTCTGATCTTAAGTAGAAAGACTAAAAAAAAATGAAGCAATCAAAAATAACTGCAGCAACTTTTCAAGACCTAGGTAGTACAATAAGGTATAAATAGAAACAACAACATTTTAAAAGTTGGGGACAAAGTTACAGCATAGAGTTTTTGTTAGGTTTCTTTTTGCTTGTTTGTCTATGCAAGCAGTGTTGTTAACAGCTTAAAAGAATAAGTTTTAAGATGGTATTTGCAAGCCTCATGGCAACCTAAAAATTAAAAATCATACAACAGACACACAAAATTAAAAGCAAGAAATGAAGTCATACCACTAAAGAAAATTACCTTCACTAAAATAAGACAGGAAGGAAATAAAGAAGGAAAAGAAGACCACAAAACAACCAGATAAAAAATAATGAAATTGTAAGAGTAAGTCCTTATTTATTAATAATAACATTTAATATAAATGAACTAAACTCCAATAAAAAATATCGAGTGGCTGAATGGAAGGTATAAAGAAGAAAACCCATGATCTTTTGCCTTCAAGAAACACACAATCTATAAAGACACACATAGACTGAAAATAAAGGGATGGAAAAAGATACTCTATTCCAGTGGAAATCAAAAAAGAGCAGGAGCTGCTACACTCATATCTCACAAAATATATTTTAATACAAGAACTATAAGAGAAAAAGTCATTATATAACATAAAGGAGTCAATTCAACAAGAGGATATAACAATTGTAATAATATTTACCCAACACTGCAGCTCCCAGATATGTAAAACAAATATTTAAGCTAAGGAAAGAGATAGATGCCAATACAATAATTTTGCCATTGCAAACAATGACAAAAACAGCAATTACTTTTGCACCAACCTAATAAATGCATGTAAATTGGAAAAGAAGAAGTCAAATTATCCTTGTTTGCAGATGATATAATATTATATTTGGAAAAACCTAAAGACTCCATCAAAAAACTATTAGAACTGATAAAGTTAGTGAAGTTCAGGATACAAAATTAACACACAAAAGTCCATAGTGTTTCTGCAAGCCAACAGTGAGCAATCTGAAACAAAAATTAAGAGTGTAATTCCATTTTTAATACCTATAAATAAATTTAAGTACCCAGGAATTAAGAAAGAAAGATGTGAAAGATCTCTACAATGAAAACTATAAAACACTAATAAAAGAAATTGAATAGGCCACAATAAAATGGATATTCCATGTTCATGGATTTGAAGAATCAATATTATTATTTTTTATTTTATTTTATTTTTTATTCTGAGGATTTCATTATTATTATTATTATTATTATTATACCTTAAGTTCTAGGGTACATGTGCACAATGTGCAGGTTTGATACTTAGGTATACATGTACCATGCTGGTTTGCTGCACCCATCAAATCATCATTTACATTGGGTATTTCTCCTAATGCTATCCCTCCCCCTCCCTCCACCCCCCCAACAGGTCCCAGTGTGTGATGTTCCCCGTCTTGTGTCCAAGTGTTCTCATTGTTCAATTCCCTCCTGTGAGTGAGAACATGCAGTGTTTGTTTTTCTGTCCTTATGATAGTTTGCTGAGAATGATGGTTTCCAGCTTCATCTATGTCCCTGCAAAGGACATGAACTCATCCATTTTTATGGATGCATAGTATTCCATGGTGTATATGTGCCACATTTTCTTAATCCAGTCTATCATTGATGGACATCTGGGTTGGTTCCAAGTCTTTGCTATTGTGAATAGTGCTGCAATAAACATACATGTGCATGTGTCTTTATAGTAGCATGATTTATAATCCTTTGGGTATATACCCAGAAATGGGATCACTGGGTCAAATGGTAATTCTAGTTCTAGATCCTTGAGGAATCGCCACACTGCCTTCCACAATAGTCGAACTAATTCACACTCCCACCAACAGAGTAAAAGCATTCCTATTTCTCCTCATCCTCTCCAGCATCTGTTGTTTCCTGACTTTTTAATGATTGCCATTCTAACTGGTGTGAGATGGTATCTCATTGTGGTTTTGATTTGCATTCTCTGATGACCAGTGATGATGAGCATTGTTTAATGTGTCTGCATAGATGTCTTCTTTTGCGAAGTGTCTGTTCATATCCTTTGCCCACTTTTTGATGGGGTTGTTTGCTTTTTTCTTGTAAATTTGTTTGAGTTCTTTGTAGATTATGGATATTAGCCCTTTGTCAGATGGGTAGATTGCAAAAATTTTCTCCTATTCTGTAGATTGCCTGTTTACTCTGATGGTAGTTTCTTTTGCCATGCAGAAGCTCTTTAGTTTAATTAGATCCCATTTGTCTATTTTGGCTTTTGTTGCCATTGCTTTTGGTATTTTAGACATGAAGTCCTTGCTCATGCCAAAGTCCTGAATGGTATTGCCTATGTTTTCTTCTAGGGTGTTTACAGTTTTAGGTCTAACATTTAACTCTTTAATCTGTCTTGAATTAATTTTTGTAAAAGGTGTAAGGAACGGATCCTGTTTCACCTTTCTACATATGGCTAGCCAGTTTTCCAGGCACCATTTATTAAATAGGGAATCCTTTCCTCATTTCTTGTTTTTGTCAGGTTTGTCAAAGATCAGATGGTTATAGATGTGTGGTGTTATTTCTGAGGCCTCTGTTCTGTTCCATTGGTCTATATATCTATTTTGGTACTAGTACCATGCTATTTTGCTTACGGTAGCCTTGCAGTATAGTTTGAAGTCAAGTAGTGTGATGCCTCCAGCTTTGTTCTTTTTGCTTACAATTGTCTTGAATGCGGGCTCTTTTTTGGATCCATATGAACTTTAAAGTAGTTTTTTGCAATTCTGTGAAGAAAGTCATTGGTAGTGTGATAGGGATGGCATTGACTCTATAAATTACTTTGGGCAGTATGGCCAGTTTCAAGATATTATTTCTTCCTATCCATAAGCATGGAATATTCTTCCATTTGTTTGTGTCCTGTTTTATTTCATTGAGCAGTGGTGTGTAGTTCTCCTTGAAGAGGTCCTTCACATCCCTTGTAAGTTGGCTTCCTAGGTATTTTCTCTTTGTAGCAATTGTGAATGGGAGTTCACTCATGATTTGGCTCTCCGTTTTTCTGTTAATGGTGTATAGGAATGCTTGTGACTTTTGCACATTGATTTTGTATCCTGAGACTTTGCTGAAGTTGCTTATCAGCTTAAGGAGATTTTGGGCTGAGATGATGGGGTTTTCTAAATATACAATGATGTCATCTGCAAACAGGGACAATTTGACTTCCTCATTTCCTAATTGAATACCCTTTATTTCTCTCTCTTGCCTGATTGCCCTGGCCAGAACTTCCAACACTATGTTGAATAGGAGTGGTGAGAGAGGGCATCCTTGTCTTGTGCCAGTTTTCAAAGGGAATGCTTCCAGTTTTTGCCCATTCAGCGTGATATTGGCTGTGGGTTTGTCATAAATAATCTTATTATTTTGAGATATGTTCCATCAATACCTAGTTTATTGAGAGTTTTTAGCATGAAGTGCTGTTGTATTTAGTCGAAGGCCTTTTCTGCATCCATTGAGATAATCATGTGGTTTTTGTTGTTGGTTCTGTTTATGTAATGGATTACATTTATTGATTTGCATATGTTGAACCAGACTTGCATCCCAGGGATAAAGCTGACTTGATCATGGTGGATAAGCTTTTTCATGTGCTGCTGGATTCGATTTGCCAGTATTTCACTGAGGATTTTCGCATTGATGTTCATCAGGAATATTGGTCTAAAATTCTCTTTTTTTGTTGTGTCTCTGCCAGGCTTTGGTATGAGGATGATGCTGGGCTCATAAAATGAGTTAGGGAGGATTCCATTTTTCTATTGATTGGAATAGTTTCAGAAGGAATGGTACCAGCTCCTCTTTGTCCCTCTGGTAGAATTTGGCTGTGAATCCCTCTGGTCCTGGACTTTTTTTGCTTGGTAGGCTATTAATTATTGCCTCAATTTCAGAGCCTGTTACTGGTCTATTCAGAGATTCCACTTCTTCCTGGTTTAGTCTTGGGATGGTGTATGTGTCCAGGAATTTATCCATTTCTTCTAGATTTTTTAGTTTATTTGCATAGAGGTGTTTATAGTATTCTCTGATGGTATTTTGTATTTCTGTGGGATCGGTGGTGATATCCCCTTTATCATTTTTTATTGCATCTATTTAGAAGAGTTAATATTATTAAAATGTTCCCACTGCCTAATGCAATCTACAGATTCAATGGAATTTCTATTAAAATACCAATGACATTTTTCACAAAAATAAAAAAAAATCCTAAAAATGTAAGTGTAATAATAAAAGACTCCAAAAAGCCAAAGTTATCCTTAGCGAAAAGAAAATCTTTTTTTATACCTGTTTTCCATTTGTATGTCTTCTTATATCTTCTTATTCTGAAAGAATAACATTACCTGACCTCAGATTATACTACAGGGCTATAGTAACCAAAATGGCATGGTACTGCCATAAAAACAAACACATATACCAGGGGTTCACAATGGTGAACACAGGAATAAATTCATATACTTACAGCAAACTTATTTTTGACAAAGGTGCCAAGAACATAGATTGGGGAAAGGACAGTCTTATCAATAAATGGAGCTAGGAAACTGAATATTCATATTCAAAAGAATGAAACTAGAAAGCTATCTTGTGTGTAAAAAGTCAAATCAAGAAGGATTGAAGACTTAAACCTAAGACCTTATACTATAAAACTACTAAAAGAAAACATTGGAGAAACTCTCTAAGACATTGGAATGGGCAAGGATTTCTTGAGCAATAACCCACAAGCACATGCAACCAAAGTGAAACTGAACAAATGGCATCACATCGAGTTAAAAGGATTCTGCTCAGCAAAGGAAACAATCAACAAAGTAAAGAGACAACCCACACAATGGGAGAAAATATTTTCAAACTACCCGTCTGACAATTAATTAATAACCAGAATGTATAAGGAGCTCAAATAAGTCTATAGGAAAAATCTAATAATCTGATTTTCTAAATGAGCAAAAGATCTGAATAGATATTTATCAAAAGAAGACATACAAATGGCAAACAGATATATAAAAAGGTGCTCAACATCACTGATGATCAGAGAAATGCAAATCAAAACTACAGTGAGATATTACCTCACCCCAGTTAAAATGGCATTTATCTAAAAGATAGAAAATAACAAATGCTGGTAAGGATGTGGAGAAAAAGGAATTTTTATTTTTTTAATGTTTAATTTTTAATTTTTGTGGGTACATAGCAGATATATATATTTATGGGTTACATGAGATATTTTGATATAGACATGCAATACCAAGTAATCACATCACGGTAAATGTGATATTCTTCACCTCAAGCATTGATCCTTTGTGTTGCAGACATTCCAATTATACTCTTTTAGTTATCATCCACTATTGGTGAGAATTCAAACTGTACAACCACTATGGGGAACAGTTTGGAACTTTTTCAAAAATCTAAAAATGGAGCTACTACATGATTCAGCAATCCCACTGTGAGGTATATACCCAAAAGAAAGAAAATTAGTATATCAAAGAGATATCTGCACTCACATGATTACTGCAGCACTATTCAACACAGCCACACTTTGGGAGCAACCTAAGTGTCCATCTACAGATGAATGGATAAAGAAAATGTGATAGAAATACACAACGTAGTGCTGTTTAGTCATAGAAAAGAATGAGATCCTGCCATTTGCAACAACATGGATGTAACTGGAGGTCATTAATTTAAGTGAAATAAGCTGGGCACAGAAAGACAAACTTCGTATGTTCTCACTTATTTGTGGGAGCTAAAACTTAAAACAATTGAACTCCAGGAGAGAGAGAGAGAAGAAGGGTTGTTATCATAGGCTGGGAAGGGTAATAGGTGGTGGGAGAAAATGGGGATGGTTAGTGAGTACAAAAGAATAATTAGAAATAATGAATAAGACCTAGCATTTGCTAGCACAACAGGTTGACTATAGTCTGAAATAATTTAATTGTACATTTCAAAATAACTAAAATAATATAATTGGAACGTCTGCAACACAAAGAATGAATGTTTGAGGTGATGAGTATCCCATTTACCCTGATGTGATTATCTTTCATTGCATGTCTATATCAAAATACCTAATGTAAACCATGAATATATACACCTACTATGTAACCACAAAAGTTAAAAATTAAACATAAAAAATAGAACTTCTAATAATTTCAACATTCATTTATTATTTACTCCACTAATATACCTACAATAATTTTAGAATTGCTGCACCTACACCACTATGACAAACCCACCCAAAAGATTCCAGGTTTTGTTTACTCTTTTTCCCTGACTGCAAGAGTGAGTATTTAGTCAAATTTTGTGTAAAAATGTCCTTGAATTTACTCTTTCATACATTTTCTTCCTTCAGTGTGATTATTTTATTTATTTGAAAAGAATGAGTTTGTTTTCAGCTTATTTTCTGAGTATTTTTCCAGCCTTATGATATAAAGTTATGTTTTGAATATGTAGAACATTAACAGGCTTCCAAAAGTCAAAGTATAGAAAAGTTATATCCAGAACTGTATCATCCCTCCACCAAGTTTTCTCATTATTCCCTATAGGTAAGCAACTTCATTGTTTTCTTATTTATCCTCCTGGTTCATTTTTGTAAAGATTATCAGATTATAGTTTTTCATTTACTCATCTTTCTTAAACAAAAGATAGCATTATATATCTATATTTATATTGATATAGAAAGATACATCTACTCTTCACTTTTTTCACCTTAATAATTGCTATTTAATATATCTTGGTAATGACCCTATAAAGTTCATAGAGCAAGCTTTCTTTTGTTTTTACTGCTGCATAATACACCATTGTGTGTAATAAGTACTTCAGTGTTTATGTCTATGCTTGAAAGAAATCTGTGTTTGGAAATTTAAGTAACAGCTAATATTTTGCCATCACAAAAAACATGAAATGTATATATGGATTTTCATATTTTTGGATATATATCATTAGGATAAATTCTCAGAAATAACATTTCTTAATCAAAGAGAAAGCGCATATTAGTTTTCTTAGATATGGTTGGCCCACTGTATCAGCAGGTTCCACAGCCATGGACCCCACCAATCAGTGGATGGGAAAAAAAAGTAATAATAAATAACAATACAAAAAATGCAAATTAAAACAATACAGTATAACAATGATTTACATAGCATTTACATTATATTAGGCATTGCAAGTAATTTAAAGATGACTTAAAGTATTTGGGAGGATGTGCATAAGTTATACACAAACACTGTGTCATTTTATATATGGAACTTGAGCATCCTCAGACTTTGGTAACCACAGGGATTCTGAAGCCGATCCCTTGCTGATAGCAAGAAGCCACTGTTTTGAAAAATTTCCCTCTGTAGACTTTATAAAATTTTTTATTCCCAACAGCATTTATGAGAATTCTTATATTTTCACAACCTCCACAATAAAAGCTGTTTGCAAGTTTTTGAGTCTTTGCCAATCTGCTGATTAAGAAGTACTGTCTTCATGTAGTTTCAATTTGTATTTATCTTATCATGAACATTGGATATCTTTTCATATGTTTAAGAACTATTTTTAGATTTGTTTTTGCTCTTCTTTTTACAGAATCTTCGCCTTTTTTTCTTTTTTAATAAGTTCTTTGTAGTGGTTTCTAACATGTGTTACACATTTTCTCCTAACTTATTTATCTTTTGACCTTTTGAACACTTTTCTCTACATAAAAATTTCTGATGAATTATATAGTCAAATATATGTGACTTTTCTTCTATTGTCTCCAGATTTTTTAAATCATAGTTCTAATGCCTATCCTTATACCTATTTTTCCTATAGTATTTTTAAATTTTCTTTTGTACATTTACATTTTTACATTTTCCACTTTACATTTGCATTTCTCTTACATTTGGACTTTATTCTTGTTAATGTTATAGAAAATTGATGTAATTTTATTTTTTACAAAATGACTCTATAGTTTTCCCAAGAGCATTTCTTAAAAAGTCCACTTTGCCCTAGAGATTTAATATCCACCTTTTTGATATTCTAGTTTTCCAAATGTAGTTGAGTTAATTTGTGCTTTTTCCATTCTATTTTATTGGTTAACTTACCTGTTCTTATGAAAGTCCATACTGTTTTTAATTATAGAGGCTTCATAGTTTGTTTACTATCTGTAGCATTTGTTTCTCTCCATTAAAATGCTGTGTGAAATGATGTGCCAATTCTACAGATAGAAAGCTCAGCTCTTGGAAAGAAAAAAATGTTACAATTTGTCATTTTTATCAATAAGGCATTTCTAATAGTACTCACCAAACTTTATTATCTGACCCTTATTATTATTATTGTTAAATTGAATTTGAAAGTGTGTCATTTATTATTATAGTTGAAAAAAGGTATTTTAAAAGGAAGGAAGCCAAATATGGTAGATAGAAAATGTAGCCTTTTCACAATTTGCTATAATCTATCCACATTGCAAATAAGAGATCAAAGACAGGTGTTAATGGGTGCTGCGATTTTAGTATAAAACCAGTTGCTATTTAATGCATCAGGTGGGTGGTGACTCCAAAAATATAAACAGGCAGAGCTTTGGGGTGGCAATCCAGTTAAAAAGAAAAGTTAGGGGTCTGACTTTTTGATCGTATAGCTATCACATTGTTCTTGTTAATTTTATGATGTTTTCATTAGATGATATGTTTATCTACAGTGAGTGAAGGATCCCAGTAGAAACCATGGGGTAGGTGAGATTGCTCAAGAAAAAGCTACAGCTTCACTTCCACTATCCCACATACATAGCTTGAGCACCACCAAGAAAACTGGAGAGTTTCTTGGAAAACTTTAGGACCTTGGAATCAAGGTAAAACAAAGCTAGGGCAACAGATAATGTATCATTGCAATATTTATTGGAATGATATATTGCAAAAAAAATTATTCCTATTAATCACAAGTGGAAATACCTGTATAGTTTAGCTTGGTCACCTCAGGACAATTTTACCATTCCAGCTGTATTTTTGTATTACACTATGAAGTCTTTGAAGTCTGTATTCTGTAAGACACTTTGAATTGCCAGTGACAGAAAGCCAGTTCAAACTGGCTTAAGTTCAAAGGAAATATACTGCCAAATATTCCAGGGAAGCTGAGGAACGCACACTTCAGCAATGAAATTTTCTAGTTGAATCCATTCTGCATGAAGTCCACTTGGCAGGCAAGATGGCTGTTTGCAGTTCCAGACTTCCATCCTCCTAGTTTAACAACCACAGTAGAAAATGCTTCTTTATTTTCTCTTTGAAATTACTAAAAAAAGACTTTGTCTGACCTTGCTTGGCTCATATGCGCACCCTTGGCTCCTGCCATGGTTACATGCCCATTCTGTATCCTGAATGGTGATTTCCTCAAGGAGAAGAAGCTGCCAGACACAAAGAAGAGGTCTACTTCAAAGACTGAGTCAAATCTGAGTTACCTTTGTATTCCTCCTCTACAGGTATTCAACCTCCCAGATTTTTAATCAGTGGATGCCAGAGAAGCAAAGTAACATTGTCACTGATGAATTTATTTAATATGAAAAGAGGCCAAGGTATGTTACTAGAAAGAAAGAAGTAAAGCAAAAGCAGAGAAGATTGGCAGGTAGGAGAGCAGATGTGAAGAGAAGGGGAAAACATACACAATGTGAAAAATAAGGTGAAATTTGTCTTTGCTTTGTTTTATGTGCTTGTAGAGAGAGTCAGTAAAAAACCATGGTGACTTTATTCATGAGAGAAATAATTTTAAAACCATGCATAATTATTGCCACCACATTTAGAGAGCCTTTATAAAATGCCAGTGAGTTTATCTAATTCTTCTCATGACTTGGTTATTGTTAGCTGTGGTATGTCTGTTACATTGTTACAATGTTATGCAACAGTAGATATTTTAATGGACAACCCCAGTGGGTTTTGTGTGTATATGCTAAGTATAATTACTGTTGTTTTACAGATGAAGATTCTGGAGATAAATTGAAATGCTAAGGTTATTTAACAATGACATGCTAGAATTGGTAGCCAAGCCTTTCATCACAATCCTATCACCCAATGCCTGAACTCTCCCATTCCTGTCAGTGAAAACACAAACCAACACTGTGGAGGTAATACACAAATGGCAACATGCCCTCCTCTACCCAGATCAACCATGGTTAGCCTTATATCCTCCAGGAGACAGAACACAGGAGACACACACATATGTGCAGTCATGCACACAAATCTACCAAAAGCAAAGCATCACTGAGTAATGGAGTGTTGACTGCTGATTTGGAGATTCAAAGGGGTTAAATCACATTGTGCAATCTACAACATTATTTGGCTAAATAACTCTTTTCTCCTGAAGCCCTTATGCACCCTGAGGCTCAGGTCCATCACCTAGGAAGCTTTTCAAAAATATTTCAACAAAGAGACTTTTTCTATCAAGAATTCCAGTAACCAAGCCAAGGAAATACAACTTTTATAAATAATAATAATAATGATAAATTACATATATGTAGCCAACCACATTTATTGCTAACCACCAGGCAATTTTGTAGGATTATTACATTTAATGCTTAGAATATTCCTATGACATTGTTATTGCTATTTTTATTTCTCAGTTGCCTAAAGTCACATATTAAATGGAAAAGCTGAAATGTACAACTCTAGTTTAGTCTAAATACAATGCCAAGGTTTTTTGTCCAAAGCAGAGTACTTTTCGATATATGTAATCCACAAATTGGCATGTAAAAACCTTCATTTTACATAAAATATGCATTTCTCTAGGCATTTTATTTAGGTCTCTGGTATATTTTGATTAAACTAAGTAAGCAGTTAAAGATCTAATCTCTTGATGTCTTTAGTGTTAAAGATAAATAAGGTCAAAACACTTTTTACATGTAGTAACTCAGTTGACTATCATCATAGACCTGTTAGGAAGGCACTTTTGTAGTACATTGTACTGGAGAAGAAATAATGAATTCTAAATCCAAGCTTCTCTAACTCTGCCATAAAAAGTAGGCTAGCTGAAGTTCTCCAGTGCAGTTGAGAGATGATCATAAAGACTCATCTGAGGGTTGCATTCACAGGTGCCTATTAAGATGTCTGGGGGATTTATACATCTGCCTCAATAGGATCAAAAGAACAGGAGAGTTAAGACAGTAACAGTCAACACAAGGAAGCACTTCTTAAGAGCCATGGGGAGCCTGACAACCAATTTTCATTCCTTTAGCATTTTAAATGTCCTATTTCAAATCCTGTCTCTCCTGTATAAATTATGTGGGTGAGGTGGAAACACAAATTCACTTAGAGCAACCAACTATTTTTCAATCTTTTTCCTACTTGGGTTACTTTTACCTCTTAGAATTTTCCTTCTGAAGTTCATTCACTTTGACAAAAGAGACAAAAGCAAAAAGTTTTAATTGTTCAATTTCCTTTCTACCGAATAAAAATCTTATTCCATTGAACCCCCCTTTTTTTATATATTTTTCTTTCTTGCCCAAACACGAATAAAATTATCACTATTGCCGTTATATTTGTTCCAGGGCTCAGACCTTGGGGCTTTGGGATTTTAAATATTGTTATTATAGTTGTGGGTAACATTATTCAAAGGAGCCTCTTTTGCTTAAGTCCTTTTAAAATTCAGGGTACATCTTAGAGCTCCCTGTGCACCAACACCAAGTTTTGTTTATGTAATTCAAATTCTTCTTCACCTAGATGATTGCCAAATGGAAATTGAAAGTCTTCAAGGACTAAAAATACTTGGTGAACAGTCAGCAGGTTTGCAGTGTCTTTGGCTATGGAAGCTTGGATAAAATATGAACAGGAATCAAATTTTAGGTCAGGACAGACATTAAGAGGACAAAACAAGCAATATTGAGCAGCAAAGTGCATAGCATTGCCAACCAATGCATGTCAAAAAAAGGCTTAGTTCAAATCCAGGGCAAGCACTTGATAACTACCTGATCTTGCTAACTTGCTGAATTTCACTCATCCTCCATCTTTTAATGTGTGCAATGGAAATAACAGTAGCACCTGCCTTCAAAGGTCTTATAAGGATTAAATAAACTAATGCCTATGAGAAATTTTGAACAATCTCTGACATATATTAAGAGCATAATATAAAGTAAGTATGCCAATGTAAATATTTGTAGTTGATTGGATAAGAATCATAGGTGAAAAGGGATTCTCTACAATGAAGGTCCCTGGATATCATTCAATTCAAGAGGATAGCCACTAGGAAGTTCTCCTGGCAACTAGGTTAAAAATTTAGTGCTAATGTCTATATCTTGTATGTATTTGGTTTGCCCTCATGATCTCTCAAGGCCTTGTAATGTTTTCTGAGGCAGATGTGGAGAATAATATGTGAATGATTCTTCTGCTGTTTTCCCAGATTCAGAGAAATCTGGAGAAGTGGTGCATAACAGAGTTAGAGAGTACATTTTCCCCAGCAAGTGGAGACTATTAAGAGACTTGTTATGAAGAGGCAAAGATAAGAGTCATCATTGTCTAAAAAAATCTTTCTCTAGATAACCCAAGTTCAAGCCACATGCCCATTATTTCTTAGGACCACAGAAGAGTGCTGCAAAAACTCCATGTAAAGAGGCATGTCTTGGCCAGGCACAGTGGCTCATGCCTGTAATCTAGCAGTTTGGGAGGCTGAGGTGGGCAGATCACTTCAGGTCAGGAGTTCAAGACCAGCCTGGGCAACATGGCAAAACCCCATCTCTACTAAATATACAAAAAAATTAGCCAGGCTTGGGAGTGCATGCCTGTGGTCCTAGCTACTCGACAGGCTGAGGCATGAGAATCGCTTGAACCCAGGAGACGGAGGTTGCAGTGAGCCAAGATCACACCACTGCACTCCAGCAGGGGCGAGACTCTGTCTCAATTAATCCATCAATCAATAAAATAAAGAGGCATCTCTTAAAAACTCTGTAGAGAAAGGTGAATAATTTATCCTATTTTTTTTTGCCATAAAGCTGGCTAGTATGTGCTTATGGCATTACTGCTAAAAGATAAGGTATGGAGATTGACCTGAAGCTCTTCGCTTGCTTGAGGGCCTTCCATACCATAGCATTTTCCACCAGAGGTAATTTTATACTTTTCACATGATTATTTCATTAATACCTATGTCTTCCAATCAACCAAAAGTACCATGACAGTATACACCCTGTCTTATTGTATCATTTTATCCCCAGTAGCAAACTTGGTGTCTGATATTTAATACATATCCCATAAATATTTGCTGAATGAATTCATAAATTAATAAAAAAGAATGTATAACTCTGTCATCTATAATTCCCCCCAAAATGTTCATACAACTGCACATATCAAATAACATGGATTTTAGTTGACAATTGTTCATATTTGCCACAAATAAAATAGTGAGGAACTTTAAAACCAGGAGACATAATTAGGAACCACTATAGAGGATTTGTTAGTCTGTAAAGAAATGGCCAGTCTTGGCAGGGCGTGGTGGCTCACGCCTGTAATCCTGGCACTTTGGGAGGCTGAGGCGGGTGGCTCACGAGGTCAGGAGATCGAGACCATCCTGGCTAACACTGTGAAACCCCGTCTCTACTAAAAATACAAAAAGTTAGCCGGATGTGGTGGCGGGCGCCTGTAGTCCCAGCTACCGGGAGGTTGAGGCAAGAGAATGGCGTGAACCTGGGAGGCGGAGCTTGCAGCGAGAGGAGCTGGTGCCACTGTGCTCCAGCCTGGGCGACAGAGGAAGACTCCGTCTCAAAAAAAAAAAAAAAAAAAAAAGAAAAGAAACAGCCAGTCCAGAGCTACTCAAGAAAGCATGTTTCTACTCTTTTGTGTTTGAGGCAGGAGCTATTTTCTGATTGGTTTTTCTTTTACTATCACTATTTAGGCTGGTGCAATGGCAAAAACCACAATTACTTTTCCACGAACCTAATAAAAGTATTCCACATTAAAGAATATTTTTTTAAAAGAAAAAAAGAGTAAACAACTAAACTTTTACTCTGTTAAATAAAACAAAAGCTACAGTAAAAATACAAAATCTGTCTTGACAGCACCACTACAGAGGTCCACATTTGGCTTATGGATGTGACTTATTCCCATATTAAAAAAAAGTTTTATTAAAATTATCCATCCTCAGACATTGTAAAATAACATATGAAAATCCGAATTTTTTTTCTTTTGGTAAGTTGGAATGTCTGACTACCCTGAACTGTCTTCCTGGTGACATCCATCTACTCAGAGTGGTTGCCACTCTTTTTCAACAGAGGGTCAGGATCACATGCTCTCCAGTTACCCTAAAGTTTCCTCTACTTCTTATTGCCTTGTCTAAACCAATGCTGGGGTCCATCCCACAGAACCTGACCCAGTGATGCATGAATAACATACACTGACACAGATATTCTGCCTGTCAGTTCGGCTAAGGGTCCGGGCCCCTCACAGACCCTAAGGAAGGTGCTGTAAAAAGTAGCAGCTGTGCCCCTGACTAGCTGGCCCTGCCAGCATTTATTCAGCATACATTAAATGACAAAGGCTTTGAGTCAACACACCTGTAGGTAATTAATTTGGTCACCCCTCCTCTCAGAGACCCATCCTGCCCGCGAATGATCAAAGGTTAGTTTTAGGACCACATGAGTAAACAAGCTATTTAGATAAACTCCCTTATATTCCTTTGTACCCACCTTAAGCTATTAAGTTAAGGATTAGGCTGCCTTCAGCCAGATCTATTACTGGATCTTATGCAAACCCTCCAGCCTTCCAAGAAGGTGTGTGTCTATATCTTATAAGTTCATCTTAAAATTTTTCCAACTACAGTGACTGATCCCCTACAAACCAAGACAAAATTTCAGTTGTAATATTAAAAACAAATGAGATAATCATAGGATTTTTGTTTTTAATTCTGTTTGGTGATAAAAACTCTCAATTAACTAGGCATTGAAGAAACATACCTCAGAATAATAAAAGCCATCTATGACAAACCCACAGCCAATGTCATACTGAATGGGCAAAAGTTGGAATCATTACCTTTGAGAAATGGAACAAGACAAGAATGCCCACTCTCACCACTCGTATTAACATAGTACTGAAAGTCCTAGCCAAAGCATTCAGGTAAGAGAAAGAAATAAATGGCATCCTAATAGGAAAAGAAGAAGTCAAACTATCTCTCTTCACTTACAATATTATTCTATACCTAGAAAACTCTAAAGACTCCACTAAAAGGCTTCAAGAGCTAATAAACTATTTCAGTAAAGTTTCAGCATACAAAATCAATGTACAAAAATCAGTAGCACTTCAGTACAGAAATAATGTTTAAGCTGAGAGCCAAGTCAAGAATACAATCCCATTTATAAGGGCCACAAAAATAAGACATATAGAAATATATTTATAAAGGAGGTGAAAGATCTCTACAAGGATAATGACAAAACACTGTTGAAATAAATCAAAAATAACACAAACAAATAAAAAAATCCGAGCTCATGGATTAGAAAAACCAATGTCATTAAAATGACCATATGCCTAAAGCAATCTACTGATTCAATGATATTTCTATAAAAATACCAATGTCATTTTTCACAGAATTAGAAAAAAACTATTCTAAAATTCGTATGGATCCAAAAAAAACGCCTGAATCACTAAATCTAACCAAAAAGAACAAAGCCAGAGGCATCACTTCAAACTACACTGCAGGGCTACAGTAAACAAAACAGCTTGGTACTAGTACAAAAACAGACACGTAGACAAATGGAACAGAATAGAAAAGTCAGAAATAAAGCCGCACACCTATAGCCATCTGATCTTCAACATAGTCAATAAAAGTAAGCAGTGGGAAAAGGACTTCCTATTCAATAAACGGTGCTGGAATAGTTGGCTAGCTATCTGCAGAAGAATGAAACTAGACTTTCACCTTATACAAAAATTAACTCAAGATAAATTAAAGATTTAAATGTAAGATCTCAAACTATAAGAATCCCAGAAGAAAATCTAGGACACACCATTCTGGACATTGGCTTTGGGAAAGAACTTATGATTAAGTCCTCAAAAGCAATTGCAACAAAAACAGAAATTGACAAGTGGGACCTAATTAAACTGAAGAGCTACTGCACAGCAAAAAGAACTATCAACAGAATAAACAGACAACCTACAGAATCAGAGAAGATATTCACAAACTATGCATCTGACAATGGTCTAATAAAGGAACTTAGCAAGTAAAATTCAATAAGCAAAAAACAAGTAACCCCATTAAAAAGTGGGAAAAAGGCAAGAACAGATACTTCTCAAAACAAGCCATACAAGTGGATAACAAATACATGAGAAAATGCTCAACATCACCAATCATCAGAGAAATCCAAATAAAAACCACAATGAGATACTGTCTCATACCCATCGAAGGGATATTATTAAAAAGTCAAAAAACAGCAGATGTTGATCACAAAGAGTGGATTTATGGACCTAATTTTAGGTGTCAACTTTACTGGATTAAGGAACACCTAGAAACTTAATAAAGCATTATTTTGGGTGTGTCATTGAGGATGCCTCCAGAGGAGTTCAGCACGTGAATCTAAATGGACTAGGTGGGGAAGCTCTGCCCTCAGTGTTTGGTGGGCACCACAGAATTTACCAGGGGCCAGGAAATAACAAATATAGAAGGCAAATTGGTTTCTCTCTGAGAGCTGGAACAGACTTTTCTGCTGCTGCCTTGAACACAGAACTTCAGTCTCTCTGGCCTTCAGATTCCAGGAGCTATATCTGTGTCCCCACCACCTTGGGTCCTGAGACTTTTGGCCACAGACTGAGAGTGACACCATCAGATTCCTTGATTTTTAACATGAAAACATTAAAACTTCCTCAGTAAATAAAGAGATGTCTTTTTGTACCTCTGCATTTATGAAAGATAAAATTTCCCAAGATGTCATCTCACTGGGCTACTGCATATACAGTGGTGATCCATTGAACTTTTTGGTTGATCATATCAGAAGGCTTACATTACCCATCATGATATTTCAGATGACAACAGTTATAAAGTTGAGTACACACAACTGCCAACTATAGTGATATACATTTATATGTTTCACTTTTTGACCTACTTCTTTAGGAATACAGTTTGTCTGCTCATAACCATTATGCCTGTGTGACTGTTCTAAATATACCTGGGAATTTATGCTTGCAAAAATATGTATGCTATTATTGCCTATTTCATTATGTCAAGTAGCGTATGAACTGTTCTGTCATGTTTTTATATGTTTCTCAAATAAGACCTCTTTTAAAAATATAAATAAATGTCTTTTAAATTTTTGGTTTCATTAGTTTTTTTAGAACTCTATTTTTGGAATTTTGATCCTTCAGGATTGGGACTTTTGAGATTTTAGACTTCAAAGATTTTGATACTTTGGGATTTCACCATACAGGATTATGATCCAAACCCCTGGCAACCACCATTTTATTCTCTATTTCAATGAATTGTATTTATTATACAATGAATTTTTTCCTTTTTCATTCAGGCCTTCCTTAGCTTGATAAGCTTTGATGGGAGCACTATATGGATTCATATTCCCTTTTCGGGTAGAGCAATGGCATAGGACCCAAACAGGACAGAGTAACAGATGGTATCAGTGGTATTGAAAGCTGTTTGCCAAAGTCATATATTTTATATTAGCAAGATCTGGAAAGTAGACTTGTGAGTCATTATCCTGTTGTTTTATCATTCCTGGAGTTTGGTTTGAAATGATTTTTTTCCTAAGTAACCCCAGTGAAAATTAAACTTTACCAAGATGTTCTCTTCATTTTTAAATTAAAATGAATCCAACACATTTTATTAAGCACCTGCTGGGACTAACTCCTCTGTGATGAATGCCAAAGAGAGAACACGACTTGCCCTTGAAAATCCTGGATTTAGAGAGAATCTCCAAGCCACATTTCCTCATCCATAAAACGAAGTTAGTTTCGTCTAGCCCTAACCTCTTCGTATTTCCGTGACAGAAAAAAGATAATAATGCAAATCAATTTCTAATCACATATATAGGACAATGTAGGTATCAAACAGGAAAAAAATATTTTATTTAAAAAAATATGATTTGAAGTTTAGACTCAAGGCAACTCACAGAGATAGAAATAAATTTGAATGTAAAAAAGATGAAAGAAAAATTGGTTTAACATTTTAGAGGATTCGTGTTGGAGGTATACTGAAACCTTTGGTTAAATAAAATAGAGTCCATTAAAAAAAGACTTTGGATATTTGGCTATGAAATTAGACATAAAACTGATAGACAATGGATTACTGAGAAAGGGTACAATATCAAGAAATTTGTGTTTGAAGAAAACAATAAGTTAATAGCACTATGAATGAGTAGGTGGCCAAGGATAAGTAAATAAACTATACGTTTTTCTCTTTAGGCTTGAACTAGTAAGTTCTTAGATTTTGTGGGAACAGTGAAGAATTAAAAGCATTGTCATCAGAGAAAATGTGGAGAGTATGATGTATTTTATACATTCAGGTAAGTGACAAAGAAGAGAAAGGTGTTTTATCAAGTGGAATAAAGAAAGGATCAAGCAAAGACAAATTTGTTATATTTAAAGTGCTGGAAATATCCCTGCGGAGATGTCCTGTAAATCGAATTGGAAACTTATAGGACATGAAGGTTTAGACCACAGATTTAAAAGGAAGATAGGACGAGTTCGATTCTCCAGTCTGTGTCATTCTGGCTATTTGTCTGTGGGAAATTTTCCTATAAATATAACTCTGTGTTACAATAAGGGCTGAAGATAACTATTGGTGAGGCATTAGCATAAGACTGATAAAACAGACCAAGAAAATGAACTGGTGGAAGGGGCCCATGTGGAGCAAGAAAAGTATGGGTCCAATGACCAGGCTGTTAAGAACACCCAGGAAATAAAAAGAGTACAGAATACAAATAAGAGGAGCACAGAATGAGCAGAAATTTGGAAGTACATATATGAAGACAGGGAAGGAAAGGGAAGGGGAAGAATCTAGAAGGAACATATAAGAGTGAAAATGGTATTGAGAGGTTGAGGCAGATAAGAATAACTCACTCAAAGTGGCTAAAATATTATCATGAGAGTTTAAATGTAATTGTGGGAAAGGAGACTATATAATTCTAAGTTAAAACATGGTGAATAATAAGAGAAATAGAAACTGAAAGTTTATAGCATTGATTTAAGAAGATCAGGCCAATAGCGTATGCTTGGAATCTTGGAAGTTATAAGCATTCAAACGCCATCCAACTTTTGGATTGCTCTCACATTTCTTTTGTCATTCATAGAAACAAAAGTAACTCCATCTTGGATACCAATCCATGACTTCTAACCCCTAGGACCCTGAGTGCTTTCTGATTCCTATGTTATTCACTGTCCTTAGTATAGAACATGTCAAACTTGATGTTTTTGCACAAATTATAGATTATAATGCACACAACATTCTTGCCTGTTCTGGGGGGTTCTTTTTAAATTGTCTTCCTGGAGCACGAGCACTCTTTCGCTATGGTATATAGCCCTGGGTCTCAGAATTAACACTGTGGGGATCCATTATACCTGTCTTGCTGCCACACAAGACTATGCTCCTGTCTGTAAGTTTCCCCAACCAAACACCCTTTGTCGACAAACTGGATTCGTCTGCCTTGTTCGTTGGTTTCTCAGCAACTTCAACATTTGGGGGCTGCTTTGTATATACAGCTCTTTCATTATATTCTATGAAAAAAATCGGTGATTCTTCAGTGTTGCATAATTTATTGTAAATGGTATATTTGGTATTGTAAAATTTTGTCCTAAAGGGGACAAAAGAATAAGAGAAACTGAGTTTGAGGGTGCTTACTCTATCCTTCCTATGGTACTGATTCGTTTACGTCAAGAGGCAATGATTATCCCATAACTATAAGTAAGAATTCCTGACTCAGACTGCTTGGGTATGAAAGTTGTCCCTGCAACTTTTCAGATGTATAATCACGAAAATGTCAACATAATGCCTCAGTTTTCTCATCTATAAAATGGGGGAAATAATGTTGCTTACCTTATGGGATGTTATGGGCATAAATTAAACTAATACAAACGGAACACTTAGAAGAGTATGTTGTACACAGTGAGCTCTCAATAAATGTTTGTTATTATTACCAGATAGCTCACTTATTTCTCATAGTAATCCTTATGCCTTAAAATCTTTTAGCTTTTTAATATGGCTCACTTGATATTTTTATTCAATGTATCATATAATAAAATAGGTGTTTATAGGTTTGTAAATCAGTCTCCTAAACTTAAGTTATTACATTGGTTTGTCTGAATATTGGCTCAAATAAATCTAAGCACACCATGATACTCACTATATGTACTATATTAATCATAATCTAATATAGATTGAAAATGACAGTAATAATTACAGGTTTTGTTTAAAATAATAATCTAAAGTGTAGACAAATATTAGCAATATATATGTAATAGGACTTTATTAATTTATTTATCATTTTATAAACCCAGTTGCCTTGAAGGTATATGGGTTTAGTTTACTAAAGATCCCTTTGTAAAGGTGAGCACTATTTATTAAGATACAGTAGGTGTGTGAAATGAGTTGAAATGTTCATTATAATAAGAAAAAGATAAGATGGAGGAAAGGAGAGGAAGGGGGAAAGTAAATCCGTAGAAGGAAAAACACAGAAAAACCAAACAAGGTTGCAAATGCCTTTCATTCTGTAGTGTGATCCTCTCTATCACACCTAAAACATCACTGAATTTTATTTATTGAATAATTCTTGTCTTTTATTTAATATTCACATTAAAGCAAGACAAAATAGACTCTAGGTAACAAGTGAAAAAAGTTCTTGAAGCACTTTTCAGTAGTTTACGAAATCTCTGGGAAGCTGAAGAAACTATGTCTGAAAATAGGCAGAAACAAATGAAAGCTGAATGGACCAAATCAAAACCAAATCACACCACAAAATTCATAAACTGCTGCTTCCATAGATCAATAAATGCAGCTGTCAGGCATGTGGTTGTCACCACTGGTTGGGGGAATTGGATTCTGGTGGTGACAGTTTTGACGATGCTGGGACTGGAGCTGGGTGTTACTGCTGCCGCTCATTTAAAAATGAATTCTCCACCACTTATACTTCTTTGTGTCACTGGCTCCATGTGTAGATACAATTGACTGGACAAACCAGTACTTTCTTCTGCCCGTACACTAGCTGCCAGAAATTTCAAAAAAAACTCATAGATAGGCATTAAGCACGTCATCAAAGCAAAAGTGTCATATCCTGGGAAATCTATAGAAATGTCTATTAGACCTTTTTGACATTGAATTAATTTTGTTGGCGACAGTTGGGAAGGAAATGTTCATGTAAATGAAGTAAAATTTGTCATGGACAGATATGACCTTGACAATGTATATCTTCCTGGGAACCCATAGAAATCTTGAGACGGACTTTGGATAAACCTAGGTAGCAGAATCAAGGGTTCAAAGATGTCAGGGAGTTGTTTTACGTTTTTTCCAAGGTGGTGGACTGAAGACATTGTTAGTATGTGTCTCCCACTTGGAAAGACAAAATATTGTGTAGAGATTCATGCTGTGAACTTTTTTCCAAGAAGCACCACAGGAACTTAAAAGGAAAACTGAAAGAAGCCACAGACCCTTTGAAAGAAGTGGCCAGCAGCAGCCTAGACCATAAGCCAGGAAGAAAACTGTGAGTCCCAGAGTGGGAGAGGGAGAGAGACTGCCTGTGTGATATACTCTCCCATTGGTGAACCTGGCAATCCAGGTTAACCCTATGCAGTCCTAGAGCTGATTTAGTGAGTGGTGGGGAGTATATGAGGAGGGGTGGCACTGGGATATGCTTTGAATGCACTCCCAGACTCCAGCAGGATCAGAGGAAAGACGTTCCTGATCCTACCTCACAGGGGACCTCACAGAAGTCAGCCAGTTAATTCAGGCAGTGGTTATAGGTGGAGAGAAGCTCCTGACTGAGATGTGCAATATAATCTTGTGTGGGAATGAACCCCCTTGGCCAGAACCAAGGGGTGAGTGGGGAGTGTGCTATAGTCATGGGCAGTACTGGCTACATGGATGAACCTAGAGGGGCATGGTGTGAATGACAGACAATTTCTGTCTTCCTGGGAATGGCTTATGGCCTGGGGCATTTTTGAGTTCTGAGCACAGGCTGCCTGGAACCACAATAGCTGCTGCTAATGGAACACTGTGGGTGTGAGATCTGCCTTTCCAAGTGAGTGGCAGCAAGGTGGGGCTTACTGCCACCTGCTAACCCCACTCCCCTTGCAGATCCTTTTGTGCAGCAGAGGCAGCTGTGCTCCTCCATGGAACATCACACCAGTAGCCAGATAATTGCCCTCCAATTCCGATTACGCCCATTGCTTTCACCCCCAGGTGGGGAGCCAGAGCATAGATTGCCTGGCCCAGCCCCCGCCTGGCTTTGCCCCTACACCCTCCCTGGTAGCTTAACACAACGGACAGGGACTTTTGGGAACTCCATCGCCCTGCCCACTGCCAGAGTACTTACCTTGGGTAACGTAAGGCAAGCACAAATCTCACCACTACCACCGCAGCTGGCTCTCATTTGCAAGTTTCACCTCTTGGCGGGAGGCCAGCGGACACAGTCCATTACGGCATCTGCAGCACAATAACTGGGCCCAAGAAGGAGAAAACTTTTGTGCAACCGCAGCTGTCACCACTGACTACACCACTCTGACTAACCAGAAGGTCTCGAGTCTTTCCACCTAACCAATACATTACCACTGCTGTTGGCATTTGAGACAGCCAAAACACTAAGGCTATTTATAACCAAGGAAATTTCACAAGAGTCTACATCACTCCCAAGTCCAAGGTAACCTACATCAGAACTGGTGTTGGTAACTGCTGCTGGGGGACTAGAGGACAGATCACATCACTGGACCCCTTGCAGACATTCCCCAGTACAAGCCTGGAGTTTGGCAGCCACAGTGGGCAGCTAGACTGAGAGGAGCAGCAGGATTCACGGTAGTCTGGCCCTCAGGGACTTCTACTCCTAGGGGAAAGAGGAGTGCACCACATCAAAGGAGCACCTTATGGAGCAAAAGAATTTGGACTGCCAGCCTTGAACCCCAGAACTCTCCACCTGTGGGAAGTTTCTTTCAGCAGAGGCCCAGGTGCAGTGCTGGACTTGGTGGGGAAAGTCTCCATCTCTACCCCAAAGTCAGGTAACCGTGGTCTCATGACGTGTCTTGGAGAAGGGGATTTCTTCTTCCCCTCATGCACCATTACAGAAACAGCTGGGCATCTCCCATAGGAGCTTGGTGGGTGCACCTGTGGACAACCTTTTTGGAACATCTCAGGGTAACTGCATCCCCACAGGAGGAATGCCCTCCAGGTTCAAGCTTGCACAAGGGGTAGAGTCACAATCCCTCTCTACATGGAACATAAGCATTCCTGCAGATGAAAAGAAGTGTCTGTCTGATCTGAATAGCTACAATTCTTGATCAAGAGTGTCATTTGGAGATGGATTGCTTTCCTGCTGTTCTGATAGGGAAGCTGAGGTGGTTCCCTCCCTTCCTCCTGAAAAGAACAAGATGTGTTTCACTGAGAGATATGCACAGCTACCTCTGTCAAGGCTGGAACTTATGTCATCCATTGGGTATTGGAATTATCCACCTGCTTCTGCTTTAGCCACGACCTTTACCTGTGGACACCTCCTACTGGCCTAAAGCCTGAACTTCAACCCTGTGAATAAAATACTGGAAAATAAATAAATAAGTGCACCACTAGGGAGCAAGATATGCTTCATGACACTTCGGTCATTTTGGCCCATAGGAGACAGCTAACCTGCTCACATACTGAGCACATTGCTACTACAATAAGCATCTGAGAAAGCCATCATACAAAGACTTCCTATAACCACGGTACTTTACAGATTCTTCACTTGCTGAAGGTAATCCAGAACCAAGTTAGGTTACAATAAACTATAAATATTAAAGTCACATCCTCAAGGGGCAAAAAATTAAATTACAAAGAAACACAGATGAATCAAAAATAAATGCAGAAATAATTAGATAATAATCCTCTCTATCCTGATGAGAGGGAACCAGAAAAATAATTCTGGCAATACGATAAAACAACATTCTATAACACCTCTAAAAGATCACACTAGCTCTCCAGCTATGAATCCAAACCAAGATGAAATATTTGAAATAACAAATACAGAATTCAAAATGTTGATTATTAAGTTACTCAAGGAGATATAAGAGAAAGGTGAAAATCAACACAAAGAAATTAAAAAATTTATAGGATATAAATTAAAAATTTTCAAAAGAGTTAGATATTTTAAATAAAAAACATCAGAACATTTGGAAATTTAAAAAACACATGTAGGGAATTAAAAATTCGGTGAAAAGAACAGAAGGGAGAAGTCTGCCCCCATGATCCAATCACGTCCTCCCAGGCCCCTCCTCCAATACTGGGAATTACAGTTCAACATGAAATTTGTGTGAGGACACAGAGTCAAGCCCTAACAAAGGAGAAATAAAGTCTTTTTCAGTCAAGCAAATGGGAACCAAAAGCAATCAATCAAAAGTAGTTATTCTTATATCAGACAAAACAAACTTTAAAGCAACAACAGTAAAAAAGAAAGACAAAGAAGGTCATTACATAGAGATAAAAGGATTAGTCCAACAGGAAAATACCGCAATCCTACATACATATTCATCTAACTCTGAAGCTCCCAGATTCATAAAACAATTACTACTGAACTTAAGAAAAGAGAAAGACAACAATACAATAATAGTGGGTGACTGCAACACTTCACAGAAAGCACTAGACCGAGAGTCAAGGGAGAAAGCCAACAGAGAGACACTGGATTCAAACTGTATTCTAGAACAAATGGACCTAACAGATATTTACAGAACATTCTACACAGGAACTGTAGAATATACATTCATTCAATCAGCACATGGAACATTCTCCAAGATAGATAACATGATAGGCCACAAAACAAATCTCAATAGATTTTAGAAAATGGAAATTATATCAAGTACTTTCTCTGACCAAAGAAGAATAAAACTAGAAATCATTCCAAAGGAACCCTCAAAACCATACAAACACTTGGAAATTAAACCATCTACTCCTGAATTATTTTTGGGTTAGCAATGAAATCAATATGAGAATTTTAAAATTCTTTAAAATCAATAACAGTGATACAAGTTATCAAAGCCTCTGAGACACAGTAAAAGCACAGTAAAAGGAGTGTTAAGAGGAAAGTTGATAGCACTAAATGCCTACAACGAAAAGTCTGAAAGATGAAAAATCGACAACCTAATGTCAAACCTCAAGATACTGGAGAAACTGGAACAAACCAAATCCAAAGATAGAATAAGAAAAGAAATAACAAACATCAAACCAGAACAAAATAATGTTTAAACAAACAAACAAACAAAAAAGATTGATGAGATAAAAAATTGGTTCTTTGTAAAGATAAAGAAAATTGATAGACCATTAGCTAGGTGATGTGGTTTGGCTGTGTCCCCACCCAAATCTCATCTTGAATTCTCACACGTTGTGGGAGGGGCTGGGTGGGAGGTAGTTGAATCATGGGGCAGGTCTTTCCCGTGCTGTTCTTGTGATGGTGAGTGGGTCTCACAAGATCTGATGGTTTTAAAAAATGGGAATTTTCCTGCACAAGTGCTCTCTCTTTGCCTGTTGCCATCCATGTAAGACGTGGTTTAGTTCTCCTTGTCTTTCACCATGATTATGAGGCCTCCCCAGCAGTGTGGAACTGTAAGTCCATTAAACCCCTTTATTTTGTAAATTGCCCAGTCTTGGGTATGTCTTTATCAGCAGCATGAAAACAAACTAATACAGTAAATTGGTACCAGTAGAGTGGGGTACTGCTGAAAAGATACCTGAAAATGTGGAAGCGACTTTGGAACTAGGTAACAGGCAGAGGTTGGAACAGCTTGGAGGGCTCAGAAGAAGACAGGAAAATGTGTAAAAGTTTGGAACTTCACAGAGACTTGTCGAATGGATTTTTCCAAAATGCTGATAATGATAAGGACAATGAAACAACAACAAAAAAACTTCCTGAGCCAGATGTAGTCACAGCCAAACTCCACCAGATATTAAAGGAATTGATACCAACCACACTGAAACTATTCCAAAAGATTGAGAAAGAGAGAATTCTCCCTAACTACTTCATGAAGCCAGTATCACTTTGATACCAGATACAGGAAAGGGTGTAACAAAAAAAGAAAACTACAGATTAATATCCCTGATTAACATAAATGCAAACATCCTCAACAAAATACTAGCACAATGAATTCAACAGCACATTAAATAAGATAATTCACAATGATCAAGTGGGTTTTGTCCCTGGGATGGAAGGATGCTTCAATATACACAAGTCAATAAATGTGATTCATCGCATAAGCAGAATTAAAAACAAAAACCATACGATCATCTTAATAGACACAAGAAAAGCATTCAATAAAATCCAGCGTCCTTTATGATAACAGCCCTCAAAAAACCATAAATAGAAGTAACACACCTCAAAATAATAAATGTCATATATGACACATCCACAGCCAACATCATATTGCATGGAGGAAAAGTTGATAGCATTGCCCTTAAGATCTGAACAAGACAAGGATGACCACTTTTACCACTTCTAGTCAATGTAGTACTGGAAGTCCTAGCCAGAGCAATTAGACAGCAGAAAGAAATAAAGGGCAATGAAATTGGAAAAGAGAAGTCTATCCCTGTTTGCTAATGATATGACTGTATACCTAGAAAACTCCAAAGTTTCTTCCAAAAAACTACTCAATTTGATACATGAATTCAGTAAAGCCTTAGGTTACAAAATCAATGTATACAAATCAATAGCACTGCGATCTACCAACAACAATCAAGTTGAGAACCAAATCAAGAACAGAGTCCCATTTATAATAGTTGTAAAAAAAAAATAACTGAAAATACACTTAAGCAAGGAGGTGAAATATATCTCTAAGTAGAACTATAAAACACTGCTGAAAGAAATCCTACATGGCACAAACAAATGAAAATACATCCCATATTCATGGATTGGAAGAATCAATATTGTTAAAATAACCATACTGCCAAAGCAATCTACAGATTCAGTGTAATTCCTATCAAAATACCAAGATCATTTTTCACAGAATTTTTTTTGATCCTAAAATTCATATGGAACCAAAAAAGAGCCTGAATAGTCAAAGCAATCCTAAGCAAAAAGAATCAATCTTGAGGCTTCACATTACTCAACTTAAATTATACTATAAGGCTATGGTAACCAAAACAGCATGGTACTAGTATAAAAGTAGATACATAGACAAATGAAACAGACAGAGAACCCCAGAAATAAAGCCAAATGCTTACACCCAACTGATCTTTGACAAAGCATACAAAAACATAAATTGGGGAAAGGTCACTCTATTCAATAAATGGTGCTGGGAACACTGAATAGCCACATGTAGAAGAGTGAAACTGGATCCCTGTCATCATATAGAAAAATTAACTCAAGATGGATTAAAGATTTAAATATAAGACCTGAAACAATAAAAATTCTAGAAGAAAAGCTACAGAAAAAGATTCTGGATATTGGCCTAGCAAAGAATTTATGACTAAGACCCCAAAGGTGAATGTAACTAAAACAAAAATGAATAAATGGGACCTAATTAAACTAACAAGCTACTGCACAACAAAATAAATAATCATCAGAGTAAACAGATAACCCATGGAATGAGAGAAAGTATTTGCAAACTATGCCTCCAACAAAGGACTAATACTTAATATCTATAAAGAACTCAAAAAAAATCAGCAAGAAAAGAATAATCCCACTGAAAAATGGGCAAATGCCATGACTAGAGTTTTCTCAAAAGAAGATATACAAATTGCCAAAAAAAAATGAAAAAATGCTCAACATCACAAATCATCAGGGAAATGCAAATTAAAACCACAATGAGATACAACTTTACTCCAGCCAGAATGACCATTATTTTTTAAATAAATAGACGTTGGTGTGGATATGGTGAAAAGGGAATGCTTATACACTGCTAATGGAAATTTAAATTAGTACAACCTCTGTGGAAAACAGTATGGAGATTTCTCAAAGAACTAAAAAGAGATCTACCATTCAATCTATCGGTACCACTACCGGGTAGCTACCCAAAACAGAAGGAGGCATTAGATCAAAAAGACAACTGCACACATATGTTTATCAAAGCACAATTCACAATTGCAAAGATATGAAACTAACCTAAGTGCTAATCAACCAATGAGTGGATAAAGAACATGTGGTATATACACACCATGGCATACTACTCATCCATTAAAAAGAACAAAATAATGCCTTTCACAGCAACTTGGGTGGAACTGGAGGTCATAATTCTAAGTGAAGAAATTCAGGAATGGAGAACCAAATGTTTTATGTGCTCACTTATAAATGGGAAGCTAAACTATGCGTACGCAAAGGCATATAGAGTGGTATAATGGACATTGGAGACTCAGAAGGGGGAAGCTGTGGAAGGGGGGAAGGGATAAAAAACTACATATTGGATACAATGGACTTTACTTGGGTGACGGGTGCACTAAAATTTCAGACTTCACCACGTTATAATTCATCCATGTAACCAACACCCTTTGTACCCCTAAATCTATTGAAATTTTAAAAGTATAAAAAATAAAAACAAAGGCATCAAGGAGCAAAGAAGGCCTTCTTAATATTTGGCATACATATAGAGGTAAGCCACAGGTTTCATGAATAAGCTGGAATCTATAGGATACAAGAAAAATGTAGCTCTATTCTTTTATGTATCTTCTTATGTGAATCTGTTTTCCTCTGTCATTTAAATAAATTTCAAGATTTCCATAGCTTTTCCAGAAATTCTCAGGAAATAAAATCTAGTCCAGTTTAATATTTATCTTACATTCTCATCCAATATCAAATGCCCCCCATTTACCAAACTTGGACCAGCCTTAGGCAGGTTCTGCTGTGGGAGAAGAGGATTCTGGTGGGTTTCTCTACCATTGCTTCCCTCTATCTCATTCTCCTCATTAGGTATGGCTATAGTGCCATCCAGGATTGGAGCAGGTAGAGAATGAAGAAATAAAATTTATAAAATAAATCCTACTGTTTCAATTGTAATCCTACAGAAGTGCCTTCTGGCTATAAGTGATTTAAAAACCTGCTTCTGTCTCAAAAGAGATGTCTTTGTGAGTCCCTTAGGGATGTTTATTTCCAGTGTTGATGGAAGAATGCATATCTCTGATCCCTTTTATTCTTTTTCTCCCTGGACTTTGAAGAATCCCTACAGAGGTGGCCTCACTCCTCAAAACAGGTTTGATTGAGCAAGATTTTTTTCAAGACAGTTTGCTGGCTTGCTTTCATGAAGTCTATAGAGAACCCTTTTCTCTGCTGCCCATGATGGTATAGCTGGCTATGGGGCACAGCCTCACATATTTACACTCTCGAAGGCATGAATCAAGTTCCAGTCCCTGTGTCTCACAAAGTCATGGATACTTGTTTTCTTAGATTGAGTTTCTTAAATCAAAGCTTGAAGAAGGGATTTCATAACATTTAGCTTATTGAGGCTATCTCTCAGGAGAAAGACAGAGAAACAGGAGAGCGAAAAAGGAACAGATTTTAATTGGTGTCTAGTTTCAGCTGATCCAACGAGGGTGTCTGGAACATGAATTGCCCCACAGAATTGATCTCAATGTAAGGCAAGGGAGCTCATGCTTTGCATCAGTTATCATTGACTGCAGAAAGCATCTAGGGTAGAGAAATGTAACCTCTGAGAGGGAGAGAGAAAAAGAGAGAGAGAGAGCTATTATGTTGTCAGTATACAAGCTCAGGGAGAGATCTGAGCAGGACACTAACAGCATCTACTACACCTGCCAAGCTATTTCTAAGTTTCTCTCTTACTGAATTTGCAGTGGTGGGGAAGCACTCTCTTCTCCCTGTGAGGAGGGCCTTAGAATACAGAGCACACCAACTGTTCTCCAAAGAAATTCTTATTCTTGCCCTCTTGAATATTCTATTAACTCTTTAGCCTTCTCTCGGCTTAGTCTTGAGATGGCTGAGTTAATACTGGTAGAACTCATTTCACACCCTCTGAGCATGGCTCACTTTGACATTTTAGCACTTGCAAAGGGATGTGGGATATTTAGATCCTATAATATTGTTCTTGGTTTGGGCTAAAATTTTGAAAAAATAGATAAACTTACACTTATCCTCCTCTTAGCACTCCACCCTCTCAAAAATAAAAAGTAGGAAAATCTGTAACTCTTGGTATTAAGATGGCAAAAGAGGCTGGGCACGGTGGCTCAGGCCTGTAATCCCAGCACTTTGGGAGGCCGAGGCGGGCGGATCACGAGATCAGGAGATGGAGACCATCCTGGCTAACACAGTGAAACCCGGTCTCTACCAAAAACACAAAAAATTAGCCAGGTGTGGTAGTATGCACCTGTAGCTTCTCGGGAGGCTGAGGCAGGAGAATCACTTGAACCTGGGAGGCGGAGTTTACAGTGAGCCGAGAAAGCACCACTTCACTCCAGCCTGGGTGACAGAGCAACACAGCGAGACTCCATCTCAAAAAAAAAAAAAAAAAATAGGGCAAAAGAAAGCATAGAGAATTGTCTATGGTTCAAGGAATTCTGCATATTTCTAGTAGACCTCCTCTGCTAATAAACCAGAGAGTGTGTTTCAGTATTGAGATCTGCTTCCTTTTGGTATTCTGGAATTATTTACTACAGTTAATTTTGCTTGTAATTAACCCAAATCATTCTGTAACAATTAAGCATTTTCTTCTGAAAGCCTTATTATTTCTCTGTACTTTCTGTGGCTACTGAACTGAGTCCCCTTCTTTTCTCAGTGGGAAGTGACCACAATATTACGATCCTAGCACAGGTACAGGCATAATCAGCCCTCAATTTTCAACAGCAGGTACTACAGACTTTCCCCTCATCCTACTCCATCTTCTCTAAACAGCATGCCTGATTTTAATAGTATAAGAAATCCTGTGCAAAACTTTCCATACTGCCGTTGATTAGAAATGACAAAGGACACTTGTGTTCCATGCAGTTAGTAGCCCTTGGGAATCTGTGTGCTAGGGTTAGCACTAAAATGGAATGAGTAATAATTCTGACTGTGCTTGCTACAGAATAGAGGTGCAATGGCCTTTGGTGACACAGAAAGTCATTTGAGGCAATTCCTACTTTAAGGCAGCTATTGAAGAATAATTTGCTGATGCATTTTTAATAGCATTAATCTGTTTCCACTTTTTTGGGTTTTTGCAGTTGTCAGCCAATAAGTAATGCATTATAGGACATTCTCAGTTTGTGGAACAGGCATATTGATTTTCAATGAAAATATGACAGGCAGAAAGATTGCCTGAACACTAAATTCATTCATAGCTGAGTAACCAGATCTATCCAGAAAGGTGGAGTATAAAACACACGGATAAACAAAAATATGTTCAAAGAATCATTGCCCAATTTCAGTTTTCAAATCTACACTTATTACTGCATTTGCCAATAAAATAACATTTTCTTGGAAATTATTAACTTCTATATTTTTATTATAGATTTTCATCAGTTTTTTTAATGAACAAAGGATTATAAATAATCTAGAATTGAAATTTCTGTGTAAGTGCAGAAATAAAATTTCGAGTTTGGGCCAAGCACAGTGGCCCACACCTGTAATCCTAGCACTTTGGGAGGCCGAAGCCAGCAAATCATCTGACCTCAGGAGTTCGAGACCAGCCTGGGAAACATGGCAAAACCCCATCTCTATTAAAAGAACAAAAAATTAATTGGGTGTGGTGGTGCACACCTGTAATCCCAGCTACTCCGGAGGCTGAGGCAGGAGATCCTCTTAAACCCGGGAGGCAGAGGTTGCAGTAAGCTGACATCAAGCTGCTGCACTCCAGGCTGGGCGACAGAGCAGGTCTCCATCTCAAAAAAGAATAGGAAATATGAATTCTAGTTTGGAGAAAAATTGCTGGTTTAAAAAGCTTTCTAACTCAAAAATTGGTTGAAATAAAAATATTGTTTTCCTCATTTATTCTCTATTCTGCAAGACAAGCTAAGAGGCATTTAGACAACTGCTGCCTTATTTAACATACAGGAAATGTATAGAAGCAGGATATTCGCAATGTAATATCATTTAATAAAGGAGAACTCTAAGGGAAAGCATAAAATGTAACAGAGTAATCCTTTTAGTGAAAAACTTTTCCAAGATTAGTTCTTGTCTTCCAGTTAGTAGAAATAAAATAAACACATCATTCCTTCATCTTTTATGGCTAAGAATATTATTGATAGGAGCACTGAAAGATGCAGGAAATAGAGTTTCCAATTAAATATTTTCCAATTAAAATTTTATTATAAAAAGTGCATTATACCACACAAGTTAAAAACTAAGTTTTCCTGAAATTTGGACCTAATTTTTGGACTCTTTATAGAGCTTCAGAAGGACCTTGAGTACATATTTAAAACCTTTCAATTAACTTTGAGACTGAGCCTGAAGACAGAGACAGCAAGAGTGGTTTGGTGATTAAAGTAAAGATATTCATGTAATCTTTCTAACTAAATTGGCTCTTCAGTAGGCATGATAAAATCAAGTATTTTTCAATACCAGAGCTCAGCTAAGAGGCCCAGCAAGGAACAAGGAGAGCTGTGGAAAGAATTTAGAATAATTGGGTCAACAGTTTGTATTCCTTGTGTTTTCTGGAGAAGGATAAGCCCAAACTGGTAAAAATAATTGATGATAATTTCTAAGACCCAGCAAATAACACCCATGAGGACCTACAGGTAAAGAGAGTAAAGTAGTTGAGATCAGTGTGCTGACAGGCTGCAGATAAGAATTTCTAGAAGTTTCTTCTTGATCAGGACTCTAGGGACTAAGAGCTATAGCAAAAATGTCACTCACCCTCACAGTTTACAGGGAACATTTTCACAGTGAGCTGCAAAGAATAATGGACTAGCTTGAGACTTAAGACCTTTAAAGATACTAATCTAATCACTTATAGAGTAGGCTGCATTTGTCTTCCTACTTGAGCCTAAACAAATGATCTTTGCTCTAAAAATGACTGATTTGTGCTAGAAAGAAAGGGAAAGAATGAGCAAATTATTAGACAATATGAGAGCCTTAAGGAAAATAAAAAAAAAGGAGTTTATACCAACAGCAACAAAAATAACTGCTCTGAAACAGAAGAAAATTAGAACCAGTGAAACAAAATATGTGACAAAGAGAAAAAAAACTGTTTGCTCCCAGATATTTAAATAACACAAGAGGCCTCTCTCCTGGCCTTAGTAGGTCAGTCTTACCCTTACAAGAAAGCATCCACAAAGCAAAAAAAGAAAAAAAAAAAAAAAAAAAAAAGACGCCAAGGCAAACAGGAAGAATTCTGGGCCTAGTCTTTGGAATAAAATATGTGTAGTGATGGTCAGTGACACTCAGTGACAGGCATTTATAGGCTAAACAGGAGATGCAGAGTCTTCCTGAAGCAGCAATTTAATATGAACCACATATTTAATTCCAAATTTTCTGATAGCCACTCTAAAAAGAAACAGGTAAAATTAATTTTAAGAATACATTTTATTTAAACAATCTGTCCAACATAATAACACTTCAGTATGTATTTGATATAAACATTATTAAAGATATATCTTAAATTATTTTTTACTTAGTAAATTTTTGATACCTGGTATGTATTTTAAACCTACAGTACATCTCTATTAGGACTAGCCACTTTTCAAGTCCTCAAGAGCCACATGTGGTCAACAACTGGCATATTGGAAAGTTCATTCCTAATATATAAATCCAAAATATGGCAGTAAGCCAAATAAGGCTTGTGATACTGCATAATGTCTACCTAATTCTTTGCCTCTTGATCCCATCCCACCCTTCCTCCAGCAACCTCACACACTCAAATATGTATGCAAACACGCAAACACACACACACACACACACACACACACACACATATATTTCCCCTCTGCTGTTTCTTTTCTCTCTTAAGCTAGAAAAAAAAAAATCCAAGCTCTCTCATACTTAAATGCAAAGTGAAAAACCTTTTCTTTCTTCATTCTCCTCTCACTGAGACACCACCAGTTTCCTCAGAGCAATATATGCTAATTCTTTCCATTTTCTCATACCTTAATCACTTTTGAAACCACATCTGGAGCATTATACAAGTCTAGGGTCTTTATCCACAGAGAATACAATAAAAGAGATACTCATGATTCTTTCTCAAGCAATTGAAATTTACCTTCGGTTCCCGACCACTCCATAGAACCTGCTTTCACCACGATGACAATTTGTCTCTATTGCACAGTGCATGACACATTCAGTCTTTCCATGCTCTGTCAGTCAACAGTGTTAGATGCTGTAGACTCTGCCCTCCTGTCCGGATTTCCCTGACATCAACATCACCTGACTTTAATCTTCCCTCTCATGTAGCTTTTTCTTTGTCTCTTCTCAAGATTACATTTTTGAGCCCATTCTGTTCACACTGATGGTCCCTGGGATCTGTACTCATCTCTCTCCTTTCTCACATTAAAAACTTTCATGAACTTTTACACATTCCCATGTCATCAGTTAAGGTGTATTCTTCCAGCTGTATTTTTTACCCCCGATTACAATTTCTTTTTTTTTTCTAATCTCATGTTTTATTTTTTATTTATATATATATATATTTTTTTATTATACTTTAAGTTCTCAACAAACCATATTGCTAGCTTCTTAAGGTGTATCTAGTGCTTAGATATACCTTAGGGATTTCAAACTTAAAATTTCTACAAAAGTTATCTTCCTTTCAGGAATACTCTTGAATTCCCTGTCAAATCAAAAGCATGCCCATCTTCTCAATCACTAGACTCAGCCATCTGTCACCATTATTTGTTCAAGCTACCTGAATCCCACAGTTATTCAGTCACTGTACCCATTATTTCACTGACTTAATTATTTATTTAAATGGTACCTGCCTTTCCATTGCCATCATCACTACTTCATTTAGATAATTGTCAAAGAGACACAATAGAAAAGGCATCTGGTTTTGAAACATGCTTTCTAACCTTGCTTCATACCATCCATGTGAAAAATATGCAAGAAAACATAATGGTCACTCAACATCTCACTAAAAATCACCCTTCAAAGGACCCTCTAGTGTTCACAATAAATGCAAACACCATAGAATAGCCCACAGATGTTCATTTTCCAATCTGCAGTCTCATAGCTTTAACTTTAAAACTGTATTCTTCGATAATACAAACGAACTTATTTTTCTCTAGAAGAACTTGTGTGCCTTAACACATCTTGCATCCTCTATCTTGGACATCTTTCACCGTAATAATTCCTACATGATGGTTGCCTAATATTTTTTATCTATCACCAGACTTTTCTGAGAAGTGAACTTCTACAAGATTCTTTCTTTGATACCATCCATCACCTGTCTGTACATATTTAATCATAGCATGTGGTTAATAGAATTATAATTGAATGCCGGGTGCAGTGGTTCACGACTGTAATCCCAGCACTTTGGGAGGCCGAGGCAGGTGGATCACGAGGTCAGAAGATAGAGACCATCCTGGCTAACACGGTGAAACCCCGTCTCTACTAAAAAGACAAAAAATTAGCTGGGCGTGGTGGCGGGCGCCTGTAGTCCCAGCTACTCAGGAGGCTGAGGCAGGAGAATGGTGTGAACCCAGCAGGCGGAGCTTGCAGTGAGCCGAGATCACGCCACTGCACTCCAGCCTGGGTGATAGAGCGAGACTCCGTCTCAAAAAAAAAAAAACAAAAAAAAAAACAAAAAAAACCAAAAGAATTATAATTGTATGTTCAATTATTCATCTTAGAGGCCTTATCCTAGTGGCTACCAATCCCCTCAAATATAATAGAGGCATGAACATAAAATGAATGAATGAATGACTTCATGGTGTCTATGTATGACACTACAGAATTTGAATTTGGGAATACAATAAAAACTCATGACATTAAGAGCAAAGATGGCACAAGAAGGAAACACAAGGTTACATTGATGGCATGAAAAGACAGGATTTTGGTTTCTAAACTATATATTTTAGTTTCTAAACTGATAGACCCTTGGCAAGAATCTAAGAGGTCCTCCAGATAATTGGAAGTGCACACTTGGGAAGTACTCATAAACAGAAGTTTAAATTACAATTTAAAGTTAAGGTAAGAGAAAAACTGACTAGAGAAAAATTAATATTATAATACAAAGAAACTCAACAGATGAATTTCCATTGCTGATAAGGCTGCATAATAATTACTGAAGAAAATAATAGACATGATGTTACTTATATATAGTTATGGGCTTAGGAATAGGTGTAATAAATTGGTTAAGCTCAAAATTAATTCCTAATATTTTCTTTGAAGGCTCTAGTCATTAAGATTAGACTACACAAAGAGATTTTTATTAAAGCAAGAGAGGGTTGGTATACCAGAAAATTTGGAAACATAATTCTGCATATATAAAAAATATAGATTTTTAAACATCAGTAAATTATCAGGATAACTTACTCAATTCTTAAAGATTTCATAACTGAGAGGAGAAAACAGACATAAAGAGCAGAAATGTTGTTGAGTCCACTGAAGTTTGGTGAATACAGACTTAACAAACCTCTATCTTTCTTTGGGGGTAAAGTTCAAGAAAATAGCAGATTCTAATTTTTTTATTGTCTGCGTAGCTCATGGACGAAACACACATGCACGCACTCACACACAGACACACAATGAGAATCAAAATAAATAAGCTTTGGTTAGTATCACAGAGGACCTGTTTTATGAACAAGACTCATGGAAAATCACTTAGAGTTGAGATGAAGAGGATGTAGCATTGACATTCATAAACCACACACCCTACAACAAAGGTGCCTCATGGGGCCTCAGTATGTGCAGACGGCCACACAGAGGACCACATACACCCCAGTCCCCCAGAGCCCTCACAGTACTTATATTCCTCAGAAAATAAAGCAACCAGTGCAAGTGCTGAATAGGTTGGGATAAAGATTTTGCCACTTGGCTGCAGGGTAGTTTGTGATAAAAATTAAGTTTAGTTAAAGAAAAATAAAGAAAGTTACATTTCTTGTCCACCAGTTATACACACTGTGCTTAAGGAAACAGCAAAATAGAGCCTGGAAAAAGAAAATATTCAAAGGAACATGGTGGTGGTCTTCAAATATTAGAAGGACTTCAAAATGTAATTTGTTCTGGGTATTGTTTCAGGAGACAGAACTAATTTCCAGCAAGTGGAAACTGTAAAGTGACAGATTCTTGGTTTTTAAAGGAAGTTCTACTAACAAGAGTCTTTTAACAGTAGAATGAATCTGATGTACTAAACTCTACCCTTGGAGCCTAGATGAGAACAAATATGAAGTGCTATAGAAGCAATTCTTCTGTTTGGTAAGACAACATTCCTCATGCTTTCTAATGTACTACCACAATGGCAAGAATGCTCACAGTATATCAGAGCTTCCTCACATGAAGTAGGAACTGGTACTCTAGATGGGAAGCTAAAAAAATAACAAGAGTTTTAGACATACCTTAGGGATTTCAAACTGTGTTTTAACAAAATGTAAAGCAAAAGGGACCTGTAGAATTATGTGGAAACACTTAGAAGTTTAACAGGTTTTGTTTGAATGGTTGTGCCTTTTATGCTTTGCCTGAATCATTTAGCCAACTCAGACTAATAGATAATAAGATGCTGCCAAGGATAACACTGGTTCTGTCATGCATCTACAGTACTAAGATTTAAAGCTAAATGAATGCATTCTTGTAGGAAAAATAATGACTAGAGGAATTCAGCATTCACATTGAAAGAAAATTTTGTGAAAGAAAAACATCTGTCATTGTTGTCCGCTTTTCTAACTGTAATAAAGATATGTAGGTGATATAGTTGCAATTGAAAAGCAAAGTCTTTTGTGTCTGATCAGCTCTTGACAATGGATGATTAACCATCTGGCTAATCGCAAGTTATTTAATGAGAGAGTTTCTTTATAATTTTTTTTCATTTAAGCATTATTAATTCTGTAGTTGCAAGGATCATTTTATGGGATAGCTGTTATAAAATATTTTAAAATCACTGATATTTTCACAATTAATATTTAATACTCACAGCTTTGTGTTTCTAGGCCTTGTCTTATGCTCTGTTCTTATGGACACTGGCCTCTGTAATCATGAAAGTAATTACATCTATAACCTTGGATGGCAGGTGCCATTAATTAAAAATTGTTTATGTAGAACAGCCTCGATATTAGATCAACTAGCAGGAAACCTACTATATTCAATTACAATGATCCGTAACAAAAATACAAATTAACGACTATAAATACAGTGATGGGGTGATAAAAATCTTCAATTACCATATCTTATTATATTAAAACTTATGACCACAAAGTTGATTTTTATATGTAATTCTCTTTGGTATATTAAAAGAAGAGAAAACTAAAATAAAAAATGTATAATTACTGGTGAAGGCATTCAGTTAGTCATTCACAGAATTTAAAACTAGGACTCAGAGTCCCAAGCTTTGATACAGCTGATGAAGTTACATGTCAAGTGACAGCAGTAATTTCTTATAAATGCGGCAACATTTTTTATTTGATCTTTTTATATTAAATAATTCTTAAGTCACACCCTATTCATAGACATCTAACATTGCTAAGGACTGCAAACAAATATAGCATAGTAGCTCCAGTAATTTTAGAAAGCTGTGTCTTTCAATATGTTTTTATTGTGTCTTCTTCATGCCTTTCACCATGATAATACTACTAATACTACCAATAATACTAACAGTAGCTAATAATACTAATGATACCTAGTGTTTATTGAGTTCATATACTAATTCAAACACTTTTAAGTTTTTGGATATATTCTCATTTGATCCACCAACACACAAGAGAGATATTCTTTTATTCTGATTTTACCATTTGCAAAGAAACTGAGGCTTAGAGAAGTAAAGTAACTTGTTCAGATTGTTAGAACTGGATTCCAGGTTCTAAATAGGACTTTGAGGCTCACCCCTTTCACCACTAATCCATGCTGCCTCTAGAAGGCTAAAATCTGTGTGCTCTTTGCACCTTAAAAAAAGATGTTGCCTTTATAGCAGCATGATTTATAGTCCTTTGGGTATATACCCAGTAATGGGATGGCTGGGTCAAATGGTATTTCTAGTTCTAGATCCCTGAGGAATCGCCACACTGACTTCCATACTGGTTGAACTAGTTTACAGTCCCACCAGTAGTGTAAAAGTGTTCCTATTTCTCCACATCCTCTCCAGCACCTGTTGTTTCCTGACTTTTTAATGATCGCCATTCTAACTGGTGTGAGATGGTATCTCATTGTGGTTTTGATTTGCATTTCTCTGATGGCCAGCGATGGTGAGCATTTTTTCATTGTTTTTTGGCTGCATAAATGTCTTCTTCTGAGAAGCACACATATGTTTATTGCGGCATTATTCACAATAGCAAAGACTTGGAACCAACCCAAATGTCCAACAATGATAGACTGGATTAAGAAAATGTGGCACATATACACTATAGAATACTGTGCAGCCATAAAAAATGATGAGTTCATGTCCTTTGTAGGGACATGGATGAAATTGGAAATCATCATTCTCAGTAAACTATTGCAAGAACAAAAAACCAAACACCGCATATTCTCACTCATAGGTGGGAATTGAACAATGAGAACACATGGACACAGGAAGGGGAACATCACTCTCTGGGGACTGTTGTGGGGTGGGGGGAGGGGGGAGGGAGAGCATTGGGAGATATACCTAATGCTAGATGACGAGTTAGTGGGTGCAGCGCACCAGCACGGCACATGTATACATATGTAACTAACCTGCACATTGTGCACATGTACCCTAAAACTTAAAGTATAATAAAAAAAAAAAAGATGTTGCCTTTCCCTTTTACTTCACTTTTGGATGAATCTTCTTTTTTTTTTTTTTTTTTTTTTTTTTTTTTTTTTTTTTTTTTGAGACGGAGTCTCGCTCTGTCGCCCAGGCCGGACTGCGGACTGCAGTGGCGCAATCTCGGCTCACTGCAAGCTCCGCTTCCCGGGTTCACGCCATTCTCCTGCCTCAGCCTCCCGAGTAGCTGGGACTACAGGCGCCCGCCACCGCGCCCGGCTAATTTTTTGTATTTTTAGTAGAGACGGGGTTTCACCTTGTTAGCCAGGATGGTCTCGATCTCCTGACCTCATGATCCACCCGCCTCGGCCTCCCAAAGTGCTGGGATTACAGGCGTGAGCCACCGCGCCCGGCCTGGATGAATCTTCTAAATGGAGAATGTTTAATGCCTGAACATTCTAGAAAGAAAAATTTCACCATTCTTAGAGAATTTGTTAAGTAGTAACCACAAGAGTAGGTTGATGATTACTAAGCTATCATTGACCTTGAAAGTATATAAAGGCTTGAATATTGATTAGGAAAATGAATTTTTTTTTAGTGTAGTGCCCTTCTTTATAGTATGGTAGGGTTTGTTCCTTCTACTTAATCCAAGCATATTATTTTTTTGTCACATAACAAACCACCCCAAAACGTGTGGCTGAGATGGCTCATCTCATTTACATGGGGCCTAGCCCATGCTTGTTCACACGGTAACATGATAGAGGTCCTAAATGCAAAAGTTCTCTAGAGTACTCGTCTCGTTACTAACCCAACGTTGCTTTGGTTGCCCCAAGTTTAAGTTCATATTTAAGGGTCAAGAAAGGGACTCTATCCTTTGATAACAGGAATTGCAAATTATGTTAAAAGTGGTACTGATATAGGAATAAAGAGAATCGTGACCATTTTTATACTCTACCCTATAAAGTGAATCAGACTCTTAGAGAACCACGTGAAGAGTTTGTCATTGTCTTTTGAAATGAGAATTCAGTGCCTGGCGCATGACTCACAAACGAAAACAATAAAGTCAAGGCTAAAGGGAAACAAAAAAAAAAAAAAAAAAAGAGGAAGAGAGATGAGCCTGAGTCTGGGGGGAGAAAGCAGTACTTTCTTTCATGTGTGACAACAAGTATTTTGTTTCCCATGGGACATGCATAAATCCTGCAGTGTTAATAATGAGTTACACAGAAATGATTCTATCCAAAACAGTCTCCTTCAGGCAAGTCTGCTTTGGGGTGGACTGCTGAAAGATAGGAGCAGAGGAAAAAATATAAATAACCAGATGGCCGTGACTTTTTGGCTCCAACAGAAAACTGTAGTTGAGAAAGACTGATAGTTCGATCAAAAAAAAAAAATTCCCCAATACAAAATTTCAGCACTTGAAATCTATCACCCACAGAGCGTACCACACTAGAGTATAACTCCAGTAGCCAAGATAGATTTTTATGAGCCTTATGTCTCTTAGCTTCAATACTGGAGAATCTGATATAGCAAAAACGACTGGAGGAGGAGGAGGAGTAAAATGGAATAGACTTCTTTATTCTGTTGTACTGAAATAGCAAGTATTGAAGAAACAGCAACATCAGTGAGCAGGTATGGGAAATTTTGCATTCAGAATATGATCATTTCTCAGCACCTCTGCCCCCACCAACATCCTGGTCCAGGCCTCCATTAATTCTTATGTATTATTGCATTGACCTCCTCTCTGCTTCTCCCCTCTCCGCTACAGTTAATTCTCAGCACAACCAAAGTGACTCTTTTCAAAACTAAGTCAGATCATGTAATCCTCTGCTCAGACCCCTTTCTTTTAGACTAAAAATCAAAGCTATACAATAGCCTACAGGCCTGGAGCAGATATCAAAGTATGTTGCTCAGGTTTTCCTTCAACAAATAACTTGACATCCAGATGCTAGTGATGCAGTTAGTTCAGAGCCTCCAGCAACAGCAACTTCCAGATCTAATGCAGCATTTGAGGCCACACTTTACCCAGGCTGTCCCCAGCCAGTGACTTAAGTATAATGGATACACAAGGACCTGGCTGTTCCTGCCAAATGCAAGACTCTTTTTTAGGCAATTTTTGCTCGGAACCATTGGTTTGTCTGAGATCATGTTAAATATGGGTCACACTGAAGGTAGTTCCTGACCAATTCTGGCCTCCTTTTCTCTCACCTTCCACAGGTATCAGATTTGCATTGCAGTCTAAAGGCTTTCCCTCAACAACTCTGCCCCCTTCCTTCCTTTTTCTTTCATAGGTTGTTGCTCCAAGTGAATTTCTTGCACTCCTAACTCTATCTCAGCATCTGCTACGGACGAAGGCCCTATAGGATCTTGTCCTTTGTACTTCTGTGACCTCATTTCTACCACTCTTTGCCACACTCACTTTCTTTCACTCTTACTGGCCTCCTCACCATGGCTTGGTCATGCCAAGTCTACTCATTGTTCCTTCTGCCTAGAACGTTCTAGCCCCAGATACTGTCACAACTAACTCCTTAATATTATTCAAGACTTTTATCAAATACAATCAGTTACTCCATGAGGCCCTCCAAGATTATTTTATTCTGCAACCTGACACTTTCCCACCATGCTTAGTACTTATGTTCTGTCTTACTCAACTGTTTTCCTTTTCCCTGACATGGAAGCTGAATGTAAGCTCCCTATACACAAGACCTCTGTTTGGATCAGTGAAATATCTCCAACACTTAGTGTGTGCTGGCCACGTAACTAGTTTTCTATGTTAAATTCCTGCATGTATGCTATAGCTGTAGCATTTTTGTATGATATAGGCCTAAATTGGGAAAGGGAAAAGTTTTGAACTGAATAAAATATAAGGCCTTTGATGATAGACCGTAATGAATTTTTAATACTTGGATTTGAGACCTAATTTACCTGAATGTGATGGAAAAACTATGTAATCTCCAAGGTATTGCCAGTGACGGATGAGGGAGAATCAACATGACAGTGGTATGGGGAAAAAAAAAAAGTTTTTTTCTACTTGTACTCTGCTGAGTTCACTTAAGCCAATAAATCATTTCAGACACAATTAGGTTATATTCTAATGCAGACCTGTGATACACTAGGGAAATAAAACTAAATACAAAAACAAAAATCTACACAGTCAGAAGATTTGGATTCAAGTTCTGTTAGGAACAACTAGCTGCATGACCTGAATTGATTAACTTTGTCTCTGAGAGTCAGATATTTCATCTGCAAAATACAGATAGTTTTACTTAATTCATAGAGTTTTTGTATGAATCAAATTAGAAAAATGTACAAGTGATCTGTAAACTTTAAATATCGCTATGTGGTTAAGAAAAAAGTACTAATCTTTCCATGATTATTTTCAGACAAACATTTTTGGCTGATTCAAATTAATCCAGAGCATTAGAATTTATTAACAATTCTAATGGGAATATAGAACAGGAAAAGAAATAGAATACACTTTTATTTGAAGTCTGTTTTCTTTCTATATTATCTCTCCCATTCTTTGCAAATCACCCATCTATTCTAGAGATGACAAGGGAAAATGAACCACAAACACAAAACAAAACTAAACAAAAACTCTCCATCTTAGTACAAGAATGAATCAATTCAAAACCCTCAAAATTCATTCAAGCAAAATTATCAGAGTGTGGGATCTATTTCTTTTCCAAAAAAATAATTAAATAAATGACAAATTGATAAGTGATGTGCTGCTTGGAAGACATCTCTATTCCCAAAATACACAATTTATTACCATTATTTAAAAGTTGGTCTGAATAAAAGGTAAACTCCAAATTAAAGCATGGCCCTTATAGGTTAAACCAAAGACAATCATTTGAAAAGGAATAGACATTTTGATAGGTTTGAAGGATAGCTATAGATCTGCACCCACTCACAATTTGAAAATTGAAACTATTGAATAGTTCTGAGTTGATAATAAAATAATGCAAGAAAGAACAAAGCAAAAAATAAATGCCTTACGTTAGTTTGGAGCAATTTATTTTTGGCTCTTCTGTTGCCTCAGTAATAATCTCGCAAGGTGTTTCAATCCTGTTCATAGCTAAACACAATTTTATATTCATTATAAAGCAGACATGCTATTTCACACATGAATTCTTTTGATTGTTCAATATTTTGCTAATATTCACATCCCTGAATCCATGTCTAAATGATGCCATGGCAAAATGATGACAGAAAAAAAATTTGTTGATTGCTGCCAGCTGATTTGCTAGTCAGTATCCATGCATTTGACTGATTCTTTTCTTGAACTAACTAGTTATTAATGGACATGACTAATTCAAGTCTACATAAGTAACAGGCTATAATAAGTTACTTGATTTAACTGGCACCAAGTCATTTTTAGGCCAACAGACCAAGCTTTACCAACAGTATTAACACAACAGTGGACAAGTCTGAGTACAGGTTTAGTAACGGTGGAAAACAGAATTTCTAGCATGAAAATGTTAGGAATTGTTAGAAATGCCAAAATATTCTGAATTAGAGCAAGGTCTTTAAACACAGGATTTATAATAACTTAATTAAATAAAGCAAACTATATCTCTATATTGGCACACAAGTACCAAGCCTAATAAGGACAAATGAAAAGTAATGAAATATCCAATCTATAGTTTGGAGAGGTTTTAAGACTATGTATTTAATGATAGTAATCCATTTTTCTCTATGGAAAACACAACCTGATATAATTGTTAAATTCAGTTGTTCTGCTTGAATGATGTTATGCATTTTAACTTGATTCTGACAATTCTAACGGAAAGAAGATTCATCGTAGTGTGCAGTAGTTGACCATACTTCACTCTCTTAGATTTGTCTCATGTCCCACTCCAGCTGAAAGTCATTCCTGTCCATTCCAGCCAATTGGTGAGCTCCTAAGCATGCAATAGACACTGTTCTTTACTTTTGGGATAAATAAGAAGTGAGATAAATTACATACCGTCAGAGAACTTTTGCAACCTTGGCTGCAACTATCATGTGAATGATAGATGGAACTTAGAAGGGTCATCTAAATCTGCAGTGGAGAAGGCAGGTCAGGGAAAATAGCTGCAAGAAAGCAATAGTAGTCATGCATAAAAAGAAAAAAGGAGGCTGTGGGCTAGGATAAGGATTCAGGAAGGAGATGAAAGGAGGGAAGTGATTTTTATTGTACTCCATCCACTCTGTCAATTTAGAATTCTCCCTTCTTTGCATTTTTGCTCTGTTTTAATCAAATTAATGCAAACATTTGTAGCTTCATGTTGTTAGAAGATGATTCCACACTCTTTCCCCAACCATATTGTCAATTCTCTGTATCTGTGTCACTCTTTCACAGTGCCCAGCATAGTGCTTTGCACAAAGAATGTTTTCAATAATCAATGTGTTAAACAAAAATGGAAATTGCATAATGGGATGTTTTAAAATCTAATATTATTACCTTCAAATGACCTTGCTGAAGATGAACCTATATTTTTACATAGATTTAGTCAAGTGGGTATTTGACTGAGTTTCCTGTCTCCCTTTCTTGTTTTTACCACAATGTGTGGCTTTTCTGGGTATTGACAGAATGGAGTCCAAGATGCTACTTTTTTTTTTTTTTTTTTGAGACGGAGTTTCATTCTGTCACCCAGGCTGGAGTGCAGTGACATGATCTCAGCTCACTGCAGCCTCCGCCTCCCAGGTTCAAGTGATTCCCCTGCCTCAGCCTCCTGAGTAGCTGGGATTATTGGCACACACCACCATGCCAGGGTAATTTTTATATTTTTAGTAGAGACAGTATTTCGCCATGTTGACCAGGCTGGTCTCAAACTCCTGACCTCAAGTGATCCGCCTGACTCGACCTCCCAAAGTTCTGGGATTACAGGCCGTGATGATGCTAATTTCTTAAACAAAGTTTAACGGAAGCCAGTACCAATGTTCCTTTGGTGCCTCTTCAAGCAGAAAAAGAACAATATGACTAAAGAAAGAAACTGACAATTTTTTACCCCAAAATAGTCTGTCATTCCATGTTGAATGTAGTAACTTTATTTTATGGAAAGTTATTTTATAGAAACTTTTAAAACAAAAGGTGTTCTCAAGGTATGTTATCATTGATCTTTTTTTCTGGTATAAATGCTGAAACTGGAATAGTAGATATTTTTAAAAAGGGACATCTTTAGATTTAATACCTGACCTTATTCAGAATCTCTGACATTCAGCCTCTTTCAAAGCAATTACAGTAATAAAATAGCATGCTTATTAAGAATGTATTCCTTTTAAACAATAGACGTTGGGGGCAAGGGTTGAAAAACTGCCTTTTGGGTACTATGCTCACTACCTGGGTGACAGGTTTAATTGTACCCCAATCTCAGCATCACACAATATAACTTCATAACACACTTGCACATGTACTCCTGCATGTGAAATAAAATTTAAAAATAAATAGAAACAGAATGTATTCGTTTTAAAAGATTGATTTTTTTTTTAATTTGAAGAAGGAGAAGGACAGGTTGATACAGAGAATCCAGGAGATGAAATGTGAAATTAGAACAAATATTTAACAAGTGGGTGGCCACATTAACAACGTTTTTAAAATTATGCCAAAGAATAAGAGTATATTGTAATTCTAAAAGGGCAAAAAATCACTGGGTATTGCCTTAAATAACATTCATTCTTGGAAACTCATAATTAGGTCAAATATACCATTATCATTCACCTTGAAGTTGGTTAAGAAAGCTCAGCTTTAGAGAAAAAATTATCACAGGAAATTATTCTTACAACTAAAAATGGAAGAAAAATCTTTACATTTATATTAAAAATGAATGTATCCATCTGCTACAAGAAGTTATTCCCTTTCAGGCAATCTCCCCAGGGCCAGACTTATCATTGGTAAAATCAGATCACTTTTAAATTTTCAGAATTTTAAAATTCTAGAAGTAATAGGTCTATGCCATTTCTAATAATATGACTTTATATTAAGATCTTCACTTGGCTAACAATGGAGAAAAAGAAGCACATGTACAGCTTCTTTCTTTTCTTTATGAGCTCTTTACTTCCCCGTTGTAGAGTTCTGCCGATATATTGGCTGGTGGCCTCCATGTACCAGCAGTAGCCTGGCTCAAAGCCTATTCTCTACTCACTCAAATGTGGAAGGCTCTGTTGGCAGAGCAGATTCTGAATCCACTTCCTGAGCCGTTGACATGACTGTGTATGGCAGGACTGCCTCTCACATCAGTTAGAGAAGCTAAAACAGCACTCAGGTATGATAGGGACTGCTTCTAGAAGGTGAGCTATACCAAGGTTATGCTTATAAGTGGGAGTTGGCTTCTATATTTAAGGCATGTAATCCTTCCCAGTGATATAACCCTTCCCACTGATGTAACCCCTCCCACTGATATGGTCTGGTGAGTAGATTAACAACTTTTCCTTCCTTGGGAGAGGAGTTAGAAAGGTAGGTAAACAGGGAAGAAGAGATAGGGGCAGAGGTTCCGTCCCCAGAAGACAGACAGGAAATCAGGACAAAGAAGAGGTAAGCATCCTGCCTGACTGATATGGTTTGAATGTTTGTCTTTTCCAAATCTCATGTTGAAATGTGATTCCCAGTGTTGGAGAGAGATCTGTTGAGAGGTGATTGGAACATGGAGGCAGATCCCTTTTGAATAGCTTAGTACCATACCCTTGGTGATAAGTGAGCTCTCACTTAGTTAGTTCATGTGAGATCTGGTTGTTTAAAAGTCTGGGACCTCCTGCCCTTTTGCTCTCTCGTTCCCACTCTCACTATGTGATGTGCCTGCTCCTGCTTTCTTTTCCACCATGATTATAAGATTCCTGAGGCCTTCACCAGAAGCCAAGCAGATATTGGTGCCATGCTTCTACAGCCTGCAGAACCGTGAGCTAATTAAACCTCCTTTATTTATAAATTACCCAGCCTCGAGTATTCCTTTATAGCACTGCAAGAATGGCCTAATATACTGATACATTCAAGTGTTAGTTTAACTCAGCTTTTCCCAATATATGTTCCACATTCAATAGATATATTTCTCATAATATTAATCCATGAATTTTTCATTTTACCTGAACCATGATGCTCAGTGCTTCTCAACATGTTAAGTGGACAGTTTTCAAGATTTCAGGGCAAGGGAATATATGAGGTAAGACAGTAAACACATTGGTCATTTTTGATTCACAATTCATATAGCTTTGTTCTTTTTTTTTCCCCAAAGCAAGGTAATATCCTTAAGTGTTATACCAGGCCAACTTATTATATAAGTTTACTATAAAGAGCTATTAGAGAGAATTCTACATATCGTAAAGATTCATCCTTTTCCAAACAGAAATAGAACACCTTGAACAGAAAGAGGTAGAGAAATAATGCCAATAGATAACTTTGAGTGAGAAGCTCCGTGTGCCAGGTACTTTTCAAGTACTTAGGACACATTGTTTAATTAAATCTTTACAATTTCCTCCATGTCCCACAGATAAAGAAATATGAAAACTAAGGTAGAAAGTTTAAGTAACTTGCACAACTATAAGTGGCAGTAGGCAGATTCAAACTGAAGAATTCAGGATCCAGAGCTAACATTTTTATCCTACCCTTTACTACCTCTGCTATTCTATAGAGAATTCAGACACGTTTCTTCTCTTCCAACAACCTAACCTCCACAAGGTCAAACTTCAGGTCAAGACATAGGAAAGGAGGAAAAGGGGTGATAAAATAGAACTCTCAGAGATATTAAGGAGAAGCTCTTCGAAATTAAGGGTGATGTATCTGGATTTGTATTTGGAAATCCAGGAAAAGATCACCTTAAAAGGTGCCCCTGTGCCCTTTAATCCAGAGTGGTGTGTAAATATGTTCATTGGAGTTTAGGGATGGAGAGGGCCTGAGTTAATGTTTCTCTGTGGTGTGGAATTGGTCAGGAAATCCCTGCATGTGCCAGAAGGGAGGAGAAAGACAACTGAGTTGAGAAAAGTTTGGAGGAAAGCTACAAGACTGACACAAGGCAGCATGGCCACAAGGTTGGTGGACCAAGCCTGCTATCTGATGTAGATGCTGGCTAAGACCCAGAGAGCTTCAATTTCAGTGGAAACAAAGGTGAGGCCAGATCATCAAGGATTTTCTATCAGTAGAAAATTCTCGCAGACCAGCCAATGGGCAGACTCTCAAGCAAGAAGTCAAAGCCACTGGTGGGCTCAAGATCACAACGCCATCCCCAGGCATCAGGGGCAGCAGCAAGTTCCCACTTGATTCCAGGTTCATCTATGATTGGAGTTGAAGGCAACAAGAGTCTCTGAATTTGTATTTACTGAAAAGATTCTACATTTATAAAAATTGCTTTGAAATAATAATATCTGAGTTACAGTGAAATGGCACTTTTAAATTGGTTTCTCACCCTTACCCACCCCATCACACTTCACTACCCAAAAAAGTACAGAGATGATGGTGAAGATTAGAATGGTTGTAATTAAAAACTGAGAAACTTTTTGCAAAACCAGTTTATAGAGTGTTCAACTGCAAAGCAACTACAGAAAACACTAGTTCCTGTAATCTTAATAAATATTATTTTAAAAATATTTCCTTGCTCTATAAGTTTAGGAAACACTGAACTAAAAAAATGAAAAGATTTTCATGCTGTAGAAATTCTCATAAATGTAAGTAGTGTCATCCGCATCATGAGTCTATGAGAGCAGAGTATACAGTGCCGAAGTTTGAAATATATTATCTCCAAACATATTTTCATAAAATATTTGACATAATTAGTGTTCCACAGAACACCCATTAGGAAACAATGATCTGGCTTAATATAAGGGATCTACATGATGTTTAAACATAAAGTCAGGAGATCCAGATCCAGTGTAGGTATGTTCACATACACACAGGTACACACACACACACACACACACACACACACAGAGAGAATCATAACACCATGGAAGTATTCTGCAATTACTATATTTTAGAGAAGTTAATAGAGTTGGCAATCTTATTCTCTTGCTCCATGTCATATATTCATTCTGTGTTAGAGAGTGAGACTACGAAATTGTTTTTTCCGTCAGGCACATGTCTTGCACATGACCATCTGAACACTATTAGCTGTAGTATGATGGTATAAATTTTGAATCAACATTAGTCAAGTAAAGCTAAGCCAGCTTTCTTCTCCTCTGGTTCTGGTACAATGTTCACATTAGTATAGATAATCATAGGCTATGGGATTTTTTTCCCACTGTAGACCATCATTTATTAATATGTGCTAGAGTTTCGTCTGAGTAAATATTTTCTAGCAAAAACTAGATAAATTAGAAGCTATTACTAAAATCCACATATTTTGACTCTGTTTTTTAATCTGTATAAGTTGAACCTAAAAAACTATCAGTTATGTAGAATAAGGAATATTTTGTTTTCTTGAACACCTTTTTAAAGACTTTCGAGTTTGTTCCATTTTACCTGATTGATCATTAGGGATATCACTTCTAACTCACTGACAGGTGTTACAACACAACAGGCAGAAAACCCACAGCATATTATAATCAGTTATTCTGAAATGATCCTAATGTTTTATCAACACAAATCAGCTGTTTAAATTCATGTTTTAACAGCATCTGTTGCCAGTAAGTGTAATACCTGATTGTCAGATCAGGATTTCTAAATCCTTTCATTCAGGAAACACTAGAAGGATAGTTTAGTTAAACCTTGTGCCAGGTAAATCCTTATCCAGATTTCATTTGGGAAGGTTATCATCTTTCTTCTCTTTGTCGACTTGCCTCTGCATTACAAGAAGTAGTAGCACATTGTGGTCACTTTCAGTCAGAGAAGGATATTATAAGTAAACATGGAGAAGTAAATAATATCACACATCCTGGAAATGTATATTACTGCTCAAAAATTAGTAGTTTTCCCAGGTGTCCAAGAATAGCTGTAGTGAAAAAGTTGATTTGTTCAAGAACTTGACAATTAAAGATGCATGACTGTGCCTACCCATTCTCCTATCTAGTCATGCATCTGTTGGTTTCTGCACAGCTCCTGAACACTGATTCTCTCCAGGTCTCACAATCATTTCCCCAAAAGAGAGGATTAGATTAGTTCAGAGGGATTCCCACAGTTGGGCAGCCCTCCCATGTTAAGCTATGTTATAATCTCTGCCAGTCCAGAGTTGGTTACATTTGGCTATTTGTGGACATAAATTCACATATGCTTCAAACAACCACTTGTCAGGAAAGGAGGGTCACATAGTCAGATTTCCTCAAAAAGGTATATGAGAGTTGTAGGTACCATGAACCTAATAAATTCCCTGCCGATACGTCTGCGTGTGGAAACTCTGTCAGGAACTGTAAAATATCTGAGATCTGAACTTACTTGGAACTAACACATTAGCCTGCCACAGTATCTTGAATGCCAGTCCAGCAGAAGACACGACACTTCTGGATAAGAGACAATAGGCAATTTATTACTCACACAGTAATTTATTATTCATAACAGTAGCCAGAGCATGTTCATTTTGTACCAGCTTATCAGGCCACAGTACTCACAGGATAACAGGAAGAAGAGGATGTGATACCTACAACAGAAGAATCCCAAGTTTAGCAGATGCAACTCTTTTAAAATTGACAGTAAGCCTTCTTGAACTTTTCCTCAAAGGAAGACATTATCTTTATTATACTGTACAGTAAACAAACCTGAACTTTGCTCCAGGGGGAGATAGCATCTCTTCCAAAGTTGTTCACTCGCAAAAATTTTTGAAAGATAGTTTTGGAAAAAAGGCAGCTAGTACCTTTGCTTGTAAAATGTGCAGAAATATGTGAGAGTTGTCTCCCAAAAGACCTCAGCTCAAAGATGTTAGATATAGTTTATTTGAAGAGGTATAACTAAACACAAATAATATTATAAAGATGCAATATTTAAATTGCAACTGAAAATGGAAAACATCGAGTATAAACTACTCTTGCCATCACTCACAGCCACTGAGGGTTCCATCCGTACCCTCTCCCAGTTCCAAGGCATCTACCAGATGCTGCCTGAGCTCATTGCTGCTTCTGTTTAGTGACCTTATCACAAATCACTGAGAAAACTGACAGCTCGTTCTTCGAATGCCCAGGGTCTGCATAAAGATAAAGCATTTCCTGTCCATCTCAGCACCATCAATTTCTCCATCTTTTACTCCCTGAAATAAAAGAGATAAGAACAAAAACTCTATTGCTTTCAAGAACAGAGAAATCACTAAATCACTATAAAATGCCTCTGTCCTAAGTATCATATAGGATTCCCCTCTAAGGAAATTCCATTTTCATGGTTAGAAAATATACCAAGGAAAAAAACTAAATGAATTACCAGCAAGTAGCAAGATTTCACCAGGATGTTTGGTTTTGCTTTGATTTTACCTGCAAAGACATATGTGTCATAGATTCCTGATTACAAAACAATCAATTGATTATGGCAGAGAATATAGGCCTATCCAATATCTATTTTTCTCTTCTTCCATTGTAATGATATCAGACTTATTCAAACCATTAATACAACCGGCCACGAGAATACATTATGCAGCTTTTCTAAGAGCTATGCATGGCCATGAGACCAGGATGTGCCAAAATGATATAAGCAGACGTGTTAGAGGGAACTTGAAGGAGACTCCATGAGGAACCTGACTCTGTACAGAAATGTGCTTTGTATGTCTTTTCTCCCTGCTTCATTACTACTGCCTGAAATGTAGATGTGGTGGTTGGAGCTTTAGCAATCCCTCCTAAGGACTGTGGAGCAGGTAGAAGTAACCTGGGCCCTGCTGACGTGTTAGAACCATTGTAACAGCCTCATCTCTGTATCTCCAAATTTCTGTCATAGGAGATAAACAATTTCAAAACACTCACTATACTTTTTGCTTATTTGCTTGTTTGTTTTTGAAAGGGGGTATATTTTATTCTTTGCAACCTCAAATAATCGCAAACTATGTAATAATCCTTACAGAATATTTGGAATTCATTAAAAATACAAAGAAAAGCAATATTACCTTATATTATTGTTTTAGCAGCAAAATTTATCCAGATTATCAGTATGTTACAAATAAATGAATCTAAAACATAAAAGGATGGTTGAAACTTTAATCTTTTTATGTTAAAATGAATAATTATATTTAGAATATTATCTTTAATGTTTATTTTTAGCTTACTTTTCAAAAACACCACATTCTTGGCTTGTAGGAATTAAGAATATGATTCCTACCTTTCATGACTTCAGCAAGGCCCATGGGTTGAAAATAATGCCACTTGAGATTTTCAGAGGGCCTGGTATGTCTAACGCCTTTCATTTATGTGTATTTTTTAATGAATATAATGCAGGCATATGACAAATTCAAATAATAAAAAGGATATAAAATGAAGAGAAAATGCCTCCCTTAAACCAATCCCTCCCCTTCCTATCAAATTTTAGATGGTAAACATGTAAGCAATCTTTATTGTTCCTAAAAATCATATGTCTTCAAAATGTGTACATATACACAATGAGCACCAGTTTTATGTGTTTTTAAATCCCAGGAATTCATCAGTGAAAACGGGAAATACTCTAGCCTCTTGCAACTTTCTGGAAATTGTCTTTATATGGAACAGAAGAAACACAAAAGCAAGTAAATATACAATAGGATATCAAATGGTGTGGTACTTACTGGAAGAAAAAGAAAACAAAGTATGGTGGTAGACTGTGACTTCATTGGGGAGGTTGGGGTTTGTAGTACACAGTAGTCAGGGACAGTTTGTCTGAGGAAGTGAAATACTAGAAAGTATATGAAAAACACAGTCGAAAATGTCCCTGTCTGACAGCTCTGAAGAGAGTAGTGGTTCTCCCAGCAGGGCGTTTGAGCTCTGAGAACGGACAGACTGCCTCCTCAAGTGGGTCTCTGACCCCCGTGTCACCTGAGAGACACCTCCCAGTAGGGGCCAACAGACACCTCATACAGGCATGTGCCCCTCTGTGACGAACCTTCCAGGGGAAGGATCAGGCAGCAATATTTGCTGTTTGGCAAAATTTGCTGTTCTGCAGCCTCTGCTGGTGTTACCCAGGCAAACAGATTCTGGAGTAAACTCCAGCAAACTCCAACAGACCTGCAGCTGAGGGACCTGACTGTTAGAAGAAAAACTAACAAACAGAAAGGAATAGCATCAACGTCAGCAAAAGGGCCATCCACACTAAAACCCCATTTGTAGGTCACCAACATCAAAAACCAAAGGTAGATAAAAACATAAAGATGGGGAGAAACCAGAGCTGAAAAGCTGAAAATTCTAAAAACCAGACAGCCTCTTCTCCTCCAAAGGATTGCAGCTCCTCACCAGCAATGGAACAAAGCTGGACAGAGAATGACTTTGACAAGTTGACAGAAGTAGTCTTCAGAAGGTTGGTAATAACAAACTTCTCCAAACTAAAGGAGTATGTTCTAACCCATTGAAAGGAAGCTAAAAACCTTGAAAAAAGGTTAGACGAATGGCTAACTAGAATAAACAGTGTAGAGAAGTCCTTAAATGACCTGATGGAGCTGAAAACCATGGCACGAGAACTTGATGCATGCACAAGCTTCAATAGCCGATTCGATCAAGTGAAAGCAAGGATATCAGTGATTGAAGACCAAATTAATAAAATAAAGCAAGAAGACAAGCTTAGAGAAAAAAACAGTAAAACAAAATGAACAAAGCTTCCAAGAAATATGGGACTATGTGAAAATACCAAATCTACATTTGATTGGTGTACCTGAAAGTGACGGGGAGAATGGAACCAAGCTGGAAAACACTCTTCAGGATATTATCCAGGAGAACTTCCCCAACCCAGCAAGGCAAGCCAACATTCAAATTCAGGAAATACAGAGAACACCACAAAGATACTCCTTGAGAAGAGCAATCCCAGAACACAAAATTGTCAGATTCATCAGAGTTGAAATGAAGGAAAAAATGTCAAGGGCAGCCAAAGACTAAGGTCAGATTACCCACAAAAGGAAGCCCATAAGGCTAACAGTGGATCTCTCAAAAGAAACCCTACAAGCCAGAAGAGAGTGGGGGGGCCAATGTTCAACAGTCTTAAAGAAAAGAATTTTTAACCCAGAATTTCATATCCAGCCAAATTAAGCTTCGTAAGTGAAGGAAAAATAAAATCCTTTATAGACAAGCAAATGCTGAGAGATTTTGTCACCACCAGGCCTGCCTTACAAGAGCTCCTGAAGGAAGCACTAAACATGGAAAGGAATAGCCAGTACCAGCCACTGTAAAAACATGACAAATTGTAAAGACCACCAATGCTATGAAGAAACTGCATCAATTAGTGGGCAAAATAAACAGCTAAAATCATAATGACAGGATCAAATTCACACATAACAATATTAACCTTAAATGTAAGTGGGCTAAATGCCCCAATTAAAAGACACAGACTGGCAAATTGGAAAAAGAGTCAAGACCCATCAGTGTGCTGTATTCAGGAGACCCATCTCACGTGCAGAGACACACATAGGCTCAAAATTAAGGGATGGAGGAAGATCTACCAAGCAAATGGAAAGCAAAAAAAAAGCAGGGGTTGCAATCCTAGTCTCTGATAAAACAGACTTTAAACCAACAAAGATCAAAAGAGACAAAGAAGCCATTACATAATGGTAAAGGGATCAATTCAACAAGAAGAGCTAACTATCCTAAATATATATGCACCCAATACAGGAGCAACCAGATTCATAAAGCAAGTCTTTAGAGACCTACAAAGACACTTAGACTCCCACACAATAATAATGGGAGACTTTAACACCCCACTGTCAATGTTAGACAGATCAACGAGACAGAAAGTTAACAAGGATATCCAGGAACTGAACTCAGCTCTGCACCAAGCAAACCCGATAGACATCTACAGAACTCTCCACCCCAAATCAACAGAGTATATATTCTTCCCAGCACTACATCACAATTATTCTAAAATTGACCACATAATTGGAAGTAAACCACTCCTCAGAAAATGCAAAAGAACAGAAATCACAACAAACTGTCCCTCAGACCACGGTGCAATCAAATTGGAACTTAGCATTAAGAAACTCACTCAAACCCACACAACTACATGGAAAGTGAACAACCTGCTCCTGAATGACTACTGGGTACATAACAAAATGAAGGCAGAAATAAAGATGTTCTTTGAAACCAATGAGAACAATGAAACAATGTACCAGAATCTCTGGGACACATTTAAAGCACTCTGTAGAGGGAAATTTATAGCACTAAATGCCCATAAGAGAAAGCAGGAAAGATCTAAATCAACACCCTAACATCACAATTAAAAGAACTAGAGAAGCAAGAGCAAACACATTCAAAAGCTAGCAGAAGGCAAGGAATAACTAAGATTAGAGCAGAACTGAAGGACATAGAGAAACAAAAAACCCTTCAAAAAATCAATGAATCCAGGAGCTAGTGTTTTGAAAAGATCAACAAAATTGATAGACTGCTATCAAGACTAATAAGGAAGAAAAAAGAGAAGAATCAAATAGACACAATAAAAAATGATAAAGGGGATATCACCACTGATCCCACAGAAATAGAAACTACTGTCGGAGAATACTATAAACACCTCTATGCAAATAAACTAGAAAATCTAGAAGAAATGGATAAATTCCTGGACACATACACCCTCCCAAGACTAAACCAGGAAGAAGTGGAATCTCTGAATAGACCAATAAGAGGTTCTGAAATTGAGGCAATAATTAATAGCCTACCAAACAAAAATGTCCAGGACCAGATGGATTCACAGCCGAATTCTACCAGAGGTACAAAGAGGAGCTGGTACCATTCCTTCTGAAACTACGCCAATCAATAGAAAAAGAGGGAATCCTCCCTAACTCATTTTATGAGCCCAGCATCATCCTCATACCAAAGGCTGGCAGAGACACAACAAAAAAAGAGAAATTTAGACCAATATCCCTGATGAACATCGATGTGAAAATCTTCAATAAAATACTGGCAAACTGAATCCAGCAGCACATCAAAAAGCTTATCCACCATGATCAAGTTGGCTTTATCCCTGGGATGCAAGGCTGGTTCAACATACGCAAATCAATAAATGTAATTCATCACATAAACAGAACCAACGACAAAAACCACATGATTATCTCAATAGATGCAGTAAAGGCCTTCAACAAAATACAACAGCCCTTCATGCTAAAAACTCTCAATAAAATAGGTATTGATGGAACGTATCTCAAAATAATAAGACCTATTTATGACAAACCCACAGCCAATAGCATACTGAATGGGCAAAAACTGGAAGCATTCCCTTTGAAAACCGGCACAAGACAAGGATGCCCTCTCTCACCACTCCTATTCAACACAGTGTTGGAAGTTCTGGCGAAGGCAATCAGTCAAGAGAAAGAAATATAGGGTATTCAATTAGGAAATGAGGAAGTCAAATTGTCCCTGTCTGCAGATGACATCATTGTATATTTAGAAAACCCCATTGTCTCAGCCCAAAATCTCCTTAAGCTGATAAGCAACTTCAGCAAAGTCTCAGGATACAAAATCAATGTGCAAAAATCACCAGCATTCCTATGCGCCAGTAACAGACAAACAGACAGCCAAATCAAGAGTGAACTCCCATTCACAATTGCTACAAAGAGAATAAAATATCTAGGAATCCAGCTTACAAGGGATGTGAAGGACCTCTTCAAGGAGAACTACAAACAACTGCTCTGCTCAATGAAATAAAAGAGAACACAAACAAATGGAAGAAAACTCCATGGTCATGGATAGGAAGAATTAATAGCAAAAATGGCCATACTGCCCAAGGTAATTTATAGATTCAATGCCATCCCCATCAAGCTACCAATGACTTTCTCCACATAATTAGTAAAAACTACTTTAAAGTTCATATGGAACCAAAAAAGAGCCCACATTGCCAAGACAATCCTAAGCCAAAAGAACAAAGCTGGAGGCATCATGCTACCTAACTTCAAACTATACTACAAGGCTACAGTAATCAAAACAGCATGCTACTGGTACCAAAACAGAGATATAGACCAATGGAACAGAACAGAGGCCTCAGAAATAACACCACACATCTATAACCATCTGATCTTTGATAAACCTGACAAAAGCAAGACAGGGGGAAGGGATTCCCTATTTAATAAATGGTGCTGGGAAAACAGGCTAGCCATATGTAGAAAGGTGAAACTGGATCCCTTCCTTACACCTTATACAAAAATTAATTGAAGGTAGATTAATGACTTAAATGTTAGATCTAAAACCATAAAAACCCTAGAAGGAAACCTAAGCAATACCATTCAGGACATAGGCATGGGCAAGGACTTCATGACTAAAACACCAAAAGCAATGGCAACAAAAGCCAAAATAGAGAAATGGGATCTAAACTAAAGAGCTTCTGCACAGCAAAATAAACTACCATCAGAGTGACCAGGCAATCTAGAGAGTGGGAGAAAATTTTTTCAATCTACCCTTCTGACAAAGGGCTAATATCCAGAATCTACAAAGACCTTAAACAAATTTGCATGAAAAAAACAACCCCATCAAAAAGTGAGCAAAGGATATGAACAGACACTTCTTTTTTTTTTTCTTTTTTCTTTTTTTGAGACAGACTCTGGCTGTGTTCCTCAGGCTGGAGTGCAGTGGCATGATCTTGGCTCACTGCAAGCTCCGCCTCCCAGGTTCAAGCCATTCTCCTGCCTCAGCCTCCCAAGTAGCTGGGACTACAGGTGCCCACCATCATGCCCAGCTAATTTTTTGTATTTTTAGTAGAGACGGGGTTTCAGCGTGTTAGCCAGGATGGTCTCTATCTCCTGACCTCGTGATCCACCCGCCTTGGCCTCCCAAAGTGCTGGGATTACAGGCGTGAGCCACCACGCCTGGCCTTGAACAGACACTTCTCAAAAGAAGAAATTTATGCAGCCAAAAGACACATGAAAAAATGCTCATCATCACTGGTCATCAGAGAAATGCAAATCAAAACCACAATGAGATACCATCTCGTGCCAGTTAGAATAGCAATCATTAAGAAGTCAGGAAACAACAGGTGCTGGGGAGGATGTGGAGAAATAGGAACACATTTACACTGTTGGTGGGAGTGTAAATTAGTTCAACCATTGTTTAAGACAGTGTGGCAATTCCTCAAGGATCTAGAACTAGAAATGTCATTTGACCCAGTGATCCCATTACTCGGTATATACCCAAAGGATTATAAATCATGCTACTATAAAGACACATGAACACATATGTTTACTGTGGCACTATTCACAATAGCAAATACTTGGAACCAACCCAAATGTCCATCAATGACAGACTGAATTAAGAAAATGTGGCACATATACACCTTATGTGGCACATATGGAATACTACGCAGCCATAAAAAAGGATTAGTTGGTGTCCTTTGCAGGGACATGGATGAAACTGGAAACCATCATTCTCAGCAAACTATCACAAGGACAGAAAATCAAACACTGCATGTTCTCACTCATAGGTGGGAACTGAACAATGAGGACACTTGGACACAGGGAGGGGAACATCACACACTGGGGCCTGTTGGAGGATAGGGTCCTGGGGGAGGGATAGCATTAGGAGAAATACATCATGTAAATGATGAGTTGATGGGTGCAGCAAACCAACATGGCACATGTATACCTATGTAACAAACCTGCACATTGTGCACATGTACCCTAGAACTTAAAGTATAATAAATACATATATACACACACACACACACAAAAGAAAAACATGATCAAGTTTGATATGTAGTTATATCAACTGTATTTTTCATAATTCCTTATATCTTGAAGATATTCCCATTTGCCTTGCATGCATATTTCAAACACATCCCAGATTATCATGTCATAGGGTGAGGCCAAATGCTTCAGCCATTTCTGGAATTTATCGAGTCTTATGTGATATAAGATTAGAAAAACATTTATATCATCTACTCTAATTTCCTTATTTTAAGAATGAAGATACTGAAACATAGATATGCTCCGTGACTTTGCTGAGATGGTACAGTTGGAATATGTAGGATGGCTTTCAACTATGTGCATTGGAATAACTTCAGACATTATTAGCACATTTCAAAACTAAAAATTTAATCTAAAATATCTTGACTCCAAAATATTATACTCCTTATTAAAGTAATTAAATAATGCCATTGATCATCACTTGTGGTAGCTATTCAGTGCAACTTTGGCCATTATCTCTAGTCCAGTGTCAATGTGTTTGATAACTAAATTATGAAATTAATTGTCAAGCTTCACAAAGAATAGTCCCATCAATGAGTAGGATCAAAAAATTCTATTAACAATGTTACATTGTTGAAAATATTTATATGTTTGTATTATATATGTGCATATACATATTTGTGTGTCTGAATGTGTATATATAAACATATATGTATATTTACAATAGTCAACTCAATTTAAAAATATTTACATCTACATTTCTCTTCTAGTAGGTAAGTTGTCTGAATTGAGGTTTGGGCTATGTTAATTAAAATTTTGTATTAGGTCTTCCAGATGGGCTGACTGAAATTTTAATCTCATTTAGGTTAAAATGGATAATTATTTAGTCAATGACCTAATTACTGATTACTAGGCCTAGATGTCTTACAAAATTTAAGGATGTATTTTTGATTCAACTTTTTTTTTTAATTTCTTCCTCTTGAGTATGTGACTTTAATGTATATAGTTGAAGATTACCTAGCTTGGGCTCCGGACACTTTCAGAGGCAAAGACTCTGTATAAGTTCCTTGGTCATAAAGAATCTTTGTATGATATCTTTCTCAGATGCTGGTTCTAGTAGTAATATGCTGGGTGTGTGGCAGGTTCACTGTTTCCTGTGGGACCAGAATGGCAGAGGTCCCATGAATCATATCTCATTCCCCACTGGTATGTTCTTTTAAGTATTTTTCTCTGTATTGTTTCCACTATGTTGAACAGTTCAACCTTTAGGCTGGTGGGATGTGCTTTTGGGTAAAAACCAGCTACAACTGCAGCAGGTTGGTATATGCAATACTGTAAAGATGGGCAAAGATCCCAGCCTTAATAGAAGTGGCTGGGGGAGCACTCAGTGAAATGCACGGAGGTCCTTTCAGGGAGATGAGAGGGAGTTACTTCAGCTCCCCTTCCAGGCCAGCAAAAAAGCAATCTACCCTCCAATTCATGCTCCTATCCCAGTGTTACAGCTATTCAGATCAAACAGGCATTTCTTTCCATCTATAGCAATGCTGATGCTCCAGGTAGATAGCCACTGAGACTCTACCCCTTGTGCAAACCTTAACCTATAGGGCATCCCACCTATGTGGATGCAATCACCCCAAAGTAACCCAGAAAGGCCATCTATAGGGACACCTGTGCTGAGCTCCCATGGGAGAAGCCCCAGCTGTGTCTGCGGTGGTGGCTGAGTGGGAGAAGGGGCCCATTCTCCAAGTCCCTTCATAAGCAACAAAATAAATAATCAACAGAGTAAACAAACAACCTACAAAATGGGAGAAAATATTTGCAAACTATACCTCTAATAAAGGACTAATATCTAGAATCAAGAAGGAACTCAAATCAGCAAGAAAAAAAATCCCATTTAAAAGTGTACAAATGACATGAACAGATATTTCTCTAAAGAACACATACAAATGGCCAAAAAGACATGAAAAAATGTTCAACACCACTAATCATCAGGGAAATGCAGATTAAAGATACCACTTCACCCCAGCCAGAATGGCCATTATTAAAGTCAAAAAGTAATAGGTGATCTGCAGATGTGGTGAAAGGGAAAGCTTTTATGCTGCTGGTGGGAATGTAAATTAGTACCACCTCTATGGAAAGCAGTATGGACATTTCTCAAAGAATTAAAAGTAGATCAACCATTCAATTTCTTTGCTTAGATGACCAGTTCATTTGCAAAATAAGTTATTGTATAAATATCAAAAAGACACCTGTGTATGCATGTTTATTGCAGCACAATTCACAACTGCAAAGATATGGAATAAACCAAAGTGCCCCTTAACCAATGACTGGTTAAAGAAAAAGTGGTGTATATGTGCCATGGAATACTACTCAGCCATAAAAATACAAAATAATGTCTTTTGCACAACTTGGATGGAATTGGAGGCCATTATCCTAAAGGAAATAACTCAGGAATAGAAAACTGAATACCACATTCTCTCACTTATAAGTGAGAGCTAAACTATGGCTATGCAAAGGCATATAGAGAGGTATGACATTGGAGACTCAGACGGGGAGAGGTTGGGAGCAGGGTGAGGGATAAAAAATTACCTATTTGGTCAATGTATACTATTTGGGTGATGGGTACACTAAAAGCCCACACTTCACCACTATACAACTCATCTATGTAGCCAAAAGCTACTTGTACCTCTAAAGTTACTGAAATACAAAATAAAAAACTTTTAAATCAATACAGTTTAAGGATGTTTTCAGTTGCCTTGAGAAGGGATAACAATATTTTCAAAACTACATCTTTATTAAATTAATAACTGGACATTTTTTATACTGTATATTACTTGTCCTCTAAAGGATTACATAAAGTTTGGTGTCTATATTGAAATAATTATGCAAAAGACCTAGAAGTGGCCTAGAGGACAGCAACCAAGATTTTTAAAGAACAGCAAATTGAAACATTGGAAAAATGCGTATGAAGATTCAAAATTAACCAGACAGTGACTAATTTTTTCTCTAGTTCCCCAAATAACTATATGAGCGAGAAATTATGTTAGTTTCTATTGTTCAAGATGACAGTAAGAGTTGACTTTTGATTAAACACATGAATGGCCTCACCAGTAGTATAATAGACATTTCACCTCATCTCAGGGGAACTATGAGGATATAATGGTTAAAGATAAACATCTGTCTGAGTAATTTAGCTGTTCACTTAATTTGGGATGATATAATCTAGCCATTTGAGTCTACTAGCTTCAGGATTCCCCCATGTTTTACACTCTTAAACACATTTCTCCTCCTGACATTTATTTTTGGCCATCAACTTATAGCAATAATTCCAGAAATGAAATTGCATACTGGAAATAGTTTTAAAATATAAATTATTATTCGGGACAAAATTTAAACATAATGAGTGTGATTAAAATCACTTGCAGCAAAGGCAACTTGTGTGGCAATGTCAGTCAGTTACCAAAAAACAAAGAAATTGCCATTTCTTTTCAAGCTTTTGAAATCCAGACATTTTCACTTTCAGTAATGATTAAAATGAAATTACGATTGACTTGAGTGTCAGAAAATCACAGGAAAGTTTCAAGATCATTTTCTAAGATAAAAACTTCTTTATGATGATGTAGGAGCTATTTATTTTCATTGAAAAGCCAAAAATATTTAAATTAATTGAGGAAAATAAAAATAAAATTTAAGAGAAGAGAAATGGAAGTGCAATATAAAAAACAGAAAAGAGGAAATAAAACATCACAAATTCAAAATGAGGGAAAATAATGTTTTTTCATACACAAGAACAGGTACATTGGGTCTTTAACAAATATAAACAGAATGATGTTAATACTGTATTCTATATTCAGTAACAATTTAGTATTTTAAATTTTTCTATTCAAAATCAAAACTTTATATAACAAACCTATGCAGAGTCATTCATTTGGGAAAAAGACAACATTTATTGAAGAGCATCTACTGGTTCCAGCTCCTGTTTTGAATGCTACACAGGATTCATAGATTAACATTGTCCTTATGGAAAAGTTTGGCTGTGATTATGATTATAGTGGAGTCATTAGAGAAACCAATGGGAGAAGAAAAAATGTAGAAAAGAAAGTCAAAGGGTGATACCTATTTAAGAATTTGCTTCTTTACTAATCACATAGGTCCTTTTTTCCTATCCCCAACACCCAAGTAATAATATAAATGTAAATACTATGTTCCTGTTCCCAAAAATGTTCAAGAAAATAGAACATACGTGTAAAAAAAATCAACAATTTAGAATGCTTAAAGAATACAACAAAAGTAGAATCTTGAGACATACTAAAATTTGACTGATGAGAATTACTGATATGGTTTGGCTGTGTCCTCACCCAAATCTCACCTTGAATTGTAGCTCCCATAATCTCTGTGTCTTAGTAGTGAGTTATAAATTCAGATAATCAACTTAGAGAAAAGGTATAATGATAACAATTGATTAAGAAAGCAAGGGAAACTAACTTCCATTGAGATCCAGGCATGGAGCTTGATGCTTTTTCTAATCAATCTTTCCTTTTATTTTTATATTACTAGAAAGTAATTGTGTTCGTCAGGATAAAATTTCAAACCCCCCAAAATAAAAAAGTTGGAAAATTCCAAATGTTGACTTCATGTGAAGCAATGAGAACCTTCATCCATTGCTGTTGGGAAAACCATTTTGGAAAATAGACTAATAACCTAAGATCCAATAATTTCTGTCCAAATATAACTGTCTTAGCCTGGATTTTAAAATAGACCCTTAATGCCAATGGTTAATGTGGAAATTGCAATCCCAGAGCCAAGAATGCTAGGAAAAATGAAAGTGAGACAGGGAAAGACTGAAAGCAATGTGAAGTCATGAGTTAATCTAGTGGCTGCTGCTCCAAGATGTGCTGAGAATGGACAGCAGGTGGTTTTTTGGCAGCTGTGCCCTGGTTATGGGATGACTCTGAAAAGACTATACTGAAGAAAAGATGCATTGGTACAGTATACTGGCTGATTGCAGGAACAGGGAATTTGTCTTTCCATTCCTTTTGGTTTCCTTTTTTTCATTGGTTAGTTTGCTGCCCAAGAGACTTAGACCATTCTAGGTTGCATCACTAACCCTCTGGCAGTTGCTTGGGAAGCTGGATACCTTGCTCTGTGACAGTCACTTCCTTTAAGACCATAAGAGGCAGGAAGAGCCCGAGAATTTAGGTGTATGTCCAGTCCACTTTAGGTGACAACATGTTGGTCTTGGTAGCAGCTGGGGTTTATAAAATGCCAAAGATGAAGCTGAATTTTTTTAAACTGTGAGGAGATGTATTAAAAATGTCCAAAACAAAACCTTAGAGAATTTCTGGCATATGTATAGTAGCAGAAAATAGTTCAAAACCAGAAAGAAAAGTGATATAATCTGAATATCCATTTAAGGAGAAAGACAAAAATTGTGGCATAGTGATACAATGAAATAATAAGCCATTGTCAAAATGAGTGAATGATCACCACAAATATCAACATGGATAAATCACAAAATAATACTGAATGAAAGAACCAAGTCAAAGATGAATGTATGCAGTGAGATTCCAATATATAGTTTAAAAACAGCAAAAAATAAAATAGTACATTAAGTAGGAATACGTATATATATGGCAAACTTCAAACAAGGGCAAAAAAAAATTAGGCTAGTGTTTGCCTCTAGGTTACAGGTACATGTAATCATGTACCTGTACATGGGGTACATGGGGTCAGACTTTGAAGGCCCCAGTAATAACTGATTATTTAACCAGAGAATATGTGGGTATTCATTTGTTATACTCTAAATTATTTACATATGCATTATATAACATTGACTTCTTAAAAAATATTCACTAATTGAACTCTGCTCTGTTCCTTTCTGCCAAAAGGAGATACAAGATGCAAAGAGCCTCTGTCTTTCAATCATCATGTAAAGAAATGCTGTCCACCAACCAGGAACACCGACTAAACCATTACATGTGTAAGAAGTAAACTTCAATTTTATAGTTATGGGGGCTACTTATTCAGAAACTAGCCACACCAAAAAAAAAAAAACCTTCAGTTTTATATTTATGGTGGCTACGTGTTCAGAAACTAGCAATACCCACATATGTGTGTGAGTGTATATGTAGAATGTATATTGCAACAGAAAATAAGAAATGTACATGTAACCTATGAAGCACGATTATAAAAACCACCATGTTCCCCTTATTTAACTTAGGAAGTAGAACATTCACAACTTTTTTGAAATTCTCTGTGTGCACTTGTGTACCACACAGGTTGGGAAAAAAGATACATTGAAGAACTCTTCTCAGAAATATAGACCCTAACTTCAGGGCCTTTGTACTTTCTGTTCCTTCTACCTGGATTCATCTTCTTCCAGATACCTGTGCAGATACCTGTACCTCCTTCACCCATTTGAAGTCCTGCTACTTTATATCTTTTAATGTAGCTTTCTCTGGTCATGATATTTAAAATTTCACACATAACTCTCCCAACAAGTGTCTATTACTATTTCCTTTTTAAAATTTTTATCCATAGTATTTATTACTTCTAACTAACTGGGTAATTTACTCATTTTATTTATTTTTTATCTTTCCCTACTAGAATATTAATTAGATCCATTAATTCAGGGATTTCTCTCTGTTCTGTATCTATAATACATAAGGCTGTACTTGGAGTTACTCAACACATATTTCTTGAATGAATGAATTCATGAATGAATGAATGAATGAATGAAGACTGTGCTGTCAACACAGCCCAATAAACTGTGATATTTGCTAGGTCACAATTTGTAGTTGGCCTTTGAAAACTGACCACTCTTTCATTGGCATAGCCAACCTTTTGATGTTTTGTGAACTTGCTCAAACTTATGTGTACCTAAATATATCTCTATCCAAAGAAAATTCTGCTCATATTCAGAATCTTTCAGTCTAGTCAAGTATAATGGTCTCTTCTGTATACCTATCTTTAGCTGAAGTTCAACTAAGACACGCAGACTTAGATCATCAATTCCTGTACATCAAAATCTCCATTTGAAGATTTATTCTCTAGCAGCAGGATTCCCTTTATCAAATAGGTAGCGACACTTGGATCATGAATCACCCCTTACGGCATAAAGCCTGTACATCCTACCTTGTTTTACAATCTTTACGCCTCAACCTACTCAGAAAAGAAAGACTTCCCACCTCGTGTCCCCCAATGAATCTATCAGTTAAAATCATTTGTCTCAATAAAGCCACAATTCTTTTAAAGAAAAAAGGGGGAAAGGGGGAACAGCCATACTCAGAGAATGGCTCAGTTTTTTTCCTTGATTGTGTTAAAAAAAAAACCTCTCATGTGCTGTGCTCCTAAGCCATAGGAATCCTTTCAAAGGCAGCTGTGTATTTCTTTTACCAATGAATTCCAAGACTAAAAAAGACTCCCAAAGCAAATAATAATAATAATAATAATAATCTTGAACTAACATGATTCTCAACAGGAGGTGAAGACAACCCTCCTTCTCCCTGAAGCCTATATGTGGATTTGGCAGTCTCTTTACCTGTGAGAGTTTATTCCAGTTGGAGAAGGCCTGATCCTGGCTCCCTTCTGCCGGGACTTTAGAAATTCATGGTCAGTAAAACCATTTTGAGGAAAATAATTATATTTATATTGTTTTTAAGAAAAAAACCACTTGAATGACCTGTCATATTATTGTCATAAACCCTGAGTATTCTTATATAAAGAGTTTGTATTTTCCACATAATGAAGGAATTAAAGTTGCTTATCTATATGAAAAATGCAGCTGGTTTGTTAAACGTACATTTTTTCTAATATAACCATTTATTGTTTGTTAATATTTTACAGAAAATAGCATTAAACTTATAAAATTTAAATGTCTTAAGTGGACTTTGTAAATACTGTCTAGCATACTTTCATGATGACAAGATTCAGAACAAGTATAATTTTGATATGAAGACATCTTTAATACAACCTGAATAAATAAAACTCTGAGTAAGAGGGCTCTGAGAGATTTCAACATTTATTTTTATCAACTGTCTGCGAATGCTGTTTTATCTCAGAGCCCTGTCCCCCCACTGTAAGCTGAGTCAACAACTATTGATCTGCCCCATTTTTTTGTGAGCACCTACTAATTCAAGGTTGCAAACTCTGACATCAGCAGAATTCTTACTAGCTTGAATTAAACCAAAGAAAATGGAGCTTATAGTTTTCTGCTTCAGTTAAAAAAAAATACAGTACACATTTTAATTTTAATGAGTGTTTTGAAAGAAAAATACAGATTTAATAAGTATAATAATTATGGAAACCTAAGGAAGGAAGATTGCAGATTTCAGCTGAGATCTGGAAAATGGGCAGAAATTGATCAGACAGGCAGTAGATGAATGTGTATTCCTGGTGGTGTGAATAGTATGTGCAAAGGCCCTATGGCAGAGAAGAGTTTGATGTAATCAAGAAATTGGATTTTAAACATCTTGTGTCTAAAGTTAATAAATAAGAATATATTAGTTCAGATTTAAAAGAAATACTCTAATAAATAACAGGAAGTCTCAATAGCTTAATATAAGTAAAATGTATTGCTTACTGCTGTCCAAAGCTGGTCAGATGGCTCTCCTCCAAGCGGTGCCTTAGGCATAAAGATTCTTTTTTTAAAATTTTATTATTATTATACTTTAAGTTTTAGGGTACATGTGCACAACGTGCAGGTTTGTTACATATGTATACATGTGCCATGTTGGTGTGCTGCACCCATTAACTCGTTTATTGTGTGGTTTTACCATTTAGAATACTTCTCTTCCAAGAGAGAGAAAGAGGGAGACCATTTTGAAAATGTTAGTATTGCAAGTGGGATATGCCCCTTCTACTCATATTCCATTAACGCAAATTGTTCATCTGCCCCCAACTTAGCTGCAAGGGTAAATGATAAGTATATTTTTTCTTTCTTTTATGTTCAGAAAAGCTAAATATTGACATGATCTTTGCCACAAAGACAAAAGAGAGATAAAAGCTGAGGCGAGAAGGCTAAGCAGGTGCCACAAGATACAGAGTCTTAAGGTCCACTAAGGCATTGAATTTTATCTAAAAAGAAAATTGGAAGCTAAGGAATGACTTTAAGCAGGAGAGTGATATAAAATCATTTGCACTTTTGAAAGATCACTCTGATTTTAATGTGATTAAAGAGAACTGGATGTACTGCTCTGAGGCTCAAAAAGAGAGGAAGACTAGGAAACAAAAGTTAGGATTTGTTGCCCTGTAGGAAGTAATTAGGGTAAATGGGTGAGTTTGCATTAGGGGGAGAAAAATTCAAATATTTTCCAAAATAAAAGCTGGTTAAAATTACTATTATTTTTCATTTAATTCCTGTTTCAGTATAGCTCAAAGTCTAGTGAAATGGCTTCGGCTTTCAGATTAATAGCTATCATCATACTGTACATTCAGAAAAGGGAGAGAAAGGAGGGTATGTGGATGTGACATTTTATTTTCCTTTTGCCATCTGGAGAGTGCTGATACAGTACATGTAGCTTTATTGTACCTACTTCTTGGACTAATTTTGGAAACATCACAAATAGCCTACATTTTTATTTCTAGAACTTTTAAAAAAATGTGTGAAAACATTTAAGTGTATGGATGAGTCAAAGGATAACTTTCTGTGAGTCACTGAGCAGTAAAGAATAGAAATGCCAGTTTCAATCTCTAATAACTGACAGTTTTAATAAACATTTATAAAACAAGAATATCTGTACCATAACATGAAGTAGGATGAAAATGCAATGCAGTGTTCTCCCTTCATTAAAAGCTCCTGAATATGAAAACTTAATGACTAATTGATAAAAGGTCATCCCTAAGGCACTGCAGGTGGGAAGGTGAAGGGGCAAGGGCCATGTTAGTCTAGGTCAGTTACGTTTCCCAGAGAAAACATGTGCTTTCAGGCAAAATCTGGTTTCAATACTATTAGGGTTTGTTTATTTATCCCAATCAATGGTCATATGTGTAACAAAATGAAGAGAAGGTATAAGCAAATATGAAGTGGTCTTTGCGTGTTTCAGTTACCAGTAAAGAGCAGAGCAAGGGAATGGCTCAGGGGATAAACAGTAGGGGGATTTTAGAAGCTCTGGTTAACATGATCTTCAAAGTCAGTTGCATATAAATATCCATTTTCTTACCCAAAGTTAACTGTATCTGATGTAATTACTCCACTACCAGTATAACGTAGTTGACATATACATTTTGAACTGGAATCATAGTTCTATCCCCAAAGTAATTTGTTTTTAAGAAACAGGGGTGTTGCAACTGAAACATCTCCTAATTATCATTAACCTAGTTGCCATAGTATCTCATAAATGCATGCATTTATATAGTTCAAACAGACTTCAAACCTTTTTTTTTAACATCACAGTGATTCTTTGAGAATCTGATGACAGCTATAGACCTGTGCTCCAGAAAATAAAATGCCACACATATAGTGACACTATTTTTTTTTTTGACCCCTGAACTCAACTAAGTATCAGAAATGTATGCCTGAGAAGGGGGATATCTTTTTCCAAACCTGGGACTTGTAATTCATTCTTTCAACTCTCGGTCCACTATCACACCTATCATTAAACATTTTCTTATGTTAATTCTATTTTTATGAGCATACATTTATTCTGCAGATTTTTACTAGCAGGAGGGCTTTGCTAACTCTGCAATGTGCTCCATAAAAAATTCACATAGAACTTGTCATCTGCTTTTAAACTCTCTCTTCAAAAGTGTAAGCAGAAAATTCCTGAGACCCTCTCAAATGGAGATGTACATTTCCCAATATTCTCTCTTCTCCGCTTTTCAAAATTACACAGTTCCATTTCTGTAATGTGACGTCCAGTACTAGGACATTACTTGAGCTGGGTTTTCACCACACTTATTAACAAATTATAGAGTTGGCTCTTCTGATTTATAAACTTTCTTTCCATAATGCATCCCTGTTTGACATGGTTCCAGCTACTGCAACTAGATCAAAGACAGACAGAGAGGAGAAACTAGTAGGTTTCTCTTTAATACATTTTCTGCTTTAATACATTTTCTCAATCCAAAAAGGGACAATTTTTGCAAAACCAGTGAGGTTCAGAATGGGCTTAAGTGACAAAGGGAGTCATTAGAGATTTTCTTCTAACTTATATTACAATCCTTCTAATCATCTCTACTGGTTTTCCTACATATTATTTTTAAACTTACTCTATCCCAGAAAGGTATTGACAACGAACAAATTTCATGTTTTTTTTTTTTATCTAATCCCTTAGCATATGAGTTAAGGAATTGTAAGAAAAGAACTAATAGTATTTTATGCCATGCATATAATGTACAAGCCCAAATCCAATGCTTTATAGTTACAACCTTAGGCTGAGTCTAAGCCATCATCATTGGAACCTAAAGATTTTTAACTGTAGAGAAATCATTAGGTCCTCTTTCTTTCCTGAACATGAAGAATATTTCTGCCTTGAGTGGAATGAAAGCAGCATGAGTACAGAATAAATTGACAATAGAAGAAACTAAAGTAAGATATTTCAGAAAGAAAAATAAGTCAAAAGCAAAAAGAAAAAAAAAAGTTGCCTGTTAGAAGACGGTTCTTGGAAAACTCCAAGAACACAAAGGAAGGGAATTAAATTGTTTAAGTTGCTTCCAGACTAATGACTTTAGCCTTATCTTTTGGACTATTCAATACCACATAAGGGAATGACAGACAATACCCAACAATGAGATGCGTGGGGTGGAATGAAACAGGGAAACACCAAGCAAACACGTCTAGGCACTATCATGGAAGATTAGACATTTACTGCAGGCATGAATGCTATTACTTCTAATGGTTACCTATGGGACAAGAAATATGAAAATATGTTCTGCAACAGGAAAAAATCCAGTTTATTTAAAAGAATATAATTTGATTTTAAGGTGCTTTAAAGACATCCTTTTGCAGAATAAATTTGACATCAGTAATGCCCCATCTAAATTTCATGTAGTTTGTGACTGGAGCTACAAGGACATTCAACAGGTAGCAAACTCTACAGTACAAACATCGAAATGTGAGAAGTCCTGGAGTCTCAAAATTACCTTCTACCCTTTACAAAACCTGGATGTTTCACAGTGAACCACCTCCTGAGTTAAACCCAATGTCTCTGAATATCTTCTTTGCAAAGCAGATTCTGTTACTTTAAAAAGAGGAAGTACATTAACCAATTAGTAACCATTCAGTAGCATGGTTGGGGATAAGCTATTTATTTTTAAGTAGATACTTAAGGTTTCTCCCTTGGCAAGACATTTGGAAACTTAAGAAATATGGGCAATGCTCAGAGACAACTGACACAGAGTGCCAAAATAACTTGCTGTAATCCAAAAGAGGAAAACCAAATGCTTAAGAGTTTGGGACAGCACGCAGAAAAGTGCTAGATTATAGAAAAGTATGGGCAAAGAGCACTGAAGACAACAAATATCCAAATTCAATATTGCCAAAGCCTGTGTGTTTGCCAGAATATTTTAGGTTAATGCTGGTTTTAATTATTTCCAACTCCATTCTCACTCTCAGAGGGGGTCTAATTTAATTTTTAAATGTTCAGGTCACCTCACCATAAGACATCCCTTTGAGATTGATGAATGGCCTAGATAGTAGAAGAGAAAGCCTTGTGAAGGGAACATTTTTGCATGTGGATATGAATGGAAATGTCTTAGCAAGATTGTTGAGGACATTGAATGCCAAGCTAAGACATTAGAAAGTTATTCTTTGAGACCAGAGTCTCTGGTTCAGAGGAATTTTTTTTCCCACTATGTCTGCTCTGTAAACGCAGTTCTGCTCATGAGTTCACTCTCACTTAAGGGAGTATGTATGCTTTATCATGCCACATATCTCATCTCTTCTTTCCCTGCACGGGTCACGTCATTTCTATTGCTGGTTTTTAATCCTATAACCAAACCTTTAATGTTCTGGTTCCTCAGGAATCCATAATGGGCTTTCTTTACTGTTTCCTCTACTATCTCAATTGACTATCTCCACAGACCCATAGCTTTAAATATCTATTTATGCTGCTGTCTACCACACTTACATCCCCAGCCCAATCTTCTCCTTGGGCTGCCCAGCAGGTACACACAACTAACTATTTGACTTTCATACTTAGATGCTTCACAGACATCTTAAAATGGAATTCTTGACTTCCACTTACAATTTCTATTTCAGCAAATTGCTCATGCCAGAAACCCATGAAGGATATTTAATTCCTCTTTTTGTCTCTCTTGCCCTTGATAAATAATCTACCAATATGTTCCATCGGATCTACCTCCAGAACCTACCTGGGATCCACCAAGTACCTCCTAATTCATTTTATTGACTTCAATCTGGTCACCATCCTCTTTCATCTGGCCTTACTGCACCTGCCTTCTCACTTGTCTCCCTGCTTCCATTCTTGTCCCTCCAATTCACTCTCCAAACATTGGCCACAGGCATCTTAAGGCACGAGATTCATGTCAATGTCTGACCTTTGAAGAGCTGTCTATTGAATAACACTCCATACTAAGGACGACAAGGTTTTGTTTGGCCTAGTCCCTATCATCCCATACCTCTCACACCACCCTTCTTCTTGGGCCTCATTCTTCATACTCCTTGCTCTTCTTTGGAGACATCTTGCTTTTCCCTAGTTTTGAGAGGTTTGCACATGCTTGTCTTTCTGCTGAAGTGCTCTGCTCTTCAAATGCACATGGCCATCTCATTTTTGTCTCCTTTAGGTTTTGGCTTAAATTTCACCTTTTCATGGAAGACTTCCTTGGATTCTGTCTCAGTCTATTATTTCTATAAAATATCATAATTAATAATCACTTCATGTATTTCTCTTTTTACTAATTCACTGCTTTTTCAAATATAAGCACCATTTCTGTGCTTTTTACCTTATGACTCCAGAGCTGTAACATCATAAGCACTAAGTAAATATTTGATTAATGAATATAATAGTGAATCAATTAATATTTCACAAGTGCCAATAAAGAAAAAAAAACTTGCAGAAAAAAATGAATGAAAGAGATTTGTCTTTGGTTTGCAGAAAGCTTGATGCCTGAAGTTTGTGTTGTAAAGAACTTATTGACAGGGATAATTTAAGAGAAAAAAGGATGTGGAGAGATGTGTTTTTTCTATAAGTTACAAAACATCCCCTTATAGGGCTGCTTCTGGGACCTATAAACTAGTTACTGATGTGCAACAAACTGGCTCTACTGTTAACAAGGCAGTATCCATTAAACTGACTTAAAGTTGATATCTGGACTTTATTTGATAGGCATCCTTACCATTTAAATGCTCAATCCCACTCTTGCAAGTCTAACATCCAATAGAAATTCATGGGGGAAGTTCACACCTTGGTATCTGCCTACTTCGCTATCTATTTATGTAGCAAAAGCTGTCAACATGACAAGAGAGATTTTTTTTCTTTGTTCAGGAAGTACACTAACAATATTAACAAAAAACCAGAGCAAATAGAATCCATGTTTTCCACCCATCTCAAGGTATGCAAAGATAAAGACCCTTTTGCATTGTTCCAAGTACCACATGTGTGTTCCCTGGTTTATAACTTTCTGCTTCATAGTTCCTTGTACCTTTCTGTTCTCCTTCTCTTCCACCAACCCCTGTGATTTCACACATTGAAGTTGCAGCAATAAGAAAGAAGGTTTAGGCAGCCAAAATGTAATCCTTTCCAATATAGTTATAAACAAAGAGATAGATACATACATAAATAGATGTACACATAGGCATAATTTTAACCTTTTTGATACTCCCATACATCATGGCCCTTTACTCCTAAGTACTTAATATGTATAGTACACTTTTGAATGAATGAATAAATGAATAGAGGTTTCTATTATCCTTTTGAAGCTACATATAAAGCATTAAGCATTAGTGTGACTGGATGTCCCAATCAAGACAAAGGCCATAATATCAACAAACTGAAACATAATCAAATAATTAGGCAAGTACAGTGTCATGTGTCATTTTTGGTGACAACCACCACCAAACTCAGTGGAATATAACAACAAACATTTATTCTCACATTCACAGGTCTATGGATGAGCTGGGTGGCTCCGCACTGTGTATACTCATTTTGGCCCCAGGTTCAAGAGGTATAAGCCACTCAGGGCCATGTTCTTCACATTGGGAAGTTCTGAAAGTCCCAGAGGAAGAAGCAGAAACATTTGGTGCCTCCAAAGACTTAGGTCTGTAACTGGCGCTCTGTCACCTGTGCCCATATTTCTTTGGCCAAGTCAGTTTATAATGCCAGTCTCAATAGCAATAGGGCAGGGAAATACATTTTTCTAAAGAAATTGGAGTGAAGAAAATGAATATTTGCTCAATAATAATCTACCACACTTTACTCTCTTGTTAAAAAATGTTCATGAAAAAATACCATTTCCAAATGAAGACACCCCAAATGTCTCATCCAATTATGGCATGAGACTAAGTCCAGAAAGCCTGCTGTGAGATATATATATAATCCTCAAATAGATGGATAGATAGATATCCAAACTTAGCCTCTCTTGATTCAGAGACGTAAAAACAAACAGACAAGTTACATACTCCACACTCCTAACATATGATAGTGGAATAACAAAAGAATAACTATAATAACATTTGCATTCAAAAAGCAGAAGACTAAATGGCACATAGCAGTCACTGCTCCCAAACAATTCGGAAACACTGCTAGACACATGTAAGTTTCCCCTACTCTAGGGTGGGTGATTTTCCTCCATTAGACTTCAGTTATTCTGCCAAGAATAGCTCCCTGGTTCACTGTTCTCCATAGGTTTTGCTCTGCTCTCTGGGAGGTTCTTCCTTTTTCATTATCTGGAATGTTGGCTTCTGAAAAGGGCATGGAAGAACATATGCTTTTTGGTAGGAACAAGAGTTCCTTTTGCATCTCAAATACAGCTGTTTCTTTTTCTTTTCTTTTTTTTTTTTTTTTTTTTTTTTTTTGAGACAAGGTCTCTCTCTGTCACTCAGGTCGGAGTGCAGTGGTGCGATCATGGCTCACCACAGCCTTGATCTCCCAGGCTCAAGTGATCCTGTCACCTCAGCTTCCCAAGTAGCTGGGGCCATGCCTGGCTATTTTTTTTTTTAATTTTTTGTAGAGATGGGGTCTTACTATGTTGCCCAGACTGGTCTTGAACTCTTGGGCTCAAGCAGTTGTTCTGCCTCAGCTCCCAAAGTGCTGGGGTTACAAACGTGAGCCACTGCGCCCAACTGCTCTGTTTCTTTTAGTCTAGTCTGGCAATGTTTTTGCCAACACAGTTCTTTCAAACATTTGTGTCTCAGACACAGCTCTTTAGGTATTTGATTCTAGTAAATTCTATGTGCCAAAATCTACACTCATAGTTTAACATGAGGCTATGCCATAATGGCTACACTTTTGATTGCTGAGAAATAGTTTTGTTTATAGCACTGAAATTTCTGAATTATTTATATTTCCTCTAAATTCTGCTTGCAAACAATCTGTTTTTCTCCTTGAGCTTATTTTTTTCTTAAGTACCTTTGCAAATGCCGTGAGTTGAAACCAGCTCATACTTTCAATATTGACTCAATAGCACCTAGACCAAAGTTACAAAATTATTCATTATATACATATTCTGTCCTCCAATTTAGAATAGGCTCGATTTTATGAAACATTTTGTCACTTGCTAAAACAGCTCACCATTTTTCCATGTCCTATTAAATTCCCCTTCAGCTCACCACTTGTTCCCAAAGCCAATGTTCTATATTTCATCTTAGTAATTTGAGCAATCTAATAGTTTAGCGTGTTTCTGTACCAGGCTGTCTGTTGTATTATTCAATATTATAAAACAAATTATGACAAACATATTGGCTTAGAACAATATACATTTATTATCTATTTCTATGAGTCAGTGATATGGATCTGGCTTAACTGCATTCTCTGCTATAAGGCCTCTCATGAAGTTGCAATTAAGGACTGGAATCTCATCTGGAAGTTCAACTAGGAAAAGGGTCTCTGGAACTGTTACATGGTTGTTGACAATATTTATCTCCTTGCAGCTGTAGGATTCATAATAGCTTGCTTCTTCAAAGTCAACAAAGGAAGAGACTCCAGCAAGACAGGCACTACAATCTTATCTAATCATGTAAATTTAATCACGTACATTCCATCACTTTGGCCCTATTGGTTAGAAGCAAGTCACAAGCGCTACCCACACTTGACGGCAGTGGATCATAGAAGGATGTGAACACCAGGAGGTGAGGATCATTGTGGGCACCATATCTGCAATCCACTTGGCATCACCAATCCTCACTTCTAAAGGTGGAAATTATATTCCCAGAATCTCCTAACCTGAATTTATGACTCTGGGTTGGAGTTTGCCAATGGGAGGAACTTTTACATAATGTGGAAGGTGGAGGTCAAATGAAAGCTATTATCTTAGAATGTTGTGGAACCCAGATGTAAAGAGTTCACAGACTTCTTCAGAAGCTCTTATGTTATGTAGTCAGGACAGCATCTCAGAGTTTTTCTTGAGTTCTGTCTGCTACACATACTTCAGTGCTTCTGGCTGAAATCATTAGTGACTTTTTAAAAAAATTATCTGGCTATGTTCTTCCAGGCCTTTATTACTCCAGTTCCTCCCTAATTAATATAAACCATAATGCCTGTAATAAGTATATATTTCCTTAATGGTTGTAAAGGTTCTATTTTCCTGACCAAACATAGACTGATACACATGTACTGTAGATATATAATTCCCAAACCTATCTACATAACTAAATATTGTTGGGAGAACTTTGAGAGGTCTATGCATGCCAAATAAGAATCCTTGGATAATAGGCCCTAAATTCTGGATTGTCAGGAAACTTTCCCAGTAGATTTTGCTATAAAACCAATTGAGGGAGTCAATGAAGCAGCAATAACCTATAAATCAGGAGACCTGGACTAAAGTCCCATTTCTTACACCAGTTAATCTGACATTTAATAAGTCACCTAATATCTCCATGTCTCTGTATGTGATATACAACACACCTTGGTATGTGAAAAAAATATTAGATTGTTTCTAAGTTTACTATGATCTGAAGTGTGATTCTGAGATTCTATTTCAAACAAAACATCCTTGTCTAGATTCTAATCCAAGCTCCATAATTTTCTAGATCCGTAACTTCCAGAAAGTTATTTCAGCCTCTGGGACTTAGTTTCCTCATCTGTGAAATGGGGATAATAATAATGCCTACCTCTGTGAGTGGTGATGACTCATAAATTTATCAAATTATATAATGCCTGTAAAGCATTCAAAACAGTGCCTGGGATATAGTAAGCACTATATAAATGTTTTTTACAATAAAATTTAATTTGGAGGATAACAAATATTTATCAATACTAATATTCTAAAGTAACAGTACAAAAATTCTAGAAAATGGGAACAAAAAATATATAAAAACAGCGTCCTTATGAAGTTCACAAGCTGATGCAGAGGATGGAGATATAAGCAAAGAATCTGAAGAATATATGATAAATGGTCAGTGCACAGGGTTCTGTAGGAGCCTTGGAAAAGACTAAATCTGCCCGGAGGGAACAGGGAAGGACTCTCCCCGAGGAGATGACATTTGAGTGGTTAGAAGGGCATTGCCTGGGGGGAGAAAGTGGTACTCCAGGACAAGAATTATATATTCACACAGAGAGAAAGAACAGACTGTCAAAAGTCTTCTTTTTTTTTTGCTGAGAGAATTGTACACCCTCAGCAAAGACCCATTAAAAATGAAATACAAGGCTGTTGAAAGTTAGAAATGTAATCAACAGCAGTTACCAGAAAACTTCAATTTAGTGGCTTAATTTTTCTCATACCAAAATATGTATGGGATAGATAGCCCAGTTCTGGTAAGATGGCCCAGTGGCATCTACCATCAAGAACCCAGGCAAGGCCTCTGTGTAGGGCCACACATACTGTTGCAGTGCGCAATGCTAAGGGCTGCCTGTGGCATCAATAGCAAAATAAATCCCATCTTTCATCCCTAGTCTTAGGCTCTTTCTATCGTTTGATCACCATTGTTAACACGTAGGAAATAATTTTCTTGTTGCAAAATGGTTGCTCCCTCTGCAGGCCTCATCTCTACTCTCAGACAGCAAGAGAGAAGAAAGACAAATGGGAGAAAAAATGACACCTCCTCACTTTGGGAGGCCGAGGCGGGTGGATCATGAGGTCAGGAGATCGAGACCATCCTGGCTAACAAGGTGAAACCCCGTCTCTACTAAAAATACAAAAAATTAGCCGGGCGCGGTGGCGGGCGCCTGTAGTCCCAGCTACTCGGGAGGCTGAGGCAGGAGAATGGCGTGAACCCGGGAAGCGGAGCTTGCAGTGAGCCGAGATTGCGCCACTGCAGTCCGCAGTCCGACCTGGGCGACAGAGCGAGACTCCGTCTCAAAAAAAAAAAAAAAAAAATGACACCTCCTAATGAAGCTTTAACTTTTATTCAGAAGGGATGCCCTCTACTGAGACTTTTAAACATCTCATTGCTCAGAACTCTGGCCCAATTTAGCTGCAAGTGGGGTAGGGAAGATTTAGCACACAGTCTTTATAGAAGATAAAAGCAAGAGAGAGAATGGATTGGATTGGAGGCTGGTATATATTGCCATGTCACGCTTTTCTTATTGCGAATCGTGCAACATCTTGAGCTTTGTGATTTTCATTCAACACACTGTGGTGAGCAGCAGTGATTTGCACCCTACTTCTTGCATTTCTTTCCACACTTTCTATGCACCAGTCAAGCTTGACTTATTTCAGTTTCTTGGACACGTCTTGCTCTCATTTGCCTCAAGATCTTTGCCTTATTCTTCCTTCTGCCTGAATTTCTATTTTCTCCCCTCTCTCCTCTGCCAAGCTAATTCCTGCCCATTTATCAAATTTCAACTTAAATCACTTCTTCAGGAGATTCTCACAAATGCCCAGGCTAGTTTAGTTCATCATGTTGTACCCAATAGAAGTTTATATTCAGCACACTTTAATTTCTATTCCATATCTGCCTTCTGCTGTACATTGTAAACTGCATCTAGGAAGGATTTTGTATTTGGTTACCTACCAGAGTGGCTGGCTAATGATACAATATTGTTGATGTGTTTGTTTAATCAAAGGAATGGGAGAATTGTAAGAATTTCTATGTGTTTTAGCTTTCTCTACAAGCAATGACTTACTGCTCCCATGCAACACTCCAAATACTTCAAAAATAATTTAATTTCTTGATTTTATACAAACATAGATGCTTAAAACAACACAGTAATAAATAGTAGGAAATACCAATTCAAGCATGTGCATATGAAACCACTCTAGGCCTACACATATGCTAACTTTGTGTAAGGGACATGAAACTCATCACCTCTTTTATGCTTAAATCTTTTCCCTGAAGCCACCATAGTTATTTAGGAAGAATCTTAATAATATCTCTTATCCTTATAAAAATATGATAATAAAAATTGACTTTCAGGATTTCTTGCTTCTTTTTCAAAATTCAATATTTTAGCCTAATACATTTTTTACGTACCTTATGCTAGCCCCTAAAACAATTTATAAGTTTGTTTTTCATTCATCAAATATACATTGTCTCTCTGCTTTATTTTAAACATTTCTTTTCTATATGCCAGATAATATTTTTCATTTTAATAAAAAGCATCTCAAGGTGAAAATGCGCATATTAACCCTAGAATTGCCATATGTCAGTTATCTAAAAATGAATTCCTCATTTCATGAGGAAGAAATTAAACCACTGTGTCCTCCAAAAACAAACATCAATATGTTGTACATTTTATTATACAAAATTTCTGTGGCATCTCATTAATAGTATATTCAATATGTAATACCAAAATGAGGATAACATTTAAAACCTCTCTTCTCAGTCTAAAACAAAGAAAATCAGTGGCTTATGCTGTCAATTAGTATCTATTATTGGCACTTAAATTCTGTTTTTTACTAACTTGCTGGCTTTTGCTTTATGATGGCTTCCTCTGTCCTTAATATAAAAATGATGGTTAGTCTATTCCATGGATTTTTTTTTTCCCTGTGGAGAAATCTGCTCTGTGACTTCATTCTACTTTTCTAAGTTTACAAAATATACTTTATATCTTCATTGCCACAGATGTTGGCTTTGTCGTAATGCAATTAAACATGAAACAATTAAATGATGCATAAAGAACATCAGTGTCAGATCAGGCTTTCAAACTCATTTGCAGACAGCACAATCATTTCCCCAAGAGAGTATATTTTTGAAAAAGCAAAATAGTCAATGTACTTTCCACTTATTTTCTGCCTCTTTATAGAAACAAACAAGATAGTACTTTATTTGCTTCAGTAGTCGTGTTTTCAGAAACTAAAGGAAAAGGATCTCATCAGTGCCAAGTTATGGGCAAACTCATTTTCTAAATTTAGAAGAATCTTGAAGTTGATGATACATCAAGCTGTGAAAACTGGTCAAGTGGTAAAGAAAAGCATACAATTAGGCTTGTTTCTGGTTGGCCTGGACACTAGGGAATGGAGAGACATAATCTCTGGTCTTGAACATCTAAGACTGTACTACACAAGTAAACAATATTTTTGTATTCTATTCAAGGTTTTATCAAGCAAACAAAAAAAGTTTTTTTAAAAAAGAGTAATTAAGATTAAGTAATAGCATGACATGTAGGAGTTTAAAACATGCAACTTCTAGTTAGTTGAAAATTTCTCCTTTGGGATACACATTTAGTTTCAGTTAAAATGAGAGCCTAAAGAATCCAACTTGATTTGCATATTAAACTCCTCTACAATGAAATTTTGGTTTCCCAAGTACTTCTTCAGCCCCAGTACTTCTTTTGCTAATTAGAATATCCTCCCAAAGGCCAATGTACCATATGACTCTATACATACTGTTGTTAAAGTACCTTTTATTGATCCTTTAAACAATGAATCTTATTTTTTGATTAGTGGTTTGATAGATTATTTTTACAGTACAGTTTAACTTTACATGATTTTCTGTCAAACTTCCAAATCCTATAATAACAATTAGATGAAATTTAAACTGAATACATATAAGTGTGTATAACATCTAAAATTACAAATTCAGGGGTTCCTTTGCTTAAAAAGTCTACCTTTATGTGTATGTCAACATTTTATCTTAGGTTTCATTTCCAATTTAAAAAATTGTAATCAAGTCATAAATGTTCTCAGTCTCCTCAAGGGTATCTCTCCCTCCTTTTTTGTCCCAGAGTTGTATCTAAATTGCTTAAGATATGCACAGTGTCAGAGTATCAGTTTACTCCCTGACTACTGTTCGTATCTGTGGACATTTGCTGAGATGTTTACTTTACCCTCTGGTCTCCTTTTGTTGATCAATCCATATCATTCTGAGTCTTCCTTATGTTTATTGACTTTGATATCTCTTTAGGCTTTGGTTCATTACTTGAAAAACATGTCTGTGAAGTTTATTTGCTTATGGGAATGATCGAAAAGAGAGAGAAAAAATATCGATTCAGAAAAGGGGAAAAATTTATGGAGCAATGTCTTTAATTTGCAAAAATGGATAGGAAATATTATGTAAGTGAAGGGGTTAGCCTTATGTGTGAAATAGAAAAATTAACCCTTAGTAACAGGAGAGAAGGTAGAGCAGATATGGATATATGCAGGTAAAGGGACAGATGTGTTTGTGGGAACTTGAAGAAGTTCGTTTCCAATTCTATTTACTCAATAAATTAGTAAGAAAGTTTATTAGCTGGCAATGAAAGTAGTGGAGCAACTGGGAAGTAATAGAGGAGTTAGGTTGTAAAGCAGATTTTGGAAATTAGAAAAAAGAGAAGAAGAAATGAATAGCCATCCAAGATAATGAGAAAGTAAAAGGACTATAGACTTCTGAGAATATTCTCATGTGTTTTTCAGGTACATGCAACTTCATGAGGATAGGCATTGAGAGTTGGGTTTTACCAAGATTAGTTTAGCCAAGCATGTGCTAGGAAGCAAGAGAAAGACAAGGAATTTGAAGATGTGTATAACTATAAATATTGTTTATATCATATTATGTGCATTACATTATATAGCTCTTACTACAAATTATTTCAGTTATTAGTTTTTGTCTCTCCTTCCCTGCTACAGCTCTTTGAAAATAGAAACTGAGTTTTATTCATCTTTGTATTCCTACCATCCAGTACAGATTCTGTCAATATGATATTTGCTGATTGAGCGAATGGATGAAATAATCTTTTTTCTTTCATAATATCGCCCTTGGTTATAAATAACCATTTTCTCATTATTACATGTAAACCTTTATTATCCAACTCTCAAAATCACCTTGTAGTAACAAAAGAAGGACGCTGTGTCCCCAGCCATTATAACCATATTTCAGGAAACAGGAGAATCCAGGGGAAAAGAACATTTTAAAAGTCCCAAACAACAACTTTTGCTTTTGTATCATTGTTGAGAACTGGATCACTTGGCTGCTTTCAACTTCAAGGGATGCTGGGGAATACGGTATTTTGGTTGAACACTGGAAGTTTAACTCAAAAACTGTGAAGGGTCTGAAATTTTACCCTATATGCAAGCAAACAAGTTATCCTGCCATAGTTTGATATGTAAATTCTGACAGGCGCCTCAGGATTTCTGGTTCATGGACCTAGGCAGTTAATTACTCATGGTTTGTGTCAGTTGCCCTCACTCCAGTTCCTCTTAAGACAGGAGGTTCTGAGAATCAGTAACTGCCTGCATATATAGTGTGTTTGCATCCCAGAAGAGGAACACCAAAATGATCAAACTCAGTGTATACAGGGAATTCTGGCACAACTACCGATCTTCTCTGGAAGGAAAAATACTTTTACTGTGAATGTAAACAAATATACTTTGGGGAGAGGAGAGATGGATTAAGCCTCTAGGTTTCTTACCCCGGAAAGTAAGTGATTGTCTCTGGGGAGACACATCTCTAAATCTCTTCTAAAGAATAAACTATTGTTAGCTTTTAAAGCATGTTAGTTGTTCAGTCATTCCCTAACCTTATCAGTGATTGCTCAGAAGGCCTAGACCATGCATCAGTGTAAAAATATTCATGGAGAATTATCTCCCGAGAGTTACATAATGAGAATTATGTTCACACAAATGATAATTCTATTATTAGGATGAAAAATGAAAAGGATATTTTGATAAAGAAACAATAGTTTCTGTCATAAGAAAAATTTGAGCTAAAATTTTAATTTTTGTATTATATCTTATTTTCATTATTTTTAAATTTTACCATTTATAATGTATTATTTCTTTTCATCATGAAGTACTTTAAGTAAGTTGCTCAAATTTTCTAGACCTCAGCATCATCATTGATATAAAGTGCAAATATAATTGCATAACCACATTGTTAATCCAATGTTAATAATTTCTATTTCTAATATATTATAAGTTAAACATATCTACTTTAGAAATCTATTAAATGCATTTCTAGAAAAGTAGGTGTTAAATGCCAATCAAAAATATATATTTAATTACCTAAAAATGTGTACATATTATTGTATGTTTAGGGTTTTTTAATATGTATCCTGACTGCAATTTGAAGCACATATTGGTTCTATGAATTGAGACTTTTTTATTAAAAAAATTGGTCATCAGTATATAAAATATTGCTTATGTCACTTTTTCTCTTTCCATTCTTCCATAAACTTCAATCGAATATGTAGATATATGACACTTTCAACAAGTCCCATTTATTTCCTATAGATGTTTTATTCTTTTTTTACTTCATGCTTAAGTCTGTTATTGTCTTCTGTCATTTTCTAGATCGCTACTCTTCCCTTTAGCTTTTTTGATGAAAACATTCTGAGGTAGTAACTTATGACATTTTTAAGTTCTAGAATTGCCATTGAATGTTTTCATGAGTTTTTACATGTAACTTTGTATATGCAGAACTGTGAGTGGATTCTTTTTTCTTTTTCCTTCCAACGTTTATTTTAGATTCAGAGTGTACATGTGCAAGTTTGTTACATGGGTAAATTGCATGTCACTGGGGTTTGGTGTACAAATTATTTCATCATGCAGGTAGTAAATATAGTACCCAATAGGTAGTTTTTTGATTCTCACTCTCCTCGCAACCTCCACCCGCAAGTAGGGCCCGGAGTCTATTGTTCCCTTCTTTGTGGCTTTGTGTGCTCTATGTTTATTTAGCTCCCACTTGTAAGTGAGAACATGTCGTATTTGGCTTTCTGTTCCCTCATTAATCAACTTAAGATAATGGCCTCCAGCTGGCCTTCCTATCCATGTTACTGAAAAGAACATGATTTCCTTCTATTTTACGGCTGCATAATATTCCATGGTATATATGTACCACATTTTCTTTATTCAATTCACTGTTGATGGGCATCTAGCTTGATACCATGTCTTTACTATTGTGAATACTGTTGCACTGAACATACAAATGCATGTGTCTTTATTATAAAATGATTTATATTTCTTTGGGTATATAACCAGTATTGGGATTGCTGGATCGAATGGTACTTCTGTTTTAAGTTATCTGAAAAATCTTCAAACTGCTTCCCATAGAGGCTGAACTAATTTACATTCCCACCAGCAGTGTATAAGTGATCTCTTTCTCCACAACCTTGCTAGCATCTGTTATTATTTGACTTAATAATAGCCATTTTAACTGTTTTGAGATGGTATCTCATTGTGGTTTTGACTTGCTTTTCTCTAATAATTAGTGATGTTGAGCATTTTTTCATATACTTGTTGGCCGCTTATAAGTTTTCTTTTGAGAAGTGTCTGTTCATGTCTTTTGCCCACTTTTTAATGAGGTTATTTGTTTCTTGCCTGTTAAATGGTTTAAGGTCCTTACAGATTCTGGATATCAGACCTTTTTTAGATCCACAGTTTGTGAATATTTTCTCCCATTCTCTAGGTTGTCTGTTTACTCTGTTGATAGTTTCTTTTGCTGTACAGAATCTCTTTAGTTTAATTCAGTATCAATTGTCAATTTTTTGTTTTGTTCCAATTGCTTTTTGTGTCTTCATCATGAAATCTTTGCCAGGGGGTCCAGAATATTTTCTAGGTGTTCTTCTAGGGTTTTTAGAGTTTTCGGTTTTATATTTAAGTCTTTAATCAGTCTTCAGTTGACTTTTTGCATATGTTGAAATATAGGCATCCAGTTTCAATCTTCTGCATATGGCTAGCCAGTTATCAAAGTGCCATTTATTGAATAGGGAGTCCTTTCCCCATTGATTGTTATTGTCAACTTTATCAAAAATGAGATTATTGTATGTGTGCAGTTTTATTTCTGGGTTCTCTAACGTGTTCCATTGAACTGTGTGTTTGTTTCTGTACCCATATCATGCTGTTTTGATTACTGAAGCCTTGCAGTATAGTTTGAAGTGAGGTTATGTGAGGCCTCCAGATTTGTTATTTTTGCTTAGGATTGCTTTCGTTATTTGGACTTTTTTGGTTCCATATGAATTTTAGAGTAGTTTTTTCTTATCTTGTGAAAAAATGTTATTAGTAGTTTGATAGGAATAACATTTAATCTGTAAATTGCTTTGGGAGTATGGCCATTTTAACAATATTGATTCTTCCTATTCCATTTGTTTGTGTCATTTCTGATTTCTTTCAGCAGCACTTTGTCCTTCTCATTGTAGATATTGTTCACCTTCCTAGTTAGCTGTACTCCTAGGTATTTTATTCATTTTGTGGCTATTATAAATGGGATTGTGTGCTTGCTTTGGTTCTCAGCTTAGTTAGACATTATTGGTGTATAGAATGCTACTAATTTTTGCACATAGATTTTGTATCCTGAAACTGCCAAAGTTGTTTATCAGATATAGGAGCCTTTGGGTAGAGACTATGGATTTTCTAGGTATAGAAACATATCTGTGATGAGAGATTATTTGACATCCTCTCTTTCTATTTGGATGCTTTTTATTTCTTTCTCTTGCCCGATTGCTTTGGCTAAGACTTATAGAATTATATTGAATAAGAGTGATAAGAGTGGGCATTCTTAGCTTGTTCTGTTTCTTAAGGGGAATGCTTCCAACTTTTTCCCATTCATTATGATATTGGCTGTGGGTTTGTCATAGATGGCACTTGTTATTTTGATGTATTTTTCTTTATTGAGCGTTTTTAACAAGAAGAGATGTTGAATTTTATTGAAAGCCTTCTCTGCATCTATTGAGATGACCATATGGTTTTTGTTTTTAGTTCTGTTTATGTGATGAATCACATTTATTGATTTGTGTATATTGAACCAACCTTGCATCCCAGGAATAAAGCCTACTCGATCATGGTGGATTAGCTTTTGGATGTGCTGCTAGATTTGCTTTGCTAGTATTCTGTGGAGGGTTTGTGCATGTATGTTGATAAGTGATAGTGGCCTCAAGTTTTCTTTTTTCATTGTGTCTCTGCCAGGTTTTAATAGCTGAATGACTGTGGCCTCCTCGATTTTATGGAATAGTTTCAATAGGATTAGTACTGGTCCTTTTTTATGTGTCTGGTAGAATTTGGCTGTGAACCTGTCTGGTCCAGGGCTTTTTCTGTTTGGTAGGTTTTTATTACTTATTCAACTTCAAAACTTGTTATTGGTCTGTTCAGGGTTTCAATTTCTTCCTGGTCCAATCTTGAGAGGTTGTGTTTCCAGGAATTTATCTATTTCTTCTAGGTTTTCTAGTTTGTGTGCATAGAGGTGTTCATAATTTTTTCTGAGGGATTTTTGTATTTCTGTGGGGTCAGTGTTAATGTCATCTTTGTCATTTCTGATTATGTTTATTTGGATCTTCTGTATTTTTCTCATTATTAGTCTAGCTGGTAATTTATCCATCTTATTTATTCTTTCAAAATACCAGCTTTTGGTTTCATTGATCTTTTACATGGTTTTTTGCATCTCAAATTCATTTTGTTCAGCTCTGATTTTGGTTATTTCTTTTATTATGCTAGCTTTGAGATTGGTCAGCTATTATATTTCTAGTTCCTCAAAGAGTGATGTCAGGTTGTTAATTTGAGGTCTTTCTAACTTTTTGATGTGAGTGTTTAGCACTATAAACTTTCCTCTTAATGCTGCTTTAGCTGTGTTCCAGAGATTCTGCTATATTTTATCTTTGTTTTCATTAGTTTCAAATAATTTCTGATTTCAGCCTTGATTTCATTGTTTACCCAAAAGTTATTAAAGAGCAGATTGTTTAATTTCCATGAAATTGTATGGTTTTGAGTGACCTTTTTCATATTGGTTTCTATTTTTATTGCACTGTGATAATGAGAGTGTGGTTGTTACAGTTTCAGTTTTTTAAAAAAATTGTTGAGAATTGCTTTATGGTCGAATGTATGCTTGGTTTTAGAGTATGTTCCATGTGCAGATGAAAAGAATGTATGTTCTGCTGTTGGGTGGAATGTTTTGTAGATGTCTGTTAGGTCCATTTGGTCAAATGTAGAGTTCAGGTCCCAAACATCTTTGTTAATTTCCTGCCTCAATGATCTGTCTAATACTGTAAGGAGGGTGTTGATATCTTTCACCATGATTATGTGGTTATGTAAGTCTCTCCATAGGTATTTAAGTATTTGTTTTATAAACCTGGATGCTCCACTGTTGGGTGCATATAAACTCTTCATGTTAAATTGAACCTTTTATCATTAGGTATTGCCCTTCTTTGTCCCTTTTGATCAACGTTGATTTTAAGTCTGTTTTGTCTAAATTAAGGATAGCAACCCCTGCCCTTTGTAGATCTTTCTCCATCCCTTTATTTTAAGCCTATGAGTGTCATTGCATGTGAAATGGGTCTCATAAAGATAGCATACAGTTAAGTCTTGCTTCATTACCCAACATTCTAAACTGTGCCTTTTCAGTGGCATATTTAGCCTGTGCATGTTCAAAGTTAATATTGATATGTGTGGATTTAACGCTTTCATCATGTTGTTAACTGGTTGCTATGCACAGTTTATTGTGTAGTTGCTTTATAGTATCAATGGTCTATGTACTTCAGTGTGTTTTTGTAATGGCCAGTAGCAGTCTTTCATTTCCATGTTCAACATTCCCTTAAAGACCTCTGGTAAGGCAGGTCTTATGGTAATGAATTCCCTTAGTATTTGCTTATCTGAAAATAATTTTATTTCTCCTTCACTTATAAAGGTTAATTTGGCAGGATATGAAATTCTTGATTGGATTTTTTTTTCTTTAAGGATACCAAATATAGGAGATAAATTACTTCTGGCTTGTAAGGTTTCTGCTGAAAGGTACTGTTAGTCTGATAGGGTTCCCCTTGCAGCTGACCTGCCTCTTCTCTTTTACCTTGGAGAATCTGATGACTATGTATCTTGGGGATTGTCATCTTATACAGTATCTCACAGGGGTTCTCTGAATTTCCTGAATTTGAATGTCAACCTCTCTAGTGAGGTTGTATAAATTTTTGTGAACAATATCCTCAAATATGTTTTCCAAGTTGCTTGCTGTCTATCTCTTTTACAGACTCCAATGAATCATAGGCTTGGTCTCTTTACATAAACCCATACTTCTCAGAGATTTTATTCTTTTATAAATTTTTTTCTTTATTTTTGTCTGAGTAAGTTTATTCAAACTCTCTTGGAGTTCTGAGATTCTTTTTTCAATTTTGTCTATTCTACTTTTAACACTTCCATAGGAATTATGAAATTATTGTAGTAAATATTTCAGCTCTATCAGATTAGTTTGGTTTGTTCCCAAAATCACTATTTTATCTTTCAGCTCCTTACTGGATTACTTAGATTCTTTGGATTGGATTTTCACTTTCTCCAGGATTTCAATGATCTTTATTGGCATCCAAGTTCTAAATTCTATGTCTGTTATTTCAGTCATTTCAGTCTGGTTAAGAACTATTGCTGGGGATCTAGTGCAGCGGTTTGCATGTAAAAAGACACCCTGGCTTTTAGAGTTGCCAGAGTTCTTGTGCTGATTTTTTCTCTTCTGTGTGGGCTAATGTTACCTTCATCTTTGAAATTTCTGTCCTTTGGATGAGGTGTTTTGCTTTTATATTCTTTGATGCCCTTGAGGGTTTAACAATGGTCTAAGTTGGGCTTAGACAACTATCTTTATTTCTGAATGATTTCAAGGTACCAAGGCTTAGCTCAGCCCTCCTGGGCTTTTTGCTCTAACCTTGAGGGACTGGAAACAGGCCCATAGCTTTGTTATCTGGCCTCTCAAGGTTAAGCACCTGCTTCACTGGAAGGACCGAGGTTCTCCCGGGCTGCTGGCATCAGCACTCCCTTGGGTGGTGCAAGCAAAAGCACTTTGTCAGGATGGTGGCAGCAAGGTGTGTGCATGTGTGTGCACAAGCAAAATGGTGGGGGAGGCTGCAGGCTGGTGCACGCTGGTAAGGGCCCATCTGCAAAAGCTCTCTGATGATTAGGTGGGGTCTGCCAGTGAGAGAGCTATGTGGTGGCCACTGGAAAGTGCCCCGGTTGGGCATCTGAGCCTATACTGCAAGCTGGTGCTGTCAGGCAAGGACTCTGTGAGAGGCCTACAGACATGGGGGCACTCAGATGAGACAGGCAAGATAGCCCTGTTCTGCCCAGGTCTGACAGTCAACAAAGGCCATAGCCAACTAGTGAGGTATGGTGAGCCTTAGGGGATGGGCATCCCTGAACATGCTCCACTGCAGCTGTTCCCATGCTACATCCCCTGGGCTCTGCACAGCCTGAAGTCCTGTCCCTGTCAACTCTCCAAATGTCTCTCTCTTCTAGCTCAAATGTCTGTGTTGGTTGAGGGGCTAGTATTCCTGCAGCTAGTATTCCAGAGGTCTGTAATGAGAGTGGGCCACTCCCTACCCATTTCGCTCATCCCTTCCTCATGAACCACTTAGAGCCAGGAACAATTCTTGGTTCTCAACAACCCTGTGCAGGGTTCCCGGCTTCCTCCCACTTCACCCAAGGATCTGTATCCTCCCTCCATCCACTCTCAGTGCCTTCCTCCTGCAGATCTACTCAGATCGTGCCCATCTTCTTGATGGTCTGGTCTCTCAGTGAGAGCTTTCCCTGGTTGTGGCTAGAAAGTCATCTTCAGAAAGAATGTGAGTCAATTCCTAACATGTGTTTTGTTTTCTTGGTCCGGTCTCCAGACATGTTTGGTAAAATTTTCTTATCTGCTAGACATTGCATGTGAAAAATGATAGCGATCTGGGTGACACTATCTTCCTTTAAAGATGACTTACTTACTGGTGCTTCTGGAGAACATTAAAGGCCAGAGTAACCCAAAATTAAAATGATTTCAAAATTGGGTTTTAATTTCTGTGAAAGTTAATTTATTTTGGTTTGTTCCTAACTCTGTAATTTAGCTATTCGGTGTCTCAATTGAAAGCTTAGGATGTTGACAAATGTCTGTTTTCCTCAGTGGATATTAAGCTGTAAGTTTTGTCTAACTCTTACAAGACTTCTGAAAACTTAGTTCAGCTTCTCAGCTGCTTACTTTCTGCTCTCTGCTTGGATTCTTGGCTTTGACTTTGCTCTAATTTTCTGCTGAGGCAGAAAATGCCTCAGCAGGAAAATATGCCAAATGTGGAGTTCACTATTTTTTGTGTTCCTTCCATCTGGAATTTTCTCTATATATAAGTTCTGGCTGCTTTGTTAGTCCTGGACCCCAAATTTTATCCTTCCGTCCTCTTAAGAATGCTGGAAACTCTGCTTATATTCCTGGACCTTTAATGGCCCTTTTGTCCTCCTCTTCTCACTCGCTCAGAATAGATTCAATAACAAGCAAAAATCCTTAAGGAGGAAATTGCTGAAAAATGTTAGACTCACATCAATGCTTTCCCATTCTCTCCAAAATTTTAGGTTCTTAAGTAATAATCTGTCTCGGTGGCACTCTAATTTCCATAAACTTAAAAAAAATTATCCAACTTTTCCAGTTATTCTTTTCAGGAAGGCTGCCCAGATTAAGATAATGAGTTATTGATGTAAATCCATTATTTCACTTCAGTATTTTAAATATAATCTTTAATAATGTAGTTATACTATATGTATATATATGACTTGTATTTTATTACTTTTATTTGTACAAAGTTTATTTTTACTTTTATATTAAGAATGACTGATTTTGACAATAAGTTTCATTAGACATAAATGAAAAGGCAAATATAGAACCAGTAATTATTTTCTCCCTAAGTGTTTGATGTCACCAATAATGATGGCTTGTAACAAAAGTAACAAATATTTACTGCTTACTACAGGCCAGACAATGTCCAAGAGTTTTATATATGCTTTTATTGAATTTTCACAACATCATAAAGTATTCCAATTAAATATATGTCAATTAAATAAATGTAGAAACTTTGGCTTAACTTGTCAAAGGTTTTATGCCAGTGCTGGGATTGATCAGGGAGCAGGTGTGAAGTAAACTTTGGGGGTAGGCACAGCAAATTAAAATAATAAAATACAGCTTAAGGGTGTTTACCTTTTCTGGGAAGATGGTTAAAATCAAATGAACCTTAAATCCCACATGAATGAGTTTCTAACAGTGACATTTCAAGCCTTGATAAACAAAGAAAGACATTTGGGCAAGTCAACAAAAGCATTACTGAGTTTGTACCTTTTCCTTGGCACATGAAAGTCATTAAGGCACAAGAAGAATTAAATCATAGCCTGGACTAAAGGAGGTCCTGGATTTGCTGCAAAGGGGATGCTCAGATCCTACCTCTTATCTCCTAATGGCCACACCTAGTTTGTGTGCACACAGCCTAGGATGAATGGAGTTCCTCTGGGAAGCACAGTGGATCTTTGTTATGCTACCACCTAGCCTCATGGTTAATCTAACGTATTTCATCTGAAAAGAATTCTGTAAAGCAATGTTTGATGTAAACATTCCAAACTTATAAAACGATAGAGAAGAGACAATAATAATAGGGTGAATGGAAGTTAGAGGAAAATTTCAGTATTTGGTGGCTTCCAACACTAATATTTCTTCAGGTAGCGTCCTCTCGATTTCCCAAATTCTGCTCCTATTAACAAAGCATATATAATACTTTCCTTGTAAGTAGACTAGAACTAGAAAGCAGAAAACAAAACTGTCATTATTTGCAGATGTGATGATTGCCTAAGTAAAAAACCAGAGTTTCTAAAGACAAGTTCTTAGAACTAATAAGAAAGTTAAGGAAGATTGTGAATACAACGTCAACACGCAAAAGTAATAGGATTCCTACAATCCAGTCACAGCTAATTAGCAAATGTAATTTTTTAAAATGTAACATTAGCGGGGTTCCCTCAGTATGGGGGACCCTCTTCCTTCTGTCTTATCCCTTCCTTCTCGCCTATTAAACTCTCCACTCCTTAAAACTGCTCCACGTGTGTCCATGCCATTTTTTCTAATTCAACTCGAGACAAAGAACCTGGTGTTCCTCCACTCATGGAAGCCGTATCATTTTGGTGCATGGGCCAGGAAAAGAAAATCAAAAATCAGACTGCCGAGTATGGAGCGGATTTCAACTTTAAATCTGTCCTTTAATCTCAAGGCTCTCTTCTAGCTACCCTGTCACCAAACTTTCTTTCTCTTTCTATCTGTGGTCTCTTACCCTCTCTCTGTTGTGTCTAATGTACAGTAATCTTTTTACAGTTCAGGGAAACTGGTCTGTTAGAAAAGATCGCGAGCTGGGCGCCCTGGCTCATGCCTGTAATCCCAGCAGTTTGGGAGGCTGAGGCGGGAGGATCACGAGGTCAGGAGATCGAGACCATCCTGGCTATCACGGTGAAACCCCGTCTCTACTAAAATAACAAAAAATTAGCCGGGCGTGGTGGCTGGCGCCTGTGGTCCCAGCTACTCTGGAGGCTGAGGCAGGAGAATGGCGTCAACCCGGGAGGCGGAGCTTGCAGTGAGCCCAGATCGCGCCACTGCACTCCAGCCTGGGCGACAGAGCGAGACTCCCCGTCTCAAAAAAAAAGAAAGAAAAGAAAAGATCACGAATCGCGGCAGGCTGTAACTCAATAAATGTCTCTCTCTCGGCCGGGCACGGTGGCTCACGCCTGTAATTTCAGCACTTTGGGAGGCCGAGGCGGGTGGATCACGAGGTCAGGAGATCAAGACCATCCTGGCTAACTCGGTGAAACCCCGTCTCTACTAAAAATACAAAAAATTAGCAGGGCATGGTGGCGGGCTACTGGGGAGGCTGAGGCAGGAGAATGGTGTGAACCCGGGAGGCGGAGCTTGCAGTGAGCCGAGATCGCCCCACTGCACTCCAGCCTGGGCTACACAGGCAGACTCCGTCTCAGAAAAAAAAAATCTCTCTCTCTCTCTCCATTTTCTCTGGCGACCACATGGTATTTGTAAGCCACCTAGTAGAAATCAGGCTCTAGGCCTCTTCTGGGAATGAGAAGTTTCTGCTTTTAACAGGAGTAAGATGTCTTCTGTAGCCAAATTTTAGTCTCAATATTGTCCCACTGGCAGGAAAACGGCCATTCAGTTCCTACTTTCCTTTAAGCCATCTATTCTGCTTCCTATTAAGACAGTACTTAATTAGTAAGAGGATTTTAAGTCCCGAAATTAGCTGGGACCATTTTTCTATGGGTAAACGCTTTAGCATGGGCTATAATAGCAGGATATAGTTTGATCTAGCATGCCCCTTCCTTTAAAGGGGTCTTGCCCAATTACATGCTTTTTCTTGAAATCCATTTTTTGGAAGGCACACAGGCCACACAAGTCTAGCAGGTCAAAGGGAAATAAAAGGCAGAGGACTGATTGCTTAGGGGCAGCGTGACTAAGGCCCAAAACTCACTTCCTCTGGTGCCAAGGCTTGGAGGGTCACGCCTGCAGTCATGGGCAACACATTTAAGTGGGTGCCAGGAATACAGGAGCAATGGAGATAGAATAGTTGGGGGGACACCCTCTACTGTTTTCATCTCCATCCTGGATCACATAGAAAGGAAGGAGACTAAAAGTACACTTTTATTCTCACTTCTTTTTTAGATGGGTAACAACAGATCATCTCCAACATGCACTCCCCTGGAGTGTATTTTAAAGCACTGGGACTCCTTCGACCTGGAAACTTTGAAGAAAATATGGCTTATTTTCTTTTGCAACCATATCGGGCAGGCCCAGGGAAAATATTTCCCCAAAATTCAAAAAATAACTTTCAGGGAAATCATCTGAGGGTCCCTCTTATTTGGGACCCTTTCAAGTTCCCTTCTCATTACAGGACCTTAGGCAAATAAGGAGAAACTGAGGCCGATTTCCTGACGACCCCGATAGGTATATAGAAGCTTTCCAAAATTTAACTCCGGTATTTGACCTCACATGGAGGGATGTTATGTTGCTGCTGAGTTAAACCCTCACTGCAGCTAAAACAGGCAGCTTTGCAAGCAGAAGAGAATTTTGGAGATGAGCAATTTGTCTCCCATAGCAGGCCAAAAGGGAAAAGAAAAAAAGAGATGGCAAAAAAAATAAAATGGGGAAACACCATTCCCGATAGGAAAAGAGGCAATATCTCTTGAGAACCCTAACTGAAACTCCTTTCTGTGGTGTTTTTTCTTCTTTTGTTGTTTAAAATGGCTTCTATCTCTCTTATAATGTTCTTCCAACCTGGGAAAAGTTAATTTTCCAAACCTCAAAATGCTTGGCATATAGTTGAGCTAGGGGGAAAGGAACCCAGAAGCCTGATATCCCGGCAAAAGGGTAAACATTTCTTACCAGTAGGGCTTTTGGCTTCTCTCTACCTGTGCAAACCATGGATAATAAGGATCACTATGTTCTCTGTAAATGTATAATTAATGAAAAAGGATTTGTAAGGTTGGTCTTAAGTGTAGACAATCCTGTGTGCTTTGCATGTCTTTCTGTATGGTTCTGTCAAAGAAAGGGTATCTTAGATTAGGATGCATGCCCAGGACCCCATAAGCCTGCTGTTCAAGCCAGCCCAACAAAACTGTCAGTAACAAGCTTGGTTACAGGCCTCCATCTTCTTTCATGTCCTTGGGAACATAATCTGTAACTGCATGGCAATACTTCGTTTTAGTCTCCGCCATTTTGCAATGGAGGCTGTCTTCTGGTGCTAAATCAGATAAACCAGTTTGTCAATCTGGGTGGTGCCAGCTGATCCATCAAGGGCAGGGTTTAGCAAATGTCTTAAGCAATGATCTTGAGAGCAATTTAGGGAGGGTCAAAATCTTGTAGCCTCTAGCTGCATGGGTCCTGGGCCATGATTTCTAATCCTGTGGCTAGTTTCTTTATCTGGTCCCCAGGCAAGATGGGAAGCGGCTGTTATTATCTTTGTTTTAGACTATAGACTGTAAACCTGACTCCTCCCAAAGTTGGTTCAGCCTATGCCCAGGGATGGACGAGGACAGCTAGGGGGCTGGAAACAAAATGGAGTCATTTAGGTTGGATCTCTTTCACCGTCTCAGTCACAATTTTGCAATGACAGTTTCAAAAGCTGCCTACCACCCCTTTAAAAATACCGTACTCCCACGGTTGAGCCATAACCTGATTAATGCTTGTTGGTTTCACCTGTGAGGTTACTTTTTAATCTAAAAAGCTGAAAATTCAAAGTAAAGTTCAAAAGCTGAAAATCTTAACTGCTTGGCATGGCTAAAGTCAAGTAACAAGGGATATAAAAGAATTTTCTTAAAGAGTGTTCAGTTTAATTAAAAGTGGATATTCAAGTTGTAGGTATCCGTAAAAGGCCTTTATGTTTTTCTCTTCTTGGATCTTGTTTTTCTGTAAAAAGTCTCTTTTCTTCTCAGTCGACTGAATTATTTTTCTCCATTTTTTGTCTTACCACTCAATGCATACATGAAAGGCCCTAAGATAACTTCTGATAGCATGGGACTCCTTGGGAAAAACAGAGGAGGCATCACATACCCCATTTTGGGGAAAAAAAAGAAAACCTCTGTTTTCCTCATGAAACCCCAGGAATTAAAAGGAAATATTTCCCTCTCAAAATCAAAGGCTGTGTTCTGTTTTGCTTTGTGTTATTTGACAGTTTTGAGTTTTGGGGGTAACAAAAATTACTTTGAATTAATGGAGATCTTTGGTGTGTAATAACTAGGTAGAAAATACACTGTAAGGGATGGCTAAGAGTAGTTATAAATCAGAGAAGCATGCTTTTAGCCACCTGAAAAATAAGGAAACATACCTGCCCCACACCGGGAGATGAGACTCCCATCAGGGATGGGCTGATTACAAAATAAGCCAATGGCTTTGGGTTGCATTGCAATGAAAGGCATGGTAGAAGCACTACACCATCTTCTCCTGTAGTATCTAAATGGTCTTTTAATAAATTGAGCATTGAAATAAAAGCATAGCAAGGAGGTCTTAAGACACTAATCTGCCCTTTAGTAAAAGGGTTATAAAAGGTTTGTAGAGATTTCACCTCATGGTCAAGTTGGTTAGGATTAGATGGAATGATGTATAAAGGTTCATTTAAACAAATTAGGGTTAACATTAACAAACTAAAGCAAGGGTAAACTGTGGCTTTGAACAGGATTTTCATGTCATAGTAAAGGCTAATGAAAGGTTTTTGCCTTTTGAGTCATCATTTTGACAAAGTAATTTATGGCAATCTAGGAATTCTCCTTCCTGATGCCTGGCTTTTTGGATGGTTCAGAGAGCTCCTGAAATATTCAGAGAAGAGGCAAATGGGATTATTTGACATGTTTAGTCACATGAGATTGCCAAAATGATCTCCAATCTTCTTTAAATTATCTTTTAGTAAATATTACATGTTCCAAAATTGTATGGGATTTCTAAAACTCTAATGTCTAAGTATATGCTGTCAATCATAATTAAGGGTAAAGTTATTCTAAACCATGAAGATAAATAAACTTCTTTGTCAGTCATGTTTGTAACTGTAACTATCCTGGAAATTCTGGCATTGGCAGACAATTGTTGTCTGGCTCTGTTCCTTCTCAAAAGACAGTTTATAATAAAGCTATATTAAGGACTTTAACAGGTGCTCTCAAATGCAAGCTTTTAATAGCTTTGAAGATTGTAACATTGGAGTAGAGAAAGAATGTACAAGACACGTAAAGAACTAACATGTTCACAAATATAAAGCAAAATGAGTTAACTAAGTGGACTGTACTCAGAAAGTCAAAGGAAACTTTTTGACTTTTGCTTGGAATATTGCTGATCTTTGTTTTGTTTTTCAGAGTCAAGGAAACTGATATTGAACTATTTACAGCCTTTAATAATTGAGTAAGGTATACTCCTGTGAACAAAATTTAGAGCATGTTTATTTTTCTCTGCCTGGTTCCTCTAGAATTTGGAGACTATCTGTGAGTACTCTTAACTTATGGCAGTATATTTGTTTGCATCAGTCCAATAAGAATCCATTTTTCTTTGTCAACAGGATGCAATTGGGAAAACTGGTTATTTTACCAAGGCTTTGACTGAAAGGGTGTTTTTCCCTTTAAGGAATCAAGCTTGACATGCAGAGCCAATAAAAGCCCCTTAGGGAGAACTGGGCTCATACATTGTTTACACAGTCCCCGCACAGGGTTCCTAACCTGTGATCAGTAAAGAATGTCACTTTCTAACAGGTCTGCAAGCTCCGAGTTTTATCTTGGGACCTCAAGAAGAGAGGATCACCCAACTCACAGGTATTTGAGGATACAAACCCATGGCTGGGTTCGGCTTTAAAAGGTCTTATCTGAGATTCCTTGTAGAACAGAGTTTCATCAAAGCCAACCCAAAAAACGCCTATGTAGAGATAACCATTCTTGCTGTACTTTATGCAAATAATCAGGCCAAGCATAAGACTAAAGTTTATTCATAATTTGTATTTACCAAAAGTAAGGACCGGAGAGAGAAACTGTGCTCCAAAGCTTATCATACATTTGTCATTAAATCCTGATCTCCTGCAGCTTGGAAGAAACAAAAGGGATGAGTAACGTAAAAATCTGAATCAATATGCTAGTTCTGGCCAGTTATCCTGCAAATTCTGCCAGGTAATGAAAGTGAGTAGGATGCCCATAACCTGGAGATTTGTTTGGGAAAATAAAACCGAAGAACATCATAGACCCCCAAAGGGAAATTCTATACCTTGGCAAGTAAAATTTTAGATGGAAATTATCTACTACACCTCATTTGTGGAAATTGCTATACTCACTCTACTATTTGCAATAGGGTTATACACGGTAGCACCTTCTAACTGAAATATTGGACAGAGTTTCCATTGCTATTGTATTTTGCTTAATTATTATCCTTATAGCAGGGATAACAGTTTCTGACAAAAAAAGAAGCATGAAAGTTTTAATATCACTGAGCCTGCTAGGACTTTTTACTGGGTTTAGTGATGCACTAAATGAAACATGCCACTTCTGAATTAACACCTCTACTAAAGTAGAGAAAAATCTACAGTTACTTAAAAATCAAATCAAAATTATTGACAGGCTCAGGGAAAATGCCAGCTTCAGCCCCGGGTGGCTACAATCCCTCTTTAATGAATTCCAGTCTTCTTTATGGAATTGGTTAACTGCTTTATTAAGCCCTCTCTTGCTTATATGTCTTGTATTGATATTTGTACCCTGTATACTCAATACTATAACTCGAATTGTTTCTCCTCACCTAGAAGCAATCAAACTCTAAATGATGCTGCAAACTGAGCCACACATGGACACGCCATTCTTCCAAGGACCCATAGACTGACCCCAGGAGGAACCCTAGCTACTGTTCCCCATTTGATGCCCCCTTTCAGCAGGAAGTAGCCAGAAAGAGTTGTCATCCAAAACCACCTAATAGCGGTTAGTGTGACATCTCCACAGTGGGGAATGTTGTAGGAGTTAAGAAATTATTTTAGGCAGATAGAGAAGAAAAGGTGTCCTTGGGAAGTTTTCATTTTTTAAAGCATCTCTGGAAAAGTTTCTTGTAAAGCCCCAGCTCTTAGATCCAGGCTGATAACCTTTGATATGCAAATGCTGGCCATTAGAAACTGGGTCCACCCAACATGGCTGAGCTGGCAATCTTTAGTATGCAAATGCCAGCCTTTAGAAACTGGGTCTCCCCTAATACTGCAATTCTCTCAGCCTTCTTGCCCTTGCCCCACATGTTTCTGGCAACATGGCCACCCACACATATCCCCACGTGTGCAGAACATCATGGTGTCCTGCATTTGCATATTAAAATGCTAGGGTAGGAGGGACAGCTTTTTCACGGCTACGTGAATGACATGCCTGGTCAAACCAATCCCCTGAGCCCTATGCAAATCAGACACCACCTCCTCCAGTCTCTGTGTATATACCTGGCTGATAGCCGTGGAAGGTGGATTTCTCTGTTTCAGCTTTGGAGCCCCCCTCCCTCTGTCTCAGTACAGGGGAGCCTCTTCCTTCTGTCTTCTCCCTTCCTTCTTGCCTATTAAACTCTCTGCTCCTTAAAACTTAAAAAAAAAAAAAGTATTAGCAACACAAATTATAAAGATCTGAGAAATAAAGCTAGAAAAAATATAATGGATAAAGTGAAAACACTACAAGGACATACAAGAACAGCTAGACAAATGAAAAGATACACTGTGTTCTTGAATGGGAAAACTCAATATTTTAAAGATGGCCATTGCTTCTTGATATGAAACTATAAATTTAATAAAATGCCATCCAAAATACCAGTTATTAATAAAATTTGACCATATAATCCTAAAGTGTCATAGTAACATACTAGGAACAACCAAGTCAGTTTTGAAAAAGCAAGAGTATGTGCTTTATCAAATACCAAGATACATTATAAATCTATAATAATTTTATCAGCATAGGATTGCTACAGTAACTAGAAACACCGATGGAAGAGAATAAAAATCTCAAAATGCACCACTGATCTAAGAATTGGGCAGCTGACAGAGGCACATTATTTATAATGAAAGAAGAATACACAGTTCAATAAATGATGCTAGAACAATTGACCAATTGAAAATTGGTCAACTGAACAATAGAAAATGGTATGCAAACATCACACCATGCAAAAAAATTAAGCCTAGAGAAGTCAAAGACCTAAACAGAAAAAGCAAAATTTTAAACACTCTTGAAGTACACATAGAAGAGTATAAGACTTTGGGATAGAGAATAAGTTACTAAAGAGTGAGAAAAAATACTGATAAAACTTTCTACATTAAAATTGCACTTTTTGAAAAAATCAAAAAGCAGCCAAAGTTAAAATATAAGCCACAGATTGGGAAGTAAATTTTTATTATGTATAATAAACAAAAAATGAACATCCGGAACATATTATGCATTCCTATAATAAATAAGAAAAAATCCTATAATAATGAGTGAAGCAATATTAGTCAATCAATGGATGAGCAAAAATTAATGTTCAATAAATATTTTAAATGATGCACAAATACGTTATTGAAAATGCAAGTTAAAACATTGGAATACGCACTAGACTGGTTACATTTTAAAAGTCTATTAGATGACACAGTATTATATTTTATATGTGCATGTGTGTATACACACAAGTACATATATTTAATCCCATGTATACATATACATTTACATAAATATGTTTAATACTATATATACATGTATATGCACACATGCACACATGTATATATATTTAAGCCTATGTCACCTAATAAATTTTTAAAAATATACATAGAGATAATGGGCAACTTTGAAATACCTCTTAAGTCAAATATGTAAAAAATCTAACAGTTGCAACTATATAGATAGTTATATAATTATATATTATGCCACATAATTATATTTGTGAAAAGGTATTTAAAAATTCATAGAAATAATTGTTTTAATAAAGAGATTGGAAGTGAAAACAAAAATGTATACATCTATTAAATCTACCTGAGATACTCATTAGTGTTTGTCATACTACACTCTGTATTTTACAATCTGTTTGAAATATTTCATACATGAAAATATGTTCATTAAAATCATAATTACAAACCACTTTTAAGGAACTAAACAAACATTACATACCTTGGTTTGGCAAAAAAAGAGAAATGGCTGAAAAAATTAATGAATTATACAAGAGTGCCTATGTTAGTGGATACAATTTAGAAATAAATTAACATTTTTTATAAAAATGGACTTCAGATATCTTTTCCATAGCAAAGTCAAAAAATTTCCTAAGACATAAACATTTTTCCATATGTAATAATATGTATCTTGCAATCATGGTAGAAATGTGGTCATGCTTGGTTGAATTTAGGGCAGCCAAGAACATATTCTAAACTGAATTTTTCAAGACCTGGAAAAGGCTTTGACAATCTCTAGCAATGCTACATCTTTGTGACTGAGATAGTACTGCCTCCCCAACAATGTAGTTGGCTCAGATTTTACCTCCTTTCTCCTTTTAAAACCCAGCCTTCCTTTATTATTAGGCAAGCCGATAAGCCTGCTTTGTGTATTTGCATGGCTGATGTAGATTGTAATCACTGTCTGTCAAACAATCTATGACAACTTATTAACATAGACACCAGGAAATTAATTGCCATGTCTAATTCTGGAAATGGCCTTTAAGTAATTCGGTCAATACTTTCCACTTATGATACAATTAATTGCTTGAAAACTGATTAATGAGAAGATACTGCAGGTAGTAATTAAAATCAAAGCAAAAACTTTCAAGTCCTATGAAAATTATGTAGGTACATGGAAGAAAATCCTGGTAAGAAGCCAACAGAAACTACACGTATTTTAAAAACTTAGCAGTTATTGAGCTGGCTCAGTATTCTGGTTTCTATATACCAATTAAAGAAATATTCAGTGATGGTGACTAGGTTCTGTAAATTATGTCATGGCTGAATAATTAATATATTTTATTTGATTCTGTCTAATTCAAAGTTAGATACCAATTAATCCATAACAACAGTAAAATTTGTAAGGAGCTACAAATCATTAATTGTCTTTGGAAATAAGCCACAGTTGGACATTAATTATTCTAAGTTATCCTTTACTGCCAAACTTGGAGGATGACTCTTGCACTAGTTAATTTAATTGATCAAAGACAATTAAATTATTGACTCAGTAATTAAGCTGGTCAAAATATTAATTACTATCAGATGCTCATCCTATTAACTTATAATACATAGTCTCATACTTGGGCTGACTTTAGGAATATTAACTAACAAGTATGACCATGGTTAGCAATAGCGTATATGGAATTTCTACATTTAAGGGGCTTGGGGGATTCAATCCCTTTCCAAATAGGGACTAGGGAATTTGTCTTAAAGCTTTATTTCTATAAGAAGCACATACTGTTTTTACAAGGATGGTATGATTACTGAAGTGGCTTGATAGAAGCTGATGGAAATTTCTAAGGAGCTTAATCATTCCCACTCCTTCCTCCCATCTCCCCACACCTGTCTTTGATTCCATCAAATCACATTCATGATAATGTTTTTGTGTTAGAGATGATAATATATTTATTCACAATATATGCTTTATTTTTTGAGTTGTTAAAGATATCCAAAAATATTTGTAGTATTATTTGGTAATACCATGAACCCTTGAACAATATGAGGGTTAGAGGAACTGATTACTGTGCAGTCAAAATTTCACATATAACTTTTACTCCCCCAAAACTTAACAACTAGTAGCTTACTGTTGACCAGAGGCCTTACTAATAACATAAACAGCCAATTAACACGTATCTTATATACGTATTGTATGCTGTATTCTTACAATAAAGTTAGAGAAAAGAAAATGTTATTAAGAAAATCACAAGGAAGAGAAAATATATTTACTATTCGTTATGTGGAGATGGATCATCATAAAGGTCTTCCTTGTCATCTTTACTTTGAGTAGGCTGAGGAAAAGGAGGAAGATGAAGGGTTGGTCTTGCTGCCTCAGCGGTGGCAGAGATGGAAGAAAATCTGCATACAAGCAGATTCGTGTGGCTCAAACCCATGTTGTTCAAGAGTCAACTGCATTTCCATTAGAAATTGGAGCAAGGCAGGCTGAAAATGATGGAATACAGTTGAATTGGTGTGGAGGAGGGGAGGTGGCAAGAGAATGGGAATTCAGCGGAATTAGCAAGACAGTCTTAGGTGAGAAAAGACTAGCCAGCCAACTTTATGATATGCTTTGAGGACTCACTGAAAGATTCTCCAACCTGAAAATTCTCTTTTCATTGACCATTTATATAGAGTGCACCACAGCTAAAAATATTAATAAAGTATTCTTAGGAAACAAAAGAGTCCTTTTTAGCATTAGAACCTTTGAATATAATTTTAATCTAATCCTTTATTAAAACCATTAAAATCTGTATTAGTTATTCATATTGTATAAGAAATTACTTCTAACTTAGTGGATTAAATACCAAACATTTATTACTCGCAATTCCTGTGAGTTAGGAATTCAGGAGCGGCTTTGCTGGGTGATTCTTCTGAGGAATTCTCATGAGGTTGTAGTTGAGAGTTCAGCTGGGGCTGCAGTGAATGAAGGTTTGACCTGGCCTGGAACATCCACTTCTGTGTGGGCTGACCACATGGTTGCTGGCAGAAAGTCTCTGTATCTTTCCATATAAGCCTCTTCATAGAGCTTCATAGAGCAGTTTGATTCCCTCGCAGAGAAAAATCTTAGGGAAGACTACAGCACAAGTAAATTTTGAAGAAAAAAAAAGAAAAAGAAGCACATAGACTTAAAAGATTATTTTTCAAATTTTTGTCATTGGCACCACACTGTCACTCAAGACGTTAATAGACATTTGCCAAGAAAAAAAAAAATCTGAGCTCAAATAAGTTTGGAAAAAAAGTATGTTTAATCAATTGCAAACAACTTTTTAAAACTAATTCTCATATACATTATGATTTAATAAAACAGGAATATATTTTAGAGTTATTTTTCCCTGACCTACATTATTCTAGCTGTTTACAAATCTTCAGGGTTCTTTTGATAAAATGCAATGATTAGAGGCAAGTGCGAGATACACATTCCTTCTTACTGCCTTAATGCCAAAAGAAATACTGCAAGTAAATCACATTTCAGACAACATTCTGCCAAACATACAGGTATTTATTTGCAAGCTGACCCAAAGAGGCATGATTGCTTTAGCAATTATAAAATCAGATCTGTCAACAGAAAACTTTATGAAGTAGGGTGACAAAGAACTAAAGCTCCCAGCTTTAAAATCTCCTCTAGAGATTTTATCCAAGCTAGTTGAGCTTGGAAGAGTCTTACATATTAAGGGAGGAGACCACCCCTCATATTGTCTTATGCCCAATTTCTGCCTCCAGAGAAAGAAAAAGTAAAAACTAAAAGGCAGAAATGAAATACACAAGCAGACAGCCCGGCGCCACACTCTGGGCCTGGTAGTTAAAGATCAACCCCGGACCTAATCGGTTATGTTATCTATAGATTACAGACATTGTATAGAAAAGCACTGTGAAAATCCCTATCCTGTTTGTTCCGATCTAATTATGGGTGCATGCAGCCCCCAGTCACCTACCCGCTGCTTGCTCAATCGATCATGACCCTCTCATATACACCCCCTTAGAGTTGTGAGCCCTTAAAAGGGACAGGAATTGCTCACTCGGGGAGCTCGGCTCTTGAGACAGGAGTCTTGCTGATGCCCCCGGCTGAATAAACCCCTTCCTTCTTTAACTCGGTGTCTGAGGAGTTTTGTCTGTGGCTGGTCCTGCTACATTTCTTGGTTCCCTGACCGGGAAGTGAGGTGATTGGCAGATGGTGGAGGCAGCTCCTTGGGCAGCTTAAGTCTGCCCTGTGGAACATCCCTGCGGGGGACTCTGACTAGCCCCTAGTGACGCGGATCCTGAGAGCGCTCCCAGGTAGGCATTTGCTCTGGTGGGACGCCTCGCCACAGCAGTGTGTGGCAGGCCCCCATGGTGGATCAACACAGTGGCTGAACACCGGTAAGGAATGGGCACTTGGAATCTGAACATCTAAAACTTGGTAAGACTAGTCTTTGAAACTTGCCCACTCCGGGCGCGGTGGCTCACGCCTGTAATCCCAGCACTTTGGGAGGCCGAGGCGGGCGGATCACGAGGTCAGGAGATCGAGACCATCCTGGCTAACACGGTGAAACCCCGTCTCTACTAAAAATACAAAAAATTAGCCGGGCGTGGTAGCGGGCGCCTGTAGTCCCAGCTACTCGGGAGGCTGAGGCAGGAGAATGGCGTGAACCCGGGAGGCGGAGCTTGCAGTGAGCCGAGATCACGCCACTGCACTCCAGCCTGGGCGACAGAGCGAGACTCCATCTCAAAAAAAAAAAAAAAAAAAAAAAAAAAAAAAAAAAAAAAAAAAAAAAAAAAAACTTGCCCACTCCGTTTGAGTGGAAGCGTGGCCTGATCACCCATGGCATGCCTTTATTGGCACTTTGATTTTGGCTTTGGTTTTGACTTGGTTTGAATTGCTTGACAGGACCGGTCTTGGGAACTTGCCCACTCCATTTGAGTGGAAGCGTGGCCTGATCACCCACGACGTGCCTGTACCGGCACTTTGGTTTTTGTTTTTGACTTCACTTGGATTGCTTGTACTTTGGTTTTGGTTTTGACCTGGCTTGGATTTCTGGATACTCTGATTTTGGTTTTGATTTTGGTTTGGTACAAACTGCAAAAGTGTGTGTGTGCCCTTTTTACCCATTCTTTGTTTTGTGGTGTGCGTGTGGTGTGAGCGTGGTGTTTTGTCTCAAAGAAGCATAGGTCAGGCACAAATAAGCCCACCCCAGTAGGAATTATGTTGAAAAATTTCAAAAAAGAATTTAAAGGAGACTATGGAGTACTATGACACCAGGAAAACTTAAAACTTTGTGTAAGATAGACTGGCCAGGATTAAAGGTAGGTTGGCCATTAGAAGGAAGCCTGGACAAGTCCCTTGTTTCAAAGGTATGGCACAAGGTAACCTGTAAGCCAGGGAACCCAGACCAGTTCCTGTACATAGACACTTGGTTACAGCTGGTTTTAGACCCTCTGCTCCCAACACACAGTGGTTGAGAGAACAGCAGCATAAGCAGCTGGCAGAGGAAAGGAAAGACCAGCAGAGAGAGAGAAAGGAAAGAGACAGAGAGGAAAAGAGGCAAAGAGAGAGAGGAAGAGACAGAGAAGAGACACACGAAGAGGGAGTCAAGGAGAGAGAGGCAGAGAGAGAGAAGAAGAGACAGGCAAAAGGAAAGTCAAAGAGAGAGAGACAAAATCAAAGAGAGAAAGAAAGAGAAAGAGAGAGATATACAAGTAGTTAAGAAAAAAAAAGTGTACCCTATTCCTTTAAAAACCAAGGTAAATTTAAAACCTGTAATTGATAATTGAAGGTATTCTTTGTAACCCTATAACACTCCAATGCCACTTTGTTGTCAGGTAAACAAGGGCATATCCTGAAAGCACTGAGGCCTTCCTATCAAAAATTCTTAACCCAGTAACCCATGGATGGCCCAAATGCATTCAATCTGTAGCAGCAACTGCTTTACTAACAAAAAACAAAAAAGTAAAAAAAATAACTTTTAGAGGAAACCTCATGGTGAGCACACCTCACCAGTTCAGAAGTATGCTAAGGGAAAGAAAAAAAAAAACAGTTTATGTGCAAGGTGTATAAGAAAAGTAAAATATACCTCTAGTAAAGGATTATAAGGAGGCATAAGAATGTACATTTTTACCTACATTAAAAAGTTAAAAAAGTTATTGTTTTGAAGGTTTAAGCAAGTTTTAAAATGTTGATTGTAAAGAAAATTCTGTGTGTAAACATATTAGCTAAAGTTAAAGAAGTATCATCCAGTTTTTCTGTGAACTGGACACTAAAGTAAAAGCATACAGGTTTTTCTTAAAGCACCAACCTGCTCTTTAGCAAAAATTATAAAAGGTTAAAAAGAGTTTATAAAATCTTACCTTATGGTTAAACATTAAAAATTAGATAAATATGTCTACAAGGTTTTATTAAAATTAAGCTTAAAATTAATAACATACTAATATAAAGATAAAATTTAGCTTATCTTGTGTAAAAATCATACTAGAAGTATTTTTAAACGTAAAATGTTATTTGGCTTTCTTTGGTTTAAAAACTAATAAAAGTAGGTGCTAAAGGGAATTTCTTAGTAAAAAGGCACTAAGGACTATAAAGTCCACTGCCGAAGTCCCCATATTTAAAACAAAAGGTCAATTTCTTAAAAATTGTATACTTGGTTTATCTTCCATTTTCCTTTCTCTCAAAAACTAGAAGTCTTTTAGCACATGTACCACCCTAGAATTTCTGGTAAACCAGCACCAGCCTGAAGATCACGTTGTCATCAAAGGGTGGAAAGAAGAAAAACTCAAGCCAGCCAGGGAAGGACCCTACCTTGGTGGTGCTGCTAACCACCAAGACTGCTGTTCCTACAGCAAAAAAAAAAAAAAAAAAAAAAAAAAAAAGGATGGACTCATCACACCCGAGTCAAGAAAGAAAGCACCACCCCCTCCAGAGTCATGGGTCATAGTCCCAGGGGAAAACCCTACCAAACTAAAACTAAGAAAAATTTAACTCTTTTCATCTGTTCTGTTACTCTTTCTTCTTTCCCCGTTCTATTGCTGACCATCTAGTAATTAACATAACCAAGTCAATTTTGCCTCAAACTATTGCATTTAATGCTTGCCTTGTTATACCCTGTGAGGACTTGCCAAGTCCAAGGCAGCTTTCTACTTCAGAAAAGTACTTCTGTCCCTCCTGCCTCTCCTCAGACTGGGTATTAGTAAACTGGGACCATTTAATCCAGAGAGATTTCGATAAAGACCCCAGTGCCAACCAGGAGTCTTGCCGCCCCGATGTAGAGCTTTCATGCCATAGTTGGTCCAACGTTCTGTGGACCACTGAAGAGCAAGGATGGACTGCCCCAACCAGTTTTTGTAATTTCCTAAAATCATACCTTCATTTTACTAGAGGATCATACAAGTTAAAGACTTAAAACAAACTTTAGCAATTAAGACAGGATACCAAGATGCAAATGCCTGGTTAAAATGGATCAAATATTCCATCTGCATGTTAAACAAAAGCAATTGCTATGCTTGTGTACATGGCAGTCCAGAGGCCCAAATTGTCCCCTTTCCACTAAAGTGGTCCTCCAGTCGACCATGTGTGGGCTGCATGGTAGCTCTTTTCCAGGATTCTACAGCCTGGAGTAATAAGTTGTACCAAGCTCTCTCTGCTATGTCCCACAGTCTGGCACCATGCGGGTCAGCCCCTGAGGGCCATCCAGCCTCCGTCTCCCATCACAAAGTTCACTTCGTGTCTTTTGACAGGGAGGAAACTTAGCATTCCTTGGAGACCTGAAAGGATGCAGTGAGCTTAAGAATTTTCAAGAGCTTATCAATCAGTCAGCCCTTGTTCATCTCTGAGCAGATGTATGGTGGTATTGTGGTGGACCTTTACTGGGCACTATGCCGAATAACTGCAGTGGCACTTGTACTTTAGTCCAATTGGCTATCCCTTTCACCCTGGCATTTCATCAACTGGAAGGAAAAAAATAAGACATCGTAAAGTGAGAGAAGCCCCTTATGGGTCTTTCAACTCTCATGTCTATTTAGATGCAAATTAGAGTCCCACGGGGAATACCAGATCAATTTAAAGCATGAAATCAAATAGCTGCAGGATTTGAGTCAATATTTTGGTGGGTGACAGTTAATAAAAATGTAGTTTAGATAAACTACATCTATTACAACCAACAGCAATGAGCTTTTCATGAGTTAAAAGAAAAACTCATGTCAGCCCCAGCCCTGAGGCTACCTGACCTGACATAACTCTTTACACTCTATGTGTCAGAAAGAGAAAAAATGGCAGTTGGAGTTTTAACCCAGACTGTGGGGCCCTGGCCAAGGCCAGTGGCTTATCTCTCAAAAGAACTGGACGGGGTTTCCAAAGGCTGTCCCCCATGTCTAAGGGCTCTGGCAGCAATGGCCCTGTTAGCATAAGAAGCAGATAAACTAACCCTTAGGCAAAACCTGAATATAAAGGCCCCCCATGCTGTGGTAACGTTAATGACTACCAAAGGACATCATTGGTTAACAAATGCTAGATTAACCAAGTACCAAAGCTTGCTATGTGAAAATCCCCACATAACCATTGAAGTTTGCAACACCCTAAACCCCACCACCTTGTTCCCGGTATCAGAGAGCCCAGTTGAGCATAACTGTGTAGAGGTGTTGGACTCAGTTTATTCTAGCAGGCCCAACCTCCAAGACCATCCTTAAACATCAGTAGACTGAGCAGTACGTGAACGGGAGCAGCTTTGCCAACCCTTGCAAAGTGACTTTGAAGAAGACGACAAGTCCTGTTCCAGTCACACCTGGAACCTGACTGGTCCATGCATGGCTGAAGCATGAGAAAACTCATTGTGGGACTTATTTTCCTTAAAATTTGGATTTTTACAATAAGGACTTCAACTGACCTTCCTCAGACAGTACTGTTCCCAGTGTATACATCCAGTCACTGAGGTAGGACAAAAGGTTGTTCTGGTCCTATTATTTTATGGTTATTATAAGTGTACTGGAACTCTAAAAAGAACTTGTTTGTATGTTATTCTATACAAGGTATGTAGCCCAGGAAATGACCAAACTGATGTGTGTTATGACCCATCTGAGCCTCCCATGACCACAGTTTTTAAAATAAGATTAAGGACTGAGGACTGGTGAGGGCTCATAAATGATACGAGTTAAGTGTTAGCCAAAACAGAAGAAAAAGAGGTGCCCAAACAAGTCACCTTAAAATTTGATGCATGTTAATTAGAAAAGAGGCTATATGGCAGAAAATAAGTACATCTGTCATAAATTAGGACTGTGTGGAAATAAATGTAAATACTGGTCTTGTGTCATTTAGGCCACTTGGATAAAACAAAAAAGTGAAAAGGATCCAGTCCACCTTCAGAAAGGAAAAAATGGCCCCTCCTGTACCAAAGGACAATGTAACCCCTTAGAGCTAGTAATAACCAATCCCCTTGATCCTTGCTGGAAAAAAGAGGAGCGTGTGACCTTAGGAATTGATGGGGCTGGACTGGATCCTCAAGTACATATCTTAGTTCGAGGAGAAGTTTACAAACACTCTCCTGAGCCAGTGTTTCAAACTTTCTGTGATGAACTAAATGTGCCAGTACCAGAAATTCCAGGAAAAACAAGAAATTTGTTTTTGCAATTAGCCTGGCATGTAGCCCAGTGTCTCAATGTCACTTCATGTTATGTATGTGGAAGAACTATAATAGGAGATCAATGGCCACAGGAAGCCCAAGAATTAGTACCTACAGACCCAGTTCCTGATGAATTCCTGGCTCAAAAGAATCACCCTGATAATTTCTGGGTCCTAAAACCCTCAATTATTGGACAATATTGCATAGCTAGAGAAGGAAAAGAATTCACTCACCCCATAGGATGACTTAGTTGTCTAAGACAGAAACGTACAATGGCAGCACAAAAACAGTCACTTCAAATCTGTGTGATTTGAAGTTCAAATCACACTGAGAGAAATCCATTTAGTAAATTTGCAAAGTTGCAAACTGTGTGGACCCATCTAGAGTCCCACCGGGACTGGACAGCCCCCACTGGATTATACTGGATATGTAGGCATAGAGCTTACACCAAATTACCTGACCAGTAGGCAGGTAGTTGTGTTATTGGCACTATTAAACCATCTTTCTTCCTACTGCCCATAAAAACAGGTGAACTCCTAGGCTTCCCTGTCTATGCTTCCTGCAAAAAGAGAAGCATAGCTATAGGAAATTGAAAAAATGATAAATAGCCCCCTGAGAGAAACATACAATATTATAGGCCTGATACTTAAGCACAAGATAGCTCGTGGGGAACCGGACCCCCATTTACATGACCAACTGAATCATATGGTTACAAGCTGTCTTAAAAATAATCACTAATAAAACCACCAGAGCCTTGACTATTCTGGCCTGGCAAGAAACTCAGATGAGAAATACTATCTATCAAAATGGATTAGCTCTTGACTACTTGCTAGCAGCTGAAGGAGAGGTCTGTAGGAAATTTAACCTTACTAATTGCTGCCTACACATAGATAATAAAGGGCAAGTGGTTGAAGACATAGTTAGAAATATGACAAAACTGGCACATGTGCCCATGCAAGTATGGCATGGATTTGATCCTGGGGCCATGTTTAGAAAATGGTTCCCAGCACTAGGAGGATTTAAAACTCTTATAATAAGAGTTATAATAGTAATAGGAAGCTGCTTACTGCTCCCTTGTTTGCTACCTGTACTTCCTCAAATGATAAAAAGCTTCATCGCTACCTTAGTTCACCAAAATGCTTCAGCACAAGTGTACTATATGAATCACTATCGATCTATCTTGCAAGAAGACATAGGTAGTAAAAATGAAAGTGAGAACTCCCACTATTGAGTGAGAGTCTCAAAGGCGGGGAATAAGGGAGGAGACCCCCCCTCATATTGTCTTATGCCCAATTTCTGCCTCCAAAGAAAGAAAAAGTAAAAACTAAAAAGCAAAAATGAAGTACACAAGCAGACAGCCCGGGGCCACACCCTGGGCCTGGTAGTTAAAGATCGACCCCTGATCTAATCGGTTATGTTATCTATAGACTACAGACATTGTATAGAAAAGCACTGTGAAAATCCCTATCCTGTTTTGTTCCGATCTAATTACCGGTGCATGCAGCCCCCAGTCACATACCTCCTGCTTGCTGAATCGATCACGACCCTCTCACGTGCACCCCCTTAGAGTGGTGAGCCCTTAAAAGGGACAGGAATTGCTCACTCAGGGAGCTCGGCTCTTGAGACAGGAGTCTTGCTGATGCCCCCGGCTGAATAAACCCCTTCCTTCTTTAACTCGGTGTCTGAGGAGTTTTGTCTGCAGCTCGTCCTGCTACAATATGAATGAAAAATTGTAACCAGCATATCTTGTGCTATTTGGCAAACCACCCCTTGAGTGTGGATTCCTGATAAGAAGATGTCAGGCTCACTAACCTCCTCTACAGACTGAATTAAAATCAATTTACAGACATATACATCACATTGTTCCTATTAAAATAAATTGCCACAAGGACAACAGACAAATAATGTGTTCTAAATATTTTACCACATCATTCTTCTTCCTCAGAGCATTTGCAGAACTAATATTTTTAGAAAAAGTATGGAAAAATCTTGCTCCAACAAAGAGAACAATCAGAAGAGGTGCAGGTGAGCTAGAGAGAACTGGCTTCTAAAAAGAAGTTTTCTGTAAGAAACTTACAATAGGAAATTGATAATGATAGATTGCTGATAAGAGACTGTTGCCTGCATCTGATTCTCCCTGGGCTATGAATCAATGAGGGAGCTATATGACTTAACAGTCTCTGATTTTTAAAAAGGGTATAATTCATCAGGGCACGTCACTGAAAGAAGGTTAATTAGAGTTGTAAGACTCAATGCCTGGGGAGAGGCATAACACTGTCCTGAAATATAAAGAAAAAAAATTAAATCCGAAGTAACCTTTTTTATTATACAGAGACAGGTAACAGGCAATATAGTAATGTTACTACCATCCTGATCCTGGTTTCAAAGTGATCAAATACACAAGGTCAAGTTTATATTTAAGTAAAATTTGTGCACTAATAGATGTTTATGGAAAGATGTAACAGGAAGTAAATTGACTCCAAACAGTGCCATCTACGGTAGGAAAAATAATGGAGGCACATGTACAGAGTATTTCCTTTGAGTTGAGTGTTCCACATTTACAGCTCACAGCTGCTTTACATGCATAACCTGCTAACCCTCACGACAGTACTATGAGGATGAGATTATTACTATTCTCTTTCCACAGATAACCATGTAAGATGGATAATTTGTTCAATTACAAAATGTCGATGCTCTAAACTAAATCCATCTGACTCCACAGCCCATTCTGAGCTTCTAACTACTTTGCCCTCAGGGGATGAACATCGTTCCAGAAAGAGCAACTCCTGGCCGTGAGTCAAAAAACAATTTAAAAACTATTGTTTGGAAGAACTTGCTTAAATCAATATCTGTTTTTAGAAATGAGACAATAAAAATCACAGGATCTCATATCCCAGAATCACAAAGAATTAGAGCCATGTTAGACAAAGGAATTTGAAATTATTCAACGCATTGTGTCTCTATTCTGTGCTCCACATGATACCTCAACACTATGAAACATTTTGTAATACAGATTTATGAAATATGAAAAGAGATTCTCAATCTCTTTGTGTTTTAAGTCCCTAATGCCAATCTTTTATTATGAAAAAGAAAAGAAGTGTTATTTTTTTTTAGAATTAATTTCAACCAATAATTCTAAGACCAGACTGCTTTCTTTCAAAGGGAAAAGCAGTGTTTATAAAAGCAGAAAGAACCTTGAATTACTTTTTTCACCACTACTGTGAATTTCAATTCTAAAAGCTTTCAATATGCACATCTTATGCATTTAATATCATGCTAAGTGCTGTGGGAACATAGAAAGCATGTAATCCATCATCAATTCCTTCAAATAAACCACAATTTTATGAGAGAAGCAAGACATGTAAATGTTGAACTGTTAAATCATAATTCTCAGAGGCATATAAGTAAGTGACCAAATAAATAGTGTAGGCCAAAATTCCCCAGACTGTGTTCCAAGAAATATTTAAAAGAAGTTCATTTTCAAAAAAAGTTCTGTTATTAAATAAGTTTTGAAACTATACGATATTTCCTTCATGAATGCCACCCTTACAAGTTATCACCATCAATATTATCAAACATTTATTGACCCAGGTAGTACACTAAGTGCTTTAGATGCATTATTTCATTTAATTCTCAAAATCAATTCAAGGAAATAAGTATTATTCTCATTTTATAGATGAAAAAAAGTAAAATGTGGAGAGCTAGGATCATGACTACACATGATGCTTACTTTGCACTGTATATGGAACCAAAGTGCTAATCCCCAAAACATGGGCTCTAGCCTGAACAAAACTATGTCACTGAGGTCCCTGAATATTTTATGTAAAGTAGGTCCCCTCCCCATTTTTCACACCACCAAGGTAATTTCCTTCTTTAAAGGAAATTTGCATTCCAAAATTTGCATTTATTGACTCATTCATTTATTTTCTGTCTATACTTCTAAATTGCTCATGCCACGTAAGTAAGGAGTATGACTGTAAGTGCCTTTTGCACTAATAAATCCAGTGCTAACCTAATTCCCAGCACAGAGTAGGCACTTAATAAACATTTAATAGAAGGAAAGAAGGAAGAAGCAAGCAAGGAAGGAAAGAAGAAAAGGAATATCAAAGCAGAAATTGCACCAAAGTTAAACAGACAAGGAAGACTTTAATCAAGGCTCTTGCAGAACTTTCTGTGAGCTCAATTCCACGGAAATGAAACAAGGGATTGGAGAGGTTTTAAAAGCGAGAATGGGAGAATGATAGGCCATCTGTGTTTGTTAATTGGCTTTTCCCCAAGGAAAAGTAAACTTTCTCTTATCTTCATGACAGGAGGCACTGTTACCAATGAAGTTGGGCTCCTACCCTCTCTAGGACACTGGGAGGTAGGGGCATTATTACTTTCCTTGATGATTACATTTCAGAGGAATGGCTTCCAGGTCCTTGAGGAAGACATTCCTAAACTGTAAAACTGGAGAGGGGCTTTTTAAAAATGTACAACTCAGCGCAGTGGCCCAAGCTTGTAATCTCAAGCACTTTGGGAGGCCAGGCTGAGAGGATCATGTGAGTCCGGGAGTTTGAGACCATCCTGCGCAACATGGTGAGACCTCATCTCTTAAAATAAATAAATTAATAATAACAATAATAATAATAGAAAACAAAAATTTACAACTCCAAGGGCCAGAGAAGGAAATTACAATGACAAGTTTTCTAAAGTAAATGCTCTAAGAAAAGGGAGGGCTGTAGCCTGGCATCAGGAAGGAGGCTGTCTAAAGTTTAGTAAATCTGAGGGAAACTTTGAGGCCCTCTTGGACACAAGGATGAAGGGAAAAAGAGAGAGAGAAGAGATGGTTTCAAGGTTCACACCAAGGTCCACCTTTCCCTTGCTGTTCTTAGCCAATAGCTGAGCAAGGCAGGGGAATGAGAGCTGGGCCACTCCTACTCAGCAGGACTCCTCTAATGGGGAGCCTTTGATCTGTGCTCCCCATTAGCCTGGCCAAGAGTCTCCCAGAGCCCTGCTTCCGTTTGAGGCTTCTCCCATCCAACCCCCCTTTCCCTCTTCTGCTGTAGTGAAGTCTGAAGGCTCTTGCTCCTGCCTCCTACTGCTCCTTCTCCACTTTTTTCTTCACTGATGTTACTTCTAATACATTTCTTGCACATAGTTGGGACTCAGAAAAGAATACCCCAAAATGAAGGCCTTGGAAGCAGCCTCAGAAGCCAAGTTTTTCTCTGACCTTCTCCTGCCCTTCTGTCTGTCCGTTCCATTCTCCCCCAAGGCTAGCCATAGAAAGGAGAATCCCTCTTCCCTAAGGCAGAGCATAGAAACCAGAACCTCCTTTCCCTAAAGGCAGTTGTAAAACCTAGAAATATTACTCCAATTTTCCCTTCCACATTTCTGTGTAAAAACTGGCCATAAACAATTATCTGACTTACCTGTAGGTCATAAGGCCCCTATTCCAGAGAGGGTGCTACTCCATACTCAGGAGGAAGGAAAGCATGCTCGAGAGACCAAGGAAAATCCAGATAGACAGGGCTTGCTGCGTTTCCTCACTCAGTCTGTTAGAATTGGATGATACTCTTTTTGTTCAATCATATTTCTGCATGGCTCTCCAAACTTTGCTTCACCTAAGCATAAAAACAGATCACTTTCCCTCAGTCTTTGGGTCATCGTTCTGAAGGCTTCTGTGTGTACATAATAAGTAAATTGGTATGCCTTTCCTCCTATTAATCTGCCTTTTGTGAGCTGAGTTTTCAGTGAATCTTCAGAGGGCAAAGGTGAACAGTTCCCTTGGCCCCAGCATCTAACATCTCAAGTACTTGAATTAGCACAGAAGGAACAGAATGGAGCAAGAGGAAGGGGAGGGATAGGGAACGGAGACAATGGAAGAAGAAAGAAAAACAGCAAGAAAAAAAGGAAGAAAAAAGAGAAAATGTGAAAGAGGAAGAGAAACAGAAAGCAAATGAGGCCACATTTACACACACACACACACACACTCACCAATCTTAGTTGCAATCCTAGAATTTGAAGGTTGGATTTTGGCTTCAACCTTGACTGTCATCACTAGCGGAGGTGCTGTAAGGAGAACAACCACCACAGATAGAAATGCTTTTTGCTTTCTCGGTAAGTGTCCTTCAGATGTCTTTTTGCAGCCGCCGTGGGAATAATACATGTTTAACGCTATAGATAGCTCACCTGTATTAAAATAAATGGCTACTGTTACGGCCCCTCTATGACAGCTCAATTCAAAGACACATAAAAGGACTTGAAGATATTTCTATGCTTCATAATCGTAGCCTCACAACTCTGTTTTAGACTCTAAGAGAGAATAAAACTTCCCATATGCTAGTATAAAATTCACCTAACTTTTCAACTCCATAATTAGTGGTGGAAACATAAACTCCTTCACAGGATCCCCTCTTTGGCAGACAGATGTTGTCTGACCTCCCTGGCCTAAACCAGTGCATCATAAGAGTGCATTGATCAAAGGATGGTTTATTCAGGTTAATATAAAGCTATGAAGAGGAACCTGTCATTGCCAACCAGGGAGACTATGCAATCCCTGTATGCTTCTTTTATGAGTGTTGTACACTAGAAGAAGACACAAAAAATATCAGGCATATAAATCTTTCCCAGGGAGACGTGGCCATACAATCACTTATATGCAAATCATTGAATTAAAGGAAACATTCTTCTCCAAAGTACAAAGATCCATCTTCCAGGATAATTGAGTCAAAATCAACATTTAGAAGAAATAAATAATATTTTATTTATCACTACAAATGCACAAGTCTACTAAGTGGCCAGTCAATTTACATTATTCAGCAAAACACTTTTCTCATTCTTTGTAATTATAATTTCATAGTATTCTCCAAAAATAATACATGGATTTTTTTTGTTGTTTTTGAGACTTAAGGGGATTTTTGATAACTTTTTTTCAACATAAAATTTACCTATTCCAAAGGTTAAATGATAGCTTCATCCCAGGAGTCGAAACACTGCTAGCAACTTTCAAATAACATTTTCTAGATTTCAGAAATATTACTTTACCTGGGATCCCTGTTATGAAGAGAACATCAGAATGGAGCCTCACGTGAGAACTCAGGGTCTGGAGCCACCAACAAATTATAAACTTAGATAGTACATAATAAACCAGGGTATGCTTAACAAGAAGCAGCCACATTGGCAGTCACTGTGGATGACTGATGATGTGACAAAGCCCTTGAAGCTTTTTGCAGGCTGAGAACATAAAACTACAAAGTAGCACAAGCGGAAACCAAAATAGCTGAAGCAAAACACAGCAAGAAAAGAGAAAATGTTAGGAAGAGAATAGTGAAATACCTGGAAGAAAATAATGGAAGAGTAGAACATGAGATGAAGAACAGAGTTCATAATACAATACATGCATTTCAGATATAAAAATTGAAATACATTTATTCAACAAATATGCATTAAGATCTGATTGTGTCCCAGACACTACTGTACACACTTGGGATACATCTGTGAATGAAAGAAGACAGTAAGCCCAGCCATCAGGTAGCTTATATGGGGAAGTAGGCCAGAGAGGCAAACAATAAAAAAAAAAAAAATAGATGTGAGGCTTCAAACAAGATAAAGGATTTAAGGTCAACAATCATGCTAAGTATTCAGTCTACACATGCAGAGAAAGAATTAGAGAACTTTTTCCAAAACACTGAAGACTGGTATTTCCACACTTCACATCACCTTGTAAGTGTACCATCTTTAATATATAACACAAGTCCTACATAATGAAATATTTGAATTCATCCTTAAAGAGTCTGACTTTTTAAAATATTTATCTAATTCATGGTCCCTTGAAGTATAATAAATGAATTGAAACTTAGCAAACAAATGTTTTATCAATGACTATTGCAGAATGGTGAAGTGTATCATGGTGTCATTGTTTTTAGATGGGAGTTCACTCATTCTCCACAAATCCTCTTGTCATTACCAAATCCTGAGATTAATTTCCCTGTAGGTATCTAGGTGTCATTAGCATTAGATACCCAGACTGGATATCTTGACAATTAAATTTAAGAGTTGTTGCCTCATATCACACACATACCCTGGACATATGCACAAAACAGGCAGTTTTGCAAAATTCTTTATTAGCTGGATTATTTCTGCATGGATTTGCTATCTCTTACACCCTCAGTTTCATTTCCATCATTCCGCTTGCGCAGTCATGTCTAAGTGTCTCTTTAATGAACATGGACAGTCTGTCACTCAGAGTAGGGAGATTAACAAAGCAGTGATACTTCTGATGTTGTGCCAGCTTGGAAAGTAATTAAATTTTCTTTCTCTAGTTTGCAATAATTGTTTGAAGAAGTGAAGCTCTGCCACAAATCACTTTGGCAGCTACCAGTAACATGGGCTGTGAGTTGGATATTACATAGTCTCATCTGTCATCCATTGTGATGCCAGTCAAGGAAAACTTTAAGAGAAAAGATCTGCTTGGAGAGGCAGGAGGTTGGTGCAGGGAAGGACATCCTGCCTGTGCTCTAGGCCTGCTGCACCACTACTGCTGCGGATTTCCAGCAATGAATTGTTTTCTTTTATCTTTTCATCTCATGGTCCTATTTTTCACCTAAATTAGACAAACCTGGGTCCCACCTTATTCCAATACCACAATATATTGTCTATGTTTTCCTAGGCAGCTAGACTTACCTCTCTCAGCCTCAATTCTTTATCTGTAAAATGGGCATAATGATACTGCCCATCTAGTATAGTTTTTTGTTTGTTTGTTTGTTTCGTTTTTGTGAGATGTAGTCTCACTCTGCCAGGCTGGAGTGCAGTGGCACCATCTCAGCTCACTGCAACCTCCTCCGCCTCCTGGGTTCAAGCAATTCTCCTGCCTCAGCCTCCTGAGTAGCTGGGAGTACAGGCGGTGACACCACACCCGTCTAATTTTTTGTATTTTTAGTAGAGATGGGGTTTCACCGTGTTGGCCAGGATGATCTCGATCTCCTGAACTCGAGATCCGCCCGCCTTGGCCTCCCAAAGTGCTGGGATTACAGGCGTGAGCCACCGTGCCCGGCCTATAGTTTTGTTTCATCTTGCCTTATGAGGATTAACTCATGAAATGCAGATAACATTAATAGTACATTCAGTCTATCATTCATTCAATAATTATTTATTTTATATGACTAACTCCAACACTGCATAGATTATATGTTAAATGATGGTTACTTTTTTATCATTATTATTAATGAACATATCATGTTTTAATATATACTAGGAACGATGTTAGAAGTGAAAAGGAACCAAAAATTAGCAGAACAGTATCCTTAACTCTCCTTCAAAGCAGTAACCATGTTGGCATATAAAGTCTCCCTTCTCCAAATGTAAAGAAACTAAGGCAGGAAGAGATTGAAAAAATATCCACATTTCTACAGCAAATAGCAAAGGTTTTACTAAAAGCCAGGTTAGTGCTATATCTTTTGGACTTAAGCAAATACTATGCTCTGTAATATTATAAGGAGAAAATGTGGGCCGGGCGTGGTGGCTCACGCCTGTAATCCCAGCACTTTGGGGGGCCGAGGCAGGTGGATCACGAGGTCAGGAGTTCGAGACCAGCCTGGCCAAGATGGTGAAACCCCATCTCTATGAAAAATACAAAAATTAGCCAGGTGCAGTGGCAGACGTCTGTAACCCCAGCTGCTCGGGAGGCTGAGGCAGGAGAATCGTTTGAACCCAGGAGGCTGAGGTTGCAGTGAGCTGAGATCATGCCACTGCACTCTAGCCTGGGTGACAGAGCAAGACTCTGTCTCCAAAAAAAAAAAAAAAGAAAAAGGAAAGAGGATGATGTAGACAATTCTAAATAAAACTGCTCAAATGGCTTTTCAAAGCCAACAGCAGAATAAAGGTTTGGTGAAAGGAAAAAATCCATAGGTGAAAATGTCAATCTGAAATATGGACATGTCTTCTGCAGGCCAATAAATTGTTCTTATTACAAACCCAAACAGTTTTCAGCAGATTTGTGAGTCATTAAAAATATATGAGTGATATCTGATCAGTCACCAGATTCTGCTCTTTAGTCATGTTTGATTTTGCAACCAAAGATTAGTCCATAAAGGGAACAGTCCCTATTCTTCTTAAAAGAGAGAAACTCTGCCACACCTTACCAACTATGTGCCTTTATTAAAATCTGTATATGTGCAAGTTATAAAGTCACTTTGTATACATTTTTAAGTAATTGCTTTTTATCTGTTACCTGCTGTTTCTGGTATTTTCCCCTAAATGTTACTCTTTTTAGAAAAATATCTATCTCCTTATCTCTTTCATAAACTTGGTCTGGTGAATCACTAATTAAATATATCTGCAATACATTACAGAAGGGTAATTTAATCTGCAGAGGTCAAACAAATCCCTTGAGATGAAAACTTGTCAAAAAGGTATGGATTTATTTCCAAGACAAGCAGCAGACAGCACATAGTTTACTACTGTGTTAGAAGGGGATTGTGTACATGATGACTTCTGATTGCAGGCCTGGGGATGAGGAGAAATTTCAGAGAAAGGGGACCAGATAGTGGTGTAGGAGATGGGTGGAAGGGATTGATAATAACAATATACAACAACAATAATATCGACAGCTACCATTTATTGCATGTTTACTCATTTCTAAGAAGCATATTACATGTTTTACAAGAACCTAGTTCACACACACACACACACACACACACACACACAAAACTCTGTCTAGTGTATTTTATCACATCTGAGAAGATTGTGGCTTCCCCATGGCCAGACAGCAAATAGGTGATGGAACTTCAATTTAGACATCACTCCAAAGTCCACGTTCTCAACAACGATGCTATAAATTTTGCAAAGCTAAATTTATTCTGAAGTCTGTCTCCTTTTTCCATTCATCTCGGGCATTCAGTAGCTTACAGCCACACAGGCCAGATGGGGTACAGCGGGCAGTGGTGATATTCAGAGGGAGCAGATCTATATCCTAGACCTGACACACAGCATCCACTCCATCTACACACACCAGGGCTTTGAAGAAACCCATATCCTAAAGAATGTCGGTTTAACTTAAATTTCTATTAGATTACCAGATACATACTCTAGAGGAAGTACAATTCTATTAATAGGAACTTGCCCCAAACATATTTTGCCTGTTCTCTCTTTGTTTAATAGCCTGTGTTTAGCACTACTTTGCCAAGTATGTAAATCAACTAATTTTTAATGAAAACTGCCTTTATTAAATAATTCGCAGTCCCTATGTTTATCAGCCTTTGTGTTATTTCCTTTTTTGGCTAAAATCGGATAGCTTTCTAGGTCACTTATTCCTTAGAAATAACTCCACAGAGATGATAAATAGCCAATTGAACCTTAACACCTTCTCCCTCACAGTGTCCTACTGAAAAACAAAGTAAATTAATTGTGACTCCAGACAACTCGAACCTCATTGTCTTTCACCCCGCTGGCAGGCACTCTAGTGTCCTGTGTAATTGTGTACTGTGTAAACTCTATATACCTTATTTCATTTTTCTTCTAAATAAACTAAATATCTGGGTACAGGCATTAAATTGAATTTATTTTGTCTACAATCAAAAGTTTCTGTGTTTTTACGGGGGGTTATAAAGTCAATGTGTCTCTTCCGTTTTAAACAAATCAGTGACATTTGATGCTGACAGGATACTGGTTGGTTGGGAATATCCTTGACCCTCCTTCCTCAGCTAAAGAGAAAGAAATGGGTCTCTGGAAGATATTATGGCATGGACGCTATGCCCTAGATATGCTGAAGCATCATTAAGATTTAGGTGCATGGATTATGGGTCTTCATTTCTGTCTGAAAGTTGCAAAATTAATTTTTTTCTCTCCTCCAAGGATTGAAGTTCATTCAGCTAATATAGAAGACATACCCCTTCACTGATAACACTAATACAAAAAAAGTCTATAACAAGATCCGTTCTCAGCAATACTCTCTTTGAAAAATAGGCAACTTTATCTATCCACAGTGAATATGCCCAAATTCTGAAGAATGAATCAAATATTCAAACCCACTAGAATTTTAATTTGAACCCATATCTGCCCAATGGTAAACTATTAAAAGTTAGTTGATGACTTTGTCAGCTTTTAAAATAATCTCACGAATACAGTAGCCAATAGTTATGGAAATGCATATACAGAACTTGCCCCTGTCACACACACCCCCATCTCCCACTCATGCTTTCAATCTTGTTGGGTCAGCTCCAGGTTAGTCTTTCTTACCCAGAAAAGTGGTCATGACAAATTAGAGTTAGAAACCAGTCTACATTCCTGGTGGAGCCAAGTATAGTAAGGTGGGCTCTGTTTTGAGGGCAGGAAGCCATATGGGATGTGCGGTGGTTAGGTTGAAGAAGGTGACAGGGACAGTGAGCCAGCAATGGGACTATGTCAATAAGTCAAAGAGAGAGGGTTTTTTTGTTTGTTTGTTTGTTTTTTGCAATGTTGTGATTGTGATAGATTAAAGAAAAAGATGCAATAGCTGTGTCTATAGTTTGGAGAAACTGAAAATGCTTGATGTGAAACAATATAACTTTTAAAATATTTGCTAAACATTAAGAATATATTAAAACTACCCAAGGCCCACCCACCACAACTGTGATATTTCTTGAGACTACCAGTAAGAATTTTAATGATTTTCCATGATTTTTTTTGTCAGACTATTACTGTTTGTATGAATGAGACATCTTACCACATGAACCCTCATTGTTTTTAGGTTGTGCTGGTCACTTTTAGAACAATGGCTTCCTACAGTCCCTTTAGCTCTTTCTTCCTCCAAAAGCAAAATAATAATGATAATAATAGGCATTGCTTTTGAAAAGAGTATTTGCATATGATTAGGTCTCTTTTGGATACTCAAAGCTTTAATGACTTGTATTAAAGAGCTAATTGAAATTGACAAGAAAACCACTGAATGTTAATAGGTAAATAATAAAAGTAAACATTTCATAAAAGAGGAACAAACACTGTAAACGTGTGATTTAATTTTAGTATTAAATTTAAAAAACATGTATAGGACATATGATTACTTGAGAAATACATGCACACATACACACACACACACACACACACACACGCATTTCAGAGTTATTTCCACATTGATGTTTGGTTTCTCATTATCACTGGTCTCTTTCCTTGGAGTTGCCCCATTTCCCACAATTCTCCTCTTGTCAGGACATCAGAGGCTTTCTCCCACTGCTCCTGTAAACCAGGAAGTAAGCACATGACCTATGTTGTAAAACATGACCTATGTTGGGCCAGACAGATGCATGTTCCTGTGGATTTGGCTCTTGTTTATGACAGAAGAACAGAAGAGATTGCTGGAGTTCATTCATTACAGCAATGACTACTGAGTATTTCATGCCTTTATAACCTTCTTATTAGCTACCAATTCATCTTTGACCTCACTTAGAATACCATCCCAAATACATCTAACAAATTACCTTTTCAGTTAAATTAGCTAGTTTATTTGTACTGCCTGCAAGCAAATAACCATAACTACATATACATGTTTTCGTTGCATTTTAAAACTCACTTTTCTTCTAAATGATCTGATTCATTGTGCAAACAGTATTGACACTTAAATGTCGTGAAATGCCATTTCACATATATGTTATCATAGCAAACAGCTAATTAAGATACAGTGGTCATAATAGAGTCATTCTGTAAATGTATATATACAGTTTCTGGATGGGTTTGCAACTTTCTCATCATCAGCCTGTTCTGGAATCATACATTTTGTTAATTGCTCCATTGAGAGCTTTGCCAGAGGAGAATCCCTAAGAGTGAGTGGGCTGAGAGCTACTTAATTGGGCATGCAAGGACCTGAACCGTATCTTCTACCTTTTTTGCCAAGCAAAGACTTTTGCCAAGCTAGTGTACAGACTAGCGTCATTATTGGCTTGGCACTTGTTAGAAATGCATGGTCCCAGGCCATATACTTGACCTGCTGAAACAGAGTCTGTATTTTGAGAGATTCCACAGGATATGTGTTTGCATGTTAAAGTTTAAGAAATTTTATTCTACTTCACTTTGCATTTAAAATTTTATAATTCACTACTTTGGCCTCCATTCTAAATATATTACTAGATGCCTATATACAGGTCCTGTTTAAACCACTTTAATATCAATTTTGTCATTGTATTTTCTTAATAATCTGGATAAGTATGGGCAGATATTCTGGAAAAGCAACAACTGAAGCCTAGAGAAGCTGACAGATGAGGTCACCAACTGTTCAGTGGTACAATCAGAATTAGCACACAAGAGTCTTCACTTAAAGAGTTGCTACTGAGCAATCTAAGTGAGAATCATTTTAGCAACAACTCCTTTAATTGGTTTATTCAGCAACTACTTGTACCCATCCATGAGCCAGGCTCTTATAACTTCAATAATCAGCTGTTCCATTTGCTGGACTGTTCTAACTTTTGTAAAATCCTGTGATTTGACATGTGCTTCTTCTATTTTTGACTGTAGACAGGAAAGAATATTTGAATATTTTCCCACAACAGCCTTTCAAATATTGAAAGAGAGTTATCCTGTTCCTTATTGCATCTTTTCTTGTCCAGGGCAAGTTATTTAAATCACTCTCCAATGACACATTATCTAAATCTCTCATCTTGACCATTCCTATTAAGAACACTCAAAGTATGTGGGGCTCTTTAAAAAACAGTTCAAATAATTTATTACCGTCTGACAAGTATAAAACAGAAAAGAATAATTACTTCCATGAATCCAGACATTCTTCTTTTATTAAGGCTGCCTAATTGTTAGTCGGCCTTGGTAACATTAATATAATATTCTTGGCTTATACTGAGACTGTATCTTCATTTTAATATAAACTTTTCTCATGTCAGATTTCTGCCATTCTACCTGTAAGCTAATATTTGGTTATTGTTGGTGGTGGTTTATTTTGTGTCCCTAAATACAGAACATCAATTCTTGTTCAGTGATACCATATGTGTTGTAAACCATCATTCCAGACCCAGAAAGTCATTTTAAATCTTGGTTGAACTATGAAGACAAGACTGTTGGGACAGATTCTTCCACTCTGAGACAATCAGAGTCAAATGTACCCTCAGTCTCACAAACAAGTAGTATATGCCCAAATAAATCTCCATCATTTCAGTATAACCCATATCACTACTAAGAACTGTTAAGGTTTTGAGAGGCCAATTACACACTCTTCTCTTTAAATTTAAAATTGAGTAATAGCAGATTCAGATAAGCATCACAATATAAGCTTCATTGCTTACAAAACTAATTGGGCACTGCAATTTAAAGCAGAGGCCAAAATTGACTTTTGGCTTCTGTATACCTCTGCTCCTTGTCCCTCACAGGAGGCTACCCTCCTGTTCTGATGCCTGGGAGACAGGAGGAGAGAGAACACATTTAGCCTGCAAGTAGGTAGCTTGAAATTGGAACCAAAGAGATGCAAGGAAGGGGGCAGTTTCATTGGACAGAGCCTCTTTCCCTAACCCTACTCATTAGATTAATTACTCTACCTCATGTAGGGAGAAACACTAAGGGAGGGAGGGGTCGGAATGTTTCTCTAAAATGTTATCTGCTGGGGAATGCAGTGGAATTCACCTCCCCAGAAAATGGAAGGACCAAAGTAATATGTCCTCCCAAACAAGAAGTCTTGAAACAGAGTGTTTATTCTGCCAAGCAGGCTGTTTGCCATTTCTTCCATGTGATCTGTTTATTTCTTCCTTTAATCCCTTGCAAATACCACTGCTTGATTACAATCCTTCCCTGCTCTACCAAAACAAAATCTCCTGTAGAGGGATTGTATTATGTTAGATAGCAAATGTGGAATGACCTGAAAATCACTACTTTAAACTTAAATTCGTTTCAAAGGCAGACACACCAAATTCAAATAACTGCTGCTGATCAGATGGAATAGGGCTCTAAGGTATATAGGTGATCAAAGTGCTCACTCTACAATCATAAAACACAGATTAGAGGCAATTGTAATTCTGTTTGGCCTTTCTGGAAAAAGTTAACATTCCACCAAAGTGTCAATGCAGATATGAATCAATGTATGCACTTAGAGAAAAAATGAAGGTAATGGTAGGTAACCATAGATTTCAAGAATAAAATTCTAGGTAGATGTGTGTTATTGACCATGCTGAAACTTTACAAAGGTATTGATTTAAAGTAATTTAACCTTGAGTTTTTGTTTTCCTTACTGTAGTTCCAAAAATTGGAAATTCACTCAATCATATAATAGGGTTGATTCCATGTCTTGACTATTATGAATAATGCTGCAATGAACATTAGAACACAGATATCTCTATGAGGTCCTGATTTCATTTCCTTTGGATATACATCCAGATGTTGGATTATAGGATTATATGCTAGTTCTATTTTTAATTTTTAAAGGAACCTTCATACTGTTTTCCATAATGGCTGTAATAATTCACATTCCCACTACCAATGTACAAAGGTTCCCTTTTCTCTGCATCCTTACCAACAAATATTTTTCATCTTTTTGGTAATAGTTATTCTAACAGATAATATTTCATTGTGATTTTCATTTGCATTTCCCTGATGGTTAGTGATGTTGAGCAGTTTTTCATTTATCTGTTGGCCATTTGCATGTCTCCTTTTGAGAAATGTCTATTCAGTCAGGTTCTTTGCACACATTTTAGTCAGGTTATCTGCTTTCAGAATTTATTGTATACTTTAAAGTTGCTGAGAGAGTAGATCTTAAATGTTCTCTCTACAAAAACATGATAAGTATGTGAGGTGATGGATACATTAATTAGTTGTTTTAATAATTTTACAATGTATACAGATATCAAAATGCCACATTGTACACCATAAGTATAAATATTTTTTCAGCTATAACTTAATAAAGCAGAAAAAAATGTAGACCAGGGATCTGCAAATATTTTGTTAACAAAGTAGATGGTAAATATTTTAGGCTTTGAGATTCATTTAGTTCTTATCAAGACTACTCAACTCTGCTCTGCCATTTCACTGAGAAAGCAACCATTCACATTACAATTTTCAGATTGCCTTTCCCTAAAATGACCATCTTTTATCTATATTGTTTAACTAACATTTGTCTCTTAAACATATTTTAGTATTTCTACTATTGAAAAGGGCTTTCCAACTTCTGGAGGGTTTATGTCATTTATGCTTAGCAAAAACTTTTCTTTTTTCACAAAGCAAAAAAAACATTTCTCTTGATTATTAACAAGGTTGAATTATTTTGGACATAGTGAATATAACAATGCATAGACCAAGTTTTACTTCATAAAGAATACACAGCATGAGTCTCACAATATGCACATTTAAAAAACCAAGAGTTAGTGTTAAATGTTTCATTAAAGATTTATTATATAAAAATTATTTCCTTGAGAAGAACCTGGAAATGTGAAGAAACATTGTGTCAAGTAAGAAAACCCTGTTGTTTCAACTGCAGAGTTTTAAGAAATATCTGCTTTATGTCCTTAATTTCTTTTTAAGATGCCTCGTCTATAACTCTCATTGACAAGATAATAAATAAAACAAAGGGGAGAAACATAATAAGCTAGTAAATTATTATTAATGTCAATATTATATCATGTTATATAATGTTAATAATTTAAAAATATGTAAATAATATTTTAATAGGTATTAATATAATAATAATTATTGTTATTATTAAAAAGACAGACCTAAAGACATATGTACATATTCCTGGACCCAGAGATACCAATCTTGAGCTAATGATTGAAAAGAAACTTTTGTTGGAAGATAGAAATTCTAATTCATATCTGAAAGTAAAATGAAAACTTTTCTTATTTTAGCTATGGACATTTTCTCACTATGATCCAGGTTAAAAATACTAGTTTTTTTTTCTTTGTCTCAGTTCTTTCCCCAAAGAAACATGTAGGAAGGAAGAAACAGTAATGTAGAGGAAGACTACATTCATCTTACCATTTCCTTCTAGAGGTTTTGCCCTACTGCTTACTAACTGATGTCAGCTATTTTTGAAACAGTGATAAAAAGCTCTGCAGATATTCAATGTTATCACAGATTATTAAGGAATGTAGGGTGATCAGGAATGGTTCTCGCTGTTAAGTACTGATAACAGTGAGCTACATTAGGTCAGCCAGATAAGTTAGCTACCCAATGACAAGGTTAAGACTTTGCATTTTGTTAACCGTGGAAGAGTGAAGAAGAGGAGAAGATGCCCAAGCCAGGTGAGCTGTCTCAGTTTGTTGGAAAGCCTGGCACGCAGGACCACCAAGCGTGGTGTGCAGAGAGATGGTTGTGTTGGTGAACAGCAGTTTGAAGGATTTCCTAGCGAAGGTTAGAAAGTGTTTCTGAAAAACATAGCCCACCTGCAATCTATGGAAGCATCGCTAAGACTAATTATTTAAAAATGGAGTTTATGCTTCCCACTCCAGAATGACTCAACTAAAATCTCTGAAATTACAGCTCAGGAATATGTCCTTCTTTTTACTTATTTCTAGATGAATTTTGCTCATGTGAAAGCTTGAAAAACACTGAAACAGTGGTTCCCACTTTAGAATTTTCTGCTGCCCCATCCTCCATTAGAGATTTGAAATAACGACCCATTGGGCCTCAGGAAAGTCATGAACTGATTTGAAAAACAGCTTCACCAACTTCATGTGTACCAAAACAGGGGTCTTTTATTACCTTCGAGTTGTTGAGCTTGGTAAGTCAAAAATTCCCTGAATTATATAAAAAATGTGCAGTGTTTGTGTATTTTTCTGGAGTGAAGACCTTTAACTTTCATCTGATTTTCAAATGCTTTTCTACCTCCCTCCTGAATCTAAGAATCACTGCTCTAAAGGAATCAAACTAATCCAATTGCAAATAATTAATTCTATTGGAAACTTATTTTTCACCAACCACTGAGAATGCTTGTAAATTTAAAGTAGACTTCTAATCTAAATGTATTTTTATTTTTGGCAATAAATTGTACCTGCTCACCCTTCTAGACACTAAGCCTTAGGTAATAAAATAATGTTATTTGCAATGGCCATTGACAAATCTATCAGCAGTAAATGAATTGAACAGAATATATTCATGTATTTGACAAAACCAATTAGACAAGAGGGTGTTCACGCATTTCCTGGGCAAGCTCACACTTCTTAATGGTATAATCAGTTCTGATCTTTTAGTGACCCAGTGAGAAAACAGGTTTAAGATGCTTTTCATGCATCTGCTACCACTGACTCTTATTAGAAGTAATTTCCCTGTAAAAGGATACTTTGGTCACACATTCTTACAAAACCTTCCAGAAAACAGCACTGTGAATTCAAAAGGCAGCTGTTGCTTACTCTCAGGGGAAATAATAATATTTCCCACAATCCCTCTCAAATTGATGCCACTATGATTCAGAGGATGATTTTAGTGGCTTCTTGCATCAGACTTATCAACATGTTCTATTTTCCAACTTACTTTTATCATGCTACCTCCATAATCAACAAATGAGGCACAGTTTGAAAGATATATTTTACTGGCAATAAATGAATCAAATGTTTCTGTAAGAGACAAATGACTTACCCACATTTATGTTATGTAACAGATTATATATATGCATATTATACACACATATGTACAGACCCCTAGTTAAACACAATTTATATTATTTTGAAATAGATAATTGCAAGTATATTATTTGATAAATTATTAGATCATTTAGATTGATACACTAAACCACAGGTTAGCAATCTGAATTGCAATCTCAAAGAAATATTATGATTTCCACATTTACTTCAATTGCGCAAAGATGAGACTATTCAATGTCTACAAATCAAATAGTTGTCATAGAATTCCACTATATAGGTAAGCTACAATTCATAAACAAAAATAGAAAAAGAAGAGGAAAAGAAACTCAATGAATCCTACCTCATTTACACCATCACAGCAATACCAATAAGGGATCCATACTAAAGCAATAGAGCAATTCAGATGTGAGGATATTATTAAAAAATGGCCCAAACCTTTGAAATCTTATGGTCATCCATGCAGTAAATGACTTACTTTTATGTGAAAATAAATCTACACAATAACTTTAGGGTCAGATTTTATGTGAAAATAAATCTACACAATAACTTTAGGGTCAGATGCGATACGATTTTAAAGAAAACAATTATTCTACCTTGCTTATCCAAGTTAATGAAATGAGGTAAATGTGCCATTCTTCAGCTGATTGTGCACTGAATGCATATATTAGAAAAAAGGAAAGATCTAAAATCAATCATCCAAGTTTCTACTCTGGGAATCTAAAGAAATAAGAAAAATATAAATTTAAAGCCAACAAAGGAAAATTAAAAATAAAAATTATAGCTTTAATAGACAGTAAAATGATAGAGAAAAATCAATGAGGCAAAAATTTGGTTATTTAAAAAGCTCAGTGGTACAGATAAACCTCTGGCCAGGCTAACCAAGAGAAACAAGAGAAGATACAATTTACTAATGTAGGAAATGAAATCGGGGTTATCACTATTAATCCTATGAACATTAAAAGAATAATCAAGAAGTATTATAAACAATTCTATGCCATGAATTTGATAACTTGGATAAAATGAACCAATTTCCTGAAAGACAAACTACTAATACTTACATAAAAGAAAAAGATAATCTGAATAGGTCTGTATCTATTAAACAAATGGAATCACTTAAAAAACAAAACACCATGCATGAAGAGTGTCTAATTCTGCCAAACATTTAAAGGGGAAATAATGCAACTTCTCTACAATCTATTCCAGAAAAGAGAAGCAGAAGGAACACTTCCTAATTCAATGTATGAGACCAGCATTACTCTAATATCAGATAAAAATATTACAAGCAAAGAAAACTGAAGACCAATATATTTCATGAACATAGATAGAAAAATTTCAATGAAATTATCAAATGTAATCCAACAATATATAAAAATAATTATATACCATGACTAAGTGGAATTTGTTCCAGGTATACAATGCTGATTAAACATTTGAAATCAATTAGTGTAATTCCTCATATTGACAGGTGAAAGAAGAAAAACCACATGATTAAACCATTGATGCATAAAAATAACTGGCAAAATCCAACATGCATTTATGGTAAAATAAGAACAAACAACCCTCAGAGCTAGCAGAAGAAAAAAAAATAGCAAAGATCAGATCAGATCTAAATGATATTGAGACCAAAAAAAAAAAATACAAAGGATCAACAAAATAAAAAGTTGGCTCTCTCTTAAGTGACAGACACAATTAACAGACTGCTAGCTAGATTAACCAAGAAAAAAAAAGATTCCGATAAGCACAATCAGAAATGAGAAAGGTGACAATACAACTAATACCACAGAAATACAAAAGATCATCAGAGACTACTTAGAGCACCTCTATGCACACGAACTAGAAAACCTAGAGGAAATGAATAAGTTCCTAGATATATACTACCTCCAAAGATTGAACCAGAAAGAAAAAGAAACCAAGAACAGATCAATAACAAGTAGGGAAACTGAGGCAACAATTAAAAAAAATTCCCAGTAACAACAAAATCCCAAGACAATACGGATTTACAGCCAAATGTTACCAGACATCAACAAAATACTACAAACAACAAAATACTAGCAAACCAATTCCAACAACACATCATGAATATAATATACTGTATTAGTCTGTTCTCATGCTGCTAATAAAGACATACCTGAGACTGGGCAACTTAAAAAAGAAAGAGGTTTATTGGACTTAACACTTCCACATGGCTGGGGAGGCCTCACAATCATGGCAGAAGGCAAGAAGGAGCAAGTCACATCTACGTGGGTGGCGGCAGGCAAAAAGAGAGCTTGTGTAGAGAAACCCCCATTTTTAAAACCATCAGATCTTGTGAGACTCATTCACTATCAAGAGAAAAGTGCAGGAAAGACCTACCCTCATAATTCAATCATCTTCCACCAAGTCCCTTCCACAACACGTGGGAATTATGGGAGCTACAAGATGATATTTGGGTGGGGACACAGCCAAACCATATCATATACCATGATCAAGTGGGGTTTATTCCAGGGATGCGAGGGTGATTTAACATAAAAATCAGTAAGTGTGATTCGCCATACAAAGAAAACTGAAAACAAAAACCATATGATCATCTCAATAGGTGCAGAAAAATTATTTGATAAAATTTAGTGTCTCTTCATGATAAAAATTCTCAACAAACTAGATACCAAAGGAACATGCCTTAAAATAATAAATGCCATATATGACAAATCCATAGCCAATGTTACAGTGAATGAGGAAAATTTGAGCACATCCTTTCTATGAACTGTAATAAGACAAGGATACCCACTCTCACCACTCCTATTCAACAAAGTAGTGGAAGTCCTAGCTAGAGTAATCAGGCAAGGGAAAGAAACAAAAGGCGTCCAAATTGAAAAAAGAAAAGTCAAATTATCTCTGTTCACTAACTGATATGATATTATACCTAGAAAATGTTAAAGACTCTTCAAAAGACTCCTGGATTTTATAAGTGACTTCAGTTAGGTTTTGGATACAAAATAGTTGTAGAAAAATTAGTAGCATTTCCATATACGAATAACAATCAAGCTGATAGCCAAATTGAGAACTCAATCCCATTTACAATAGCCACACCAAAAAATAAAATATCTACACATATATTTAACTGAAGAGGTAAAAGATTTCTACAAAAGGGACTACAAAGCACTAATGAAAACATTATAGATAACCTAAACAAAGGAAAAAACATCTCATACTCATGGGTTGGGAGACTCTATATTGTTAAAAAGGCCACAGTGCCCAAAGAAATCTACAGTTTCAATGCAATTCCTATTAAATTGCCAATGTCATTTTTCAAAGAATTAGAAAAAAAATCCTAAAATTCACATGGAAGAAAAAAAGGGCCCAAATAGCCAAAACAATCCTAAACTCCAGCTTATATTACAAGGGTATAGTACACAAAACAGTATGGTACTGGTATAAAAATAGACACATAGATCAATGGAAAAGAATAGAGAATCTAGACATAAAGTGAGATACCTAAAACCTATTGATGTTCAACAAAGTTGACAAAAATATACACTGGAGAAAGGACACATTGTTCAATAAATAAGGCTGGGAAAATTGAATAGCCATATGCAAAAGAATGAAAGTCTCATGGTGTAACATTCATGAAACACATATCTCTCACCAAGTACAAAAATTAACTCAAGATGAATTAAAGACTTAAATGTAAGACTCAAAACATAAAAGTCCTAGAAGAAAACCTAGGAAAAACTCCTCTGGACATTGGTCTAAGCAAAGAATTTATGAATAAGTTCTCAAAAGCAAATGCACCACAAACAAAAATAGACAAATGAGACTTAACTACATTAAAAAGCTTCTGCACAGAAAAAATACATAAATAAATAACAGAGTAAACAAGCAACCTGCAGAATGGGAAAAATATTAGCAAGCACTGCATCTGCCAAAAAGTTCATATCAAGATTCTACAAGAGACTCAAGCAATTCAACAAGAAAAAATAAACCCATTAAAAATTGGTCAAAGGATATAAATAGGCATTTTTTCAAGGAAGTCAGCTAAGTGGCCAAAAAACATGAAAAAATGCTCAACATCACTAATCATCAGAGAAATGCAACTTAAAAACCACAGTGTGATACTATCTTAACACCAGTCAGAATGGGTATTATTAAAAAGTCAAAAGTTGGCTTCAAACTGGATCACTGGTATGTGGCTGGCAAGATGGCAGAATAGGAACAGCTTCATTCTGCAGCTCTCAGTGAGATCAACGCAGAAGGCAAGTGTTTTCTGCATTTCCAACTGAGGTACCCACCTCATCTTACTGGGACTGTTTAGACAGTAGATGCAGCCAACAGAGGGCAAGCCAAAGCAGGGTGGGGCATCACCTCACCCAGAAGAGCAAGGGGTTGGGGAACTCCCTCCCCTACCCAAGGGAAACCCTGAGGGACCCTGTCATGAGGGATGGTGCTATCCGGCCCAGATACTACGCTTTTCCCATGGTCTCACAACCCACAGACCAGGAGATTCCCTCCGGTGCCTACACCACCAGGGCCCTGGGTTTCAAGCACAAAACTGGGCCACCAATTGGGCAGACACTGAGCTGGCTGCAGAAGTTTTTTTTCATACCTCAGTGGCAGCTGGAGTGCCAGCAAGACAGAACCGTTCACTACCCTGGAAAGGGGGCTGAGGCCAGGGATCCAAGTGGTCTAGCTCAGTGGATCCTACCCCCATGGAGCTCAGCAAGCCAAGATCCACTGGCTTGAAATTCTCACTGCCAGCACAGCAGTCTGAAGATGACCTGGGACGCTCAAGTTTGGTGGGGGAAGGGCCACCATTAATAAGGATTGAGTAGGCAGTTTTCCCCTCACAGTGTAAACAAAGCCACTGGGAAGTTTGAATTGTGTGGAGCCCACCACAGCTCTGCAAAGGCACAGTAGCCAGACTGCCTATCTAGATTCCACCTCTCTGGGCAGGGCATCTCTGAAAGAAAGGCATCAGCCCCAGTCAGGGGCTTATAGATAAAACTCCCATCTCCCTGGGACAGAACACCAGGGGAAAGAGGCGGCTGTGGGCAAAGCTTCAGCATACTTAAACGTTCCTGCCTGCCAGCTCTGAAGAAAGCAGCAGATCTCCCAGCACAGTGCTCGAGCTCTGCTAAGGGACAAGCTGCCTCCTCAAGTGGGTTCCTGACCCTCGTGCATCCTGACCGAGAGACAACTCCCATCAGGGTCGACAGATACCTCATACCGGAGAGTTCTGGTTGGCATCTGGCAGGGGCCCCTCTGGGATGAAACTTGCAGAGGAAGAAAGAAGCAGCAATCTTTGCCGTTCTGCAGCCTCTGCTGGTGATACCCAGGAAAATAGGGTCTGGAGTGGACCTCCAGCAAACTCCAGCAGACCTACAGCAGAGGGGCCTGACTGTTAGAAGGATAACTAACAAACAGAAAGGAATAGCATCAACATCAACAAAAAAGACATCCACACAAAAACCCCATCCAAAGGTCACCAGCATCAAAGACCAAAGGTAGATAAATCCATGAAGATGAGGAAAAACCAGCACAAAAAGACTGAAAACTCCAAAAACCACAACGCCTCTTCTCCTTCAAAGGATCACAACTCCTCGCCAGCAAGGGAACAAAACTGGATGGAGAATCAGTTTGATGAATTGACAGAAGTAGGCTTCAGAAGGTGGGTAATAACGAACACCACCGAGCTAAAGGAACATGTTCTAACCCAATGCAAGGAAGATAAGAACATTGATAAAAAGTTACAGGAACTGCTAACTAGAATAACCAGTTTAGAGAAGAACACAAATGACCTGATGGAGCTGAAAAACACAGCATGAGAACTTTGTGAAGCATATACAAGTATCAATAGCTGAATTGATCAAGCAGAAGAAAGAGTAACAGAGAATGAAGATCAACTTAATGAAATAAAGTGTGAACACAAGATTAGAGAAAAAAGAATGAGAAGGAATGAACAAAGCCTCCAAGAAATATGGGACTATGTGAAAACGTCAAACCTACATTTGATTGGTGTGCCTGAAAGTGATGGGGAGAATGGAATCAAGTTGGAAAACACTCTTCAGGATATTATCCAGGAGAACTTCCCCAACCTAGCAAGGCAGGCCAACATTCAAATTCAGGAAATACAGAGAACACCACAAAGATACTCCTCGAGAAGAGGGACCCAAAGACACATAATTGTTGAATTCACCAAAGTTGAAATGAAGGAAAAAATGTTAAGGGCAACCAGAGAGAAAGGTCGGGTTACCGACAAAGAGAAGCCCATCAGACTAACAGCAGATCTCTCAGCAGAAACCCTACAAGCCAGAAGAGAGTGGGGGCCAATATTCAACATTCTCAAAGAAAAGAATTTTCAACCCAGAATTTCATATCCAGCCAAACTCAGCTTCATAAGCAAAAGAGAAATAAAATCCTTTACAGACAAGCAAATGCTGAGAGATTTTGTCACCAACAGGCCTACCTTAAAAGAGCTCCTGAAGGAAGTACTAAACATAGAAAGAACAACCAGTACCAGCCACTGCAAAAACATACCAAATTGTAAAAACCATCAACACCATGAAGAAACTACATCAACTAATGGGCAAAATAACCAGCTAGCATCATAATGACAGGAACAAATTCACACATAACAATATTAACCTTAAATGTAAATGGGCTAAATGCCCCAAATAAAAGACACAGATGGACAAATTGGTTAAAGAGTCAAGACCCAGCAGTGTGCTGTATTCAGAAGACAAATCTCACATGCAAAGACACACATAGGCTCAAAATAAGTGGATGGAGGAATATTTACCAAGCAAATGGCAAGCAAAAAGAAAAAGCAGGGGTTGCAATCCTAGTATCTGATAAAACAGGCTTTAAACCAAGAAAGATCAAAAAAGACAAAGAAGGTCATTACATAATGGTAAAGGGATCAATGCAACAAGAAGAGCTAACTATCCTAAATATATACGCACCCAATACAGGAGCACCCAGATTCATAAAGTAAATTCTTAGAGACTACAAAGAGACTTATACTCCCATACAATAATAGTGGGAGATTTTAACACCTCATTGTTGATATTAGATCAATGAGACAGAAAATTAACAAGGATATTCAGGACTTGAACTCAGCACTGGACAAAGCAGATTTAATAGACATCTACAGAACTCTCTACCTCAGATCAACAGAATATACATTCTTCTCAGCACCACATAGCACTTATTCTAAAATTGACCACATAATTGGAAGTAAAACACTCCTCAACGAATGCAAAAGAATGGAAATCATAACAAACAGTCTCTCAGACCACAGTGCAATCAAATTAGAACTCAGGATTACGAAACTTACTCAAAACTGCACAACTACATGGAAACTGAACAACCTGCTCCTGAATGACTACTGGGTAAATAATGAAATGAAGGCAGAAATAAATAAGTTTTTGAAACCAATGAGAACAAAGACACAACATACCAGAATCTCTGGGACACAGCTAAAACAGTGTTTAGCAGAAAATTTATAGCACTAAATGCCCACAGGAGAAAGCAGGAAAGATCTAAAATCAACACCCTAACATCACAATTAAAAGAAGTAGAGAAACAGGAGCAAACAAATTCAAAAGCTAGCAAAAGACAAGAAATAACTAAGATCAGAGCAGAACTGAAGGAGATAGAGACATGAAAAACCCTTCAAAAAAATCAATAAATCCAGGAGCTGGTTTTTTGAAAAGATCAACAAAATAGACCACTAGCAAGATTCATAAAGAAGAAAAGAGAAGAATCATATAGACACAATAAAAAATGATAAAGGGGATATCACCACTGATCCCACAGAAATACAAACCACCATCAGAGAATACTATAAACACCTCTATGAAAATAAACTAGAAAATCTAGAAGAAATGGATAAATTCCTGAACCCATACACCTTCCCAAGACTAAATCAGTAAGAAGTCGAATCCCTGAGTAGACCAATAGCAAGCTCTGAAATTGAGGCAGTAATTAATAGCCTACCAACCAAAAAATGCCCAGGACCAGATGGATTCACAGCTGAATTCTACCAGAGGTACAAAAAGGAGCTGGTACCACTCCTTCTGGAAGTATTCCAAACAATAGAAAAAGAGGGACTCCTCCCTAACTCATTTTATGAGTCTGGAATCATCCTGATACCAAAATCTGGCAGAGACACTATAAAAAAAAAATTTCAAGCCAATATCCCTGATGAACATCAACGTGAAAATCCTCAATGAAATCATGGCAAACCAAATCCAGCAGCACATCAAAAAGTTTATCCACCACAATCAAGTTGGGTTCCTAACTGAGATGAAATGCTTGTTCAACATACACAAATCAATAAACGTCATCCATCAAATAAACAGAACCAATGACTAAAATCACATGATTATCTCAATAGATGCAGAAAAGGCCTTCAATAAAATTCAACACCCCTGCAAGCTAAAAACCCTCAATAAACTAGGTATTGATGGAACGGATCTCAAAATAATAAGAGCTATTTATGACAAACCCGTAGCCAATATCACACTGAATGGGCAAAAGCTGGAAGCATTCCCTTTGAAAACCGGCACAAGACAAGGATGCCCTCTCTCTCCACTCCTGTTCAACACATTATTGGAAGTTCTGGCCAGGGCAATCAGGCAAGATAAATAAAGGGTACTCAAATAGGAAGAAAGGAAGTCAAATTGTCTCTGTTTGCAGATGACATGATTGTATATTTAGGAGGACCCCATCGTCTCGGCCCAAAATCTCCTTAAGCTGATAAGTAATTTCAGCAAAGTCTCAGGATACAAAACTCAATGTGTAAAAATCACAAGTATTTCTGTATGCCAATAATAGACAAACAGAGAGTCAAATAATGAGTGGACTCCCATTCACAATTGCTACAAAGAGAATAAAATACCTAGGAATACCTCTTCAAGGAGAACTACAAACCACTGCTCAAGGAAATAAGACAGGATACAAACGAATGAAAAAACATTCCATGCTCATGGATAGGAAGAATCAGTATCGTGAAAATGGCCATACTGCCCAAAGTAATTTATAGATTCAGTGCTATCCCCATCAAGCTACCAGTGACTTTCTTCACAGAATTAGAAAAAAACTACTTTAAATTTTATATGGAACCAAAAAAGAGCCCATATAGCCAAGACAATCCTAAGCAAAAAGAACAAAGCTGGAGGCATCACGGTAGCTGACTTCAAACTGTACTACAAGGCTACAGTAACCAAAACAGCATGGTACTCATACCAAAACAGATATGTAGACCAATGGAACAGAACAGAGGCCTCAGAAATAACACCACACATCTACAACCATCAGATCTTTGACAAACCTGACAAAACAAGCAATGAGGAAAGGATTCCCTATTTAGTCAATGGTATTGGGAAAACTGGCTAGCCATATGCAGAAAACTGAAACTGGACCCCTTCCTTACAACGTATACAAAAATTAACTCCAGATTGATTAAAGACTTAAACATAAGACCTAAAACCATAAGAACCGTAGAAGAAAGCCTAGGCAGTACCATTCAGGACATAGGCATGGGCAAAAACTTCATGACTAAAACACCAAAAGCAATGGCAACAAAAGCCAAAATTGACAAATGAGATCTAATTAAACTAAAGAGCTTCTGTACAGCAAAAGAAACTGTCATCAGAGTGAACAGGCAACCTACAGAATGGAAGAAATTTTTTTGCAATCTATCCATCTGACAAAGGGCTAATATCCAGAATCTACAAGAAACTTAAATAAATTTACAAGAAAAAAAATAGCCCCATCTAAAGGTGGACAAAGGATATGAACAGACACTTCTCAAAAGAAGACATTTATGTGGCCAACAAACATATGAAAAGAAGCTCATCATCACTGGTTGTTAGAGAAATGCAAATCAAAACCACAATGAGATACCATCTCATGCCAGTTAGAATGGTGATCATTAAAAAGTCATGACACAACAGATGCTGGACAGGATGTGGAGAAACAGGAATCCTTTTACACTGTTGATGGGAGTGTAAATTAGTTCAACCATTGTGGAAGACGGTGTGGTGATTCCTCATTGATTTAAAACCAGAAATACCATATGACTAGCAATCCCATTAATGGGTATATACCCAAAGGATTATAAATAATTCTAATATAAAGAGACATGCACATGTATGTTTATTGCAGAACTATTCACAATAGCAAAGACTTGGAACCAACCCAAATGCCCATCAATGATAGACTGCATAAAGAAAATGTAGCACATATACACCTTGAAACACTATGCAGCCATAAAAACGGATGAGTTCATGACATTTGCAGTGACATGGATGAAGCTGGAAACCATCATTCTCAGCAAACTAACACAAGAACAGAAAACCAAACACTGCATGTTTTCACTTATAAGTTGTAGGTGAACAATGACAGCACATGGACACAGGGAGGGAACATCACACACCGGGGCCTGCCGGGGAGTCGGGGAGTAGGGAAGGAATAGCATGAGGAGAAAAACCTAATGTAGATCTCAGGTTGATGGGTGCAGCAAACCACCATGGCACGTGTATGCCTGTGTAACAAACCTGCACGTTCTGCACATGTATACCAGAACTTAAAGTATAATTTTAAAAAAGTCAAAAGTGAACAAATGTTGGTGAGGATGTGGAGAAAAGGGTATCCTTACAAACTGTTGGTAGGAATGTAAGTTAGTACAACCTCTATGGAAAACAGTATGGAGATTTATCAAAAAAACTAAAAAATAGAACTATCATCTGATCCAGCAATCCTACTACTGGGTATCTACCCAAAGGAAAAGAAATCATTATATCAAAAAGACACCTGCACTTGTATATTTATTACAACATGATTCACAATAGCAAAATCATGGAATCAAGCTAAGTGTCTATCAATGAATACTCAGATAAAGAAAACATGGGGTGTGTGTATTATATACATATTATATATATATAATATAATATATATATTATACATATTATATATATAATATAATATATATAATATAATATATATATTATACATATTATATATATAATATAATATATATAATATAATATATATATTATGCATATTATATATATATAATATAATATATATAATATACATATCCTACTCAGCCATAAGAAAGAATGAAATCCTGCCTATTGCAGCAACATGGATGGAGTTGGAGGCCATTATTCTAGATGAAATAACTCAGAAATAGAAAGTCAAATACTGCATGTTCTCACCTATAAGTGGGAGCTAAACAATGGGTACATATAGATGTACAGAATGGAATTATACACATTGGGGACTCCAAAAGAGGGCAAGACAGGGAAGAGAATTATAAAATTATCTATCTGGTACAATGTTTACTCTTTGGGCAACAGGTGCAATAAAAGCCCCAACTTTGCCACTATGCAATATGTCCTTTTAGCAAAAAGTCACTTGGATCATGTAAATCTATAACATAATATTAAAATAACAAAATATTAAAATAATAAAATATTTCCTTTAGAATGGGCAGAAATTAGAAAATCAGATAACATCAAATTTTAAGGTTGTAAGAGAATAAAAACTACAACATATATTTAGGTCAAACATAAATACATAGAACATTACACATATTTAAGGATGCTTAAATATGTAAAGACATTAAAGACATATATTTACACATTAGGGTGGATATCTGTGGTAAAAAAATGAGCATCAAAATATTAATAAAAAATAATAAAACTAGAAAGAAGCAGAGATCAATGATGACAATATACCATGAATTGAGAAATCTGATAAATCCAACTCCATCCCTGAGGTCTAAACATTAAAATAAAAAAATTCAAGAAATACAGCAAAAAAGATTTAAAAATTGGAAACTGAGAGAAATTACGTGCTGTTTTCAAAGTGGTGGATGAATAATATATCTAAATGTCGCACCACAAGCTGTTTCAGTGAAAGTCAGGATAGGAGTTGAACTCAAGATAGAAGCAAGTAATTGAGTAATCAAAGTGTGCAATTGTAGAGTCAATGCCAAGGAGTTAGAAATCTCACAGAAGTAGAGAATAAAGGAAAAGTTCAAAAGTTTGAAAGTTTAAATGAGGTACAATGGTATCATGAAAAATTTTTAAATGTCTTGATTCTGTTTTTGCAGTGGAAATATTCAGTAAAGAAGTATGACAGGAGAACTTCTAAATGAGAATTTTAAAAGCCGAAATGGTTGGTATTAACTATGGTAGAGAAACTATACAGAAATCTAATTTCATAATGTTAAATAATAAAAGAATGTTAGAACAGATCAAAATAAAAAAGTTAGAGAAATCATTCAAATTATTGATGATAAAATTATTCATAAAGCACAAGAGAGAAAATTAAGAAGAAATATTCTGCAGTGGTTAAGACTAAGGGTTTGGTGTTGGAAAGCTCAGATTTGAATTTAGGCTTACCTTCACTATTTATTCACTAAGTCACTAGTGTGGCCTTGAGTGAAAACTTATCAACTCAGTACTTTCTCTTTAAATGGATGTTGGAAGGATTAAATGAAGCAATGCAAATAAATTCCTAGCACATGGTAAATATCACTATCAGCAGCATCAGTATTTTGAGATACAGTACCCATACTTAATTTATCTTGGTTTCACCCACAACGCCAAATAGAGCCTCTAGGAAATGTTTAAATATCCAAATGGGAGAAAATCAATAAATTACTATAAATATATTAAGGATGGCTAGATAGGTAGATAGACACATAGATGCATACATAGGGAGAAAGAAGGATACATAAGAAATAATCTATTATAGTATTACTTAAAGAAAATAAAGAAGTCAGAATATCAGTGAGATGATGAAAGACTATTGTCCCAGAAGTCAAAATAAAAGAAAGTGCTGAGGAGAAAAAGCTATTTATTCTAAATATTTAGCATCTTTAAAATGACTCTAAACACTTTGTACATTCTAATCAGATACAAAAGTTAATAGTTGAATGCCAACTATGTGTCAAGCACAGTCTGATAATGTGGATAGTACCAATTTTAGTTTCCATATAAGAAAATTGAAGCCTAAGAAAGAATAAAAAATTTACCCAAGGTCACACAATGATTATCCAATTTCAAGTTGAGAGCTCCTTCAGGTACATAAAGTACATTTTACCGTTATGTGTTAGTGTTTGAATTTGTTCTTCATGAACATTTTGTGGGATGAAGCCTTTGTCAATACTAGAAGAGTAATGCTTTATGAGGTAGAAGTTTGCCAGGAGCACCAAGATTATTTGCATTTGGATGTGTGGGTGGGAGAACTCAAGAACATCTGCTGCCCCTCCATGGGCCAGTGCACAGCACTATAAAAATGCAAAATGTTCTTTTTTTTCTTTTTTGATGAACAACCAGTCCCAAAGGAATCACGGAAGGGATAAGGCAGACTTTAAATTGAACCACAAAATCATTTCAAAGCTAATTAGAAGCTACAAATTTGGGGGAAAAAATTTCAATGCAGTGTTCATTAAGCAAGGAAAGAATGAACTGGCAGGCTGTGTTCCATCCACAGACAGACCATATTAGCTAGCCCAGCACCGCTCACACTTTTGTTTGACTAGCGCGGGCTTCATTCACACTCAAGAAGTAATTAAAGAGTATAACCTGACTCTCTAATCATTGTAAAATGACCCCTTAGAGTAGGCAATCGTTACATGAAGAACTGTATCCCAAAGCAGAAAGAGGTTGAGAAATTATAGCGGAATCTAACTGTGGGCATTAAGGACCCTGTGGCGTCAGAGATCAGAGAAGCCTCAGCCAAAATCACACCCAGCATCTCTTTTCAAGACAGATGAGTAAAAAGAGACATGAAAATAAGAAGTTGAGAGGCTCTGTGGGATCACAGCCTATGGCCACAGCCCATTGTTTTATATTCCATATGTGAGAGACGTTTGCTAACCACCGCACTGCTTGAGTTCACATCCAAAGTCACCATAAGCATCTAAAGAAACTGTCATAGAAACACTGAGGATTTTGGAAACCACAGATTTTCGAAACAACGCTGAGGCATCTTTCTGCTCTTGTTCAGTAGTGTTGCTCCCACTACTGATGAAAGAAAACAATCATTAGTCTTTCCTCTCATTCCTGCATGCCTAACCCAGAAATATCACCTTTGCTTTATCAAAGAAGTAATTCTAACACATTTTATATTATTACATTTTATACTACTAGCTGAAATATATAGTTTTAATCAAATCACTAGTAAAAACAGTGTCCACAAAGGAAAGGCAAACTGGAGCACTGGAATTGATAAAACTTTATTCAGGGCAGCCACAACTTACTTACGCAGAGGTCAACCCTCTGGAAACTTTCATTCTCTGTAGCATAAACCAGAAGTCACTGGTTGAACACTGGAAGTAACCAGCACTGAGCACTTTACAGACAATTATATTCATCATAAGTTTATTGAGCACCTACTAGGTTCTTGGTGCTGGGGAGAACATTTTTGATAAGACTGTGACTGAGACTGCTAATTGTTTACTACAGCATCACTCCAACCCTTCTTCCTAATCGGCATTTAGCTGGGCACATTGCTGCACGTAATAAAAGATTACACTTCCCAGCTTCCTTTGCTGCTTGGGATAGCCATATTATTGAATTCTGGCCAGTTCTCAAGATGTAAGGGCAGCGTGGCGTGGAACTTCTGAGAAAATTTCCTAAAAGGGAGTGACCTGAATTTCTACATTTCCTTCTTTCTGCTATAAGTTATATAAAAGAATTTGGCCAGGTATGGTGGCTCAGGCCTGTAATCTCACACTTTGAGAGGCCGGGGTAGGGGGATTGCTTGAGGCCAGGAGCTTGAGATCAGCCTGGGCATCATAGTGAGAACTTGTCCCTACAGAAAAATTTTAAAATAATAAAAAAATTTCTGGAGTTACAGAAGCCATTTTGGAACATGAAGTGACGTTAAGATCATTAAAATTTTTTCTTTAAGATTCCAAAGGAAGAAGCCAATCCATAGCAATTGGCTTTGTGGGCCATGAGTCTATCACAACTACTCAAGTGTCATTATAGCAGAAAAGCAACATAGACAATGCCTGAAAGAATGAGCATGGCTGTGTTCCAGTAAAACTCAATTTGCAAAACACTTGGCCATCCTATGGGAACTAGTTTACCAATCCATGACAAAGAGAGTAAAGTGAGAAGATAAAAGTAGTTTGCATCTTGATGATGAAAAGATATTACACAAGCCTTAGACTTCCTAAACTCCAGGTATGCTTTTTATGAAAAAAATATATATATTTTTTCTATCTTGTTTAAGTCACTTTTATTCTGGGGTATTTCTCTATTACATAGAGTGAGAACTAGACCTAAGTATTACAAAAGTAGGGTTCCGGAGTCAAAGTGTTACAATTTTGTGTGTCATTCATGCAGCTCAATGCTAAATCTCTGCACGGTATGGAACTTATGACATTGAAATGAAAGAATACAGAGGAGAGATGTCTAGTCTAGATGGAGACAGGATTAGGGGAGGCTTTTTAATGCAAAAGACATTGAAGATGAGTTTAAAGGATGATGAAAGCTCTCTATATGAAGAACATGGAAAACAGTGTTTCAGAAAGAAGCAGCAGGATGTACAAACATCCTCAAGTGAGAAACCATGAGAGCCAGATCATGAAGAGCCTTATATGCCAAATGAAGAAATCTGAACTTTTTTCTACAATATTAGCTCATAAAGAAGTGTTTAGGGGCCCAGTGACTATCAGGTTTGCAGTCTAGGAAGATCAATTTGGCTGTAAGTATGAGGGTGATATACATTGGGCAAGATGGAAGGTGGTGAGATTAGTTGTGAAGGTTTTGCAATAATCCACAGCAAAGAGGGTGGACCTGGTTAAGGTGACAGGAATAGTGTTGAAAAATGGACTTGACAAGAGATATTTAGACATACTGATGGACTGGATAGAGAAGAAAGGTGCTGTACATTAGAAAGATAACCAAACTGAGGCTGAGGTTAGTGGCTTGAAAAACTGAAAGAATAGGTATCATTCCTGGAGATCACAAGAAATGTCATAACAAGAGACAAATATGGAGTTGAAATATCTAAATTAAATTCCCAGCTTGGACCTGTACTAGCTCTCTAAACTTCAGTATGCCCCTCAACTTTCTGAACCTCATCCGAATGTGTGAATAATGATGTCTGAGTCTCAGAACTGATATGAGGCCAAGGTGGAATAAGAAATGTTCCCCCAAAATTCATGTACTGAAGCCCAAACCCCCAATGTGACTATATTTGGAGAAGGGACTTCTATGGAGGTAATTAAGGTTAATTGAGATCATAAATGTGGGGCTCTATCAACGGGATTAGTGACCTTATAAGAAGAGATGTCAGAAAATTCACATGTTCTTTTTCCATTCTTCTCTCTCCCTCCATCTCCTTTTTCCTCTCCCTCTCTTACCCCTCTCTTCTCTCCCTCTTTCCTTCCCTCTCTTTCTCTCTCTTTCTCCCTCCCTCTCTCTACCTTTCCCCCTGACACACGTGAGGATGTACCAAGAGAGCCCTTGCTAGAAACCAATGCTGCCAGGCCTTCATCAGGGATTTTTCAGCCTCCAAAACTGTAAAATATATAATACACAGGTAACTACTAAGCACAAGACCTGGCATATATTAGATACCATGTCAATATATGTGCCAGCCCTCCTTCCTTGCTTAACCCTCCATATGTTAAGCATTTTTTCATAATATCAAAATTTTAAAACTTAAAAATAATGGTTTACACAGTGGTGCAGTCCCACAGCAGCTAACTGGCAAATGTATTGGAAAGGCTTTTAGAGGGTACTAACCTGACAGTAGCAGAGACAGTCAAGGTGCTGCTGTTGAAACGGCCAAAACTGTATAAGCACTGGTGCAGTTACACATGTTTATAATTTTGATCCTGGGATATCCAAAAAGTGAAAATTGCCTTCAATTATTTTCTGCTTAAGTGGGCATGAAATCAAGTTACATATTTAAAAAATATAGTTGACCCTTATAATCCACAGGTTTCATATCTACAGATTCAACAAATATTTTCAAATGTTTTGAAAATGTTCAAAAAAGAACTAATAAAAACAGTGTACCAATCAAATAATACAACAAAAATAACACAGCATAACAACTATTTACATAGTATGTACATTCTATTAGATATCATAATCTAAAGATGATTGAAAGTATAAGAAGGGATGAGCATAGGTTATATGCAAATACAACACTTTTTAAAAATTTTCCAACTTTTAAGTTCTGGGGTACATGTACATGCAGGAAGTGGAGGTTTGTTACATAGGTAAATGTGTGCCAAGGTGGTTGGCTGCACAGATCATTCCATCACCCAGGTATGAAGCCCACCATCCACTGGCTATTCTTCCTTATCTTCTCCCTCCTCCCAATCCCCCACCCTCCGACAGGCCCTAATGTGTGTTGTTCCCCACCACGTGTTCATGTGTTCTCATCATTTAGCTCCCACTTATAAGTGAGAACATGTGGTATTTGGTTTTTTGTTCCTGCATTAGTTTGCTAAGGATAATGGCCTCCAGCTATCCCTGTCCCTGCAAAGGATGATTTCATTCCTTTTTATGGCCGCATAGAATTCCATGGTGTATATGTACCACATTCTATTTATCCTATCTATCATTGATGGGCATTTAGATTGATTCTGTCTCTTTGGTACTGTGAATAGTGCTGCAGTAAACATACTTGTGCATGTGTCCTTATAATAGAACCATTTATATTCCTTCAGGTATATACCCAGTAATCAGACTGCTAGGTTGAATGGTATTTCTATCTTTAGGTCCTTGAGGCATCCCCAACTCTGTCTTCCACAAAGGCTGAACTAATTTACACTCCCATCAACCATGTAAAAGCATTTGTTTTTCTCCACAACCTCACACAGCATCTTTTACTTTTAGACATTTTATTTTTTATTTTTACTTTTTCTAATTTTATTTTATTTTATTTTAAGGTCCAGGATACATGTGCAGGATGTGTATGTTTGTTACATAGGTAAATGTGTGCCATGGTAGTTTGCTGCACCTATTAACCCATCTGTATTAGTCCATTCTCATGCTGCTATAAGGACATACCCAAGACTAGGTAATTTATAAAGGAAAGAGGTTTAATTGACTCATGGTTCCACATGGCTAGGGAGACCTCAGGACACTTACAATCATGGCAGAAGGGGAAGCAGACACATCCTTCTTCAAATGGCAGTGGAGAGAGAAGTGCTGAGCAAAAGGGGGATAAGTCCCTTATAAAACCAGTCAGATCTCATGAGAAGTCACTATCATGAGAACAGCATGGAGGTAACTGCCCCAATGATTCAATTACCTTCTACTAGCTCCCTCCCATGACACATGGGGGTTAATGGGCACTACAATTCAAGATGAAATTTGGCCAAACCATACCATTCCACTGCTGCCCCCTCCCAAATCTCACGTCCTCACATTGCAAAACACAATCATGCCTTCCCAACAGTCCCCCAAAGTCTTAACTCATTCTATAATTACTCCAAAAGTCCAACTCCAAAGTCTCCTCTGAGACAAGGCAAGTCCCCTCCACCTATGAGCCTGTAAAATCAAAAGCAAGTTAATTATTTCCTAGATATAATTGGGGTACAGGCATTGGGTAAATACAGCCATTCCAAATGGGAGAAATTGGCAAAAATGAAGGGGCTACAGGCCCCATGCAATTCTGAAATTCAGTGGGGTAGTCAAATCTTAAAGCTCTGAAATGATCTCCTTTGACTCCATGTCTCACATCCAGGGCACAATGATGCAAGAGGTGGGCTCCCATGGACATGGGAAGCTCTGCCTCTGTGACTTTGCATGATACAGCCCTCCTCCCAGCTGAGTTCACAGGCTGGTGGTGAATGTCTGTGGCTTTTCCAGGTGTAAGGTGCGAGCTGACAGTGGATCTACCATTCTGGGACCTAGAGAACAATGGTCCTCTCCTCACAGCTCCACTAGGCAGTGCCCCAGTGGGGACTCTGTGTCACGGCTGCAACCGCACATTTCCCTTTCACACTGACCTAGCAGAGGGTCTCCATAAGGGCTCCAACCCTGCAGAAAACTTCTGCCTGGGCACCCAGGCATTTCCATATATCCTCTGAAATCTAGGCAGAGATTCCCAAATCTTAATTCTTGACTTCTGTGCACCCTCAGGCTCAACATCACATGGAAGCTGCCAAGGCATGGGGCTTGCACCCTCTGAAGTCATGGCCCAAGCTATAGCTTGGCCCCTTTTAGCCATAACTGGGATACAGGGAACGATGTCCTGAGACTGCACAAAGCAGCAAGGTCCTGGGCCTGGCCCATAAAGCCATTTATTTCTCCTAGGACTCTGGGCCTGTGACAGGAGGGGCTGCCATGAAGACCTCTGACATGCCTTGGAGACATTTTCTCCATTGTCTTGGTGATTAATATTTCACTGTCATTACTTATGCAAATATCTGCAGCTGGTTTGAACTTCTCCCCAGAAAATGGGATTTATTTTCTACATTGTCAGGCTGCAAATTTTCCAAACTTTTATGCTCTGCTTCTTCTTGAGTGCTTTGCTGCTTAGAAATTTCTTCTGCCAGAAACCCTAAATCATCTCTCTCAAATTCAAAGTTCAACAGATCTCTAGGGCAGGGGCAAAATGTTGCCAATTCTCTTTGTTGATGGATAGCAAGAGTGACCTTTACTCCAGTTCTCAGCAAGTTCCTCATCTCCATCTGAGACCACCTCAGCCTGGACTTTATTGGCTATATCAGCATTTTGGTCAAAGTCAATCAACCAGTCTCTAGGAAGTTCCAAACTTTCCCACATTTTCCTGTCTTCTTCTGAGCCCTCTAAACTGTTCCAACCTCTGCCTGTTACTCAGTTCCAAAGTCAGTTCCACATTTTTGGGTATCCTTATAACAGCACGCCTCTCCCTCAGATACCAATTTTCTGTATTAGCCTTTTCTCATGCTGCTGTAAGAACATACCCAAGACTAGGTAATTTATAAAGGAAAGAGGTTTAATTGACTCACAGTTCTGCATGGCTGGGGAGGCCTCAGGAAATTTACAATTATGGCAGAAGGGGAAACAAAAACAGCCCTCTTCACATGGTGGTGGAGAGAGAAGTGCCAAGCAAAGTTGGGGGGGAGCAAATTCCCTTTTAAACCATCAGATCTCATGAGAATTCACTCACTATCATGAGGACAGTATGGAAATAACCTCCCCCATGATTCAATTACCTCTCACTGGGTCCCTCTCACAACACATGGGAATTATGGGAACTAAAATTCAAGATGAAATTTGAGTGGGGACACAGTCAAACCATATCATCATCACCTAGGTATTAAGCCAGCATGCATTAGCTGTTTATCCTGATGCTCTCCCTCCCCTTATCCCACCCCTGACAGGCTCCAGTGTATGTTGTTCCCCTCTCTGTGTCCATGTATTCAGCTCATTGTTCAGCTCCTACTTATAAGTAAGAACATGCAGTGTTTGGTTTTCTATTCTGTGTTAGTTTGCTGAGGATGTCTTCCAGCTCCATCCATGTCCCTGCAAAGGACACGATCCCATTCCTTTTTATGGCTGTATAAAATTCCATGGTGTATATGTACCACATGTTCTTTATCCAGTCTATCATTGATGGGAATTTGGTTGATTCCATGCCTTTGCTATTGTGAATAGTGCTGCAATAAACATACATGTGCATGTATCTTTATAAGAAAATGATTTATATTCTTTGGGGTATATACCCAGTAATGGGATTGCTGGTCAAATGGTATTTCTGGTTCGAGGTCTTTGAGGAGTCACCACACAATCTTCCACAATGTTTCAATTAATTTACATTCCCACCAACAGTGTAAAAGTGTTCCTACTTCTCCACAGCCTTGCCAGTATCTGTTGTTTCTTGAATAATCACCATTCTGACTGGTGTGGGATGGTTCATTGTGGTTTTGATTTGCATTTTTCTAAAGATCAGTGATGTTGACCTTTTTTTCATATGTTTTTTGATCAAATAAATATCTTCTTTTGAGAAGTGTCTGTTCATATCCTTTGCCCACTTTTTAATGTGGTTGTTTGTTTTATTCTTGTAAATTTGTTTAAGTTCCTTGTAGATTATGGATATTAGACCTTTGTCTGATGGATAGATTGCAAAGGTTTTCTCCCATTCTGTAGGTTATCTGTTCACTCAATAGTTTCTTTTTTGCTGTGCAGAAGCGTTTTAGTTTAATTAGATTTCATGCCAATTTTTGCTTTTGTTGCAATTGCCTTTGACATTTTCATCAGGAAATCCTTGCCCATGCCTATGTCCTGAATGGTATTGCCTAGATTTTCTTCTAGGATTTTTGTAGTTTTGGGTTTTACATTTAAGTCTTTAATCCATCTTGAGTTAATTATTGTGTAAGGTGTAAAGAAGGGGTCCACTTTCAATTTTCTGCATATGGCTAGCCAGTTCTCCCAGCACCATTTATTAAATAAGAAATCGTTTCCCCATTGCTTGTTTTTTTCAGTTTTGTCAAAGATTAGATGGTTGTAGATTTGTGGTCTTATTTATAAGTTCTCTATTCTGTTCAATTGGTCTATGTGTCTATTTTTGTAACAGTACCATGCTGTTTTTGTACCAGTACCATGCTGTTTTTGTTAGTGTAGCCTTATAGTATAGTTTGAAGTCAGGTAGTGTGAAGCCCCCAGCTTTGTTCTTTTTGCTTAGAATTGACTTGGCTATTACAGGCTATTTTTTGGTTCCACAAGAATTTTAAAGTAGGTTATTCTAATTCTGCGAAAAATGTCAATGGCAGTTTAATGGGAATAGCATTGAATCTATAAAGTCTTTTGGGCATTATAGCCATTTTCATGATATTGATTCTTCCTATCCATGAGGATGGAACGTTTTTCCATTTGTTTGTGTCCTTTCTGATTGCCTTCAGCAGTGGTTTGTAGTTCTCGTTGAAAAAGTCTTTCCCTTCCCTTGTTAAATGTATTCCTAGGTATTTTATTATGTTTGTAGTAACTGTGAATGGGAGTTCATTAATGATTTGGCTGTCCACTTGTCTATTGTTGGTGTATAGGAATGCTTGTGATTTTCGCCCATTGATTTTGTATCCTGAGACTTTGCAGAAGTTGCTTATCAGCTTAAGAAGCTTTTGGGCTGAGACAATGGAATTTTGTAGATATAAGATTATGTCATCTGCTAAAAAAGATCATTTGACTTCCTCTTTTCCTATTTGAACACCCTTTATACCTTTCTCTTGCCTGACTGCCCTGGCCAGAACTTCCAATACTGTGTTGAATAGGAGTGGTAAGAGAGGGCAAACTTGTCTTGTCCCAGTTTCCAAGGGGAATGTTTCCAGATTTTGCCCTTTTAGTATAATATTGGCTGTGGGTTTGTCATATGTAGTTCTTATTATTTTGACGTATGTTCCTTCAATACTTAGTTATTAGAGTTTTTAACATGAAAGTATGTTGATTTTTATTGAAAGCCTTTTCTTCATCTATTAAGGTAATTATGTGGTTTTTGTCTTTAGTTCTCTTTATGTGATGAATTACATTTATTGATTTGCATATGTTGAACCAACCTTGCATCCCAGAGATGAAGTCTACTTGATCATGGTGGATAAGCTTTTTGATGTGCTGCTGAATTTGGTTTGCCAGGATTTTGTTGAGAATTTTGGCACTGATTTTCATGAAGTGTATTGGCCCAAAGTTTCTCTCTCTCCTTCTCTCTCTCTCTCTGTCTCTCTCTCTATCTCACTCTCTGTATCTCTGCCAGGTTTTTGTATCAGGATGATGCTGGCCTCATAAAATGAGTTAGAGATGAGCCCCTCCTTTTCAATTTTTTTGCAATAGTTTCAGTAGGAATGGCACAAGGTCTTCTTTGTATCTCTGGTAGAATTCAGCTGTGTATCTCTCTGGTCTGGGGATTTTTCATTTGGTAGGCTACTTATAACTGCCTCAATTTCAGAACTCATTACTGGTCTACTCAGGGATTCAGTTTCTTCCTTGTTCCATCTTAGGAGGATGAATGTGTCCAGGAATTTATTCATTTCTTCTGTATTTTCTAGTTTATGTGCATACAGGTGTTTATAATATTCCCTGCTGGTTGTTTGTATTTCTGTGGGGTCAGCAGGAACATCTCTCTTGTCATTCCTGTTTGTGTTTATTTGAATCTCCTCTCTTTTCTTCTTTATTAGTCTAGCTTGTGGTCTATTTTATTAATTTTTTTCAAAAAAAATCCAGGATTTTTTGATCTTTTGAAGTGTTTTTTGTGCCTCTATCTCCTTCAGTTACACTCTGATCATGGTTATTTCTTGTCTTCTGCTAGCTTTGGGCTTTGTTTGCTCTTGATTCTCTAGTTCTTTTAGTTGTGATGTTAGGTTGTTAACTTGAGATCTTTCTAGCTTTTTGATGTGGGCATTTAGTACTATAAATTTCCTTCTTAACACTGATTTAACTGTATCCCAGAGATTATGGTACATTGTATCTTTGTTCTTATTGGTTTCAAAAAAACTTCTTAATTTCTGCCTTAATTTTGTTATTTACCCAAAAGTCATTCAGGAGCAGGTTGTTCAATTTCCATGTAGTTGGATGGTTTTGAGTGAATTTCTTAATAATGAGGTCTAATTTGTTTGTGTTGTGGTCCAAGAAACTGTTTGTTATTATTTCATTTCTTTTGTATTTGCTGAGGAGTGTTTTAGTTTTGACTATGTGATCAATTTTAGAGTAGGTGCCAATACTACAATATTTTATATCCAGGTCTTGACCATCTGCAGATTTGGGTATCTGCAGGAGGTTATGGAACCAATCTGTGTGGATACCTATGAAGGACTGTAGCATTAAAAATATTTTAAAAAATTTTTATTATTAAAAGTGTTGATATTTTAAGGAGCTATGTTCATTGAACTGGAAATCTCTCTTGAACAGTATAACTTATTATTTAAAATGGTTGGCTAAATGAAGCTTCCAAGTATTAATAGTTTTTGCTAATTTAGGTTTTGAGTCTTCTAGTGGTTAATTGATTGTTTTAACTTTTTTCCACCTTATTAAATAGTATAGCTTTGGGGAATAGTAAAATGAATTATTTATATTCATGTGCGAAACCAGAAAAGACCCTTAGAAGTTAAGCAGCCTGGAGCATCCTCCATCTTGCTGCCATTGCTCCCTCCTTTGAGCTGGACACTTGCTACTTGTTCTTTTAGTCACTGCTCTGATGTAAGTTTCTCCAGGTCCACTTAAGCCCAGTTAAGAACCTAGGCCATGTTTCCTTAATACCTCAAACATATTTCTCACATTTCATTTGTCATCTCATTTGTCATCTCATAAATTTAATCAGCTCATTAACCTGTTGATAAGCTGATTTCTTCCTGTAGGCTTTGTGTTCCCTAAGGGTAGACCAGTGGCGTAATTGTCCATGTAAGTCTAATGCAATACAGTGGTTAGCAAAAAACAGGTTCTCAATAAATGTTTATTATGTAAAGCCATGAATAAAACCCAGCCTTTGCCCTCAGCTATAATTTCTTTGAAACCATCCATGAAAAATTAGAATGCAGCCTATTTTGAAGAAATGGGATATCATCATGTTTATGCATTATTTTATCAACTGTTAAAATCCCCCTACATTAATAATTAAAACCTAAACCACTTTGCTTTTATTTAAAAAGACATTGTAGTCCATTCTATAGAGCCCTTTCAAAGAAATCTAAACTTACAGTGTGTTAGCTAGTGTTTTCTTTCTTTCTTCCTTTTTTCTCTTTCTTTCTTTCTCTCTTTCTTTCTTTCTTTTCCTTCTTTCTTTCTTTTTCTTTTTTTATAACAATTCAATTAACAGGTGATATAGCATGAGTGCAATAGGTCCTTGAAAAAATAGTGACAGTTTTCCAATGCTGAGCATTCATATTCTTACAATGCTTTAAGTCAGTAGTACTTAGGAATTTGTGTTATATATTTTTAAAAAGATATGCATGGCAGTCCTAGGTTGATCTAGAAGTAATACAAATGTTTAATACTGATTGTTTCCATTCCTGATTACATCTAGTTACTTCTTTAAGAGATAATAAAAATTTTCATGTAAATCATTACTTCCTTAAATATTTTATCTATCTCAGTAAATCTCTTCTGTGCTTCTGGAAATCAGGGTAGCTTTATATTGTACTTTCTCATTCTCTTATCCATATCTCTTAGCTTTTTTTCTTATTTTCAATCTCCTTGCCTCTCTAGAATGAATTTTGGATAGCTCTTCAGTTATGATTTTTCTGTTCAGGATTTCTTCCTTCAGCTTTGTCTAACATGTTATGAAATGCAAACATAACATTCTTAACTTTAGTAATCATATTTTGGATTCCTAAAAGTACTTACTAGTCCTTATAAAAAATCTGCTTTCCTCTTTTTAATGATTCCTTATTCTCTGTTTTAGTCTTTCATTTTTGTTTTATAAATATTTGTGCAATATATATGTGTATATATGTATTTATATGTATATATGTGTGTACGTGTGCATATATATATGTCTGTTATAACTATTTTTACTTGAGATTCCAACACTACTGCTTATTTTATCTGCTGATTTTTACTCATGTAGTTTTTTTCTTTATTTGATTCATTTTCTCACTTGTTGCTAACTTGATCTTAAATATGTTTGTGTTTTAGAAGAACTTAAAATTTGCAAAAGCATTGTGAAGATAGTATACAGGGTTCTCATATGCTGTATACCAATTTCCCCTACTATTAATCTATTACATGAGTATGATACATTTACCAAAACTAATAAACCAGTATTAGTACCTTATTATTAACTGAAGTCCATACTTTATTCAGATTTCCTCAACATTTCCCTAATGCCCTTTTTCTATTCTAGGATACCATATTACATTTAGCAGGAGAGTCTCTTTAGGCTTCTCTTGGCTGTAAGAGTTTCTCAGAATATCCTTTTTCAAAACTTTGACATTTCTTAGGAGTACTGGTCAGGTGCTTTGGGATTGTCTGATGTTTTTCTCATGAATAGACGGAAGTTAATGGCTTTTTGGGAGAGGAAGACCACAGAGTTAAAGTGACCTTCTCATCACATCATATCAAAGGCACATACTGAAAACATGACTTGACATTGTTAATGACTGAGGTAGTGTTTGTCATGTTTTTCCACTGTAAAGTTTCTCCTTTTTTTTACACTTTCTAACAAAGTTTTTGAAAAGAAATCACTGTATCCACTGCACACTTTACACATGGGGAATTATCCTTGAGGACAGAGTAGCTACAATAAATTATTGGGAATTATTCTGCATGATAAATTTGTCTATTTCCCTCATTTATTTATTTATTCAATCATATATTTATACCAGTAAGGATTCATAGATATTTATTTTATACTTTATGACATAATCCAATACTTCTTTATTTTATTACTTAAGTTGTTCCAACATTGGCCAATAGGAGTTTTTTCAATTGGCTCCTGTGTACCTTTGTCATAATCCACCATTGCATATTGTTTTTACTGTTGTCATTTACTAATTTTCTTACTTCCTTTTCTGAACATCTCCCTTACCACAAGATGCTCTGGGGTCATTTTGTATATTTCTTACCCCAGCCTTAAAATAATTTATTTCTCTAAGGTTCTCTGCTTCCTTTTATTGGAAAATTGTATTAGAAATCAAGATTTGGACACTAGGTTCTCATTGGAGTGCCAATGCCTCTAGGCCTCTCACAAAGAAAGTCAATATATTTGTATGCTAACATGTATATAAACATATATTTATAAATATTTCAATATATATCTGTATTTACACTAAGCTAAACGTAAGTTCTTACTGATGTCTCTAACTCTAATCCTTTATTACATTTATCATTCCAGTTTTCGTTCCATAATTATCTGTCACATCTAATTCCAGCAGTGATAAACCTGGTTCCCACCATCTGATAACTATTTATTTAGTTGTTCAATTTTAGGGGAACACTATAACTCAGCCTCTGTTTGCCTGATGGCAGGACATAAACCCTTTCTTACTACAGACAGCACTTGCTTATTGGCCCAGAGAAGGCATAAGCAGGCACCCGAGGAATCTGGGAATAAATTTTTACTACCTTCCCACATATTCTCAACTTTTAAAGGACTGGAACTCCTCTCTCCTTTGACTATGCTAAGATTGATGGCCCTTTGTTAAAATACCATTTAAACAAGGCACTTAAGCCACTCCCTTGAGAGAGATACTTTTGAATTACAGTCTCTCCCAGGTAATGGGTACAGCAGGCATCAATAAACTTCTGCTGTTTTCCCTCTCGTTAATCTGACTTTTGTTTTCTGTAGTGTCTCAACAAAGAACTTAGGAGCCTTGAGAAAAGAAATTATATTTTCTCCCCTTTGGTGGTATTACAGGGATATGTATGTTACACATTTTAGATTGTCCCAAAGCTCTTGGATGTGTTACACTGTTTTTTAATTCTTTATCCTCTTTGCATTTCAGTTTGAAAAGTTTCTATTGACCTGTCTTCCAACCCACTCATCCTTGTTTCTTTTGTGCCAACTACTCTAATGAACCCATCAAAGGAGTTATTCATTTCTTTTAGGGTCTTTTATTTCTATTATTTCTTTCATATTATCTCTTAGAGTTTCCACCTATCCTCTTCCATTAATCTGTTCTTACATGTTATCTACTTTTTCTATTAGAACTCAATATCTTAATCATAGTTACTTTAAATTCCCTGTCTGATAATTTCAACAACTGTCTTATATCTCAGTTTCGTTCCAATAATTGCTTTGTCTCTCAGGCTGTATTTTTCTTCTTTTGGGGGGCATATCTTGTAATCTTTTTTGTTTATTTAAAGCCATATATGTCATATCAGGTAATAGAAATGGACATAAATAATCCTTTAGTTTGAGGGTTCATGTTAATTAGATAGGAGTTGAGCTGTGTTTAGTGTTTGCTATAGTTACAGGTGCCAAGACCGAAAATTACTCTCTGAAATTACTCTCTGAAAATTACTTTTGTCTCCCTTCATGACTTTGGGCTTCTTAATTTCTCCTCAGTAAGAGTCTATGACTCACAGCTATTTGCTGTATGTAATACATACGCTGTTATAGCAGAGTCCTGTTGGTGTGATTTATTAAGTTATGTTTGTTGGAGAGAGCATTCTACAATCTTTTAATTAAATCTCAATCACTTAATGGGCCTGGTTCTCAAGGCTATGACCTTCACAGGTATTTCTATAGTGGTATTTTTTCTCTCTGCCCTCTACTTCCTTCCTTGCCTTAGTATTTCCAATATATTTCTTTAAATCTCTGACCCCTATTGACTCTTTGCCCTCCTTGGTAGAGACACAAAGACTGGAGTGGGGCTAGAATTGGATAAATGTCCTTCCCTTACATGGGATAGAGCTCTGGCAAAGTTTTTTCCCTGAAGAGTAGGTCTTTGTTATGGAGAAGGTTCTGGGTATATTTCACAAGGGTTATTCTTCCCTTCCTCCTGGCAGAGCCCCAAAGAGCTCATTCTAGGATCTTCACTGTGACAACCTGGTAGGTTTCCTGGAAATAAAGCCTCCACCTCAACCCCAGGGACTGAAGCCTCCAAGAGTCTCTCACCACACTGTTCCATACTCAGCTTCCAACAATTTGGCAAAATTGCTGTTTAAGTTTTGCTACCAGTTAATGGCTCTAGAAACTTCTTTTTATTTTTTATTAATAAGGGTATATAGTAGGTATAAGCCGATCTTGCCTGTAACTTTGTGAATGCACCTGTCTCCAGATTTTGGTGTGGCACTTTGCCCTGTGACCTCTGTCCTCTAACGTGCTTAAGAAGTAATTGATGGATTTTAAGTAGTGATAGCTTTTTCTTCTTGTAAGAATGGAAATTATGACTTCCTAACTTTTTATATGTGGGAGCTGAAATCAGGAGCTAGTTTATTTTTATTTCCTCCTGCATTGCTGGCCTATTTTACAGTGAGAGCAGAATTAAACACAATAGATCTTCTACCAATATCTGATTCACGAGGGCAAGACTGCTGATACATGCCTATTATCACCACGTCCTGCTGCTAAAGTCATTGCACATCATTTTAGGTGCTAACAATTTAGTTTTATTAACTTATGCGTATTAATTTTATGAAAACCACTAAAACCAAACTGTTTTTAAAATAAAATAAATAACTAGAAAAGAAATTATGTATCATTGTGTTAATTTGTGGAAAGGTAACTATACCTGACAAAGAAAATATGATAGAACAATTATTCTGTTTTTTAACTTTTATTTTCTCAACCACTAAATGAAAATCTGCACAAATATACTTAACTACTAGTAAGAAATAACCTGTTTCAACTGAAAATTGAAGGAAACGTCAAACATCAAACTTCTCTCTTCTGGTAGGGTAACTTCATTCTAAAATTTTTATCAAGAATAACTGCACTGTCTCTCCCAATTCCATCTACACCTTTTAAAAAATGAAAATTAGGGCCGGGTGCTGTGGCTCACACCTGTAATCCCAGCACTTTGGGACGCCGAGGCAGGAGGATCACCTGAGGTCAGGAGTTCAAGATAAGCCTGGCCAACATGGTGAAACCACGTCTCTACTAAAAATACAAAAATTAGCCAGGCGTGGTTGTATGCGCCTGTAATCCCAGCTACCCAGGAGGCTGAGGCTGGAGAATCGCTGGAACCCAGGAGGCAGAGGCTGCAGTGAGCCAAGATTGCGCCACTGCGCTCCAGCCTGGGTGACAGAGCAAGACTCCATCTCAAAAAAAAAAAAAAAGAAAAAGAAAATTGGAAACATAGAAGTTACTGTTTGTAGAATGGCTTCAATGATAATTATTAAATGTATGAGAAGCCAGACATTGAATAATCTACTGTCCACTATAATCTCGTGCCAATAGTTTTAGACATATTAGCAGATAAACTCAATGACTGTTTTTTAATCTTCATTTTACAGATAAGAATATTAAAGCATAAAGCAAGAATGCACCCACTATCACAAAATTGTTAAAGTAAAAGCAATGTACTTTCAGTGTACAACACTGATTCTATTATAATATCAATGTTTATAATATTATTATATATATTCTCATACATCATTATTATGTATAACATATAATGATATAACATTAATAAACATACAAATAGCAAACCACCTTCAGAAAGAGCAAGAATACTGGTCTCCCAGAAATCGCATATTGGGAGTTTAGGTTTCAAGCAATGGCAATTGACAGAAAATCAGGGTCATCCTTAGCACCCTTGCAGCCTCACCTTTTGTGTTTTCATTACCACTTTCTTCCCCGGGCCACAAACAACCCCTGCCCTGTCTCCTGCTCTGATTTTCCTTATAACAGATTCAATCTTTAGTTTCAATGAAATATTGATGTGTTCTCCTAGAAGGGCAGCCCAAACTTTCATACCTTCTTTGAATTATGTGGCCGTTTTCTGCAGGCCACTGTAAAGTCACAGCAATCTCAGAATGACCTCTTATATACCTCCTTCAGGAAAGCAGTTAATGGGCCTTCCAATTTCATGAGGCTGTTACTTTTATTGATATTCATCCTGTAAGCCAAAGAAAGTTACATGATCTCACTAATGACACAGTCACCCCATGAGCTTGTACAGGACATAAATATTCATTAGAACTAAGCTTGTGTCTTCCTGAAAGTTGACTAGATAAGGTCAGTAAGAATTCATGTTGGAAATGTGTTCATTTGAACCAAATAATGAATCCATTTGTCATAATGATTAACATGGAGAGGGCAATTTAAAAGGAGAGAAATGTTTCTTTTTATCAAATTTTTATTTGCTTATAGTTTATTCTACCTCTACCAGTCAGCCACATAAATCATTTGTATGATAATTACCAAAAATGCACAGTTTTATGCACAAGGAATTTTATACTTTTTCATAACTTATAATCCATTAAGGTTTTTGATAAACTTATTTGTCATTTGGAAATCTCCACTCCCTTAAAAATTGTTAGGGAAGAAGTGGTACCTTTATTTAAAATTTTCCAGTTTCAAAGATGTTAAGGAATTATTTTTATGTAGTCTTGCTGGTATTTAATGAGGAAAAAGATATTACTGAAATGCTGTATTCAGTAGCATTAAAACATCTAATTAATAAACCAATATTGAAAACTATATACTTTTTGATAAAAGAAATGTTTTGTTTTTGAGGTGGAGTCTTGTTCTGTTGCCCAGGCTAGAGAGCAAATGGCACAGTCTCCGTTCACTGCAACATCCACCTCCCGGGTTCAAGTGATTCTCCTGCCTCAACCCCCACAAGAGGCTGGGATTACAGGCACATGACACCAGGTCTGGCTAATTTTTGTATTTTCAGTAGAGACGGGATTTCACCATGTTGGCCAGGCTGGACTCGAACTCCTGACCTCCAGTGATCCACCTGCCTCAGCCTCCCAAAGTGCTGGGATTACAGGCCTGAGAAATGTTCTTCTGTTTATACATTTCCGTTTTAACATTTTTTAAAACAATTTTAAAAGTCTAAAGTTCTTTAAGTTTATTAAATATACCTAGCTTTATGCTTGAAACAGTTCTCCACCTCTCTCTTTTTCTGTTGTCTAAGAAAAAAAATGGATCTGACAATAATGAATACTGAATTATTTTTAAATGATTTTGTATTTTGGTCATTAGGTGCACTATGCCTAACCAAACCATTTTGAGCATCTGAAATATATGTTAAAGCTCTCTGAGTCAAAGTTAACCCTGTTTCAAGAAAAAAAAGACGTATTTGGATGAAATAAGTACGTTCAGCTTATTTTAAAGAGGGCTATGATTTCTGAGCTCAGACTCAGAAGACTCATACAGAATCAAGACTTATATCTATCACACGCAGAATCAAATGGAAATTGTAGTGAGGAACAAAGAAAATTCCCAAATGATAGATATTTACCATTTACATTATGGTCCCAGAACTTTTTATTTTTCATCTTATAGCACCTGAGTTTCACTATCCCTCAAGGGAACTCTAGGGACACTATGGTCCTCATTCCCTGCAGAATACCTGAGCAATTTTCTGGAAGAAAATCAACAAGGCTGGGTCAACTCCGAATATCTAAGACAGGTCTCTGTTAATTTAGAAAGTTTATTTTGCAAAGGTTGAGGACGTGCGCCTATGACACAACTTCAGGAAGTCCTGACAACATGTGCCTAGATGGTCAGGGCACAGCTTAGTTTTATACATGTTAGGGAGACATGAAATATCAATCAATATATGTAAAATGTACATTGGTTCAGTCCAGAAAGGTGAGTCAACTCGAAAAAGGGAGGGGGCTTCCAGGTCACGGGTAGGTGAGAGAAAAAGGTTTGCATTCTGGCTAGCCTTTTGAGTTTCTGGCTAGCATTTTGAGTTTCTGACTAGCCTTTCCAACGGAGGCAATCAAATTTGCATTTAGCTCAGTGAGCAGAGGGATGACTTTGAACAGAATGGGAGGAAGGTTTCCCCTAAGCAGTTCCCAGCATGAATTTTCCCTTTTGCTTAGTGATTTGGGGGCCCCAAGATTTATTTTCCATTCACAGCTGATTTCATCTGCTCTTCACCCGAAACTGTATTCACTAATTATTTTTCACACCCCGTTGCATATGCATGAAGATGAAAACCTCTATTTTTTAACATAAAAATTAGTTACTTTTCCTGTACTCTAAAGTATACAAGGTGCTTGTAATACATATTAATATGGATATTAATTACCCTGTTAATCATATAGCCTTCATGACACAGTAGAAGCTTTTTTATTTTTTCCCATTCAAATCAGTAAATCAATGAGATACTGTTGAATCATGTAGACACTGCCATTTCATCAGGGAATTTTGCCCTATCTTCTGAATCATAAGTGGTCTAATCTTCATTCAGTGTTATATCTACAACACCTCTACAACGAGACTGGCTCTAATTAGCCACCTGACAGCTAAATTATACAACTGCACTAAAAGAAAACATAAAATTACATAGGTTGTTGCATTGACAGGTGATGGGGGATCCAAAGGAGGGCAGTTTGTGGATTTCTTGGGAAGAACCCCAAGAAGAGGTAATGAAAAAGATCCATCTTTAAAGCCCAAGAAAAAGAAGAATTTGCAGTGCATAAAACCAGAAAAAAAAAATAGTTTCCACAAAATAAAATAATTAATTTCCCCCTTTCTATTTCTGGAGCTGGTGCAAAGGACCTTTCATTCAGTGGTGTGCTGGGGCCAGTATGTACCAGCTGTGGGAATCCAACTGCAAATCACTTCCCAGCTCCATGTTCAGTGATGCAGGGATGTCACACTGGTAGGTGGAAAGTCAACATGGTTGAAGTATTTAGTGATGGGAGCATGGTGGAAATTGTAAAATGCTACAAAAAATCAGGACCTTGTCTCCAGAGAGCTGATTGTTTCAAATTTACCAACACACCTTTGCTGTCATTAAAGGATTTATCTGATGAGTTAACTTCTGAGGAAATGTTGGCAGGGTGCTCTGGCACCATTGTTGAACATGCAGTTTTTTGGCAGCCGATGCCTCTCAAACCAGGTATATCACTTGGACTGGTTACTGATGATGAGTGTTCTTCAAGGGAATGTTCTAAACACACCATTATTTCACCCATCCAGGAATTGTATTCCATTTGTCAGAATTCAACCTGTCTCTTCCACTGTAACTACATCAAGCAATAGCAAAGCAGCCATTTGAAATGCAGTGTCAACAATGTTTTTTTCTGAATGTATAGATAACTCTTTGTTTGGGCAAAGTATAGACCAGGGAGGAATGTATTGTGCTCACACATATGTACCATTTTTTCCTTAAATAATGTTTTGCCTTCTTTCTTTTATGGGTCTGAAATGCTTATAAATAAAAATTGTGAATGGCAGGATTTAATTATCTCCAGGAAGGTTAGAAACATTTCTGTAAGTTATAAATAGATTGTCAAAAGAATGTCTAAAGATAAGATATGTCTAAAGGCAACTTCATTCAGTGTTAACTGTAATTTACCCAGTTCATTTTAGGTCTGACCTAAAAAAACAGGAAACATTTGTTTAAAGCAATACTCATGGCATGGCACATGGCCTGAGTTATAATTAAGGAGAGAAAGGGAAAGATGTGTTTTTTAAATAGACTATATCAGATCACTTTTAAAATCACAGCAAAATTGAGGAGAAAATACAGTTCCCCCACACCTTTTTCCCCAATCCCAAGTAGCCTCTGCCACTATCAAAATGCTACATGAGGGTGAGATATTTGTTAAAATGGATGAACCTGCGCTGACACATCATTATCACACAAAGTCCATAGTTTATATCAGAGTCCATTCTTGGTGTTGTACATTCTGTGGGTTTTGACAGATGTACAATGACATGTATCCACCCTTGCATAACGATAGAGAATAGTTTCCCTGCCCTAAAAATCCCCTCTGCTCTGCCTATTCATCCTTCCCTTCCCACCACCACTGGCAACCCTGAATCATTTAGTATCCCCACAGTTTTGCCCTTTCCATAATGTTATATAGTTGAAATCATACAGTATGAGGTCTTTTATGATTGGCTCCTTTCACTTAGTAATATGCCTTTTAAGTTTCCTTCATGTCTTTTTATGGATTGATAGATCATTCCTTTTTAGCACTGAATAATATTACATTGTTTGGATTGTACCACAGTTTATCCATTCACTATTAAAGGTCATCTTGGTTATTTCCACGTTTGAGCAATTATGAATAAAGCTGCTCTAAATATTCATGCACAGGTTTCTGTGTAGACATAAGTTTTCAATTTGGTGGAAAAAAAATCTTAAATAAAAGATATCATGGAAAGCGGGAGGTGTATGGCAGCCGTACTCATGAGAGCACATTAATGTCCTATGTAAAAGATTCTCCCTGAACGTCTTTGATCTAGATTACGCAAATTCATTCTGAATAGTTCTATGTACCTTCTTAAATGTGATACAATTGCTGCACAAAACTCTGATCTTGAAAAATATATTACTTATATTCAGTCTTTCTGTTGGTTTTTAGGACACAGCAAGCTTTTTGCTGTCTGAGAAACATGGAATTTTCCATTCCCTCTGCCTGAAACACTATTCCCTTGACTCTTCCCACAGCTGCCACTGACGTCCAGGTCTCATCTGAGATGTTTAATCTCATTTTCAGAGAAGCCATCCTTATTAACCCTTTAGGAATCAGTGTTGGACCTAATAAAAAACATGAATAAAATACATTATTTTTGAAATACAGATTTAAATTCTGCCCAAAGATTTACCTCCAATGAGGTTGGAGCCAATATAGCCACAAAAAAAACTACTCAAAGGCCAATATATGAATATGTTAAGACAAAGCTGACATCCATCCTATATTCATCAGGACAGCTGTGCAATTTATTGAAATGTTGAAATATTCCTGTACCGGTTAGTAAACAGCTGTTACCCTGAGCCCCTCTCTTTGGAGTCCCTAGGTCCTTGAATGTTATAGCCCCCTCAGGGTCCTCCTTGGCCTTTCCTATAATCCTGCATTTAAAGAATTACTGGCTTAATCCTTAGGGACCTTGATCCAATTAAAAAGCAATATCTTTTCAGATTGGTGGGTTCCAATACCTTTCAATTTTCTAAAGTCTCTCCTTCTGGGCTCCATCACTGGTTCTCCCTCCTCAGAACCACTGAAAGCTATCCAATGCCCTACCCACACCCCTGGTTCACCCTCAAGGCACTTCAAATTCTTTCATCTGGCAGCACCCAGCTTGCCAGCTAGAGCTTCCCAGTGGCCAATACATGCCCACCATTGACATGCCAGCCCTCCTCCTGTGTGATCTCCCTGCCAGAGTAATCCTGTCCTGTCCCATGGACCCATGGCTCTGCACACTGGCAGCAAACTGTACAGGTCAAACAATAGGAATACACACCAGATTAAGCATAGCAGCCCCATACGAGGGAACTTTCTCTCCAGCAGAGATTACTCATTAATTAGAAGATGATTTGGCTCCTCTTCTTTAACCTAGAAAAGGCACAATTCCGGGCCAGTAAGAAATTGCCAATAATGGTGGTTCCCACACTTTAGTGCACATTTAGAATCACCTGGGTAGCTTTTATAAATTCCAGTTTTCAAGTCATACTCCAGATGTTTTGAATAATAATGTTTGGGAATGGGAGTAAGCCATGGGTATTTTTTAAAGATCTCTAGGTGATTTCACTGTGCTGCCACATCAAATATGCCTCCTTAACTGGCTTAACCTTTAAAGTTTAATCTTTCACTGCATCATTGAGGGTTCACTCATGCAAAAAATATTTACTAAGTGGTATGTGTGTGATTTCCTATTTAGTTACAGCTTTAAAGAAATATAGAAGACCTAAGCAAATTGCTGAGTTTTTTTTCTTTCTAGTAGGAAGTCAACAAAGTCTGATATTGATAACTCTAGAAACATTACTACAAGCTTATTATGTAGGAATACAATGGGAGACATTTAAAAGTTTGATAATAGGGCTTTATAGACAAAGAAATATGACAGAAGAAGGCTATCTTTCATTATGAATCTCATAATACTCAGATTATTAAATCATGTACATTCTAGATTGATACTTTTAATTTTTTTAAAATCCATTGTTTCCTTATAGACGCCTGTCTTGAGTAAATTTAGGCTGTCTCACAAATGGCTCCAGTTCTGAGTATCCTCAGAAAAACCTGACACTATCATAAAAAACATAAAGATAAAATTGTCCAGGGTAGTGATGGGATAGTAGCTTTGTTGATGATGATCTCATACTTATGTTAATCTACTTCAGTATAGGTATATTTCCTGAAATAAAGATTGAGATGAAGTTCCTACCAAGTATAAATATATTTATGAGGAAAGGAGAAAAAAAATGTTTAAAATGACAATTCTGGCAAAAGCTCAGGATGGTGCCTCTAGGACATTTTAATACATGGAACTACTGATTGGTTCCTGCTTGGTGTAGTCCATGAACATTGTGCAGGTAACCTAGGATGTGAATCAAATTTGAATTTAGGACTCAGTTTTCCAAGACGTAGAGTAGTAACATCTGTTTTGGAAGAGTGGGCTATATTAGGGCTTTCTAGAGAGACAGAGCTAATAGGATTTATTGGTTTATTATAAGGGATTTATTCTAAGGAATTGGCTCACACAATTATGGAGGCTGAGAAGTCCCATGCTCTGCCATCTGGAAACTGGAGACCCAGGAAAGTTTATGGTGTAGTTTAAAGATCTGAGAGCTGGAGGACTGGTGGTATAAATCCCAGTTCAAGTTTGAAAGCCTGAAAACCAGGGGCACTGAGGGCAGGGGAAGATTGATTTCTCAGCTCTGTGAACCAAAATTATTTGAGACAGGTCTTAATCACTTAAGAAAGTTTATTTTCCAAGGTTAAGGACACACCCATGGCACAGCCTTAGAAGGTCCTGATGACATGTGCCCAAGGTGATTAGGGTAGAGCTTTGTTTCGTACAGTTTAGGAAGACATGACACAGTCAATCAATATGTGTAAGATGTAATTGGTTCAGTCTGGTAAGGTGGGACAACCCAAAGCAGGGACTTCCAGGTCATAGGTAGATAAGAAACAACTGTTTGCATTCTTTTGAGTCTTTGATTGGCCTTTCACTGAATACACAATGTACATGTGAGAGATGGGTAGAGGAATAATCACTTATCCCTTAGTCTGGCTCAGTGAATCTGCATTTTTACATAAACAATAGGGCAGAAGAAGCAACTAGATACGCATTTGTCTCAGATGGGCAGACGGATGTCTTTGAGTTCTGTCCTTTATCTCACACCTGTGAAGATAAGCTATCAATTTACATTGCCAGAGTGAAATTCAACAGAACTGTTTGAGGATAAAGATCTTGAGGCCCACAAGGAATTTCCTTGTGGGTAAATTGTGAGGGAGATAGGTCGCTTTTTAAAAAAATCTTTGTAGCCATTTTATTTAGTAATAAAATGGGAGGCAGGTTTGCCTGACACAGTTCCCAGCTTGACTTTTTCCTTTTTGGTTTAGTGATTTTGGGGTCCTGAGATTTATTTTTCTTTCACAACTCAAATAGGCAGAGTGAAGTCAATTTTCTTCCACCTGTTTGTTTGACTTGGGCCCTCAACAGATTGGATGATGCTCACACACATTGAGTAGGACCATTTTCTTTACTCTGTCCACCTATTCAAATACTTATGCTAATCTCTTCCAAATACACGCTCGCAGATGCACCTGGAAATAATGTTTAACCAGATGTCCGGACAACCTATCACCCAGTCAAGTTGATATAGAAAACTAATCATCACAGTGACACTAGCAATAAGGTTTAAAAATCAATATCTGAATAAATAATAATAACCAATACTTACATAGCACCCACTGTGTACCACTGTAATTACTTAATGACTATTGAGTCATTTAATTTTCACAACAATTGCAGGAGGTAGTTACAATTGTTATTGTCATTTTTTAGCCTAGAAAACTAAGCGTCCGAAAGATTTAATACTTTTCTCAAGATCACACAGCTGTTAAGTAGTAGAACTGCAACCAAAACCCATGCATTGGCCAGGCGCGGTGGCTCACGCCTGTAGTCCCAGCACTTTGGGAGGCCGAGGCGGGCGGATCATGAGGTCAGGAGATTGAGACCATCCTGGCTAACATGGTAAAACCCCATCTCTACTAAAAATACAAAAAAATTCGCCAGGCATGGTGGCGGGCTCCTGTAGTCCCAGCTACTCGGGAGGCTGAGGCAGGAGAATGGCGTGAACCCAGGAGTTCGAGCTGGCAGTGAGCAGAGATCGCGCCACTGCACTCCAGCCTGGGCGACAGAGCGAGACTCCATCTCAAAAAACAAAACAAAACAAAACAAAACAAAAAAAACAAAAAAAAAACCATACATTATAAAACAACTTTCTGTCCTTGTAACCACTTCACTGCATTGGCTCTTGAATAACCAGGGTTTCACTGTTCAAAGTTTGTTGTTAATGGATAAAATAGAAGTGAAATAGTTTCAGAGCCTAGAAACAATCATGAAACAGAGTAACCGAGGATACTTTTTCAAGAGGTAAACACTTTTTAAAAATTCAATAGTAGTTAAGCATTAGAATGGCTTATACCTACTTCTCATGTAGCCCAGGAAAAGAAATTCAGATAACTAGGCTGAGAATACAGATCTTTTTGGTTTGGGAAGAAATGGAACCTAGACCAAGGAAAGGTTGGTAGAAAGAAGCCAAACAAAGAAATACACAAACAATGCAATTGTAAGAGAACAAATAACCCTATTTAAAAAAATGAAAAAAAGACCTGAATAGAAATTTCTCAAAAGCAGACATATGAATATGAAAAATATTGAACACCATTATCAGAAAAAATGCAAATTAAAACCACAATGGGATATCATCTCACACTTGTTACAATAATTATTATCAAAAAGATGAAATATAACAAGTGTTGGCAAGGATGCAGAGAAAAGAGAACCCTTGTACACTGTTTGTGGGAATGCAAATTGGTGCAGCCATTATGGAAACGGTATGGTGGCTCCTCAAAAAATTACAAATAGAACTACTATATGATCCAAATATCCCATCCTGGGTATATATCCAAAAGGTATAAAATCAGTATGTTGAAGAGATATCTGCACTCCCATATTTATTGAATGATTAACAGTAGCTGTATTAGTCAAGGTTCTCTAATAGGGACAGAACTAATAGGAATATATATATGAGTTTATTAAGTATTAACTTACATGATCACAAGGTCCCACAATAGGTTGTCTGCAATCTAAGCAAGGGGAGCCAGTCTGAGCCTCAAAACTGAAGAACTTGGAATCCAATCTTTGAGGATAGGAAGCATCCAGCACGGGAGACAGATGTAGGCTGGGAGGCTAGGCCCCTTCATGCTCCTTCACATTTTTCTGCCTGGTTTATATTCGCTGCTGGCTGATTAGATGGTGCCCACCTGATTAAGTGTGGGTCTGCCTTCCCCAGCCCACTGACTCAAATGTTAATCTCCTTTGGCAACACCCTCACAGACACACCCAAGATCAATATTGCATACTTCAATCCAATCATGTTGACACACAGTATTAACCATCACAGTAGCCAAGTTATGGAATCAGCCTAAGTGTCCATCTACTGATGAATGGATAAAGAAAATGTAGTATGTATACATAATGCAATACTATTCAGCTTTTATACAGAAAGAAATTCTGTCATTTGCAACAACATAGATGAACTTGGAAGAAACTGTGTTAAATGAAATAAGCCAGGCAGAGAAAGACAAATACCTCATGGTCTCACTTGTATGTGGAATCTAAAAAAGTTAAAGTCAAACTCATAGATACAGAGAATAAAATGGTTGTAACCAGTGGCTGTGATTGGGAGGAGTAGGGAGATATCAGTCAAAGAATAAAAAGTTTTAGTTAGACAGGAGGAATAAGTTCAAGGGATTTCTTGTACATCATGGTGACTACGGTTAATAATAATACATCATATACTTGAAAATTGCTAAGAGCAGATTTTAACTGGCCTCACCAGAAAAAAATAAGTATATGAAGTAATGCATATGTTAAGTACTTTGATGTAGCTATTCCACAATATATACAATTTATACAAAAGCATTTCCATAAATATATACAATCCTGTCTTGTCAATCAAAAAAAAAAATGAAAAAATAAATCCAACTAAAAGTAAGATATTAACATAATGTGCTAAATTAAGCAAAGCTGAATTATCTATCTACTCATGGTAATTGCTAACCATGTTCATTTGTAAAATAGACTATACTGTGATAATTCCTCATAACATAAGAAGTTGATGCCTTTACAAAAACTTATCTGGGATAGTTTATTGACTTGACTGGGTCTTACAAATATAGATTAGGTATATGGATAGAAAAGGATTTGACTGTAAAATTTGCAAAAACAGTGTCTCAAAGCATAGTGATACTTTAACATGATGGAATTTTTGGCTATGGGATAGTTATAACTCACTTCTGGCAATGTGAGCTGACTTTATTTGTGTTAAAATGTATCAATCATCTTATAAATAAATAACAGAGCTATTAATAACAATTTTGAACATTTTTCCCTACTTGACCTTTTAAAAATCAGCTCCATAAGAGACAAATCAATTAATATGTGTTTCCACTATTTTTTTTCTTACATTACACTTTGCTGTTGACTTTAATAAGGCAGAGAAATTGTTGAGGGATGGCACTGGTATTGGGGAAGGCGTCACAGTGAAGACTGTGCCTATTCTTTGGCAGGCAGATTACATACCTCACAAACATCCCTGGGAGATCAGTATTTTAAGCCCTGTTTTTTAGGCTATCTCATCATGGCCAAGGGGCATAGATAACTAAACTTAGGGTCACCATCCAGTCTGGCAGTAGAGTTACAGAAAGGGCTTCCAAGGAGTGAACCATTCAGAGTTGTTCTGGAGATTACACTGTGAAAGAAGTGTCTCTGGTTCATAGTGTATGAGTCCCTTCTATGCTAACTCTACAAATTCAGGAGGGAAACAAAAAAACAAAACACTTCCTTTTCCTGTTAAAGCTCATAGTCTTTCAGATTCCCAACCCATAGTTAGACTTGGGAAGCATTGTTCACTGCCTGGGGAGAGGGTACTATCAATGGTACTACTATCAATGGTAGGGAGGCTGGAATTCAGAACCCAACTTCAGATCCAGCAGATGAATCGTTGAACAAATTCAGAAAAGTGAATCTTGAACCTCAAATAGTGAGGGTCCCACCTAACACATCAAGCTTAAGCCACAAGAAATATTCCAGCCCCCACCATTTGATAGACCTGAGCCTACCTACCTGTAAAAGCCAGGTCTGGGTTCACAGTGCTTATTTTCCTACCATGGTACCTTGCTTGTATCACATTGTGTTTTAATTTTATGCTGACTAGTCCATCTCCCCTACCAGACAATACATAAAGATGGGGATTGAGTCTTCTCACCATTTGGTAGAGAAGGTACCATTTCCTACCATGGTACCTTGCTTGTATCACATTGTGTTTTAATTTTATGCTGACTAGTCCATCTCCCCTACCAGACAGTACATAAAGATGGGGATTGAGTCTTCTCACCATTTGTATTCTCACCATTTGGTAGAATGTCTGGTAAATGTAGCACTCATCATGAGTTTGGTGAATGAACAAATAAACATTGATAGCTTTGGCCAAAATAAACTGCAAATTTTAAAGGATATGAACTTCAAATTATAAGATCTTACACTACAGTTTTGCAGGATGTAGCAGGCAAAAGTGACTGATAAATATGTTCAGTTATTATTACACTACACCCAGACCATGAGAAAGCAGTCTTAGCTATATTCATGTACACATAGAATAGTATAGGATAATAATGACCTGTACCTATATTTATACCTTTATGCCTATACCTAAATCTCTACCTATTTGTTTCTGTGTCATCTGAATGAATACACAGCTAGATGGATAGATAGATGATAGATAGATAGATAGATAGATAGATAGATAGATAGATAGATAGAGGCATGAGGACCAATTTGAAAATATAAGCACTTTATGAGCCACATGTTTTTACATTGTAATCATTTGGTTTCTACAAAAAATTGACCCCAGAGAGGGTAAGCAACAACACATATCATACTCTTTGTTCCAGCAATTAGAGTGCTGTGGTTGTTAAGATATCAATTATAAAATATTTTATTAAAACACAAACACTTTTTTCTTTTTGAGCAAGATGATTGATTATTCACAAATAGTTTCAAACCACTTGTCAATAAAAATGAGCATCGTTTCCAATTCATCAAAATTATAGGACTTCATTACACTAAAAACAATAAATCACACATCTAACAGCAAACCGACCCCTAATAACCTTTGTTACCTACTTTCTAACATTTCCCAGAGTGTGACATTGAACTCTCATGAGGTAAGATGCTCTATTTTCTAGCTGTCTGTGGCAAAATATAACAGAGTAACATTAATTTCTAAATGTGATTTTTGAGATGAAAGGTGAGTGGTAAATTTTGCAATTATCTTTTGAAAGGTAAGCAAAATATACTTTGCTCTTTAGAAAAGATTCCATTTCTATATCTACATTATAAACCATATATCAAGTGATTTTACGAGAAAAAAAGTAAGATCAAGATTACATATTAAAACAAGAGAAATGGGGGTGAAGTCTTAGACTTGGACCCTGGAAAGATGATGAAACAGGAGAGAGCTCTTTTTTGGAGATTCTCCTCCCTTTCAATGTCCATCCCCCAGCTTCTAGAGCTTCTCCCCACTCTGGGAGCATTCATGGTACTCTCCAGACCCCAGTCCAATCTCATGCATCAATGTCAAGTAACTCCACCTGCCTAATCTATTATAAATCTGATTTCAGATTGAAAGATAAGACAACTGTTCCAGATGACTACTTCTCTTTTTTTCCTTTCGGCGGTGGCGGGGGGGCTGCCATATTTAACTGGAAGTCTCTTTAATAAAAGAAGTTATCTCATAGTTTTTTTTTTGAAATTTTTATTTTTTTAATTTATTTTATTTTTTATTATTATTATACTTAAGTTTTAGGGTACATGCGCACAATGTGCAGGTTAGTTACATATGTATACATGTGCCATGCTGGTGTGCTGCACCCATTTAGCATTAGGTATATCTCCTAATGCTGTCCCTCCCCCTCCCCCCCACCCCACAACAGTCCCCAGAGTGTGATGTTCCCCTTCCTGTGTCCATGTGTTCTCATTGTTCAATTCCCATCTATGAGTGAGAACATGTGGTGTTTGGTTTTTTGTCCTTGAGATAGTTTACTGAGAATGATGCTTTCCAATTTCATCCATGTCCCTACAAAGGATATGAACTCATCATTTTTATGGCTGCATAGTATTCCATGGTGTATATGTGCCACATTTTCTTAATCCAGTCTATCATTGTTGGACATTTGGGTTGGTTCCAAGTCTTTGCTATTGTGAATAGTGCCGCAATAAACATACGTGTGCATGTGTCTTTATAGCAACATGATTTATAGTCCTTTGGGTATATACCCAGTAATGGGATGGCTGGGTCAAATGGTATTTCTAGTTCTAGATCCCTGAGGAATCGCCACACTGACTTCCACAAGGGTTGAACTAGTTTACAGTCCCACCAACAGTGTAAAAGTGTTCCTATTTCTCCACATCCTCTCCAGCACCTGTTGTTTCCTGACTTTTTAATGATTGCCATTCTAAGTGGTGTGAGATGGTATCTCATTGTGGTTTTGATTTGCATTTCTCTGATGGCCAGTGATGATGAGCATTTTTTCATGTATCTTTTGGCTGCATAAATGTCTTCTTTTGAGAAGTGTCTGTTCATATCCTTTGCCCACTTTTTGATGGGGTTGTTTGTTTGTTTCTTGTAAATTTGTTTGAGTTCATTGTAGATTCTGGCTATTAGCCCTTTGTCAGATGAGTAGTTGCGAAAATTTTCTCCCATTTTGTAGGTTGCCTGTTCACTCTGAGGGTAGTTTCTTTTGCTATGCAGAAGCTCTTTAGTTTAATTACATCCCATTTGTCAATTTTGGCTTTTGTTGCCATTGCTTTTGGTGTTTTAGACATGAAGTCCTTGCCCATGCCTATGTCCTGCATGGTATTGCCTAGGTTTTCTTCTAGGGTTTTTATGGTTTTACGTTTAAGTCTTTAATCCATCTTGAATTAATTTTTGTATAAGGTGTAAGGAAGGGATCCAGTTTCAGCTTTCTACATATGGCTAGCCAGTTTTCCCAGCACCATTTATTAAATAGGGAATCCTTTCCCCATTGCTTGTTTTTCTCAGGTTTGTCAAAGATCAGATAGTTGTAGATATGCGGCGTTATTTCTGAGGGCTCTGTTCTGTTCCATTGATCTATATCTCTGTTTTGGTACCAGTACCATGCTGTTTTGGTTACTGTAGCCTTGTAGTATAGTTTGAAGTCAGGTAGCATGATGCCTTCAGCTTTGTTCTTTTTGTTAGGATTGACTTGGTGATGTGGGCTCTTTTTTGGTTCCATATGAACTTTAAAGTAGTTTTTTTCCAATTCTGTGAAGAAAGTCATTGGTAGCTTGATGGGGATGGCATTGAATCTATAAATTACCTTGGGCAGTATGGTCATTTTCACAATATTGATTCTTCCTACCCATGAGCATGGAATGTTCTTCCATTTGTTTGTATCCCCTTTTATTTCATTGAGCAGTGGTTTGTAGTTCTCCTTGAAGAGGTCCTTCACGTCCCTTGTAAGCTGGATTCCTAAGTATTCTATTCTCTTTGAAGCAATTGTGAATGGGAGTTCACTCATGATTTGGCTCTCTGTTTGTCTGTTATTGGTGTATAAGAATGCTTGTGATTTTTGTACACTGATTTTGTATCCTGAGACTTTGCTGAAGTTGCTTATCAGCTTAATGAGATTTTGGGCTGAGACAATGGGGTTTTCTAGATATACAATCATGCCATCTGCAAACAGGGACAATTTGACTTCCTCTTTTCCTAATTGAATACCCTTTATTTCCTTCTCCTGCCTAATTGCCCTGGCCAGAACTTCCAACACTATGTTGAACATACCAGAATCTCTGGGACACATTCAAAGCAGTGTGTAGAGGGAAATTTATAGCACTAAATGCCCACAAGAGAAAGCAGGAAATATCCAAAATTGACACCCTAACATCACAATTAAAAGAACTAGAAAAGCAAGAGCAAACACATTCAAAAGCTAGCAGAAGGCAAGAAATAACTAAAATCAGAGCAGAACTGAAGGAAATAGAGACAAAAAAACCCTTCAAAAAATTAATGAATCCAGGATCTGGTTTTTTGAAAGGATCAACAAAATTGATAGACTGCTAGCAAGACTAATAAAGAAAAAAAGAGAGAAGAATCAAATAGACGCAATAAGAAATGATAAAGGGGATATCACCACCAATCCCACAGAAATACAAACTACCATCAGAGAATACTACAAACAACTCTACGCTAATAAACTAGAAAATCTAGAAGAAATGGATAAATTCCTCAACACATACACTCTCCCAAGACTAAACCAGGAAAACGTTGAATCTCTGAATAGACCAATAACAGGATCTGAAATTGTGGCAATAATCAACAGCTTACCAACCAAAAAGAGTCCAGGACCAGATGGATTCACAGCCGAATTCTACCAGAGGTATAAGGAGGAGCTGGTACCATTCCTTCTGAAACTATTCCAATCAATAGAAAAAGAGGGAATCCTCCCTAACTCATTTTATGAGGCCAGCCTCATCCTGATACCAAAGCCTGGCAGAGACACAACCAAAAAAGAGAATTTTAGACCAATATCCTTGATGAACATTGATGCAAAAATCCTCAATAAAATACTGGCAAACCAAATCCAGCAGCACATCAAAAAGCTTATGCACCATGATCAAGTGGGCTTCATCCCTGGGATGCAAGGCTGGTTCAATATATGCAAATCAATAAATGTAATCCAGCATATAAACAGAACCAAAGACAAAAACCATATGATTATCTCAATAGATGCAGAAAAGGCCTTTGACAAAATTCAACAACCGTTCATGCTAAGAACTTTCAATAAATTAGGTGTTGATGGGACGTATCTCAAAATAATAAGAGCTATCTATGACAAACCCACAGCCAATATCATACTGAATAGGCAAAAACTGGAAGCATTCCCTTTGAAAACTGGCACAAGACAGGGATGCCCTCTCTCACCACTCCAGATGACTACTTCTCAAATGTGCCCTAAACATGCTAACATGTAAGTGACCAATAAATAATATCATGTTTCTCATTGGCATTCTTATATTCAATAAAATAGGTCATTATATTACATATGACATCTAATTTGTAAAAATATACACTTTCCCCCATGGGACTCAGTGTAACTATTTGCATCTTGAGTGTGGAAAAACCTGTGTCCCATGAAAACGTCTGTATTCTTTAAGTGGCTCTCACTCCAATGTAGATAGATATAGGCATAGGTGCAGATCTAGATGCAGGTATAGGTATAGGTTGTTATTACTGTACATCATGTTATATAAGGAATTCTCTTCTCCCTACTCTTTTTCTGAAACAAAGCTCTCCTTTTCACAGGCTATCTGCACTCAGCTTGTAGTTATCAGAAAACAGTTAGTAATTTATTTTAAAAGTAACTTCAGGAAGAAATGGATGTTGTGAATGAAGGAATTTAAAGCAGCATGAAGAATAAAATCAGTCATTTAGTCTGACAGGCAGTCGTGGGCAGCTATTTGGGTTATAAGGCAACTATCTTGCTGTTTAAACCAAACCCCATGCCACATGCACGACCATTGGAGTATTATGTAAGTGTTCAACCAGTGCCAAAATTCTATCATTCTTAGCTGTCTACTCACTATAGGTAGGGCCGATCCCCAAATTCTAAAAGATTGAAATGGATAGGATCTTGATACCATTTTTCTTGTATGTTTTAAAATAGCAAGCCACTCACTTACAAATTTGAACAGGAGATTGCATTTGCCAAACATGTAGTTATAATTGAGATTTTCATTGTGTACCTCTTTGCGAAAATGCAGATGGATTAGCATTCATGGTCACTGAGTTCTGTTTCCATGGATATAGTTTCAGTCATGCCAACCAGGGACAGATTGTGTACTTTATTACTTTGTTTCAAGTATTATTCAAACATTTAAAAAATATCCCAGCACTATACAACATTATATGTTAATGTAGTGGTAATATTTTGGTAATATTTCGTTGACTTTAAATGATTTTGAGGTTCCAATCACGATTTCTTAAAAGTATGCACCTAGATTGTAATACTGAAAGCCTATTGGTTTAACTAGGCATGCTAGCTTGGCGTCCAGGGAACTCCTGAAGAAGCCAGAATTAAGTGAACTCGCAGTTTCATTAATATCCAAAGAAGAGTTAGCCTGGTAACAAGATGTTTCATCTACTACAATTCCAAAAAGCTTTAGAAAAGGCAATGGAGGACTACAGCTAGGAGAAAATTTACTGGTCAGATAAATACAAAAATTATTTCACTCTTCCCTACTAGACTAGTAAATTTTTAAAAACTATGTTTTTATATTCTCGTATTTCTCACAACCCAGTTTTTAAAATTTATTAGTACCTAATACACAATTGTAAATTTAATGTCACATATCTGTTGTTGGTCTTTTAATTAGAACCTGGTACCAACAGAGTTTTAAATACTGACAGTGATGAGCCTGGAACGAATACCGAATATGCATGTTATTTTCAGGAGTGTGTTGAGGCATTCCAAGTGGCATAAAAAATAATGTGTACATAGCTTGTAAACGTGGAAGTTTATTATATGAGGATAAGTTAATTCAATTCAATAAGTAATTTAATTCAATGCACTTTGGATACATTGGAGGGAAAAACAGTCAAAAAATTTTACTCATGGATCTTATATCCTAGCAAGGGAGACCACCAATAAATAATAGATATGATAAACAATTGTGTGGTGTGTTAGAAGGTTACAAATGTTTTGGAACAAAAGAAAAAGTAGAGGGCAAAGGGTAATCTTGAATAGTAGTGGTGTGGGCTGTTGCCAAGTTGCAGTTTTTAAAATGATCAAAGTCTGCCTCATTGACAAGGTGAGATTTAAACAAAGGCTTCAGGAGTTGAGAGAGTTGGCCAAGCAGGTGCTGGGGAAAGAGCTTTCCAGGCAGAGGCAACACCTAGAGCAAAAGTCCAAAGGTGAGAGCGTGCCTGATGTGTTCAAGGAAGACCAGGGACATAAGTGTAGCTCTCCAGGGTAGTGCAAGCAGGGAAGAGCTGTAGAAAATAAGGTCAGAGAGGTAATGAGGAAGCACACTCAGTCATACACAGCCTGACACATGGTGATTATATGAACTTTAGCTTCTGCTGAGTACAGGGAAGAGCCATTGCAGAATTCTGAGCAGAGAAACAGTCTACTGAGATGTAAGTTTCAAATGGATGATTCTATTTTTGTATAGAGTACAGACTATAGAGAGAAGAGGATAAATGCAGGTGACCAATTTGGAGAGGGTTGCAGTAATCCAGGGACAACAGATGGGGGCTCAGATCAGAGTAAGAGGTGCTAAAAAGTAGTTAAATTCTGGATATTGTTTGAAGGTAGAGAAAAAAGAACTTCTTGATGGATTTAATAAGGAAAACATGAGAAAGGGGGGAATAGAGGATGACTTTGGCCTGTGCAACTCAAAAGATGGAATTTCCTCAACTGAAATGAGGAAAACTGGATGGAGAAGGTTCCAGGAAGAAGATCAGGCGTTCAGTCTAGGATACGTTCAAGCAGAATTGTTAGACAGTTGTGTATATGAATCTGAAGTTCAAGTACAAAGGTCTGGAGTGGAGGTTTAAATTTGGGAGTCACCAGCAGATAGATGGTACTCAAAGCCACTGGCCTGGATGATTCCAACAAGAGAGTTCATGTGTGGACCAAGGACTGAGCCTTGGCAATACAACTTTAAGTCAGGACGAAGAGGGAGATTAACCGGAAAGGAGCGCCCAGTGAGTTAGAAGGAAAGCAAAGGATGTGTGTGGTTTTTTTCAAAAGCTAAGAGAAGAAAGTGCATCAAAGGGGAAGGAGAAATCAATTTGGTCAAAACCTATAATAGGTCAAGTGAGATGAGGGGGAAAAAAAATGGCCGTTGGGTTTAGTGACACAGAACTAGTTCATTGGTAAATTTAAATATTCAACCTTGCATCAGTATCGCCACTTTCTGAACACTGCCATTTTGATTTATGCATGGAATTTCCCCCAACCAAGTTTTATGTCCTTGGCTTTCTTTTATTTTTCCTTATAACTGTCCTTTTCTTTGGTGTTTATGGGTGAATATTGGTTTTCTCTTAAATCTTTTAACTCCTTATATTTTATGTGCTTTCTCGGCACATGCTTTTGAATTACATTTTTAAATTTTAATTTCATTTCACATTTATAATATAGAGCAATGTTTGAATTCAGCTATTAACTTTTATCCATCTCTTAGTCTATATTGATTTTTTGGTTGTCTTTCCAAATCACATTCATGCCTTATTTTAGCTGCCACATTGTATAAAGTTATCTAGCATTGTTTAACTTTCACATCTAGTAAGTAGCATAGTAACTGAATTGTAACTGTAATTGACAATAAACATCTGTTTTATTTCCCCATTTTTTGTTAATTCAACAACACAGTTGTATTCTACCTGGTGCATTCATTGAATCTTGCTAAAAAAAAATCTAAATCACACCAATATTTTGTTTCTAACTCCTCCTCTTCAACAGCCTCTAGATTATATGCATTTTCCATTACTTTTATTTGTATTGCAAATTACTGTAATCTTACTTTTGTTACTTTTATTTCTGGAGATTCTTTTGTTACTGTTTACCAACTGTGACTTTCATTCTGGCTGACCTTTGTAATTTCTTATTTATTCAGATTTGTGTCATCTTGCTATTGTAGGTACATTTATACATCCTGGAATGGCATTCCAGTTTACTCAGTGTTCTCAAGGCAATAAATGTCATGTCCTGATGTGAAAATATAACTATTAATATAAAATGAGTGTGCATTAGAGACTGCAATCAGTAGCAGAATAGAGGTAATATAAATTGATAGTTAGGAATATTGAAAAGGAAGTTAAAAGGGGAAAATTTATTAGCTAGCTAGTAATAAAACTCTAGAAAGGCCAATGCAAAGACTTTCTATCTATGCAAGTCCAGAGAACTATACATCTAAGTCATAGCTCTACACAATTGTCAAATCCTTCCCATTTAAATAGTAAATACATGCCCAACATACATACACTTAAACATCATTAAACAAGAATAAGCCAAGGAGCATATTAATAGTCATCTTCATCTCTTCCTCTAATACTTGCTCTGCTTATATGGACAGACATTTTGAGTTCTGACAGACCATTTATTTAGATAGGTTCAATTAGCAAGTTATGCAAGGTAGTCAAACTGATTTGAAAAAAAAATGAATGTCATTGAACACTTCACTGCACAGGATGTCTTCAGTTTTTATTTTCCCAATAAATAGTAAGCTATGTAGTAGACTCTTATGGTAATAATTTCTGTATTCTAAAATGTCAACAAAAGAAAAATATCCCTCAGAATTTACTTATGCTTCAGAGATCTTTCTAAGGATTTAAAACAATTTAGGTAGCCACTCTTTAAAAAAGAAAACAAAACAACAATATGAAACTGTACATATGTAATTCTCTGTGACTCAAAACTCAAAAGTGTTCTTTCCACGGTAGAAACTCAGAAGGTAGAGAGAAAAACCAGCTATTTTATGTGTATGTTGTTTTCAGTTATTATCACATTCTTAATGAATTTTCTGGAGGTCTACAATGACCCTAGATCCCATGAAATGATAAATTAAATGTGAAAGTGTGTCAAGTACTTGTATAAGATACTCCAATGTCTTCAGAATTTACAAAATTTTCTCTGAAGTTATCAAGGCAGAAAAGTGCAGCGATCATTGAGTCACGAGATATAAATTCTCTTCATAGCTGGTTCAACTAGCTGATTGATCCAATGAGTGTTGCTCTGCCTCCCCATTATCCATTCACCCTTATCCTGAGAGTCACTTCCTGATTTCCCTATCGGGAAAGATGCCTCAACTCTGAATTTTATAATTGTTATGCTTTATGTTGCAGATGGATGAATATACAAACCTACTTAAAAGAAGTGGGAATTTATTTTTTTATCTAGAGTCTTTGTTCAGGCAATCCTTCACCCAGAGTTCCAAAAATGGGAAAAAAGACCTAGCTTCTATATCAATTTTTTAGTTGCTTTTATTCCTGTGTTATCTTTACTTGATTTCCAGCTAGTAACCTAAAAACCCTTAACCAAACATACAAATCAAGATCAAAAAACAAAAATGTACAGACATAACATGAATGGCAGCTGAATTAGTTTCCTGTGGCTGCCATAACAAATTACTACAATCTGGGAGGCTTAAAAGAACAGAAATTTATCCTCTCACAATTCTTAAATCTACAAATCTAAAATGAAGGTGTCAGCAGGGCTGTGCTTCCCCTGAAGGCTCTAGAGAAGGATCTTTTCTTGCTTTTTCCAGCTTCTCTTTTTCCTATAAAGATGCCAGTCATTGGATTGAAGGTCCACTCTAGTCCAGTAAAATCTCATCTCAAATCTTACCTAATTACATCTGCAAAGACACTACTTCAAAATAAGGTCACATTCTGAGGTTCTGGATGGGCATGAATTTTGGGGGAACATTATTCAATCCACTATAGAGATAAATAACAATAAACACCAATTGCATTGTGTGACTCTCAGGACCTCATTAGATCTCTTTGGATGTTAGTTTTCTTTTCCTGTAAAATATTTGAAATGGGCCAAACAAGGGAATCTTTAAGGTTTATTCTATCCTTGCCTTCAATGAATCCTAGGATCAAAGGACAATGTCATCCAAGTGTTCAGGCTATGAGCACAAAAAATTGGGCTTTTCTAGTCATACATGTACTTATCTACAAGGTGCACATATTATGAGTTTGGCTTTGTAGGACATTTTTTCATTCTGGAGACATGAAAGATTTCTTATCAAGTCTAGCTGAATTTGGGCAATGTGTGACTCCTGACCATTTTTCAGTGATGTTCTTGGCCATGATATTCAGAAGACTGTGTGTGTGTGTGTGTGTGTGTGTGTGTGTGTGTGTGTGTATCCCAAGTAGCTGGAACTACAGGCGCCCGCCACCACGCCTGGCTATTTTTTTGTGCTGTTAGTAGAGATGGGGCTTCACCATGTTAGCCAGGATGGTCTCAATCTCCTGACCTCGTGATCCACCCGCCTGGGCCTCCCAAAGTGCTGGGATTACAGGTGTGAGCCACCATGCCTGGCCTATATTTTCTTTTCCAAAGATTTTTTAAGACCATTTGCTCTTGTCTTCTCCCTGTTAAGGATTATAGCTTTTTAAATAGCATAATGATCACTTAGCAACTAAAGAATTCCACACAGATTTATAAGATGAATCTGTTTACCAGATATATTAATCTAACTTGAAAACATTTTTTAGTACTTTATTTGCAGGATGCTTTTTAGCATAAATGTTGTTGGAATGAATTTGGCCATTTCAACAGTCTTTATTTAAATTTGTTTTATAACTAAAATAATGTTAATGAGACGGTGGTCTTTTCCTTCAAATAGAATGATAGGCAAGTGCAAGAATGTTAGAGATCAACTTGGTTGGTGATGTTTCTCTTTTGAGAACATGGACATGGGTTGTGAGTCTGCTTCATGTAATCCCAGGCACTAGGGAGGCTGAGGCAGGAGAATCGCTTGAACCCAGAAGGTGGAGGGTGCAGTGAGCTGCACTCCAGCCTGGGGGACAGAGCAAGACTCAGTCTCAAAAAAAAAAAAAGAAGAAGAAGAAAAAAGAAAAGAAATGTAACATTGTAAAATGATAGTCCCTATGGAAGGCAGTATGACAGCTCCTCAAAAAAGTAAACATAGAATTACCGTATTGATCCAGTAATTCCATTACTGGGTGTATACCAAAAAGAACTGAAAGCAAAGAATCAAGCATATATTTGTACTCCTATGTTTATAGCAGCATTATTCACAACAGCCAAAAAGTGGAAGCAACCTAAGTGTCCACTGAAAGGTCAATAAATAAACAAATGTATGATATACATACAATGGAACTTTAATCAGCCTCTGAAAAGGACATTCTGATACATGGTACAACATACATAAACCTCGAAGACATTATGCTAAGTGAAATAAGTCAATCACAAATTGACAAATATTTATTATTCCAGCTCTACGAGGTCTCTAGAATAATCAAATTTATAGAAACAGAAATTAGAATGATGGTTGTAATGGGCTAGAGAAATGGGAAAATGGGGAGTTAGTATTTAATGGGTACAGAGTTTCACTATGGGAAGAAGAAAAATCCTGGAGATGGATGGTGGTGATGGCTGCACAACGATGTGAACATACTTAATGACACTGAACTGTACACCTAAAAATGGTTAAAATTCTAAATATTAATTATGAAGTGAGCATTAACTAACATAGGCCATATTCTAGAGTATTAAAACTTAACTGGAACAGGAGGCCAGGCACAGTGGCTCACACCTGTAATCCCAGCACTTTGGGATGCTGAGGCGGATGGATCACCTGAGGCCAGGAGTTCGAGACCAGCCTGGCCAACATGGTGAAACTCTATCTCTACTAAAAATACAAAAAAATCTAGCTGGGCATGGTGGCACATGTCTATAATCCCACCTCCTTAGGAGGCTGAGTCAGGAGAATCACTTGAACCAGGGAGGCAGAGGTTACAGTGAGCCGAGATTGTGCCACTGCACTCCAGCCTGGGCAACAAGAGCGAAACTCCGTCTCAAAGAAAAAAAAAAAAAAACTTAATTAGAACATACTTAATGACACTGAACTGTACACTTAAAAATGGTTAAAATTCTAAATATTAAGTATGAAATGAGCATTAACTAAGACAGGCCATATTCTAGAGGATTAAAAAAGTCACAATAAATTTTAAATGGTATAATTCATATGAATTATTTTCTCTGACTATAATAGAATTAAATTAGGATTCTAGAACAATATCTAGAAAATCCCTCAAATATTTTGAAACTAAATACACAAGTCTTAGTATTTTATGCATCAAAGAAGAAATCATAAATGAAAATAAGAAAGCAAATTCATCTGGATGAAAATTAAAACATCTCAAAATCTTTGAGAAGTAGCTAGGGTAGTATTTAAATGGAAATTCATAGCCCTAAGTGTCAATATTATAAAAGAAGATAAATTGCAAGCCAATGGCCTCAGGTTCTACTTAAGAAAAAGAGAAACAAATTAAAACTGAAATAAAGTAAGGGAATATTAAACATTGGGGTAGAAATCAATAAAATATAAAGCAGGAAAACAATGAAGAAAAAAATGAAATCAAAAGCTGGTTCTCTGAGACATTCAATGAACTGTTAAACCTCTAGCTAGACTTATTAGGAAAAAAATAGAAAAGACACAAATTTCTAATGACAAGAATGAGAGAGGTGGTACAATTATGATAGCTCTATTGACATTTAAAAAAATAAGAGAATTCTATTTGCAAATTATGTAAAATATGTGACAACTCAGAAGAAATATATAAATTTCTTAAAAGACACAACAAACTAATGAAGTTCACTTAATAAGAAATAATAACCTGAATAACGAGATATCTATTAGGGAAATTGAATTTTAAACCTCCCCTTAAAGAAAATTCAAGGCCCACATGTCTTCACTGAGGAATTTGACTAAGCATTTAGTGGAGAAATAATACTAATTCTGTTCAAATACTTCTAAGAAAATGAAGAGAAAATTCATATCAACTCATTTTACAAGGCCAGCATATCCCTGCTACCAAGTGAAGACATTTGAAGAAAATTACAGACCAATATTCCTCAACGTGGAGGAAAACTTTCTTGTTTTATTAGTCCTGAGAGTTTATTTGAAGTAAGTCACAACAAAAAATAATAAATACTTGTGTTGTCTTGGTTTTACTTTCAGCCTGAAGTGTCTCAAGCAAAGAAAACCATGAGATAGAATAAAGCTGGATACATACGGACATAGAAACTGGTATTCTCCTTTACATCTTTCCCTTTCTTTCAATATCTTTTTCTCTCTTTATTTTAACTATTATTTTAAGTTCAGGGATACATGTGAAGGATGTGCAGGTTTGTTACATAGGTAAGCTTGTGTCATGGGGATTCATTGTACAGATTACTTCACCACCCAGGTATTAGGCCTAGTACCCATTAGTTATTTTTCCTGATCCTCTCCCTCCTCCCACCTTCCAACCTCCAATAGGACCCAGTGTGTGTTGCTCCCCTCTATGTGTCCATATGTTCTCATCGCTTAGCTCCCAGTTATAAGTAAGAACATGTGGCATTTTGTTTTCTGTTCCTGCGTTAGTTTGTTAAAGATAATGTCTTTCAGCTCCATCCATGTCGCTGCAAAGACATGATCTTGTTTTTCTTTATGACTGTATAGTATTCCATGGTATATATGTACCACATCTTCTTTATCCAGTCCATCATTGATGGGCATTTAGGTTGATTCCCTGTCTTTACTACTTTGAATAGTGCTGCAATGAACATAGACGTGCATGTGTCTGGAAGTTGAATCCCACAATATAGAAAAAGGTAACAAAAATAAAAGTGGGGTCTATCCCAGGAATGCAAGTTTAGTTGAAGATTCAAGAATCAATTAATGTAATTCATTATAATAATAGACTGAAGAAAAAAACATAATATCTTACCAATACACGCAGAAAAGTGGTTGACATATCCAACATCCATCCTTGATTTAAGTTAAAACTGAAAACTCTCAGCAAGCTTAAAATAGACGGGAACTTCCCTAACCTAACAAAAGGCATGTAGGTAAAACCTACAGCTGGCACACTTAGTAGTGAAAAATTAAATGCTTTCCCCTAAGTTCAGGAACCAGAAAAGGATACCCACTCTCATGATTTCTATTCAGCGTCGTATTAGATGTTCTAGCCAATGCACGAAGCTGAGTACAATAAATAAAAGACTTCCATATTAGAAGAAAAACTATGTTTATTCACAAATAACATGAGCATCTGTGTCGAAAAGTCAACGGAATAATAAAAGTTACTAGAACTAATAAGAGTTTTTCAGAGTCTAAAGATTTGAAACTAGTATATTAAAATTAATTGTATTTGTATATACATGCATAAATCTCAGAAATTGAAACTTAAAAAACAAGTATTTAAACTAGCAGCATAGAATGTAAAATACTTAGGGATAAATCTCATGAAAATGTGTAAGATCTATACAGTGAAAATTGCAATACATTTATTTTTTAATTATTTTATTTTATTATTATTATACTTTTAAGTTTTAGGGTACATGTGCACAATGTGCAGGTTTGTTACATATGTATACATGTGCCATGTTGGTGTGCTGCACCCATTAACTCGTCATTTAGCATTAGGTATATCTCCTATGGCTATCCCTCCCCCCTCCCCCACCCCACAACAGTCCCCGGAGTGTAATGGTCCCCTTCCGGTGTCCAAGTGTTCTCATTGTTCAATTCCCACCTATGAGTGAGAACATGCAGTGTTTGGTTTTTTGTCCTTGCAATAGTTTGCTGAGAATGATGGCTTCCAGTTTCATCCATGTCCCTACAAAGGACAAGAATTCATCATTTTTTATGGCTGCATAGTATTCCATGGTGTATATGTGCCACATTTTCTTAATCCAGTCTATCATTGTTGGACATTTGGGTTGGTTCCAAGTCTTTGCTGCAATACATTGTTAAGAGAGATTAAGTAAGACCTAAATCGATGGAAAGATACATCAGTTCCATGAGTTGGAAGAATTGTAATATGTCAATTCTGTGTACATTAACCACAAATTCAATGCAAACCAGGCAAAATCCAAGTAGGCAGATTGGTAGATATCAAAAACCTGAATCTAAAATTGGTGCAGAAATCCAAATGTCCTAATGCAGCCAAAACAACTTTGAAAAAGAAAAAGAAATTGGAAAGACCTCTAGTAAGAACAACATGAACAAATGTCAAAGTGAAAGAAACTAGAAACAAAAGACTACATGTTATAAGATTTCATTTATTTAACAGACTTTAAAAAAACAGAAACTATAGTCATATAAAGCAGGTCAGTGGTTGCACGGGGTCTAGGCATTTGGAGGAGAGAATTAATTGCAAAGGGACACAAATGTATGTTTAAAATTTTACATACAGTAATGGTGATGGTGGTTACACCACTGTCTATATTTGTCAAAGCTCATCAAATTATATATTTAAACTAATGAATTTTATTATACAGTATTATACTAGAGCTAACCAAAATAAAAGTGAAAATCTCTGTGGGGGAAACTATAGAGAAACATATACTCTTATATGTTGGTGGTAAGATTTCAGGACTGTTCAACCACTATGGAGAGAAGGTTAGTAATATCTAGTAAAATCACACATGCATATGTTCTCTGACTCAGAGTTTCTCCTTTTAGGAACCTATTCCAATGATACATTGACAAAAATATGAAATGGTGTAGACACACAGCTATTCATTGCCAACAGTCCTTTAATAGTATCTTATACCATAAATTAAAGAATAATGAATAAACAAAGAATAATACAGCCATAACAAAAAGACACAACAAAAAGTAGTCCATTCAGGTGGGTCATACTGGCCAAAGATGGAACAATCTGAGCATCGATTAAAATAACGGCTGCAGTGATTTGAAACCTATCAGTTTTGTTAAACTCCATGAGGTCAAAATGATACTTGAAATGTAGCTAACTGGTCATCTCAGAGAGATGCTATGGAGCCAACTCATTATTCTGAAAACTGATAAATAAAAGGAAAAGTACAGCATATTTCCCCCCAGTTCTGAATATACTATAACTTGAGGTAATTGAATAGTTGTGGAAAATTATTTTAGAAAAATTACACCTAAGAAATACAGAAAAGTATGATGGAATTATAATATGACTATTTTAAACCCCTCCTGAAAAAATAAATTTATTCAATTATCATTGTGGTTGCTAAAATAATTAGGTGGAGCCAGGCACAGTGGCAGGTGCCAGTCGTCCCAGTTACTCTGGAGACTGAGGCAGGAGGATCACTTGAGTCCAGGAGTTCAAATCCAACCTGGACAATATAGTAAGACCCCCATCTCTAAAAAGTAAAAATAAAATTATTATGGGAAATTCTGATGCAGATTATAACAATGGATAGACCATAGTGAAAACACCTAAATCCACTGATCAACCTGAGCATTATTAAAATAAGCAATCTGACATTGTGGGTCTCTTGTTATAATGCAGTAGGAGTATTTAGCATCACCTACAAAATATCCTTGCCAAATGTCAAACCTAAATCTCCTCAAGCCAATAGGTCTTACAAACTTTCACAAGATAATAAGAGAAACAGTAAATTATGTTAAACAAAACCATAGAGAAGTGGTCAGAAAACTGAGAATGGGAGAAATTCTATAGAAAAATGGTCAATTTTTAACAAACAAAAAATGCCGAGAGAGAGAAAGAGATGACCATAGGTTAAAAAGCTGAAGAAAACTTTAATTTCAAGTTAGGGTAGTTTGGAGCCGACCATTGCTCTTGCTGAGAAAAATCAAAACATTTGGATCACTCTCTCTCTCTTTTTTTTTTTTTTTTTTAATGTTTAAAACATCAGAGAACTGCTAAAGTAACCCAGACTGGAAGAAACAATGGTAGAGAAGTCAGAAAACATGTTTCAGCCATTAATTCCCTGGGGAAATTTAATGGTTCTGCGTATAGAGAAAGAGCCTTAGAATCTAGGTTACGCCCAGGCAAAGAGACACTGCGGAGATAAGAGAAACCAGCAGAGCATTTAACAGTTTTGTCAGGCTAGAGAGACAAAATTGCAGACATAAAGGGACAGGATCCAGGCAGGCAGTGGGTGAAGGATTAAACCTGAAACATGGCAAGTTTTTCTTTCAAGACATTTGGTGCATTCTAAATATGTACATGGTAGGAAATGAGAAGTTAGGCAGAAAATCTCTGAAAAGCAGAGTAGGTTTTCCAACAATCTCAGTAATGTAGGAATTACAGTTTAAAACCTACTAGATGGAGGGGGTCCCAACAAACACCACTGAACCTCAGTTGGAAACCTGGGAGGCCTTTATACTACAATCAAGGGTGACTGAGAGGTAAAAAAAAAACACCCAAACTGAAACCCAGTATTGACTCATCTCACACTTTGAATTAATGTGATCAGGCCCACATTGTCAGCCAAGCAGAGAAAAGACTAAATTCTTTCTGGAAGAAAATAACATCATCTGGAGTCTATAACATTACTAGGCTCACCAAAAGAAAAGAGAGTGTAAATAAAAGTCAAGAAAAATAACATGATAGAAATACACCAACAAGTGATCCCAACATTGGAGTTATTAGTAAATTACTTTAAAATGACCTTGAATGATATCTTTAAGAAAATATACATAAATTTACCAGAGCTTTTGGAATCTATTTTTTAAAAAACAAAGGTAAATTCTAAAACTGAAAAATAATAATAACTAACATTAGGAACTCAATACGTGGTCTGAGCAGATCAGACACAGAAGATGAAATTCTGAAACTAGAAGAAAGAGCAATAGAAAACAGGTGACATGATTTTTTTTGTTCTTGTTGTTGTTTTGATAGAGACAGGGTTTCTGCATGTTGCCCAGGCTGGTCTTGAACTTATGGACTCAAGCAATCCTCCCACTTTGGCCTCCCAAAGTGCTGGGATTACAGGCGTGAGCCACCACACCTCGTCCAGAAAACAGGTGACGTGAAAGAGGAAACAACTAACAGAAAATAGAGAAAACTATAAGATGGGTACAGGATGAAGTGAAATGGCAAAATATAAATTTTCTTAGAATCACAGAAGCAGAGAACAGAAAGAAGCGCAAAAGCAAAACTCGAAAAGATATTAGCCAACTCTGATACATAGAAGGAAAACCATACTGTATTTAGGCACATCATAGTAAAACTGCTTAAAACCAAGGACAAAAAGGGAAATATTAAATTTACTTAGAGAAAGAAAGAAATGTTAACCACAAAGCAATAACAATAAGACTGAGCTATTACTCTCGACAGAAATTGTGAAATTTAAAGCACAATGATACAACTGCTAAAAGAAAATGATGGCCACCTTAGAATTCTATCCCCAGTGAGAATAGCATTACTTTTTTTTTTTGAGACGGAGTATCTCTTTGTCACCCAGGCTAGAGTGCAGTGGCACGATCTCATCTCACTGCAACCTCCTTCTCCTGGGTTCAAGCAATTCTCCTGCAACAGCCTCCTGAGTAGCTGGGATTACAGGCATCCACTACCATGCCTGGCTAATTTTTGTATTTTTCTTTAGCAGAGATGGGGTTTCCCCATGTACCTTTTTTTTTTTTTAGTAGAGACAGGGTTTCCCCATGTTGGCCATGCTGGTCTCAAACACCTGACCTCAGGTGATCCGCCTGCCTGGGCCTCCCAAAGTTTATAGGCGTGGGCAATCGCACCTGGCCGAAAATAACGTTTTTTAAACTGTAAAATAAAGGCACGACACTTTCTGACAAATACTGAGGTAATTTGTCGCCAGCAGACCTTTACTAAATAAACGGTATTGTTCAACCAGAAGAAAATGATCCCATATGGAAACACACATGTGTGGAAAAGAATGAAAAACACAGAATATGTAAATACATTAGTATATGTAAAGTAATATTGACAGTACAAATAGTGGCAATAATATTTTGTGAAACTTAAAATATTTATAGAATTAAAATCCATGGTGGCAGAAATGGAAAGACGGTAGGAGGTAAATGGGGTTAAAATGTGCAAAGGTTTTAACATTAGAGAAGTGGAAAATAGTAATTTGCATTAAACTAGGGTAAGTGAAGGATGCCAGCTATAATGTCTAATAACCACTAAAAGACTATTAAAAGAAGTAATTAAGTAAATGTAGCAAACATATTTGATTACTTCAAAAGAAATCAAGACAGAGAAAAAGCAAAACAAAGCAGGTATGCCAAATAGAAAATAAGACTACAGACATAAAAGCAAGTATACCAATAATTACATTAAATGCCATGAACTAAATGATTCTATTTAACAACAGTACTTGTTAGGTTGAATTGAAAACAAAATACAACTCTATGTTGCTAAGAAGAAATATACTATAAAAACATAAATTCGAAAAAGTTAAAAGTAAAAAGATACAGCAAGAAAACAGGACTTCACTCCTACAACTTGCAAGGAACTGAATTTTGCCAACAACCATGTAAACTTCAAAAAGAACTCCAAGTATCTGATGAGAATATAGCTCTGGCCACACCTTGATCTCACCCTGCACAGAGGACACCATGCCTGGACTCCTAACCTACACAACTGTGAGCTAATACATGAGTGTCATTTTTAGCTGCTGTATTTGTGGCAATTTGTTACACAGCAATAGAAAACTAATACGTAACATGAATGTCCATCCAAAAATTAATTAATTAGTTGTGATATATTCATAATATGAAGTTCTGCACAGCAATGAGAATAAATGCATTATTGCTATATGCATTACCATGGAAGAGTCTCAGTAACATAATGCAGAACAAAATAAATTAGACACAAAAGAGTACCTGCATGAATCTATGCATTTCTAGAAAGTGCGTTTGTTGGGTTGTAGTAAAATCTCATATTTTCTTTGATAAAACTCTATATCTTTCATAAGATTCTCAAGCAAATCATGACCCCAAAAAGGCAAGGGTCACTGATGTAGATTATGTTAACTATGTACTTAAAAAAAATTAAATCAGCATAATTGCCTCAATTTTTATTGTTGATGTAGCATGAGGACAGAATGCAATTTGTATTGTTTGGTATCTTTTAAGTTTTTCTTCTGCTAATTATCATCCTTAAATTCATAAAAAAGCAACAAAGAAACTTAATGCTATGGAATTACAAACTGAGTGCAAGTGTAAATCTTTTGCAGGTTTTATCATTTTTGTCTTCAAGAAAGGAATCCAAGGCTAGGCATTGTGGCTCAGGCCTGTAATCCCAGCACTTTGAGAGGTCAAGGTGGGAAGAACACTTGAGATCAGGAATTCAGGCCCAGCCGGGGCAACATAGCAAGACTACATCTCTAAATAAAACAAACAATTAGCAGGGCAGAGTGATGTGTACATGCAGTCCCAGCCTCTAGGAAGGCTGAGGCAGGATGATCACTCGGACTCAGAAATTCAAGTCTGCAGTCAGCTATGATCACACCACTGCACCCCAGCCTGAACAACAGAGTAAGATCCTGTGTCTTGAAAAGAAAAGGGAAAGCAAGAAAGAAATCCAATGTTCTGCAATTCTTTCTTATTCCCTCCCAGTCCAATCATGAATGTGCTGTCTGGGGTTGGTCAGATTCGAGGACACCAACTAGGCCTTCTCACTGATGGGTAGAACCAATGCAAGTGGTAAGAGCTTGAGCTTTTCCTCTCACTCCCTTTGCTCTCTCTTTTCCCATGTGACAGCAACCAAGGATTGGGTCATTTCAGGAGAATTATTTCTAGCAGAGGTCAGTATCAGACATCGCGAACAAATATATTCTCATTATGTACTATCTTTCTCTCTGGTATCCTCTCTCTGATATTGACAGATGTCACCAGTTACTAGCTAGCTCAAAAAGGGATGTTCTATATAACATGCCCTGGGTTACTAACATATACTGCACCAAAATTTGTGCCTTCAATCCAGAAGTTAATAAAGTGTTACCTTGGTTTTCTTCATTCATTGTTTCTTGCTCATGCATTTTCCTCCAGAGCCTTGTCAGAGAACATGGGGATGGTCAGGTACAGGATTTTGGTATTTCTGGATCCCAGGTTATAAAACTGTCTTCATACTGTAAGAAAATTTCACCCTATTTTCTGAAAGCTGTAGGTAATACCCAACCTTTGCGTATTAAGACATACAGTCTTGACTTAAAACATATTTATTTAGGGATTGATTTCTCACTCAAATAGTTTAGGAACATTCTCACGAATTCACTTTTGGAATGAGAATATCATATTTATGTTACACTCTCTCTGAAGAAATTGCATATATTCACATAGTGCTAACATGACACAGGAACTATGTTTGAATGTGTTTGTAGAAAATAGCTTTGACATCAAAACTTGCTCTTTAAAGCCAGGAAATTCATATTCATACTTAGAACATCATAGATGGATATAAGGACAGGTGGATAGAAAATGCTAAAAAGTGCTTTACAGAGAGCAGAGAGTGTGTTTGAGAAATGTGAATCATTTTTTTAAATGTAAAAACCAAATGACCATTGCCTTAGTTTCAACTTTAGCCTCTGGGCAATTATCAAGCCTTTTCATTTTCCTGAGTTCCTTTTACTTTGCAGGGTTTCACATTCCATTTACTGCCCCAAACACATCAGCGAACTGTTTAATTCAATGATATAAGTTGTATTTTTGTATTAAAATAAACACCTTTGTCATTGATGACTAATTCAGGTAAGAAAAGCTTTTTGGTTTGGGATAAAACTCATTAATTACCTAATGACAATGAAATTCAGTCATTAGCAGGGAAAGGAAATATTTCTAGGTGTTAGAGAAATTCATTTTAAATAACTTATGCTGTTTTTTTAGGTATACTACCTTTCCTATTCTGTAATACACACAAAAAATGGATTTTTTCCTGTTACACACCATTCAACACAAAACCACACACCAAAGCAATCACTTCTTCAACAAACATGAATGCTGGGTGTCCTTTGATTCCATTCAATTCTGACTCATCTACCTGGAGATAGCAGTTTGAGGGCTCAGTCCCACAGGACTGCCGTTTCAGATGCCAAATGCAAGTAATAGGTTATCACCTGTAGTTCTAACCACTCAGCTGTGAATCAGAGTTTTTATGACCCCTTCCTCATGTTTGATTAATTTGCTAGAGTGGATCACAGAAGTCAGAGAAATATTTATGTTTACCCGTTTATTATAAAGAACAATGGAAAGGTTACAGATAAAAGTCCAGATTGAAGAGATGCATAGGGTGAGGTAAGGGAGAAGGGATACAGAGCTTCAAAGCCATCTCCAGGAACCTCCACATAGTCAGCTCTCCAGAAGCTCCCCAAACCAAGATATTTTTAGTTTTTAGGAAGGCTTCATTACACAAGCGTGATGGATAGAATTATTGGCCACTGGCGATCAATTCAACCTTTAGCTCTTCTCCCCTCCCCAGAGGTTGAGATGTGGGGCTCAAAGTTCCAACTGTCTAATCATGCCCTGGTCTTTCTGGTCACCAGCCCCAATCCTGAAGCTACCTAGGGGTTCCCAAACCTAGTCATCTCATTAGCATGACTAAAGGCACTCTTAGACACTCTGCCAGGGCCAGGCACAGTGGCTCACATCTGTAATCCCAGCACTTTGGGAGGCCGAGGCGGATGGATCACTTGAGGTCAGGAGTTTGGGACTAGCCTTGCCAGCATGGTGAAACCCCATCTCTACTAAAACTGCAAAAATTAGCCAGGCGTGGTAGTGCACACCTGTAATCCCAGCTACTCAGGAGGCGGAGGCAGGAGAATGGCTTGAACCCAGGAGTCGGAGGTTGCAGTAAGCCAAGATCATGCCACTACACTCCAGCCTGGGTGACAGAGACTCTGCCTGAAAAAAAAAAAAGAAGCAGTATGCCAGGAAACTAAACACCAAATATATACTTCACAATATCGCACCTACAAGATGGTAGATATTATGGTTTACCATTCAAAAAATAAAAATAAGCTTCAAATTGAAAACCAGGCTTATATACAATTTTGAAAAAGCAAATATCTCCCCATGAATTTTTATGGGGTGAGTGTATTAGAATTGCTGTTTCCCCTCTGATATGAATTAAATGGCTCCCATTTCAAATCCATTTTTGTGATTGAGGCATACTGGTAATGTTTTTTCTGACTCTAAATATAGTTTTATTTCAGCGAAGGCCTTGAAGTAACTCCTCCAGTCACAAAGCATACTGGAAATTTGAGTGTGACTCAAGCTCATTGTGAAATGATGTTTACCAAGTTATGATTATAAGCAAAGTTAGTTACTCTGTTATAAAGAGAATGTTGCAAAGGCTAACAAGATTTTAAAGTATAGGTTGAGTATCCTTTATCTGAAATTTTTGGAGCCAAAAGTTTTCAGAGTTCAGATTTGGTTGCATTTTGGAATATTTGCATATACCTAAGGAGATATCTTGAAGATGGGACCCAAGTATAAACACAAAATGCATTATGATTCATACATACCTTGTACACATAGGCTGCAGGTAATTTTATAAAATACTTTAAATAATTTTATTAAACATGAAACAGAGTTTGTGTTAAGCACTTTGGTATGGAATTCTCCACCTCTGGTATCATGTCAGGGCTCAAAAAAATTTTAGATTTTGTGATTTTGGATTATGATTGGATGCTCAACCTGTATATATGTATATACAGGTATATATATATATATATATATATATATATATATATATACACCTTCATAAAAATATTTTTCACAAATGTAATATAAATCAAGCTCTCTCAGGTTTTCTTATAAAACATTTTTAAACGTAGCTATCAAATGCTTCTCTGGATTAAGTAACATTATCTGAAATTTGTTTTACTCTACTACATTATTGCTGGTAAATTATGATTTTAAGTACAATGATGTTGGCCAAAATTAAGGAGCTTTATAAGAAACTGGCATATGAAATTTATTTTATTTATTCTGGACATACTGTTGAGGGTAATTCTGACTCCATTAACTCCATTAAATAGTCTTTTGTTTTTGTTTTTGTTTTGTTTTTGAGACCGGGTGGTGCTTGTTGCCCAGGCTGGAGTGCAGTGACAAAATCATAGCTCATTGTAACCTTGGAGTCCTGGGCTCAAGCTATCCTCCTGCCTCAGCCTCTGGGACTTACAGCCATATGCCACTGCACTGGACTTTTTTTTTTTTTTAATTTTTGTAGACATGGGGCCTGGCTATGTTACCCAGGCTGGTCTTGGACTCCTAGCCTTACACAATCCTCCTGCTTTAACCTCCCAAAGTGCTGGGATTACAGATTTGAACCACCACACCTGGCTTAGTCTTGTATTGTTGACATCCGCCAAAACTCACCAATCAATTGATATCAAAAAAACACCTATAATCACACAACATACACAGTTTTTTTATTTAGCTTGCTATGGCAACGGAGAACATACCCAGGGAACCATTAGGAGCATCTTAGTAAAGTGAAACTAGAAGGGGCTTCTTATGGACTCTGGACAAGTGTTGGAGGGCTCTGAGAACAGATTATGAAAGTAAGTTGGGTGCTATCAGAGAAGAGAGGCAATTCGATAATGGGTATCTCAATGATGTCCCCCAGAAGCAGGGACAATGAAAACTAAAATCACATTGTCATTGCAAGGAAGCAGAGATCACTCAGAAAAGGGGATGTGAGTCATTTTATGGTTGCAGCACAGCCTTGCCTTTGTTTAGCTAGAAACACTGTTGTTACTGGAAGCATCACTAAATTTCCTCTGACCATGTCTGCATCCATCGAAAAGAGTGGTTGGTTTTGGTTAGAACCATCACTGATTGCAAGCAGGGCACATTTTTGTTTCCTCACGAATCCAACAGAACAGAAAATTATTAGTTTCTACTACCAGAGGTGCTGGTGCTTCTCCTCAACCACTGGTTTGTTTTCATCTTATTAAGGCTAGAAATTGTAAAAAAGAGAAAAAGACTGACTCCATCCTCTAAGTGACTGCTAGAACCTCCCAAGGCAACACAGCTACAGTGCATCTATTTGACACCAACGGAATCAGTAGCATCATCTTAATTTTCCTAACTTCTTTTCCCTTTACCCAATTTTATGGCTTATTTCCATTTTTTACTTTACATGTTTTGAAAATCACACCAATTTTTTTTTAGGCTAAAGCAGAGAGTAAATAAAAAATAACTGTCAAGCTTGGATTGTCTTTTATTTGTGAGCTCAGAATCAGGATGAGAAGAAGGTAGGAAGTTGTTATGAATGTGGATGGAAGTTACGGACAATGCTGGGAAACAAGCCAGTATTAAGGACTGTACCCATTTCTAAACTGGGCTCCATCGTTAACTGCCCTTGTGACCTACAGCAAGCATTGAACTTTCTTAAGCTTTATTTTCCTCATGTTTAAAGTAGAATAATATTGTACCAATATAGTTAGGATAAAATAAGAATTAGCATGTGAAAGACTTCTCGTAATTTTACATGACAATGTATGAATATTTTGTTAAAAATTTAGTGCCAAACTCTTTGTGCACAAAAGGCATACTGTTTAAACAAACTGGTATCTACCTATCTTAGAAATTTTTATTATTAACAGATTTAAAGCCAAATATAACAATATACGCAAAAGTAGGAGAATGGGTTTCTAAATTTTTGGAAAACAATAATAGGAGTTCTTAAGATGCATGAAAGGCAACTGAATTTCATGACAGAAATAGTAAGAAAGAAGGAATAAGAAAATGTTTCTTGGCCGGGCGCAGTGGATCATGCCTGTAATCCCAGCTCTTTGGGATTACAAGGCAGGTGGGTCACCTGTCAGAAGTTCAAGACCAGCCTAGCCAATATGATGAAACCTCGTCTCTACTAAAAATACAAAAATTAGCTGGGCATGATGGCCAGTGCCTGTAATCCCAGCTACTTGGGAGGTTGAGGCAGGAGAATCGCTTGAACCTGAGAGGTGGAGGTTGCAGTGAGCCGAGATCGCGCCACTGCACTCCAGCCTGAGCGACTGAGCGAATCTCTGTCTCAAAAAAAAAAAAAAAAAAAAAGAAAAGAAAATGTTTCTTTCCTTGAAGGTGACTATAATGAAATCTTTCACTTTTCTTTCATCGTAGAAAGCAAGAATCACAATTATACAGCAATTATGCAAAACCTCCCATGCTCATAAATACTAATCTAATGAGCCCTGATTCAGATTCTAAATCATCCAATTAAATGCTAATTGGCTTATTCTCTTTAAAATGAGTTTACACTGATTCTATTCATTTCCTGATCTTTGGACGTATGAGTCTAGTTTCCTTGATTAAAAAGGACCATGGCTGGATGGTACTAATAAGAAAGCAAGCACATAAAGTATCACAGAGCCCCATGGCCAACATAGCATAAAAGTATCTATGAAGACGCAAAATATACTTTTACCATATATGCCTGGATTTTACACTAACATAAGTATTGTATCCTACAAAGAGTCATAGAGACACATTGTGCTCATTTCTATACTGTCATACTTATCAAAATTTATATGCAGTTCATCTTTGCAAATTGTCTTCAGAGACGGTTTAGAGGCAACATACGATAACCATTTTTGCATCAGACTCTCATCTACATATCAACCACACATAGCCTTCTTTTCCACAGTCACCTCTCATTCAATTAAAATGGCTCTGAATGAATGACCTTTGGTTGTTTACAAATACCAAGTCTGCCTGTAAGAGCTTAAGCTTTGCTGCCATTGAAGACATGCAGACATCAGCTCCAGAATGTGCTATGGTTGAGTTCTGCATAAGTCTCACCTGATGGGAGTATCCTCAGAGAAGAGCTGGCTGTTGCACAGGAGGCAATGCTCCCTGGAAAGGAACCCAGCTCCTATGCCTGGGAAACAGTCACATTGCTTCAGGGTCACGTTTTGAAAATACTGTGTATAGCCTATGCATAAAACTCTTGTAAAACATTTGCAAAGACACCTGATACTTTCTATTCTTAGCTCAAGAGTTCAACTCATTTTATTTAAAAGATATTAAAATATTAAGTTTGCAGAAGGCTGGTATTACAAAAACCTGATATTCAACAGAAGTAGAGTGAATTAAGATGGTAGAAGTTTGCTTCCATTCACATTCTCCATGAAGCCAAGAGACCACAAGTCTACCTAGAAGATTTCGTATCTTCCCAGGTAATCACTTTAAAAGGTGACTCAGACCAGTGTGTAGGTCTATGTTTATCTTTCTGTCCATCCTAAACCACCCCTGTGAGCAGGATACAGATAAGGAAAAGGGAAGATTGTTTCACTAGTCTGGCAGGCAAAGTCTAGATAACTGATTGAAAGATGCCATTATGGGACATAGGCTGTGTTCAGCCTACCTAGTTGTAAGGCACACGATAAGATAAAAATCCCAGGAAAGATACATTTTGGAAATCCTGCTTTTGACTCAGTTTTTCAACAGGCATTGTCATGGTGATGAGAAGAGAAAAACTTGGGAGAAAACGCTAGAAGAAATTAAAATGATGTGACATGATATCTACATAAGGTTTTCCCTGACATAGACCTTGTCAGGGGCCTTGCCAGATATTTATGACACTGTGGATGCCATGTGGTTAGTGGAACTTCCAGAGTTCCTGTAAGCCACACCAGCATCTGATCTCTGAGTTTCTATAGGGCCATGGCTAGTAGGTTGATAGATCTTGGTGATACTGAAACGTTAATACAGCCAAGGCCATTTTGGGTGTACATGTAGGTGTGTGCCTATGTGGGTGAAATTGCTGATTTTATCTCCCACAATATGCTGAGTGATCATGAAAGTAACATTTTAAATGTGAGTCCAGAGTATCAACTGGTTTTATCAAAACCTAATTGGAAAAAGTATATATATATATATATATATATATATATATATATATATATATATTTATATATATTCCACCTCTCTAGGATATTTTTGGTGTTTTTTATAATTGTTATTTTCATTGTAGTAAGAGTATTTAAATGAGATCTACCCTTTTAACAAATTTTAAGTGTACAATAGAGTATCATTGATGAATATAAATACATTATTAAAAAGATACATGTTGGTGAGGTTATGTAGAAACTGGAACCCTTGTACATTGTTGGTGGGAATGTAACATAGTGCTGCCACTACGGAAAATAGTATAGAGTTTCCTCAAAAACTTAAAAATAGAACTGCTGTATGATCCAGCAATCCCACTGATTGGTATTTATCTAAAAGAATTGAAACTCAGATTTTGAAGAGATAGTATTTGCACCCCTATTTTCATTGCAACATTATTTACAGCAGCCAGGATGTGGAAAAGTGTCCATTGATGGATAAATGTGTAAAGAAAATGTGGTATATACAGACAAGGAATTTTATTCAGCCTTTAAAAAAAGGAAATTCTGCAATGCAACAACATGAAGGAACACGGAGGACATTATACTAAGTTAAATAAATGAGACACAGAAGGGCCAGTTCTAAGCTCTCCCGGGCCTGAAAGCTTAAGTAGATGAAAAACTCCTCCCTTCTCAGGCCCAGCCGGAAGACGCAAGGCCACTTGCGTCAGCAGCGTGCGTCAGCAAGGTAGCAGAAGCAGGAAGAGAGCCAGCAAGAAGACACCTACCCTGGCAGGAAGACACGTACCCGTGAAGATAGAGAAAGAGGCCATCCAGGTACAACGTAGCAGTTACCTCAGAATAGGACACCTCCTGTTTCCAGGAGACTATAAAACCTTTGCCCCCTCCTCACTTGGGGGCTGACGCCATTAGGCCTCAGCCCGCCTGCACCCAGGCGCTCATTAAAACAGCATGTTGCCCGGCGCGGTGGTTCATGCCTGTAATCCCAGCACTTTGGGAGGCCTAGGCGGGCGGATCTCGAGGTCAGGAGATCTAGACCATCCTGGCTAACAGGGGGAAACCCTGTCTCTACTAACAATACAAAAAATTAGCCGGGCATGATGGCGGGAGCCTGTAGTCCCAGCTACTGGGGAAGCTGAGGCAGGAGAATGGCGCGAACCCGGGAGGCGGAGCTTGCAGTGAGGGGAGATGGCGCTACTGCACTCCAGCCTGGGCGGCAGAGCGAGACTCCGTCTCAAAACAAAAAAAAAACAGCATGTTGCTCCACACTGCCTTGTGTTGTCTGCTGGCGCACTCTTGGTGTTCGAACTGATACAAGAACCTTACACCAATACTGTATGATTCTTTTATATGATGAATGTAAAACAGTAAAACTCTTAAATGCAGAGAGTAGAATGGTAGTTACTAGGGACTAAAAAGAGGGGGTAACTGGGAATTACTATTCAGCAGGTACAAAATTTCAGTTAACCAAAATGAATTAGTTCTAGAGATCTGCTGCACAACACTATGCCTATTGCCATTGTCGTTTTCTTGTTTTGGTTTGGTTTGGTTTTATGCTTAATTTCTTCTTAAAAAAAATTATTGACTCAAGCCCTATTTAGCTGTCCAGGAAATCTATGGGGGAACAAAGAACTATAACACACCAGTCACCCAGTCTGTCCCCTTTCCACTCTGTTAGAGTGAGATGTCTTAGATAGATTTGATCTCAGGCTCCAATCCTGTCACTCAGTTATGCTTAGCATTCCAAGATCCTTAGCAAGACATAAACGTCCTGTCACTGTGGCTGCTACCAACCACTCTAGCTGCAACTCTTGCCTCTTCCCTATATGCAGTCTAGGTTCCAACAGTACTGAACCACTGAATTCCTTGAATTTGAATACGATTTAACACTTCCTTGCCTCATGTGACATTCTTTGGTCAGAATCCATTTCCTGGCTCTCTTTTTTGCCTTGATAATAGTAGCTGTATTCCTAGGCTGCTTATTTACATATATCTTCTGGGAAGCCTTTCTTTTTAAAATTTGTACAAATTTATGGGGTATGTGTGACTTTTTTTATGTGTTTATAGCATGGAGTGATTTCAAGTCAGGGTATTCAGGGTGTCCATTACCCCAGTACAATACGTTTTTGTTAACTATAGTCACTCTGCTATCAAACATTGGATTTATTCCTTCTATTTAACTGTATGTTTGTACCATTTAACCAGTCCTTTTCATCTTTCCCCGTCTCCCTGACTCACCTTTCCCATTCTCTGTTGTCTGTCTTTACTCTCTACTTTTAGGTGACCAAACTTTTTAGCTCCCACATATCAGTGAGAAAATACAATAATTGCCTTTTTGTATCTGGCTTATTTCATTTAAGATAATGACTCCAGTTTGATGTTTATGCAAATGACATTACTTCATTCTATTTTATGGCTGAATAGTTTTCCATTTTGTTTATGTATGCCACATTTTTGTGAGCCATTCATCATTGATGGACATTTAGGTTGATTTTATATCTTTGCTATTCTGAGTAGTGCTGCAATAAACATGTTAGTGCAGGTATCTCTTTGATATACAGATTTCTTTCTGTGAAGCCTTTTGTGATTTAACCTCCAGTTTCATCTATTAGACATCTATTATTTACTGACCAGTATCTATTCTAACAACATTATCATGGACATCCTTAAATAAATGTCTCCTACTACAGGTTTCAAGTTTGCCTGGGATTGAAGGGTTGGAGGATGTGGGACTTCCAATGCAAAAACTGGGACAGTGAAAACCAGGATAGTTGGTCACCCTACCATGGATGGGACCTGACCTTCTGTCTAGTCACTTTTGTTTAAAATATATTTCCCCCATTAAGCTTTGATGTTCTTTGAAGGCAATGTCCTCCCGTTGGTCCTTGGCATATAATACTTTTCTTGATGCTTAATAAATATTCAGTGAATGATTTTCTATTTTCAAAGGGCTTAAAATAGCTCTTGGGGTATGAACATATTTATTTTATGGGTTGTTTCCTTCCTGTTAATAGTAGCACTGTGATATGGTTTGGCTGTGTCCCCACCCAAATCTTATCTTGAATTCCCATGTCTTTCCCTTGCTGTTCTCATGATAGAGAGTAAGTCTCACAAGATCTGATGGTTATTATAAGGGGGAATTTTCCTGCACAAGCTCTCTTTTTGTGTGCTGCCATCCATGTAAGACATGACTGGCTGCTCCTTGCCTTCCACCGTGATTGTGAAGCCTCACCAGCCGTGTGGAACTGTAAGTCCAATAAACTTCTTTCTTTTGTAAATTGCCCGGTCTCAGGTGTGTCTTTATCAGCAGCATGAAAATGGACTATTACAGTAAATTGGTACAAGTAGAGTGGGGTGCTGCTGAAAAGATACGTGAAAATGTGGAAGCAACTTTGGAACTGGGTTATAGGCAGAAGTTGGAACAGTTTGGAGGGCTCAGAAGAAGACAGGAAAATGTGGGAAAGTTTGGAACCGTAGAGACTTGTTGAATGGCTCTGATCAAAATCCTGATAGCCATATGGACAATAAGGTCCAGGCTGAGGTGGTCTAAGATGGAGATGAGGAACTTCTTGGGAACTGGAGCGAAGGTGACTCTTGCTATGTTTTAGCAAACACACTGGTGGCATTTTTCCCCTGCTTTAGAGATTTGTGGAACTTTGAACATGAAAGAGATAATTTAGCGTATCTGGTGAAAGAAATTTCTAAACAGCAAAGCATTCAAGAGGCGACTTGGGTCCTGTTAAAGGCATTCAATTTTATAGGGAAGCAGAGCATAAAAGTTCAGAAAATTTGAAGCCTGACAATGTGATAGAAAACAAAAGCCCATTTTCTGAGGAGAAATTGAAGCTGGCTGCAGATATTTGCATAAGTAATGAGGAGCCTAATGTTCATCCCCAAGACAGTAAAGAAAATGTCTCCAGGGCATGTCAGAGGTCTTCTTGTCAGCCCCTCCCATCACAGACTAGGAGGCCTAGGAGAAAATGGTTTCATGGGCCAGGCCCAGGGTTCCTGTGCTGTGTGCAATCTATGAAGTTGGTGGCCTGCATCCTGGCCACTCCAGCCATGACTAACAGGGGCCAAGGTACAGCTCAAGCTGTTGCTTCAGAGGATGGAAGCCCGAAGCCTTGGCAGCTTACATGTGGTGTTGAGCCTGTGGGTGCCCAGAAATCAAGAATTGAGGTTTGGGAACCTCTGTCTAGATTTCAGAAGAGTTATAGAAATGCCTGGATGCCCAGACAAAAGTTTGCTGCAGGGATGGGGCCCTCATGGAGAACCTCTGCTAGGGCAGTGTGGAAGGGAAATGTGGGGTTGGAGTCCCAACACAGAGTCGCTACTGGGGCACTGCCTAGCAGAGCTTGAGAAGAGGGCCACCATCCTCCAGACCTCAGAATGGTAGATCCACCGACAGCTTGCACTGTGCACCTGGAAAAGCTACAGACACTCAACACCAGCCCGTGAAAGCAGCTGGGAGGGAGGCTGTACCCTGCAAAGCCACAGGGGTGGAGCTGCCCAAGACCATGGCAGCACACTTCTTGCATCAGCGTGACCTGCGTGTGACACATGGAGTCAAAGGAGATCATTTGGAGTTTTAAGATTTGACTGCCCCGGGCCGGGCGCGGTGGCTCACGCCTGTAATCCCAGCACTTTGGGAGGCCGAGGCGGGTGGATCATGAGGTCAGGAGATCGAGACCATCCTGGCTAACAAGGTGAAACCCCGTCTCTACTAAAAATACAAAAAATTAGCCGGGCGCGGTGGCGGGCGCCTGTAGTCCCAGCTACTCGGGAGGCTGAGGCAGGAGAATGGCGTGAACCCGGGAGGCGGAGCTTGCAGTGAGCTGAGATTGCGCCACTGCAGTCCGCAGTCCGGCCTGGGCGACAGAGCGAGATTCCGTCTCAAAAAAAAAAAAAAAAAAGATTTGACTGCCCCACAGGATTTCAGACTTGCATGGGGCCTGTAGCCCTTTTGTTTTGGCCAATGTCTCCCATTTTGGATGGCTGTATTTACCCAATGGCTGTACCCCCATTGTATCTAGGAGGTAACTAACTTGCTTTTGATTTTATAGGCTCATAGGTGGAAGTGATTTGCTTTGTCTTGGATGAGATTTTGGACTGTGGACTTTTGAGTTAATGCTGAAATGAGTTAAGACCTTGGGGAACTGTTGAGAAGGCATGATTGGTTTTGAAATGTGAGAACATGATATTTGAGAGGGACCAGGCTGGAATGATATGGTTTGTCTGTGTCTCCACTCAAATCTCATCTTGAATTCCCATGTTTTGTGGGAGGGACTTGGAGGGAGGTAATTTAATCATGGGGGCAGATCTTTCCCATGCTGTTCTTGTGATAGAAAGTAAGTCTCATAGGATCCGATGGTTACTGTAAGGGGGAGTTTTCCTGCACAAGCTCTCTTTTTGCCTGCTGCTATCCACGTAAGACATGACTGGCTGCTCCTTGCCTTCTGCCATGATTGTGAAGCCTCCTCTGCCATGTGGAACTGTAAGTCCAATAAACTTCTTTCTTTTGTAAATTTCCCAGTCTTGGGTATGTCTTTATCAGCAGCATGAAAACTGACTAATACACACTGTTAATAAGAGTTTAATTAAAAACCCCCAGAAACAGTCTAAATGTCCATTAACCAAATAATGTATAAGTACATGTTGAATAAATATACTATGGTCCAGTCACTGGAATAGTATACAGAAACAAAAATTAGTTGACTACCAATGTACAAAGCAGATTGATGAATCTTGAAATTATAATTTGTATTATATTTGGAAGATACAAAAGAATACATAATAAAATACGTATCAAATATATTTTAATATCTGCTAAAGGGGAAAAGAAAAAAGACTTCCATTATCAATCAATATGTGTGGGATTTTATTATTTTCATCAATACTATTACTTTTAGAAGCAGCTACTACTATTGAACATTCATTCCATGCCACACATTTAGCCCTTAATATACATTATCTTATTTGATTTTACTTTTTCAATAACTCTGCACTCTATAGGTGAAGAAACCAAGATACTGAGGTAGTAAATGCCTTACCAAGATATTGAGGTAGTAAATGCCTTACCTTGCCTTGCCAAACCAAGATACTGAGGTAATAAATGCCATATAAATATGCTGTTAGTGTTAAAGCCAGATTTCAATGCTGGTCCTACCTGGATTCAAAACTAACATTTGTTCAATGTACTATATTAATAATCCATCTAATGATCTCAATTATCTGTTAATGTGAATGCTCTTTGTGGTAAACACACTGCAGGGGTCCCCCTCCTCCTATCTCCATGATCCTTGCCTCCCAGTATTTATGTCTTTGTATAATCTTTTCTGCTTGAGTTGAGGCAGGACCTGTTACTTGCTTCTAACCAGTAGAATATGGCAAAGGTGATAGATGTCACTTCTGTGATTACATTACATTATATAGGATTCCATCTTGCTATCAGAATTATTCTGGAGACTGTCTCCTTAGGCCCATATGACAGCCCTCAGCTCAAGATAGTCTCCAGCTAATTTCCAGCAAGAAGCCAGGGCTCTGAGTCCTAGAGGCACATGGAAATGAATTCTGCCAACAGTCAGCTTGAAAGAGGATGCTTCTCTAGTTGAGCCTCCACATGAGAACCCAGCCCAGCTGACGGCTTGAGTACAGCTTTATAAGACCCTAAGCAGAGGACCCCCGCTTAATTTGTGCCTTAATTCCTGCCCTAAAACACAATTAGGTAATAAATGGGTGCTGTTCTCAGTTGCTATGCTTGTGATAGTTTGTTATGCTACAAAAGAAAATGAATACACTATCTTTTTTAAAAAATCATTTTTTCCCTCAAAGACAAGTTATGCACTTATTATGGGAGATTATTCTACATGTTTATAGAAGGCCTTAACCAGAGTTTGGAACTGGACTGCCTGCCTGATGATGTAATTATAGGAATTATATCCCAAAAATTAGTAATATTATGAAACTTGTAAGAGTACAAAATAATATCTTTGTGCATACTGCCCACTTTGAAGCTCAGTTAGTGCTACTTTGACTAGGTATGGTGTCATGCTGAGGGTCAGGTTCCAGCCCCAGCTGAGGGTTGAGGGGAGTGGGTGGACATGGGGCAGGGAGCTGGAAGAACACTTGAGAGACAGCAGGTAAATGAGACATGGCTTTATTCAGAAGCCTCTTCTCAGGGTCAGTGTTACATTTATACACTACACAAACAATAGTGGCTGAGAGCCAGATTGGGTGCTTTTCTATGTTATGTCAACATGGCTATGATTATATAAGGCATGGGACTATGCGCCTGTGCTACAAACTCGCTGAGTCATCCAGGCTGTTTACCTTGGCCTATGCCTGCTGCCCTATGCCTGCTTGGCTGCAGCACAGCCATGTTCCTTACATATGGCATTGTTGAAATTGAAATGTCATAGCCACACTGCAGAAGAGAGACATCCACCAGTCCTCATTAGACAACATAGCTGTATTAAATCCTGCTCTCTTCAGAAGCCAAGACCTATGCATTCCTTCATGAATAGCTTTTAAAGGTTAATTAAAAGCAGTGAGTAATAAAAATTTATAAGCTTCTGCTTATAATTTTTAATGGTACCATTTCTGACCTTTTGATTGTGATCCCATGATGTACTATCCAGATGCCAGTTGTTCACTGTTCCCAACAACTTAAAGGAGAACTCAACAGAACATAGAGTCCTTGCTTTTCCAGGAAAGTTTCTTCAAGGTTTGTTCTGGTGATGACAAATTCCTATGGCTGTTAGGTTTTCTGTTGTGAATGGGATATTCTTTTCTTGGAGATTCACAATCTACATTAGCATTTAATAAATATCAAAAAGTTTCAACTAAGAAAAATAATTAACAATTTCTTTACTAGCATTACATGTACTTATTTGTCCTCAGAAAGCTTTCTCAAAAACACCTTAAAAACTTAATAACTCCTGCTTGAGAAAGAGTGTGTGAAAAGAATGAACTCATCAATTTGGAATCTTTATTTTAAAAAATATTTACAGTAGCCTTCACACTTGAAATTTGAAGCATCAAATCTATTAAATAACAAAACAATATCAGAGCAAGTAAAACTAAAAGTTCACATGGAAAAATTTAACAATAAAACATTATTAGAAACTAAGTAGTAATATGTGACCAAGACTGGTCAAGAGATAAACTTGCACATATTAATGCTGTTATGCTCAGCTTTTATGTCCCAGATAAGACTAATAAAGAATGATGTCAATGTTAGGAAGGAAGATTAACTACATAGCAATATATTTGTATTGTCAATTTGAATATTTTACTGAAATATCAGCAAATGGTATATATTTGAATTTTCTAACACAGAAGTAAATTGTCTTCTGTCTTCAAATTTTATTTGTATTCACCAACACCAATAAGGCAGGGGTATGTTCCCACATGCCAACTTAGCTACAGTGATCTCTTTGCAGTTTCATAAACACAGCACCATCTCCCACCTTAGCACTTACTGTCTTTCTGCCTGAAATTCTCTTCCTCCAAATGTCTGAATGGCTTACTCCCTTGTTTTATCCAGGTATTTGCTCAAATATCTCATCAGCTCTTTCCTGGCTACCTTCCAAAAAGGGGCACATCACCAGCCTCACTTCCTCATCCCTTTACTCTTTATATTTTTCTTAATTGAAATAATCTATACTTGAGATAGTTTCTGTTGGCTTACTTGCTTATTGACTATTTACCCTAGATACCCAACTGCAATATAGGTTTCTTGACAGCAGAGATTTTGTTCAGTTGTGGATCCCCAGCATGTAGCATAGAGCATAATTCTCAGGAAGTATGAAATAAATAGCACATGAATTAATGGAATAGCAGAAGTTCATCCTTCAGAAGAGACTTATGGGCAGTCGTTTAAGGTAAGTTTAACATAGGAAAAGCAGTGAAATTCACCATATTAAGACTAAAAAAGAAATATGCAATCATCTCAATGCATATAAAAACACATTTAACAAAATCTGACATATATTTTTAATGAAAACTGTGCACACACTAGAAATAGAAGGGAACCCTCTCAACCTGATAATCATAACTACAAGAAAAGCTACAGCTAACATCACAATGGTAAAAGACTAGATGCTAGATGCTTTCTTCTAATATTGGAAACAAGGCAAGGATGTCCACTGCCAGCACTTATATTCAACATTACACTAGAGGTCCTAGTCAGTAAAATAAGGTGAGAAAAAAATTAATAAAAGCCCTCCAGAAAGGAAAAAGAGCAAATGAAACAAGTCTATTTACAGATGACATAATTGTCTATATAGAGCATTATATGGAGTCTATTAAAATGTTACTAGATCCAATATGTGAATTTAGCAAGATGGCAGAGTAAGAAATGAAACATACAAAATTTATTGTGTTTCTATAAACTAGTGATGAATAATTGGAAAATGAAATTTTAAAACATTATCATTGCTACCATGAGCCAATAAATTGAAAAATTTAAGATAAATGGATAAATTCCTAGATACTATCAAGATTGAACCAGGAAGAAATTCAAAACCTGAACAGACCAAAAACAAGCAATGAGTTCAAAGCCATAATAAAAAGTCTACTAGTAGAGGCTGGGTGCGGTGGCTGATGCCTGTAATCCCAGCACTTTGGGAGGCTGAGGTGGGCAGATCACAAGGTCAGGAGATCGAGACCATCCTGGCTAACACAGTGAAACCCTGTCTCTACTAAAAATACAAAAAAAAAAAAAAATTAGGCATGGTGGCAGGTGCCTGTAGTCCCAGCTACTCGGGAGGCTGAGTCAGGAGAATGGCATGAACCCAGGAGACGGAGCTTGCAGTGAGCTGAGATCGTGCCACTGCACTCCAGCCTGAGTGACAGAGTGAGACTCCATCTCAAAAAATAAAAAATAAAAAAAGTCTACTAGTAGAGAAAAGCCCAGGACCTGATGACTTCACTGCTGAATTCCACCAAATATTTAAAGAAGAACTAATACAAATCCTATTCCAACTATCATGAAAAATAGAGGAAGAGGGAATACTTCCAAACTCATTTTACTAAGACAGTATTACCCTAATATCAAAACCAGAAAAAGACAAATCAAAACCAGAAAAAAAAATCCCAAAAATCCTAAAATTTATATGGAACCACAAAAGACCCAGAATAGCCAAAGCTATCTTAAGTAAAAATAAGAAAACAGGAGGAAGCATATTAACTGCCTTCAAATTATACTACAGAGCTGTAGTAACCAAAACAGCATGGTACTGGCAAAAACAGACATAGACTAATGACCCAGAATAGAGAGCCTACAAATAAATCTACACATCTATGGTGAACTTGTTTTTGACAAAGATGCCAAGAACATACACTGGGGAAAAGAGTCTCTTCAATCAATGGTGCTGGGAAAACTGGATATTCATAAGCAGAAGAATAAAACTAGATGCCTATCTCTCACCATATACAAAAAAATAAAATCCAAATGAATTAAAGACTTAAATCTAAGTCATCAGACTGAAACTACTACAAGAAAACATTGGGCAAAATCCCCAGGCATTGGTCTGGGCAAAGATTTCTTGAAAAATACCCCACAAGTACAGGCAACCAAAGAAAACATGGACAAATGGGATCACATCAAGTTAAAAAGCTTCTGGACAGCAAAGGATACAATCAACAAAGTGAGGAGACAACCCACAGAATGGAAGTAAATATTTGCAAACTACCCCTCTGACAAGGGACTAATGTCCAAAATACATGAGGAACTCAGACAACTCCACAGGAAAAAAATCTAATAATCCAATCAAAAATGGGCAAAAGATTTTAATAGTTATTTCTCGGAGGAAAACATACAAATATCAAACAGACATTCAAAAGGTGTTCAACATCATTGATCATCAGAGAAATGCAAATCAAAACTACAATGAGATATCATCTCACTCCAGTTAAAATGTTATAGACAGGCAATAACAAATGCTGGAAAGGATTTGGCCTTGTACGCTGTTGGCGGGAATGTAAATTAGTACAACTAAGATGAAGAAGAGTTTGGAGGTTCCTCAAAAAACTGAAAATTGAACTACCATATGATCCATCAATCCAACTTCTGGGTATACACCTAAAAGAAGCAAAAATTGTATATTGAAGATATATCTGCACTCTTATTTTTGTTGCAGCCCTATTGATTATAGGCAAGATTTAGAAGCAACCTAAATGTTCATCAACGGATGAATGGAAAAATAAAATGTAGTACATATACACAATGGCGTACTATTTAACCATTAAAAAAAATGAGATCCTGTCATTTGCAACAACATGAATGGAACTGGAAAATATGTTAAGTGAAATAATAAATAAGCCAGGCATAAAAAGGCCAACATCACATGTTCTCACTTATTTGTAGAATCTAAAAATCAAATCAATTGATCTCATGGACATAGAGAGTTGAAAGATGGTTACCAGAGGCTGGGAAGGGGAGTAGGGTGAGGGCAAGGGTGGGGATGGTTAATGGGTACTAAAAAATATAGAAAAAAATGAATAAGACAAACTAATAGCACAATCAGGTAATTATAGTCAATAATAATTGTATATTTTAAAATAACTTAATATAATTGGATTGTTTTTAACTCAAGGGATAAATGCTTGAGGGGATGGATACCCCATTCTTCATGATGTGCTTATTTCACGTTGCATGCCTGTATCAAAACACCTCATGTACCTCATGGATATTTACACCTACTACGTACCCAAAAAATTCTAAAAATAACTTTTTTTAAATATTGTCATTTATAACAGCACCAAATTTATCAAATATTTAGAAACATTTTTGATAACATTTTAAAGTGTGTACACTCAAAACTGCAAAAATTGCTGAGAGAAAATTTTAAAAATACCTAAATAGAGTGATACTGTGTTAATGGATTGGAAGAGCTAAAAATTATTAAGATGTTGGTTCTCTTCAAACTGACTTTTTAATTTTTTTTTATTATACTTTAAGTTCTAGGGTACATGTGCACAATGTGCAGGTTTGTTACATATGTACATGTTGGTGTGCTGCACCCATAAACTCGTCATTTACATTAGGTATATCTCCTAATGCTATGCCTCCCCCCTCCCCCCACCCCACAACAGGCCCCGGTGTGTGATGTTCCCCTTCCTGTGTCCAAGTGTTCTCTTTGTTCAATTCCCACCTATCAGTGAGAACATGTGGTGTTTGGTTTTTAGATTTAATTAAATCCCAATAAAAATAATAGCAGGCTTTACTGTAGAACTTGGCAAGCTGATTCAAAGTTTACATGTAAACAAAGGACCTAGAATAGTCAAGATAGCTTTAAAAAGAGGAAAGTCTGAACACATGCAACACCTAAGTTTCAAGACATATTATGAAGCTATAATAATCGAGAGAGAGTGGTAATGGCATAAAAGCAGATGTATAGATCAATAAAAGAGAAAATAAAGTCCAAAAATAGAGTTTCACTTACATGGTCAAGATATTTTCACAAAGGTACCAAGGGAATTCAGTAGGGAAAATAATGGCTTTTCAACAAATGGTTCTAAAATTGTTAGATATTTACATGTAAAAAAAATGAGACCTGATTCATATATTGTACCCTTATAAAAATTAACTCAAAATGTATCACAGAATAAATACAAAACTAAAATATAAGACTTGTAGGAGAAAATATTTATGACCCAGGTTTAAGCAGAGATTTCTTAGATGTAACTTGAAGAGAATAATCCATAAAATTAAAACATGAAAAAAATAGTTGGGCTTAATCTATGTTAAACATTTCTCCTCCTTGGAAGACATTGATAAGAGAATAAACAAACAAGTCAAAGACTGGAATAAATATTTGAAAATCGCATATTGGAATTGTAACCAATTAAGGAATTGTGACCAAAATATACAAAAATCTCTCAAAACACAACAAAATGAACACAGAGAACTCAATCTAAAAACTGGGTAAGAAATTTAAACAGTTACTTCACTAGAGAAAATACATGGATGGAAAATAAATGAATAAAAAGATACTCAATATTATTTATAATTAGGGAAATAAAATTAAAACCACAATTAGATACCACTATTTTTCCATCAGAATGCTTAAAATTAAAAAGATTAATCAAAGTGTTGGCAAAGCTGTGGAGCAACTGGAACTTTCACACAGTGCTATTTGTAATGAAATATGGTACAGCCACTTTGGAAAACAGTTTATTAATTTATTCAAAAGTTAAACATATATCTTTCCTATGACTCAGCTATTCCACTGGGCATTTATGCAAGAGAGATAAAAGCATATGTTCAAACAAATATTTGTATATGAATGTTCATAGCAGCTTTATTTTAAACAGCTGAAACCTAGAAGCAATCCAAATGTTCTTCAACAGGTGAGTGGATTAAAAAAATGTGGAATATTTATGCAATAGAATGTTTTTCAACCATATAAAAGAAGGAACTGTTGACACATCTAATTACCTGAATAAATATCAAATTATTTTGAATAAAGTGAGCCAGGTAAAAAAGAAGGCATATGATTTTATTTTATTTACATAATATTCTAGAAAATGCAAACTAATCTATTGTGACAGAATGTGGTTTGTATTTGCATGATGTAAGACAAGAAAGGGTGGGGAAAGGGATGGCAAAGAATCACAAGGACACTTTTAGAAGTAATAAATACACTTACTATTTTCATCATAGTGGTAGTTTCACAGTTGTGTGACATATGCCAAAACATCAAATTGAGCACTTGAAATATATGCCATTTATTTTATATCTGTTACACTTCCACAAGCCTTTAAAAGAGGAAGAGAGAGAGCAAATTTGAAGTGACAGAGATAGAATGAAATTGCTTTCTGCTTGTTTCTACCATGATGCCCTCATTCAATAAGCTGGTTACATTTCCTCATGGGTTTGTAGGACATATAATGAGAATATATATATATATATATACACACGCTATATATTATATATAGACTATGTATGTGTTATATATACATATATGTATTTATACATATATACATTTAATCGTATACATATAAACATTTAATAATACTTCTTTAAAAAGGCCTCTGAGAGACCCCTTGTTCCTTCCACCATGTGAGGGTATAGCAAGAAGGTGACATCTGTGAGGAAGTGGGCCCTCACCAGTCACCAAATTTGTCAACACCTTGATCTTGGATTTCTCAGCCTCCAGAACTGAGAGAGTGAGTGAGAGAGAGAGAGAGAGAGAGAGAGAAGTGGTTAGCACATGCCTCCATTTTATTACTTTGTTGACTGATTCAAAATCATGAAGTTGAATCTTTAAACTATTCGTAGCCTGAAATGGTTTGTGGTTTTAGAATTTCTTAACCTCAACTATCCCTTCCTCAGAAAAACTCACTTGGAAATTTGTTTAAATTATTAAAAGTAATCCCAAAGGAGAGTGGCCTAGTCAGGTCAATCATGATTCCCGTTTCTAAGGCAATGCATCTAGATTCAAAAAATAGGAGTAGATATTTCCAACTTACAGTTATCTTAATCATTGGACTGTGCCCAGAGTCTATTCATAGTGCTGTTGCTTCCAGCATATATTTCACTATGGATCGAACTCCAATTATGCTTTCTATAATTTTCTTTAAGTGCTAACAAGCAATGATACTCAAATATGTATATTGAGATTCTCATTTTCAACTGCTTTCTGAACATATGTGCCAAGATATCTTCTGAAATTGAAGATGCTTTAAAAACATTTATGACATTCCCCTTCCAATTATTATTTTTGTTATTATTGAGGCAGAGTCTCACTCTGTCATCCAGGCTAAAGTGCAGCGGTGCGATCTCGGCTCACTGCAACTTCCACCTCCTGGGCTCAAGCGATTCTCCTGCCTCAGTCTCCTGGGTAGCTGGGATTACAGTCATGCGCCACCAAACCTGACTAATTTTTGTATTTTTAGTAGAGACGGGGTTTTGCCATGTTGACCAGGCTGGTCTTAAACTCCTGACCTGAAGTGATCCGCCTGCCTCTCTTGCAATATTTTATTCCCGTCTTACTTTCCTATTTTTTCGTGATCATTAAAAATCCAGAAGCATATATTAGGTACAGTGTGGCAAAAAATAGAAATGATCAAATCATTTTGAGGGCATCAATGAAAGCTTTCAGTGAAGTTGGTTGAACTGCGCCTTGCAGGAAGAGGAAGAAGAATTCTCTAAGTAAACAGAAAGTTGCATTGCTATGGTCTGCGTGCTTGTGTCTCCCCAAAATATACAAAATATATATGTTAAAATCCTGCCTCCAAAGGTGATTGTATTAGAAAGTGGGACTTTTGGGAGGTATTTAGGTCATAAAGGCAGATTCCTAATGAATGGGATTAGCACATTTATAAAAAGGTCCCTGAGAAACCCTTTGTCCCTTCCACTATGTGAGTACACAGCAAAAAGGTGTCATCTGTGAAGAAGTGGGCTCTCACCAGACACCAAATTTGCCAGCACCTTGATCTTGAGCTTCCCAGCCTCCAGAACTCTTAAATATAAATTTGTGTTGTTTATAAACTATCCAGGTTATGGTATTTTGTTATAGCAGCTCAGATGAACTAAGACATGCATTCAAAAACAAAGAAAACTGCATAAACCAATGCATGAACTAGAAGCAGTGGCATGTGCCTTGGGGATCTGCAAGAAGTTCTATATGGCTATTGCACAGCATAGAGACTGTATGTAGAAGGAAGGTACACAGACAGGAAGAGGGTCCCAGAGAGGAGTAATGGTATATTTTTGTAATTTAAAATAATTCAGTACAGACAGAGGGATATATGTGTTTATCTACAACTTATTATAAATCTACACATCTACACCCTTGAGTAATTGGTTAACATTTGAGAGGAATTTTCCTAATATTGCAGTTCCCCAGGAAACACTCCTGAGTCCTAAGATTCCATGTAGGAGGTTACTGTGGAGCGTTCTCAAGAACCACAGGTGAGAGAAGGGAAGAAAGCCCTATCTGATGCAGTGGCAACAGATAAGTCAGCTAAGGAAGAGAGCTCCGGGGCTGGAATGACTCTTCAGAGTTATGTTAATTAAAGCAAGTGGGCTGGACCAGACCTTTGTGCTGTCCACATCAAGCAATCATTGGCTTCCAGCTGCCTCCAAGAGGAGGCTGGTCTTTTGTCCTGTTATATTATTGAGCTATGCTGCAGCTTGGTTTCTCCAGAAGACAAAAACTGAAACAGAGTTAGGAGTGCAGGTTAATTTTGCCATGTGGCAGACACTGAGACCTACTTAGGAGTGCACACATCCATTAGGGAATCAAATCTGTGAGAGAAATGAGGCAGAAGCTGGCTTAGGCAAGGGGAGGAACAGACCACCATGTGGAGCTGACAAAGTCTCTCTTAGCCCAGTAGGGAGTTCCAGAGCAAAGATTATTGATTACAGGAGTCCCGTGATGGGTGGAAATTACTAGGCCATTGTAGCACCACTTTGTTCAGTCTCTGGCCCAAGGCCACCATGAGAAGAGTGTTACCTTGGTTCAAAAATGGAGGGAAGAGCAAACTAAAAAAGCCAAAAGCTGGAGGATGTCAGCGAACCACACTCCTCGCATCTAGACAGTAAGGGCTTTCTTGAAGAAAGATCTGAGCTGCACACCTCCTATGTTTACCATGTCTGCCTCATGACTTCATGATCTTCTTCTTCTTCTTCCTTTTTTTTTTTTTTGAGACGGAGTTTCACTCTTGTCACCCAGGCTGGAGTGCATTGGTGCAATCTCAGCTCACTGCAACCTCCACCTCCCAGATTCAATCGATTCTCCTGCCTCAGGCTCCCGAGTAGCTGGGATGCCTCGTGATCGTCTAAGATCTATGGTGTAGTTATGGTGCTCTGCCCTTTTGTGGAATCTCTCTGTCCGGTTCGTGAGAACCTACAAAAATATCTGTTATTTGACTAACCATTCCTTGAAGTTTCTTCCAGGGCTGGGATTTTATTCTTTTTAAGTTTCCCTGAGATATTGCAAATACAAATGGCAAATGAACATATAATGAAGTCACTATTTTAGATGTACAAATACCACACACACTGGTACCTCTGAGGTTATTTGAACTGCTGAATAGAGTAACTTTTATGTTTCCAATTCTTGCTAATGGAGAGAGAAGATTGCCTCTGTGTTAATGTTGGATTTTAAAATATATCCTTTTTAAGCACTATTAAGCATGTTTTAGGTTACAAAGTATATTTTATTCATCTTTTCCATTATAACAGAAAAAATATTATAAGGAAATGTCTCAAACTTTTCTTTCTTACAGTTCAGTCTCATTGAAAAGAAAGATGTCTACATCATTGAGAAGAAAAAGAAGCCCAATGTGGATTCAGCACAATTAACACGGAGTACTTGTCAAGGCACAGACACTGCAGGAATAAATTGTAGGCTGCATTTCTGGTCTTAGGACTCAGTCAAATGGGACATACAAGCCATGCAAGCCAACAGCATAATTGAAGACAAGGTGTTGGAAAAACAATATGAACAAGTTTTTATAGGATCAAAGGAAAGAAAGAATTCGACTGGATCTGAGGAGTACAAGAATATTCCAGAATTGGGGAATAAATAGGAGAGATCAACAGAAAGGCCATTTGAATCAGAACCAGCAGGCAGGAAGTATGAAACCATCTAGCAGCCTGTTCTGTAAGGACAAAAGATCATTAAATAGGCAAATTGCAGAAAGCCAGGGATAGTATGGTTTAGCTTTCTTTAATTCCTCTTTGTTGAGTTTCCCATTGTCTTAGAAATTATTCAGGAGGTAAGACCTACTGGTGTATGGCACAGCAGGAATATCAGGCCTATTAATCACAATCAAGTCTCTAATGCTTGTATTAATAAATCATGTTTAATGTAGAATAATTTCTGAAAATAATGCCACAGATCAATAAATAAATCTCTAAGAAAAGCTGAAGTTCCCAGGGTCATATCTGAGAACTTGAGGCCAGGGGAGTTTAGACACTCTAAGTAGAAGACACCCAGGCAAGACTTTTGTGGATAAGGACAATTATACAAGTTCATAGCCTTCTGAAATAAGCTTAGTTCTAATAATCTCAGGAAAAACACAAAATAATTTAGCTATACTGATGGTTTTTGGAGAACAATTTTCCCCAGATTTAAAAAAGATGATGGATGTGGCTAAATCACTGTCCCTAACCTCTTTATAGAACCCAGAGGTTCCAGCCTTAAGATTTAATTTCCAGGGTTAGGATGCAAGAAGTGACTTACTTTTGAGTTCTACCAGGAAGCAAAATGGCACACATCAAAAATAACTCGTTTGGCGATTTCATGAGTTTCCAAGCACTTTATAAAATGTACAGTCATCAGCTTTTTTCTTATTGCAATAAGAAACTATTTAAATGCTAGAAAATTGTATATTTCCAGCTTCAAAATGAAATATGTCATCCAACAGAATTAAAGCAGTAACTACAGAAAGAGTAATCAATAAATAGGCTCTTCCTCTTACTACCCTAGAGAATGGGGAGATGTTATTTGATCAATTGTTTTTCTAAAATTTATGACTGTTAGAAGCCAAGTCTAAATTTATATAGAAAAAGTTCAAGGAAATGATGTAACTATTCTCTAAGAAGGTGATTTAAGCCTCTGGATTACAGGAGGTTTAAGATGTTGCCCTTGTGGTAATGCAGTGTTTTAACTTAAGGGCCATCGTGAACATCAATTTTCCCTCATGAAACAAATCACCAGCCAACCAAAACCTCTATTACTTCTATATTTCCTGAAGGACTCTTCCATTCCCAAATTGAGTGTATGAATTGCAGCCTCATAAAGGTACCACCGAAATGTGGCAGTCTCATTTGGAGACACACATTACAAAAGAGTTTCAGCCAAAATAGTTTGAATCAGAAAGTGGTCTTTGAATAGTGATTCAGCCTAATACATCACTAAGAAGGAGAAACAAATGAGGCATTGGAGACCTTTCATCCAAGTGTCAAATAGGAAAAGTCGTTCATGTACCATGGCATGTACAGGAAAGCAGTGATGTTTCAAGAACTAACTGGCAAAGACTATCAGATTTTAGAAACAAAGTCTGCATTTCATGATGCCCCAAAATCTAGTTGAAAACATAATATTCAATATTTGTTACCTCTTTTTTTGTATATTTATTTGTTATACTGAACTGAATTATTCACTTATTATTTGAAGTTATGTTCTTATAGGAAGCTAGGCACCAACCAGCAGTTGCTAATAATATACTATAATTTAGTAAGTAATTCAATTGAATAAAATTTATGACAAATTTAACAAACATGTTAATTAAAATGCATACTCACGCTGCAGCGTCACATTAATCTTTGTGCCACCAGTGCCTATGCCATGCTTAGTATGCATCAAATATTTGAGCAGTACACAAGTGAGTACTCTGAGAGCTCCCCCCACCAAAAATATGATGATTAAATACAGTTATGATCAGATCCCCAGAGTGTGGCTCTAAACTGTATGGGGGCCAAGTTTGAATACTGTTGTGTCTTACACTGTTATTACCTATCCAGTATCTATTTCCCCATATTCCTTATAAATAAAACCTAGATTTTGATTGGGACAGTAAGGTGTCCCACTGAAAACTCATTTCTCTAACCAATGTGATGCCAGTGCTTGCCCAAAAAGAGGGCATCCCTTCGAAATAAAAAGGCAAAGCTTCTTTTGCTTTTTATTTTTACTTCTTTCTGCTTGATAGCTAGGTATAATATCTAGTTTTGGTGCAGCCATGAGGATAACAGTTGCACATTTAGGATGGTGGAGAAAGTTAGAAAGAGGCTAAATCCTTGATAACACTGCAGAGCTATTGCTTCTATCATTAGCTTAATTCTAGGCTTCTCACTGAGTGAGAAAAATAGACTAATTGTTGAAACTATTGCTTTCATTTGCTTGAAGTCAAATATATTCCTTCTCTGTGTGTCCTTTTGACAATATCTTTAAAGTTATAAATACATAGAAATATCACTTTTCACCTTTATTCTTTTACAAGTATTACCTTGGTTCCAGAACATTGATTTGAGTGAACAAATGGTTAATGTTTGAAAACTTTCCTGAAATTTCTTGCCTCTAACAAGAGCCAGAAGGAAGACTGTTCACATATTCTTTATATCTTGAGCCAGATTGTCAATTCCTCCAGGCCTAATCCATTACTTTGTGATTATTGATTATTCAGTTTATGAAAATGAGTATGACACAAGTTCCTTCTTGCAAATCAGATGTCAATACCTCAGAAGGTCCTTCACCCAAATTATGGCAGCCACCCAGTCATTCACAACCACGGCATCTTGTTTTAATTTTTGGTATAGCCCTGATAAACCTCTGATACTTTTCTAATTTACTTATGTATGTATTCACGCATGTGTGCCTTTGTTTACTTTTAGTATCCTCCCCCAAGTGCTAGGATATGAGCAGAGAATTTGTCTGCTTTATCTAGAAATATATCCTTGGCTTATAGGAGACAAGTAGGCATATTTGTTGAATGACTGAATGACTGAATCAGTAAGTATGAGAATCAAAGAATTGTTAGATATAGTCACTGACCTGAGGAAATTTCAAAGACAAATAAGGAAATGAGAGACTTACTAGAAAATATGAAAAAATGAAGTTATAAGAATGCTTTAAAAAAAAGGCCAAGTGTGGTGGCTCACATCTGTAATCCCAGCACTTTGGGAGGCCAAGGCAGGAGGATCATTTGAGGTCAGGAGTTTGAGACCAGCCTGGCCAACCTGGCGAAACCCCATATCTACTAAAAATACAAAAATTAGCCAGACGTGGTTGTGGGTGCCTGTAATCCCAGCTACTCAGGAGTCTGAGACAGGAGAACTGCTTGAACCCAGGAGGTGGAGGTTGCAGTGAGCCAAGATCGTACCACTGCACTCCAGCCTGGGCAACAAGCAAGACTCTGTCTCTAAAAACCAAAAAAAGGATATTAAAAGGACAGAGGTACAGTCAGAACCCAATGAAGATAAGCCACAACTTGGATTTTTTAGTAGCTCAGAGGACCAAGACTTTCATATGGATTCAGGCAGCAGAGAGAGCAAAGCCATAGTGAAAGGAGGAGGGCTGGAGCAAAGCATGTTGTAGCATAACATATCTGTGAGTTTAACCAGTAAAAAAGGCTTGGTGTCTCTTTGAGAACATTTGTGATGTGGTTGGAAAAATGGGAGACTCTGCTCAAAGATTGTGGTTTTAGGATTGGCTATGCTGAGTTATTAGGTGAGTGCAAAAGTAATTGCAGTTTTTGCATTGTTGGAATTTGCCATTTGATATTGGAATATACTCTTAAATAAATGTGCTTATGTTATACATCATTTAATGGGCACTTCTCACTTTCTATTTTTTCACTAATGACATTACTTGCTGTTTATTTTGTGTTTATTTTAGACAACGGAAACAATGTTAGATAAAAAGCAAATTCTAGCGACTTTCTTATTTGAGTTCAAAATGGGTCGTAAAGTAAGCAGCAAAGACAATTCACATCATTAACAAAGCATTTGGCCCAGGAACTGCTAACGAACGTACAGTGCAGTGGTGGTTCAAGAAGTTTTGCAAAGGAGACGAGAGCCTTGAAGATGAGGAGCGTAGTGGCCGGCCATCAGAAGTTGACAGTGACCAATTGAGAGCAATCATCAAAGCTGATGCTCTTACAACTGCATGAAAAGTTGCTGAAGGAGTCAATGTCGACCATTCTACGGTTGTTCAGCATTTGAAGCAAATCAGAAAGGTGAAAAAGCTCGATAAGTGGGTGTCTGATAAGCTGACCAAAAATGAAAAAAATTGTCGTTTTGAAGTGTCCTCTTCTCTTATTCTACACAACAATAACGAACCATTTCTCAGTTGGATTCTGATGTGCAAGGAAAAGTAGATGTTATATGATAAATGGCAATGACCAGCTCAGTGGTTGGGCCGAGAAGACACTCCAAGGCACTTCCCAAAGCCAAACTTGCACCAATAAAGGTCATGGTCACTGTTTGATGGTCTGCTGCCGGTCTGATTCACTACAGCTTTCTGAATCCCAGTAAAACCATTACTTCTGAGAAGTACGCTCAGCGCATCAATGAGATGCACCAAAAACTGCAACACCTGCAGTTGGCATTAGTCAACAGAAAGGGCCCAATTCTCTACAACAGCCAACTGCACGTCACACCACCAATACTTCAAAAGTTGAACAAATTGAGGTGGGAAGTTTTTGCTTTATCCACCATATTCACCTGACCCCTTGCCAACCAACTACCACTTCTTCAAGCATCTCAACAACTTTTTGCAGGGAAAATGCTTCCACAACCAGCAGGATGCAGAAAATGCTTTCCAAGGGTTCGTCGGATCCCAAAGCATGGATTTTTATGCTACAGGAATAAACAAACTTATTTCTCCTTGGCAAAACTGTGTTGATTGTAGTGGTTCCTATTTTGATTAATAAAGATGTATTTGAGCCTACTTATAATGAATTAAAATTCACAGTTCAAAACTGCAATTACTTTTACACCAACCTAATAGTTTATACCTAGCTTTGCTGAGCCTCAAGTTCCTTATTTGATAAATGGGGATGAGAATGCTTACCTCACTGAATTGTAATCAGGATTAAAAGAGACAGTATGAAAGCAATTTGAGAAGCATGAGTAATTATGAAAATGGCTAACAGCTCTTGAGTTCTTATTATGTGTCAGGCACTGGAGTCATCACTTCACACAGATGATCTCTTTTAATCCTCAGAACAACCCAGAGGAAAAGACAATATCCAGGTTTCAACGTCAAAGGGAGAGAGCCAGCTAGGAGCAGAACTGGGCTGGGGAGGGGTTTGGGGTTTGGTTGATGGAAGAACAGCTCTTGGGAAAACATTCCTTTCTTTGACCACCTCATCTAACAATTGCTCTGATGATCCACAGTTCCACGACTTATTTCACACTTAAACTAGGAGGATGATATCCAAACGTGGCCACCAGGTGAGACATATATATACATCCCATTTTCACCAAGCATCCAAGGATCTACTTTGGCAAAATACATTCAACAACTTGGGGTAATTCTGTAACTTCCTTGGAGAGGAAAGTGAGCCTCTTCAAATTTACTTTTTGCATCCAATTGTTCACAAGCCAAGTGTATTTTTAAAGATACATTTCTTTAACTGCCATCACATGCAAATTTCTAAGGAAATTAGAATGCTGCCAAACATCTTCCAGAAATGGAGGTAGTAACTCTTGCACAGAAAGAACATGTACCATAAGTTAGAAAATCCTGAATAGAATTCCAAATATTCCAGTCATGATTTACCCAAGCAGAATGGCATAAGAATTAGGAGCATAGTCTCCAGGCTGACAAATCTGTTTACTGCCTGGCTGTCACATATTGTTCTGTAAACTTGGGGATGTTTATTTATTCACCATGTAAAATCATTTTTCTCAAGTGTAAAATGGAAACAAAAAAACGTATTACTCCAGTGCTACTGTGACAATTAAATGAGATGATATATATGAAGCAAAGGATTGTGTGGTTCTCAGGGACAGTACTGAAAATGGTAAATTTTTTTCTTTTTACTACTAATTTGTTAAGTCTTTCAGATTTCTCACTTGGTACTTTAGCTATCTTTATTATGTGCTACTCATGACAAAATTTAGGTTTTGATGTAATTTAAGTATTGGAAAATACAATAAGCATATTACCTCTTTGATAATTATCCTTTTAGCACAAGTTAGCATTCAGTCCAGCCAAAATTACATAATGCTAAATGCTGAAATTAGTTTACATAAAAGTTAGTGGGCCGGGCGCAGTGGCTCACCCCTGTAATCCAAGCACTTTGGGAGGCCGAGGTGGGCGGATCACCAGATCAGGAGATCGAGACCATCCTGGCTAACACGGTGAAACTCCAACTCTACTAAAAATACAAAAAATTAGCCAGGCGAGGTGGCGGGCGCCTGTAGCCCCAGCTGCTAGGGAGGCTGGGGCAGGAGAATGGCGTGAACCCGGGAGGCGGAGCTTGCAGTGAGCTGAGATCGTGCCACTGCACTAGAGCCTGGGCGACAGAGCTAGACTCCATCTCAAAAAAAAAAAAAATTAGTGTTCTGCAGACTCTGTGATATTTGTGGTTTAGTATCAGTTCTCAAAATGGAGATAGTACATGTGATATCACCCAGAAAACTCCAGCCAAACCTACTATTTAATACTAAATAGTAAAATAGTCAATATGTACACTCAGTACATTTACATAGTTCTAATCAGCATGGGATCATTAAGTGTTGATGTTCTGTTATTCTTTATGGAGATTTTGTTTTAGTTCTCAAGAAGGATTTTCAAAATCATCTAAGGGATTCATTTACTCATGTTTCTGAATCAATATATGCCAAAAGATTTTCTCTCTTTACCAGAAAATTTACATAATATATTATTCCTCTAATTTGTGATTCTCTATGCCTGTGGGAAAATATAAAAGAAATCTTAATATAATTGTTATTCTATGGAAATGATATTCATGTACATTTCTTGTGCTTCCCTATGCGTAATTTTAAGAGTGGAATTGGCCCCTTATTTAAACTCTGAGATTTATTTGCTCTCTCTTAAAGAGACAGAAGACTCCTAATTGGAAATAAAAATTGTAGCCTAGATACTTATTCAAATATTTAATAGGACCTGCGTTGTTAAGTTCGAAATTTCACTCCAGCATTACCAGTGAATTTTATATTTTATTCTATTTAGAATCTATGTTGTTATATTTTTGGTAGTTGTAATCATGCCTGTTTCCCCAGCTAGAATGCAAACTCTTTTGAGTTTGGACCATTTAATTAAGCTTTGGAACATTCACCCCCAACTCACAGGTCATCTGTAACATAACAGATCTCGCCGTCCACTTAAAGTGGGTGAATGAACTTCGTAGGGGGTAAATTATGCCTCAAGAAGGTTGGGATTACAGGCCTCAGCCACCACACCAGGCCTTTGTTGTCGTATTTGATTGTTCCTTCCATGTGCTTGAGGCTCCACTGGCTCTCTGGGTCATTGTCTGCGTCTTTACTCATTTTATGCCAGAGAAGGTAAAGAGAGATATCTGGTAAATTTGGAAAAAAATTATCTGGGCCTGTGTATTAGTTCATTCTCACACTGCTGTAAAGAAATACTTGAGACTGGGTAATTGATAAAGAAAAGAGGTTTAATGGCTCACGGTTCTGCAGGCTGTACAGGAAGCATAGCAGCTTCTGCTTCCGGGGAGGCCTCAGGGAGCTTTTACTCATGGCGGAAGGCAAAGCGAGAGCATGGCTGGAGCAGGAGGAGGAGAGAGAGAGTGGGGAGGTGCTACACCCTTTGTTTTTGAGACGGAATTTCGAAGTTTCACTCTTTTCCCAGGCTGGAGGGCAATGGCGCTATCTCGGCTCACTACAACCTCTGCCTCCCAGCTTCAAGTGATTCTCCTACCTCAGCCTCCCCAGTAGCTGGGATTACAGGCCCCCACCACCACGCCTGGCTAATTTTTGTATTTTTAGTAGAGATGGGGTTTCACCATGTTGGCTAGGCTGGTCTCAAACTGCTGACCTCAGGAGATCCATCCACCTCAGCCTCCCAAAGTGCTGGGATTACTGGCGTGAGTACACACTTTTAAACAAGCAGATCTCTTGAGAACTCCATCATGAGAACAGCACTAGGGGGATGGTGCTAAACCATTCCTGAGGGACCACCCCCAGGACCCAATCACCTCCCACCAGGCCCCATTTCCAATATTGGGGATTACAATTCAACATGAGATTTGGACAGGCACAGAGATCCAAACCATGTCAGCCTAGTTCTACTAATCCTGCCCTTCTTTTATTGGAATTCTCCAGGTCTCTGCTGCTCTCTGCAGCGAGGAAAGACCTGTTCTACAATAATCCAGCACTGCAGGCTGGACTAATCATCTTTCCAACACGTGGTTCACTTAGCAAGCCTATTTGGCCTCACACATCCTACACTTAGCTCTTACTAGTAACTGAAATGGCACTTTGCCTTCTGCTTGCCACTCCTTATTTTTCACAAATGTTCACAAATCCAGGTGAAGAAAAGAGGTGCTCTTTGTTGAGCTTCCTTGGAAACACTGATTCTATACTTTTATTTCTCATCTTGGTAATTCTTATGGTGTGGAGGTTCATGTACCTTCAGAGTTTATATGCTGAAATCCTAACCCCCAGGGTGATGATGTAAGGAGGAGGGGTCTTTGGAAGGTGATGAGATCATGGGAGTAAATTTCTGTCTTTAAAAGCTATCAGTTTATGGCATTTTGTTATAGCTTCCCAAATAATGAAACCCAATAGCTACTGTGAATTAAGTAGTATACTTAACCTCCATTTTATTCCAATAAATGTAATCATTTGACTCCCTTCTATTAAGCCCTCACCTCTACGTGCACATTTTATCTCTCCCCATTACCTCTCACCTTCCATCAGTAGCGTCTCTAATTTTACATTATAATGCCTATTAACGTTTATGTTCTGTTCTATAATCATAATTAAATATTTATGCTATCTCTGTGGAGGTATTCTAAGAGCTGAAAACTAGTAAACAGCAGTTACAGTATAATGACTACATAAATATTCAATGAAGGGCCAACTCACGTGCTACTATTCTATTTCCTTCACTTTATTCCCATATCACCCACTCCCATAGCAATCAACGTGTAATGATCCTAAGCATCCTGGTCAAATGATTCTCCATAATTATACTTCAATATTTGCTCAAAATCATGCCTTATTTAATGTATCTCACACTTGGACACTAACTTTATAGACAGGGTTAGCTGTTATTTTTCCTAGAGTTCATATTTGTCTTCCAGGCATTTGTATTTATCCTTACTGAGAGAAGAAGCATATTATTTCTTCACTGTGTCACTACTGTAAACCTGCTCATTTGTCATTCGATTTATTAATTGGAATGCCCATTCATCTTTCTGAGAACCTCCTTGCAGCCTACTAACTTCAAGTTCCAATTTCCCATTTGTTACTTTCTGGGCCCACTGTCCACTTGTTATGCTGAGATTTCTTTTGACTGACTTCCTAGGTCAGCTCAGCTGGTTTTTCTACCTTGTATTCTCTGCCACTCAAACACTGTCATTTGATCAGTCTCTATGCATTTACCAAGTATTTACTATGTACAAGGCATAGTATTATATACTATGAAAATTCAAGGCAAATCAAAGTTTGTTCTGCACCAAAAGAGTTAATAGGTTAAGTCTTGAACACACATATAAATAATCATAACATAAAAACTACAAGGAAGATAACAGAGAAATAGAATTTGACAAAGAAATTAGAATGAAAGAAATAGAAATATGCCATAGATGAAAAATTTAGGAGAGCATCAGATGTGAAGGGGTGAAGGGGAGATAGGGCATGGTGAGAGAGAGTCAAGGAAGGTCAGAGAATGCATGAGAAAGAAAGAAGCAATCTCACCTTGTTAAGCAACGGTTGTGCAAAAACATAGACACTTTCATAGTGAACAAAATGTTACACTGCTATTCTACATAGTATTGGAAGATCTGGCCAGGGCAATCAGGCAAGAGAAAGAAATAAAGGGTATTCGAATAGGAAGATAGGAAGTCAAATTATCTCTGTTTGCAGATTACATGATTGTATATTTAGAAAACCCCATTGTCTTAGCCCAAAAACTTGTTAAGCTGAGAAGAAACTTCAGCTAAGTCTCAGGATACAAAATCAATGTGCAAAAATCACAAGCATTCCTATACGCCAATAATAGACAAACAGCCAAATCATGAGCAAACTCCCATTCACAATTGCTACAAAGAGAATAAAATACCTAGGAATACAACTTGCAAGGGATGTGAAGGACCTCTTCAAGGACAACTACAAACCATTGCTTAGGGAAGTAAGAGAGGACACAAACAAATGGAAGAACATTCCATGCTCATGGATAGGAAGAATCAATATCGGGAAAATGGCCATGCTGCCCAAAGTAATTTATAGATTAAATGCTATTTCCATCAAGCTACCATTGACTTTCTTCAGAGAATTAGAAAAAAAAAAAACTACTTTGAATTTCATATGGAACAACAACAAAAAAAAGAGCTCGTACAGCCAAGACAATCCTAAGCAAAAAGAACAAAGCTGGAGGCATCACACTACCTGACTTCCAACCAAAAGAGCATGGTACTGGTACCAAAACAGATATATAGACCAATGGAATAGAACAGAGGTCTCAGAAATAACACCACACATCTACAACCATCTGATCTTTGACAAACCTGACAAAAACAAACAATGGGGAAACAATTCCCTATTTAATAAATGGTGTTGGGAAAACTGGCTAGCCGTATTCAGAAAACTGAAACTGGACCCCTTCCTTACACCTTATACGAAAATTAATTCAAGATGGATTAAAGATTTAAACATAAGACCTAAAACCATAAAAACCCTAGAAGAAAACCTGGGCAATACCATTCAGGACATAGGCATGGGCAAGGACTTCATGACTAAAACACCAAAAGCAATTGCAACAAAAGCAAAAATTGACAAATACAATCTAATTAAAGAGCTTCTGGACAGCAAAAGAAACTATCATCAGAGTGAACAGGCAAGCTACAGAATGGGAGAAAATTTTTGCAATGCATCTTTCTGACAAAGGGCTAATATCTAGAACCTACAAGGAACTTAAACAAGTTTAGAAGAAAAAAACAAACAACCCCATCAAAAAGTGGGTGAAGGATATGAGCAGACACTTTTCAAAAGAAGACATTTATGTGACCAACAAACACTTGAAAAAAAGCTCATCATCACTGGTCATTAAAGAAATGCAAATCAAAACCACAGTGAGATATCATCTCATGCCAGTTAGAATGGCAATCATTAAAAAGTCAGGAAACAACAGATGCTGGAGAGGATGTGGAGAAATAGGAACACTTTTACACTGTTGGTGGGAGTGTAAATTAGTTCAACCATTGTGGAACACAGTGTGGCGATTCCTCAAGGATCTAGAGCTAGAAATACCATTTGACCCAGCAATCCCATTACTGGGTATATACCCAAAGGATTATAAATCATTCTACTATAAAGACACATGCACACGTATGTTTATTGCGGCACTGTTCACAATAGCAAAGACTTGGAACCAACCCAGATGCCCATCAGTGTTAGACTGGATAAAGAAAATGTGGCAGGTATACATCGTGGAATGCTATGCAGCCATAAAAAAGAATGAGTTCGTGTCCTTTGCAGGAACACGAGTGAAGCTGGAAACCATCATTCTCAGCAAACTAACACAGGAACAGAAAATAAAACACCGCATGTTCTCACTCACAAGTGAGAGTTGAACAATGAGAACATATGGGCACAGGGAGGGGAACATCACACACTGGAGCCCGTCAGGGGGTGGGGGCCAAGGGGAGGGATAGCATTAGGAGAAATACCTAATGTAGATGACAGGTTGATGGGTGTAGCAAACCATTATGGCACATGTATACCTATGTAACAAACCTGCACATTCTGCACATGTATCCTAGAACTTAAAGTATTATAATAATAATAAAAAAATCCCTTTGCCTTCTGCCATGATTGTGAGGCCTCCCCAGACATGTGGAATTGTAAGTCCATTAAACTTCTTTTTCTTTATAAATTAAAAAAAAAGTTACAGTACTCTTAGTCTAAAGAGAAACTAAAACCAATTTCATCCATTTAGAAAATAACAAAACTGAATATTGAAACCCATGGGACACTGCCAAGATCATTCTCAGAAGAAAATCCATAGCAATAAATGTTGTATTATTACGGAGCAATAAAACCTGGGAGAAAAAAATGAACTAAGCACTAACCACAAGCACACTGAAAAATATCTAAAAAATAAATCTGATCTGTGAGACATATAAATTGATGAATATAAACTTTAAATATAATGAGTTAGACATCTAATTAAAAAGTTGAATTCAAACATAAAACCAAGAGTGGTTTTTTAGGAAAGTTAATGGAATAGATAGATTTTGTGGCACTTTTTTTTTAAGAACAAGAAAAGTCATTATATGGTGAAAGATACAGTTACTATAACACATATAATATTATAAGAAAGTAGTGTATATAAATATCACATAGAAAACTTGAAACCTCGATAAAATGATTGAATTGTTTGATATTATATATTATTAAAGTTGCTTATATATCAGAATAAACTAATAACTACAAAATAAATGTTTTTAGTGTCAAGGAACACCCTCTGCCCCTCCAAAAAGGGCAAGAAATTCAAGTATTTCTATATAAAGAATATTGCTTTAAATGTCTTAGGATTCAGGTAATGATGATGCAGACAGAAGAGGTGCAGACTAATCTAACTTCCTACTAAAACCCAAAATCTAAAATAAAAAATACAGATAAATCAAATCTAATGGAGCAGGAGGCCTGTTAAATTTTATTCTAAGAATGAAATTTATTTATTTGACAGGGATAATAAAAGGAGAAAGGGAGATAAAGGAATACAAGATGATTATCTGGATGTTAATTTGGGATACATAATGAAGAGTAACATTATTCATTGAGATAAGAAAGACAGCTTCGTGTAGATTGAAATATGTTGCTTGAATTTAGATATAAAGTTTGGGATATATATACAAATTTGGAGATATAATTACAGTATAAATCCGAGAGTCACAAGCATTAGCAAAATCAACTAGAGAGAGCCTTCAGAATTCTAACAGAACAGAATAAGATAATTAACTTTACCAAACATATTTTGAATATTGCATTAACCATCTATTGCTATATATATAGACAAATTACCTCAAAATTCATTCAGCAGTTTAAAACTCAAGAATAAACTATAATTATTCCTTGCATAGTTTCTGAGGGTCAGGCACCTGGGAGAATCTTAGCTGTGCTATTTTGGCCCAGATTCTCTCATGATATTGCAGCCAGGTTGTTGGCCAGGACTGCTTTAGCCATCGCAAATATTTTCCGGGGCCAGGGTATCTACTTCCAAGCTCACTCGTGGCTTTTCTTGCAGGCTTCAGTTCCTCACCAAATGGACCTCGTCATAGTGCCGCTCACAAAATTTAAGTTTGTTATCCCCAGCATAAAGGAACTAAGAGAAGGTGAGAGAGATATACACAAAGTGGAAGTAAAATCTTATAACCTAATATTGGAAGTGATACCCAATCATTTCTTCTATATTCTATTTCTTAGAGGCAAGTTACTAAATTCAGCCACTCAACCAGTAGGAAATTTAAGCTCTTACTGCTCAAAAAGAGTATCAACAAATATGCCAACGTATCTTTAAAACCCTCACAAATCCCAACCACTTGGAAGAGCTAAGAATTTGTGATGAGAACCAAGACAAAACTATTAGGAATCTACATAAACATGAAGGCGTTAGTGATGTCCTGGAAGTCAGTTGATTTGAATGAGCCACTGTGTGTTAAGATAGTGGAAAGAACTATTATTTTCTGAGTGCCCACTATATACCTGGCACTGTACTAGGTGTGTTATGCGAATCATCTCTTTTTCTTGCCATTAATAACAACCATGTACTTCCAGTGCCTTCACCACCTGGAATCCCAAGGTTCCTGAATCAGATAGGATAAATTTTGGTTTTGAAGGACAGAGTCTCAAGATAGTAGGAATTAAAACACAATGGAACTTATCTTTCTCACACATAAAAATCTGGAAGTAGGCAGACTAACGTAATGGGAGCAGTGGCTCTGCTCCATGAAATCTTGGGGCATTCCAGCCCATGTTTCCATCATTGATAGCCCACAGTGTCATGATGCAGAACACGTCTAGAGCTCCATCTTTCAAGAAGCACAATGGAGGGAAGATTAAGACGAAAGGAGCAAAGGACAGGTGCCAGCTGTCTTTTAGGAGGCTCAACAGGAAATTACCAAACACTTCTACTTACCTGTCACAACTTTTCCATGGACTGAGAGATTTCTTTACTCTGGTAGTAATAAAGCCCAGATAAAATTCAGGGGCTTTATTACTATGGAAGAATAGATATATGGGGGTAAATAGTAGTCTTTATGACAGTATCATATGGAATTACCAGAAGCATTCTAAAGTACAGGACCTCTGAAAAAATTATTAGCCTTTTGATTCCTCCAGGCATTGTGAAATCTGTTAGTTTCTCAAGCTCAAGTCCTTGGACTAATTTTGACCAAGTTTTATATAGTTTATATTCTTAGTTGAAGTACACAATTCTATTTCATTTCTACCCTAACAGCTCACATTATCATGAATGAGAAGAAATGTGCACCTGTATTTTAAAATTTTTTGCCCAATTTAGCAGTCTTGGTTCTCAGATGTCCCATCTAGTAATAATATCTTCTTATTGGCTTTTGCTATTTTGTGGGCTAGAGAAACCACTTGGAAGGACCATAAAAGTTCCCAGTTTTATGTTGGTACTAAATATATTCTTTGCATCCATTAATGTCCTCACCAAATTTTTTATCATCAATACAATGTACAAAATTATGTATGGTGTGATTATCTGTGATGTTCTCAAATCCCACAAATAATTATTAGTAAACAAGGACTAGAGCCCAGGTTGGAGAATTGTAATTATTTATTACTAATATTCTTAGACAAAAGGGAATGCCATTTTTCACTACTCACACATAAAAAAATGCAGTATATAAGTAAATGTTTAAGCGCTGTCCAAAAACCACTATGAGTTTTGGGGCTCAGAAAATTATACCCCAAAGTGAAGGCCTCAGAAGTAGACTCAGAAGCAAAGTTTCTCTGAACTTCTGCCCGCCTGTCTCTCGCACCTCATTCTTCCCCCCAATGCAAGTCATAGAAACTTGAATTCTTCCTTTCCAAGGTGGGTCATAGAAACCGAACCCCTTTTCCCCAAAGCCAGCCATAAAACCTGAAAACATTACCCTAACCTTCCCCCTCCTTTCTGTGTAAAAGATGGCCATAAAGAAATTCTCTGACCTGACTTGTTTGACTGTAGGTCGTAAGACCCCCTGAGTCCAGAAAACACTTCATATCCCGGAGGAAGGAATGCTGTACTGAGAGGCCAAGAAGCATCTGAACAGACAGACCATGCTGAGTTTCCCCAATTAGTCTATTCCCATCAGGTCATACCCTTTTGTCCAACCATATTTCTACACGGTTTTTCATTCTTCATCAAATCTAAGCATAAAAATAGACAGTTGTCACTGTATCTTTGAGTCTCCATTTTTAAGGCTCCCATGACACATAAAACTATAATTAAATAAATTTGTTATGCTTTTCTCTTGTTAATTTGTCTTTTGTTATAGGAGTGTCAGCTGTGACCCTTATGATAGGGAGGAAAGGGATCACCTCCTTTGTGCCCCTACAAGAGAAAAACACAGGTCAAAGTAGGCTGAGAGCATATTTCTGACTCTTAAGCTCAGACTTATGGTTACCACCAATTCTATTTGTTCCCATTTTTAAACCCATCTCAAAAATATTTTATCCTCACTGAGCCTCAGAAAGATTAAATATCATGTCCACACTTACATACCTAATAAATACCAGGATTGGGATTGTAAATTCATGTCTTCTTAACGTCAAAACACATCTTCATATTGTTTCCAACACAAGGAGACTTGAATGCAATTACTTTTTTTTTCTGTTTTCTTTGGTATATATAATTTAAGAGCATTGTCATTGATCTTAGGTGTATTTTTTCTTATAAAGTATTTGTTAAATTTCATTTTATTGACATTTGAATAAATTGATGCCAAAGTATTGCATTCAACATTTGCTTTAAAAAGTATATTGTTTGTTGTTGTTTGGTCATTTTTAAATGTAATTGCAACATATTAAAATGGGGATTATCTAGATAATTAACTGGAATCTCTGTAATGTGACATACGTGTGTCCCCACATATAGCTATCCTCAATTCCAAAGAAGAGAGGGAATTAAGGACACTGAATTATTCTGCCAGCTGACTCCGCATCCCTTGGTGACTGATAATTTTCTATAAGTTGCACTTGGCAGTGCTAGCAAGTAAGGATTAATACATTTTAATCCTCCCTGATTTGGTCCTTTTTTTTTTTTGTAGCTTAACTATTTTCCAGTCTTCAAGACTTTCTATTGTCTATGGTTAATTTAAACAAATCATATTTTCACAGATCCTATGGATCTTTCTAGAGTTTTTTTAAGTGTCTCACTGTAGTTTATTTTCAAATATATTTTAACATGGTGACAGTTCTTTCACTTGTCTTTCCCTTTCATTGCATTTGCTTCCAGGCTAATCTCCTGAAGTACAATTTGATCATGTTTTCCGATATAACGTTGAAAGAGCTGTAAGTCATATCAGACCTTTTAGTAATCTATACAGTTCCAGAATCATTAAGGCAAGTGAGTTAGAAAAAAACATTTTCAATGGGATATTTATGTTTCATGACTTTAGAGAGAATTTTAAAACAAGAAAATTTCACTTTTTATCAAACCCTCTCAATATTGTTTTTTATCTCATAGATAACTTTTCACTTATTTTAATTCAATTTTTAAATTTTATTATTTTCATAGGAATTTTAGGAGTACTGTAGAACACACTGAAGTTCCTGACTTCTTTTTACAGGTGTAATTACTGAGATTTAGGTTCTATGGTTGGCCCAAGTTTCATAAATAATAAATGGAAAATAAGGACCTAAAGCCTATAGAGTCCAATTTCTATGTACAGAATCTCTCTGTAATCTTTGTCCTCTTTGTACACATTAAGGGATCAGGAGATGCTAAGATTGCTAAATACACAGTAGTTTTCTAATATAAATAATGATTAGATATACATAGAAATATTTTTAAGCAATTCAGATCCTGCCCAATCTCTCTACTCCCTGTTGCTACCATCTAAGATATATCTACTGCCTTTGAATCTGTCAGAGTGAGACTCAGCAATTCATAACTAGGGCACTCTGAGACAGCTGGAACTTCCCTAGAGAACCAGCTCGATCCACTGAACCATTGGCAAGATGAATTTTCCTACAGCATCATACGTTAGTGTTATTCGTGTTCCCAACCCCACATCCCTAGGCCAGGGGTCATATTTCTAAATGCCCCTGTTTATCTAATAATGTATTATAAACTTGAAATTTGCTAAGTATAGATCTTAAGTGTTCTCACCACACATACACACACAAAAGTGTAAATATGTGTGATATGCTGTATTAGCCTGTTTTTACGCTGCTGATAAAGACATACCTGAGATGGCAATTTGCAAAAGAAAGAGGTTTAATGGACTCACAGTTCCACGTGGCTAAGGAGGCCTCACAATAATGGCAGAAGGTGAAAGGCACTTCTCACATGGTGGCAGACAAGAGAAGAGAGCTTGTGCAAGGGAACCCCTCTTTATAAAACCATCAGATCTCATGAGGCTTATTCACTATTACAAGAACAGCACAGGAAAGACCTGCCCCCATGATTCAATTACCTCCCACTGGGTCCCTCCCATGACATGTGGGAATTGTGGAAGCCACAATTCAAGGTGACATTTGGGTGGGGACAGAGCCAAGCCATATCATTCCACCCTGCCCCCTCCCAAATTTCATGTCCTTACATTTCAAAATTAATCATGCCTTCCCACACTCCCCTAAAGTCTTAACTCATTTCAACACTAACTCAAAAACCCAGAATCCAAAGTCTCATTTGAGACAAGGCAACTCCCTTCCACCTATGAGCCTGTAAAATCAAAAGAAAGCTAATTACTTCCTAGATATATAATATCTATATATCTATATAGATACATAATATCTATATATCTGTATAGATACATAATATCTATATATCTGTATAGATACATAATATCTATATATCTGTATAGATACATAATATCTATATATCTGTATAGATACATAATATCTATATATCTGTATAGATACATAATATCTATATATCTGTATAGATACATAATATCTATATATCTGTATAGATACATAATATCTATATATCTGTATAGATACATAATATCTATATATCTGTATAGATACATAATATCTATATATCTGTATAGATACATAATATCTATATATCTGTATAGATACATAATATCTATATATCTGTATAGATACATAATATCTATATATCTGTATAGATACATAATATCTATATATCTGTATAGATACATAATATCTATATATCTGTATAGATACATAATATCTATATATCTGTATAGATACATAATATCTATATATCTGTATAGATACATAATATATAATTTATAAATTATATATTATATTTAATTAAATTATAATTTAATTATAATTTAATTAAATATAATATATAATTTATAAATTATATATTATAAATTATCACCTGATAATTTATAAAGCCATCAGATCTCATGAGACTTTTTCACTATTACAACAACAGCATGGGAAAGACCTGCCCCCACGATTCAATTACCTCCCACTGGGTCCCTCCCATAACACGTCAGAATTGTGGGAGTTACAATTCAAGGTGACATTTGGGTGGGGATACAGCCAAACCATATCACATGTTAATTAGCTTGATTCTTATAATTATTTCACTATACATATACATAGTGAATATATATATATATGTATACACACACACACACAAACACACACAATTTTATCTGAATCATACCTCAATAAAGCTGGAAAATAGATCCCAACCAAGGGCCAGGTATAGAAGCATGTGCTTATAACAATAAAGTTTCTAAAAGAAATAGCCCCGCTTAGGTAAATGTTACCAATTTCTCTAATACCCCAAAAATTCAGATTTTTGTGTTAAAAATCCTGATTTTTAATATTGGTAAAACTTTTAATAACATAGATAAGCAATTATATGTCTTTATGGATATAGGGTCCCATGGGCTATAGCTTACAATATGTGGTCTCAATCTCAGATATTCTATAGTCTTCAGAGTCTCTCATGTTTAGACCTGAATCATGTCTCCAGTTTCTCTAAAATTGAGTTAGTTTAAGATGTGATCCCAAAGCTCACCCTAGGTTGCCAGGTACCAGGTTCCAATAGGTGAATGTAGAGTTCTACGGATGAGGGAGCTGTTTGATTTATGCATACTCATGTCAGTATTTTGATTATGCCAAATCTGAATTCAGTAGTTTGGTATACATTCGCAAGAAAAAATGAAACTCATATGAAAGATTTGTCAATTATAAAGCCTCAAAAGTGGGGCATAATTAATCCATGTTAGGGCTTTTGGATTTGTTTCATTCTGGAATAAGGTATAACACATGTTGTCTTGGAGATTTTTCTTTTCCTTTCAAACATAAAAGTAAAGTTGGTATTGGTTTAGTAATAGCACAGACACTTAAAAAGTTAGGCTTTTATTATTCTTTTTGTGAGTTTAAAATAGGAAATTCTCAGTCCAAAAAAATGGGCATCATCTCTTCTGCCAAGTACAAACTGTTTGGTAGATTGATATATGATAGCTCAATACAGAGAAGCAAACCAGTCTCTTCCCTAAATCTGTGTGATCAGAGGTTGAACCTAAATCACCACCTCTGTTATTTGCCAGATATCAGCACAATGGCACAATGGACATTTCACACATACCATGAACCCAAGCTCATTGCAATTATTTACTATCAAATGACCATTACATATGTTTCCAAAGATCCGTTCCCAAAATATGTTTTTCATAAACTAGTCTCCAATTATATACATGTTACTTTCTAGTTATTTTTTCCATTTTTTATTTTTGATTTTTGTGTGTACATAGTAGGTTTATACATTTTTGAGGCACATGTGATGTTCTGATACAGGCATGCAATGTGAAATAATCGCATTATGGAGACTGTGGTATTCATCCCCTCATGCATTTACCCTTTGTGCTACAAACAATTAAATTACACTCTTTTTGTTATTTTTAAATGTACAATTAAGTTACTATTGATTATAGTCAGTGTGTTGTGCTATCAAACAGTATGTCTTATTCGTTCTTTCTAATTTTTTGTACCACTAACAAACTCCACTTCCCTCTCAATCTCCCACTACTTTTTCCAGCCTCTGGTAATGATCCTTCTGCTCCCTGTGTCTATGAGTTCAATTGTTTTGATTTTTAGATCCCACAAATAAGTGAGAACATGCAACGTTTGTCTTTCTGTGCCTGGATTATTTCATTTAACATAATGATCTTCAGTTCCATCCATGTGTCTAGTTACTTTAATAAACACAAACACCAACACAAAGAAGCAAATGGAAAACATCAGTACAAATAATCTTCCCTGGCCTTCATAATACACTCAAACACTGATGAAAGCCAGATAGCTTTTTTCCATATAATTCAAAATAAGAAGTAAAAGACATTTTTAAATGAAACTAAATATATGCATTTTTTTTTCAAAATTTTACTTGTCAGTCTCTTCTCAATAACTAGAATGTAAATTTCCTAAATGTTTTTCTTTATGATAGCATCCTCTAAAATATTTTGCCTATCGCAGAAGTTCAACAAAGATTTGTGAATTGATCAGTCATTAGGTCTAACAGGATAAATAACTCTGACTTAAAGCCAATTTAAGCCCTAAGGCAATATGGTTTTTGGTTCATTACAAAAGCTTTTTCAAAAAATGCATGCAAACTCTTTCTAAAAAATTTTCTAATTTGACATATCCAGAGGGGCACCATCCTTTTGCCATGGATTTTATGCCAATGTGTCTTCCTGAAGTGGACAATGATTTATACTTCACATATCTACAAGTTTTCAAATAGCTATAGATTCTCAAGACAAGGTCTGAAAGAAGAATATAATCAGTTTAAAAATGTTCAAAATTTAGAAGATAAAATAAAAGCTCCAGAGGATAAAGAGATCAAAAGTAAGAAGGGTAAATTGCTTATAGTCGAACAATTAAAGAAAGGGGCTGTTAAAAAGTTTGTTGCACAGGCCGGGTGCGATGGCTGACTCCTGTAATCTCAGCACCTTGAGAGGCCATGGTGGGCCGATCACCTGAGGTCAAGAGTTCAAGACCAGGCTGGCAAAACCCCATCTCTACTAAAAATACAAAAATTAGCAGGGTGTGGTGGCATGTGTCTGTAATCCTAGCTACTTGGGAAGCTGAGGCAGGAGAATCGCTTGGACCCAGGAGGCAAAGGTTACAGTGAGCCAAGGTCATGCCATTGCACTCCAGCCTGGGTGACAAAGCAAGACTCTGTCTCAAAAAAAAGAAAAAAAATGTTTGTTTCACAGAGGTCACCATGCAAGAAGATTGGGAGGAGGTCAGGGTTGAAAGGAATAACACATCAGCTAGGACAGCACGTTAAGTAAGGTTTCCACATATGTGGTAAGCTCACTCAGGATGGTGGCAGCATTGAACTTAGAGATGATAATTGTGAACCATGTGCACCTTCCATAAATGAAGGGAAAATACCAATAACTTGATAGATGGCATCTAATGAAGGCACAGAAGCATGAAAGAGATGTTGAGTACGCTGCAGACTCCAGTCTCTTGGCTAAATGATGTCTTCTAAGCAGTGATGTTAAGGCTGGAAGATCTAAAGAGTGTTCAAAGAATAGATTGATAACATAAATGAGTTAACTTCAGAGAGTGCAAGAATTAGAAGGTGGAGAGAGAGAAACTAGAGATGGGGGCAGGGATTATATGCAGTAAAGAGGAAGAAGTGAGGGGGTCGATGAAGAACAAGATGGAACACCTAAAGCCTCAGACAAGTGAAGTGAATTATTTTATACCATGAAGGTAATTCAGAACAGAATCCATACAAAAATGCACGTTTTCTGCTTTCTTAGGCCCAACTGTTTTTGGCCAAATATATAGCAAAGTTGGTGGTGGAAAAGCGATAGTCTCAGAAAATTAAGCTAATAATTGCTTTGTTATGGTGGTTGATTTTTAATGTGAGATTAAAGTAAAATCCAAAATATACTTAAGTATTAAGATTATGTAACTAGAAATATTTCCTTCTCTCTTATAATCTAAACTCTTAAACAATTTCAGCATCTGACTACAGCCTGAATAAATGCCAATGGAACATAAACAAATTAACAAAGAGTAACTGGGAAATGTCAACATTCCCAGATGCTGATGGTCAGACTAATGACGCCAATTAAGAAAATTGATCTTGAAAATAAAACAGATGTCCTAATACAGAGTGGAAGCACAATTCATGAAGATTTGGAGCGCCAGGAGTAGAGGAAGGGAATGGTACAGTTAAGTAAGTGTTTGGTGAGTCCATCCAGCCTCACATAATTCAGTGTAGATAAAGTGCGATGTGCTAAGAATTAGAATGGAAATGTACAGAAAATGTTAACAGGACAGAGGAGAAGGAGCTCCCAACTCTGCACTGAGGAGACAGAAGAAGAGTTGATTCAACAGATATTTATTGCACACCTATTATAACCAGGTACCATGCTGGGCACTAGTGAACAGTGAGCAATAGATTCAAAACTTCCTGCCTTTGTGAGCTGACATTCTATAAGGGAGATACAGAGAAAATATATAATATGTCACATGGTAACAAGTAATATGCAGAATAAAAAATTAGAGTAAGGAAATAAGAATATGCATTAAACAGGGTGGTTAGGAAATGTCCTCTGCTAAGGTGACACTTAAGCAGAATCTGACATTTGAGGTGACATATGACTTGGTTCTAAAAGCGTGTATTAAGAGACTGCCAGAAAGACAAGAGGGGAATTTCCAGACAGAGAAAGTAAAAAATGGAAAAACCCAGGGACTCAAAAAAAAAAATTGGGGGAAATAAGTTGTTTTTGACCCCCTACCATCTATTCCTCCTTCTAATGGTGGTATTAGATGAGTAGACAAACCCTACTTCCTTCCTCTTAGAGTCCCAGCTAGCTCTGAGAATGAAATTAATATAGCATAGATTAACAGGAGGAAAGCGTACTCTACAAGTTTTACATGGCATGAGAGCCCTCATAGAGAAATGAAGACTCGAAGGAGCAGTTGGAGTCAGTTACTTACATACTGAATTGGACAAAGAGCAGTAAACTTGAAAATGTGACTACATTATATTGGGAGGCTTAAAAGATAAGAGTTATTCTAATGAAAATTGTACAGAATTCTTTCAGTCTCAACTTCTTGTTCTTGAAGATAAGGATGTCACCTTTCTTTCTAGTAAAGAGAGTCTTTCATGGGAATTTCACCCTTTTAAGAAAAAGCCCAAAGGTCAAAGTGATCTTGCACTTGCTGTCTTTCAAGTGTCTTCAACTTAAATTGTCAATATGCGCCAAAATAGCATATTTTAGCCACCTCGGTACCATGAAATTCCTTTAGAAAACTGTCTCCTTCTTCTCAGTCCATGTGTTTTAGAAGAGTAAAACACGTACCTAGGCCTGACTAATTAAAGCATCAAATTCCTGTACAATGATGAGTAACTCAACATTGTTCAAACATGGTAAATCCCTGGGCTTGTATGAAGGTTGTCAGAAATCTCTACTGGGATCGCCAGTGGTTTCCATGATATAAGTCTGGAGCTTCTGGAAGCTGTCATCCTAGAACCAGGGTATGAAAATAAGACACCACAACATAGAGCTAAAATACAAAAAGAAGTAAGTCTGATCTTCACTTTTGTTTTTTTTTTATTTATTTATTTCTGAGACAGGGTCTCCCTCCTCTGTTGTCCAGGCTGGAGTGCTGTAGTGCATTCTCAACTCACTGCAAACTCCACCTCCCCATTCAAATAATTCTCCTGCCTCAGCCTCTGGACTAGCTGGGACTACAGGCACGCCACTATGTCCAGCTAATGTTTGTATTTTTAGTAGAGACAGGGTTTTACCATGTTGCCCAGCCTGGTCTCGAACTCTTGGCTTCAAGTGATCCAGTCAGTCACCTTGGCTTCCCAAAGTGCTGGGATTACCAGCGTGAGCCACTGCACCCGGCCTGATCTTTATTTTCGAAATCCTAGATAAAACCATGTTTGCAGGTAAACTTGGCCAGTATTTTTTAAATCTGTGGGCCAATAAACTCCTCTCTTTAACATTAGACTGGATATCCTATTATTTGGCAATCAGAGTCTTGATAGAATGAATATATTGTGTTGGTCTTAGTCAGTTTGGGTTTCTACAACAAATTATTGTAGATGGTGGCGGGAGGGGGGGTGCTCAAATAATTAACATTTATTGTTTAGTCAGATGCTTGGTGAGGGCCCTCTTCCTGGTCGTGTCTTCATGTGGCCTTTCCTTGGCGCATGCACAGAGAGAGAACGACAGAGAGAGATGCTGTGTCTCCTCCTCCCATTATTGCAAGGGCACTTGCAATATGGGAGTCCTTGCATAAGGACTCCTTCTTCATAACTTAATTGAGTCCCAAAGGCCCTATCTCCAAATATCATCACATTGGGGATTAGAGTTTCAACGTATTAATTTCGGGGAACACAGGCATTCTATAGCAACGTTCAAGAAAAGAAGTGTCAAATGTTATTTTAGAAATTTTGATGGCACTTGGTTGAGTATCCCACAAAGACCTCTAGGAAAACTTTATTCTTGCCATTTAAAGAAAGTGAGATTGTAGAAGCACTGAGAAAGTGGGGGAGGTAGTTTCAGAATATAGAGTAAAATGTTGTGAGGAGTTTAGAATGCCCACACACAGAACCTTGAGAAATCACCTTCTCTGGATTGCTTACTCATAAAAATGTGCACATGTGTTAAGCACAGTAGGTACTGTGGTGAGCAGCAATCTGTGGGTGCAAAAATAGATTTAACATTTATACATTGTTAAAGAGAACCAGAGCCTAACAGTAGTTAAATCAGTAAAAACAGATTAGCGGGAAAGAGATCTCAGTATAGAACTGGGCTCAATTTTGAATACGAAAAGGAAAAATAGGGATTTATAGCCAAGGAGCAGGTTGGGGTATGGGTGGATGGAAAGTTACTAAAAGGTGACATCACAGGTAAGGGAAATTCTTGCTAAATTGACCTAACAGGATTCTTGCTAAATGTAGGCCAGGATGACTGGATATCAAGGGTGAGAAATGAGGAATTTCATCAGATCTGAAAGGTTTGGGATTCCAGCTACCACTGGGCTATGGAGGCCCAGCAAGGATGGAGGCCCAGCAAGGATGGAGGCCAAGGTTGAGATCTAGTGAAGAAGAGGATTCAAGGGGTCTGACTAAAGTGTGGGCAAAGAAAGAATCTTTGTCAGTGTGACCACAAATTTTAATGTGTTTACAATCACTTCTTGGTAAGCTAGTATTGCCATGTTTAAATAACATGAGAGCTTAGGGGACATTGCTCACGGGAAAAATGACTGTGCACTTCAGAATCTTGAAACTTTGTTGTTTTGAACTCAACTAAACCCACACTTTTTCTTTTTCCTATGGATTTACTATTATCATCACCAAATACTAACCTATGTAAAATTATAAATATTTAATACATTGCACCATATGCTTTACATCTACAAGTCTACTTAAATGGTTCTCAGGTATTGCTGTACTTAAAGTATGGTCAAAAAGCACCTCATCAGAATCACATAGGAGGCTTGTTAAAAGTCAGATTTCTGGACCTTATAAACAAACTGGATCAAAATTTCTGATAGTGGTGCTCCAGTATAGGCACCACTCTAGAATATTTTAATAAAAATTCAAGTCTAGTCTTATGCACACTGAAGTTTGAGAACTATTCAACTATGGAGCAGAGTAAATATTGGTTAGATTTAGACAAAACAATGAGACTGGTATTTATTGATACCCACTATGCTCTTTACATGCTTTATACACCTAGTCTCATTTAATTATCAAAACAGGACAGTGAGATAATATTTTCCCTATTTTACAGATGCTGAGATTAAATGAGAAATGGTTACATCATGCACTCAAATCCACACATCTGGGCACTGCCCAAGCTGATAGGGAATTCAGGTCTATCTGATGCTTATGTAATAGTCCAATGGGTTCACCTTGCCCGCTGCCTAGACAGAGCTAATTTATCAAGTCAAGGGAATTGTAATGGAGAAAGAGTAATTCACACAGAGCCTGCTGCGCAGGAGACAGAGTTTTATTATTACTCAAATCAGTCTCCATAAGCATTCAGGGATCAGAGTTTTTAAAGATAATTTGGCAGGTAGAGGCTTGGGAAGTGGGAAGTGCTGATTGGTCAGGTTGGAGATGGAATCATAGGGTGTCAAGTGAGGTTTTCTTGCTATCTTCTGTTCCCGGGTGCGATGGCAGAACTGGCTGAGCCAGATACGGGTCTGGGTGGCGTCAGCTGATTCATCCAGTGCAGGGTCTGCAAGCTATCTCAAGCACTGATCTTAAATTTTACAATAGTGATGTTATCCCCAGGAGCAATTTTGGGAGGTTCAGACTCTTGGAGCCAGAGGCTGCATGACCCCTAAACCGTAATTTCTAATCTTGTAGCTAATTTGTTAGTCTTCCAAAGGCCAACTGGTCCCCAGGCAAGAAACGGATATTTTCAGGAAAGGGCTACTATCAGTTTTGTTTTAGAGTCAAACCATGAACTGAATTCCTTCCCAAAGCTAGTTTGGCCTACACCCAGGAATGAAAAAGGACAGCTTAAAGGTTAGAAGCAAGATGGAGTAGGTTAGGTCTTATCTCTTTCACTGTCATAATTTCCTGAGTTATAATTTTTGCAAAGGTGGGCCAGGCTACCTTCTGCCTCTCATTTCTTGGATATTCCATGAAAATTTTCCATTCACAAAAGCATTTGCTAAAATATTAACAGTACTTATTTGCATTGGAACCACCACAATGCACACAGCTAGGCTGATCCAGGAAAATGTTAGATGTGTTTCCCCGATTATCATTTTTCACAAAAGGTGATTGATATTATACCTATCTCTTTCCCTGTGATTTCAGGAAGTCTCAAAATCTCAACCAGCCAAGTTAGCTGATCACTCCTACCCCTGCCTTATAATTCTAAAAAGGTTGATTAAGGTAAAGAATATTTAATTTCCTTAACATTTAATTTTATCCACATCCTTTTACCACTTGAGGAAAGTATGGTGGCTTGACTGATTTAATGTGTTGCATTAAACAACTATTCTAATGATAATAAGTCTTTTATTATGAATCTAACATTTCTGGCACAGAATCAGACACAAAGGACTTTTGAGGAACCTTACTATTCAAATGGTCTGAGAGATATTAAAAAAATAATTACAGTACAATGGATTGCATGTGCATATCTACAAAGAGATAAGTAAAAAGGAATGGGGAATTGGATGCACTAAATGCTACAGAGGACAGACATTTATGCTAAGAGATCACCAAGCAGAGAAATAATGGAAGTCATTCCAAGAAAAAGAATAGCATTATTCAGAGACCTCGAGTTGTATAGCACTTGCCCCTAAAATGTATGTCTCAGATCTTTTCCATCTTCTTTACCCAGTTCATCAGGTACCCAGATAAGTGACTTCACCTGCTGTCCTTTTCAGAGACCAAAGGGCAGGCTTGCTACTTACGCTCAGCTTATGAAACCCTGGCATGAGTTATTCAGATTTTAAATAAGCTATTCCTACAAAAGGCAGTAAATTCATATTACTTCTTCCATTGTCTTCAATTGCACCATAACATTTTGAATTAGAATCTGGGAAGGATTTCTAATGAGGCACTGGAAAAATACTTGATAAATATTTGAGAATTTCTTCCTAGTAATATTTTGAGAAAAAATTGTAAAAGTGTTGTTGAACCTAAAAACTAGAGCGTGAAAGCGTATGATCTCTTGAGAGTTTATTTATGCATACAGGGGTTATGAGCTTTATGTCAAACTGCCTTTGTTAAAGAAAGCATTAGGATAAGGACTCAAACATTTTCAGTTATTCTTGGTCAGACTTTAACATTGTGTCAGCATGCTTTGTTTACTATGAGCATTTACCAATTTTATATGAATTAATCACATTTCCATTTGCCATGGATACTCCTGTTCCTTTACCCACAAGTTTAATTACTGCTTCTTTTTTAAGACAATATTTTCTGAAAACAATACCGGTCTCATTATTTAATGTGGAAACATTTCTTAGTTTTAGCACTTCTACATGTTGATTTGTCATTTTCATGACTTATAAATGCTTAGACTATTACTCTATAACCATGGGAAGCTATTTCAAGTGAGGCCAGAAAATGGGAATACATATTCTCAAAAGAAAATAATTCAACAAGATGTTCCATTCATTCTTGCTTTGGACAAAACATTGTTATACCATATGACAAATTAAGAAACACTAAATTACAGTCTTGAAAATACATGTTTATCTATAAAATCTCTGACTTAAGTTCACATTACTTTTTCCCATAGCACAGATTTTAATGTAGCCTTAATGATATGAAGTGAGGCAGAACTTAGGCATTTAGGTGCTTTATTAAGAAAGCTAAGATTCAGGGAAATATTTTTAAACAACTTGGAATCTAATCAGTAAAAATATATTAAATTTTGAATCAAAAAATATATTTAAAAATATATTGAATGCAACAGTAGTGGTGCATATTTCTTAATTGACATATATTTGTTTCATCTAAATTTTCTCCTTTTGACATCCTAAAAGATGTTGGGCATCTATATAAAAAATTCATTCAAAGCCTTATCCTCACTGTTTTTCAACCTGGTAGTCACTGTGAGCTACCACTTTACTCCATTTCATTAATTCATTTCTTAACTCATGTCCTAGAACTTACCAACTAGGGCTACTGCTATGGTTTGAATATGTCCTCCAATGTTCATGTGTGGAAACTTAATTACCATTTTAATGGTATTAAGAAATGGGGGCCTTGAATAGGTGATTAGGTTATGAGGGCTCTTCTCTAAGTGGATTAATGCCATCATTGCAGGAGTGAGTTCTTCATAAAAAGGATGATTTTGGTTTTATTTCACTCTGTCTTGCATACTCACTTCTGCCTTCTGCCCTTCCTTCATCTTATGATCTTTGCCAGGTGCCAATGTCATTCCCTTGGACTTCCCAGCCTTCAGAACTGTGAAAAATAAATTTCCTTTTTAAATAAATTACTCTACCTGTGGTATTCCATTATAGTGCAGAAAATGGACTGATGGTTGCTGTAATATATTAAATAATAACACCCAAGTCTGTCATTCTCAAACCATTAGTTCTCATCTTTCATCTTTCTAGGCCCCTTATTTCCACAATTATCCTGTAGAAATGTTACGTCCCTTGACTCCACATTTGTTTCCATATCAATGAGCTCCTTTCTGACTCTACTTTCTTCCTGATGCATCATTTCAACAACTTTCTGCCAATACTCTGAACATGCTCATCTATTTGTCCTTCTGATGCAAAAGCCCTGAAAATCTTAAGCATTTTTCAACATACAAAGCCTTACTTTAGATTGATATTTCCAGAAAAGAATTGGGTCATAAGTTAGAGATTATCTGGTTTTGGTGCTTTACAGCTTCCTTTCAAATAAAACTCTGTCCTTCAGGTAGTCAAATATATGAATGAGTTAACATTTGTTAGTGGCAACAAGGGTCATATTCAATATATTTAACAACAGACCAAATGGAATAGGCACCATATTAAAAATGTCACCTGTTAAAAGCAGCCAATATCAGCTTTTATTGAAAGCAATGAGAAATAACTCCAGAAAGAGGTGGGGAGACGGAACAATAAAATAAAATTAAGGGAGGATACCCAGGTGGCTAACAGCCAAGAAAAATGCACTGAATGACAAAGCTTTTGAATGAACAAGAACAAAGTCAGATCTAGGAATATTAGCAGCAAAAGACTGTCAGGCTTCTTTCTGGGTGCTGCCATAAAATGACATAGCTATAACCACTTTCTGCCTTTGTATATTTTCTCTCAAGATCAAAATTCTTTAGGTGGTAGAATATGGTTGTCCCAGGCTAGGCATGCTCCTCCCACCCAAATATCATGAACCAATCACTATGGGCAGTGAGATGGGTTCCTTCCACTGGCTCAGCCAAGTTCCTAGGCCGCCCAAGCCATCAGAAAGGTGAGGGAATTTCTGGAAGATTGAAAAGGGATAAGTGGATGAAAGCAAGAGGCACTACAGCATCTTTTGCTGTCACTGAAAATTTCTTTTCTTGATGGCTTTTCAGGAGCCCTCTCCTTAGTATTATAGAGAGAAATCTTTGCTTCAGTTAGAGTTCAAGTTAAACTACAGACCAAAAAGCTCCTTGAAACTCTCCTTCAATTACTTTCCAGATTGACCACTTTCCACTGGCTATTTATCTATCTGTCTGTCTTCCTACTCAGCTTGGCGTGTAAATATTGGTACTTCCCAGAGCTTTGACCTTACTCCTTTTTTGTTTCTTACTCAGCAAACCTTTCCCTACAATCTCATCCACACCCTTGGCTTCAGCTTCCATGTATATGCTGACTCCTCAAACTGTAGCACAGATTAATCATTTGCGTTTTAGACTCTTAAATGCAACTGATCTATTGAACATTTCCCCTTCAGATAATGTGGGGGAATTTCCCACAGAAAATTCAAATTTAATGTTTCCAAATAAAATTCACCATCCTTCTCCCCTTCCATGTCATTCCTCTTCTCCTCTGTGTCATCGTAGCCTCATTCATGGCATCACCATCTGCTGAAAAATCCAATCTGAGAGCTTGGAATCTTCCTAGACTCAACCCCTCTCTCAAACTCCCTTGTGCAATCCACCAGCAAACGATGGCAGTTCTACTCACTGCTATTGCCCCAGTAAAAGCACTCGTCATTTCTCCTAACATATTCTTCTACCTCCTGCGTCAACTACCATCAATATGTTTTCAAAATCCTGCTAGAAAAAAACTAAAAGGCAAATTTGTCTATGTCCCTTAAAAGGCTGCCTACAAAATAACATCCAAACTCCTTGGTCTGGGAAGCAAGATCATCTGAAGTTTGTTATCTCCCCCTCTATCTAGTCCCAGCTCTTGCCATCCCTATAAACCACACTTAGAATGCCAGCTGCACCAAACAGTTCTGTTTGTGGAACATGGCTGGTCATGTGCTTCCCTAGACAAAGACAAATCATTCTCACTGAGGCTTGTCCAAATATCTGTTCTGTACAATCAAATATATGTTGTTTTACATTACAGTGGGTATTAGTCAGGATTCTCTAGAGAAACAGATCTCTAGAGAAAATAAGATACATACATACATATGAGACAAAGAGAAAGAGAAAGTGAGAGAGAGAGAGACTTATTGTGAAGTAAGATACTGGTTCACACAATTATGGAATCTGAGAAATCCCACAATCTGCCATCTGCAAGCTGGAAACTCAGGAAACCCAGTGAGAGCCAATGGGGTATATTCCAGCCTGGGTCTGATGGCCTGAGAACTAAGAGTGCTGAGGTCAGGAAAAGATCAGTAATCCAGCTAAAGCACTCAGGCAGTGAGCAAATTCAACATTCTCCATCTTTTTGTTCTATACACATCCTCACTGGATGATGCCCTCTCACAATGAGCAAAGCCATCTGCTTTACTCAGTTCGCTAATTCAAATGCTAGTGTCTTTCCCACACACCTTCATAGACACACTGAGAAATAATGTTTAACCAGATATCTGAGTATCCCATGGCCCAGTCAAGTTGACATACAAAATTAAGCATCACACTGAGTTTGAGGATATATATTACACAACAGTATATAACTGGAGCAGGTGTTTTTATAATTTACGATTTTCCCATGGTGAAAATCTCCAGCATTACCTGGAGAATAGATTTTTACCTTTTTACAGAATGTTACATTTTCTCCTTTCTGGATTATTATGTGGAGTGGTAGAAAATATATGAAATTTGAGAACAGATCTAAGTTCAAAAATATTCATTTCCCTTATTATCTTTTATGAACTTTGATAATTTCCTCTTAGTAAAATATGGATGATATCTACTTTGTACGTAGCTGTCGCGCTTAATTCAGCTAATAGGGATAATGCTCCTAACATCTCAGATGGAGTCAGAAGTTATAAACCAGGGACTATCTTTCTCCATGATGATTAGCAATGGAATGTCTAAAAAGAAATAAGAGAATAAAATATGAGACATAAATATTTAAAGAGTGTACATTGAATAGTTGGAAACCTGAGAGAATCAAGCAAAAATTTATTCAAAACAGTAAGAATGTTTAAGTGGTAGCTAGCTACAAAATTAAAATATAAGTCAACAACTGTCTTGTATTTGAAGAATAATTAATTTGAAAATATTACTAAAAAAGACCTCTATGAGAACTAAGTATAAAATATCCAAGAACATGTTTAAAAAGAAATGTGTATAATTATTTAAGAAAACAATGAAAGTCTGTCATATAAAATTTTAATATGTGGTGCCCAGCAGTGAGTAATTGTTTTGATGAATATCAGTTCCCTTCCTGCAGGCTTTAGGCATTACAGGGTACACTGAAGGCAACACTACAGCCCTTCTGCACAGCTACCTTAAGTCTTTTCTCATAAAGCAGATGAGGCAGATGTCATCAACTGAGAGACTGGAAAATGCCAACAATCTTATTTGTAGGGAAATGTCAATAAATAAAAATTTAATGTGGAAACCAGTTAAAAGGCCCATGAAAGTCATTTCTTACCAGGCAAGATCAAATCCTGAGATCAACTGCCTCAAATTGCCTAGAGTCGGTGATTAGAAGAGAAATATATAAAGCTTAGCTTTCAACAAATTAACTCTTCACATATTTAAAGACAGTTGAGGCTTACTTTTCTGAAAATGTGGGGTTTAAGAAAAAAAACAACCCAAGCAAATAGAAAATGGTAGTTCTTTAGACTTACAGAAGAAAAGCATGCACCTGTTTAGAAAGTGTTGGGTTCCTTTTTAATTTTTTCAAAGGTTTAGGTTTGGTTTGATGACATGATCTTGATATTATTATGGTAATAAGCTGCATTTGCTAACTATGTTGTATGAGATAATTATTGGTTGTTTTGAATCTAAAGTCTTTGAGAAAAATATTTAATCATAAGCTAAATTCATCATAATTATGCACTTTTTAGGAGGAGTTGTCATAAGATAGATTTGAATTTACATTGAGTTTTAGATTGGAATGATAATGATAAGCTTCCTAAAGGTGGCTGGAAATTTGTCCTCTTCATAGATCAATCACTTTTTACACTGCAGTGACAATTTCATTTTTGTTCAAAGGCTTTTGTAACAGAGTCTGTTATTTCTCTTGCAACGTATGTTATCTCTTTTTTCCCTAAACCCTAATTCTTAGCTGGCCTCACTCCCAATGGAAAAAAGATGTTTTCCAGCAACCGTTGAATTCAATGTGGACATATTATTAAGGTCAATCTGATGCCCTACAAATAAATGTCTTTTGTTTAACTTTCTAGAAGAGGGTTTATAGCCCTTTTGTCCCTTCTTTCCTTTCTGCTAGCTGAAAAAAAATTCTTTCACACATGACAGAGAAATAAACTGTTATTTTATTTAAGCCATTGTTATTTTGAGTTACTGTATCTCAAGATAACTTAGTTATCTAAGTTGTCTTAGTTTACTGTCACTCAAGATAACAGTTCCAATTACAACAACATTTATAAAATAAATTAAAAAAAACAAGAAGGCTACCTTCACGTTAGGTAAAAAAAAAATTACCCAGGAGCTAATGATTTTTTAAATCTTGCTGAGTGTTTTCTGGATCCTATGATTTCCTGTTTGGTTTATTATCTAAATTGTTTGCATTTATCAGTTACTGCTGCTATGACTCAATCATTATAATAACATGATCGAAAGCCTCCTATTTAATATCTACTGCAATGCACATTTGCTGCACTGATAATATTCAAGTCTGCCAAACAGGATAAGAAAAACAAATGGGATAGAAGAAACTCATAAGATATGCTAAGCACAGTTAATGAATAATTTAGCAGCTTGTGAAGAAAGGAAAAGCTCATAAAGATGTGTTAGGTAGAGGTGGACAAATAAGTTAATTACCTAAGAAACGTGTCAGCCATAGATACAGTAACTAAAATGTGTGTGTTAAGCTTATATAGAAAGGGCTGGAAGAAACAGGATAAAAGTAATATTATGATAGTTGAAGTCCTGAAAGGGTTGTAAGCATGTTATTCAGCCTTCTAGTTGCTCCTCATTTGCTACAACTAAGACTCAATAGCTTAGTTGAACTGACTTTTTATGTTACTCTTCTGAGAGAACACAGTAAAAAGCTCAAACACAGACAAAAGTAGGCATCCTGGAATCATTCTATGCATTGCCAGTTAGATGTCTGGGATGACCTTTGGGAATTACTCCTTTTGGAGAGCCTCCTTCATGTCTTCCAATACACACCCCTGTTCCTTGGTGGTTTATACTTTGGCTATGCCCAGTGATATACTGGACACTGTGTGTCAGTTCCACCTACTTGCTCAAAGATCTTACTTGTGAATTCTGTCACACAAACACTCCAATTTTCAACAGCTACATCTGTGCTCTCCCTCACCATGGCTCCCTACTACAAACTTCAAACTTCCAGAAGATAAGTGTCTGGGGAACTGACTGGTCCTTGAGCTTAAGGAAGCATTGTAGAATTAATAGCTTGCTTATAATAAAGGTGGCTGTCACCATCAAAAGAACAATGAAGTATTATAGCTCTGGATTCACTACTGAGCAAATAACAAAATGGATTAACTCTTCAGAAGAAAATAACAGTGACAGCCTGATATTTCATCATTTCATCATGGCATCAATTGAAATTGATAAGGGTCTAAAACCAAATTTATCAATAGCTGGGTAGAAGAGATTAACATCCTAGACATTAATGAATTAAAAATAAAAGTCAGCTGCTTTAATAATCCATGGACAGAAACAAAAAGAGATTTTTAAATGGGCCCAACACTCAGAAGAGTGTGAACAATGATTAATTTTTAAAAACATACATTTGTGTTTTTTTTTCACTTAGAAGAAATCTGCATTTGTCTAGCTCTCTAATTTTTTTTAATTATTATTATTATACTTTAAGTTTTAGGGTACTTGTGCACAATGTGCAGGTTAGTTACATATGTATACATGTGCCATGCTGGGGTGCTGCACCCATCAACTCATCATTTAGCATTAGGTATATCTCCTAATGCCATCCCTCCCCCCTCCCCCCACCCCACAACAGTCCCCAGACTGTGATGTTCCTCTTCCTGTGTCCATGTGCTCTCATTGTTCAATTCCCACCTGTGAGTGAGAACATGCGGTGCCTGGCCCTTTGTCCCTGCGATAGTTTACTGAGAATGATGATTTCCAATTTCATCCATGTCCCTACAAAGGACATGAACTCATCATTTTTTATGGCTGCATAGTATTCCATGGTGTATGTATGCCACATCTTTGACAAACCTGACAAAAACAAGCAATGGGGAAAGGATTCCCTATTTAATAAATGGTGCTGGGAAAACTGGCTAGCCATATGTAGAAAGCTGAAACTGGATCCCTTCCTTACACCTTATACAAAAATTAATTCAAGATGGATTAAAGACTTAAACGTTAGACCTAAAACCATAAAAACTCTAGAAGAAAACCTAGGCATTACCATTCAGGACATAGGCATGGGCAAGGACTTCATGTCTAAAACACCAAAAGCAATGGCAACAAAAGCCAAAATTGACAAATGGGATCTAATTAAACTAAAGAGCTTCTGCACAGCAAAAGAAACTACCATCAGAGTAATTTTTTTAAATTCAGAAAATTCTATCGTGTAAAGGAAAGGGCGGCTACCGGCATACCTCAGGTTTTTGTCAGAAGCTCTGATTTCCCTGCCTCTTTATTCCCTTTCTCCAAACTCTTCTCCACACTGATTCCAGATAACTCTTTAAACTGGCAATCTGATTGTGTCACTCCTTTGCTTAAAATTCTTCAGTGAGTCTTTACAGGATAAAATCTAAAGTCCTTTGCCTGATGAAAATCCCTTTGCAATGCACACTGTTTAACTTCAGGGCCTTCTCTTCCTTCTCTCTTTCCCCTGTTCTCTGTGTTTCCCTGTAGAGTGCAGTGGGAAGTCAGCCTGCTGGGTCTCCCGCTGGTGACGACTCCCAGCAGCACAAATGGCCTTGGATTTCTTCCACCCCCTTCCTTTTCCAGGCATTTTCACTCAGCCCTGCCCAGAGAACAGCTGCCACTCTGTCCAATTCTGTGGGTCTGTCAGGCCTCTGCTGCTCCCACTTCTCCTTCTTTCTCCTGGATCCCGATCTTTTCAGCATCCCCTCCAGTGTCCTCTTTCACCTGCCACAAAAAAAATAAAAACAAAACAAGCCCACATTTAAAACAAATTATTAGAGTCAGATATTTTCTCCTTTCTTAAGACCTAGAGAGCTTGTCGATTAAACAAATAAACAAATAAAATATCACACACAGTCCCTCAATCTCCATTCCCTTGCTCTTGGTGAGGGTGATGAGCAAGACAATATCTGCCTTGTAAATCAGCAAGACGGAAATATACACATACATATACATATTCATATATTCATACACATATACCTACATATATACTTGTACATATGTATATGTTTCTATGTATATATGTGTGTTTGCATATAGAATATGTGTATCATGTTACAGAGGTAAAAACTGTTATAAAATGGGAAGTTTTACCTTGGCTCTTACCAGGGAGTGATTTTAGGGCAAGATGCAACTTTCTCTCTCTCTCTCTTCAAACTCTTTGTGCCTCTCTCTCTCTTTGTGGCTCTCTCTCAGTCATTAATTTATTTGCTAAGAATTGTTTTAGCAGTAAACAAAAGACATGCAAAATTCTTCCTCTCATAAAATTTGTGTTTAAAAAGGAGAGGACAGACAATACACACAAATAAATCTAGAAAGCCAGCAGGGTAAAGTGATGGGCAGCTAGGCAGTGACCATGGGGAAGGTAAGGGTGGTGATGGTGTTTGAGGTACATTTCTCAGGCAGCTCCCCAAATTGTGATTGAAAGTTTCCTCCGATGGTGGGAGAAGCCTAATGCATTGTTTGGTTTCAGTATAGCATTTTCTTTTACATATTTATTCATAATGTAACTTTTTTCAACATTTTGAAGCAGCTTACCACTTAAGCCCCATACTGTCATGTGAAACGTTGAAGCCCATTAAGATAGACCTCAAACATAAGAACAAAATAAGAGACCAGACGCGGTGGCTCACGCCTGTAATCCCAGCACTTTGGGAGGCCAAGGCGGGTGGATCATGAGGTCAGGAGTTCGAGACCAGCCTGGCCAAATGGTGAAACCCCGTCTCTACTAAAAATACAAAAATTAGCCAGGTGCAGTGGCAGGTGCCTGTAATCCCAGCTACTCAGGAGGCTGAGGCAGGAGAATCACTTGAACCCGGGAGGGTTGCAGTAAGCCAAGATCATGCCACTGCACTCCAGCCTGGGCAACGAGCGAGACTCCATCTCAAAAAAAAAAAAAAAAAAAGAAAGAAGAAGGTGGGGCTTTGAAGGAAGATGCTGACTCTGAACCAGCCCACCTAGACTAAGAGAGTGATTGCAATGTAACAAAGGATCCCTAAACAGTCAAGGCAAAGGAACAGATGAAAGGGTTTCGAGGATCTTCATATTGAAGGAACGCAAGTCTAGCCAACTTAGCATGGTTTTTCTTAGTAAAGCTTTTCCATAACCAAGATTTTCCCTGGTTCTTTCATCTTAGAGAAATTCATAAATTGGTTGTTTTGGGGGGACAGTTAAACAACAGAATAAATAATGTTCAAAAATCATCTCTTTCATCAATCTTCTGTAAAGGCTAAAGGCATAATACTTAATTACAACTGTGTAGAGGCAATACGATGGCTTGCTTTCTGGAATTACTGTTTTTCTCATTATATAAATATGTATTAAGAAAAGATGGTATACTTTTAACTTTCTACTTGGAAATAATTTTGAACATGCAGAAAGTTATAAGAATAGTTCAAAGAAAACAAGGATCTGTTTTACTCAGATTCAACCATTGTTAATATTTTGTCCATCTGCTTTATCTTTGTTATTTGCTATCTATCTACATTTTTTTCTGAACTACTAGGAATAAATTACATACAACATGACCCTTTAACTATCAATGCTTAAGTGTGTATTTCCTAAGAATTAGAATATTCTCTTGCATAACTACATTGTTTTTAACATTTAAGAATCTACTAACACTATTGTCATTTTATCAACTGAACAAAGACCTGTGTAGCTTTTGCTTTGTTTTGTTTTGTTTTGTTTTTCAGTACTTTCAGTATAGGATCCACTCTAGGATCACACAGTACATTTAATTTTCAGGCTTCTTGAATCTTTAATCTGGAAGAGTTTCTCAGCTTTTACTTTTTATAACATTTTTGAAGAACATTTCCTTCCAGTTAATAAAAGGATCATCACTTGGAGTTTTCCTAATGTTTCCTCAGAACTAGATTCATGTTAACATTCTTAGCAGGCATATTGATTTGCATACTCTTAGCAAGAGTGCTACACAAGTCGTTTTATGGTCTTCTTAGGATATCACATGTGGAGACATATCATGTTCATCTATTTTCCGTGTTAATATAAATTTTGATCACCTGACCAAGGTACAGTCCAGCTACTCCAGTGTGTAGTTATTATTTTATTCTCTTGCAATAGATAAGCAATCCATATGGAGATACTTCAAGACTGTGCAATATCCTGCTCTACATAAAAATTTTCCCCTGTGATTTATCACTCATCCGTGATTCTTGCATGAACTGATCTTCATTGTGATGGTTGCGCAATGATGACTTTCATACTCCAGCATGCCCTGCACATTCATCAGTCATCACTCACCTTCTACAATGACCAAGAGCCCTCCCTTCTCCCCAGTTATTTACTCACATATTTATAATCAGCATGTACTTATGGATTCCTATTTGTGCAAAGTTTCTGAATTTATTACTATATTTACTTATTTTGATTCTCAAACTTACCAATGCTTGGCCTGTGAGCTCCTGCGTCTTTGTGACTTATCCCAGATGGTATATACTCCTTAATGTAATGCATGGTAGGACCATGAAAACCAATGTTTCTCAACGTCTGGTCTCTCTTTGTCCTGCATATATCACCCAGGGTGCTTAACAAATGCAGATAACGTCTTCGTACTCAAACCTACTGGACCAGACTTTTTGGGGATGGGCAAACTCAGATGATTTTTATGAACAATAAAAATCAAAGTCGATGACATAGATAAGGACAGAGAAATCTTATACCAGATGGAGTTACCAGGCAAAGAACACTTTTCCAAGACGAATGCAGTAGGGGTCAAAACTATTGTTACAAAGGATAGAGATTAAACTCAGCTCTGCTGAAACAAAAGGAGGCAGGAATTTTAAATGCTAGGGTGAGCTTATGGAAAAGTACTGAAGGATTTTAAGAAGGAAGTTGGTCAAAGTGATTAGATGGTTTCTATTCTCTAATTGGCACTTATCCTAGTTAGGTTCCTATCCTCCCATAGAGACTCAGAGATGGGCCCTATTTTTCTTGATTACGCTTAAAAGGAAGGTGCCCAGATCCTTGAGAAAGACATTACTGGGTTGGAAAAGATTTATATCTCAAAGGAGCAAACAAATAATTTACAATCAGAAGTTTTCTAGTAACTTCTCTAAAAAAGGGAACTTAGGGGCCCACAGTCAGGAAGAATTCTGTCTAAAGTTTAGCCAAACTGGGTGGAATGGTAAGGCTCTTTTGGCCAGTCTCCACAAAAGCAGAGACTAAGACTATCTTGTTCATCTCCGGATTCCCTGTAGCTAGCTCAGTTTCTACCCTGTTGTAAGCTCTCATTAAATACATATGAAATGAATGAATAGATTAATTGTTCATTTTATGATCAGAGTCATCAGGGAAATTGTATTTTATTTGCAGAAATTTACTTAAACTCTGTAGGTGTCCCTCTGTTTCTTTAGGCAATATTTCTCAACCTGTTCAAACTCTAAAAATCTCCTGGAGGGCTTCATAAGAATCAGGTTCCAGAGCTGTACCTAAGATTTCACTAAATTAAAATGTCAGGAAGTAGAGAGGTAAGTATCTGTATTTTAATGCAATTTAAAAATGCTACCAGGGGAGATGATTTAAGCATCTATTTCCTTAACATCTCAGCACCATAGGATCATATTTTAAAAGCCTCAACCTGTATTTATTTCAATAAGATGTCAGGTGACTCTATTCAGCTCAAATTTAAAGACAGGATTCAGTTGCCATTTCCAAGTCTGAGGGTGCCTGTGGTGTTATTGAGCACTGGTCTTAATCATACCCTCTTCTGCTGTAGCCTCCGGTTTTATGGGAAGCATAAGATCAAGTCCTGCTGAGATTTTAAATGCAGCCTCCGCTACTGCTGTGTTCTGAAACCTAGAGGCGTTGAGCTAGTAGCATTTGTATCAATTACTATTAAAGTAAAAGTTTGGCACAACCACATCTCTTGAGTAAGCGTGTAATGAAAAAAAAAATCACAAAATGCTTTTCTCTGAACACATTCTAGATTCTATCCCCAGGATGGTGGGCAAAATTTCATCCTCGAGAGGCTATGGCACATGTCCCTTGTTTGTACCCCTTGAAAACTAGTTGGAGAAATTGCCTATATAATTATTTCAACTGGGATTAAAAAGAAAAAATACCCGCTAATCAGTATCAATAATATAACTCTTACAGAATTGGTAAGAAAACCTCTAAATCTTGCATTACTGTGAAAATTAAAGTTTTATTCAAAAGCTGTAGGGATTATAATAAGAATAATTTCCACTGCTGGTTAAGAGCTTACTAATTTCCAAGCATGCCTCTAAGTAGTCCTTATGCATCATCTTATTTAATAATCATAATGGCCACATAAGGTAGATAATTATTATGCTCGTTTTACAGATAAAGACACTGAGTCTCAAAGAGCTTAATTAGCTAGCTCAAGGCCATATTGCTAGTATTACATTAGTGCAAAAGTAACTGTGGTATTTGCCATTTAAAAAAAAAGTAATGGCAAAAACCACAATTACTTTTGCACCAATGTAATACATGCGGAAGCAGAGCTTCAAATGCTAGGAGCTGTCTTCAGAGTTAGCACCAACGTAATATTTTTAACTGGTGGTTCTCAATCAGAGACAATTTTGTCCCAGAAGACATTAGCAAAGTCTGCAAGCTTTTTGTTTGTCAAAGGGAGAGTTAGAGGGTGTGCGTGCTATTGGCATTGTGTGGGTAGAGGCCATGGATGCTGCTAAACACGCTGTAGTACACAGAACAGCCTCCACAACAAGTAATTATCCAGCCCAACATATCAATAGTACCAACACTTAAAAAACCTGGCACATTGGAAAATAAAGCCTTTTGAGGTTATTTTATGAAGTATACATTATATATACATATATGTATATATTATATAGAGTTTCCTGAGAATTGTTCATGCCGTTAAAGAGGAAAAGCTATACTGTCGATTTCAAGCTCTACGTAGTAATAGAAACCTGGAGAGAACACTGAAAAACTAAATTCCTGTGGAACATTAAAAATCTTTAATTTAGTTAAGTATTTCATCAAACAGCTTTCCAGAACCGTTGATTAGAAAGGTGTCTGTTTCCACAGAGAATCTCTGAGTCAACTCTACCAGATGTTTTATTTCATGTTTTCCCCAAAGATATTTTTATTTCAGAGCAAGACTCATTGAAATGTTAATTTCGGTAAAATTGAGCTAACTTAGGTAACATATCTTCAGTGTTATATTCCTTTAGAGCTAAGATTCTATATAATTTCAATTAAGATGACTCCCCTGATTTAGAATTAAATAGGTAAAAGTAAGCAATTCGAATAGGGCAAAATCTTAAGATGTTATTAAAATCAACATAATTTTATATTTCCTTGCTTGATTTTTTTTTGAAGTCATGAATTGAAATATATTCTAATTGGAAAAGCAATAAGAGTGAATGAGGCTCTGTCGGAAATTAAATTTAATCTTTCTTTTTAATGATGCAGCCAACAAACTTTGGGAAAATGTCAAAGAAATATTTTATGCTTACTTAAATCAATGGACTAAATGAATACTTCTTTCTTCAGTTGTATCTTAAAGTCAATATACCTAAGCCACAAGCATTTAATATATATTATAAAAGAGTGATTCCTTTCTAAACCATCATCGTTAGAGTCTTTGGAAAAAATGACGATAAAATAAAATTCTTCTGATAGCTAAATCTTTTTGTGTGGAACCCAAATATTTTAAAATATACCATCGCAGTTATCAGTTGCTAACAATATTCCTGTCAAATGTAAAATGCTGCATGTAAAATATTTTTCAAATTTTAAGTGGTTATGCATGAGCAATCAATGTGCACTTTCATTTGTCAAGAGTAAGAAGTTATTACCAAGCAAAGCAATTTTAGAGCAAGAAGAGCTTTAAAAGTTTGCCCAGTACATCTTGTTCCTTTTAGAGCTGAGAACACTGATGTCAGAGAGGATGACTTTTCCAAAGTAGTAGAGTATATGGCTAGGACTGGCTGTTAAGCCACTGATTCCATGCAGCCTCTTCTACTACATTGTGCCATTATTCCCAAGAAGTAAAAATTAGTTTTTTCCCCTTTCAATACTTAGAATGCCAAGTATAGTGTAACGTACCAAACTAGCTGTTATGGTCAGCAGATGCCAAAGAGCTTAAAATCTTTTGGGAAAGGAATAAATGAAAAAGATAAGAAATGGTAATACAAGGCACAAACTCTGGTAGAGAAGAGACATTTCCAGTTGGGATGAAAACAATCATCTTTAAGGGGAATGGTTTATCTGAGTCAGCTCTTCAAGTAGAAATGGGATTTCAAGAGAAAGAGTAAAAGGACAGGAGCTTTCTGAGTGGGGAGATCTATGTGAACAAATATGCAGACGTAGGAAATTATAGGCATAGCTGGGAAAAAACGAAAAGACTTGTTGTTCTGGGGTATGTGATTTGCATAAAGAATGTGATAATAAATTTAGGAAAGATAAGTTGGAACCTGGTGACTCTGGTGCCTTGCAATCTCCTGGTGATTGTAGAGAGTCCTAATTGCAGGCCGGGTGCAGTGGCTCACATCTGTAATCCTAGCACTTTGGGAGGCCAAGGCGGGTGGATCACCTGAGGTCAGGAGTTCGAGATCAGTCTGGCCAACATGCTGAAACCCCGTCTCTACTAAAAATACAAAAATCAGTCGGGTGTGGTGGCACACTGCTTAATCCCAGCTACTCAGGAGGCTGAGGCAGGGGTATCGCTTGGACCCGGAGGGTGGAGGTTGCAGTGAGCTGAGATTACACCACTGCACTCCAGCCTGGGCAACAGAGCGAGCCTCCGCCTCAAAAAAAAAAAAAAAGAAAGAGTCCTCATTGCAGCTAGAAGTGAATGATGAGCAGAATTCACAAGAATGGCTGCTTGAATGTGACCCTGTCAAAGGCTATTTTGTCACTAGAGCCTAAGTGAATAATATATAATATGAAGGAAATTTTTGTTTGTGTTTCTAGGATTTATTTTATTTTTGTGGTCAGCAATTATGCAAACCAGGTAACATGATGAAACTTTGGGAAGCTACTAAAACTGCTGTACATGAATGTTGCAACTGAAGTTTTTAAAGTTTCTGATGATTCGTGATACCAAATTCATTGTATTTCTGACATTTGTAGGTCAGATTGGAAACTACAAAAGTAATGAATTATGGATGTAGTTCTGCTTAAAGTTGTTAAAACATTTGGAGTTTACCAGTCAAGTTTTTTGTGATAGAGAAAAAATGACAATTAAATGGTCTAGAACATAAATAATTAATTAAAAAAAGAATTTTAAATAAAAATCTGAAAGAATCTATTTGCCATTGTTTGACTTTTTATTCATGTTTTTATGAGAATCCAGGGATACTATTACTGTGAAGTTTAGGTGCTTCCTGGGAAAGATTTTAAGATTTCTTCTTCTTACTAGAAATTATTCTTTTAAAGAGATGCTGGCAAGGAGAATCATGTGGGTCAGTACACTTTTAAGCCGATTCTAGGATGCTTGAGGCAAGAGTACAAACATGAAAATAAAATGAAGATTTTTCAAGTTTGAAGGAAATATTTCAATTGGAAACCGTGGTTTCCTATGACAAAATAAAACATGGAGTTCCAAAATTAATGATAGCTAATGTTTATTTAGCACTGGGAATTAAATGTTATTCTAAGAGGCTTATATGTACTAAGACAAATACCCAATCAGGTATTTTATAGAGAGGGAAACGGAAGCACAGCGAGATTGAGTAGCCTGCCAATGGTGAAGCTCGAAAATAAATGTAGGCAGTCTGACTCCAGAAAACATTCTCTTAACTATTGTGCCATGTTGTTTCTTAGGACATGGGGAGATATCCAGCTCCAGGAAAAAGTGGAAAGAGCGTGGAAAGGACTATTAGATTAATTAATCCTCCTATCAAAGTAAGGTCAAAAGAACCCTATCTTTAGTAAAGATAGAAGTAGATTAAAATTCATAACATTAGAATATTTTTTTATAATTCCTTCTGAGAAGAACCAGAACTCAGTAAGAGTAGCTGACTCTACTTGAGGCAGAAAATATCGAGGTCAGCCTGTACATTTTGTTACTGCAAGAAAACATGGATACTTTTAAAGGTGTCTGTGGCTGAACTAAACAATTTAGACCCAATGGGCTTTCGTTGTCTGTACTGTCACAACTAGAGCCCCGGGTTATGTTGTGAGAGAATCTAACAATGACTTTAATTATTAGAACCAGTTGACAGCCAGGCACGGTGGCTCATGCTTGTAATCCCAGCACTTTGGGAGGCCGAGGTGGGTGGATCACAAAGTCAGGAGTTCGAGACCAGCCTGGCCAACATAGTGAAACCCCATCTGTACTAAAAGTACAAAAATTAGCCAGGTGTGATGGCACGTGCCTGTAGTCCCAGCTACTCAGGAGGCTGAGGTGGGAGAATCACTTGAACCTGTGAAGCAGAGGTTGCAGAGAGCCCAGGCCATGCCATTGCACTCCAGCCTGGTGACAGAGTGAGACTCCATCTGAAAAAACAAACAAACAAACAAAAAAACTGACATGGAGAAAACCTATTAATTGATGATGATGCTCAATATGAGCAAACAATATATAGCATGTCTCATGGACTGCATGTGTCTCCCTAAAGTTCATATGTTGAAACCTGAACTTTCAAAGTAGGTGGCAACAGGGCCTTTGGAAGATAATTAGAGTCATGAGAGTAGAGCCCTAATTATACATGGGATTAGCGTCCTTATAAGAAGAGGCATGAGACTGATGGTGTCTTTCTCCACCATGTGAGGATAAAGCAAGAATATGTCAATCTGCAACCCAGGAAGAGGACCTTCACCAAATGTCGAATTAGCGGGCACTTTATCTTGGACTTACCAGCCTCCAGATCTGTTAGAAATAAATTTCTGTTGCTTAAGTCATCATGTCCATGATGTTTTTGTTCTAGCAGCTTGAACTAAGACAGTATCCTAGATAAAAATCATATGTGAGTTATTTTATGGGTACAAAATTGTCAACAACACAAATATATGACCAATGGTGCTACAGAAATGACCACACAGCCTCCCCATCAAGATTCAGGTGTGAACTACAGTGAAATTACTGTGTGAACATGGTCCCCGTATTCAGTATCAGAAACATCCCTAATAAGAGAATTAAATCAAAGCAGGAGACTGGCTGCAGGCAAATAGATTTTCTATGAGGATATGACCTTGTTGCTTCATGTAGAAAGCAACATCTTGGATATGTGTAAATATACTTGATTAAAAGTGTAGCTTGTTTGCTTTTTTCCTAAGTTCTCTCTGACTACTGATATATACCCTGATGACAAAAGGCCTGGGCATGGCAAAAATGGATTTCTCATACCCAAAAGACCCCTTCCCTGCTCAAACAGCATCACAAGCACTATCCGCACCTATTAGATATTGTGCAGGCCAAGAAGGCGGTGCTGTGATACATGCATCTGCTTCTTCTCCAAGGGGTCAACCCATACCCAATACTTTTTTTGCATTCTTGTTTAATTAAATTGGAAATGTAATCAAATATGTCAATGAGTATATTTTCAGTATATTCTTTCCCATTTGTAGGATTATCTGAAATAATACAACCTTTAATATAAGTTTTCGAAGTTCTGTTAGACTTATATATCGGTCATATTACTCAACCTTTTGTACCATTTATTTGATTGATGGGTAATTGTATTCTGATTATATGTTTACAATAATACCAAATTTATAGGATTGTTGGAGATGATGCCTAGCACATCTGAAGGTCCCCAAAAAATGTAGTCTTTTATTACTACTACTTCAAAGTTGACAAAGAGAGTCAACTTTATACTCCTAGAGCCCCTTAAGAATATAGCATAATGGTCGCCAACATGAACATTGTGGGCAGCACAGTGTACCCCTGCTCACAGTCCTAGGAAATCCTTGTACTCCAGTGTGCTAGAGTTTCTCCGACACTGGAAAACTGTTGCCTTTATTCAATTTGTCTCAGTAGCTCTCAACCTCATGAAGAAAAAGTCAGTGTTAGGAGAGAAGAAAGAGATCAAAGAGAAGCATTTGGGGCAGAGATTACGGGAACGATGTAACTACTGCAAGATGGTCAGAGAAGGGTTTATATTTTGAAATAATGTTCAAATATTGATCATGACCCAGAACTTTTCCTTTTGTTCTGGGATACAGTGAGATGAAGGAGAGTACATTTTGCATTCTCATTTGCCCTTCCTTTGTATATTCTTTTGTAACACCTATCATTAAATAGAACTTCCACCGGTACTCAAGCCACCCCAATGTGGTATCAGTCATTTAATTTATAATACACATGTGCTAAAAGTTCTGAGCTTTTCCGAAACCTAAAATCTCTCTCAGTCCATGTTCTGAAAGGACAGTAAGAAAAGGCACTTTACAACTATTACTGAACATCTAGGTGGTTAGAGAGACCAGACAAATCACAGAAGCACTGTGCACACCCATAGTAAAGGGAATTAGGAAGAACAGGTGACTGCAGCTTTTCATATTTAAAGGTTGTCTGGAAATCAGAAACAGCATATTTGACTACTCTAGTAAACTCCAAAGTATATAGTGACTCAGACAGGGTAAGTTTATTCTCATATATTTAAATGTCAAATAGATAGTTTTATTCTGCCAGTAGCTCTTCTCCAATAAGTGATTCAGGGACTTGGGCCCGTTGATTCATGTGTCTCTGTGATCTTCAAGTCCTTATTTCCCAGGTTACCAAGTTTGTCTGTCTCAATCCTGAAGAAGAAAGAGCATGGTGGGTCTAGCACCCATGGGCAATATGTTACATTCAAGCCTGAGAATAGCACATCTCACTTTCACTCACAGCCCATTGGCAAATATTCAGTAACTGCAAAGGATACTGGCAAATGCAGTCTAGCTGTGTGCCCAGAAAGAAGAGTAAGTAGATTTAGTTAACTGTTAGCCACACACCTGTGGGAAAAATGCTAATAAAAAATCATACTTTAAAATTTTAACTGAGAATAACACACCTCACTTTCACTCACAGTCCATTGGCAAGTATTCAGTAACTGCAAAGGATACTGGGAAATGTAGTCTGGCTGTGTGCCCAGAACGAAGAGTAAGTAGATTTAGTCAACTGTTAGCCACACACCTGCTGGAAAAATGCTAATAAAAAATCATACTTTAAAATTTTAACTGAGAATAGCACACCTCACTTTCACTCACAGTCCATTGGTAAGTATTCAGTAACTGCGAAGGATACTGGGAAATGTAGTCTGGCTGTGTGCCCAGAATGAAGAGTAAGTAGATTTAGTCAACTGTTAGCCACACATCTGTTGGAAAAACGCTAATAAAAAAATCATACTTTAAAATTTTAACTGTCTCTTTGAGAAGCATTTTGCCTTTTAAAATTATATAAAATATAACTGTATTCATATTTTATATACAGGTATATATTTATAATTCTCACAAACAGTTCATATTGAAAGAGTCAATCTAAGAATTCATCACTGACCCCACCTGGGCTTGAAATAAAATTCATTACTAGCTGGACAATCCTATCAGATATCATTTATTTGGACAGGCTCTGTACAGTAATTCTCTAGTATTCCAGTGTACTGTTTGGTATAACTTATAGTATAAGCAGAGTGGCTCTTAACTTGTATCATCTTGTTCATTTCATTAGAACTTAACTAATAGATGGATTGTGTCTGTAATCCCAGCACTCTGGGGGGCTGAGGTGGGAGGATTACTTGAGACCAGGAGTTTGAGACCATCCTGGGCAACATAGGGAGACCCTGTCTCTAAAAAATAAAAATAAATTAGCCAGGCATGGTGTCGCACACCTGTAGTCCCAGCTACTCTGTAAAGCTGAAGCAGGAGGGTCACTTGAGCCTAGGATGTCGAGGCTGCAGTGAGGTATGATCATACCATTGCACTCCAGCCTGAGCAAGAGAGCAAGAACCCCATCTCTGAAAAATAAAAAAAAAAGAACTTAACTAATAGACATTAGCAAGGCCCCCACTACAGACTGTTCACACCTATGTTTATAACTGACACTAAAGCTGCAACAAGGGCTGCATGGACAGAATTCCAGGTGTTTAGAATTGCAAAGTGAATTGCTGTTTTAATTAATGCTTGAAAGTAAATTGCAGTTTTCATGCATATAATACATTATTATTAACTATAGTCACCATGCTGTCCTTTAGGTCTCCAAAACTTATTTATCTTATAATCAAATATTTGTACCTTTTGACTAATATCTCTCCATTTCTTCCACCCTGACCCTGGGTAACCACAATTCTACTTTATTTCTGTGACTTTTTTTTAGATTCCACATATAAGTGAGATAAGGAGGTATTTGTCTTTCCGTGTCTGGCTTATTTCACTTGAAATTTGTTAAGAGAGAAGATTTTAAGTATTATAAGCACACAGTAAAAGGGGGGTAATTTTCTGAAGTGATGCCTATGTTGATAGTCATTTCATAATGTATACATATATCAAAACATCATGTTGTACACCTTGAATATATACAATTTTTGTTTGTCAATTATACCTCAATAAAGTTGATAAAAGATCAATTGTATTAACAGAACATACATTAAAAAGACAAAATCATCCATCACAATAATGTTTTCCATATTTTCATAGTATGCACAGTCTAAACAAGGACCTTCAACAGATTTTAATTTTGTATTTGTTGGTACCATTCAAACAGTTTTCATCTGGGTATTATAATACCAAGTATGCATGTAGTGCTCACTGGAAAAAAAAATGAATGATTTTTGATCCACTGTCATTACAACTTTTTTCATGAAGTAACTGGAAAATTGCATATATTATCCTGTCACCCCCAATTTTATAGTCCTGATGCCTTTTATAAATCTATGGCTAAGGGAGACCTGCAGAATCAGAAAATTCCCTCGGAGTGGGTCTGGGCTTGGGAACAATCTAAGTAGCCTAGGGAAGCTATTACTGAAAGTGGTTTCTCCCCAGCTGAGAAATGTTTCAAATTTAAAGATTTAAAGTCTCCCAACCAATTCACATGACATGTCAGATGAGTGTGTTAAAGAGCTCAAAACAATTTCTTTAAAATTCTAACTTCATCTCTATAGGGAAAGAAATAAGTTGGGATGTTGTTTCTTAATTGGCACACTCATTGAGTGTCTCTCCATGAAGGGCAATCAGTTAGTTTCTATGAAGCAAAGACCAGTAAGCTCTGGCCTCTGCATTAACAAGTGATCATTTAGTAAGAGTCACAGGAAAGCAGAATTAAGGATAAGGACAAAATCTCAGGTGGAAATGTGGGGGAAAGGTGTGCTGAGTAATTTCTTTCTCATGTTATAGAGAAAGATGAGCAAGAATATAGACAAAGATCGAATAGGAATGTGTCTGCCTAGACTGTGTTAGACTATAAAAATTAGCTTCATTGATACGTGCTTAAAAGCAGGAGTAGGATTCAAAATATTTACCAACTGGTATGGTTTGGGCACCAACCCTTCAGTACAGCTCCTGAGTCTAAGCAACCGATCGGGCAATGAGTACCAGCAGTGGGCGCCCTACTGAAGAGGCCAATTGAGCACTCAGTGTGGCAAGAGAAAGTTGGAGGAAAACAGGGGCTACTGCATGGACAGACTATTTGATGAGAAAACAACACTCAAAGATGATTTCTGTCTTTGCTGTGCATGGCCAACCCTGATGTCTCATCAGGAGATGCAGGCCAGGTGAAATAAAGCCACTCAGGGCTATTGAGATCCTGTGATGCTGTGATTTATCAGAGTCAGCCAGAGGACTCATGTCATCTCTTGGTGTATATCCAAAATGCTGGCGTTTGCTGGACTACTAGACTGCTAGAATGCTGACGAAATGATTGTAATGGCTTCCTCCCTAACTTCTCTCCAATCTCTAATTGTCTGTATTTTTTCCATAATGAATATCATCATCTGAACTTGCATTATTTGTTCACTTTTCTCCCTCACTTAAAATATAAGCTTCATGAGAGCAGAGCTTTGTTTTATTATTGTTGTTGTTCACTGCTGTATCCCTAGTGCCTAAGACCATGTCTGGTACATAGTAGACTCTCAATAAATACTGGTGTATTTATGAATAAGTAATAACAGTAACTGTCACCTAGTAAGGGCTTAATCTATTTCAGAAGTAGGCTCTTTAATTGCATTACCTGATTCTTTGTAGCCTTAATGTCCTTATAAGTTTTTGCACAGTAATGGAGTGACATTAACAATAGAAATCTAAATATCCCCTGCCTCCACTCTTGGATTTCCATAGGGTGCCTCCCATCTCAGCACAAACTGACCGCAAGCTCAAATCACCCTGAGGCAAACTTTTCTAATATTTTTGTTCCTTATGTCTCTTTTTCATATGGTCAGCCCCCGTTGCCCTGTAAGCCATAGGAATGTGCCTCCCACTGCCACAGTGGAAAGTGTTATCAAAACAAAAATTGGCACAGGACAAAGTTCAACAAAGAAATTTTTATTCAAAGCTATTGCACTAAGGGAGAGAGGCCAGAATTAAGTCTGAACTTAACTGAACTGAGCTGAAAGGGAAAACTCAAGCTATCTATGTTTGCTAATTGGCAATATTCAAAGAGGGAAAACTCAAGGTGTCCGTGTTTGTTAATTGGCTTTACCCAAAGGAAAAGTAAATGTGCACTTATCTTCATGTCAATAGACAGTTTTACAATGTGGAGCAAGATACCCACAAAAGCTAGGCATCTGTCTCACCACAGAGACTGAGCGAGAGGGATTCTATCTTCCTTGATGATAGGATAGCCATCAAAGGGATGGCTCCCAGGTCCTTAAGAAAGATACTCGTAGGTTATAAACGCTGGCCAGAAGCCTTTAAAATGATATATATCTCAAAGGAGCAGAGAAGGAATTTGAAATTACAGGCTTTCTAAAGTAAATGTTCTAAGAAAAGCGAGGTCAGGGCCCTGGAGTGTCTAAAGTTTCATCATGCTGAAGGCTGCCTTCGTCAGTGTTCACCATGGGAACACCCAGTGCAGGGCTGTCTCTTGCTACTCTCAGAGCCAAGGGTCATTAAGATGCCACAGCAGCACTGTGGTCCATGAAAAAGGAGAATGCCCTTCTCTCCCAAAGGGTACCATGCGGTAACTTGAACCTTTAAGTAGCACTTTCTGTGTAATTCTAGTTCCCATCTCTCTGTCCACTGGATCCAATATCAAACTAAAGGACTAGAACATGGCACAGAGTATGGCATCCTCTCCCTCTCCCTCATCCAACTTACCTTTCCCTCTAACTGCTTAATTGTCAATCCTGAAAACTAGTTTTCTCTACTTTTAGCAAAACCAAACCTCATGCATATGAGTCACCAACTCACTAGCTCCATAAACACTATATTCTGGATCTGACTTTGAATTTTTCTCAGACACCTTAATACATTACAACAACGCTGTTAGGTAGGCATTGTTATTCCCATATTACAGATAAGGAATTTGACATTTATTCAGTTAGAGTAACTTTAGGCGAGTTAATCTACACAAAACTAGAACTTGGCGAAAGAGGGAAGCAAAATTCAACCCAGAATGTTTAACCCCAAGTCTGTGCTCAGAACAGCTAAACCATAACTGATTAAAATAAAAATTCTGAGCAGCTCTACTTTTTTCATCAAAACACTAATATATTAAGAAGGAAGTAAATTTACTCTAAGAGGGCTGGAAGAGAGATGTTAAGAAACCAGATGAACAGGGTTCATAATGAACATGGGATAAATTACAATCATTTCTATTGAAATTTTAGCTTTGCTCCCAGGCATTCATCAGTCTCTGAGGCAGTTACCAAGACAAGAGGACCAACCTCTACCTACGATGCTTTGAGGGCTCTGCCCCCTTAGCGCCTCATGCAGCCTTCTACCTATTTAAAATATTTGGTCTCATTGTCAGCCCAACGCAAAGCTGTTGTACCTCACTATGTTAAAAACCTGAGAATAAAGGCCTAATGGTTTCCTAGATTGTTGTTAATTCAATTCTACAAGCCATGTAATCAGGTCCTTTGAAAGTGTGGAACTGACTAATGATTAGTGAATAAAAGGAGCTAAAGCAAAATCTGTGAAGATGTTAATCAATCGGAATAAATAGTTGGACTTCAGCTCAGAGAGGCAGCCCTTCTCCATCCATATAAAAGTAGAGGGGGCGTTGAGGTATTGCATACACTTACACATTCTAGAGTTCTAACATAGTACTTGCAATCGTTACAAATGTTTTTAATTAACTTAGAACCAACCATCTCATCCATCTTTCTGCCAGTGAAAGATGGTCTCTGGGTTATAGTTATTTTTGTTTAATATTTTTTAATTTCTCAAATTATGGACAGTTTAGCAGTTTCTTTAGAAATTAAATTAAAATAAAAAAGAAGAAAGTGGGTAAAATAATAATTAAGCTTAACTCCAATCCAGTTCTTCATAAGCCTTCTAAAATACCTTGCAAATGTTTTATTTCAGGCAAATTTAGAAAGCTACTTGTACAAGTGCATATTAAAAGAGTGTCAAGGGAAAAATGCAAATTTGCATGCCTGAGGCAAAGACTGTGCCAGAATGCATGGAGGATACAGAGAAATCGGATGCTAGATTGGGCACATTAGCTTACAGTGTCTCCCATGTGCAGGGGACAGAAGAGCGGGGAATTGGGAGTGGGACTTTTCTTTTACCATTTAGTGACTAAGTCTCCATTTTCCTTCCTCTGCCCCCTTGTCATCCCTTCGCTGACTTCTGATTCACTACCATCCACTTCTCCTTTCTCTTCCTCCCCTTGCTTTCCGCTTCCTTCTCTCAGTCCACAAAATGTCACCAGGGCAGCTAGCAAGGGAAAAAGATAAAGGGATTCAAGTCCCATTTCCACCTCAAACCCAGAGCAGAACCCAGGACTAGGATGAGGCTGAAAAATGAAGGTGCAGATGGAAATAAAACTAATTATATGGGCAATATTTATACTTTATTTCTTAGCCCTCTCCATGAAGGTTTGCCTTTTCGTTTCCAAAAATGATCAATAAGAATACTATCTAAGGCTTTCAAAGTAAATGAAATCATATAAAAATGTACAATCAAATCATATACAAATTTCTCAACCTTCTTGGATATATAGGCTTTGTGACATGAAATATTTTTAGATTTTAATGTTACCAATGAAGATTTATGCATCCATTAGCAACTTAACCAATAGCCTCAAAATGGGGCCTTGACAACAATTAGAGGGCCTTCCCAGGGCCAGGCACTGGGTGTTGTGCATGTGTTGTCTTACTTAGTTCATACACCAACCTTGCAACTTACGATCTTTTCTATCCTCAATTTATAGTTGAGAAAACTGGATCCTAGAAAGATTAACTAATTTATTGAAAGTCAGATAATCTATGTCAGATCTGGGATTCAAAACTTCATCGTTTGAATACATAGCCTAAACTTTTAAAAGCAGTACTCATCCAAAATTGACCTCCTGATCATCCTTCTATGGCTGTCCAATCATTTTCTCCACTTCTAACACCTCAGAGTTACCAAGCATCCAGTCTAAATGAATCTCTGTCTTCTGCCTCCTCTTTCATCTAAACATTTTACTATCTAGTCCCCTGTTATAACCCACTCTGTGAGAAACAGACATAGCCATCAAGGGCCCTGCCCAAGACAAGAGGTCTCATGAGTCCAGTCTCTTAAAGTGGTTCTGGGGCATGATCCAGAGTTTCTATCAAAAGTCAAGCCCCCTCAGTTCCTGCAGCTGTAATCAGCCTCTATGCAAAAAATAGGTAGACACATTAGATACATGTAATCAAGTGACCAACGGGAAGAATGATCAATGCAGATAGTTGGAGAAACACAGTGGTCCGTCCAGCTGCCATTCAACAGAGACAAGAAATAAGCGAGTTTTGGGAATAAAAAAGAAAAGAAAACATCTGACTAATGGAGGTATGAAGTTCACTTTTAGGAATTGCAGTAGTAGATACATGGACCTGAGACGAGAAGTCTTCTTCCGATAGAAGGTTTTTCTTGATCGAAGGGTTTGTGATCTCACGGGAGGAATGAAGCTGTGGACCACAGTGGCGAGTGTTACCGCTCAGTTAGAGAAACACGCAGACCCAAAGAGTGTGCAGCGGCAAGATTTATTAAAGCGAAAGTGAAAGTAAAACAGAAGCAAAACTAAAGCTTCCATGTGGTGAAAGGGGACCCTGAAGGGTTGCTGTTTCTGGTTGGGTGTCTTATGCTTATAGCCCCTTATGACCCCTCCCCATTTCCTTTTTCTGCCCTATAGAATTAGCTTATTTTCTATCCACTTGTGGGCTAGCGGGCTTGATTGGTTAAAAACATCAGGCTGTAGCTAGAGCTTAAACTCCCTATATGATTGGTTGAAGTTTCAATCCCTTAGCTTGCAGCTATGACTCATTTGGGCTTAGGGGAAAGTCCACTTTGATTGGTTGAAGTTTCAATCCCTTAGCTTGCAGCTATGACCCATTTCGGCTTAGGGGAAAGTCCCCTTAGGGAAGTCCCTATTGACCCAGGAAGTCCAGCCAACTTAGCCACTTAGTCCCTCAGCCCTGGCTTGTGGAAGCAGAGATTCCTAATACGGCCCTCACTTCTCCACTTTCTCCACTGGGGTTGGAAGCAGTAGGAGTAGCTATAGAGGATGTATTAACACCAATTTACAGAGATCCTATTGAATTTACATCTCTCCAGCAGGTGTGATGCAAGGAAAACAAAGCTAATACCCAAAGTCTTTGGTAAGGACTAGCTCCAGGCACTGCATGATGTGGATATTTAAAGAATTGCTGACCCCAAAATCCTGGTATTAACCCAAGAAATCCTGGCGTAACCCAAGAAAATATCTTGGGTGCCATGGAGGACGAATAATGGAGTTTAGGGCTAAGTCCATTAGAAAGAAGCTCTATGTGAGCTGAGTCCCTGGTATCAGGGTATCAGATTGGAACAGGATAATAAAGTAACCTTAATACTGGAAGAGCAAGAATTCTTACAGTTGAGAACCGTTACTTGACTGGTACCTCCAGCCCACCAGCAGGCAATGATGGCATCAGACTAGAGGATCACCAGTAAATCATTGTAAACAGTGAGCAGACTTTCCAATGTTCTCTACTAGTGATAGGAGCCAACACAGAAACTTTGTATCAAGAGGTCCAAGATTTATGAAGTTGTCAAACTAAAAAGACCTCTCTCAGAAAAGAAAAACTGTTTTTGCAATTGCATTTTGTAATTTAGGAGCCAATGTCATACAAATTGCCTATTAGAAATGAATAATGGGCCAGGAGCAGTGGCTCACACCTTTAATCCTAGCACTTTGGGAAGCCAAGGCAGGTGGATCACTTGATGCCAGGAGTTCGAGACCAGCCTGGCCAACATGGTGAAACCCAATCTCTACTAAAAATACAAAAATTAGCTGGGCTTGGTGGTGCACGCCTGTACTCACAGCTACTCGGGAGGTTGAAGCGGGAGAATCGCTTGAACCCAGGAGGCAGAGGTTGCAGTGAGCCAAGATCACGCCACTGCACTCCAGCCTGGGTGACAGAGTGAGATCCTGTCTAAAAAAAAAAAAAAAAAAGGAATAATAGAGTGAGACCATGTCTCAAAATAAAAAAATGAATAATGATTCATTTTGTATACTCCAAACTAAAGAAACTCACATACACACACACTTACCCAAAACTATCTTAGCGTTTCCAAGGTCCCATCTGCAAGTCTATCTTTATTTATAGCAGACATCATGGATACAGAAGGGCTTGGTTCAGAGGTGTCTTCGTAAGCCTACTTTGTTTAGTTTTTCTTTCCCAACTGCAGCCAAGGTGTTCATAAGCAGAAGGTCTCTCCGTTACTGTCCAAGATGTGTCTTTTTACTTTTCTGGAACATGAGAGATGCTGAGTCAATGCTTTGCTTTCTACTAGCTGAGAACCTCAACTGGGCTTTCCTGGGGCTCATTTTGTCCCCCAGTAGCTGATGTCAGTACAGCAACATTGGGGCTGCCACTTCCACCTCACCTCAGGATTCCCTAGTTGCTTAAACCATGTATATACAGAAGGTCTCACAGCCCATAAGGCTGAACAAACGCCACATTTACATGCTTGATTTAAAATCCTGAAAGATAAAGCTTTTAGACACTGGCTAATAATAAATAATAAACCAATTAATTTGTTAACTTAGACTTCATAGAAGTAGAGGTCCAAGTACCAGCATGAAACTGAGAAGATGCACCTCCTTCCTGGAAATGGTCAAGTCCCATTTTCTAGATGAAACTCTGCCACTTAATAATTGTACTTCTTTTAGACAGTTACTCTCATTTTTTTTCTGTAAAATTAGAATAGTAATAGGAGTATTACTCAACCCTACAATATTTCTTAGAATTGTTATGAAGATTAAACCAATTGATACATATAAAGTGCTGATCACAGTGAGAACCTATGACATTGATGAAGAGAGGCTAAGGGACCTGCCCGAAAACCCACAATGCCTATCTGTGTGGGCAAATGGAAGGGAAGGCCCACGTGGATGCATGACTTCTTGTCTCCCACTGAGAACCAGGTCCCTTTAGCTAGCCTGGCTCACAGGTGGGAATGGTTCAAATGATGAGAAAGAGAAGTTAAAACCCAAGCAAAGAGACCTGGCTCCATCAATTTTCTTCCTTTCACTCCCCTTACAAGAATAAATATAGTGCCTGAAGCCACTGCAGTGACACAGAGGTCTCTTTATTTTAAAGTTGACAAAAGGGAAAAGATCCTTTTCTGAATTTTGCTTATTGGTCAAAATAAAAATAACCCGGTTCTGCCACGGCTAAATTTGGATGACTTTTTCTATCCTGCCTCTCTCCCTGGTATATCCCAGTTTACTTATCCATCCTTCAGCTCCTTCTTCAATTCCATGGAGACTTACACTTTAACTTTAAAACTGAACTTTGACATTATTTGGAAGCAGAATCAGAGCTGATGTGAGCACTGTCAAACATAGGAGAGAGGATGAACAGTTAACAGAGTTGGGCAGGGTTCTGGGACCCTTGCCAAGTCCCTAGCCTAGTATTTGGCACATTAAAGATACCTGGAAAAAAAATTAGCTGCCTTCTTTAGTAAGTTTGCTTAAGAATCTTTAATCTGATTTTTCTATCATCAATGCACTCATAATGCATAGGAAATGCCTTCACATAAATAAGTAATGGGCAATTAGAAGGGAGAGACCACTGCCACACTAATAAGGCACTTTAATACAAATAAGGTAAAAAAAAAAAAAAACCTGCTAAGGTTCACGCAGCACCGTGCCAGGGCCTATGGCTTAGGTTGCATAACATAAGCTTCATTTCAGATCCCACTTGCTCCTTTAGCCCCAGACACCTTTGTGCAGAGAAAACAAAACAAAACAAAAAACATCACTTTACCCATCAGTGCTGGTGCTCAGTAAATGTCTCCATATGATACACTTCCTCATTGACCTTTTTAATCCAATTTTGTTTATGTGACAAGTGGTTAGTAACAAGAATCTCAATGAACTCTTGAGTGGGATGGGGCCACAATTTTATAACTACAATTACAAGGTCAGGTAGCTACAGCAAAAACAATAGAGTGCAGGGAACAGGAAAATCATGGTTCATTTTCTCTGAACATCTACTGGCATGGTTGTTAAGGGCTTTCTATGTACTGTCACATTTAATATTCACAAGAATCTGTCAGGTACATTTCCATCTTACAAGTGAGAAAACATTAAATGAGAGAAGTTTGTTAACTGGAAATTGCTGAAGCAAAGATGTGACCCCACTTCAGTCTAACTATTATTTCCCAAAGTACTAGACTGATAGAATATGAAATATTTTAGGTTTGACTTGACACTCAGGTACAACAATAAGCACCATGGATTCACCTGATAAACTGTAATTCTCTTTCCATTTTTTTCTCAATAGTTCTTGAATATGAGTCAGTCTGGTATGAACATACCTCTAACAGCCTCGCATACACACTTGCTGATCTCCCCCTTACAAGCAACAGAAAACAGGTCTTGACCCAGAGCCTTCAACAAACAGTATCTAGATAAATCATCACAATTTTACTCACAGTTGTTATCTTCTATTTATGCCAAATGATAACAGTTTTCCACTTTCCACCTATGATGCAAAGTTTCCATTTTAAATAAAATCAAGTTATAAAGAAAAAATATTAAGGAAATAACAATATGATATGTTCAGCATGGTAGAAATGATTAGAGTGGTAGTCAAAAGTGCTCAGATATGGAAAATATCAGGTATATGTTAAGCCAACAACTAAGAATTGGGAAATAGTACCTTATACCACTAGCCATTTGCACAGGCCTTGGTGTCAAGAAATATACAAGCTTATATCCCAGTTTTGCTGGTTACTAGCTGTGTGACCTTGGAAAATCATTCAGTCTCTCAGCCTCAGTTTTCTCTTCCAAAAATAGTTTATAGTAATGACTTTCAAGGTATCTTTATGATAGGTAAGTGAAATAATTTTGGTTACTACACCTTAACTGCTTGGCACATAGTAGGTGCTCAATAAATATTAGTGTCTTCTACTCTCTCCCTTCTTCCTAGTTAACAGAGTTGGTAGAAGAAGGATTAATTCTCATTGTCTTACCAAGAACTCTTTTTTAACTTTTTTCTTTTTTAAAATTTTTTATTAAAAATTGAGTAAAGTATTTATAAATATATATTTGGCAGAAAGCAAAACAAGTCAACTAACAAAAAATTCATCTATGCCATTACTTTTGTAGTTCTTACATGTCCCTTTCTTTCCCCTTCCCACTAAGAGCAAACCAGTGTTCTAAGTTTTGGGTTTCCTTTTCCTTGTTGTCTTTATAGTTTTATGGTCCCTGATGGCCATTTGAAAGCATCACCTTCCTGATGACTCCTCTTAACACTATTACATCACAGAATAATGACCCAGAACCATAGTAGTGGCCTTGAATTTTCGTTAAGCTTTGTGTTTGGGCTTACAGCAATTTGAGTTTAATTCTAAATAATATACCTTTCTCATTTTCCAAAACAATATCATAAAACACAGAATGTGGCTTAAAAATTTATACAGCATCGGTAACTTGCATATGGAAAGTGTCCTAGGTAGAATCAGAGTCTCACAATTAGAGTGGGGAGGTTCTGATTCACACGGTCATTCAGGGAGCAAGTGTATACCCATATTTCTGTTGCATTCCCATCCCCTAGGACATTTTTCTTGTCTGTATGATCAAAGTTGGGTCCTGGACACAACCATATAATATCTTGCAGAGCGTGGAAAGAGAGAAAGTCCACTTTAAGCGATGGAAAATCAGCCCCAATTCTGAAGGAACAACCATGAACAGATGATTTAAGGAGAATCAATTCTTTGCTCTTTGCAGAAGGAGCCAACAGAGTGAGATGAAGGGGACAACTTCAGATACTCAGGCAGAAGGTAGGCTACAGTGATGTAAGTCCAGCATCTTTATTTATTTTTATTTATTTTTTCATTTTTTAATTTCCATAGGTTTTGAGGAATGGTAATATTTGGTTACATGAGTAAATTCTTTAGTGGTGAGTTGTAAGATTTTGGTGCACCTATAACCTGAGCAGTACACTGAACCCAATTTGTAGTCTTTTATCCCTCACCGCCTTCCCATCCTTTCCCCTAGAGTCCCAAAGTCTATTGTATCATTCTTATGCCTTTGCATCCTCATAGCTTAGCTCCCAGTTATGGGAAATCCAGCATCTTTAAATGATGCCTTGAGACCATATTCTCCTGTGCTTCCCCTGTGAACAAGTAATGATGGATCTAGTAGTTACTACCATGATGTAATGCATGACAGTCCACCACAATCATGTTTCCTAGCCATGCATAACGACAGGAAAAATGACAGATAAGTAAATATACCAATCTAGGCCTAAGGACAAGCATTTGGTTCTACTATTGCCTTTTTGTCCACCTGACCCAATTAGGCGGCTTCATATTTTTTAAAAGTTCAGTGTCTATCTGTAAGTCCCATGAATATATGATCCTAGAATTTAGAAATTATTTTATAATTTGTATTTAATTTACATGGATTAGAATGTTATTAACTACCCTTGGTGCTCATGAAGCATCTTTTCCCCTAATATATCTTCTGCAGTGCAACTTAATAGTGAGTCCCCATAGACAGAAAAATCTATTTGAAGAAAATATTTTAGCAGTTTCTCCCATGAACAGTTTTTTGTTTGTTTGTTTGTTTTTGCCTCCAGCTTCAGTAAAACAAGTTGTAAATAACTTTATAGGCAAAACTTTGGTCCCTGGTTAATCATGAGATTTTTTTTTTCTTTGAAGGCTAGTAATGATATTGATGAGGAAGAGCAGCTCGCTCTACAAAGTTATTTAGGGGCCCAGATGTGTTCCGTCTTGCTCTGCCATGCCCTCCTGTGCTATAACTCTTCTATTTATATGGTAGTCCTTACACACATGGTTGCAGCTGTATTGTCAACACGACATATATACCTGAGAGGGGAGAAAAAATTCCATGGCAAGCATTTATCTTTTGAGACACTGCAATTTGAGACAGTTACAGTGATATTACATACATTACTCCCATTGTTCAGAACTAGTAACATCAGCTTGCCAGCTACAAAGGAGAGAGGAAAATGTAGTCTCTAGTTTCTCATTCAAGGCCTAGGTAAAATGCTATTAAGATGGAAAAGGAAAATAAAATGGGAAAAGACTACAAAGTCTACCGCATGCAATAAACAAGTATACAATTAAATACATAGTATGGCAGATAATGAACAGTACTATGGAAACTGTCTATATATACATATGTATATATATATGAAAACGAGTGAGAGGTTAATATCATTTATTTTAAATAAGGTGTTCAGGAAAATGCCTTCTGGACATGTTAGTAAAATGATGGCAGAAGGACCTCCAAAAACGATCTCCTCCACAAAAGTAATGAGAAAATTGACCAAAAAAAAAAAAGTCAGAATCATTTCTTCAAAATACTGGAAAAAATAACAAAAATCTTGAAGTAACACAGGGAGGATTTATTCAAGAAAAATAAATGATCTCAGCAAGAACAGTGAGTGTCCTAATCTTATCTCCTGCTCTACAGCTCTGCAGTACCATTGAGAAAAAACAGCCCACATTTCCACTGTAGCCCAGAAGCCATCAAAGGGAGTACAAAGGAGCTGCAACTTTTTAAAAAGCTTCATTCCAAAATAATTGTCATTATCTGAGCAGTCTGGTGGTTCTCTGAAATATATCAGTTACAAGGCCACCTGTACTTGGCCTGTTTAGGAGCTCACCTAGTGCAAAAATTATTTTCCCTGAAGAATATTTATCAAAAACAATTACTGGAAAGTGTTTTAACTTTGTGGTTGTCTTAGGCAGTGGATAACAGGAGAAACAGTGACTAAAAATTTAAAAGGAAAAGCTGAGAAATGACATGTCAATACAGTCTTTGAAAAAATCTCCAACATAATTTTTGTTATTTAGAAAGTCATATAGGGTTGTGCACATTCTCAGGGGTGTGGTAATGCTCAGAAAATCCTTAAGAAGTCCCATATTACCACCTCTGGCTGACCATAGGGACCTGTGCAATGAGAAAGTGAGAGCTAAGGCAGAGTTGTCAATTGCCTAACTGAATGTTGAGGGCCTGCTTTGCAACAAGCACACAAAGCCCCTCAGCAAAAGCTGGAAGATGTATTGGTTCCAGACTTTTAAGGAAATTATCCAATCATTAGCTGAGCACTAAGGTAATAGAGTAATCTAAAAGACCACATGTGACAATAAATATGGACTTTACCAAATTAACTCAGAAAATTACTAAACAAACATACAAGACTACTACAGCAAACAGCAGCATCAAATCCTGGAGAAGGGGGAGAATTTTATTTCTAGAATTGTCATATTAGATTATTTTAGATGTCCAGTTTCAAACAAAAGATTATGAGATGGAAATACCTAAGAAAGTGTGACCCATGCATAAGAAAAAAAGCAATAGCAACTATTCCCAAGGAAGCCCAAAAGTTGACTTACTAGATAAATATTTTTCTACCAGCTATATGAAATATGTTCAAAGACCTCAAGGACATGATAGCTAAAGAACTAAAAAAAGGTATGAAAACAATGACTTAACAAATATGGAATATCAATAGAGATAATCTTCGACAAACTTGACAAAAACAAGCAATGAGGAAAGGATTCCCTATTTAATAAATGGTGCTGGGAAAACTGGCTAGCCATATGCAGAAAACTGAAACTGGACCACTTCCTTACACCTTATACAAAAATTAATTCAAGATGGATTAAAGACTTAAATGTATACCCTAAAATCTAAAAACCCTAGAAGAAAAAATCTAGGGGATACCATTCAGAACATAGGCATGGGCAAAGACTTCATGACTAAAACACCAAAAGCAACTGCAACAAAAGCCAAAATTGAGAAATGGGATCTAATTAAACTAAAGAGCTTCTGGACAGCAAAAGAAACTATCATCAGAGTCAACAGGCAACCTACAGAATGGGAGAAAATTTTTGCAATCTATTCATCTGAAAAAGGTCTGATATCCAGAATCTACAAGGAACTTAAACAAATTTACAAGGAAAAAAGAAACAACCCCATTAAAAGGTGGGCAAAGGATATGAACAGATGCTTCCCAAAAGAAGACATTTACGTGGCCAACAAACATATGAAAAAAAGCTCATCATCACTGTTCATTAGAGAAATGTAAATCAAAACAACAATGAGATACCATCTCATGTCAGTTAGAATGACGATCATTAAAAAGTCAGGAAACAACAGATACTGGAGAGGATGTGGAGAAATAGGAATGCTTTTACACTGTTGGTGGGGGTGTAAATTAGTTCAACAATTGTGGAAGACAATATGGTGATTCCTCAAGGATCTAGAACCAGAAATACCATCTGACCCAGCAATCCCATTACTGGTTATATACCCAAAGGATCATAAATAATTCTACTATAAAGACACATGCACACATATGTTTATTGCAGCACTATTCACAGTAGCAAAGACTTGGAACCAACCCAAATGCCCATCAATGTTAGGCTGGATAAAGAAAATGTGGCACATACACACCATGGAACACTATGCAGCCATAAACAAGAATGAGTTCATGTCCTTTGCAGGGACATGGATGAAGCTGGAAACCATCATTCTCAGCAAACTAACACAGGAACAGAAAATCAAACACCACATGTTCTCACTCATAAGTGGGAGTCAAACAATGAGAACACACGGACACAGAATGGGGAACATCACACACCAGAGCCTGTGGGGAGTGAAAGGCAAGGGGAGGGGGAGCATTAGGACAAATACCTAATGCATGAGGGGCTTAGAACCTAGATGATGGGTTGATGGGTGCAGCAAACCACCATGGCACTTGTATACCTATGTAACAAACCTGCATGTTCTGCACATGTATCCCAGAACTTAAAGTATAAAAAATAAAAAATATATATATTCTGGAATTGAAAATAAAACTAAAATAAAAATTTACTAGAGTGGTTCAACAGCAAATTTGAGAGGGCAGAAGAAAGTATCAGCAAACATAGAGATAAGTGGATTGAAATGATTCAGTCTCAGAAAGATAAAGAACAATAATAACAAATTAGCAGTCTTAGAGAGCTGTTACAGATAACATCACCTGTACCAATATATGCATTATCGGAGTCCAGGAGGGGAGGAAAGAAAAAAGGGACAGAAAGAAAACTTGAAAAAAAGGACAGGAAACATAACAAATTTTATTTCAAAAGTTACATTAATCTATACATCAAAGAAGCTCAATGAACTCCAGATAGTTTAAACTCAATAAGGATTATAATCAGATGAGTCATTAACTGTCAAAGACAAAGAAAGAAAGAATCTTCAAAGCAGCCAGAAAGAAGTGATACATCATGTAAAAGGAATCCTCACTAAGATAAACAGCAAGTGTATAATTAGAAACTATTGAGGCCAGGGACAATGGAATGACATATTCAAGTTGCTAAAAGAAAAACAAAAATTTCACTCAATAATTCTAAATCCAGCAAAATTATCTTCCAAAAATTAAAACGAAATTAAGATATCGCCAAACAAAAACTGAGATCATTGTCACTGACAAAACAGCTTTAAGAGAAATGTTAAATGTAGTACTTCAGACTGACCTGAAAAGACACTAGACAGTAACATGAATCTACATGAAGAAATAAAAGATACTGGTAAAAGTAATTATACAGGTAGATGTAAAAGAGAGTATAAATGTATTTGAAATTTGTGATTACTCTTTTTTTCGTATCTGATTTAAAAGACAACTACATAAAGCAATAATTATATATGTGTGTTCATTTATATTACATACAATGTACAAAGACGTAATATGAGTGACAATGATAGCACAAAGGAGAGCAAAAGAAGTGGTGCAATATTGGAGAAAAGTTTTTGTACACTATGGAAATTAATTGGCATAAATCTGAAATAGACTCTTGTAAATAATAATGTTAATCATAATTATCAGGGAACAATTAAGAAAATAACATAGTAAAAGGAATGGTAAAGGAATTGCATGGTACACTAGAAAATATCTATGTAGCCCAAAGAAAGCAGGAATGGAATAATAGAGGAATGAAAAGACATTGAAAACAACTAGAAACATGACAGACATAAATCCTACCTTATCAGTGATTATAGTAAATTTGAAGGGATTAAACATTTCAATCAAAAAGGAAGCAATTAGTAGAATGGATAAAATGCTATGCTGTGACTATATTCCCTCTACAGAAGATACACTTTCTGTTAAAAGACACAATTGATTGAAACTAAACGGATGGAAAAAGACATACCATGTATACAGCAACCAAAGTGCTATAGTAACTTTCCTGATAGAAGACAAAATATACTTTGGAGGAAAACTATTACTAGAGACAAAAAGTACAATTTATAATGCTGAACAGGTCAGTCCATCAAGGAGATATAATTATAAAACTGTATGTCCCTAACAACAGAGACCCAAAATACATGAAGCAGAACTAGAAGAAGAAATAGACAATTCAACAATAATAGTTGGAGATTTCAGCACCTGACTTTCAATGATGAATAAAATAAGAAGATAGAAGATTAGCAAGGAAATCGAATATACAAATATGAACTCAAGATAGGTAAGAGATGGCTGGGCACGGTGGCTCACGCCTGTAATCCCAGCACCTTGGGAGGCCGAGGCGGGCAGATCACGAGGTCAGGAGATCGAAACCATCCTGGCTAACATGGTGAAACCCTGTCTCTACTAAAAATACAAAAAATTAGCCGGGCGTGGTGGCGGGTGCCTGTAGTCCCAGCTACTGGGGAGGCTGAGGCAGGAGAATGGTGCGAACCCAGGAGGTGGAGCTTGCAGTGAGCTGAGATCGCGCCACTGCACTCCAGCCTGGGTGCAGAGCAAGACTCCACCTCAAAAAAAAAAGATAGGTAAGAGACAAAAATGTAAGAGAAAAAAAGGATAAAACTCATAGTAGAAAACATAGGTATAAATCTTTGTGGCCTCGGATTAGGCAAAAGTTTCTTAGACAAGATACCTAAAGCATAAGCAACCAGAAAAAAAAAAAAAATATATATATATATATACTGCACTTCATTGAATTAAAAACATTTGTGCATCAAAGGACACTTTCAATAAAATTTAAAGGCAACGTACAGAATAGCCTACCTTACTTACAAGCCATGCATTTGATAAGATTTTAGATCCAGAACATATTTTTAAAACTCTTAAAGTTCAATAATAAAAAGACAACTCAGTGAGAAAAAAAATGGGTCAAGTATTTGAATAGCTATTACTACACAGGAGATATATAAAGTTCATAAAACACATGAAAAGATTATCTAAATCATTAGTTATTAGGTAAATGCAACCAAACCATAATGAGATACCCTTTCACACCAACTAAGATAGCTATAACAAAAAAGATGAACAATAACAAGTGTTGGCAAAGATGTGGAGAAATTGGAAACATACATTGTCAATATAAAATAGCGCAGCTACTTTGGTGAACATTTTGAAGGTTCGTCAAAAAGTTAAACATAAATTTACTATATGACCCAGCCATGCCACTTTTAGGCACATACAAAAGAAATGAAAACATATATTCACTCAAAAACTTGAACACAAATGTTAATAAGAGAATTATTCATACCATCTAAAAAGGTGGGAGCAACCTAAATGCCTATCAACTAATGAATGGATACACAAAGTATAGTATAACCACACAATGAAATATTATTCAGACATAAAAGGGAATAAAGTTCTGATACATGCTACAACATGAATGAACTTTGAAAACATTATGTCAAGTGAAAAAAAGCCAGACATAAAATCATACACATATTGTACAATTCTACTTGCACAAAAGGTCAAGAATATGCAAACTCTCAGAGACAGAAAGCTTAGTGGTGGCCAGGAGCCGGCAGGTGGCTGGGGAAGAGAAGAGATTGAGGAGTGACTGATCTATGAGGATAGGGCTTCTTTGGGAAGGTTACAAAAATGTTCTAGAATTAGTGGTAATGGTTTCATAAGCTTTTAATACACTGAAACACACTGAATTGTATAATTTTAAATGGCGAAGTTTATTATATGTGAATTATATTTCAATACAATAAAAGAAGGGTAGAAAAGAAATCCTTTTTTAGAAAGCAGCATTTGGAGAGAAATTTGAAGAAAGATAAGGAGTAATCTACCAGATATCCAGGAGAAAAAGAACACCAAATGATATTCAACAACAGTTTATTCAAAAGTTTAATAATTAATATTCCTCTTTTGATTTTTAAGTCTTTGTTACTGTCATGGAACAGTTTAATGTAGTCATATTTTGCGGAAAGAATGAGGAGAGTAAATAAAAAGGTAGGAGACTTAGAAAGAGGAGATTTAATTTTTGAATCATGTAAAAAGGAAAGTGGGAATTTTTGAAAATATAAGAAAAATTAGAGTAAACTTAAAAGAGCTGCAACGAGGAAAAAATATGAGAAGCATTGATATAGTGATAACAAAATTAAGCACTAAAATCAGGCAGATACGGATTATATCTCACCTCTACATCAGCTAGCCCTTTCTCTAGAAAAGTTTCCTTACTCTGTGTTCTTCAGTTTCCCATGACCTATACAGAAAACTGAGGAATAATTTCAAGAAAATAATATGGGAATAAGGTGAGAAAAATAACTACCTTACTGGCTTGCTGTGAGAGATGAGCAAGATGACTTAAGTAACCCACTGAATTTGACACCTGGTAGATTCTCAATATATAATAATTATTCACAATAATCATCTGAATGGACGCTACATGAGTTCTGAGGGGTCTTAAGTTTTAAGAAGTAAAATTATCTATTTAGATATGTGTTTTTAAAATTTGTAAGATATATGGAACATATTCAAAAAGACTTCACATTTTAATTATTTAAATATTAATTTAATTTTGGACATTTTAATTTTAATATAACAGCATAGAAGACTAATGCAGAGGCTTTGCCTATATTTTTAAGGTGATAATTGGTTACAAATTGACCTTTGTTGGAGAGATAAAAATGTATTTGGAGACTAAATTAAAAAAAATGCTTTCCACATGAACTCAATATTTTTAGAAAACAAGCATGTTATCCTTAAAACTATTTTGAGAATAACACTGTGGTGAAAAATGCTACCAAAAAAATTACTTTGCTAATTAAAGCCTATGAAACCAAATAACTGTTTTTAGACATTGATTTTGCTGGTTCACATCCTAAAGAGAAGTACTTCTCATGTTTCTTTCAAGTGAGATAAAGTTAGTGAAAAATCTGGCTAAGGGAGGATGAGAAGGAGTTTACGTATTTGAACATTTTTGCTGGCATATGCCAGAATATTTTTATAAACAATGCTAGGGAGATTGAAGTCTTCTGGGGATTAAAGGAAACCACGAAATAGAGAAAGAGCATGTCAGGGAAAGGGGCCATGTCCGTCCTCTGAACAGTCTCCAGCCAAAAGAACTTGGCCAGTTAACACCTTTGTTTCTCTTTTTCTAATTTTCTAAAATGAGAGGCTTTTACTTAATGGAATATGTAATCCCTCTTGATTCTAATTTTGTATTGTTCTGTGCAATATTTTCTCTTCTAGAAAAAAAAAATGCCAAGGCTTAATTCAGACTTTTCCTCTTTAGGTATTATTAAAGGTAGCTGTAAATTCCGGAGGTTGGGTCAAATTTGCCTTGGTGGATTATATGATGTTTCTCTCTTCAGTTTCTTTCTTTCTTTTCTTTTTTCTTTGCTGTTGTGATTCCTTCTGCCATTAAGAGAAGGCAACTAGAATTTCTGCTATAGGTCTCATTATACCTAATGCCAGAGGGATATTCAAAACACACAGCAACCAGTACAGCAAAGGTATGAAACAGCAAAAGACATTGGCCATGTAGACATACATCAGCCCTACCAAAGCTAGAGGCAAAACCTGATTGATTTAAGTGAAGCTCAGAAACATTTGTGTATGTGTTGATGAACATATACGTATATCAACCTAAATAACAAGCATAGAGAGATTCTGTAAAAGAAAATGATATTTATTCAGAAATAAGGCATTGCAATGGGACTACACATGCCATTGCAAACTATGTGCATATTCAGGAAGGTAAGAGAAGACAAAAATTTTTAAAGGAAAAATGCAGGTGGGTTACATAATTGTTTTCAGATAATTTCCCTTGGCCACAAGGCTCAATAGCAAAGGAGACACCAGTCTGAGATTGGACAGGTAGTAGCTGGGCATATGTTCTTATGATAGTATTTTTTGTGTGAGGTTGCAATGACCTTTGTGCGAGGTAGTTTTTACCAAACCTTTTGTTATAGTTCTGATATCAGGCATACCAGGGTAAGAAACCCTTTCTTTACAGCCTTCCCTGGCTCTATTTGCCTTTTTTTTCTTTTTTCACAAGTGATTTCATTTTGATTCTGGTAACTCTTACACATACATTTGATAAATTAGAATTGTATCAATTTCAAAACATATTTATTTTGTAAATGGAATTATTTTAATGTTTAAAATGCCCAAAGAGATAAATGAAGGAATAATATTCACTAAAACTGAACAGAAGTTATCTTTATCCAACCATCCATTGACCCTTAGGTTGATTATATGACTTTGTTATTGTGAGTGGTGCTGTGATAAACATACAAGTGCAGGTATCTTTTTAGCATAATGATTTCTTTTCCCTTATGTAGGTAGTAGTGGGATTGTTGAATCAAATGCTAGTTCTATTTTTAGCTCTTTCAGAAATCTCCATATTGTTATTCATAGACTTTGTCCTAATTTATATCCCAAACAACAGTGCATAAGCATTCCATTTTCTATGCATCCTCACCAACGTGTGTTGAACTTGACTTTTTAATAAAAGCCATTCTGGTTGGTGTAAGATGGTATCCCATGTGGTTTTAAGTTGCATTTCTCTAATGACTAACGATGCTGAGCAGTTTTATGTGTTTGTGGCCAGTTGTACATATTCTTTTGAAAAATGGCTGTTCATGTCCTTTGTCCGCTTTTTAATAGGGTTATATGCTTTTTCTTGAGTTGTTTGACTTCCTTTTAGATTCTGGATATTAGTCCTTTGTTGGATACATAATTTACAAATATTTTCTCCTTTTCTGTACATCATTTTGTCTACTCTGTTGATTATTTCTTTTGCTGCCCAGAAGCTTTTTTAGTTTACCTAGGTACCATTTGTATATTTTTGTTTTTGTTGCATTTGCTTTTGAGGACTTACTCATAAGTGCTTTGCTTTGCCCAATGTCCAGAAGAGTTTTTCCTAATTTTTCTTCTAGAATTTTTATAGTTTCATGTCTAACATGTAAGTCTTTAATTTATCCTTAGTTAATTGTTGTATATGGTGGGAGATATGGGTCCAGTTTCACTCATAGCTATCCAATTTTCCCAGCATCATTTATTAACTATTGTGTCTTTTCTCCAGGGTAGTTTAAAAATTTTTTTTTAAGAATAAAACCTACTGATGCATTCATCCAGGGTAGGTTTTTTTGACTTTGTTGAAAATAATTCAACTGTAAATATAGAGGTTTTAAATCTGGATTCTCTACTCCGTTTCATTGATTTATGTGTCTATTTTTATACCAGTACCATGCTGTTTTTGTTACTATAGCCTTGCAGTTTAATTTGAAATTGGATAAAATGACGCCTCCAGCTTTATTCACTTTGCTTGTGATTACTTTGTCTATGTGGGCTATCTTTTGGTTTCACATGAATTTTAGGATTATTCTTTTCTAATTCTGTGAAAAATGACAGTGGCAATTTCATAGGAATTGCACTGAAGCTGTAGATTACATTGAGCAATATGGTCATTTTAATAATACTAAGTCTTCCAATCAATGAGTATGCCATGTTTTTTCATTTGTTTGTGTCATCCACAATTTCTTTCATCAATGTTTTTTAGTTCTCCTTGCAGAGATCTTTCACCTCCTTGAGTAAATGTATTCCAATAATTTTTTTTTGGTAGTTACTATACATGGGATTGAGTTCTTATTTGGTGCTCAGCTGGATCATTACTAGTGTGTAAAAATGCTACTAATTTTTATACTTTAATTTTGTACCCTGAAACTTTACTGACATTATTTATAAAATCTAGGAGTCTTTTGGAGGAGTCTTTAGGATTTTCTAGGTATAAGATCATATAATATGAAAATACAGATAATTTGACTTCCTCTTTTCCAATTTGAATGCCTTTTATTTCTTTCTCTTGCCTGATTGCTCTAGGTAGGACTTCCAGTACCGTGTTGAATAGGGGTAGGGAAAGTGAGCATTCTTGTCTTCTTAAAATCCTCAGGGGGAAATGCTTTTAACTTTTCCCCATTCAGTATGATGTTGACTATGTGTTTCTTGTGTATGGTTTTTGTTATTTTGAGATTTTTTTCAATGTCTAGTTTGTATCCTGAAATTGTACTGACATTATTTACTTATAAAATCTAGGGATCTTTTTTCATGAAGAGATGCCTAATTTTATCAAATGATTCAAATGTTTTTTCTGAATCTATTGAGATGATCAGATGTTTTTTTGCTTTTCTGTTTATGTTGTGAATCACATTTATTAATTTTTGTGTGTTGAACCATTCATGAATCCCTGGAATAAAACCCAGTTGATAGTTGTTTATTTCTTTTAGATGAGTTGTTGGATTTGGTTTGCTAGCACCTTGTTGAGGATTTTTGCATTATATTCACCAGGGATATTGGCCTGTAGCTTTTTGTTGTTCTTTCCTTCTCTGGCTTTGATATCAGGGTAATACTGGGTTCATGGAATGAGTTAGAGGGGATTTCTGGTTCCTCAATTATTTTGGAGTAGTTTCTATAAGATTGGTAAAAGTTCTTCTGTGTATGTCTGGCATAATTCAGCTGTGAATCCGTCTGGTCCTGAGCTTTTTTTGGTTGGGAGATGTTTCATTACTTATTTAATCTCACTACTCCTTATTGGTCTATTCAGGATTTCTAGTCATTCCTGGTTCATGTTGAGAGGCTGTATGTTTCCAGGAATTTGCCTGTTTCCTTTAGGTTTTCTAGCTTGTGAGTGTAGATATGTTCATTGAAATCTCTGATGATCATTTGTATTACTGTGGTATCAGTTGTAATGTCTCCTTTTCATTTCTGATTCTGCTTATTTGAATCTTTTCTCTTTTTGTCTTAGTTAATCTAGCTAGTGGTCTATCAACTTTGTTTATTTTTCCAAAAGAGAAACTTTACATTTCATTGATCCTTTGCATTTTTTATCTCTATTTCATTTAGTTCTGTTCAGATCTTTGTTATTTCTTTTCTTCTGCTAGCTTTGGGCTTGGTGTGTTCTTGTTTTTCTAGTTCCAAAGATGTGATGTTAGGTGGTTAATTTGTAATCTTTCTATTGTTTGATGTAGGCCTTTCATTGCTCCCTCTTAGCACTGCTTTTGCTATATGTTGCCTCTATTTTCATTCAATTCAAAAAAAGTGTTGACTTTCACTTTCATCTAATTATTGACCAAATATAAGTCAAAACACATGGTTTGATTTCCACATATTTGCATAGTTTTGATTTCTAGTTTTCTTCCACTATGATCTGAGAATAATATACTTGATATAATTTTGATTTTTTTAAGTTTATCAAGACTTATTTTGTGGCATAACATATGGCCTATTTTTAAAAAAGATGCATGCACTAATAAGAATGTATATTCTGCAGTTGTTGGGTAGAATGTCTGTTAGGTTCATTTGGTCTAGAGTTCAATTTAAGTCTAGTGTTGCTTTGTTGATCTTCTGCCTTGATGATCTATCTAGTGCTTTCAGTGGGGTGTTGAAATCTTCAACTATTATTATGTTGCTGTTTATCTCTTTCCTTAGGTCTCTTAGTATTTATTTTATAAATCTGGATACTCTGATGTTGGGTGCATATATGTATGTACATATGTATATATGAATAATTATTATATTCTCATGTTGAATTGATCCCTTTATCATTATATGACCTTCTTTGTCTTTTTTTTTACTATTGTTGATTTAAGGTCTGTTTTATCTGATATGAGCATAGCTACTCCTGCTTGCTTTTGGTTTCCATTGCATGGAATGTATTTTTCCACCCACTTATCTTGAGTCCATAAGTGTCATTACCAGTTAGGTGAGTTTTCTTTCATCAGCATGTAATTTCATCCTGTTTTTGTATCCATGTCATCAATGTATATCATTTAAGTGGAGCACTTAGTCAATTTACATTTGAGGTTAATATTGGTGTGTGAGATTTTATTTCTGTTATAATGTTAATTGTTCCCTATTTACTTTGTAGTCTCAGTTGTGTAATTGTTTTATAAGACCTGTGAGTTATATACCTCTGTGTCCTTTTGTGATGGTGATTATTAACCTTTGGTTTCCATGTTTAGAATTTCTTTGAGTATTTCTCCCAGGACTAGTCTACAGGTGACAAATTCCCTTAATGTTTGCTTGTCTGGGGAAGACTTTATTTCTCTTTTATGTATGATACTTGGTTTAGTAGGATAAAAAAAAAATTCTTGGCTGACACTTTTTTCTTTAAGAAGACCAAAAATAGGACTCCAATCTATTCTAGCTTGCAGGATTTCTGCTGAGATCTGCTGTTAGTGTGATAAAATTTCCTTTATTGTTAATTACATGCTTTTCTCTTGCTGCCTTTCAGATTTTTTTCCTTCCTGATCACTTTAAATAGTCTGACGACTATATGCCTTGGTGGTCTGTCTTGAAAAAGTATCTTAAAGGAGTTTTCAAAGCTTCTTGTAGGTATAAATCTATAACTAGAATAGGAAAGCTTTCCTCAATTATTTCCTCAATTAGGTTTGTTAAACTTTCTATTTTTTCTTTTTCTCTCTCAGGAATACATATGACTTGTAGGTTTGAATGTTTTACATAATCTCATATTTTTCAAAGGGTTTGTTCCCTTTTTAATTTTTTTTATAAAATTTTTGTCTTACTATGTTAATTTGAAGATCTGTTCAAACTCTAAAATTCTTTTCTCTACTTGGTCTAGTCTACAGTTAAGGCTTTCAACTGTATTTTGTAATTCCTTCATGACTTTTTTGTTTCCAGAAGTTCAGAGTGTTTTTCTTTTTTAATCTATCTCTCTAGTGAACTTTTCATTTGTACCCTCCTGGGGCTCATGACTCTCAATTCAGATAGACACTGCTGTTTATCCCCTGGCCACAATGTAGCTAAGAGCCATAGAAAATAATTGTTCTATGGCACTCTGCCAAATGGCTTTGACTTGGAACCTCTTCCCTCAGTCTAAAACAGATAGCTTTGAGACCTGCCTGTTTTCCACTGCAAGAATGCTGCTGCTCCATGTGTAGAGGGAGAGGGGCTCTGCCTTTCACGCATTCCCAATCCAGTGGACACTCAACAGTGGAGGAGGTGCAGCTGCTCTTATTAGCCCTGGAATGGCCATCCACAGGTGTGTCCATGCCTCTTCCCTGTGGGATCAGCCACGTCTGTGTTTGCAGCAATGAGCAGGGTGAGGAGAAGTTCCCTTCTCCACATCCACGTCCAAGCAATGGAGCTGCCTAGATTCTAGGACAGAACACACTCCTCCCCCACAGGACTGAACACAGTGTCTGTGTATCCACTAGGAAAGGGGAAGTCACCTTCAGCCCACAAGTGTGGCACTCTGGAGGCACAGCAGAGCACATGTTCTTGTCTCCTTTGTTCCAAGGGGGCTTTGTTGGTGTGCTACACTCTCTCTTCCCCTAGGAGCAGCATGGCCCAAGGGCCAGATCACTGGGAATTCTGCAGCTTCCCTGGGTTCAGTCAGCCCTGTCTGGCTACCTTAATTTGAGCAGGTGCTTTGGAATGTTTGCAGGGGATCCAATGATGTGGCAACAAAAGGGCTGAGATTCCCTAGGCAGGACAGTCCCACAATGGGTATGCATCAACCCACCACTGCTCAGGTGTGGCAGAAGAGTGAGCAACCTTGCATAAACTGGCAGCCCAGTGCAATGCCCTCAAGAAGTTCCCACATCACCACTCACACCAGTGCCTGGGCTCATGATGGCAGAGGGGCTCTCCAACAGTTCAGCAATCAGCAGCCTACTGCAAGGGTGACAGGAGCCAGAAAACCCCGCCTACCCTGTTCACCAGACACCAAGTCCCTTGAAGCTCAATCTCTGCCAAACCCTTGCTTGTTTTTTTTTGTTGTTGTTGTTTTTTGTTGTTGTTGTTGTTCTGTGCTTTAGCTTGTCTGGTAGGCTCTGGCACTCTTCTCTTAATATTCTATTCAAGTTATGATTATTCATCTGTAAGTTTGGTTCTTCTTTCTGAGGAGAACTGGCCTCTGACATCTCTAGTCAGGCATCTTGGAAAAAATCTCTATTTTTATTTTAAGGGGAAAAATATTAAGTAGCACATTTCAATTTAAAAATTCTTAACCAATTTACAATTTTTATAAAATGAAACTAAGACACAGCAATATGTGTATATGCAAAAGTAACAAATTATAATAGTAAGATATGAAATGCTGAAAACATTGCTTCCTGATTATCAATTATTAAATAATATGGTTGTTAACAAACAATACCTTTATATCCAATGACATCATCTCGAATCTGCTCCTAATTAAGTTTCCTCTGGTCCTGCTAGTTCTTGTTTCAGGAATAATATGTGAATTGAGGGGAATTCTCATGACCTCTTGCTGAAGTTGGTGGAGGTTGAGTGGGGCTTTAAAATTCAAACCTTCTACTTCAACTACTAGGTCACTTGCTCATATGCTCATTGTTTTAACAATGGCTGTGTGTTTCTTTTCCTAGCTGTGTGTTTCTTTTCCTACTAGGGCATCGCACTCTGTTTCAGGAGCTGTTTGAGTACAGGCAAAGATAGTTGTTGTTTAGCTATCAAGTGTGAAAAGAGGACAAAGGAGCAAAGGAGTATTGCAAGAGCATCTTTATAGTGACAAATATTAAGTCTTCTTTGGCAAAGAGGGAAGTGAACAAAAAAGAAGGTTGATGGACAGGAATGCACTGGGGAGACACAGACTCTGGGAAGGAGTAGTTTAAATGGTACTTTAAAAAATATTCAACCTTTCTTCTATGTCTCGGGAATTAAGGTATGGGTGACAGCATTGGAGGATAAGCTTACGCAAGAATAAATTATTTGAATTGGTGCTATATTTGCTTTCAGTAGAAATGTTGCAGTTGATTAATCCATAAATCAATAAAATGTTAAGAAGGATGAAAATCACATTGGAAGTAAATTAATTAGAAGACTTTAGATAGTCTAAAAACTGAATCATGATGAGGTGGCAGGTTGTCATTTCTCATTAAGCCTTTTCACAATAATAAATAAAAGAGTGTATTTTTGGAGACAAGAATGTGCTGCTAGAATTCAATGCTTCAAGATATGAGGGCATGAAAGAGAGCAGCCGAAAAGAAAATGAAATAAATAAATGTTTTCTCTCTTTAATCTGCCCGAAATGCAGTCATGTAATGATGGATGGCTCAATTTATTTAGCGTACTCTGCACAGCAAAAGGCAGGTTGGTTTCCATAGGTATTTGCATAGTTAGAAATCTTTGTTCCATTACTTGACTTAAAGAAGTAACATGTCATCAAATATTTATTTCTTATACGGTAATGTAGCTTCTCAGTGGTGTCATATGATATGAAAGGGAAAAATGAATATAGAATAAAGTAAAACAGATCCTAAAACTTTTCATAATAAAGATTTCTAAACATAAGGCCCATGAATATCTGAACAATAGTTTTAAATATCAATGATTGCATCCCACACACTTTCAATCTCTTTCCAAGGCATTTCCTCAGACCACCTGACCCTTCCTTATTCAAACTAGATTGGTATATTATTGCCACAGGAGAGAATATATAGCCAAACTCAGGTTACAAGGGAGTCCTCTCCATGAAAATCTAAAGTCTCTTGAAATTTATGGCAGAGGCATTAGCTTGAAGAAAAGATGTTTTGAGAATCAAACCAAAGGTCCTGAAGGATTCGAGACATAAAGTTTATGCCATAAAAAATACATTTGAGAGAATGATGAAGGCCAGGATAACCTTGTCCCCTGAATAAGAATTCTATAAAGTAGCCAGGGAGCATGAGTTGCCAAGGGAAGAAAGAGAAAACATACTTCAGTGCATCCCGGATGAGGAGCCTGTGTCTTACGCCCTCACCCAAGGTCCAGAAGCAATTGAGGAGTTTTGCAAAAGTGGGTGTAAATTGCCTTTGATTCTGATTATATGTTATATGCACTAGGAGAGGTAAATTTTTTAAAGTACTCATGCAGATTTGAAGAATTGAAAGCAGAGGTTCCAAATCTGTAGGTGAAGGAAAAAAAAAAAAACATTGCTCCCCATGACTAGGGAGCAGCCAAGGGAAAATGGCTATGACATGTAATTAGGTAGACACACCTCAAGCAGCCTCAGAGAGTTCTCATGCTTTCCAGTGTGGCACAGGAAGCAGTAGAACTTTTCCTTATGTGGCATAGAATGGTGAGGGCGTGACTCAGAGAGCTGAGATCCTGGAAAGTCCTAGTGGTTGAGATGATGGGGACACTGAAGTCATCTGTATGAACAAAAAGCAGACAACAGAGAATGCTGAGGGTGTCTTAAAGGAACATCAGCATGGATGCCTGAGACTAGATGTTCCCTACTTCCACCGTGCCACATCCTCATTCTCACACCTTGGCACTAGTTCAGACTCTGAAGAACTTAGGAAAAATATTGACATCGTTGGGAGTAAAGCTAATGATTAACCAGTAAATTTGGGCTGGGCACAGTAGCTCACACTCTTAATCCCAGCACTTAGGGAGGCCAAGGCAGGAGGATTGCTTGAGTTCAGGAGTTTGAGACCAGTCTGGGGAACATAACAACACCCCATTTTACAATACAATTGTTTTAAAAAGAAAATATTAGGTAAATGTGTTGGCACATGCCTGTAATCCCAGCTACTCGGCAGACTAAGACAGGAGGACTGCTTGAGGCCAGGAATTCAGGGCTACAGTGATTATAGCCTAGGAAACAGCAAAGCCCTATCTCCTAGGAAAAAAAAAGAAAATCGGAAATTGACTAACAATACCCAGACGGAACTTCATCAAGAGGCATGGGGGAACATGAGAAAAAAAATTAAAATTTTTCTTAGCAAAAATATAAAGTTAGATGTTTTTGTTTTCCATTCAGGAGTTTGTGCTTGGGAAGTCAACAGCATCTTTGAGTACACACAAAATCCAGATCAATAAACAGATACACTATGGGGTGAATATTCCTTTTGTAAAAGTGTTCTTCACTATGGAATAATGTACCAGAGAATGCTTTTAAAAATCCAATACTCTTTTAGTGCATATAACACATAATTGGAATTACAGAAATGCAGTTTACATAAACTTGTAAGAAGATAATCAAATGTCTAAAACAAAGCCATTTAAAACCTGCCATTTCTTTGGAGTGTTTAACAAAATTCGGGTATCCATCATTCTGTAGGGCTTAAGAAACTGGTGCCTGTTTTAGTCACAATCCAGTAAGAAACAGATGATATTAACATGAATGAGCAAAGGGACAGGCCTATGGGTATCAGAAAGAGGGGACAACCTGCTAAGATGTGACGGCAGGGCCTGAGCCCTCAGTTGTGGCATCTGGAAAGAAATTCAGGCCATTATCCTTAGCAAACTAACACAGGAACAGGAAACCAAATACCACGTATTCTCACTTACAAGTCAGAGCTAAATGGTGAGAACACATGGACACATAAAGGGAAACAAAACACAAGAGAACCTTTTGGAGGGTGGAGAGGGGAGGAGGGAAAGGAAAATAACTAATAACTCATCGGTATTAGGCATAATATCTGAGTAAGGAAATAATCTGTACGACAAACCCCCATGACATAAGTTTGCCTGTGTAACAAACCTGCACTCGTACCCCTGAATTTAAATAAAAGTTAAAATAAAAAAGAAATTCAACTGATTCCTTTTTCCAATGAACATATGAGAAACACAATAATTAGGGACACATGCACACAACCTTGGCACTAGGACAAAAAAAAAACTAAACAAATAAATTCTGTAGGAAGTTGAAGAGGGCTGAATAGGAATCACTATAGGTTAGTGAATAGAATCAGCCCCTCTCAAGTCCATATTTATGGAATTCTTATTTCTCCTACCTATAGCTTGAACACAGGAGTCAGAAAACTCTTCCATTTGATTACTCTGTAATTTGCAGAAGACAACATATGATCTGGGGAAAAATAATGTTTATGGCTGCCTTTGAACTCCACCAATTAGCCTCATTGTACTCCTCTTACAGTACTCCTGTAAGATGCTCAGGGCTTCACCTACTGATCTGGGTTCTTTTTCCCAGGGCATAAAAGGTGCCAACAAATATTCAAAGATCATCCCATCCTGTAAGTCAGAAGCCAGGTTAAAGCAGAATATCTGGGTTGGCAGAATCTGAAATGAAAAGAGGATTTCCTTTTTCTCTTGCTTCCAGGCATGTACACTCACAGTTCTTATTCAGGACACCCCAAGGCTGCAGAATATACAGGGCAATGAAGTAATCACACTTGAGACTCTTACTATAGTATACTGAAAAATGCATTTATATAGCAGTATACGGCAAATTTTTGTTATTTATGGTAATAGTGTCCTAAAAGTCACCAAGAACACTGAATTAGTGAATACTAGACTATTGCTTCTAGGGGAAAACGGTTAGGTTCCTATATGCCCCTAGTCATGCCATTTTCATCAACCAATCAATAAGTAACCTTGTTTTATGTATGTTTCTATTTAAAGACACCGTATTTAATATATATTGCTGATTAATATTGAACTTTAGGCTAATATCACTTTAACTCATGCCTGGATGGAGCTTATCTTATATAAGCTCTCTAAAGAACATCAAGGTTCCTTCCCCTTAAAAACACTAGATAGTACTTCAGCACTGCCTTTGGAGCCAGTTAAAGCAGCAAAATAACCAACAAAAAAAGGAGAAACAATGCAAAAAAAATGGCACTAAATAGACCACAAAAAGGACACATTTACAGTATGAGAGCTGAAATAAGAAGGTGGTACATCACCTTACCTGACCTTAGCTGGGAACTACACATTGGGAAGCTCAAATTTTTATCAGTCTTTGCATGTCATAGTCTGCAAATTACCATCAAAGTGACATGAATATTGATTTGGGGGTTAGAGATACATTTTAGTAAGAAGGCAAATTTTCCAATATGGAATCTGAATAATGAGGATCGACCATATTTAAGAAGCATGAATGTTAGCTTGCTAGTGGGTACAAATCAGGCAGATGATTTTTCATCAATGAAAGAGTGCATGGTTGAAAAGTTTTCTTTATTCTTATTTGTGTTTGGCTTTAGGAATTCTGCAGGTTCTTGCAGGACTCCACATATTGTCTATCACAGCATATTGCAGACAGGTTCCCAGGAAGCAGATTCTGAGTTGGTGATTTGCATGCAGGAAGTTTATGGAGAATTGTTTCTGAAATCAGCTCCTGTGGGGAAATGAAGACAGCAGGACTGGGCAAAAGGAAACATTGAACTGGGATGAGATCACAAAGAAGGCATCAGGGAGGGCTGGAGCCAGACTGGGACTTCAGAGTGGCCCCACATTGAAGAAGAGAAGCTTGGTTTTTAAACTCACACTCTCTCCCCAACCAGGACAAGTTATGCAGGTGGTCCCCCAGAAGAAACTGTGACTTTGGAGTTGGTGGCGTTTTTCAGCAAATGGCAATTCCCAAAAAGGGATCCAGCTGCATGCAGTTGCTGTCAATGCTCTCAGCAGCTGAGGGAATGAGTGCCTGCGTCATGGAGAGGAATGCAGGTGGTACGCCCCGACACTCACTACACTGTCAAGCACAAGAGGGCATTTCTAGCAACTCAGTTGGAAACGCTCTCAATGATGTTTAACAAAAGGATAGAATTACTTATGGTGGCAGAATAATGGCCCCTGAAGATATCTATGCTGTGATTCCCAAAGCCTGTGACTATGTTACATTACATGGCAAAAGGCCTTTGCAGATGTGATTAAGGTTAAGGACCTTGAGATGGGTTGATTATCCTGGATTATAGAGGTAAGTCCAATGTAATCACATAAATCCTTGAAAGTGGAGGACCTATCCAGGCTTCAAAGAACCAGAGAGATTTCAATGTGGGAAGGGCTCACCTAGCTGTTGCTGACTATGAAGGTGGAGGAAGGGGGGCCATGAGGCAAGGAATACAGGCAGCCTCTAGAAACTGGAAAAGGCTAAGAACTGGATTCTCCCCTAGAGCCTTCAGAAAGGAATGCAGCCTTCAACTTAACCCTAGTGAGACCCATCCTGGACTTCTGTCCATAGAATTAAAAGATAACAAATGCATATTATTTCAGCCATTAAGTTTATGGTAATTTGTTGCAGCAGTCACAGTAAACTAATACACTGCCTGTCCAAATAGTGAACTTGGCTCCATGCATTGATGGAGAAGAAAGACACCCGAGGGCTCCATTCTGCAGGATGAGTCTGCAGGGATCTCCTTGCCAGCTATGGAAGTCAGTATGACAGCTTCAGCTACCTACAGTCCACTTGCCAGGTGATTATTATTATTATTATTATTAATTTGCACTATCGCATCCCAGTGTGTGCCTCCAGAGCCATCTATTTTCTTTATTTTTTCACTGCCTAAACTGCTTATAACTGAGAGTCACAATTGCAGAGCTATTATCAATTAATTTGCTAGCAGCAAAAGTCGGTGTGACTCACAATCAGGCAGCCCTGCCCAACCTAACAGCTGTGGCTTCAGAAAGGCAGGAGTGCCAAAACACCTTTCTTCTTGCCCTTCATACTATTGGTCTTCCCTGAAAGGAAACACTTCCCAAAGCTCACTGATAAAATACTAAAGTACAATTTTGTTACTCGCCTAAGAGCACTCCTACCTACTCTGTGCTGTGCAGGAGAAAAAATGGTGAACAAGAAAGACACAATCCTTACCTCTAAAGAACTTCAGATTGGTGATGATTATAGACAAGATTTAGTTTTGATAGAGTGTCTGTGTTTTTTGATAGGAAAAAAGCAGAGTTCTCTATGACCATGTTGGAGAAGCACCGAACCCAACTTTAGATGGTCAGGGAAGAATTCTCCTAAGAAACAACACTGAAACTGAGACTTAAGAATGCATAGAAATTGTCTAGACAAAAAGAGTAATGGCAAAGACTGTTCCAAGCAAATGGAATGTGGACAACTGCAGAGGCAACAGTAATAATCACTAATATTTATAATATTTATTAAGTATTTACAATATGTTAGGCCCTGTGCTAAGTGCTGTACACACACAGTCTTGTTTCATCCTCACAACAACCTGATGAGGTACGCACTGCTATTGATTCCATTTTCCAGATAGGAAAGCTGAGCAACAGTGAGTTTGTACTTCTTGCCCAACATGACACAGCTTGTAAGTAGTTGAGTATAGAAATGAACCCAAGCATTCTGGCTCTAGAATCCTCTTGCTTAACTGTTCTTCTGCACTACCTCTTACTGAGTCTCAAGCAAGTGATCCAATGGCTCATCCAAGGAACTGAAGTAAATTCCAGGTGCTTGGAGCTGAGACAAGTGGGGGCAGGGAATTAGATTCAGCAATAGCAAGAGATGATGCAAAAGTGAGTATTTATAACATATTATAATCATATCTATCCAGTACTCAAGATTACATCAATCTTTAATGAGGACTTGGAATCTGCGGGATACAGTGGGAAGGGCAGAGGCTTTGGTGTCAGACAGACGTTAGTTCTGATCTTCCCACTAATGCGTAGAAGCTGAGGAATTTAACTTAAGCAAGTTCTTTAAACTCCCCCTATACTCCCATCTGTGCCTTGGAGATTATAATAGCTACATCAAAGAGTTGTTGTGAGGACTACATGGTAAAAAGTACCAAAGTGTCTGGCATATAATGAGTAGGCACTCAAATGTTCAGTTTCTCCCCTTCCTTTCCCTTATTGAAAGCAGCAGAGCAGACTGTCTAAATATCTCTGCACACTTCAACCAACACAGAAAAAGAACTTGAACAAAACTGAACATTGATTCCCCCAATTTAAAAAAAAATGCATTTGATTTGGGGCTCAGACCTCAGATATTGTTGAACCAAAAATTAAACACCAAAACCAGTGTGGTTTTGAGGAAGGCCACATGGGTTAGGAATCAGGACATGCAAATGCTAGTGTCAGCTCCACCGCAAGTAACTATGATGCTTTCTTCTCTGAGCATCAGCTTCCTCATCCAAGACAAGAGCTGGTTGAACTTGGTGGCCTCCAGGGACCACTGAGATCTAACTTTGAGCTCACTCAATGCCTTGAACATCTGATTAGAAACAGAACTGGAAGATCAAATTGATCTCCGAATTAAGACAAGATTCTGAGGTTAAACAAACAACAAAACAAAAGAGATCTAATAACCTTCTTGGGAGTTGCAGAGAATCTATGTAGGAAGATAAGAGGTGGAGTCTTTGAAGGAGATAGACATTACAGTCTCATTTCCTCTTTGTTCTTTGCTAGATCTGTCACCCAAAGTAAATCATTCTCTGTTTAAACTTGTTTCCTTACCTATCAAATGAAAATGATAACCTTCTTTTATAGACTTGTATTCAAATTAAAGAATATGTATGGCCGGCCAGGCGTGGTGGCTCATGCCTGTAATCCCAGAACTCTGGGAGGCTGAGGTGGATGAATCATGAGGTCAGGAGTATGAGACCAGCCTGGCCAACATGGGAAAACCACGTCTCTACTAAAAATACAAAAATTAGCCGGGCGTGGTGGCGAGCACCTGTAATCCCAACTACTCCGGAGGCTGAGACAGGATAATTGCTTAAACCTGGGGGGCAGAGGGTGCAGTGAGCAGAGATTGCACCACTGTACTCCAGCCTGTGCGACACAGCGTGGCTCTGTCTCTGGGACAAAAAAAAAAGAAAGAATATTTACAATTTTCAGTGTACTCTTTATCCTCCAAGAGAAAAAATAAAATCATTAATCACAGGCCTCCAAGAAAGGTTAAACTCTCCTCCTTTTTGCTCCCATCACTTAGGGTCCACCCTGTGCATCATCAGGACATTCACCTTGCTGCCTCCTATGTAAACATTTCCTCTATTTTGAGCTCCCTCAGGGCAGATACTTTCATATTCACATTTATATCTAAATAGGGCCTAGAATTGCTCCCTGTGAATAGTAGTTTTTAATGAATGTTGGTTGTTGAAACTAATAAAAAAGAAAATAAAAACAATGAGATTGCATTTTTATCTAGTAAATTAGTCAAGATTTCCAAAAACATACACATTTAATCCAGGCAAGTGCACATGAGCTGATGGAAGTTTTCTTGAAATCCATTTAGTAAATATGTTTCAAGACTTTAAAAAGTGTCTATACGATGGGGTTTTCTAGGTAAACAATCATGTCGTCTGCAAATAGGGACAATTTGACTTCCTCTTTTCCTAATTGAATACCCTTTATTTCCTTCTCCTGCCTGATTGCCCTGGCCAGAACTTCCAACACTATGTTGAATAGGAGCGGTGAGAGAGGGCATCCCTGTCTTGTGCCACTTTTCAAAGGGAATGCTTCCAGTTTTTGCCCATTCAGTATGATATTGGCTGTGGGTTTGTCATAGATAGCTCTTATTATTTTGAAATACATCCCATCAATACCTAATTTATTAAGAGTTTTTAGCATGAAGGGTTGTTGAATTTTGTCAAAGGCTTTTTCTGCATCTATTGGGATAATCATGTGGTTTTTGTCTTTGGCTCTGTTTATATGCTGGATTACATTTATTGATTTGCGTATATTGAACCAGCCTTGCATCCCAGGGATGAAGCCCACTTGATCACGGTGGATAAGCTTTTTGATGTGCTGCTGGATTCGGTTTGCCAGTATTTTATTGAGGATTTTTGCATCAATGTTCATCAAGGATATTGGTCTAAAATTCTCTTTTTTGGTTGTGTCTCTGCCAGGCTTTGGTATCAGAATGATGCTGGCCTCATAAAATGAGTTAGGGAGGATTCCCTCTTTTTCTATTGATTGGAATAGTTTCAGAAGGAATGGTACCAGTTCCTCCTTGTACCTCTGGTAGAATTCGGCTGTGAATCCATCTGGTCCTGGACTCTTTTTGGTTGGTAAACTATTGATTATTGCCACAATTTCAGATCCTGTTATTGGTCTATTCAGAGATTCAACTTCTTCCTGGTTTAGTCTTGGGAGAGTGTATGTGTCGAGGAATGTATCCATTTCTTCTAGATTTTCTAGTTTATTTGTGTAGAGGTGTTTGTAGTATTCTCTGATGGTAGTTTGTATTTCTGTGGGATCGGTGGTGATATCCCCTTTATCATTTTTTATTGTGTCCATTTGATTCTTCTCTCTTTTTTTCTTTATTAGTCTTGCTAGCGGTCTATCAATTTTGTTGATCCTTTCAAAAAACCAGCTCCTGGATTCATTGATTTTTTGAAGGGTTTTTTGTGTCTCTATTTCCTTCAGTTCTGCTCTGATTTTAGTTATTTCTTGCCTTCTGCTAGCTTTTGAATGTGTTTGCTCTTGCTTTTCTAGTTCTTTTAATTGTGATGTTAGGGTGTCAATTTTGAATCTTTCCTGCTTTCTCTTGTGGGCATTTAGTGCTATAAATTTCCCTCTACACACTTCTTTGAATGCGTCCCAGAGATTCTGGTATGTTGTGTCTTTGTTCTCGTCAGTTTCAAAGAACATCTTTATTTCTGCCTTCTTAATAAATGGTGCTGGGAAAACTGGCTAGCCATATGTAGAAAGCTGAAACCGGATCCCTTCCTTACACCTTATACAAAAATCAATTCAAGATGGATTAAAGATTTAAACGTTAGACCTAAAACCATAAAAACCCTAGAAGAAAACCTAGGCATTACCATTCAGGACATAGGCGTGGGCAAGGACTTCATGTCCAAAACACCAAAAGCAATGGCAACAAAAGCCAAAATTGACAAATGGGATCTAATTAAACTAAAGAGCTTCTGCACAGCAAAAGAAACTACCGTCAGAGTGAACAGGCAACCTACAACATGGGAGAAAATTTTCGCAACCTACTCATCTGACAAAGGGCTAATATCCAGAATCTACAATGAACTCAAACAAATTTACAAGAAAAAAACAAACAACCCCATCAAAAAGTGGGCGAAGGACATGAACAGACACTTCTCAAAAGAAGACATTTATGCAGCCAAAAAACACATGAAAAAATGCTCATCATCACTGGCCATCAGAGAAATGCAAATCAAAACCACTATGAGATATCATCTCACACCAGTTAGAATGGCAATCATTAAAAAGTCAGGAAACAACAGGTGCTGGAGAGGATGTGGAGAAATAGGAACACTTTTACACTGTTGGTGGGACTGTAAACTAGTTCAACCATTGTGGAAGTCAGTGTGGCGATTCCTCAGGGATCTAGAACTAGAAATACCATTTGACCCAGCCATCCCATTACTGGGTATATATACCCAAATGACTATAAATCATGCTGCTATAAAGACACATGCACATGTATGTTTATTGCGGCATTATTCACAATAGCAAAGACTTGGAACCAACCCAAATGTCCAACAATCATAGACTGGATTAAGAAAATGTGGCACATATACACCATGGAATACTATGCAGCCATAAAAAATGATGAGTTCATGTCCTTTGTAGGGACATGGATGAAATTGGAAACCATCATTCTCAGTAAACTATTGCAAGAACAAAAAACCAAACACCGCATATTCTCACTCATAGGTGGGAATTGAACAATGAGATCACATGGACACAGGAAGGGGAATATCACACTCTGGGGACTGTGGTGTGGTGGGGGGAGGGGGGAGGGATAGCATTGGGAGATATACCTAATGCTAGATGACGAGTTAGTGGGTGCAGCGCACCAGCACGGCACATGTATACATATGTAACTAACCTGCATGCACAATGTGCACATGTACCCTAAAACTTAAAGTGTAATAAAAAAAAAGTGCTTATAAAATATGAAAAAAAAAAAGTGTCTATACACTCCCATCCAGTAACTCCACTCGTAGGACTTCATCCAATGGAGATAATAGGTTATTTGCCATGTAATAATAGCAATGCATGGGGAAAAAATTACTGTAAGTAAAAACACCAAAATATTAATAGTGGCCGTTTCTCAGTAGAGGGATTAAAGGTGATTTTCATTCTCTATTTAATTCCTTTCTGTATTTTCCAAAATTTATTTAGTGATCACGTAAAATTTTTCCAGCAGGATTATATAGAACTTATTCATTACATGGAAGATTTAAAAAGTTTAAATGTAATAATTTAAACTTATACTAATTCTGAATATGTTTAAATAATTCTGAATATATTTAAAGCATGTTAAAGTTTCTCAAATGCCTAAACTTTTAAAATTTATCCCAATACCCAATATAGTCCCTTGCATGTTGGAGGCTCTCTGTAAATTCATATATACAGTTGGCCCTTCATATCAATGGGTTCCACATCTGTGGATTCAATCAAACATAAGTCAAAAATATTTGAAAAAAAGTGAATCTTTGTGTCTGTACTGAGCACGTACAGATTTCTTTTTTCATGTCATTATTCACTCTTCAATACAGTATGACAATTTCCATAGCATTTACATTATATTAGATATTATAAATAATCTAGAGATGATTTCAAGTATACAGGAGGATGTACATACATTATATGCAAATAGTGCACCACCTTACATAAGGGACTTGCATCCGTGGATTCTGTCACCCTTGGGGATTCCTGGAACCAATCCCCTACAGATACTGAGGAATGACTATACAATTTTACATGAGTGTATCTACTTGGGTCTTTAATTTCTCTTTCTTTATTCTGTACATTTAGAAGTGTCACTTATATTTTTCTTCCAGTCATTTGATTTCCAGAGACATGCAAGAGTCAGCAGATTTATTTTTCTCCAAAACAGGTTAATGCTCCACTTAACTGCTGTCCAGATAGTTTTTATTAAAAAGTAGCACAGTTCTCCCTGTGAGATTTCAACATCACATGCTAGGAAGAACTGAGAAGTTAACTAGGTTATAAGGATTTGTTAGATTGTCTAATCATTGCTGTGCGGTTACTCAGGTAAACACAAATGAAGTTCTTAAGTAAAAAATCATGATTGTGACTCTTTTTTGTTAATGGAATTCTTTTAGGTTAAAAAAATGCTGTAATTCTTTTTTTCTGTAGAAAAGCCACTGTTAACTTGGTCAAATTTATTTTCACTGCATGAAAATTTTATCTTTCAAGAGAATTAGCCATCATTGCATCTTTTAAATAGCATTAGCCATTATTGCATCTTTTTAAAGTTTTTAAACTTTTTCCCTGTCTCTTCAAGGCTTCCTGCTTAGGTTTGTAACATCAAATACCAAACTTCTTGTATTTTCATGAGATTTCCACTATATTCTTCCTCTCCTCTGGCCTCAACATGATAAAGTCTTCCCTCCTACATTAAAAATATGTCCTTCCATATTATTCCTTTAAGCTCTGAATCTGTTTCTCTCATTCCCTGAAGTATTAATGTTTTGAAAAGATAGTTCACACTCAGCTGAACAAATTTAAGTTCTTTAACCTTCTCTTACTCCAATTTCTTATTTCCACTCTTGCTGAAATATTTTCTTGAAAGTCACCAATCAACTCTTATAACCACAGCAATGGCTCATTTCTTTAATGTCCTCAACTTCTCTACATTTAATGTTACTTGTTCTTCTATCTTACTGAAACTCACCTCTGCTCACTTAGACTCAAAGGGTAAGAATGTCAATGATCAAGGAACTGGGATTTCACCTTTGACTCAAAATTCTCTACCAAGCAATAGTTTGAAAGTGGCTATAATTTTGTAAAACATTTCCACAAGTTAAACATAGGTATGTTTTTACTGTAACGTGAAGAATAAAACATGTGTCTATGGAATTCTGTCTTCATACATTGTTATCAACCTCAACTCATTCTACTCCTTCTGTGGTAACTATTTTTAATAACTTGGTATTTTTCAGCCCTTTTTCTATGTAGCCATGTTAATATACTGGTATGTATACAAAAATAGAATTTTTACAAACATAAATATATACCTACAGTTTTAGGTAACAAATGAGATCATGTATGTATTTTTTCTTAAACCTGTTTATTGCTTTAAAACTAAAAAGAAGAGATACTAAGTAAGGGTAAGAAGGAAAATAGCATGAAGAGTGGGGAGACACGAAGATGGGCAGATGGCTTGCGTTTATGCTTAAAATACCTTATGAATACATAGGCATATTTCATGTCCATGCCACACAAAGCTTCTTAAATTTAGCAGTGGAAGATTAAGTGTAGGATTTTGGATTTTGATTTCTTTTTTATAGTGTTTTTGTTGCTAATATTAAAAATGAAACCACAGACAGCTTGGTTTGAGGGGCATTGACTAAATTGTCTTTCCATTTTTATTAGGCAATTGACAAAAAGGACTTATTTCTTTGTGACTTTATTATAATGGTTGGCTTTGATTTGCAAAAAGTGTGAAGTCGAAGATAGCTTTAGACAAGGAATAGAAAGAAGGTATCTTAATTTTAGTATCCTTTTCACATTCTGTCTGTGCTGTCCAAGGTGATTAGATTTTACAGCCCACTCATGCTGTAAATATCTTTACATGTGGTAAGTCTTACCCTAGCACTTTAGTAACATGCCTCAAACAAAGTATTAAAAGCTTTGAACAAGATGGCATCTAAGTATGATGAGGTTTACTAGCTTTTTAAAAACATGAAACACCTTTTGAAGTGATTTTCAGAAGAAGAAAGATTTGTACTACACAGGAGAGGATTTCAGTGCTGAGTTTAAAAAGAAACTCAGGTTGGAAAGACTTTAGAGGATTTTTCTATGAACTAAGAGATTAGAGATTGATATCTTGTCAAGCACTTTGTAGAAAAAAGGAAAGGTTATAGAAAGGCAGATAATAGACTGGGCAAGGGGATTAAAAGATGAGGCTAAGCAACATTTCTTTTATTATACACATAGTCATTAACAAAGAACTAGAGTTCTTGTGAATTATGTTACATTGAAAAAAATTAACAGTTGATTAAGATAAGATCATTACCTATTACCTGTAGAGATCAGAAAAAAGATTTAAATAAAACATGTTACAAAAAATCCAAAATTTAAAAATATTTTGGCATTTAGAGACTATTAAAAAAGAGATAAAGGATACTTTAATACATGTTTAATGAAGGGTTGAGGAAATTGGTATCTTTTCCTAAGGACTTTAAGACTTATGATGGCCTAACCCTCAGATGTGTGCAGCGAAAATATTACTTCAGCAGGACAGCATTGACTGATATTTTTCTCTCCTTCATTCTCATAAATGTGGCTAGAGAGACCTTAGTAATTGATACCCTCAACATCGACAGTTCTCATTTTACTTATTAATGTTGATCATCATACATACCAGGAGCATTAAAAATGCAATAAACAATTGATTTGAGCTTTTTAAATAATTTCGACTTTTATTTTACATAAAGAGGATACATATGCAGGTTGTTACATGGGGGTATTGCATGATGCTGTGTTGTCTGCAAGGTTTTACAAAACAAATACTTGGTGGCTGTTTATTTCTTCCAGCATAAGTCCCCACCTGCTGACCTGCTGCCTGCTATCTTAACACGAATTCTTCATCTGAATGGATGAGCTTTTCACAGGTACGGTTACATAAATAAGGAATGTGATACACATTTTTTTATTTAAAATGAAAGATAATATAATTTAAACCAAGAAGCTTTACATTTACTAATCATGTACTGCTGCTATTCAAATGCCTAAATACAGAGAGGTATCTTTTAAAACTCTAGACTCTACCCTTTTATTGTCTCACCCACTCCCATCCAAGATTCTTTATTCCATCCATGCAGGGCTTCATGCATGTGAGTGTACACATCCATTCTCCTCCAGGTGATTTTGACATGAATGCAGCCCATCAACACAACCAAATGAAATCTACTGCTTCAATGCTTCAGTAAAGAGTAATCAAAAGAAAAGAGAAATCAAAATATCTGTTTACGATCTTAACTTAGTTCAAACCATTTTTTCACCCTTCTAAAGCAAGAGTCCTTCTTTCCAGAGACAATATCTTTTTTGTACTTTGTAGGGGCTGAATCCTGTCTTTTATTTAATCTTCTTTCCTTGGGCACACGAGTGGTTGGACATATGATCCAGCCCTATCAAATCTGCTTATCCTACCCCTCTGACCACAAACTCAAAATAAGCCAGTGAGAGTGAGTACTCCCAAGGATTTTCTGCCAGAGTTCTGAGGAAAGAGAAAGTCTCCTTTTTCCACTGAGGATGTTAAGCTGATAAGATACATCTGGAGCTGAGCAGTTCTATATCTGCCATATTTAGCCAGTTTGTTTGAGATCTACAGCTCCTAGGTTCAAACATTTCAGAATTTTCTGTTATGCTTATGCTGGTTTGAGTTGGGTTTCTATCATGGGCAAATGAAAAGGGGCAACAAATACATCACACTATATTGGGTAATTACTTAAACTCTGGCTCATTGTCCTCACCTGTAGAATTTGGATAATGGCATCTACCATGCCTACGCACCAGAAAGGCAGTGATGGTCAGACCTAACAATTTAGGTGCAAATGATATATTCATCCAGTAATAGGTTATTCAAATGATAAACTTTATATATATGCCAACAGGATAAATATTTAATTCAGACAATAATATTAACCCAAACGGATTATTCAGTATTATGTAAAAATATCTTGTGTTATATTCTCAATCCTTAGTTATTTTGTTGTCATATAAATATTGCTCATGAGCAGACAAAGCTAAAACTTCGACCTATTCATATGCCAATAATTAATAGCAATGAATTATTCTTTGTTGGCTTACTTAATAGTTCAATGATTTAATAGTTATAATAGTTAATAGCTCTTTCCTCCTATATTGAAATTAAGTTTTAGACTTCCAGTCTCCTAGCACAACATGTATCAATGCCTGTCAAGCTTGCCAAACACTTGGAGATCATGTTGCATGGCAGACACAACTGAAACCAATAACTTCACTTATTTGTGTTCAGAGTTCCAAACTAAGGAATCCAGGAGTGGCCAATCCAGAGATTCATTCCTTATCTTTGACGAACATCTGAACTCCTGGCTCATCCTGTGGAATTCAGGCCATACAGGAGATCAAGGTCATTTGCTTTGGGTTAAATGAATGTTGCCAGGTGGAGGTTGCTAGAGGGAGAGTGCTATGTGAAAGTGCTGTATAAACTGCTTGCTTTTCACAAACAGTAGTGATTCTTTATCCTGTCCAGCCTGCCACAACTGGACCATCCTGTATGTAAGTCCCCTTAATAAATCCTGTGTCTCATTCACTGGCTTCAAGTCTCTTCCTGGGCCTCTTGAACGTGGTGCCACCTGTATTGAAGTCAACAGAAGTTCAGCACAACACAGGTCAAAATGAAGATTCTGACTCAGTAGGTCAGGATGTTCTAACGAGCTCTAGCTGACATGATACGTCAGGGCTGCAGACTAGCTTTGAGCAACAAGGTGCTAGAGAAATACCTATAGAACAACAGAGATGCAAGACAAATGAGTTGGAAGTTAAAAGATTTAAATTCTTGTCTTAGTTTTCTCATTAAAGAAAAGCTGTGTGACTATGAAAAAAAATGGCTCTCTGAGACTTTTGTTTGCTCATCCAAGATGAAAATATTGAAATGTATTATACAATAAACATTTGCAAACAGTGGGTATGTAATAAATTACTGACTATCACTGGAAAATACCATAGAATTCACGTGTTAGGATTTTTAAGGCCCTACTGTTCTAAAGTGGAAAAAGTTGGCACTTACTATCAGGTAACTGTGGTAGAGCTTTCAGATTTCTATTTAATTTTCACTTTCATGTAATAGTCAATTTGACAAATATATATATAAGATCCTGTCACTTTCAATAAACAAGTGAGCCTATAATTCAATGTGGTTCACAGCTGGGTGACCTAAAGTTCATGCTGAAAAGACAAGTTGAAATGGTAGGTGAGTGATGAGACACAGTTCTCATCAAGTGGCTTCATGAAAATATATGGTGCAGTGTGGCTGTCAGTCAAGGTAGCCTCTTAAAGGCAGCCTGAATTAGAATGGTGTATGAATTTACTTTCTATCCCTTGCAGTTCCTCTGCAGAATAGCAAACATATAATTTTAATATAAAACAGACATTCTAGTTCAGAAGTTGTAAGACATAGGTGACCTTTTGAGCCAGAAGACACTGATGTGTACAGAGAGGCAAAATTACTTCACCAAGAAATGCACAAAATTTATCAGATTTCAGCCAGGAAATTTTATTCTTTCTTAGTACAAAAGATGTTTGACGTTCTCTTTTGAAGAAACTTATACAATGGGAGTGACTTAGTGTATCTCAGACAATGTTGGGGCTATCGATTGATGGGTTTCCTTGTCCCAAGGTAGAAGTTCAGTTGAATTGTTGGTGGATCAATCTGATCCAGCCTTTAGGATATGTCTGAAAACCAAAACAATAAGATAGCATTTTTCAGGTTTTTTTTTTTTGTTTGTTTGTTTTAATGATCAACTAAGTCTATTTTGGCTTTTTTTTTTTTTTAACTCTTCAATGTTCCACTAATGCTTGTTACAACAATTCAAAAAGACTTAATAAAGCCTCAGAAAAGTCAATTTGGTTAATTTTCCCCCACAAATAAGTAAATGTGATCAGATGTATTTTCACTTAGTGAAACCTGAGGTGGTTTAAACTTTTCAGTTTATGGGCTGGTTTTTTTTGTTTTGTTTTGTTTTTTATTTGTTTGTTTGTTTGTTTTTTGAGACAAAGTCTTGCTCTGTCACCCAGGCTGGAGTGCAGTGGCATGATCTCGGCTCACTGCAACCTCTGCCTCCCCAGTTTGAGTGATTCTCCTGCCTCAGCCTCCCAAGTAGCTGGGAATACAGGCGCATGCCACCACACCAGGCTAATTTTTGTATTTTTAGTAAAGACAGGTTTCACCATGTTGGTCAGGCTGGTCTCGAACTCCTGACCTCATGATCTACCCGCTTCAGCCTCCCAAAGTGCTGGGATTACAGGCATGACAGTGCCCGGCCTGTTTTTGTTTTTGATTGTTGTGAACCTGAGAATTTTAAGCTAACAGCAACATTTCCATGAAATATATCTCTAAACAAAATAAACATATGACAGTGGATTTAAGATCATTACACCATGCTAAGTTTAACACAAATTCTAGCACAGCATCATATGTGTTTAGATGGATAGAGATGGCCAGCCTGGAGACAACTGCCACATGACTCTGGCAAGGACTTATCCATTTAGCTTTGATGGGCCCTTTAATGCTCACAGAAATCATTCTTCTCCCGCTGGTAGTTTTAGAGAGAGAGGGAAAATATGCAATTTTCAAAATGTAAGTAGCAATCCAGAGAAGGATTATTAACTGTTACATAGCACAAGTATTTGTGACGTTTTCAAGAATCCTCTTAGTTCTGCTATAGGTTGTTTCTTAATCACAATTTTGAAAGTGGGCTATTGAGTCGAAATGGAAGAAATGCTGAAGGAATGAATTTATGATCTATGTGGAAACAGCCCTTACATAGCTTAGCATGTGTCAACATATAGAATGCATATATTAATAATTTGATTTAAAATAAATATAAGTATTGTTATTGAAGTACAAGGATAAATGATGCATATTACCACAATTCTCAGTCCATAAAAATCCAACCCTTTACAGTATTAAAAGCAGCTATATAAAACATTTTTATGTTCTTTTCTCTACCCTTTTCCTGGAGAGTTATGTTACCTCAAGATTTGAACAGTTTTCTGAAGCATTTGGAAATTTCTTAGTTGAGATAATCCCACTTGGATTCTGCCACTTTATCATTATCTTGGGTGGGAAGTAAACATAAGGCAGATAATATGTGAGGCACTTAGCATGATACCTGGCACACGGCCTCCATTGAGCAGTTACAGAATTATTTATGGTATGTTACATAATTTCTAAACTCAATATTACAAAATCAGAGACATTTTCATGCATCATAAGATGTCTTTAATCACTAACTTAGAAAAATAGGTCTTTAGGCCAAACTTCAGAATGGTTGCTAAATATTTAGATTTTTTTAAAAAAACACTAATGAAGAAGCTCAGTCTTTCCCCCTTTTAGCAGACGTGAGTAATTTTCAAGACAGCTCTAGTGGTAAGAACTGGGGCCTCACTCCTTCAATGCACATGTGCTGAAATGTTCTGTTTCCCAGCTTTATAATTAGAGATTATTTCACAATGATTTTCAGTGCAGATAAAATTTAGCTCACTGAAGATATGACAGCCATCATCTCTTATTTTCATTAAACATGCTCTAGAGCGGGTAGTTATAGAAATAAGATAAGAATTAGCATCTGAAAATTTAAAGACGATTGCAAAATCTTTTCCTTAAAAAATTATGGGTTTCCCTTGGCTTAGCTTTCCAATATAAATCAGCATTGCTCCAAGTGACAGCCTCTGGCACCTGATATCTCACATTTTTGAGTGTTTATCTATGTTCATGAAAAAGAAGTCTGATTTCAGTTGTTCCGAAATGTAAGATGTGTCTCACTTTGGGGATTTAGGGACAATTGGCTAAGTGTGCTTTCAAAGCCCAGGTGCCCCCTACACAACTGACCCATTTTTCCCTCTCTGTGTCTCAGCATATACGTATCTCCACCACACATGCTCTTCAATGACAACAGTTTCCTGCATCTCTTACCAATCTTTTGCAGTAAAATAAAAACATTTTCAGAAACCGTTTCTAATTCCATTTAAAAAATAAATAAAACCTTATTGATGTGGGATCATCAAACAAACCAAGTTATTTTCTTTGATATCCACTTACCAAGAAAATAGGTTGATCCATGTTGACTGGCTTCCATGTTCCTTAGTGGCCCTGTCAGCATTCAGAGACCGTGACAGATTTTGGCTTAGTTTTCTTGGAGCCAAGCACTGATGCTCTTCCAAAAGAAGGCCTAAGAAGCAAAGGAGGTGCTCTGGAAAGGAAAAGCCTCCAAGATGTAGGTCTACTTTTTATCTGAATTGTTTCCATCTCATTGCTGTGATATGCAAGGCTATTCCACGCACATTCCTACCAGGCATGCTTCTGATATGAGTGATCACTAAAGGGAGCTTAAAAATAGAAATGATCCTACATTTCATTTGAGTGTCACAATTCCTTCTACTGTCTTCTGGAAAACCAAAAGAATAATCATAGAAACAAAGACATCCCTTTCACTATCTTCTTCCTCATTAATTTCAGGATAAGGGGTTGCTGAATTGTCCACTAACTTTCCTTTCTCACTTAGAAAATTTATGACTTAGTAGCGGTGTTACTTGGCATTAGACAAGCCAATCTGAAGGTCATGTGGAGTCAGGGGTGAGTTGGCACAGGTAAGACAAGACAGTGAAGTGCAGAGAGAAGCAAATAAAGCAAATGAGTCAGAAAGACAAAGACAGGAGGCCGTTTTGCCCCCAGCAAATAGAGAATGTAAGCTTGGTCGCTGACTTTCTAGTTCCCACTTCTAGCAGCTAATGAGACTTCGCTGTTTCCTGTCCTGGTAGTCTACAAGATACCACTGCTTCCTTCCAATTGATTCTTCCAAGAATTCATCCAACACATATGAATTGAGTCTGTACTATGTGTTCAGCATTGTAGCAGGTACTAAGTACATAACAGAGTAATGAAATAGACATGGTAACTAACCATCATCATAGATTTTAGATTGACATGAAAGAGAATCATTGACTAGGTAATTACACCAAAAAATATGAAAAGGAAAATACAATGTGCTATGAAAGCATGTAGTTTGGGTAGCATAGATCATTATCCCAGTCAGAGGGAGAGATGGTTGCTGGTTAGTGGGGATCTCTTTGAGACAGCGCCGTGTCAGCTGATACCTGAAGGATGACGGGCAATTGACTAGCTAAAGAGGGAGGGGTGGGTGAAAACATTCCAAGCAACAGTAAGAGCTGTGTGAAACTGAGGATTAAAAAATTGGCATTTTGAGGAAATGCCAATATAAGGAAATCTAATATGACCCCCCCGCCAAAAAAAAAAAAAAATGAAGAGGGGTCAAAAAAAATGAAGTAAGGGTCAAAACTTGGAAATGTTTTTAAGGATTTTTGATTTTATTATAAAGGCAAGGATAAGTTAAATAAGGTTTTTTTTTTTTTTAAAAAGGTGGTGACATAATTAGGTTTGCATTTTGCATCATTTACAAGAAACCACGTCTGTTGCATTAATGAGTGAGAGAGATGATATTGGCTGGGACTAAAGCAGTGGTTCTCACCTGGGAGCAGTATTGCTTCCCAGTGGATATCTGGTAACGTTTGCAGACATTTCTGATTGTCGTAATTCTAGGGGGAGGGCGGGAAGGTTGCTATTGGCATCTAGTGGATAGAGGGCAGTGATGGTGCTAAACATTCTATGATGCATATGACAGCCTACCACAACAAAGAATTCTCTGATCCAAAATGCCAATGGTGCTAAGGTTGAGAAACCATGGAGTAGATTGAAGGTAGTAAAAATGAAGAGAAGCAGCATACTAGAAAGATAGTTTGGAAATAACATTTGTGATATTTAGTGATTAGACAGAGTGGTCAGGCATAAAGAGCAAAAAAAATTTGACTCTTGGATTTCTAGCTTGAGCAATTGTTGATTGGTGGTACCATGAACTGATTTAGAGAACAATGTTGGAAGAACAAGGCTGGAAGAAGTAGAGTAGAATAAAGAAGATGAAGAGTGCCATTTTGAATATTGTGCCTTTGAGGTACTTTTAAGAGAGTCAAGAGAATTTTCTAACATACATTTACATAAGCAATCCAAGGATTTAGCAGAAAGCACAGGGTGGAGTTAAGTACGTAAGAGTTGTTATGAGGCATAAATTAGATACTTCCTATGAAGAGTTTAGTGTGGTGCCTGGCACATTGTAATTATTCAATAAATGGTCTTGCTATGTTATTGAGAGTGTTGGGGAGTAGACTGTAATTGAAGCCAAGAAAGTAAATAAGACTGCCTCAGGAGAAGATGTAAAGTGAAAGAAAAAAGGATGGATCCCTACACAATACCGAAAGAGAAGCAGCAGGCAGAAGAGCTAGGAACTACAACTGTGCAGTCAGATATGGGGGAAAACAAGGAGTGTGTGTGTGTATCTCATGAAACAAAGGGAGGGAAGGGTTTCAAGAGGAGTGAGTGATCAATCATATTAAATGCTGCTCTGAGTTCAAGTAGATTGAGAATTATTTTTTTTCCAAGTAAATTTAGAGATGAGAAAGTCATTGGCGATCTTGGAAAATACTGATTTGGTATAGCAGAGGGAAGAGTAGGAGTGGGTTGGAGAATGAAGAGAAGAAATTGTAACTTTTCACCAACCTTTGTGAAAGTGCTGGCTGCAAAGGATAAGAGAGTAGAGCTATAACTGGAGCAATATATGGGTGGTTTATCATTATTATCATTGTTGTCCAAGATAGGAGACATTTGGCATGTTTAAATGTTAATGCATGACTAAATGTAAACAGAAGAAGGTTGAAGATAAAGAATATAAAGAAAATAATTTGGGGGGCAAGATTTCCAGGAAGGAAGAAGGAGAATATGGCAAATAATATGACTGTCATAGCCCACATAAACACCTTACTGATTTGTTAATTTATTACTTTGTGTAAAGACAGTTGATAAAGACTAAAGTGTGAAGACCCTAAGGAATTAGAAGTGAGAGCATCGCTAAAGAGAATGCTTGTGTGTTTGCTTTTCTAGGTTTAATAGTATTTGAGTATTAAAGGACATTAGAAGTCTTTTTAGGACTCTCTTCACAGCCAATTTTTGCTTTTATTCACTTTATTAACTTAGGGCATAATATTGTGTTCTAAATCAATACCTTTCCTATGGGCCTAAGAATGAGAAATAATGAATCCTACTTGTAATTATGAATACATTCACAAATTTATTTGGTAGTTAGGAGGAACATGACTTTGAAACTTTTCATAATGCAATCAAGAGCTTTATGAGAGTATGTGACACGTGTAAGTAAAGAGAATAGAAAAATCATGGATTAAGATCTTCACATTCTGTGGTAACCTGTGGCTTAGCTGTGGGGGAGAGAGATGGAGTATTGGGAGTGGATCCCAGCCATGCCACTGACAAGCCATGTGACCTTGAGCAAGTTGCCTAATGTCTCTATGTCTCAGTTTCCTGGTCTGAATGAAGGGAATCATAATAGTTTTACATTTATAGCGGTCATCCAGAGGATTAAATGAGATAATGAATGCAACAGTCCACAAGTGATGATTTAATACTATTTTTAGAGTGGACTATTTCTTTGCCAGGTCAGTGAGCTGAACATTCTATTTATTTTTATACTCACTGTTTAAATACTCCTAGATTTAATTCATTCTCTTGAATATCTAATATCAATTTAAAATCATGACAATTGGCTTTAATACCTAGAGTAATTGAGCAATAAAGCATTCTTCGTCTTGTTTCATAGGGCATTGTCTACCTAAAAGCATCAACCTAAATCCTAAAGATGAGAGGAAAATCAAGTAAGAAGAGATAGAAACTGTCTTTGCCTGTCTATTTGGAGTCCTTCCGTTATCGGTTCCGGTGCTCTGACCTCTCATTTATTACATTTTTTCCAATAAGAAAGCACAGAGATGAAGAAATAAAAGTGCTCTCAATGGAAATATTTTACAAGAAGAAAACCTTAGCTTGGTTCTCTTTGCCATACATTGAATAGCCACTATCTTCCTGTCACTCATCTTGGCATTTTATGCTTTTGAGAAAGAAACATGCAGAAGAAAAATGTCAGAAGCAGCAATTATGCAATTGAGCTGATCCACATTTCAAAGGGCCTGGACAGGGCAAATGCCATGACTCTTCATTGCTCCAGAACCAAAAACTAATTGAGTCAGCTTCACCTCTTTGCTTTGAACATGCCTTGGCTGAAGGTTAATCACATTAATTTCTGTGAGTCAATGTTTTGCCCTGTCCTGGAAAAAAAAAACAAAAACTATCAGCCATTTCAATAGTTAGATCCCCATGTGACGATTTTCAAAATTTCCTGAACCACCAGAATCCTGGCAACTTTGTAGGTATGTTTTGGGTTCTTTTTTCTATGCAACAAATATCGGGCTGTTGAGAGTCTAGAAACTATTGCCTTTGCAAATCAGGGTTTCTTAATTGAATTATAGGGAGGACAAGAGAAAATGGGTATTCGAATTGTGAATTAGAATTGTGAATGAATGCTTTTGCCAACCAGCAGTCACTGAAGTCCAAAATAAAATGAGACCCTAAGCCTTTCTCCCATTTTCCTCTCAAACTAACTTTTTACCTAAAAAAAAATCTGGGCTCACATGTGGTCAGCTCATCACTAGACCAAAAACATAAAAACAAATGCATGCTTTACATGAGATAAAATTTTAACTCATTACAATGCTTAATTACTAAAATGATGACAGAGACAAGTACTTCTTAAATTGTAATGTCCATACAAATCACTGGAGATCTTCTTAAATTGCATATGCTGTTTCAGTAAACTTGGAATGGGGCCCAATATTCTGATTTTAAACAACTAATTCTATTACCTTTGGATTCAAGTTTTGTACATTGCATTAATTAGTTCACAATAAAATCACTTCTAATAATTTATCTCATTATTGCCTAATCTAGTCAAAATTTTGTGATTCAGAATCCAGTTCACAATTTCAGTCCATCAGAGTCATCATAAAAGCAAGTTTTAAAAAGCACATTGATGGTCAGCTAATTTTCAACTGACCACGAAGATTATTTAGAGGTATCCAATTACCCAAGTCTTAATTATTAAAAGTTTGCTGAGATGGGTCATTATGATATGTACATAATTTTATATTTGACTCTTTGCTTTTGATTGTCCTCAGGTGTAAATTTTAACTTTTTAGACTGCAAAATAAAATTTGAGATATAAATTTAGGGTCTGTTCATATACTACAACATACACATTTTTTATTATGAAGTGATATAAATGATATAAAAGAAACCTGAAAGTCATCATTAGTATAACCTTGCAACTGAGGCGGAGTAAATATGTAGGCCCGAGTGAAAGCACTGAAGAATCTGATGCATTGCTTTTGGACAAAATCTCTGGAACTAATGGCATTAAGAATAGATAAACAGCAAAGTCCTAGTTCAAAATATGCCTAGCATCTAACAGTTTAACATACACGAATTCTTAGAGTATTGAACTTAGCTAAATTGCAAGGCTCTGCTCTATTCACCAAAATTCTTTGCCAGAGGAGACCGGTAAGAAAAATACTGCCATAGCAGAGCTTTTTAATATGCAGAATATATTTCCCAAAGCCTTTTTCTCTATAGAATATTACAGCCATCCTCACTCTCCATTTTCACTTTGTCCTCCTGTTATACCTGATAAATCCTAACCTTAGATAAACCCAACAGTCTGTCTTCTCAGTGCCTGCACTCCAGTAGCTGAGACCCTCAAGAGCAAATCACATCACCAGGTTGACTGATAGCACTTTCAATTTCTCATTACAGGTCTCAGCTGAGCTCTAGACATCCCTTATGATCGTAATACATTGTTCCAATCATTCTGCCCTTCCTTCATACTCCTTAGGAGAACCACCCCACCCATGTCCCCTTCCCTATCAGTGGATGGCCTTAGTGAAATATGCTTGTAGGTAAGACCGTGAGCTCCAGAAGCAAATTATTTGGGTTTTATTAAGGCTCTGGCAACTTTTATAAATGTAACTTCAGGCATAGTTTATATATATATAATTTCAACTTTTATTTTAGATTCAGGAAGTACATGTGCATGTTTGTTATATGGGTATATAGCATGACGCTGAGGCTTGGGATGTGATTAATCCCGTCATCCAGGTAGTGAACATAGTACTCAATAATTAGTTTTCAACACTTGTGCCTGCTCCCTGCCTCCCTTGTAGTAGTTCCCAGTGTCTATTGTTGCCATCTCTGTGTCCATGGGTATTCAGTGTTTAGCTCCCACTTATAAGCAAGAACATGTAGTATTTGGTTTTCTGTCCCTGCACTAATTTGCTTAGGAGAATGGCCTCCAGTTGCATCCATGTTGCTGCAAAGGAAATGATTTTGTTCTTTTATATGACTGCATAGTATTCCATGGTGTATGTGAACCAACAATTTTTTAATCCAATCCACTGTTAATGGGCACCTAGGTTGATTCCATGTCTTTGCTATTGTGAATAGTGCTGTGATACACACAAGTGCATGTGTCTTTTTGGTAGAAGGATTTATTTTCTTTTGGACATATATACCCAGTAATGGAATTTCTGGGTCAAATGATAGTTTCAAGTTCTTTGAGAAATCTCCAAACTGCTTTCCACAGTGGCTGTACTAATTTACATCCCCACCAACAATGTATAAGCATTCCCTGTTCTCCACGGTCTTACTCACCAGCATCTATTATTTTTTGACTTTTTAGTAATATACATTTTGACTGGTGTGAGACAGCATCTCATTGTGATTTGGATTTGCATTTCTCTGATGATTAGTGATGTTGAGCATTTTTCATATATTTGTTGTTCATATGTCTTCTTTTGAAGAGTGTCCATGCTTTTGTCTGCCTTTTTTTTTTGCTTGTTGAATTACATTTATTATAGATTCTGGATATTAGAACTTCTTTGAATGCATAGTTTGCAAATACTTTCTCTCATTCTTTAGGTTGTCTGTTTACTCTGTTGATAGCTTCTTTTTGCTGTGTTGAAGCGCTTTGGCTTAATTAGCTCTCATTTGTCAGTTTTTGGTTTTGTTGCAATTGCTTTTGAGGACTTGGTCATACATTATTTCCCAAGGCCCAGGTGCAGAATGGTGTTTCCTAGGTTTTCTTCTAGGATTCTTATAATTTAAGGCCTTACATTTAAATCTTTAATCCATCTTGAGTTAATTTTGGTATATGGTGAAAGGTATACCATTCTTCTGCATACCACTAGCCAGCTATCCCAGCACTATTTACTGAATAGGGAGTCCTTTTCCCATTACTTATTTTTGTTGGATTTGTTGGAGATTAGATGGCAATAGGTGTGCAGCTTTATTTCTAGGTCCTCTACTCTGTTCCACTGGTCTATGTGTGTGTGTTTGTACCAGTACCATGTTATTTTGGTTACTGTAGCCTTATAGTTTCAAGTAAGATAATGTGAAGGCATACATTTAACAGCTCTGTGCCTCTGTGTCTTATTGGTAAAATAGAGACAATAGTAGCTCCTCTCTCATAAGGTTAGTATAAATAGTAAATGAGTCAGTATATGTAAATCTTCCAAAATAATACTTGCAATCAAGAAAAGTTACTATTACCTGTATTCTAATTATATTTTCACAGGAAAAATAGAAGTCACCAGGTAGAAATTCCCTTAACTGTCCAACCCCATACCAACAAATCCATCTTCACCTAACTTTCCTTCTTCCCATCTTTTATATTATGCTTCCCTTGGGGAAAAGTCCACCTCTTCACTTGTGCTCTAGAGCAGGAGTTGGCAAACTATGATCCAGGGACCAAATCCCACCTGTTTTTGCATGACCCAAGAGCTAAGAATGATTTTGATATCTCTAAATACTTGAAGAAAATTCAAAAGAAGAATATTTTTTGACACGTAAAAATGATATGAAATTCAAAGTTCATTATCTACAAATAAAGTTTTACTGGAACATAGTTATACTGGTTCCTTCACATACTGTCTATGGCTGCTCTATGTCAGAGTTGAGTCATGGGGACAGACACTGAAATGACAGCTGAGTTTAAGATATTTACTTATCTGACGCTTTAAGGAAAAAGTATGCCGACCCCTGGCTTAGAGCCCATTCCTTCCCACTATGGCTCAACCACTTCTTATCTACTGGATCTTTCCTATAAGCATTCAAAGATGTCCAAATTTGTCCAATCCTAAAATAAAACAAAACAAAAGCTCCATTCCACAACTCGCTCAATGTCTTTCACAACCCCACCGGTCAGAATCATACATACCTCTTGAATAAATTTCTTCCCTTTCTATTCACTATTCAACCTACTACTTGCTAGTTTCCACTCACTAAACCAAAAATCCTCTTGCTAAGGTTACAAATAATTTCTATATTTCTCATGTCAGAAATCATTTTACTTGAAGCTCTTTGCAGCATTCAACATTGGCCATCTTTTCTTTTAGTTTCCCTGACACGACACTTATGGGATTTCTCATCTTCTTACCTCCTCCACCACCTACTCCATAGCTTATGTCAGAAATGTCACGTATCCAATCACCAAGTCTAATGATTCTTCATCCTAAATATGTTTCAATATATCCACTTTTCCCCATGACTACTGATATCACCCTAGAACAAAAAAACATTCTTCTACCTAGATATCTCAAATCTCCTTTTCATTCCCAATCATTTATTTCTCCATGAAGCATCCAGCAGTGATTGTATTAGGTTGGTGCAAAAGTAATTGTGGTTTTTGCCATTAAAAGATAAAATCTTATCACGTAGCTCTCTTTAAAATCATCCGATAGCTGTCCATTGCTGTTAGATTGAAGAGTGTTTCTTCTTACATTGATTTTAACTTTATTATAAAAAGTCAAAAATATTTAAGTAGAGAATATTATATAGAGCTCCAAACATTTACCACCTAGTCTTAATACTTATTATCATTTTACCATATTCTTCATCTGCTTTCTGTTTGTTTAATTATTTTTTATTGTGGTATAATATATATAATATAAAATTCACTATTTTAACCATCTTTAAATGTACAGTTCTGAAGCATTATGAACTGCAATGCAACCATCACCACCATCTATCTCCTAAAGACTTCATTCTTTGCATTATTTTTACATATGTCCCTGCCTGAATGATTCCCTGCCATGAACTGTTCTCTTGGACACCAGTGTATCCCCAGAGCCTACCATACTGATAAGAATCACATCATTATTCAGTCAATATCAGTTAAAAAGTTGAGTGAGGCCTTCGGGTCACTTCTTAAATATCACCAGCTCAGGCTGCTCAGATATTGTTGTAAAGATCAAATTAAATAATTTATGAAAATCCTTTTTGTAATCTCCAACCCCGGTGTACATCATGATATTATTATTGAAGAAACTAGGCATAAGCAAATGAAAATAAAGTACATTTGAAATGACCAGGAAGCACATATTAAATTGCCATATTGCATACTATGTATTAATGCATCCCAAAGTGAAATTCTTAAAATGCTAGCTTATGAAATAGTTAAAAAAAGAAACTTTTTACTTAGATTAATAAATTGGGGAAATGCTTCAAATAATTGTTCCCCTCCCCTTTGTAGATACGCAATTTAAACTGTTGTATGGGGCATTAAAAATAAAAATTCAACTTTTTTAACCAAGAATTTTATCAGCTTCTTTTTGTGACCAGAGAACTTTTCTCAAAATTTTTGTTAATTACTCACATGAACTAGTTTTTATAGAATCTAGTATGGTAAAACCTGGGGTTCTACCCCCGGTTCCTTCTAGAGATACTATATTAGCAAAAGCAAGATTATTATAGATTCAAGAATGTTTCAGGTATAAGTTGGAATGTGAGCTGGGCAGTTAAGAAAATAAAAGTTAGATAAGCAAGGGAAAAGGCATTTCATAGATTGGTATTAAAATAATACTTGACCAGGTGCGGTGGCTCACGCCTGTAATCCCAGCACTTCGGGAGGCCAAGGTGGGCAGATCATGAGGTCAGGAGATCGAGACCATCCTGGCCAACATGGTGAAACCCTGTCTCTGCTAAAAATACAAAAATTAGCCAAGTGTGGTGGCACGTGCCTGTAGTCCCAGCTACTCAGGAGGCTGAGGCAGGAGAATTGCTTGAACCCGGGAGGCGGAGATTGCAGTGAGCCGAGATCGTGCCACTGCACTCCAGCCTCGTGACAGAGTTAGACTCTGTCTCAAAAAAAAAAAAAAAAAAAAAAAAAAGTCAAAGAAATGGAATTAATTTAGAATTATTCTAATAGTTTCACAACCATGTGTTTGTAGTCTTTTGTCTCACGTGCCCTGTACAGTAGCATGAATACAGTGTTACTTAATACAACAGTCATGCATTGAGTAATTCCTTGGAGAAAGAAAATAAATTCCTTCATAAATGTGAGTGTTTATGGAACTAAGCTACTGGGACTAAAATATATCACTGGATATTAATGCATTCTAAGAGTAATATACTCTAAAAAGAAAAAGGTAAAATGGTATCTTTCACTGAGCACTTAATATGCCTCACAGAATAAGATAGATTGACTGAATAAATAGCCCTGATTTTTTAAGCCTCACTGTAACCGAGCTTTTGCCATCTAACCTTTTAGTGTCTATGTGAATTCACGCCAAGTCATGTGACAGTTTGCATAATGAAGTGTCAGCAGATGTGATGGAAACAGAAGTAAATAAAATATTTGCACGTTGCTGCTTGCTCCCTTTTACCTCAGCCTTTACCAGGGAGAACAAACCCAGCTAACCTGCTAGAGGATGACAGACACGTCAACCAGAGCTGGTGTCCCAGTCACCCAAGCCAAGGCCATTCTACCTAAGCCCACAGCTAATTCACCTCCAGAAATGTGAGCAAGCCTAGCCAAGATCAGCCAAGCCAAGCTCAGAGAGACAATTTAGCACAAACTATCAAAAGCTTTAAAAGATGTCTTTATCTATAGTTAGAATTACACATTTAAGAATCTACCTTATTGGGAAAAATACAGTCAAAGATTTTATAGAAAAAAAATTTTTTCAGTGTTATTTATAATTGTGAAAAAATTGTATTATCCTAAAATTTTCGAGGTAAGTTATTAATTATATTAAGTGTGGTTATTCCAACAATGCTACACCACTTTTAAAATGAAACCCACCCTTCTGCACATGTACCCTAGAACTTAAAGTATAATAAAAAAAATAAAAATAAAAATAAATAAATAAATAAAAAGAAAATCTCTAAGGCAGAAGGAAAATGATACCAAATGAAAATATAAATCTACACAAATAAACGAAGAGCACAAGAAATGGTAACTATTAAATTCTGTTGGAAACTATAAAAAATTTCTTATTTAAATCTATTTACAAGACAACTATGTGTTTAATGCAAAGACCATAGCACAATATTTTAAGGTATATAAAATATATGCAAGTAAAATACATGCTAACAATAGCACAAGGCCTGGAGTTGAGAAGATAAAGGGAAATATTTTCTTGTAAGGTTCTTATACAATATGTGAAGTGACATATTTGAAGAGAGAGTATGATACATTAAGATGAATACTATAAACGCTAAACAGAAGCATGAAAATAACACAAAAAATTGTTATAGCTAGAAAACCAAAGCAGACAAAATGGAATCACAAATCTAGTCAATTTATTCAAAAGTAATCAGGAACAAAAGGAAAAGGGAAAAACAGATGAGACAAATAGAAAACAAATAGCAAATTAGTAGGTGTTAACATGACTTTATCAATAATTACATCAAATGTAGATGATGTTAACCATGGATTGACAAACTTTTTCTTTATAGGACCAGACAGTCAATATTTTAGGCTTTGAGGCCATATGGTATCTGTCATAACCACTCAACTGAGCCATTGGAGAGTGAAACCAGCTGTAAACATTACATTAAAAAATGAGCATGATGACCATGACTGTGTTTCAATCAAATTTTATTTACAAAAATATGTGGTAAGCTGTTAAGCTGTTGTTTGCTGACCTCTGATCTAAACATATTCATTGAGAGGCAGAGCCAGTCAGATTAGACATAAAGCAAGGCCCAATTGGATGTTGTCTACAAGACTCCACCTTGTACATAAAGACAACAATAGGTTAAAAGTTAAAAAGTGGGAAGTATATAATACATTAACACTAGTCAAAAGAAAGCTAGGCAGGCTCTATTAATACCTGAAAGAATAGATTTTAGGATAAAGAATGTGACCAGGTGTAAAGAAAGTCATTTCATAACGATAAAGGGGTCAACCCAGGTGACATAACAATCCTAAACATCTAGGCACAAAATAAACAAACTTCCAAATATATGAGGCAAAAATACCATTTATACCATTACAATCAGATTTTTCAATATCTTCACTGAAAAGTAGAACAATTAGAAAAATGACTAAAGATCCACCAACTAGTCCTTAATGCCATTTATAATGCACTCCATTTAACAATAGCAGGATACACTTCCAAGTGCACACAGAACATTTACCAATTTAGATCATAATTTAGACCATCAATTAAGTCTTGGTAAGTTTCAAATGATTCAATTCACACAAGGTATGTTCTTTTATCACAATGGAATTAAATTAGAGATCAATAACAAAAAGATATCTGGAAAATCTCCCCCCAATATTTGGAAACTAAATATTACACTTCTAAATAGCATAGTGACTCAAAGAGGCAATTATGAGGAAAATTAGAAAGTATTTTGAACTGAATAAAAATATAAATGTCAAATATCCAAATTTGGGGATGCTGCTAATGCAGTATTCAGGGCACTGGACACTTGAATTAGGGGGAAAAAAGAAATCTCTCAAATCAGTGACCTCAGCTTAGAAACTAGAAAAATGAGCAAATTAAACCTAAAGTAAGCAGAAGACAGAAAATAAAGATTAGATCATAAATCAGTGAAATTTTAAAAATAGAGAAATGAATAAAAAAATAGTTCTACCGTCATTATAATCATTAAAAGTAATAAAACACTAACCAGACTGGCAAAGATAAAAAGAAATAATACAGAAATTACCAATTTCATGAATGAAAGAAGTAACATCAATACAGATTCTATGTATATTAAAAAGACAGTAATAGAATATTATGGGGAACTTTAAGCCAATAAATTGTACAATATAGATGAAATGGACATATTTCGTGAAAGACAAAAATGACAAAAGTGTAATAAAAAATAATTGCATAGCCTGATTAGTCATATATCTATTAAAGATATTCAATTTGCATTTAAAATACTTGTTACAAAGAAAACTCCAGGCCCAGATGCCCTCACTGGGCATCTACCAAACATTTAGGTAAGAAATAATATAAATTATACACAGATGTTTCCAAAAATTTCAAGAGGAAAGAATATTTCCCAACTCATTCTGAGGTCCCCATTATTCTGATACCAAAGTAGATAAAGACATTACAAGAAAACCACAGACCAACGTCCCTACAAACGTGGATGAAAAAAAAATGTTAACAAAGTTTAGCAAACTGAATCCAGTAATATATAAAGAGGATAATACATCATGACCACATGAGGTTTGTCCCAGTAATACTAAATTCATTTAACATTCAAAGCCCAATCAATGTAACTCACAGAGACAAAACAACCACCCTTTATGATTGCCTTAATAGATGGAGAAAAAGCATTTCACAAAATCCACCATCTGCTCCTGATAAAAGCTCTCAGAAAACTAGAAATAGTAGAGTACTATATCAACCTGATAAAGGGCACTTATAATAAAACCTACAGCTGATACCATACTTAATGGTGAAAAACTGAATACTGTCCTACGATCAGGAGCAAAACCAAATATTCACTTTCATGACTTCCATTCAACACTATACTGAAGGCTCTATCCATTACCATAAGGTAAGAAAAGTAAAATATAAATGCCAACCAGATTGGAAAAGACAAAGTAAAGGTTTATTTGTGCATGATGTAATTGTCTATGTAGAAAACACAATAAGATCTATAAAAAGCTATTAAAACTAAGAAGTAATTTTTAATAAGGCTGTAAATTATCAGATCAATATGTACAAACTTTATTTTTAATATCAGTAATGAAAAATCAGAAATCAAAATCAACAAAATATACCATTTAAAATAGCATTAAAAATAATGAAACGCTTACAGATAAACCTGACAAAAGAGACGTAAGACCTACACACTGAAATTATACATATAGCTGAGAGAAATTAAAGAATTCCTAACTATATTGAGAACTATATCATGTTCATAGATCAGCCAGCACAGTATTAAGATGTCAATTCTTCCTAAAATGATCTATTGATTCAACACAATTACAATCAAAATTTCAATAGGCACCCTTATTTTAATTGACAGGCTGATTCTAAATTTATACAAAAATGCATGAGACTTAGAATATATAAAACAACTTTGAAAAACAAAAACAAATTTGAAAGAATTATGCTATACAATTTCAAGACATAATATAAAGATACAGTAATCAAGGCATTAGTGAAAGTAGAGGCATGCAGGCCAATGGCACAGAATAAAGAACCCAGAAATAGACTCATACATATATAGCCAACTCAACTTTGACAAAACTGCAAAGGCAATTAACATACTCTTTTCAGCAAATAGTGCTGAGATTTATTGGTTACACTTGTCTCTGGTAATTGTATTATATTTTGCCAATAAAAGTACAGTGCTTCAGCAGAGGAAAAGGCCTTAATGAAACTTGGCAAATAAATACTGTTTAGCTGACTTCACGTTACCACATCCGTTTCTCTATATCCGAACATAAAGCCCAAGGTCCTGTCTAATTATGCAGACATGAAAGAGAATAGGTTATATATAATATATGTTGTATATTATATACCATATGTTATATATTCCAAAGGATTTTATCTTACATAATTGTGGGAACTTTTAAGCACTATTTTTATCTCTCTAAAGTTGTTGTTGTTATGTCTGCTCTGGGGCTTGAAGTTCACAGGACAGGCAATCAGAAAGGAAATAACATGGAGGAGAACAAAGATCAGTTAAATTCATGAGCACAGCTGGAACCCAAGTTAGTTCTTACTGCCTCTGACATTGTTGACCTGATGCTCTTCCTCATAGAGCTGAATGCACACCTGGCCCAAGAGCTGGAGAAGCTAAAGGCGGGACCAGGGAAAGGTGGAGCGGTTGCAGACTCAGCTGCTGGCCCACATCAACAAGGTGAGCCAGCAGGTAAGCAACATCGTGGGAGAGTTACAGAATGGCTACCGCTTCATTTCCACCTCCCAAGTCTTCCACAAGAATGTCTCTCTTGGCTACGCTAACTGAAAACATTCACAGAAGGGAATTATGGGAAATGTAGCTCAACCTAGCCAAGCTTACACATTAGGAGGCCACCACAGGTACCACAGCCAACAAATTAAGGACCCATGGCATACGATATCGCTCTCTAAGAGACTCACAGCACATTAATATATCAAAGACTCAGCAAAGTCCTTGCATTTAAAAATAAATTAACTGTTCCACCTGGATATAGGATTTCCCACACTTATTAGAATCACTGATTTAGATTAGCATGATGAATTTACTGTGGAAACTTAATGATTGCTTATTGGTGTGATGTCTTGTTTTTTGGCATATTTCTCTGAGTAAATCCTAGAGAAACTCTATAATGAGATGCTGTGTTTCTTTAAAGTGTCAGTGTAAGTGCTGGGTACCAAGTAAAAAAGAGTTTCTTCGATTTACGAATCAGTATATCCAAACACTCAATTTCAAGGAAAGATATACTGCAGTTATGGAATAGTTTGGAGAAATTTAGACTTCTTAAATCATCCTTAAGTAACCTGTTTTAAATGCTGTGACTCTATTTTATTGTCATTAAAGGCTTAATAAATAAAGTTCATTTTATTTCCTATTTGAAAGTGACTGTAGTAAAACTTCCTTCAGAAGCAATGGACACACACACATCTTGCAATTTAGTTATTGTAGTCAACATTTTAAAACTAGATTACAAAACAGCTACCACTGAAGGCAGCATAGTAACAGTTAAGAGCGTGGACTCTGGAACCAGGCTGCCTGAACTTGAAACAGATCTACCACTTATTGATGACATTAAGTCACATCACTGTTCTGAGCCTCATTTTTTTTCATATGTAAAATGGGGAGAGTAATATTTTCCTCTTCACAAGTTATTATGAATAGTGAAGATTTTAAGAATTGAAAAGTGTTTTAAACAGTGCTTGGCACACTGTGAGTGCTGTGCGTGTGTGTGCATGTGTCTGACAAGCTCCCAGTCTGTGACATGTGCCACGTACTCACTGACTCATTTAATCCTCACAATTCCTTCAGGGCCCATACTATTATCCCAATTTTATAGATGAGGAAACTAAGTCAAATAGAGGTGAAGAATCCTCTCTCAGGTTACAGGGGCTGAGGTAGTGCCAGGACAAAACTCTAGATGGCTCTGACTCTGAGACATGGTCTCATTCCACAAGGCCATGGTGGCTCCCAAGCAGCTTTAAATCTCTCTGAGACTCCTTCCTAAAAGTCTCAAAAGATGAGATCAAATTGAATAGGTCCAGAAATGGAATTAGTTCCTCTCCCAAGGGGTGCTAAAGTTGTTGCTGTCACTCATTCTTGACCTAGACTAGATACGAACGTGGAACTTAGAATGAAAGGCTCCATCGGTTGATTTTGCCCTGAGTTTACACAGTCCCTAGAAAGTTCTTTAAATACCTTCAATCAAGGGCTTAGAAAAATTTTTAAAAATAACCTTGCACATACAATTAGAAACTGGCATGTGGGGAATTAAATATGAAAAATGAAATCGTTTATAATTATCAGGGACTACTTGAAGGGAGGTGCTTTGAAGAAAATACCTTGGACTCTCAAAACCCACACAAAGGGGGCTGACGTGACTTGTTAGTGGCAGAACTCATGTGAGCCCAAGGGCAAAGATCCTGAACCAAGGGGCTCTCTGTATTCAGAAGGTCAGAGGTAGAGACGAGGCTGGAAGGGTCTGGGGCAGGTATGAGTGTGTTAATATGATTATAATGACTATTACAGAAATGTAAGGCAAGAAAATATTTTTAAAGTAAGAATGAAATAATCCGTTTGACATCATGTATCTGTGTGAATATGCATGCATGACAGAATTAGAATTTAAAAATAAACTTAGATCTATATTAACTGGTACAGATGCCATGCTGCATTAAGAGGAAAGAAGAAAAATCATATTGCAAAGCATGACTCTATTTAGCTAACAGTACACACAAAAAACCCCCTATGAGTGTCTAGATGTTTCTCTGTGTGTGTGTGTGTGTGTATGAGTGTGAGTATGTGTGTATACGCATCTTTGCATGAGCAAGGAGGTAGGTAAGAAAGCATATACAGCAAGTGTTTATCATTGGTTAGCTGAGAGATACAGTAGTGAGGGTGGGTAGAAAATGGTTGGATTGGCTTTTACACAATTTTTGTCAAACATTATTCCTTCTTAAAATAACATTTTATTGGAGTTATAATTTGAAACCATTCTATAAGATAACATTAAATATTAAAGTCATAATAAGATTGAAAAATGTGAATGCCTGTGTTGGGATATGGATAGTAAGGGCTAGCAGTGTGGCACACATTCAGCAAGCAGACAAGCAAGAATTTGAACCTTTGTCTACATAAAGCTAAAATTATGCTTCTTTCACTACATCATGCACCTTGAGGAATTCTAGACATACAGCTCTGTAGTTAGTTCATCTTGTTCCCTGGCAGCACATTGCTGCCCAAACAGCAAGCCAAATGATAAGGTATCTCAGAATTTATGCCAGACAAGATAGTTATTTTCAATATTCCATTTGAAGAAGCTGTGGATTTTATGAAACAAATAACTAGTCACGGGGCAGATATGCTGCTTCAGACCATGTAGAAAGCTTTGTAATCTCGACAATGTGCTACAGATAAAAAGCAAAGGAGGAAGATATGAATGTCATTCAAAAGCCAATGAGTCTGGGGGCTGAGTCAAGTTTATTTGCTCTAAGTGAGATTTTTATTTCTAACCAGGGGTTTGAGAAAGGAGCCTGACTTTAATTACAGCCCCTTGGTACACTCTTTCCTGTTTCTCACTGAAGGATGGTATTCCCTCCAACCACCACCAGGGTTTTTTCCTCAGTCTACATGGTGGATGTCAATCACAGTTCCTGATCCATACCCATGTGACCTCTGAGAATGGAAACCTGCCACTGGCCTGCTCCTGCTAGGTGCTCTGTAAAAGACTGAATGCAATCTTTTAAACAAAAATAAAAAGAGAAGCCACACTTTAGATATACCCCAAAGCCAGCCACTTATACCAACATAGTCAAAATTTAAGTCATCCTGATTTCCCTGAAACACTAGCTCTAATTACAAATGAAACAAAAAATGTAGGCTTTACAACCCTGTTAGCATGATTCAGCAAAATTAAACCAACCAGTCATACATAAATCAGCTTAAAAACTCTACTTGTCTTCAAAAGAATATTAATGCATAACAGACAATCATGAAAAAGGTCAAAATATTTTCTCTTTTATGCTTTATAAGCTGTGCTGTAATTGCTGTGAAGTGAGTTTCTTTCCATTTTCTGTTCAAAGTCTTCTGGTTTATAAACTGTTGTTTTGTATGCACAATGAACTTAAAATGTTAAATTTTCTAATTTGATCTGATTTTATTTTTGACAGATCCTTCCACCCCACTTGCTGATACAGCTTCAACAAAGAAGGGTGTTCACCAACTGACTACAAGAATCATTGCTAACCAGGGATGACTCATTCTCACATCCATCCTAAATAGACTTCCTTGGATACAAAAAATCCAGAGTTTGCCGTATCTCCATGGACACTGTCATTTAGACAGGACACTTACTTCTTGGGAAACTCACTTCCATTTTCCTAATAAGGTTCCCTTTGAAGACTAAGAATTTCTCCAAGACAAAATTCATGTAAGCCAAAATACCAGACATCAGGCCTGTAATTGTGGTCACCCTGGCCACAGCCAAGTTGTCACCTTCACTCACGATCATCTTTCTGCCCTCTGCTACTTGTAGAATAATGATCATAAAGTATTGTTGTCTGAAGCCCCTTTAGAAAAGTTGATTTACAGCAGCCCATGAGAGAGGTAGATTAGAGATGACCAATGTCCTGAGAACACCAAGAAGCACTCATCTTTGATTCTCAGGGCTTGACATTTCAGAAACAAATCCAGACACATTATAATAATGACCCTGGTCCATTGTGAGCCCATTAGAAAACACTCACAAATAAGTATTCAAAATTTTCCAGTTATTTTGACTCCTAAAAATGTCTTCCAAGATATATCAAAGTTTCCGTAATTTTGCAATCAACTTGGTTTTTATTTAAACCAAGTAGCAACTCTCTCTGTAGCAACCCTGACTTTTCTTGTTATTAAATCACTCTATAATTAAATATAAAGTTATTGGTGACATTCACAGAAAATCCTAGAGAGTATGGAGTTCTTGCTACAGAAGATATACTTTATTGAAATGTAAAAGAAGTCAGTTAAATTTATAATTTCAACTTGCCCAAACATTTAGCTCAAAAGTAGTGATCTTAGTTTTGACATTTCTTGCATTGGACTCAAGGCTTCTAATAGATTACAAGTTCCTTTTATTGATTCAACACATTATTATTGAGTAACCTTTGTTCTAGACACTGGCAAAGTTAAAATAATAGCAACATAAACAAAAGGTCTTTTCTTACTGTTTAATAGGAGAAACATATTAGATAAATGATTTTAATGCACTGATATAAAAGCTATAGTTATCCAACTTCCTTTTATTGATTCAACACGTTATTATTGAGTAACCTTTGTTCCAGATACTGACAAAGTTAAAATAATGGCAACATAAACGAAAGGTCTTTTCTTACTGTTTAATAGGAGAAACATATATTAGGTAAATGATTTCAATGCACTGGTATAAGAGCTATAGTTATTCACTGAACAACTGGGACGACTTGAGCAAGTCACTTGATCTTTCTGGACCTCACTTTTCTTTTTTTTTTTTTTCTTTTTTATTTGTTTTTGTTTTTTGAGACGGAGGCTCGCTTTGTCGCCCAGGCTGGCGTGCAGTGGTGCGATCTCGGCTCACTGCAAGCTCCGCCTCCCGGGTTCACGCCATTCTCCTGCCTCAGCCTCCCGAGTAGCTGGGACTACAGGCGCCCACCACCAGGCACGGCTAATTTTTTTGTATTTTTAGTAGAGATGGGGTTTCACCGTGTTAGCCAGGAAGGTCTCTATCTCCTTATGATCCGCCCATCTCAGCCTCCCAAAGTGCTGGGATTACAGGCGTAAGCCACCGCGCCCAGCCTGTTTTTCTGGTTTTTTTAGACCTAGTCTTGCTCTGTCGCCCAGGCTGGAGTGCAGTGGCATGATCTCGGCTCACTGGCAGCCTCCGCCTCCCGGCTTCAAGCAATTCTCCTACCTCAGCCTCCGGAGTAGCTGGGAGTACAGGCTTGTGCCACCACGCCAGACTAATTTTTGTATTTGGTAGAGATGGGGTTTCGCCATGTTGGCCAGGCTGGTCTTGAACTCCTGACCTCAGGTGATCCACTCGCCTCGGCCTCCCAAAGTGCTGAGATTACAGGCATGAGCCATCGGGCCCGGCAACAGTTTTCTTTACTGTAAAATTGAAAAGCAGTACAGGGGCTAACAGTGCTGACAGCCATTGAGACTTGGTTCAAGGCCTCCCTCTGCGCACACTGGCTGTGTCACATGGGGCAAGTCACTTAACAGTTTCTTGATTTGCAAAACTAGGATATTGCTATGATCTGGATGTTTGTGTTTCCCCAAAATTTGTACATTGAAATTCAAAGTCCCAAGGGGATGATATTAGGAGATGGGGCCTTTGGGAGGAGATTAGGCTATGAGAGTGAACGCTCATTAATGGGATTAGTGCCATTATAAAAGAGACCCCAGACAGCTCATTCACCCCTTGTCTATGTAAAGACACAGCAAACATAGGGCTGTCTCTGAACCAGGAAGCAGACTCTTACCAGAACTAAATCTGCTGCCACCTTGATCTTGAACTTCTCAGCCTCCAAAACTGTGAGAAGTAAATTTCTGTTGTTTATAAGCCACCCAGTTTATGGTATTTTGTCATAGCAGCCTGAATACACTAAGATATTAACAAAATAATAGTTTTGGACTAAATATTTTTATTTCCATTTTCTAAATGTCATTTTGGAGCAAGAAATTTGAGAAAAAGATCAAAAATAAGTTTTCATACATGTATATAATAGTTCAGGCAATTCAAAGGATGCCTTCAGGACACCAACTCGTTGTTTTACTATAGGCTTTGAAATGATGAAACCAAGAGGAGCGGTTTCACTCACACTTTACCAGGAGGCTTTTCTGATTCCTGCAGCCTGCATTGATCTCTCACATCTCTGGACTCCTAGGCTGGGCATGGTGACTCAGGCCTGTAATCTCAGCAGTTTGGGAGGCTGAGGTCAGGAGTTCGAGATCAGCCTGGCCAACATGGTGAAACCCCATCTCTACTAAAAATATAAAAATTATCTGGGCATAGTGGCACGCACCTGTAATCCCAGCTACTCGGGAGGCTGAGGCACGAGAATTGCTTGAATACAGGAGGTGGAGGTTGCGGTGAGCTGAGATTGCACCACTCTACTCCAGCCTGGGCAACAGAGGGAGACTCTTTGTCTCAAAAAAACAAAACAAAACAAAATAAAAACATCTCTGGACTCCTACCAACAACACAGTCAGTGCAACATATTTTAAATTTGTGATTCTTCTACTTATTCATGAAGTCAACTAAAGCAAGTCAACCAACAGTTTTCATCCTGTTTCTTTGGTGTCAAAATGAGAAAACTAATATCACTCTCATGGGAATGTAATAAGACTAAACTTTGGTAATTACAAAAGCACTTACGACAGTGCTGGGCACATTGTAAGTTCTCAAAAAACGGTAGCAGTTCTTGGGCTTTCACACCCCTATATTCTCTCTCTTATACACCATGGTATTTTCATATCCCCATGGGGAACTATCATAAAACCCACAAGAACGTGGAAATACCTGTTTCTGAGATTTCAGCTATAAAATCATCACAACATAGATCAAACTGGAGATATTCAAAGTCAGCCTAAAGATATAAAATGACTTTCAAGACAGAATAAGTCATTATTTGTGGTATTACCTGCAAAATTAAGAACGCATAAACAGGCAGGCCGCAGTGGTTCAAGCCTGTAATCCTAACACTTTGGGAGGCCGAGGCGGGTGGATCACGAGGTCAGGAGATCAAGACCATCCTGGATAACACAGTGAAACCCCGTCTCTACTAAAAATACAAAAAAAAAATTGCCAAGTGTGGTGGCAGGCACCTTGTAGTCCCAGCTACTCGGGAGGCTGAGGCAGGAGAATGGCATGAACCTGGGAGGCAGAGCTTGTAGTGAGCCGAGATTGTGCCACTGCACTCCAGCCTGGGCATCACAGCGAGACTCCATCTCAAAAAAAAAAAAAAAAGCCATGGAAGGGAAGTTGGTGGTTCATGGTTTTGTCAGAATGCTTTTGGATATATATTGCAAAAGCCCAACTCAGATAATAAGAATGTGTGGGCTCATTGCTATGGTTTGAATGTGTCCCCTCCAAAATTCTGTTGTTGCCTGTGTGACACTTACAAGGAGGTAGGGACTTTAAGAGATGATTAAGCCATGAGGGCTCCTTCCTTATTAGTGGGATTAAGACCCTAGTAACAGAGGCTTCACACACCCTTAGACTAGCTTGCTTGCTTGCCCTTCTGCCTTCTACCATGCGAGGATACAGCAAGAAGACCCTCATCAGGCACCCAATGCCAACGCCCTGATCTTGGACTTTCAGCCTCTAGAACTGTGAGAGATACATTTCTGTTCTTTATAAATTATCCCATCTGTATTATTCCGTTACAGCAACATAACATGAACTAAGACATTTAGCTAAAACTTTGGGGGAGATTATTTTCAGGCACTAAAGAACCAAGTGCTCAAATAATACTACATGAAATAGTTCTCCCTCCAATTCTCAATTTTTATTTCCTGTATATTGGTTTCACTATTAGGCAAACTCTCATTTGAGGTGATTGATAACTACTGCCAGTTTACATGGACTTGACTAGCATCCTCATTACAAACATTCTTACAAAGTATTTGATCTATTAACATGGAATCCCACATAATATCTTTGTGAACACACAAAGAAACGCACTTTATAGTGAAGCAGGTAATGCTATGTATGCACAAAAATGAAATTCACTGGTCCTAGCACATACCACACCAACTAGCAGCAGCTGGCCTGATAAGCAGTGATATGGCCATTTGAAAATATCTCTGGGTCACTGACTTGGGATGATGCCTTTTAAGGATGGGAGGCCACCCTCTAGGAAACCATATGTATAAAACACTGATGACTATTGTAGGTGCTGGTGCTGTGTCCCCCATAGTAGAATACACAGTCTCAGAGCCAGGGAGTGAAAATAGAAATGGCCTCACTCACCATCACTCCCAAGGACCCATTTGGGGAATCTGTGTTTCCTGCCCTGTGACATTAGCTTCTGTGTGTCTGAAGGATCTGGTTCCCAGAGGGTATCTGTGCTCTCCATTCTCACAACTTTAAGCTCTAAGGGTCTAAAGACCCTGGTTTCAGCAGTGATGTTTCTACCAGAGGACAGAGTGAGGGTCATATTAAACTTTGTTTCTGTCCAGTCACTTTAAGCTGTTCATGCCAGGAGAACAGCAGGCAAGAAAAGGAGTGACCATTTTGGCAGGGCTGGAACACAGTCACCAGGAGGAAGTCAGGGAGCTTTCACATGTTGGAGGCAGAGAAGAATACAGTGAGCACCCTGGTGGCCATGGTGGTGTTTCTTGGTGTTTCTTCCCCTGCCCAGTTTTGATGATAAAAGGACAAAGACAACAGCCATGGCCTGACATGGGCACTGAGGCCAGAAGTCTGCTACCCAGATCCCTCCTTTGGAACTAAAACACGTTCATTCTCACAGCTCCTAAGAGAGTTGGCTACTGATTTATCACAGCTGAGTCTCTCTCTGGGGCTTTCCCTTGACAAGGGAATTACCCCAAATTATCCCTGTTTGATGCATCTCACTACCAGAGCTCTCCCAGAGGCCTCTGTTGCAACCATTTGATTTCTTCCTCTGCCACATTTGATTTCTTCCTTTGCCCAGTTACTCCTTCCTCATTTAACTTGTAGGCGATGTTCTTCAGATCACTCCCCAAAACACCCCCTGCATGCAAATCTTTGTCTCGGAGCTGTTTTCCTGGGCCCCTGACCTGAGACAATAGCTGACATGTATGGAACGCTTATTATGTGCTATATATTTTATACATATTAACTCAATCAATTCTCACAAAAAGTAATATCCCCATATGACAGATGAGAACCTTTAGGTTTAGAGAGGTCAAATGACTTACATAAAGCCTGGTATGATGATCTGAAAATTACATTTGGAACAAATATATTCATCGGGTTGGCTCTTATGGGAATTTGGAATTCCAGAGTTTTTCATTATCTGCAAGTGCATCTGATGATCCATGACCGTAGGAAATTGTAACTGCTGAGGTTCCATTCATGCCACACATCTTCTGAAATGATTAGTGACAGTGCCTGAGAGGTCATCTAGTGGCCACATCTCAAGGGAAATTTATTGTTCTCTACTTTTTCTTGTAAGCTATAACCTCAGCATAGAATGCATTTAACTACTGAAATATAAACATTTGCTCTTAGCTAAAAGAAAAAAATGAAATAATTTTTATTAGAAAAGACAAGGCATGGAACATTCTATCCTCCCTTCCACTTAATGAGCAGGAACAAGTGAGTGAGTGGGGGTATGGATCTGCTGCTACCATTTCCATCACAGTACTAATTTGCATGTCATAGTGTAAGTAGAAGATTTTAAGAAAATGTAAGGGATTTTATGGTGGTTAAAACCAAGCCCCCATGAAGACAGGATGACATACATTTCTTAAAGATTTAGGTTGTTCCCTCACAAATTGTAGTGGTCAAGTGTAATTGTTGTGACCAAATAACAGTATACAAGGCTGATGAAAGGTAAAATAAAAATGAAAAAGATAGATGTTAATATTTACTGACTACTTAGCCCTATACAAGTGTCTTAAATCTTCTTTTACCTCAACCCACAGTAAGAAATATGTTTTCAGAGTTATCTGGTATATACATGTGCGTGTAGGTCTATATGAGAAACTGAAACAAAAATTTCACCATCCAATACATACCCTTACTGTATATGATATACTCTGATATTTTCCATTATATTTGCATGTTATTAAGTTGTTTGCTACCCATTATATTGATTTTGTACTAAATGTTCATGAAGAACATTTGAAATCACTGCCTAATGCCAAGACTCTTGATATGCATTTACTAATTTAGCACTTGTGACAACTTTCCAAAAAACTTATTACTATTATATTATTTTTTTCTAATAAAGTACAGGTTTTAACCTATATCCTAAGGTCTCACAACTCATAAATGACAGGGTTGGAACGTAAATCCTACTAAATTATTTCAGACGTGTTTCAACCTCTTGGTCAGTGCAAAATGCTTAAAAAGAAGAAGAGACACAGAGAAGAAAAAATGAAGAAATATAGGTGTTTCCTCTATTCATTTTCTTTTGCCTCTTATATCAGCTGCATGATCAGTTCTAGGAAAGGAGATAAGGCTAGAAGATTGCACCAAACTCAATGCAGATGCCGATAACTAAAGGCAAATTGTGACCTTGCACCTCATGAGAATTTGTGGAATTCCATATACAGCTCAGGAAAACTTGTTTCCTTATCTAGTTAATGTGGTTTCTAATCTCTGAGCAGCAGGACACAGAGGTACAGATGCTGGTGTTTTTCATCATTCTAGTTTTAAGCACTATTTCTTTTGCTTCCTGAGAAGTAAAAGAGCTGTCAAGTCAATCAATACTCCTACTGACTCTTTTCTGGAAATCAATAAGGTGAGAACATTTGTCCTGATGTGACTTAAGCACTTAATTCACTCCGGAGTCTTATGGATTAATCCAAATGTATTGTGATATAATTCTCGAGCATACACAAGTTTTAGTGTGTGCTAGCATTTGTGAGAAAGATGAATTTTTTGAGGCCCAGGTTTTCCTTAATCAGTTCTGAATGTGTTTAGCAATGCAATTCCTATAACCAACACACTGATGCAACTCTGCTGACAGAGCATCTTCCTCTCCATGCAATTTTTTTCTTTCCTACTATTTCTCAAATATGTATTTTACAATGAAAATATATACCACAGTGGTTAATGGTAGCTGTGAATTAATGTCTTTTCTGGTGGAGTGGTGGGGCAGAGATAGATTTTCATGGTATCCTGTAACAAAGAAGAAAAAGCAATTTTAGACTAAGTTTTTACAAAATATCTATAGATTTAATGTTGTCCCCATCTGAATCCCAACAGAAATGATGTAAAACTGACAAAGATTTAAAAAAAAATAAGTAAAAGAGGAAAGAGCAAGAGTAGCTAGATTGTTCAAAAAGATGAAGAAATATCTCTCTGTGTGTGCTGGAAGCTGGGGGACACTTGCCCCAAGACAGTGGTTCCCAAGCATTGCTGTGTAGCGGAATCACCTAAAGAGATGAAAAAGAACTCTGAGACCTAAGTTTCTTGAGATAGGCTGACTCATGCCTTTGTGGTTTTAAGTTCCTGGGTGATTCTGAAGCTCATCAGGGTTTGAAAATCACTGCTCTTGTAGACATCCAAACAAATTCTAAAACTATAGTAATTAAACCAGAGTGGTATTGGCACAGGAAAAGATAAAAAAAAAAAAACTAAAGGAACAGAATATAGAAAGTCTAGAAACATACTGGCCTATATGAATTCTTCATATATAAAGGCAGTGAATTGCAGATCAGTGGGAAGGGACTACTCAAAATTGATGCCAGGACAATAGCATCTACATTACAATAAAATTGGAGTCCAAAGATAGAGAAAACTAAAAATATAAAAATAAAAATTTTAAAGCTTTTATAATAAAATAACCTTATGACCTGTAAGTCCTTAGTGTAAGGAAAGACTTCTTAAAGTTTATAAAGCACAAATTACAAAGAAAACATTGATAAGTTTTCACGCTAAAATTGAGATTCTTTCAGCCAAAGGCACCATAAAAATGAAAACAAGTAGCCACAAAGTGACAATAGATATTTGTAACACATAGGATTAGTATGTGTTTAGCAGACTTTAGAATACGGCTGCTCTTGCATATATTGAAACTTCTTGTAGAGAGTTCATTGCTCAGGGTGACTATGTTCCACTATGCTTTTGTTTTTTAAGTTTTCTTAATTCAGATCTAGAATATCTATTCCTATAAAACTGTACAGGCAAGTACACTCCTATAGAACATATGCTCATATGGGTTTGAATGGCAACAAAACTCAGCCTTAAATTTTTATCACAATTAGAGTACAAATACTTCAGAAACTTCATCAGAAGTTTCAGATTCATGGCACCTGATAATATATATATATATAGTCTGTAATTGTATGATTGGCTTTGCTTTCTATTTTTAAAGATTAAAGGGAATAAATGGGTACAGAGTGATGCAACAGATATCCTCCATCCAAAATAAACAAAAGTTTATATAAAATATAGTTTGCAAATAAAATTGAAATCCAAAAACCATGAACATTATAAAGTATTACTTTCTTTTCTTGTATCTGTATGAGGTACATGAGGTATTTTAATACAGGCATGCAATGTGAAATAAGCACATCATGGGGAATGGCATATTTATCCCATAAAGCATTTATCCTTTGAATTATAAACAATCCAATTACACTCTTTGTTTTTAAATGTACAACTAAGTTATTATTAACTGTAATCACCATATGGTGCTATCAAATACTAGGTCTTTTTCATTCTTTCTACTTAGTTGCACCTGTTAACCATCCACATCTCTCTCTGCCTCTCACCTTCCAACTACCCTTCCCAGCCTCTGGTAACATCCTTCTACTCTCTATGTCCACGAGTTCAGTGTTTTTGACTTTCAGATCCTATAAATAAGTGAGAAGATGTGATGTTTGTCTTTCTGTGCCTGGATAACTTCACTTAACATAGTGATCTCCAGTTCCATCCGGATTGACGCAAATGACTAGATCTCATTTCTTTTTATGGCTGAATAGTACTCCATTGTGTATATGTACCACATTTTCTTTAGCCATTCAACTGTGGATGGACACTTAGGTTGCTGCCAAATCTTAGCTGTTTTAAACAGTACTGCAGCAAACATGGGAGTGCAGATATCTCTTCAATATACTGCTTTCCTTTCTTTTGGTATATACCCAGTAGCTGGATTGCTGGATCATATGGTAACTCAATTTTTAGTTTTTGGAGGAACTTCCAAACTGTTCTCCATAGTGGTTGTATTAATTTACATTCCCACCAACGGTGTCCAAGGGCTCCCTATTCTCCACATCCTTGCCAGCATTTGCTATTGCCTGTCTTTCGGATGTAAGCCATTTTAACTGGTAGAAGATAATATCTCCTTGTAGTTTTGATTTGCATTTCTCTGATGATCAGTGATGTTGAGCACATTTTCATGTATCTGTTTGCCATTTGTATGTCTTCTTTTGGGAAATGTCTATTCAAATATTTTGCCCATTTTTTATCAGATTATTAAACTTTTTCCTATAGAGTTGTTTGAGCTCCTTTTATATTATATATTCTGGTTATTAACTTCTTCACAGATGGGTAGTTTGCAAATATTTTCTCCTATTCTGTGGGTTGTCTTTTCACTTTGTTCATTGTTTCCTTTGCTGTGAGGAGAAGCTTTTTAACTTGATGTGATCCCATTTGTCCATTTTGCTTTGGTTGTCTGTGCTTGTGGGGTATTGCTCAAGAAGTCTTTGCCAAAACAAATGTCCTGGAGATAGTCCCCAATGTTTCCTTGTAGTAGTCTCATAGTTTGGGGTCTCAGATCTACATCTTCAATTTATTTTTATTTTATTTTTATATAGTGATAGATACAGGTTAGTTTCACTCTTCTGCCTATGGATATTCAGTTTTCCCAGTACCATTTATTGAAGAGACTGTCCTTTCCCCATGTATGTCTTGGCACCTTTCGCAAAAATGAGTTCACTATAGGTGTTTGTATTTGTTTCTGCATTATCTATTCTGTTGCATTGATCTATGTGTCTGTTTTTATGCTAGTATCATGCTGTTAGGGTTACTATAGCTCTATAGTATAATTTGAAGTCACATGATGTGATTCTTCCAGTTTTGACCTTTTTGCTTAGGACAGCTTTGACTATTCTGGGTCTTTTGTGGTTCTATATAAATTTTAGGATTGCTTTTTCTATTTCCATGAAGAATGTCATTGGTATTTTGATAGGGATCACATTGACTCTGCAGATTGTTTTGGGTAGTATGCACATTTTAACAATATAAATTCTTCCAATCCATTAACATTAACATGGAATATTTCTTTTTTTTTTTTTTTTTTTTTTAGTGTTCTCTTCAATTTCCCTTATCAGTGTTTTGTAGTTTTCATTATAGAGATCTTTCACTTCTCTGGTTAAATTAATTCCTAGGTATTTAATTTTATGTGTGGCTATGAAAAATGATATTACTTATAAAATTTCTTTTCCACATTGTTCACTGTTGGAATACAGAAATCCTACTGAATTTTATATGTTGATTTTATATCCTGCAACTTCCTGAATTTGTTTATCAGTTCTAATAGTTTTGCTGTGAAGTCTTTAGGTCTTTCCAAATATAAGATTATATCATCTTCATTTTCCATTTGGATGCCATTTATGTCTTTCTCTTATCTGATTGCTGTAGCTAGGACTTCCAGTACTACATTGAATAACAGTGGTGACATTGGGTGTCCTTGTCGTATTCCACATCTTAGAGGAAAGGCTTTCAATTTTTCAGTATGATAATAGTTGTGGGTCTGTCATATATAGCTTTTATTATGTTGAGGCATGTTCCTTCTATCCACAGTTTTTTTAAGGTTTTTATCATGAAGGAATAATAAACTTTATCAAATGCTTTTCATCATCAACTTAAATGATCATATGGTTTTTATCCTTCATTTTGTTGGTATGATGTATCACATTGATTGAATTGAGTATATTGAACCATCCTTGAATCCCAGGGATAAATCCCACTTGGTCATAATGAGTAATCTTTCTAATGTATTATTTAATTTGGTTTGCTAGTATTTTGTTGAGGATTTTTGCATCAATATTCATCAGAGGTATTGGCCTGTAGTTTTCTTTTTTTTTTAATGTATCTTTGTTTCATCTTGATATCAGAGTAATACTGGCCTTATATAAGGAGTTGGGAAGTATTTCTTCCTCCTCTGTTTTTGGAATAATTTGAGTAGGATTGGTATTAATTATCCTTTAAATGTTTGGCAGAATTCAGCAATGAAGCCATCAAGTCCTGGGCTTTTATTTAGTGGGAGACTTTTTAATTACAGCTTCGATCTCATTACGTGTTATGGGTCTGTTCATGTTTTGGATTTCTCCCAGGTTCAATGTTGATAGGCTGTGTGTGTCTAGGGATTGGTCCATTTCTTCTAGATTTTCCAATGTATTGGCATACAGCTGCTCATAATAGCAACTAATGATCCTTTGAATTTCTGTAATGTCTCCTTTTTCATTTCTGATTTTATTTATTTAGATCTTCTCTCTCTTTTCTTAGTCTGGGTAAAGGTTTGTCATATTGTTTAACTTTTCAAAAACCCAACTTTTTGATTCATTCATCTTTTGTATTATTTTGTTCATTTCAATTTCATTTATTTCTGCTCTAATCTTTATTATTTATTTTCTTCTATTAACTTTGAGTTTGGTTTGTTCTTGCACTTCTAGTTCTTTAAGATGCATGCTTAGATTATTCACTTGAAGTTTTTCCTCTTTTTTGATGTAAGTACTTATACCTATGAACTTCCCTCTTGGTACTGCTTTTGCTGTATCCCATAGATATTGGTATGTTTTGTTTCCATTGTCATTTGTTTCAAGACATGTTTTAATTTCGTTCTTAATTTCTTCATTGATTGATATGGTTTGGCTGTGTTTTCACCCAAATCTCATCTTGAATTATAATCCTCATAATCCCTATGTGTCTAGGGAGAGACCTGGTGGGAGGTGATTGGATCATGGGGGCAGTTTCTCCCAAACTGTTCTTATGATAGTAAGTGAGTTCTGATGGTTTTATAAGGGGCTCTCCCCCCTTTGCTACTTGCTCTTCTCTCTCCTGCCACCCTGAGAAGGGGTGCCTTCTGCCATGATTGTAAGTTTCATGAGACCTCCCCAGCCATGCAGAACTGTGAGTCGATTAAACCTCTTTTCTTTATAAATTACCCAGTCTCAGGCAGTTCTTGATAGCAGTGTGAGAATGGACTAATACAGTAAATTGGTACTGAGGTAGTGGGCACTGCTATAAGGATACCCAAAAATGTGGAAACGACTTTGGAATTGTGTAATGAGCAGAGGTTGGAACAGTTGGGAGGGTTCAGAAGAAGACAGGAAGATGTGGGGAAGTTTGGAACTTCCTAGAGACTTGTTGAATGTTTTTGACCAAAATGCCAATAGTGATATGGACAATGAAGTCCAGGCTGAGGTAGTCTCAGAGAGAGATGAGGAGCTTCTTGGGAACTGCAGTAAAGGTCACTCTTGTTATGCTTTAGCAAAGATACTGGTGGCATTTTACCCCTGCCCTTAGAGATCTGTGGAACTTTGAACTTCAGAGAGATGATTTAGGATATCTGGCAGAAGAAATTTATAAGCAGCAAAGCATTCAAGACGTGACAGAGCACAAAAGTTTGGAAAACTTGCAGCCTGACAATGCAGTAGAAAAGAAAAGCCCATTTTCTGGGGAAAAATTCAAACCTCAAGCCAGCTGGAAAAATTTGCATAAGTAACGAGGAGCCAAGTGTTAATCACCAAGACAATGGGAAAAATGTTTCCAGAAACCTTTGCAGTAGCACCTTCCATGGCAGGCTGAGAGGCCTAGAAGGGAAAAATGGTTTCATGGGCCAAGCTTAGGGACCCGCTGCTGTGTGTGGCCTCAGCCCTGTGTCCCAGATGCTCCAGCCCTGGCTAAAAAGAGGCCAAGGTACATCACAGGCCATTGCTTCAGAGGGTGCAAGACCCAGCCTTGGCAGTTTCCATGTGGTGCTGGTCCTGCAGATATGCAGAAGATAATCACTGAGGTTTGGGAACCTCCATCTAGATTTCAGAAGATGTATGGAAATGCCTGGATGTCCAGGAAGAGGTGTGCTCCACAGGTGGATCCCTGATGGAGAATCTCTGTCATGGCAGTGCAGGATGGAAATGTGAGGTTGAAGTCCCCACACAGAGTCCCCACTGGAACACTGCCTAATGGAGCTGTGAGAAGATGGCCACTGTCCTCCAGACCCCACAATAGTAGTCCCACTGACAGCTTGCACTGTGCACCTGAAAAAGCCATAGACACTCAACGCCAGCTGTGAAAGCAGCTGGGCCAGGGAGCTCTACCCTGCAAAGCCACAAGGGTGGATCTACCCAAGGTCATGGGAGCCCACCTCTTGAATCATTGTGACTTGGATGTCAGACATAGAGTCAAAGGAAATTACTTAGGAACTTTGAGATTTATTGACTGCCCTGTTGAATTTTGGACTTGCATGGGGCCTGCAGCCCCTGTTATGACCAATTTCTCCCATTCGGTATGGGAGCATTTATCTGATCCCTGTATCCCCATTTTATCTTGAAAGTAGCAAACTTGCTTATGATTTTACAGGCTCATAGGCAGAAAGGACTTCCCTTGTCTAGATGAGACCTTGGACTTGCACTTTTGGGTTGATCCTGGAATGAGCTAAGACTTTGGGGGACTGTTGGAAAGGCATGATTGTGTTTTGAAATGTGAGGACATGAGATTTAGGATGGGCTGGCTGGAGTGATATGTTTTGGCTGTGCCCCCACCCAAATCTCCTCTTGAATTGGAATCCCCATAATCCCCATGTGTCATGTCTAGGGAAAAGCCTTGTGGGAGGTGATTGGATCATGGGGGTGGTTTCTCCCATGCTGTTCTCATAATAGTGAGTGAGTTCTCACAAGATCTGATGGTTTTATGAGGGGCTCTTCCCCCTTTGCTACTCATTCTCTCTCCTGCCACCCTGTGAAGAGGTGCCTTCTGCCATGATTATAAGTTTCCTGAGGCCTCCCCAGGCATGCAGAGCTGTGAGTTAACTAAACCTCTTTACTTTATAAATTACTCAGTCTCATCCAGTTCTTCATAGCATTGTGAGAACAGACTAATACATTGACCCAGTTGTCATTGCAGAGCATATTGTTTAATTTCCTATTTACATTTGTATACTTTCCAAGATTCCTCTTGTTACTGATTTCTAGTTTTATTCCATTGTGGTCCAAGAAGATATTTGATATTAGTTCAATTTTTTTAATGTTTTAAGACTTACTTTGTGACCTAACATGTGGTCTATCCTTGAGAATGATTCATGTGCTGGGAAAAAGAAAGTGTATTCTGCAGCTCTTGGATGAAATGTTATGGTAATACCTATTAGATCTATTTGGTTTATAGTGTGGGTTAAGTCTGATGTTTCTTTGTTGATTTTGTGTCTGGAAGACATGTCTAGTGCTGAAAATGAGGTGTTGAAGTCTCCAGCTATTATTATATTGGAGCCTCTCTCTTTAGCTCTAATAGTATTTCCTTTATGTATCTGGATGCTCCAGTATTGGATGCATATATATTTAAAATTGTTATATTATCTTGCTGAATTGATCCTTTATCATTATATAGTGACCTTCTCTGTCTCTTTTTATAATTTTTGTCTTAAGAGCTATTTTGTCTGATATTACTATAGCAACTCCTGCTCTTTTTTGGTTTCCATTGGTATGGAATATCTTTTTCCATTCCTTTATTTTCAGTCTATGTATATCTTCATAAGTGAAGTGTGTTTCTCGTAGGCAACAGATAAATGGATCTTGCATGTTTATCCATTCAGCCAGTCTATAGCTTTTGGTTAGAGAATTTAGTCCATTTACATTCAATGTTATTATTGATAAGTAAGGACTTACTCATGCCATTTTGTTATTTGTTTTCTGGTTGTTTTATGTTCTTCTTCCCTCCTGTCTTTTTCTAGGGAAGGCATTTTCTCTGGTGATATAATTTAGTTTCTTGCTTTTTACTTTTTGTGTATCCATTGTATGTTTTTTGGTTTGAGGGTACCATGGGGCTTTCAAATCCTATCTTATAACCCATTATTTTGACCTAATAACAACTTCACACCACTTGCATAAACAAACAAGCCAAAAGAAAAATAGCAAAAACTCTATGCCTTCATTTCATCCCCTCACTTTTTAACTTTTTGTTGTTTCTATTTATATCTTATTGTACTAACTATATCTTGAAAAGTTATTGTAGTTACTGTTTCTGATGGGTTCATTGTTTAGTCTTTCAACTTAGGATAAGAGTAGTTTACACACCACAGTTACAGTGTTATAATACTCTATGTTTCTCTGTGTACTATTAACAGCAAGTTTTGTACCTTCAGGTGATTATTTATTGCTCATTAATGTCCTTTTCTTTCTGATTGAAGTACTTCATTTAACTTTTCTGGTAGGACAGGCCTGGCATTGGTAAAATCCCTCTTCTCTTGTTTGTCTGGGACGGTCTTTATTTCTCCTCCATGTTTGAAGGATATTTTAGCTGGATGTAGTATCCCAGAGTAAAAGTTGGTTTTTGTTTTTGTTTTTTTTCTTTTGTTTTTTTTCCTTCAGCACTTTAAATATGTCACTCCACTCTCTCCTAGCCTGTAAGGTTTCCACTGAAAAGTCTGTTGCCAGCTGTATTGGAACTCTATTGTATGTTATTAGTTTCTTTTCTCTTGCTGCTTTTAGCTTCCTTTCTTTATCCTTGACCTTGAGGAGTTTGAGTATTAATGCCTTGAGGTAGTCTTCTTTGGGTTAAATCTGCTTGGTGCTCTATAACCTTCTTGCACTTGGATATTTATATCTTCCTCTAGGTTTGGGAAGTTCTCTGTTATACATTTGAACAAACTTTCCATGTTGATTTTCTTTGAGTTTCCTCAGGATCGGTCCCTGGTGCCTTATTTAGTTCATTTGGTGAGGTCATGTTTTCCTGAATGGTGTCAATGCTAGTAGGTGTTCTTTGGTGTCTGGGCATTGAAGGGTTAGGTATTTATTGTAACCTTCACTGTCAGGGCTTATTTGTAGCCATCCTTCTTGTGAAGGCATTCTAGATATTTAAAAGGAGTTGGGTGTTGTCATCTAAGCTGTATCTGCTTTAGGAGGCACTCCAAGCCTAGTAACACTGTGGTTCTTGCAGACTTATAGAGATACCACCTTGATTGTCTTGGACCGGATCTGATAGAATTCTCTAGATACCAGGCAGAGGCTTGTGTTGTCTTTTCTCACTTTCTCCCATACATGCAGAGTTTCTCTCTCTTTGCTTTGAGTCACATAAAGCTAGGGTGGAGTGATACAAGCACCCCTGTGGCCACCACTACTATGACTGCACTGGGTCAGCAGTGACCCGGAAGCCAGCACAGCACTGGGTCTCACCCATGGCCTGCTGTAACCACTCCCTGGCTACTGCATATGTTCACTCAAGGCCCTGGGACTCTATAATCAGAAGTTTGCAAATCCAACCAGATTCTGTCTTCTTCCCTTCAGGTCAGCAAGGTTCTTCAGGCCCAGGGTGGGTCCAGAAGTACCATCTGACAGTCAGGAACTAGAGTCAAAAACCTTAGAAGTCCACATGGTATTCTATTATATTGCAGCTGAGCTGGCACTCAAACCACAAGACACAGTTTTTCCCACTCTTCCCTTCCCCTTCCAAAGGTAGAGGAGCCTCACCCCATAGCCACTGCCACCCTAGGCCATGAGGAGTACTGACAGACTACTGCTCATGTCCCCTCAAGGCCTCTTAAGTCAGCTTGTCATGAATGCTGCCTGGCCTGGAACTCACCTTTCAGGACAGTGAATTCCCTTCTGGCTCAGGGCAGATTCAATATGCTGTCCAAGAGTAAAGTCCTTGAATTAGGGACCCCAAGAGCCCACTTGTTACTCTCCTTCCCTGTGGCTGTGCTGGTATCTGAAGCCAGCAAGTCTTAGAAGCTCACCCAAGGCCCTTGATTTAGTACCTGGGTATTGCTGCTGGACACCCAAGGCCCTTGATGTAGTACCTGGGTATTGCTGCTGGACATTCACGGCCCAAGGGCTGTTAGCAGGTGATAAATGCTGCCAGGACTGGGTCTTTTCCTTTAAGGCAGTGGGTTCCCTTCTCGCCTGGGGTGTGTCTAGAAACATCATCTGGGAGCAAAGGCCTAGAACAGGGGCCCCATGACCCTGACCAGTGCCCTGTCGTGCTTGGCTGAGCTGGTATCCAAGATGCAAGGCAAAGTCCTCCCCACTCTTTCCTCTCTTCAAGTAAAAGAAAGTGGTATCTTTTGGAGCCTCAAGCTATGCAGACTGGGGTTAGGGGAGGGGTGATGCCAGCACTCCATTGTCTTCCCCAGCTGGTGTCTCAGTATATCAGGTGCAATCCCAGTCCACTGTCTCTGGGCCTAGTTCAGCACCAGGACTCACCTAAGAGTTACAGTCCTTATGGCCCAGATTGCCTTTCAAGTTTAGTTGGAGATACAGAGCACTGTAGCCTTCAGTGGTGAGGTTTATGGGAGCTCAAGTTCAAACCACTGGGAGGCACAATTCCCATTTGGCCAGGGCTGGTTTAAATGCCCCTTCAGTGGGCAGGCATCAACTGAATTTGGTCCAGGTTTCCTTTCTGCCCTGACAGGACAGCACTGAGTTCAATGCTTCACAATTGCTCTTTTCTCCCTCCCTCAGTACCCAGAGATGCTCTGCACACCAGGCAGCTGCTTCCAGTGTGGGGGGAGGAGTGGTGTCAGCGATTCAGGACTATTTTTTTAATCTCTTCAGTGCTTCTTTCAGCCATATGAAGTTAAAACCAGGTACTGTAAGTGCTCATTTTATCTTTCGTTCTTATGGAGGTGTTTTTCTCTGTGAAGGTAGTTGTTAACTTGGTATCCTTGCAGGGGGAAGGGCAATCGGTGGAGCTCTCTATTCTACCATCTTGCTCTGTCTCTCAGTATTACTTTGTGTGTTTTGCGATTTGTATAAACACTGTCATACTTTGTCATCTGAAACACGTTTTTTTTTTCCCTTCCAATATTACATATCCAATAAATATCCATGTTGTTACATATCCATCTAGGCCATTCTCCTTAACATCGCTGTAGCACTCCATCACACAGATAATGCTTCCTTCTTCTTTGATGGAATTTTGGTTATTCGTATTTGTAACTGTTAAAATTGACTCTAAAATTAGCATTCTTGAACAAGTTTCCTGGTGCCCATGTGCAATGGTTACTTTAAAATATGTATGTAGAAACAGAATCCTAAATATTTAGTGCTTTGCGTTTTCAATTTTACTAAATATTTTTCTGGTCACTGGTGAGACTGAGCATGTTTTCATGTGTTATTAATCATGCAGGATTCCTTTTATGTCAATTGCCTATTTTACTGTTTTGTTTGTGTGATGCTGCCTTATTGAGTTGTAGAAGTTCTCCATAAAAACACTATTTACAATGTTAGGAGATAGACTGGAAATTTATTTCCTTTTCATCTTTATTGAGATATAATAGACAATAAAGATTGTATGTATTCAAGGTGTACTGTGATGTTTTGATATACATATACATTATGAAATGATTACCACATCAAGCTAATAAACATGTCCATCACGTCACATAGTTACTATTTTTTGGTAGTGAGAATACTTAATATCTACTCTGTTAGCAAATTACAAGTATATAATACATTATTATGAACTATAGTCACTGTGCTATACATTAGGCCTCCAGAACTTATTCACCTTATAACTGTAAATTTGTACCTTTGGACCAAGGTCTCCCTACTTCTCCCATCTTCTCACCCCTGGTAATCATAGTTCTACTGTTTCTATGTATTTGGCTTTTTTGGATTCCACATATAAGTGAGATCACACCGGCATTACTCACAGTAGCCAAGACATAGAACTATCTAAGTGTCCATTGACAGGTGGATAAAGAAGTTGTGCTACACACACACACATACACACATTCACACACACCCAATGGAATATTATTCAGCCTTGAAAAAGGAGATTCTGCCATTTACAACAATGTGGATGAACCTGATAGACATTGTGCTAAGTAAAGTAAGCCAGGGTGGAAATTTAAATAGTCGATAGTCATTATTGGTAACTTAATTTTGAATCAAAAACTATTTTGCTACCCCTTTTTCAAGCTTCTTGATTAATTTACTTAAAAATATAATAAGCTTGAAAGAAAACTATTTTAAAAACTGCTTCCACTTGGAACTGTTGATCTTTAAGAAATCAGACCTTTCTAAATATTGTTCAACCAAAACCAAATTATTAAATAGAAAAATAAGGTTGGGCCAGGCATGATGGCTCACACCTGTAATCCCAACACTTTGGGAGGCCAAGGCGGGTGGATCACAAGGTCAGGAGTTTGAGACCAGCCTGCCCAACATAGTGAAATGCTGTCTCTACTAAAAATACAAAACATTAGCTGGGCAGGGTGGCAGGCACCTGTAATCCCAGCTATTCAGGAGGCTGAGGCAGGAGAATCACGTGAACCCAGGAGGTGGAGGTTGCAGTGAGCTGAGGTCATGCCATTGCACTCCAGCCCAGGCAACAGTGCAAGACTCCATCTCAAAAAAAAAAAAAAAAGAAGAAGACTAAGGCTGGTACAAGACTATAGTTGTCATTCCTAACAAGGTTTTAAAATGATTATTTTATAATTGTATAAATAAAAGTCCTAAAGTTCAACATATACATTTATGCTAATGTAATCTTCATTGACATTCTCTTACATACCTACGCTTCATACTGAATTTTATTTGAATAACGTGTCTTCCACTAATTTAAAATCTCTTGCTTAACAGACAAGGAAGCACAATCCCAAGGATTTACTTGACTTGCCTAAGATCATAGAGTTCGTCAAATCAACTTGCCTGATAAAATAAAAATATTAAATTTCTTTGTAGGGTATAAGTGTTTCTAAAGTTTTCTCCTTCATTGTTTAATGTCATTAATAACCTCAGAATTACAAACATTAAAGTGAAATGATAAGGTCTGAAGTGGTAAATTTGGTTTACGATCACGGATATGTACAGTTATTTAACTGCCAACAAAATAGATTTGTGGAAGTCATTAAGGTTTTGTGGCAAGAAATATGGAGAAGAAAATGAGGAGACTGGCAATGTCTCCTCATTTACTTCTATGTATAAGATTCCATTCTTATTCGAGTTTTGAAACAGTGGAATCAATCACCTTTTCTTTCCCTCTAGATTCTGAACAAATTGAGAATTACACACAGGAAACAGATGAGAATCAAAATATCAACTTAATGATCAATAAATCTGGACCAGAGAAGGCAACGTGGATGTAAGACCCCAAACTATGCCTCCAAGAACTTACCCCTACTCAGTCACAGCTGTCAGTAGGGCACAGAATCTCTGCTCCAGGGAGCTTCTCCACAGCAGCAAGAAAAGGAGAATACAGGCTGCCGGTAGACATGCTGATCCCAGAACAAGAACAAGCAAGACAACAGGCAGTGCTCACACACTAGGACTTTCCCACTCTTCCTCCTGTGGGATGATAGAATAAATGAACAGAAAAAAACGTATCCACCATTTATCTGCTGAGAAATAGTACTGAAGATCTCTCACGTTAAGGTTAGTGACACAGGGTGTTCTTTTATTCGTTGAAGTTGTAGCAAGAAAGTAATGACACGCTTCAAACAGTGGGCTGAAGGGATTGATGGAAAGACTATTCATAATGCTAAGGCAATGCTAAAGGAGAGAAACAAGGGGCAGTGATGCAGCTGAAGCTCACAAGAACAGGTTGTATGTTGACATCTCTAAGGCCTAAGCAGCAACGGGAAGCAGGGGGCAATGTTGTTGCCGGAACATGGCAGTAGCTGCGGCTTTCGGAGTGAAGAACAAGCAACTGTCAGACCATGGCCAGAGAGGGAATGAACCAGGAGAACAAATACTCCAACCTCTCTCTACTTATCGTTGATTATCCTGCCAGCACTGCCCATCCACCACTAGCACCACCACCACCGTCACAATCAAGGCGAGCATGGTTGATGCTGTCCAGAGAAGCCAGTCTCCCAGAGTGGAGGGCAGAGTGGAGAGTGGTAAAAGTTACATCCAACCCAGCCCCCAACACATATGAATACATCAACTCGCAAAAGGGAACTTAAACTACAACAGCTGGATTACATCATAGCTACCTGTCTTCAGTGCTCAATTGGCAAGGGAAAATTGTATATCAGATCTTTGGACACCAATGGGAAGAGTAATCAGATTGATTAATTACAAGAAACGACTTATTGACAGAGTTTTTTAAAGTATTAATTTAAGTGTGGACAAGTGTTTCTAATTAACTTTTAACATCACCCAACGCTAAGTATCTTCTGATGCAATTATATGAGTGTTAGAAAATTCATGAAATAGTTGTGGAGGTAGACACATTATTTCAATGCAAATGACACTAGATAAAAGTGGTGTAGGGAACATCTGTCTATTACACATATATGTGTGTATAAAAACGAGAGTTTCTGAGAAAAATAATTAACTTTGATGCCTGGGAAAAGAAAGAAGAACATGGAAGCAGCAGTGGCGGACACATTAAACATCCAGAGTTTTCTTCTAAACTTGATATCACTTGGACCCAGCTCAGTTTTCTTCCCAAACAATGTCAAGTCAACTGCTAAGGCTTGGATTCCACATTGTCATTTTACCACCCCAGAAGTGTTTGGCTAAAATCTAGACTTCTGCCAATATTTTGTCAACATTTGAAATCTTCCTCTTCAGGTGATTCACCTTTTAGAAAACCCCAACCGATGTTTTCTAAAAGAGGAAAACTTTTCCCCTAACAGTTTAAAAATAATGGGAAATATAATTATTCTTTTTTTTTAGGTAATGTCTATGCAAACCTAACTCCAAGGAAAGCATGGACCATTCCCATCATTTACCCTGACAATCATGGTTTACTCATGGATCACAAAAGCATCAACCAACGAAGCTGCTTGATGGCTGCTATACTTCTTTCCATGGTCTCCCAGCTGTCTCTGCATGTACACCATTTGTTTCATTGCTTGTGTGTGTGTGTGTGTGTGTGTGTGTGTGTCCTTTTTTTTTTTCTAAAAGACCAATTTAGAGTGTATTCATTTTGGAACAACGTCTGAGTTGTGCTTCCGGCAGTTCTAATTCAGTAATCTTTTTTTTTTCAGGCATTGTGTATTTTTTTTACTCTCTGAAAGGACATTCAGTGCTTTATGAAGTTTCACAATAAAATTTGAGTTGAGAATTTCAAAACGTAGATTTAGATAAAACAACAACAACAACAACAAATGCCTGTGGTCTTAAGGATCACTGTCATCCATTCAATAAAATTTTACTGTTTCTGCAATATGCTAGGCGTAGAGTATATCGAGGAGGAATGCACAGATGTAACACAGAGCCAGTCTACCAGGAGAGATAAACAGGTTTAAATAATCAAAATACACTCTGTTAAGCATTACGTGTAGACCCTGCCAGGTGCCTAACTATTTTTAATATGCTTTTTCTTTCTTGCTGGTAGACTCTCAATTTTAATTAACGTAGCAATGCAACCAGCTAAAAATGCTTGATTTCCCAGACTCCTGTGCCTACAGGTGTATGCAATAGATAAATGAGATTAAGGCAGAAGAGCATTGCCTTCTGAACAGAGGCAAAATCTAGGATATGTTGCTTAGCTCCTTGCCCCTTTGCCCTTCTCCCATCTTCCTAAGAATATGGATAAGAGTCAAGAAGTGCAGCAGCCATTGTGCAACTGAAAGGCACAATGCATGAGGAAAAAAATCCTAAATCTAAGGACAGTAGAGTAAAACTATGGAAAAAGATAGAGTTCTTAATAATATCAATCAGTAACCCAGCATGGCCCCTACAGAATTTTTATTGCATAAGACAAATAAACTGCAATCTGTTTACGCCATTACTAACTGATACTGGCTGTGATATAAGGATGCTTCATTTCCTACAAAGCACAAAGAGAAGGAGCAGAGAGAAAGTTTCACAAGAGACACTGGCATTTAAAATTTGAGCATCCTTTAGGTGGAAGGAAGGAGAAGACAGCAGAGTTTAAAGGTTGATGGGAACTAGAATCAATATGTTTGCACCCATATTGAGTTTCTGCAATATAGAAACCTACACTGTGCACATGGGGGCAAGTTTAATTTCTCTCTACCTGTTTTCTCATCAGTAGTGGAGTAGTTATTGTACCTACTTTATAGCATAGTTGTAAATGTAAAAAGGTGATCACTAGTAAAGCTATTACTGAAACAATGCTGGACACCTCATACGGCAGGTGTGAATGGGAGTACAGGAGATTCAGCTGCTTCCTCATAGTTACACTCCCAATGGCAGCTGAACATTGTGCATACTGGCTGCTTGTTATCAGATTTTTCTAGATGGATCTGCATTATCTATTAATTCATTTAGGATTAAGCAGAGCTAATTTTTTTAAGTCCTTTCCTCAGGACTTGATCGAGTAATATGCAGGTTGAAGTTTGTGCAGTCATCAGATATAGCCCATAGATGGATGCCTGAATAGACCCGGTTTTCATTTATATGACTATTTATCAATGCATGTACTTTTCCTCTCTGTCACCACCATTCTGTTACCAGACAGTTTCTGTTGGATCAATCACTCCCTATTCAGTTATTTTCTCTACTTGACCAAAAGTATTCCTAACCCACTAAGACTTCTGACTTCCCCCTAAGACAGCTCTACCCATGTGACTTTGTTTCTGAATGTACCCGAGATTTTGTTTTTATTCAGGTATGATGAGGCCAACAGTGGAGGAGACAATTGCATTGAGAAGAATAGTTTGCTACAGCTCCCAAGAGGAGAGGGATCCCATGTGCAAAGATTAATTTCATGTGTCAACTTGTCTGGGCCACAGTATGCTCAGATAGCCGATTAAACCTTCTTTCTGGTGTGTCTGTGAGGGTGTTTCTGGAAGAGATGAACATTTGAATTGGTGAACTCAGTAAAGCAGATGGCCCTCTCCAGTGTGGGTGGGCCTCATCCAATCTGTTGTGTGCCTGAATAGAACAAAAAGGAGGAGAAGGTAGAATTTGTGCTCCCTCTGCTGACTACTTGAGCTGGGACATCAATCATCTCCTGCCCTCAGAGCTCCTGGTTCTCAGGCCTTCAGACTCAAACTGGAATCTAGACTGTTGGCCTCTGGCCCTGAGACCTCCACATTACATCATCAGCTTTTCTTTGTGCCAAGCTTGCAGACAGCAGATTGTGGAACTCCTCAGCCTCTATAAATGTGTGAGCTACTATTGGTTCCAAGGCAGAAGAATAGGGGCTGGAGGCAGGGAACTTAAGAATTTCTCATTACTAAATCATTCAAACACTTCAGCTATGACAAGAAATATCCTCTTTGTTTACATAGGGCTTACACTGAGTAAATGACTTTGTAACTTTACTTCATTCTCTTCATTTACATAGGGTTTATACTGAACAAGTGACTTTCACTTTAGCCTCTTCATTTATATAGGGCATACACCAAGTAACCAATGGAAACCTCTAGAGGGTATTTAAGCCCCAGAAAATTATGTAACTGGGGCCCTTGAGCCGCTTGCTAGCGCCCCTTCCCACCCTGTGGAGTGTCCTTTCATTTTCAATAAATCTCTGCTTTTGTTGCTCCATTCTTTCCTTGCTTTGTTTGTGTGTTTTGTCCAATTCTTTGTTCAAAAAACCAAGAACCTGGACACCCTCAATGGGTAACAGTTCTGTTTCTCCAGAGAACCCTAACTAATGCACCACACCATGCAGAGCCACACAGGGAAGCGCCAGGCTCAGTCATGAGGCAGAAGGAGCAAGGGGAAAGCCATGATGGTGGTTTTCCTGGGCAGGGATGAGTGAGGCAGAGTAAGCAGTTTAGGCCTAGTAGTTTGAGTCATTTTGGAGAGCTCCATAGGGGTAGTCCCTAGTTGCCTGGTACCTGGCCCTGGGATGATTAAGGCAGAGGAATATTGTCACCTGGAGTAGAAAAGCCAGATAGAGGAGGTAGTATGGAGTGTGGGCTCTGGATTGGTTGGTTTGCATATCAAAAGTTTGTTCACAGGTAAATCCTTTTACTATCTGTGGGAACTAGTTAGCTCTGAGGTCAGTGAGGCTTCAACATGTCAAAGCATCCTAAAATATAGAAAATGAAAAACATAACTAATACAGATTTGGGCCCTGGTTTATTGTTTCTTGGTTCATGGTATTTCAGCTATGTCGATTTTAAATTTTCTTCTGTGCTATGTGAATGTCCAGTTTTAATAATCTTACACAAAAAAACACAGATTATACATTGTTAAAAACACATGTTATTCAAAATAAAAGTATTCAAGTGTTCATATTGTTTTGGCTAGACTCTTTGGGAATCTTTATTTTCCAGGTACCTGCTGTCATTGGAATCTTTATTTTCCAGGTACCTGCTGTCATTTTTCACTCTCCCAGACATGAGAAAATGGATGCTTCATCAGTTAAGACTTTGAATAACGAGATACTCCACAGTTTACATTTAAGCAAGAATAACTATAGTGCCTACACAGTTACTACAACTAGAACAATACATAAAATTATTCTGTATCATACTCCACACCCAAATACTGATCATCTTACCATCTCACTCAAAATAGTGTCTTATAAAAATATATATATTTTTATATATACACATACATGGTATATTTATATTTATATATACATACATGGTATATATATAAAAATATATATGGTATATATAAAAATATACAAATATTTTTAAAGATGCTGTTTATATATATATATATATACATTCTAAGAGATACATATTTTTTCTCCCCATATATATGTATATGTATATGGTCTCTTAGAATATGTGTACATATGGGGAGAAAAAACATATGTGTGTGTGTGTATATATATATATATGTATATATATATGTATGTATAGAAAATCCTAAGAGACAAGAGACAACACAGTGCTTTTCCAATGAAATTCTATAATTTTTTTCAAATGTCATCTAACCTTCTTTTTAAAAATATATATATTTATATATATATACACATACATGGTATATTTATATTTATATATACATATATGGTATATATATATAAATATATATGGTATATATAAAAATATACGTATATTTTTAAAGATGCTGTTATTTTATATATATATATATATATATACGCATTCTAAGAGATGCATATTTTTTCTCCCCATATATATGTATATGGTCCCTTAGAATATGTGTATATATGGGGAGAAAAAACATATGTGTATATATATATATACACACATACAAGTATAGAAAATCCTAAGAGACAAGAGACAACACAGTGTTTTTCCAATGAAATTCTATAATTTTTTTCAAATGTCATCTAACCTTCTTTTTCTCTAGACTTGTAAACACTCTGTGAATAGAAACTATATCTACCTTATTCATTCTCCATTTTTAGCACCTAACTCTAGACTGTCACATGGTAGAAGCTCAATAAATATTTGTTGAAATAATGAATAATGAAGAACTTAATGCAAATAATATGACATACGAACATGGGCATATTTTAAGTCTGTAGGAAAAACATTTCTGTGGAATTCTTCTGCTAAAGTAAGTCCCTACGGCTCACTTCTCCATTTCTTGCAGGCATAGGAAGGTACGTCAAGAACAGTCACATTAACCACTAGAGTACTATAGAAATCTCTGCTCCTAAATTTTTCCTACCAGCCCTCCAGCCAAACTCTCAAATTAAAGACTGGTATTTATTTGAACTTGCACTTCTATATCTCAGTAGAGTTTGTAAACATCTGTTAGTACATGGTGCCATTTAATATTCACAACTACCTGAGATGTAATTAGGACAAGCCCATGATCCCATCAGCTCAGATGTTTACACAATCATGGCCTCAGAGATTTTGTAGTTTAAAAGGAAAAAACAAATCAAATCACTTGAAGTGAGTGGGAATTTGAGCCATGGCACTGGGCACTTCATTAGGCTACTGCACTTAGAAATGTACAATCTCAAAGATACAAGAGGCAGCTCAAATTATCCTGTCCACCTACATTTTACATTAAAAAAAAATTTTGCTTTAAAGGCTAAATAACAAACCCAAACAGCCAGCAAACACCGGGGCAATGATTCAAGTTCCAATGGCCTGTTTTCTTTCAACCTGTCTGCTTAAAAGGGGTCCATTTGAATATTAATATAATAATAAAATTGCTAAACTGAAGTTCTTTGAAGTCATTGACCTAAGGAATGAGCTATTTTGTGCCTTCACTCTCTGTATCTTTCTCACGTTAGGGGATTCCCTACAATCCCACGCACTTAGCTTTATCACTCTTCTCCATATATATATACAGAGAGAGAGAGAGTATCGCTCTGTTGCCCAGGCTGGAGTGCAGTGGTGTGATCTCGGCTCACTGCAATCTCAGCCTCCTGGGTTCAAGCAATTCTCCTGTTTCAGCCTCCGGAGTAGCTGGGACCAAAGGCGTGTACCACCACGCCTGGCTAATTTTTGTATTTTTAGTAGAGATGGGGTTTCACAATGTTGGCCAGGATGGTCTTGAACTCCTGACCTCAAATGATCCACCTGCCTCAGCCTCCCAAAGTGCTGGGATTACAGGCATGAGCCACCACGCCTGGCCCCGCTCCTCTCCATATATTTTGAAGAGCAATCTAATAAGCCTATTTATTTTCAGGCACTGGGGTACTGGAAAATGTTTTGAAACTGGCTTTCCAGCAATAAAAGTCCTGCTCTGTAGCATTTGCCAATTTCTGTGACGTTAACACTCCCACCATTGCCAATTTTAAGGATGACTGTCTTTAACAATGAGATTACAAAAATCCTGCATAATTAACCATCAGTGACTGATTGTTAAAGACAGCCATCCTTAAAATCAAATCAAAAAGGGCAATAAACTAAACTTTATCAGTCAAATCACTGAACACATCTTGAATGCTAGCATGAAAGATTCAGTCAAATCACTGGTGAAGTTTAATTTATTGCCCTTTCTGAAAGGCATTTGTATTTACAAAGCCAATGCTACTCAAAGTATGGTCCCACTGGGAGCATCCCATTACCTGAAAGCTGATTGGAAATGTAACTTCTTGGGCCCCACTCTAAACCTACTGAATCAAAATCTCTGGCAATGGGGTTCAGAAATCTCTATTTCAAAGTGCATCCAAGTTATTCTCGTGCATGCTACAGTTTGAGCTCTTTACTGAAGGATTTCACAATATCTAACATATAGTTGGTGTCTGTATTAGTTGCTAGGGGTACCATAACGAAGTGCCCAGACTGGGTGGCTTAAACAACAGAAATGTATTGTCTCGCAGTTCTGGAGGCCAGAATTCCATAAGCAAGGTGTCGGTATGGTTCCTTTCATTCTGAGATCTTTCCTTGGCTTATAAGTGGCGCTCTTCTCCCTTTGTCTGAATGTGGTCTTTCCTCTGTGTGTCTGTATCCTAATGTCTTCTTCTTCAGTCATTTTGGACTAGGGCCCATCCAAATGACCTCATTTAACCTTAATTACCTCTTTAAAGATCCTAGCTCCAGTCACATTCTGAGGTACTAGGGATTGGGACTTCAGCATTTGAATTTTGGAGGAACATAATTTAGCTTATAATAGTATCTAATAATTATTTGTTATATAAATTAATAAACATAAGATGGGAAAGAAAAACAGAACCAATTTGTTGAAAGGCAAGTACCCACACACTAATTACTTCTGGATACAGGATTCATCTAGTGAGTTAGCCAGCTGGGAATGGTAGCTATCAAATTCATTCAGTATTTATATGAAAAAATGCTCACAAATATGTGATTTTAGTGTTTATTAACTAATCTGTTTGCTATTCTTATGAAGTCTAGAGTTAAATACATTACTTGGAGATACCTGCCTGGGCAGACGTAATAGATGTTTGATGTAATCATCTTGGTGCCCAAATTCAGCAGGCCAGGTAAATCAGCTCCATTACAAAATGTGGGTGAAAGAGAGCCTCTCTCTTCCGCATCCTTCCTTCTGCAATGTTAGACGTTATGAGCTGTTTTACAACTCATAATATTGAGTAATGGTTTACAGACCCATCTATACCCATACACACAAATACATAACATAAATGTGGGAATGTAATATATTCTCTCTTTTTTGATATAACGATGTGTGCTATTTTGGGTCACCCAATTATTAAACACTAATTTGAGGGTGTTTAATAATTCTACTTTGCCAAATTCATTGAAATGTGTCCAACATGAGCATCTGGGTGCGTTTCTTAAAGGAAACAATACTTTAAGCTTATAAATAGTATTCTATCAGAAATCTCACTTTCTGAAACTGTTTGTGATAAAACTATATTCTTGAAGTTTTCCAGTATATTCTTAAAGATTTTTGTTGTGAACATATCTTTTTTTTTTTTTTTTGAGATGGAGTCTCACTCTGTTACCCAGACTGATGCAGTGGTGTGATCTCTGCTCACTGCAACCTCTGCATCCCAGGCTCAAGCGATTCTCCTGCCTCAGCCTCTTGAGCAGCTGGGACTACAGGTGCACACCACCACACCCAGCTAATTTTTGTATTTTCAGTAGAGATGGGGTTTCCCTATGTTGGCCAGGTTTATCTCGAACTCCCGACCACAGGTGATCCACCCGCCTCGGCCTCCCAGAGTGCTGGAATTACAGGCGTGAGCCACTGTGCCCAGCCTTGAACATCTCTTGAATCCTGCATGAAAGATTTAGAATCACTCTTAATCTTTCTGCCATTCATATCCATATTTTATACATGAAGGAGGGCAAGTGTGAAAATAATAATTTATTTTTAAAAATTAAGTTACAAGCGGTAAATATTACTCTAGGATCTCAAAATTTGTCAGATGGCTTCAAAGAGAAAAATAACGTATCATCATTGGCAAACTCCCAGGCAGAAGCTAACATATCACCTGCAATTAAATGTAATGGATTACATGTTTTTTGTGACTGGATGTGACAGATAGTTCCCACGGCATATCAACCCAAAACTATTCAAATGCTCTGTGCAATGCAACTTGCCTTTCTGAATTTAGAGCAACAATTTTCCTCAAACAAGAAGGATAAAAGGCTTTCTGATTCTCCCTAGGAATTCCTGAAAAAGAACTGCATCATCCCAGAGGTGAAAGGGATATGGTTGTTCATGTAGCTCCATTTTCTGCTTACATGGGACTTCCCTCTACACTATCCCTAACAAGCTATCAAGAGACTTTGCTTGCATACTTCCTACAACAATGCGCTTGTTTTCTTGGCAGGATCTCATTGGTCCTATTCTGCACTCTAGAACTGCACTAAGTTGCTGACTTGTGCACAAATTAAAAAGCAAATATTTGAATTCCACTTTCAGAACATCTTATATCTTATTTTCTTCTGAATAAAAAAAATCCCCAAAAAGTCCTCAAATAACTTTTTAATGCCTCTTTAATCTCAATAAAGAAACATTTATTATGCAGCCATTTAAAAATTAGAATAAGAAAAATCAAAACTATTTCTTTCCTTGAAACTATGCTTTCTCCAGCTATTGTCTTAGTTCTCTTCTTAAATAACATCATGTTTCTGGAAATGTGTATTATATGTTTATTTCTACTGCCCCACTTTCCATTAACTCTGGAGATGATTGGGCTCTCATCCCTGCAACACCAATGAAACTACTATTGTCAGTTGTATCGCGCCACATTTCTGAAACATCTAAACACTCCTGATCACACTTTCCTTTTTAAAACTCCTTTTCTCCTGTTTCCTTGGACTCATTCTTTACTGATTCTCAGCCATCTCTCTGGTCAACCCATTATAATCCTCTTGCACTTATCTTGCTTGTTCACTCCTTGATACTTATCCAAGTTTTTCTCCTCCATTTTCCTCTCAGGTCTAAGGGGACAAAAAGACTTCACGATGTCTGTGAACCCCCTTAAATTGTCTTCAAAATTTTGTATGTAAATGTGCATATTCGTAGGACTAAGAATATTTACTGAATACTCAAAGTCTTCTTGAACTATGAAATGAAGCTCTACATTGCTCCTAGGATAATCTCATCCAGTCCTATGATATCAGCTACCTTCTGAACACCATCACAAGGCAGCTCTACTGATGCCTCTCAAGTGCCTCAAATACAACACAAAAGCAAATCAGTATTTTATCACCACCATTAAATTTGTCTCTCATACAGTATCTGCTGTCTGCTGTCTTTGTGAATTCCACCACTACTCATCTAGTTTTCCAAATATCAACCAAGGACTAATCCGTATCTCCCACTCTTACTGTCCATATCTGAGCGGATGAAGTCTTCTCAATTTGACCCCTTTAATATCTTCGGAATTCATCCTCTTTTCATCCTTACAACTGCCTTATTTCAAGATGACATCATTTCTCCAGTCAATTAGTTTAACAGATTTCTAATTGGTCTCACTGTCTCAAAAATTGTTCCTCTCCAATCTATTCTTTAAATTTCTGCTACATGTTTTATGCCAAAGTCAAAATCTGATCCAGACACTTAACTATTTAAAGCCCAATTCAGATCCAGACACTTAACTATTCCCTTTATAGTTTCCAAGGATTTTGAGGGTAAAATCCATACCTTTTAGGATAATATGCAATGCCCTTCATTGCTTCTGCCTGAGTGTTCAGCTCATCTCTTGCCACTCTCATATTCCTGCCTTTTGTATGCCTCCATCTGCTGTCCTTACTCCCAGTACTCCCTATGGCTCTCCTCATCCCCACTCACATAGCTAACTCCTACATATTCTTCAAAACTCAGCTCAGATATCACATTGTCCATTCCTTTATTCATTCATTTAATAAATATTTGTTAGGTGCAATCTCTTTGCTAGACATCATGCAGGTCCTGAAGACATAGAATGAGTAACACAGACATGATCTCTGCCCTCCTCGAATTTACCTTCTAGCTGGAAAAGCATTGATATCAATAACATTAAACCAATAACTACATAAGCATTTTATTAAAACTACAATAAGTTATTTTAGGAGTAAACATAAGGCGTATTGAGAATATGAATACGGTCCTGATCTAGATTATGATACAAGGAAGGCTTTCCTGTGGAAATTTTATTTAAGCTGAGACTTGAAAGATTTATGGATATTTCTGGGTGAAGGAGAGAAGGGATTCAAGGTAAAGGGAAGAACATGTGCACTGCACAGAGGTCTTGAGGCAAAAACACTCATGTCGTATTGGAGAACCTAAAAGAGGGCGAGTGTAGCTGTTGTTCAAAGTAAAAGATATAGCATGATGCCAGTTGAGCCCAGAGACATAGGAAAGGGTCAGGTTATACTGAGATATTAGAATATTGCCAATGATTTAAGTCTTATACTAAGAACATCAAGTAGCCCCCAACAGGCTTTAAATGAGCAAGCAACATGATTTGATATGATTTTGTATCACTGTGACTTTTGTTCACAGAGTGGATGGGCTGAGTAGGAGATGAGATGCAGTGAGAGCTTTCAGGAAATTTGTGCGATACAGATGGTCCCTGACTCATGATGGTTCAACTTACTATTTTTCAACTTTACGATAGTGTGAAAGTGATACACGTTCAGTAGAAACCATACTTCAACTATCCATACAACCATTCTGTTTTTCACTTTCAGTACAGTATTTGATAAGTTGCATGAGATATTCAACATTTTATTATAAAGTAGGGTTTGTGTTAAATGATTTTGCCCAACTGTGGGCTGGGCAATTTAAGGTAGGCTAGGCTAAGCTATGATATTTGGCAGGTTAAGTGTATTAAATGCATTTTCAACTCATGATATTTTCAACTTACAATGGGTTTATCAGGATGTAACATCATTGCACATCAAAGAGCATCTGTAGTTCAGGCAAGGTGTAATGGAGGGCTTATTGATGTTGCAGTTAGAAAGCAAAAAAGTACAAATGTCATTTGGAAGGTAAAGCTAACAGGACTTGATGAACGACTTATATGGCCATTAAAAGGAAAGAATATTAAGAGTGACACCTATGTTTCCAGCTTGTACAAACCAATAGACAATTACGGTATTTATTCATATAAGGAAGACTGTAAGAGGAGCAAGTTTCAGGGACAGACATGAAAGCAGTTTCCAATATGTTAAGCTCAGATATGATATTAAGTTAGCAAACCTGGAGGGCAAAAATGGTAATGTCAAAGTTAAAGACATTCAATTAGGAGTCATCATATGGGTGGTAATTAAATTCATAGGTGCAATATTTTTATTATTATAAAATAAATAACAATAAAATGAGTAACAATAGCTAATACTTATCAAGATTTTACTACAAGCTTATCACTTACTTAATGTTTAGCAGTTATTAATTCATTAGATTCTCACAAAACCTTATATGATGGGTGTGACTCTTATCCCCATTGTACAAATGAGAAATAGGAAGATCAGAAAGATTGAGTGAATTGACTCAAGTCAACTCATATAGAGAATTAAGTGACAGAATGTAAATGTTGCTCCAAAGACCAAACTCATAAACACTAAGCTAATTATGACATATGAAAGACACTCAAGAAGTATTTTCTGAATGGCTGAATGAAGTAACGTTGCTTTCAAATCACTCACCATCCTGGTTTACACGCCCTCACAATCATGTAGTAGTCTCCAATCATGGTATTTGTGATCACATTAAGCCGCTAAGTTTTTTCCATGTGAATTATTGCCAAACTTTGTCTCACCCTCCTGTACTTATCTAATTATAAATTTAACCTCTAAGAACAAGTTTTTAATGAGAACTGTTAAATTTTCTTGCCTTGCTTTTGCCTGCTACCAAATTATCAAGTTCACTTTGATTCCACATTAAAGGGGACCCAATCCATGCACCCTTTTTACTCTTTCCTGGTTCTGATTCAACCACCATGGAATTAGAATTAAAAATTCACACAATGGGAAATTTAAATAGCACTTTTATTTCTGATAATACATTGCAGATGTGGCTTACTTATAAAACAACATTATTAGGATATACATTCTGATAATGAACCCCAGAATGACACAGACTTATCTGACCCATCATAGGCAGCATTAGACAATGAGTAGCCTCCCTGCAAAGAAGTCTGCCCCTTTAAAACTTACAGCGTATACTCCGTGGAATACTATGCACTCATAAAAAGGAAGGAGATCATATCCTTTGCAGGGACATGGATGGAGCTGGAAGCCATTATCCTCAGCAAACTAACACAGGAACAGAAAATCAAACACTGCATGTTCTCACTTGTAAGTGGGAGCTGAACAGTGAGAACACATGGACACAGGGAGGGGAACAACACATGCTGGGACCTGTTGGAGGGGCAGGGGGATGGGGAGCATCAGGATAAATAGCTAATGTATGCTGGGCTTAATACCTAGGTGAGGGGTTGATAGGCGCAGCAAACCACCATGACACACATTTACTTACATAACAAACCTGCACATCCTGCACATGTATCCTAGAATGTAAGATAAAATAAAATTAAATTTTAAAGAAAATAAAACACCTTACAGCATGGAGAAGGAGAGTTGAATGCATCCCTCTTACAGGCATCTGAGTTCCTAAAGGAAGAGGGAAGATCGAGTGACACCATTCCTACCTAGGTCCTGTCCCAAACTTAACAATCAGGAGTCTTGCTCCAGCTTCACAGAAACAAGTAAGTAGTTTAGGAAAAAAAAAAAAAAAAAACACTAGAGTGTTACAAAAAATTGATGTCACTCTTGATAGAAGATGTGAAAATGTAAAAATGAATTATATTAATCCACAAATGGATAAACGATAATTGCTCATTGCTCTCACAGGATTGCTGTGATAATTAAATGACAGGATGAAAGTAAAACATATTTGAGAAAGATAGGTGAGTTTGAGTCCCACCTCTGCAAGCAACTGACAGTGCAAACCCAGGCAAGTTGCTTAACTTCTCAACTTACTCATCTATCAAATAATATTCAGCTCAGAGTGTTTATAAAGTTTATCAAATTAGCATGTGTGACATTTGATATACAATGCTTGCAATATAGGAAGCCTGGAAGAGTCGTAGGGGTAGTAATGGCAGTAGTAGTTATTATTACTATAAAGAAAAAGTATTCACAATATCAAAGTACAGCTTTGAAAGAGCTTAAAAACACTAGTGAAGGCATCTTACTCCTCTGTAACTTGCTATTTACACTCAATACATAAAAATAAAGGTCTACCTCATCCTTCAATATTCCAATTGAATTCTGATATTATAATTTAATTATAAATTCCCTACTGAGCCTCATTTAAGTGGGTATAAACAAAGGTATTATGAACAAACATATACACGCATCTTTGCTCACCTTTCCAGTTATTTCTTCTTGATAAATGTCTTGAAGAAACATCTATTATTAAAGAGGTATTAGGATCACTCTTGTAAGTCTTGCATTTTTGATAACTCCTATTAGTAGACATACATACTAAAAATATCTTATATTTTTTCAAGGCCCAACCTGGTCTCTGTCCTTTCACGAAGCCTTCTCTGATTATAAAGGAAGCAGTGTAGCTTTTGTTTATATACTCATTTATTGTTCTGTGTCTCATATATCAACAAGTTTAACTTTCAAATGATTTTGCAAACTCCTCAAAATTATAAATATAAATTCATACATATTTTTCCTTGTTACAACCCAGGCAGATTAAGTACATTAGTTCAACATTAGGCCCAATTGGAAAGCAAACGAATTAAGTCTAAAATCGCCTTCCCAAACTGGCACTGCTTGCTTCTCTGCCCTTTTATCTTGCTTATTAGTACATTCCTTGGCAAAGAAAAAGTGAAGTTTTAAAATCTTAAGACAAGGGGCTATTTTAAAGGTTAACTAATCAATAATGCTAAAGTGCATTTTCTACAAGTCTATTTTCTCTGTGGGAATGATATGTATATAGGCCCACGTGGATTTAGAGAGAATCAGATCACCCATGGAACTTTGCAGGGGGCTGCTAGTAGACTTGAAGCCATGTAAATATGCTTACTGCAGACTTGAGGGACTATGATGACAGTACTTCCACACTGTCAGAGGTATGCATTTAATTCAGTTAGCACTCCTCTGAATACATGTAATATTCTTCCACATGGGCAATTTTAAACATTGTATAGGCACAAAGGTTCTCAAATTTTACTAAAATTTCATATTCTATGAATCATGCTCCAAATTTACACTGTGCTCCCAAGTTTGCTATAGAATTGCAATTAATTTACTTGTGGAATCAGCTATACAGATTAAAACATTATGTCTTAAAGTTCTAAGCATAAAATTTAAAAATAATCTTACTTAAAATAATGCCAAGACACAAGAGAAATCAATAAAATTCAATTATTGTGCCTAAGCCACATTATTCAATATTTTAAGCAAAAGTCCTTTATTTGTACTAAAAATGAAGGAATCTCAATTATATAAGATTTCATGGTACCTATATTTCTGAGGAAGAAGATCACGAGATGCTTTTATTTTTGCCTATAGTATAGTTTAAATATGGTTTGTGGGCTTGTAAGTGGTACAAGTACGATAGCTGATTGCTTCTATATCCGGGAGGTGGTGTATTTAAAGTTGGTCTTTCTGTGGAGACAACTGCTGATAAGCAAAGCTGTTTCCTTGGAAACATCTAAGCACCATCTGATGGCTTGCTGAACATCTAAAATTCACGATTAATCTTTGGTAGCCTGTACCTAGACAAGCTGACTTATGACGAGAGAGATGTAAGCTGGGTTGAGGAGCCTAATCTGAATATTCATTGGACAGAAAATTGCTCACTGTCAGTCTTCTTCTAAGACTATTCTGGCTCATTTTATTATCTTGGAACTCATTCAGTGACTAAAATATTATATTTAAAATTCAATATAGAGCTAAACGTTAATTTAGGATATGGTAAGATGTTATCTGGTTTATTCTTTTTAAAATATGAATTTCTAGAATATCTATTGAGGATCTAGTCTCTCTTAAATGTGGAAGCCAGTTGGAGTCCAATCAGAGTAGACCTTGGGCCTCATTGAAATGGACAACATTTGCCACAATCACTCATCTAGCCTGAGGAAAAAAAGAACTGAGAAATTTTGGGGGTCACTACAAGAATCATAACTTACCCTAAAGTAAGTACAGCAGTCCTCACTTACCCATGGGAGATGCGTTCCAAAATGCTCAGTAGTTGCCCAAACCACTGATAGTACTGAAATCAATATATATTATATTTTTTGCAAATATATCTGTACCTATGATAAAGATTAATTTATAAATTAGGCATAGAAAGAGATTAATAACAGTAACTATAATAAAACAGAACAGCTATAATATACTATAATAAAAGTTATGTGAATGTGGTCTCTATCTATCTATCATCTATCTATCTATGTATCTATCTGTCTATCTATCTAAAAATATCTTGTTGCACTGTCCTCACTTATTTTCAGACCATGGTTGACATCAGGTAACTAAAAGCCATGGAAAGTGAAACTGCAGATAAGGGGGGACTACTATATTATGAATCAATGTAGTGCTGTTGTAAGTGAGCAAACAAAAATATATTCCAAAACATGCTTATATGTTCATCTGAGCTTTATAAAACATTGCCCATCTGTGTCACCAACATTGCAAAACATGCGAAGAAGACAAAATTTAACAACGAGTTGGGCAACAGAGAGATTACAAGGCTGGATGATGACCTCACAGTCTAGCCAAATGGTCCTCAGGGTATTGTGCCTAGACCAAAAGCAGCAGCAGTATTACCTGGGTACTTGTTAGAAATGCAAAATTTCAGGCCCCATTTAAGAACTACTAAATCATAAACTGTGGTGTAGTGCCCAGACATTTGTGTTCTAACAAGCGCTCCAGGGACATCTGATACAGTCCCAGTTCTGAGAACCACTACTTCAGCATATAAATTGTGGGGTGATAACACTTGAAGATAGTCTGCACTGGTTGCTTGGATGGCTACCTACAGATTGTTAGACATGAAGATGCCAGAGTTGTATTGGCAGAATATTGAAGAAGGAGTCAGTGAGTTCAGAGCAGTGGGCAAACAAGAACGTATTATTATGTAAGACCAGAGAACTTATCAGCTGTATGATCCTGAGGGAGAAGTAAAAAAAAAAAAAAAAAAAAAAAAGTTGCTTCGCTGAATCAATAAGGAATGCCTTAATGAGGCAAACACTGACATTATTGAGAATCTCAGTAATGTCTGTCCTCTTCAGCCAAGGTGGATGGCAGGATATGTTGCCATGAAACGGCACTTCCTACAGTCAATGAGGCAGTGGGGATGATAATACTCTAAAATTCCAGAGGTCAGATATCATTTTTAATCATCAGAGGAAAGATAGAAATAATTATTATAGCAGGCAGAAACTAGGATGGCAACAAGGGGCTAATAGATCATTTTGTTCCTAAGAGCAAGACGACTTGGGCAGCCCACAAGGGCATAGCTTTTCTTACGTGAACAAATTGGTCAAGAGCTGATGAGCAGCTGCTGCACTGGAAAACCATGATCTCTCTTAGACCTACCATACACGAGATAGTTTTCAGTTCCAAAACCCATCAACTAAAGGGGAAGCTGGAACCCATTAAATAAAGACTCCGCAATGCTATAGAAAGTATACATGATTAAGATTCTCAAAATCATTCCCCAAAGCAATCTACAGCCATTTACTATGTTAAAGTTGTCAGAATCAAATGGAGGCACTTGTGTTAAAACAAACAAACAAACAAACAACTACACCAACAAAAACTCTGACAAATAGAGATGAGGAAAGGCAGTAAAGAGAGGGTTCTCACGCTTACATGTTTGTATGCCTGGTAACAAAACTAACACAAAAGACTGCAAAACACACAGCTTTGCACAAAGGTCACTGCAACCTCACACACAAAAATTCTTCCGCAAGGACATCTGCCCAGCGACTGCCTGTCTAACCTCAGACTGGCATCAGCCTTTATTGATCCCTGATCCCTGTAGCCAACAATAATAATTTCAAGACAGGTATATAATCCTCCTCATTTTTCTTTTAAGATCTTTGTCATCCTTTACTTCCCTGAGCACACACATAATTTACTATGGCACATGTATTCCTATTGCAATATCCTATTCCCAGATAAGTACCTTTTTCTTTTAGAGAGTTTCTCTCAGTTTATTATATAGTTGATAACTAGATGAACCAAACAGGGGAAAGAAAAACCTTTTTTTTTTTTTTTTTTTTTGAAGACTGCTGGATACAGGAGCTGAGTGGTTATTGACATCAACCAAGCTAAAATATCACTATGCCCCATCTGTTAAAAAATTAGCAAATAGAGGCAGAGTATAAATGGAGTCCTAGCTCAGGTCCACATCACAGTAGGCCTAATAAACCCAAGGATCTATTTTGTTACCATTTTTCTAGTCCCTGAGTATATCGGAGTGGATACATGTAGCAACTCTCCCAATAGATACCTGATCTGTGTAGTAAGATTCATTATGATAGGAATAGCCAAACTTTTGAAACAGTCCTTTTTCCTCTGTGAAGATTATAAATCAGAAGCAATCACAGATACCAGGTAGGATAGCAGAGAGTAGCACCACCCTCAAAAATTTTAAAGGATGCACAGCATAGCCCCTGCAAAATCCCATGAGATCATAGCGGATAGCTGGTGATTACCATAAACTTAACCAAATGGTAGCCCTAATTACATCAGCTGTGCCGGATGTGATGTCTGACTATGTCCCAGTTGATCTGGTGAATGCATTATTTTCAACACCATCAGGAAGGAGGATGAAAAGTTTGTATCAGCATAGGTCCATGGCAGTTGACATTCTGTTGCCTCAACTGTGTTCCTCCTCTCCATCAAATTATGGTCTGAAGGGAACTCCATCATCTCAATCCTAGGCAAAACATCATATTGGTCCAATACAATGGATCAAAGAATCCTTTTGTTGACTGAAAAGTGTAATCAAAACATCGTACTTGGGCTCTAATGTCTTGGACAGTAGCAAACTGATTCAGTAGACAGAAAGGGGTGAGGATATCCCAAAGGGACATCTGTGATAGACTCATGCATATTTGCTGCCCTCCTCTATATAAAGATTCTCACTCTAGTGAAACTAGATGAAACCATTTGAGTTATGATTTTTCCACTGAAAACTTCAAGAGTCAGTGTGGGCTTCTCTATGCACTTTTCCTTCTGCCACAGTTGACAATGTTCCGGGCATAGGATGATTCATCAGCCTGAGTCCCAGAGTGAAGGTGATATGGAACAGTGCCATGGTGGATGTTGTCCTTGATGGCCATTGTTCTTGTAAGCCATAGATATTTTGATGTTGTCTATTGATGTTGTCTTTTGATGTCACTGCATAACATAACCTCTCCTGGCCAAATCAACATACCTCTGTAATGAAGTTGATAAACACCAATCCTACCCCACAACAAGAACGAAATGAGATGTTTACAGGAAACCTTCCCAACAGTAACCATCACATAATATGACTTGCTTTGGTGAAGTTAAGAAGTTCCTTTATGCCAACTAAAGAGATAATCAATGTAAAATAAATTTATAACATAACATGAAAGTCTGTTGAAATGATAGATGATGTTGCAAGTCATCACAAACAAAAAGGAGAAGCACTTCTGGAACCTAGAAAGAGTCAAGTTGGATGGAGATGTTGTTAGTCCTTCCAAAAACATGACTTGGGAAGAAGTTTCTATATCTAGCTCATAAAGAACATATGCCAATGCTTTAAAAGTTTTTCCATACATTGGAAAACTATAATTCACTGGGCTCCCATAATCCTGGTGAAAACAACCTTGAAAACCATCTTACTCTTTTTCCCCTCATCATATATTTCCAATTATACATTCCAAATCAATGTCAATGCTTTCTGTTGATTAGTAGAGAGAGAATTCATTGATGTGCCAATATGAACATTTTGATCACTTGGCAGTCACATCTCATTACTTATTAATGATTAGCATTCTGATCATAATGGAGGCAAAGGCTCTTAAAAATAGTAAAACACTTCACATATTTTGCATCCTCCCACCTGCTGACTGGTGGGTTCCCAAAGAAATTCGTCCTTGGCTTCTATACTTTCATTATCTCCAGACTTGGCAATCTCATTGCAAATAATTTATCAGATGAGGAAACTTTCAAATTTGAGTCTCCAATCCTGACAACCTTTCCATACTCTAGTTCTGGTTGATGTCTCATCAACATTTCAAATGTATATAAGCAAATTCCATATAAGGTAAATAAAAATCATTTGTTTTCCCAGGCAAAACCAATCCTACCCCTTTGTTATTATTTTCTGCTTTGGCACGAACCAGATAATAATTATCTTCTCCTCTCTCCTCCCTGCTCCCTCTTATCCAAAATGGTGATTGCTTCTTTCCCCACTTTCTACTGCCTTCTTTAATCCTGCCTATATTTTTACTGCTGAACCCACAGATGTCCTCGCCAATTTTGTAGTCAATCTCAAAAGTTTAGAAGTGTGTTAAGTCTCCAGCTAACTCTTCTTCTATAATACGTTGGGTCTTAAAATTCATACTTTTTTTTTTTGAGACAGTTTCACTGTTGTCACCCAGGCTGGAGTACGATGGTGCGATCTCGGCTCACTGCAACCTCTGCCTTCCGAGGTTCAAGTGATTCTGCTGCCTCAGCCTCCTGAGTAGCTGGGATTACAGGTGCCTGCCACCATGCCCAGCTAATTTTTGTATTTTTAGTAGAGATGGAGTTTCATCATGTTGGCCAGGCTGGTCTAGAACTCCTGACCTCAGGTAATCCACCCGCCTCAGCCTCCCAAAATGCTGGGATTATAGGCCTGAGCCACCACGCCCGGCCAAAATTCATACTCTTTTTACACCCAGGGTCAGTATCCAGGTATAACTGCTAAGTGTTCAGATTTCTTTCTTGCCAACTAGACCTAGGACTCAATTATGCAATGCTGATCCCTGAGTATACACGTGACCTACTGGTCAAGTCAAAGCGCTTATCCTCTTTCTAATACTCCTACCTTGTGGAACTGACACCTGTCCTATACCTTAGTCCCAGTGAAATGGGTTCTGATAACATTGCTTGGGTCTTCTCAGCTCCTTCCATGGGACTCATTAATTCCCTGTTCCTTTATTGCATATGGATATATCTGCCAGAACCCACCATTGCCCTTGTCATATCTAGATTCCACATTATTAGGCTCAGTCCCTATGCTTGGATACTCTAACAATAGCCACAATTTCTAATATCAGTTGTAATACTATTGTTTTCCCTAAGGCTACAAGCCTCAAACAGCCAACAGCTCTCTCCAGGACATCTGCATGAGTCTCCCCTCCCTCAGCTTGAGTTCCCTCATGGGAGAGTATATTTCTGCCCCAGCCATGTTTCTTCACCTTCTACATTGCCAGAGCCCCATCCACTACTTTTGCTTGAATTTACCCAAGTTCTAACAATCTATTCTATTCTACATCCATAGTGCTTAATAATGAGGCTTACTCTCTCTTTTGAAAACTACCACAAACTATTCAGACCAGACATGCCCAACAGGAATATCATATAAACCACATATATAATTCTAAACTTTCCAATAGCCACATTAAAAAAAGTTTCTGAAAAAACCAATTGAAACTAATTTTAATAATATAAATATTTAACCTAATATGTCTAAAATATTGCAAAATATAATCATATAAATAGTATTAATGAGGTGCTTTACACTTTTAACTATGTATTCTAAATACTTGGTGTGTATTTTTACACCTACCACATATCTGACTGCAGATGAATTTCATTGGAAATTCATTGCATTGAGATTTCATAAGATTTATAGTTAAAAAAATAGATTCACATACACATGTTGTTCGACTTATATATGAAAAAAATTCTAATAACTGAATTAAGTAGCAGTTTTTAAATTTAAGTTTAACTAAATTTAAAATTCAGTGCCTCAGTTGTTCTAGCCATGTTTCAGATGCTCAACAGTCAAATGTGGCAAGTGGCTACCATATTGGACAGCACACGTTCAAACTCATCACCCTCTCAGATAATTGTCAGAGCCTTCTGATTCATTACTCTCCCTCTCCAAGTCCTTCCTACTTTAATCCTTTTATATATGGCTGGTAAATTAATAATTCTAAGGCAATTTTTTTATTATTTCTGTTCAAAGATTTTGAAAGCTTCCCAACACCAAAAAATCAATTCCAAGCTTCTTAACTTCTGGCCTTCATAGTCTTCAATGATTTATCTTCAACAGCCTTTCCAAACTTATTTTCTTCTACTCTCAGGGCATCTCTAATCAAAATCAACTACTTAATCTTTCTGCTTGCATCCAAGATTTCCCTTCCTCATGTCTGCTTATATTTGTTCTCTTTTATAACTTTCTTATATATTATATAACTTTGTTCTCTTCTACATCTTTCTATTATAACATTTCCTTTTATAATTCTATTACAATAATTTCTTACATATAATTTATACAGACTATTATAACTCCATATAAAGATGACATACACTTACCCCCACCATAACTTCATCTCCCAAAATGTCACTGAGATAACAATATAGACTTTTTTTAAAGAAATAAATTCTTAAGTACAGGGAGAACTGGAAAAGAAGAGATGACAGATGAGAAAAGTCAACAAAATTGGAAAGCAGGTGTCTTAATCCTTTTGGGCTGCTGTAACAAAACTACCATAAAGTGGCTTATAAGCAACAGAAATGTATTCTCACAGTTCTAGAGGCTAGGAAGTCCAAGATTGAGGTGCCCAAAAATTTGGTGTTTAATGAGGACCTGCTTGCTGGTTCATAGAGGGCCAATCTTCATGCTGTATCCTCATGGTGGAAGGGGAAGGAAGTTATCTGGGGCTTTTTTTATAAGAGGACTAGTCCTATTCATGAGGGCTCCACTCTTATGACCTAATCACCTCCCGAAGATCCATCTCCTGACATCATCACCCTGGGGATTATATGTCAACATATGAATTTGGGACAGAAATATTCAGTTTATAGCAAGTGGGAATGGGATGTGAGTGATGACTGATTTTCGAAAGAAAAAAGTATGTGTCTGCCAAAGGGAGGCCAACTATAACTAAGCCAGTTTGCTCTGCAGAGCCCCAGAAAAGCTTGAAAATTGGAGATACTGGGTACCTCTGAAGACTGGGTAAGAGGTGGGACTGTAGCCTTGGGGATTAGTTGAAAGTCTGTATAATAAGAATATAAATATCAGATTCCATCCTTTCACCCCTCACCATCCACTTCTCAGGAAATTATACCCCTGATATGGTTTGGCTGTGTCCCCACCCAAATCTCACCCTGAATTGTAATAACTCCTATGTGTAAAGGGCATAACTGATGTGTAAAGGAGATAATTGAATCATGGGGACAGTTTTCCTCATACTGTTCTCATGATAGTGGATAAATCTCATAAGATCTGATGGTTTTATAAATGGGAGTTCCCTCACACAAGCTCTCTTGCCTGCCACCATGTAAGACATGACTTTCCTCCTCATTCACCTTCCACCATGATTGTGAGGCCTCCACAGCCATGTGGAACTTCTATTTCATTAAACTTCTTTCCTTTATAAATTACCCAGTCTCAGGTATGTGTTTATTAGCAGTGTGAGAACAGACTAATACAACCCTTTCCCTAGTTTAGCAGGACATGAGCAATTTCTTACTGTTTTATTTTCTATTGATGCCATGACAAAATACCACAAATTTAGCACCCAAAAAAAAAAACACCTAGTTTTTACCTCACAGTTCTGTTGGTTATAAATCCAGGTTTGCTCAACTGTTTTCTCTGTTCTGGGTTATATAGAGCTGAACTCAAAGTGTCTACTGGCAAGACTCTTATCAGGAGGCTCTGGGAAAAACCCACTTCTAAGCTCACTCAAGTTGTAGGACTGAGTTCCCATTTTCTTGCTGACTGTCTCCTGAAAGCTGCCCTTAGTGGTGCCTTCATCTTCAAGCCAGCAACAGCATCAAGTACTTCTTACACTTCAAATCTCTCTGACTTCCCTTTCACTGCATATCTTCTGTCTCTTCTGCTTTCCTCTTGTGCTCTTGTTCATTTCTCTTCTGTTCTTAAGGGTTTATATGATTACATTGTGCCCAACAAGATAATCCAGAATAATCTCTTTTTCTCAAAACCAACTGATTAGTATCTTTAATTCCACCTGCAAAGTCCCCTCACAGGAGTACCTAGATTATTGTTCACGGAATAACCAGAGGATGGGAATCTTTGGGGACCATTTCTCCAATTCTGCCTCCCATGGTTATTCTCCACATTGAACCAGAGAGACACAATAACCAAGCACAACAGAGGGCAGGGAGAAGGCATAGACTGAAAACGGGGGGACAGAGAAAACCTTCTCCTGAATGGTCCCAGCTACCTCTGTTCACTCAGCTCCCAGAACACTGGAAGTCAGGCTTTCATACCCCAAGCAAGTGACTGGAGGATTTCTCTCTAGTGAAACTAACTGGCACAATAGAAAAAACCTGCAGCTATTTGAAATCTCTCCAGTGAACTCGTCACTCCCCACCCAATCACCCTATAATGAATTTCACCAGGCAACAAGCTGTGGCCATGCATCCGGAGTGTCCAAACAGCTTTTTAAGCCTCTCTCTCAAATACGAGCACAAGGAAAATTAAATAAAAAATAAACTTTAAAAATACTATGCAGCCTTCAGGACTTAAATGTCTCTTTTCTAATAACAACCTTCCTGGTCCCCTTAGCTGTAAGGAACAGCTTCCTGAATGCCACCAGCACTTTGTCTGCAAATCTTTTCTCTCACATAATTGCTATGGGTACCTGTTATGGTTTGAATATTGGTCCTTTCCAAAACTCATGTTGAAATTTAATCCAATGTGGCAATATTGGGAAGTAAGGCTTTTAAGAGGTAATTGAGTCATGAGGGCCCTGCTCTCACGAATGAATTAATGCATTCTTGGATTAATGAATTAATGGGTTAATGCATTATCATAAAGGTGTTACTGGTAGCCTTATAAGAAGAAGAAGAAATCTGAGCTAGGACATGAGCATGTTCAGCTCCTGTGCTATGCGATGCTCTGTACTGCCTCAGAACTCTGCAGAGAGTCCCTACCAGCAAGAAGGCCCTCACCAGAAGTGGTCCCTTGACCTTCGATTTCTTGGCCGTCAGAACAGCAAAAACTGAATTCTGCTTCTTTATAAATTATCCAGTTTCTGGTATTCTGCTATAAGCAGCATAAAATGATCTAAGAATGCCCTGTCACTCCTTTACTGAGCTGTAAAGGTCTAAATATCTATTTCATTTGTATTATTCAAAATTTTCTCATCCTGTTATTTGAATAACATTTTTTTTTTTTTTTTGAGGCAGAGTTTTGCATTTGTTGTCCAGGCTGGAGTGCAATGGTGTGATCTTGGCTCATCATAACCTCTGTCTCCTAGGTTCAAGTGATTCTCCTGCCTCAGCCTCCCGAGTAGCTGGGATTACAGGCATGCACCACCGCGCCCGGCTAGTTTTGTATTTTAAGTAGAGATGGGATTTCTCCATGTTGGTCTGGCTGGTCTCGACCTCCTGACCTCAGGTGATCAGCCTGCCTTGGCTTCCCAAAGTGCTGGGATTACAGGCATGAGACACCGTGCCTGGCCTCAATAGTAACATTTCTTGAACCACAATACTTTACATTTTCTTATTATGTGCCTTTTATCCTCCATTAGAGCATGAGCTAATTGAATGAAAGCACCACCTTGCTCTTAGCTCATGGCACTTACTAAATATCTTTAAATGAAGGAGTAATATAAATAACATGTCTTGTACTCTGCTGTTTCTTTGGAGATTCATATTCAATCTCATTTAATTCTTACAACTTCATATATAAGAAGATCAGTCATCATAATACCAGCTAACATTTATTAGCCATTGAGTCACACAAATTTATCATCATCCCATTCTACAGTTAGGAACTTAGGTGCAGAAAAGTTAAGTAAGCTGCACAAAATCACACAGCTAGTAAGAAGTGAATTGAGATTTGAATGCTAGTAGTCTGAAGCCTGAGACCATGCTACTGGACTAATATTCTGTCTTGACTCACTCTTCAAAAAACAAACAAAATAATCCATATTATAGGAAACAGATCAGTTCAAAAATACTCTAACTCAAGATCTTAAGTAACTTATGTCTTGGTGTTTCTCATAGGTAGATGGTGATTAATAGTGTATCAATGAGGGAATAAAGATGAGACCCATGAAGACAGAGATTTTGTGTGTTGTATTCCTTGCTATATCTCAGCAGCTAGACCAGTGGACTTTACAAATGTTTGTTTAATAATTTAAATACATTGTCATTTGATTGAGAATAACGCTATAAATATCCCTTGGGTAAATTCAACTCTGGAAAAATTGGTCATCAAGTTTCTAGATCTCTTAATAAGGGAGATAAACATGCTCTGGAAGCCCACAAAATTACAGCAACCCAGGATATTTGGAAAGAACAGTCTGCCAAATCCTTAACCAATTAAGTTTTCGAGAGAGATGGTGAGCCTCCAACCACTGAAATTATCATCTTGCTGTAGTTATGATAAATATTATATGAAGAAGGAAAAATTACATGCACGTACACTACAAGGTGGGGCATGAAGTAATTATCTGGAAATTCAATTGAGTGATGTTCTATATAAAAGGTTTTTTACTATCTTTAAAATTAATTAGTCTATCATTACTCTGCCCTTTGTATGGAAGAGCTCAGGCTGGAGATTTGCTCCCATTCAGGGTCCCTTTCTTCTCTGCGTTACCCCCTCCCATACAAGTAATAACTGTCTGTCTTCAAGCCACCTGACTGTCTCTGCAGCTTCTACAATTGATCTTTTCTTCATCATTGCTATAGAAGGGATATGACCTCTACCCTGATGTCCAAGGAATATTGTTATTGTCTCCTTCTATTTCCTGTTTCTGTTCTTTGAGTCCTATAGTAACAGTATATGATTCTTATGCAGCACTAAACACACCTAATCAAATAACAGGTATGTTTTAAAACACAATCAATGGATGGATAAAATAACCTCACTTTTCAAGAATTGTCTTTTAGCCAATGTTTTCTTAGTTCCTCCATAAAAACAGCATTCTCCATTCAGCAGCTCCTTGGGAGAGAAGGGGTCACCATGCCTTGCATTGTTAAATTCACTGCAGATTCTTTTGCTGTCTTTTACCAAGAGCAAATTTCTTTAAATGTCTGTGTTAACCAACTGGCTGGCTTACAGCAGGTTGCCTGGCTAAGATAAATTTTTCAGGCTTAGTCACTAACCTCTGTCACTTTCCCTCATAATCTGGCCCTACCACAAGATTTTTTCAATTGATAAATAATATATCTAGATTTTTTCCAAAAGCCTACTACTTTATTTTTGTTATAAAATTTATGGAAATATGCAAAAACAGAGCTTTTAAAAATCATAGCCAATTTTATTTACATTATTTCCCAACAGTGCACGTCCTTTACAGGCTAGTAATGAATACCTGTCAAAATATTTTTGTACCTCTTTATTTCTATTCACGGAGAGAAGATATAACTGCATGGATGCGCTTTACTCTCCCTAAGGGAAATGTGATGCCCAAGTGAGGAAAAAATATTTTCTCCAAGAAGAGACATTCTACATAAGAAGCTCAGCTATAATTTAAGCCTTACCAAAGAGTTTATATTATTTTTAAAATCTTTTTCATAAAAATGGAAAGTAAACCTAACAAAGAAATCCATGCATAGTTTTAAACCTTATTACTTGTTTTTGTTTAACTAATTATTACTGTCTTTTTTTCTATTAGGGACGTTGGTTATTTCTAGTCCTTGTTTAAATATCTAGAAGGAATAGACTACAGAACTCTTGGATATTTTTGTTCTTCCATTTCTCAGAAGTTTTCCCACAAGTGAAATAACAGAAAGGACTCAATTTTTTTCAAAAGCACAACATCTCCAGAAAAACAGAGCTCCCTCACTACTTATAAAGGACCAGCTTTGTGCCAGTCACTGGGTTGAGCTTTCTGGACATAAAACTTAGTACACGTGATCCTTGCTCACGGTCTAGTGGAAAAGACCCAACTCAGCTCTGATAAAACGTCAGGCATGTCCCAGTATCATTTCCAAATTCCTGTTGGAGCACAAAAGGAGAAGCTCTTATTCTTCCCAGGGGGCTGAGAGGCAAGACAACCAGTAGTGAAGTTTCTTTGCTTTGGAGAATGAGTATAATTTTGCCAAGCAGGGGGACAGTGCTTCTCAAACACAGACTCAAAAAGAAAAATGTTAAGAAGGAGTAAATGAAGGGAGGTAGGAATGGAAGAAGGGAGGTAGAAGAAATAATTTTTATTTCATCCAAGTTGTCTACTCATTGAACTACTCATTGAAGGCTGATTTTCCCTACTAAAATCACATGATTGGAATGTGAAAAACATGTCAAACTGATCATTAGGCATCACCTAATCAACAGAAAATATTTTCGGAGAAAACAGTATTTAAACAAAGCCTACTTTTATTTCAACGAAACACAATCAACCTGATGTTCGATAGATTTTGATAAAGCTTCCCTCACAGGATGATCTTGCAAGGTATCCCAACACTCTCAAAAGACAAGTGGGCTGAGCAAAAGTGAATGAGAAGATGATGTACTGGAGCTGCTCTCCGTACCCCTGGAGGCTCTGCCTTTCACCCCTGATGTCTCCTCTGACTCATAGCATCAAAATAATTCAAGTTTGATTATATTTGTAACTTCAAGAATACCTTAAAGACTCAGAACCCAAGTACTTTATGATCAAGTACTTATGACAACCAGAATCAGTCTTACATAAGCAGCTTAGCATAGCATCTCAAAACTTTGATATTTACACTGGTGGGAAGGGGAATGTAATAAGATGAGATTGAAAAGAATTGGATTGGTTTGGCGTTTAAACATCCTTGATTATATGCCACTGCCTCAGTTACATCTCCTGACCTCAGTGAGCAGAACAGTAGGAAAGTCAGCCATACAATTACCCAGTCAACATCCTCCACTTGACAAGGTTGAATGGGAAGGTTGTGCATAATGGTGATATCCACATTTCCATTAACTTTCTGGGGTTATCACTTCAGTAAACAGAGACAAAAGCCCTCACAGAAGCTACTGAGCATTATTTAAATAAGAATTTTGGTAATTGTGGAAGTAATATATGATCATTGAAGAAATTTGGGAAAATGTATAAAAGAATAAAGGAAAAAAACAAATATCCAGAGATATTAAGGAAACTGCAGAAAGATCAGTGTCTTGTTTTTTTCATTACAGAACATCATTATTTGGAAATATAATTTTAATGACTTATAGTCATAGATTACATTCTGTAATCTATGTATCACACTCTCCTGATTTTTAAAAATTAGGGCCAGATCCAATATTTGCTATAATAATTTGTGCCAAAGTAAATGCCCTTATTTATTTACCTTTGTCTGTACCTCTCCTTATTTCTTTGTGATAGATTCCTAAAAGGTAAATTACTGAGTAAAAAATGGAAAAATTTACTCTTCTTGATACATATGGACAAACTGCTTTAAAAAGCGTGTACCAGTTAATGCTTCAATCAGCAGAGAACAGTATCAGTCTGTGCATACCCTTATTAGCATTGAACAGCACCATGGTGAATCTTTGCCAATTTGATAAATGAGAATTTATAACTCATTTACATATGCATTGCTGTGATTATTAGTGAATTATACATTTTGTTACAGTTATTCACCACTGGTATTTCAGATATGTCGTTTTGCCAGTTTTTAGGGTCTTTTTATTTTAATCTTGATTTATAAGAATTTTGTATATTAGGAATTATAACATTCATATTTATTATAGATATTTCAGTTTTTAATTTGTCAAATTTTTATTGTAATGAAAGGTGAAATATAGAATAATTTTATATAAATAATCAAATATGTTCATGTTTTTAAGTTGACTTTTCAGATATTTTCTTTTTCTTTTTCTTTTTCTATTTTTTTTGAGATGGAGCCTTGTGCTTGTCACCCAGGCTGGAGTGAAATGGCACGATCTTGGCTCTTCGCAACCTCTGCCTCCTGGGTTCAAATGATTCTCCTGCCTCAGCCTCTCGAATAGCTGGGATTACAGGCTCCCATCACCACACCTGGTTAATTTTTTGTATTTTTAGTAGAGACAAGGTTTCACCATGTTGGACAGACTGGTCTCAAACTCCTGACCTCAAGTGATCCACCTGGCTCGGCCTCCCAAAGTGCTGGGATTAAAGGCATGAGCCACCACACCCGGCCTCAGATATGTTATAAATGGAAAACTTTTCCCTATTTTGAATCAGATTTTAAAAACAGGAAGTAAAAATATAATAACATTTTTACTCATATTCTTTGAACGAGTGAGGCTCAGTAGTTTTTTCATTTAACAAGATTTTAACACATTAGCATTATTGTCATAATTGAACTGTTTGGTCTTATGATATCTCGTTTTATGCTTTCACTTTCTGGGCTTTTTTGCTATTTTGGGGAGTTCCTAAAGGATTTTTTACTCTCTAATCATTCAAAAGTTTCAAATCCTGTTGTTGTTGTTTTTTCTTATAGATTTTTACCATTAAACTATTCCCAAACTTTCTTTCGTCGATATTCAAAGATCAATATCACTGAAAATGAAATAGCTTTTTTTTCCCCAACCCACCATATATCCTAGAGACTTTTGCCTACTTTAAATTCCCTCTCCATCCAATCTTAATTTTCAGTATACCTTAAAACAAATTGGGGTTGATATTCTTATATATAACTTTTGTTTCAAGAATTATATTTATATTCAGTTTTGCAAATTTATCTATAATATGAAAAATTCACAGAATAATTATGACAAGAAATTACACTGATTAGGGAGAATTTGTTTGATTAGATATTATTTTATATTTTTAAAGTATCAGTTTTTTTAAACGTTTGTACTGATACTTTTAAAAGTTCAGATTGAATACATATTCTTTTTTAAATCTTTTATCAGTTTTATCTCATTGCTTCACAAACCCCAGCTGGCAACCAAGCTTAGCTGGGATGCTAGGCTACTGATGGTTTATAATATAGTCTTTGTGCCACCCAAACACGAGATATAAAGTGCAAATGCTCAAGAGCAACACATGAACAGTCAGGACATGATCTGTCTTTCCATTCAAGAGTTTGAGGCTCTCAACACCCACACCACATAATCCTTTCTTAAGATTTAACACCTGCAGTTTTTAGAAATTAAAGTTATGTTTTCATTGTGCTTTTTCTGAATTCTCTTAGCTCTGTATATCTTTGCCTCTCCATAAAAGATCCTTGCAATCTAAAAGTCATAACAATTTATTACTTCCTTCCGGGGGAAAGAGTTTGGTATTATTTGTTATTACATAAAGGGCAAGCTATGGAAAGAGTGACTGTATTTCCAAATATAATTTCAGGTGCACCTTGCTTTACTTAATAGATTTATTCCTGACCAGCAATATAAATTGAATTTGTATAAATCAAGTTAAATGTTAAATGCACTAAGGAAGCTTGTTAATTTAAATTCATCATATGATTAATCCTTTTATAAAAGTATTATTAATCCCTTTTTTGCATGTTCTATACATATGAACTTTCAAATATTAAGGTCACTTAGTTCTAAACCAATGTGTCCTTCCTTTTTTATAATATGTTACATTTTACCAATGAAAAGCATAGTAATTCCCCTAAATAAAAGCAAGAAACAATTATATTACATCAAGTCTTTTTGGTTTTTTGTTTGTTTGTTTGTTTTTTGTTTTTTTTTGTTTGTTTTGGTTAAAGAAGTTTTTGACTATCAAGACGGGGAGAAAGTGAGTATTGATTTAAATACATGAAAGAAAAAGAATCCAGATAAGAAGGTCTTTAGGGAAGTTATAAGGAGATGAGGGATGGGATGGAATATTTTACCCAAGTAATGCATGAAATGAATACATCAAGTCCTAAAGGGGTATGAAAGGCATAGCTGTGGAAACTATACCAAATCAACTATCAAACATGTCAAACAACAGAGCTAGATAAAGGATAGAAGATAAAACATAGAGCCAACATGAGCATTTAAACTGAGAAACCAGGAAAAGTGAACATGAAGAATGATAAACCACAGGCGGATAGGTAGGTGTTATTCAGAATAGTCAAACAGAGCAATGAATTAACTATAGCTACGCAAAGCAGAATGGAAGGACCCCAAAACAACATCGAATGAGAAAAGAACATTCACAGAAGCCTATATGCAGCATGCTTCCATTTATTTGTGTAAAATATACAATATTTAGCATGATTGTTTAGAAACAAAATCATATATGCTGAGGCATAAAGGAAAGCAAGAGTGAGGGAAATTTTACTTCTAATAATGGTATATTAAGTAATGACATATTAGTTATCCCACTGATAAGGTACTTAGAAAAACTGGAAAATAGTATGTAAATTTTCAACTGGAGAACATTGGCACACTAGCAATTTAAACAAGTATTACTGTAAGAAGATGGAAATCCAGACAGAGGAGTGCAAAACTTGGGGCTTATATCAATAAAGGATCTGACAAGAAAGACCTGGCACATTCAAGTGACATAACTGAGAAACAATCAGTGAAGGTACAATTCATAAGTGTGTGGATAGGATTAAGAGAAACAGTGAGAGATGAGGAAATGCCTCAGGACTAACAACAAGTTGTTTGGTTGCCATTCCCAGCCTTAACACTAAAGGGGCAAGGAAAGGAAGGAGTTACAGAGCTGAGAGAGAGCTGTGGGAAAGGGCTGCCTAGCAGGAGTTTGGGGCTTTAGTCAAATGCAGCCACTACTAATTTAGGAGCCAGCTTAGAGGTGCTGATGGAATAAACCCTGCTCTCACATTCCCTCCATCCTTCTGTTGGCTGATGGTGCCCCCATTGGCCAAACCCAACCAGAATCCAGAGGAAAAGGAAGCTCACTGATGCTTCCACTTTTCAGGACAAAAGGTAGAGTGGAAAGAAGTGGGAAGTGGCTCTGGAAGAGCAAATACAGAATAGCCAGCACGGTAGATCTGAAAGAGCTTGAACAAGTTTTTAGGTGGCCTCAAGGGCTAGAGGGACAAAAGTTTCTGGGAAGAATCTGATAACTTCCATATGGTTTTGGTTTGGACTCTTAATGGTTGCATTTAGAAACAAAGGTGAAACAGAAGTAAGCCATTTCTTGCCTGGCCTGCATGCCAGCTTTGTGTCAGCTGGGTGACCTAGAAAACCTAAATCACTGAAACTGGATTAAGTTCCAGACTGACAGTTTTCTAGGCACTGAGAGAAGAAAATGTAAATTCCCTCTCATGTAAGATCACATTTTACTAGGTTTCAACTTATTTATATAAACTGGTCTTTGAATATAATGTTAAGCACACAGTCCATGGTAATCATACGAATGAGGAAATAAAACAATATAAAAAAGAAACAACAGAAATACTAGCCAACAGAGGCAGATCCACAAATACTCCAGCTATTGGGAACTATCAGGCATAGGCTTTAAACATAGACATGCTTAAAATAGTCGTTAAGATAAAGAGAAGATTGAAAATAAAAACTCAGAGAACAGGTAATGCTGAAAATGGACAGAAATTTGAAAAAGAATCATGTAGAAATTCTAAAACTTAAAAATACAATAATTACAATTAAGAATGAGACAAACAGCGCATTAAACACAACTGAACCTCGCATTAAACACAACTGAACCTCATTATTAGGGATAGCCCCCCGTTCCAAGTTGGTCCCTTTCTTGCCTCTTCTCCTTCAATTCATGCCTTTGGCCTCCAGGGGGAGCTACTAATGACTACACGACTGAAGAAGACATTGAGCCTGGCGGGGCGTGATGGCTCAAGCCTGTAATTCCAGCACTTTGGGAGGCCGAGGCGGGCTGATCACCTGAGTTCAGAAGTTCAAGAGCAGCCTGGTTCAACATGGCGAAACCCCATCTCTACTAAAAATACAAAACTTAGCTGGGCATGGTGGTGGGCACCTGTAATCCCAGCTACTCGGGAGGCTGAGGCAGGAGAAGCACTTGAACTGGGGAGGTGGAGGTTGCAGTGAGCCGAGATTGTGCCATTACACTCCAGCCTGGGCAACAAGAGCAACATTCCGTCTCAAAAAAAAAGAAAAAAAAAAAAGTTGAGCCTGCTTTACAAATGCATCTGTCTATATAATATTTAGGTACCACCACAAAGTGGACAACTACAGTGCTGTATTTCCCCTCAGGGGTGACCCTGAAAGGCAGTGCGAGAAGGGAAATCCTCTCCTTGGGCAGAACTTCAAGCAGTACGTTATTATTCCACTTTGTCTGAAGTGAGAGATGGCCAGAAATACAGATCCACAAATCATTCATGGAAAGTTGACGATAGTTTTTCTGCTTAGAGATTTGGAAGGAATAAGATTGGAAAACTGGTGCCAAAGAATTCTGAGAAATAGCTATATGAATGGAAATGTTAAAATGGACACAAACTGTGAGGATATTTGTGCCCCTTGTGAATGTCCACAAATGAGTTCCTACTGCAGAGTAGGCTCTTAATTAGGTGGATGAAATGATGTGTTTAGTGGGTGTGAGTAAGCCTTTTTCCCAAGACACAGTGCCTTCTCAATGGGCCCAGGAACAAAGTGGCCACGGTGGCAGGGATGAAGGTTATGCTTGTGTTAAGCAAGGCTGACCTGGCTAATGCTACTGATGCTTGTCTAATCTGCCAAAACTGGTGACCAACACTGAATCCCCAATATGGTAGCATTGCCAGGGATGGGGAGGACTAGCCGGCAACCTAGTAGCAGATTGATTACATTGGACTGCTTCCATCATGGAGGGGGCACAGATTCATTCTCACTGAAATAGACACACATTCTGGCAATAGATTTGCCTTTCCTGACAGTAAGGCTTCTACCAGAACTACCACCGAGGGAGTTACAGAATGAATTAGATGAGACCACTACCTGGCCGTTGGGACTCTGTATGCTACTGACAAAATAGGCAGGAAAGTTAACTCTACTCCTAGAGTGATTGATTCTAATTTCCAAGCAGAAATCAGGTTGTTGTTTCTACACAACAAAAAAAAATGTGGACTACACCTAGAACCCAGGCATTGCTAGGACACCTTTTAGTAGTTCTACATCCAGTAGTAAAAGTTAATGGAAAACTACAGTAAGCTAAAAAAAATAAAATAAAATAAAAAAGGGCGGACAACTGATCATTCAGACCCTTCAAAAATGAAGATTTGGGTCACTCTACTACAGACCAAGAACCCTGGCCAGATGAAGTTCTGGCTAAGAGGAAGGGAAATAGGTAGTGGGTAGTAGAAGAAAGAAGCCAAAGATATTAACTACAGCCTCATGAGCAATTACAGAAATGAAGACTCCTGTAGTCCCCCTTATGCATCAGGGATATGTGCCAAGACCCCCAGTGGATGCCTAAAACCACAGATAGTAGAAAATCCAATTGCCACTGGTTGGAATATGTCTCTGTTCATGTCTTCCACTCACAAATTTAATTCCTTTTCCTTATTAACTAAGCACTTATCACTCACTATGGCTAGAATTTTTGCAGTGCATTAGTCTGTTTTCACGCTGCTGATAAAAACATACCTGAGACTGGGCAATTTACAAAAGAAAGAGGTTTAATGGACTTAGGGATCCACATGGTTGGGGAGGCCTCATGATCATGGCAGAAGGCAAGGAGGAGCAAGTCACGTCTTACATGGGTGTCAGCAGGCAAAGAGAGAGAGTTTGTGCAGGGGAACTCCCCCTTGCAGAACCATCAGATCTCATGAGACTTATTTATTAACATGAGAACAGCATGGGAAAGACCTGTCCCCATGATTCAATTACCTCCCACCAGGTCCCTCCCACAACACGTGGGAATTCAAGATGACATTTGGGTGGGGACACAGCCAAACCCTATCAAGGTGCAACAGCAAAACTAGGATGAATTTCCTTCTTCACGATTTCACAGATTTGTTCTTACTGTTGATCTTAGCAACCTTAGCATACAATTTTTTTCTTTTCTTATTAAGTCAACAACCTTCATCTTTTCACTTAAAGTAAGCACTTTAAGACTTCTCTTTGGCATATCCAAATTGCATGCATCAATACTCTTGCACTTTGGAGCCACTATTAGGTAAAATAAGGATTACTTGAACAGAAGCACTGCGATACCATGACAGTCAATCTGATAACAAAGACAGCTACTAAGTGACTAACAGGCAGATAGTATAGACAGTATAGATACACTGGACAAAGGGATGATTCACTTTTAGGCCAAGACGGAGCAGAAAGGCATGAAATTTAATCATGCTAGTCAAAAAGTATACAATTTGAAAATTTTACATTGTGTATTTCTGGATTTTTTCCATTAGTATTTTGAACCACAATTGATTACAGTTAACTGAAACCACAGAAAGCAAAACAGCAGGTAAAAGAATACTGCTATATAGTAGTTTTTCATATTTTCCCTTTGCTTGTGATATGAATGAGTTTATTTGTATTTGCTAATCTTTTCTTATTAGAAGTCCCAGTCCATGGTATCCTGCCCACTAACCAACTGTGGACCAGCTTAGACCCAAGGTGATCCAAAGACTTTCATGACCAGCCAGTAGGCTGCAGCAATATGCTTTTCAAGACTAAATTCTAGTCTTGGGTGGGGCAAAGGGCAGAGGGATGCAGTCTACCAAATGTGTTCTTCCTTGGATTCTCTCCCTCAGCCCTAGGGTAAGCTTTAGAACTCTCTTTTATTCTCTCCTAGTAGCTAATCCTCTATAAATAGTTTATGCTTGATATTTAATCTTCACTATTCAATTTACTGCACACTTTCTGTCTCTAGATTGGACCCTGGCTTATTCAAAAGCAAATGAAGTAAACACTCTAATTAAGATACAAAAATTACCAGGCTTAATTATTTAAACATAACATATGCTATTTTTAACATAAATATCTAAAGCTTAAGAATACAGAAAAGTTAAAATATATCATGTAAAAGAAAGCTGGAGTAGTCATGTCAGTATCATATAAATTGGACTTTAACACAAATGCATTTCTAGAGACAAAAAGGGGCATGTTACAATAATCAAAATTTCAATTTGCTTGAAAGATACTTCACTTTTTATTCACTTAAAATAGCATGGTCACAAATATATATACAACTAAAACAAACCCACAACAAATGGAATACATCTCTCAGTAATTAATAAGACAAGCAGACAAAGAATTCAATAGGGACGTGGAAAACTTGTACAGAATGAAAAAAACTGATCAAATAGACACTGCATACAACATCTGCACAATATATATGCCTTTTAGCAGCAAAATGGAATATATATATTTTTTTAGTTGACCAAGTTCTGGAGCAAAAAGCAAAACTCAACACAGTTTAGCGGTTTTAAAATACACAGCTTGTTGCCTGCCAAATCGATCTATCATCTTCGGACCTCATGCTGAGATCCAGACCTGTGTATCCAACCAACAATGTGCTGGAATGGTCTTGTAAGAGCGGACTGTGCCCATCTCTTCCCAACTCTGCATTTTTGACATCACATTGGTATTAAACTTGGACACGGTGGGAGTATCTGCTCCATGGAAATCAGCAAATGCTACAGAAAAAAATGAGCTTTCTTCTTTATTGTTTGAGAATAAGTGATTAAATATTTACCAGCACACCACCATATCCAACCTATTTTGAACCATCTCCAAGTGGATGTTGCAATGGCATCTCAATCTCAGTATGTCTAAGCATATTATCTTCCTTCTCCAAGTATATGTACCCTATATCTCGTTTCTAGTTAATGATATCACCAGCCATCTACTTATACAAACCAAAATCCCAGATTTTTTAACTCTCTTCTTCATTCCCACATTCAATCAATTATCAATCCCCTACATTTTATGTTCAAAATGTATCTAAAATTTGTTCCCTCTTTTTCTTTCCTCCTACTACTGCTATAGCCAAAATAATCTATGATCTGTAATTTACTTCCAAGATTAGTATATAAAATCTATAAAAACTAATTATGACTAGGCTCAACCAACCAGAGCAGAAGCCAGCTGTAGGGCAGGTCAGAGCCTTGAGATATCTAAATGCTAAATCAAGAGGTGGTCCTGGGTTCCTAGGGGTGCATCAGGTAGCCAGAGCTGTGGCAGTGGGTGACACTCAGGAGCTCAGGGCAGCAGCTATATAACAACTGGTAGGGTAGTATCTCAATATTGGAACAACTGGGAAGCCATCGTAGTGTGCACCAGCTGAGTATTTGTCCTGAACGTGGTATGCATACCATGGAGACATACTGGATAGTTTAAAGAGGGACATAGATAAACTCTTTAAAAATAAATATGTATTTTACTGTGTTAAAAATATGACACACTGAGTCCAAATTTAAAAATATACTTAATGTAGATAGATAGATAGAAGATAGATAGATAGATAGATAGATAGATAGATAGATAGATGATAGATAGATAGATAGATAGATAGATAGATAGATAGATAGATCCCTTGACAAAAATTAAATGAATGACAGGAATTTGAAAGCCATGGTTCCCTGCCTCCACTTTCTCTTCTTTTCAAATGTCTCCTCCCGTGCTGCCAGAGTATTTTTCTCTAAACACAGATTTGGTCGTTTCAATTCCACAATTTAAATTGTTAGACACTTCTTCATTGTGTATGGAATAAATCCAAACTCCTTAACAAAGCATACAGCAATCTTGCAAATATGGCATCATAAAATTCCTTTTACAATCTCACCAAAAACTCTATACTTTTAGCTACAGGTTTCCAAGTCTTTGTTTAGATTTTCTCCAGCTGGCAAATATAAACATGACACTGAAACCTCAGTGCAAATGCCACTTTTTCTCTGAAGCTTTCCTCAACATTTCACATAGAATTCACGGCACTTTTTCTTTTCTCCTGCTGCACTTTTTAAATACTATGACTTAGAAGGGACAGTACACTAACTTGAAGATTCCTTTTTCATCCACCTGCCTTTGTAGAGGGGATTTTATTGCTCATTGACACCCTTCTCCAAAAGAATCAGCAAGAACAATTCGAATCCTGTATTAAAAATGGCACAATCAAGCTATTATAACAAACGGGTTACAAAATACATAGGCCTAACAAGATAGAAATTTCTTTCTTTCTCATGCAACAACCCAGGAATGAATGGTCAAGGTGTAGAAGGGAAGCTCCACCATTCTCAACATGCTGCCTACATCTTTGCTTCTAAGGTGTATGGTCACTCTGGTCATCATGTCTGCATATAGCAAACAAGAGACAGTCAAAGAAAAGTGCAAGCAGGCATCTTCATTTACAGGGCATTGTTTGCCAGTTGCACATATCACATCTGTTCACATCTCATTGCCCAGAATTCAGTGAGATGGCCCTATCTAATCATAAAAGAGGCTCAGAAATTCCATCTGCACAGGTCAGCAATGTGCCCAGTCAAACCCTGAGAGGTGCTGTTACTAAAGGAAAAAGGAGAGAAATGGACACCGAACATAAATGATCAGTTGGTGCTTCCAACACAAAATGCAAATTTCTCCTTTTTACTGGCATGTTATGCACAAAGATAAAAGATTTTATTAGGAAACTGTTGGAATGTTCGTCACAGTGATGTTTCTGGTTACTTTGGTATTTTAGTCATTTATGGTTTCCTTTATTACCAATAGTGCTGCTGCAGCTTATTCTATAAAATCAGACATATCTATGATCGCAGTATCTCAGCCAACATATAAATCTTATTATTTTATGGGACCATTAAACTCTGGGTCAGCTTGTGTGTCTCCCTTTTTTATATGGATGAAAGAGTAGACTAGGTCAACTTTGTTTTCTTTATTTTCCACTCCAGCAGTACAAACCTGGCTTCCTATAAATAAGTCTCTCTTTCTAAAATACAGTTATCATACTCCTTTTTAAAATTGTGTGCATAGCTCTAAAATGATCTACAAGTTTCTACCATAAAATGTTTAGATGACTTACAATTTTTGCAACTTGACTACTGTTCAAAAAATGATGCACAAAACCTGACCAGAAAAATATTGCAATCAAAATGTGCATTCATTTTGCTAAGCATCAGGTAGATTTCTCAAACAGTACTCTCTTGGACATAATACTAAAATTTATCAAGCTTTCCATCTGGCCTCAAATTATTAAACATTTGCTTTCTGCACTGAACAAGACTGCAGTGGAGCTAGGGTTAAAAGAACCATAATGAGATACAATTACAGAGATAAATGAGACAAACACTGTAGGTGTTTGACTTGAAGCAATAATACATCTGATTTTTTTGTGTGAGAGAAAAATGCTTTCATTTATCTTACTGGGGGTTCTCCTAAACTACTGAGTACGAATTCCTTCTGGAGGCCAAACATGTCCCTCAGTAAGCATTTAAGCATGATTGAGGGCTGACTTGATGAGACTGCCTACATTAAAAGCATTCTCCAGTGCAAAATTAAATTTAAACTAGTAGCCTTTCATGACTTTCTGGATAATCAGAAACTGAGAACTTGCATTTCAAAGAGGGCAAACTGGTCTCCTAGTGCCACCACAATGCTTTCTACACCGTATGTGAAAGCAGTGGCTCTACCCATTTTGAGCCCTCCCTTCCAAACTCTTCACGTGCTGGTGGTCAACAAATGCTTTTATGGTGGTGATGGGACAAAAGTTATTAATGTTAAGAGTTTTCCCAGGCTTCTTCCTCATGTAGACTGCTAATCAGGATTCAGCCTTGACTCTCTTACTCTTTTTGGGTTCTCCACTATCAAAGGGTACAGAACAAGGGTTAAGAGAGAAAGGACAAGACCATGTAGACTTGGGCTAGAAGAGAAATTTTCAAAGGAGTTTTAAAATAAGAGGCATAGGAACAGCTGCAGGATATGAAAGCAGTACTTGCGACAGGAAATTGGAGATACTTAGAATTGTGTGGGGATTCTAAGAATCATGATGCTTAGGAAATATAAGAATATGTATAAATGACTTGGATTGCTTTGAAACTACTTTTGGTTGCTGAAATTTTGTCTGTCTATGAGATTTCTCTGGCATTGAATGAAGTGGGTACTAGCTTAAAGGCATTATAACTGTTTTCCCTTAGCACCCTATCTTTCAAGAGGAATGGAAGGGGCCAACTTTGACAATATATTTCTTGAATAGGGTGAACTCCTGATCTCAGTATTCATCACTTTTTAAATCACATTCTGGTCAACTAACAGAATGGAGTCTCAGTTGGTTCTGTTGTATCTGGGAGTGAGATTCATGGTCAACCAGAATGGCCGAATAGGAGGCAAAGAAATTAGGACCAAGAAAGGGCCAGAGAAGCCTCCATGTTTACGGGTTAAACCAGAGGCAGCCTCAGAGCAAGTTGATTTTACATAATCTAAATTCTCCCATATCTATGCCCCTCCCTTAACTGCTCCAGCTTTATTCCTTTGCTGTCTCATGTCTGATCTCTCTTTGAGGAGTCAAACGACTCTTGCAACCTCATTAACATAGGGATGCTACAGCAAAGCTGGGGGAGAAGGGGAGAAACAGAATTCATAATCAAGCAGAGCTGGGTTCAAATTGTGACTTGACTATTTACTTTCTTGCAGAGGTTACTTAAACTTTAGAAACTGCAGTCTTCCTTTCTGTAAGGTGAGGATAATGATAGAAAACTGTCACATGGGTTATTTTGAAGACTGTATGAGACAGCAGTGATAAAGCACTTAGCATGGAGTGTGGATCTTAATCCCCAAAGACACAATCCTGAATACCATAATCCCAAATGTTGAAATCCTAAAAGATCAAAATCCCTAATGTCTAATATCCCAAAAACCGGGATCAGGAGGAACTATTACCTTGTTACGGTTGTTATCTGGAAATTAATTGTGCTTTAAGGAGCTAGGAGTGGCTATGTATTTTGTCTTTGCATCATTTCCAATACTGGAGGTATAAATTGTGCAGAGATTTTAAGAGAGTTCTAATTGTTTCATGCATTTTTTGCAAATTTCACTCCACAAAAGTGCATTACCACAATGTTGCCTTTGTGTGTAAGCATAGTGCATGCATGTAAAAATGTTGAAACTTCCTCAATAAGTGAAGAGATGTCTTTTTTGTACATCTGCATTTGCAAAAGACAAAATTTCTCAAGATTTTGGCTGTTTGGGCAACTGCATATGTGTTGGTGACCTATCACAGTTTTTGATCAATCTTGTCGAAAGATTTAGGTTGTGTGTTACTATTTCAGATGACCACATTTCTAAAGATGGGTGCAAACAATCACCAGCCATAGTGAGATGTATTTATACATCTCCCTTTTTGACCTATTTCTTTATGAATATGGTTCATCTGCTCATAACTCTTATACTTATGTAACTCTTCTTGATATACCTGATTGTTTATGCTTCTAAAAATATGTATTTATTATTGACTATTTTGTTGTGTAAAATGGACTGTGAAATGTTCTCTCATGTTTTCATATGTTGCTCAAATAAATGCCCTTTTAAAATAGAAATAAGTATTTTCTAAATAATGTGTAATTTTTTTCGGAATTACATTTTCAGGATTTTAATCTCTTGGGATTTCAATATTTGGGATTGTCTTTTTTGGGACATGATCAGCTCCCCTTAGAATGACACTCAACCCATACTAAGTTCTAAATAAATGTTAGCCATTAGCATATTATCATTAGCACATTGTTGTAGGTCAATACTTCTTAGCTGTAATTATTTTTGTTATTGTCATCCTGTATCATCCTCCAACTCTTCTTTCTCTCTGCACCCTTGCCTTCTTTAAGAACATTTTCTGAACCTAATCTGCATGGCTTGATACAAGCTACTGCATTCAGATGTGGTCATAACCCATCACAGCCTCATCTGAAGTCTTCAGGGAATCATCACTGCTGGTATCCATCCAGCCTAGCCAAAAGTTTTCACCTGCATCTCTTTGGTGTTTCCTTCTGCTGAACTCATGACTGTTTCTGGACACCACTGAGCCATGCTTCCAATAGACGAAGCAAGTCTGAAATTTAATCAGAACGCCTTCTCCCTTTACTCTAACCTGGTATTCAAAATCCTCCCAAAAGAAAAATGAATTCAAATATTAATATTTATCACATGGTTTTCTAAAGACGTCTAAGAAGAAAGAAAGTGGGGTTTTCTCCTTAAGTCTGAAATAATTTAAAGAAATATAAAAGCTTAAAAGAAGAACTTTTAGAAAAGAATTTTAAAATAATTATTCTCATCCTGAAAAATCTAAACCATCTTACGCACAATTATTCTCCCTGCTGTGAAAGAAGAAACCTAAAGGGACAGGAGTAAGCACTGATAAATTCTGAATCTCTTGCAATTGTCCATCGCAGAAATCTTGTGAGATTAATGGTATCATCCCCTCCCAACCCCACTGCACAGATAAGGAAACTGAGGCTTAGGAAGGGGAAGTGACAAGACCACCCAACTAGAAAATACCAGGGCTGTAACAGAAGCCCCAACTGTGAAAATCATTACAATACAAAACTCAGCGGCAGCTCTAACCCTCTGATAGAGTTGCTTTTTCCCCACACTTCTCCTCACTTCCTTATTACTCTCATTGAATATCCATAATAACCCAGAAGAGCACTATATATATAGAAAGGCACATTTTATTGGCTGATATTTCCACAGTTGGAGTCATTTCCCCTGTAGCATGTGACAACTTCTGCATTGAGTCCACATGATAGCCTGGTGTTCTGAATCACGGTTCAACTCAATTCTATTTACCAAACTCCCAGAGTCTTAAAAATCACTTTACTGGAGTTACAGTCATGAGAAAACAAGTTACACAGAGGGACCTGCTGAGAGGGCAGCTGCGAAGTGTCCTGAGCAATTACAGATCAGCGGCATTCCTTTCTATTTGATCTTTAAAATCACAGCAGATTTTAAGTTGGGAGGAGAAAAATCAGAGCACCCATGGAAAATAACCAGTGGGTGAATGAGAATGTCTCCAAGTTCCTCTGTGTCATGCCCCTTTTCCATCCATCCCACTTGCTTCCATGAAAGTTACTGACAAAGCTCTTCTCTGAACCATTACCATGTAGGAAACATAAGGGGATTGTATTATTGACTAGACTAGGACAGGAATTTGGACTAGGACTAGACTAGGACTAGGAATTTGGTTTTGTTTTTTTTTTTTTTTTTTTGCACAATTATTTTATCAAACTATCCTAACATCTTTGCCTGATCTTTTTTTTCACGTTTATTTTAGGTTCAGGGGTACATGTGCAGGTTTGTTATATAGATAAATTGCATGTTGCAGGGGTTTGGTATACAGATTATTTCATCACCCAGGTAATAAGCATAATACCCCAAAGATAGTTTTTCAATTCTCACCCTTCTACCCTCCATCCTCCAGTGGGCCCCAATGTCTATGTTCTTTGTGCCCATGTGCGCTCAATGTTTAGCTCCCACTTATAAGGGAGAACACATAGTATTTGGTTTTGTGTATTTACCATGTTAGTTTGCTTAGGATAATGGCCTCCAGCTACATTGGAGTTGCCACAAAGGACATGATCTCATTCTTTTTATGGCTGAATGTTATTCCATGGTATATATGTACAACATTTTCTTTATCCAGTCTACCATTGATGAGCGTCTAAGTTGATTCCATGTCTTTGCTATTGTGAATAGTGCTGCAGTGAACATATGTGTGCTTGTGTCTAAATGATAGACCAATTTTTTTTTTTTTTTTTGAGACGGAGTCTGGCTCTGTCGCCCAGGCTGGAGTGCAGTGGCGCGATCTCTGCTCAGTGCAAACTCTGCCTCCCAGGTTCACGCCATTCTCCCCGAGTAGCTGGGACTACAGGCGCCTGCCACCACGCCCGGCTAATTTTTGGTATTTTTAGTAGAGACAGGGTTTCGCCGTGTTAGCCAGGATGGTCTCAATCTCCTGACCTCGTGATCCACCCGCCTCGGCCTCCCCAAGTGCTGGGATTACAGGCGTGAGCCACTGCGCCTGGCCATGATACAAAGATTTCTAATTTGGGGGTTATATATCCAATAATGGGATTGTTGGGTTGAATGTTAGCTCTGTTTCAAGTTCTTTGAGAAATCACAAAACTGCTTTCCACAGTGGCTAAACTAAATTTAAATTCCCACCAGCAATGTGCATGTATTCCCTTTTCTCTGCAGCCTCGCCAGCATGTGTTATTCTTTGACTTTTTAATTATACCCACTCTGACTGATGTGAGACGGCATCTCACTCTACTTTTGATTTGCATTTCTCTAATGATTAGTAATGTTGAGTATTTTAATATGCTTTTTGGCCACATGTATTTCTTGTGAGAAGTGTCTGTTCCCGTTCTTTGCCCCTTTTTTAATGGGGTTATGTTTTGCCTGTTAATTTATTTAAGTTCCTTATAGATTCGGAATATTAGGTCTTTGTTGGATGCATAGTTTGCAAATATTTTCTCTCATTCTGTAGGTGGTATGTTTACTCTGTTGATAGTTTCTTTCGCTGTGCAGAAGCTCTCTAGTTTAATTAGGCCCCATTTGTCAATTTTTGTTTTTGTTGCAATTGTTTCTGACATCTTCATTATGAAATCTTTGCAGGGTCTATGTCCAGAATGGTACTTCCTAGGTTTTCTTCTAGGATTTTTATAGCTTTAAGTTTTACATTTAAGTCTTTAATCCATATGCTTTTTGTATATGGTAAAAGGAAGAGATCCAGCTTCAATCTTCTGCATATGGCTAGCCAGTTATCCTAGTACCATTTATTGAATAGGAAGTCCTTGCCTTACTGCTTGTTTTTGTTGACTTTGTCGAAGATCAGATGAGTGTAGGTGTTTAGTTCTGGGGTCTTTATTCTGTTCCATTGGTCTATGTGTCTGTTTTTCTATCAGTACCATGCTGTTTGGGTTACTGTAGTCTTGTAGCATAATTTGAAGTTGGGTAATGTGATGTTTCTAGCTTTGTTCTTTTTGCTTAAGATTGTTTTGGCTATTTGGGATCTTTTTTGGTTCCATATGAATTTTAGAATAGCTTTTTTAACTCTGTGAGAAATGTCATTGGTATCAAATAGTTTGATAGGAATAGCATTTTTTCAGTAACATCATTCCTTTACTTTTCAACTGACAATGAAGATGTTTGATATCTTCAGTAGACATCAGTGTTGCTGACCAATGTTTTCAGGCTCCTCTTTCAGGTGTTCAGGGATATTGTTCTTCTCTATACTCTTGATGTTAGTCCTGGCCAGGTGATTTGGTTTGGCCAATGATGTGTGTCACTTCTGGCCAGAGTATTTAATTGCACTTGTTTTAATCTTTGTCTCTGCTTCCTTCCTCTCCTTTGACAATCATGGGAGCATGTGTTAACACAAAATTGCCATAAGAGCTCAGCAGCCTGGAAGGCTGAGCTAACACATGTATATTTTAGAGAATGACCTAACACCCCATCAGGCCTACCACAAGAAATAAACTCTTTTTATGTGTAACTGCTGAGATTTCCAGGTTATTCGTACATTGCAGTATGAACCAGCCTATCTTATTGTACATGGTGTTTCAGTTGTATTTGGCTGATAGGAATAGAAAACTCAACTGTAATGGCATATACATGTAAGAGGACTACTAGGCTTGCATAATAAGAAGACCTAATGAAGGCAACCTAGAATTGGATGGCTCAGTGGTATCTTCCATAATCCTTCCATCTTCTTATTCTGTCTTTCTGGCTATGGTTTTAGTCCTTGTGGTGTCAAATGGCTTCTGCTCCTATAGGCATTGCATTCATATTCCAAGCAGGAAGAAGAGGCAAGTCTTTGTCCCTTACTTTAGGAAAGAAAGTTGTCAGTTTTTTATGCTACTGTAAAAGAATACCATAGACTGGGTTGCTTAAACAACAAGCATTTATTTCTCACAGTTCTGGAGGTTGGGAAGTCCAATATCAAGATGCTGGCAGATTTGGTGTCCAGTGAGGACACTCTTCCTAGTTAGTAGATGGCCATCTGTCTTCTCATAGCCTCACATAGCCAAGACAGAAATCATCTTTCTCATGTTTCTTCTTATAAAGGCATCAATCCCATTCATGAGAGCTCCACCCTCATTACCTCCCCAAAAACCTCACCTTCTAATACTATAATAGTGGAGGTTAGGATTTCAACATATGAATTTTGGGGATGCAAAAATATCCAGTCCATAACAAAGGCCTTTTTGGAAAAATTTGCCTTCATCTCATTAGCTAGAAACCTGCGCTGTGGTCAACACAAGGTGCAGAGGAATCTAGGAAGATGTTTCAGCTTCCTACTCTCTAAGGCAGAGAAAGATAAGGGAAAATGTTATAGTGTGTAGCTAGTTAGGTATAAGCAGGGCAGGAAAGGGTTTCCCCCACCACACACAAATACACATACACACACACACAAAGACACACACACACACACACACACTTGGAGTATTTGGTGACCATCAGATGATGGTCAGGCAGTTGTCAACTGTTTCTCTAAAGTAATAATTGGTCACAGCTGGTGCCAGAGAAAGGCAGTCTCCTAATAGAAAACACCTGAAACTGATCAGCGGCTTCCCAGTAAGATCTCAGGAGTGAGGAGAAGTAACACAAGATCCCGGAAGTATGACAATGTGTAAAACCTAAGTCAAGAAGTCAAGCTGTACACTTGGTTTCTCAAGTTGCTCACTTGGCCCTCTTCCAAGTTGTACTTTCTTTCTTTTCTTTCCTTTCTTTTTTTTTCTTTCCTTCCTTTCCTTACTGTGCTAAAGCTTTCTTAATAAACTTTCACTCCTGCTCTGAAACTTGCCTCAGTCTCTCCTTCTGCCTTATGCCCCTCAGTCAAATTCTTTCTTCTGAGGAGGCAAGTAGTGAGATTGCTGCAGATTTGTATGGATTTGCCACCAGTAACGTGGATACATTCCTTCAGTAACAAAAGGAGGTTTGGAGATAGACCATCCACAGTTTCTGTCACTATGTAATTATAAAGAAAACTGGACCATTTCAAGCAGTGCCTAAATGCAAATTGTTTTTAAAGAGCTGATAATTCACAAAACCTAATTTCAAATACAGCATTAAGAAAGATAGCTTATATAATAAAAACATTATGTTATAAAAAAAGTACATATCTTCTGCTTTTGTAATGCTTATTATGTATCCACCACTCTGGACTTAGGGACAGTGTCACAGAATCATGGATTTCCCAGAAAAGATTAGAAGGATTCAGCCCATCCACCAAACAACTAACTGAACATCCCTGACCCTCCTGACACATACTGTCTAATTTCCATGTAAGCTTAAAGCCTGATGAGGTCATGGAAGAGTGATACTATTTATTCATTCCACAAATACTTATCTAGGAACAGGTAACTTACTATGCACAGTATCTACAACTATGATAAGTAAGATACCAACTCCATCTTCTAGCACGCAACTTGGAAACAAATTTAGACTGATTAACAAGTAACTATAGTGCAATGAGACAAGAGCAATAATAGTGATGCAGTCATGCACCACATCATAAATTTCCATCAACAACAGATTGCATATACAATGGTGGTCCTATAAGATTATAATATTGTATTTTTACTGTACATTTTCTATGTTTAGATATATTTACTGTATTGGTCTGTTCTCACACTGCTGATAAAGACATGCCCGAGACTGGACAATTTACAAAAGAAAGAGGTTGAATGGACTTACAGTTCCACATGGCTGAGGAGGCCTCACAATCATGGTGGAAGGCAAGGAGGAGCAAGTCTCATCTTACATGGATGGCAGAAGGCAAAGAGAGAAAATGAGAGCCAAGCAAAATGAGCTTCCCCATATCAAACCATCAGATCTCGTGAGACTTATTCACTACCACAAGAACAATATGGAGGAAACCACCCACATTTATCTTCCACCCGGTCCCTCATACAACACATGGGAATTCAAGATGAGATTTGTGTGGGAACACAGCCAAACCATATCATTTTGCCCTGGCCCCTCCCCTCCCAAATCTCATGCCTTCACATTTCAAAACCAATCATTCTTTCCCAACAGTCCCCCAAAGTCTTAACTCGTTTCAGCATTAACTTGAAAGTCCGCAGTCCAAGTTCTCATCTGATACAAGGAAAATCCCTTCCACCTATGAGCCTGTGAAATCAAAAGCAAACTAGCTACTTCCTAGATGCAATGGAGGTACAGGTATTTGGTAACTACAGCCATTCCGAATGGGAGAAATTGACCAAAACAAAGGGGCTACAGGACCCATGCAAGTCTGAAATCCAGCAGGGCAGTCAAATCTTAAAGCTCCAGAATGATCTCCTTTGACTTCATGTCTCACATCCAGGTTATACTGACACAAGAAGTGGGTTCCCATCATATTGTGCTGCTCCACCCCTGTGACTTTGCAGGGTACAGCCTCCCTCCTGGCTGCTTTCACAGGCTGGTGTTGATTGTCTGTGACTTTTTCAGGCACACAATGCAAGATGTAGGTGGATCTACTATTCTGGGATCTGGAAGATGGGGTCTTCTTCTCATAGCTCCACTAGGCAGTGCCCCAGTAGGGACTCTGTGTGGGGGCTCCAATCCCACATTTCCCTTCTGCACTGCCCTAGTAGAGGCTCTCCTTGAAAGCCCCACCCCTGCAACAAACTTCTGCCTGGACATCCATGTGTTTCCATACATCCTCTGAAATCTAGGCATAAGTTCCCAAACCTCAATTCTTGACTTCTGTGCACTTGCAGGCTCAATACCACATGGAAGCTGCCAAGGCTTGGGGCTTGCACCCTCTGAAGCCATGGCCAGAGCTGTACCTTGGCCTCTTTTAGTCCTGGCTGGAGCAGCTGGGATGCAGGGCACCAAGTCCCTAGACTGCACAAAGCATGGAGACCCTGGGCCTGGCCCACAAAACCACCATTTCCTCCTAGACTTCTGGGGCTGTGATGGGAGGGGCTACTGTGAAGACCTCTAACATGCCCTGGAGACATTTTCCCCATTGTCTTGGGGATTAACATTTGGCTCCTCGTTACTTATGCAAATTTATGCAGTTGGCTTGAATTTCTCCTCAGAAAATGGGATTTTCTTTTCTATCACATTGTCAATCTGCAAATTTTCCAAACTTCAGTGCTCTGGTTCGCTTATAAAACTCAATGCCTTTAACAGAACTCAAGTCACTTTTTGAATGGTTTGCTGCTTAGAAATTTATTCTGCCAGACACCCTAAATTATCTCTCTCAAGTTCAAATTTCCACAGATTTCTAGGGCAGGGGCAATATGCCACAAGTCTCTTTGCTAAAACATAACAAGAATTACCTTTGCTCCAGTTCCCAACAAGTGCCTCATCTCCATCTGAGACTACCTCAGTCAGAACTTCATTGTCCATATTGCTACCAGCATTTTGAGAAATGCCATTCAACAAGTCTCTGGGGAGTTCCAAACTTTCCCACATCTTCCAGTCTTCTTCTGAGCCCTACAAACTATTCCAACCTCTGCCAGTTACCCAGTTCCAAAGTTGCTTCCACATTTTTGGGTATCTTTTCAGCAGCACCCCACTCCTGGTACCAATTTACTGTATTAGTTGGCTCTCAGACTGCTGATAAAGACATACCTGAGACTGGGCAATTTAAAAAAGAAAGAGATTTAGTGGACTTACAGTTCCTCATGGCTGGGGAGGACTCACAATCACGGTGGAAGGCAAGGAGGAGCAAGTCACATCTTACATGGATGGCAGCAGGCAAAAAGAGAGCTTATGCAGGGAAAGTCCTGTTTCTAAAACCATAAGATCTCATGAGATTCGTTCATCCTCATAAGAACAATGTAGAAAGACTTGCCCCCATGATTCAATTACCTCCCACTAGGTCCCTCCCACAACACATGGGAATTCAAGATGAGATTTGGGTGGGGACACAGCCAAAACATATAGGTTTATATACATACATACTTAACCATTGTGTTATACTTGCCTACAGTATTCAGTACAGTCGCTTCCTGTATAGGTTTGTAGCTTAGGAGCAATAAGCTCTACCATATAGCTTAGGTGTGTAGTAGGCTCTATCTAAGTTTGTGTAAGTACACTCTACAATTTTCACACAATGACAACATCACCTACCAATGCATTTCCCAGAATGCATTCCCTTTGTTAAATGATGTTTAACAGTACATAAAAGTACAGGTATAGCTCTGAGGATGGTATTCTCAAAGTAGGAAGTGCAGAGAGAATGGGAAAAGATTAGGGAACATGACGTTCAAGCTGAATGTTGAAGGATTGAGTAGGAGCTTGCCAGGAAAAAGAAATGAGGGAGAGATCCTCCCAAGCAGAGGAAACATATATCCACATACTGGTTCCCAGAACAACAGAACATGATTTTCCAAACTTTGTATGTTTCCTAACTCCCATGTTATACATTTAAAACATATTTCAGCACTATTATGGGGCAATTATATATGCCTGTTATCACTAGAATTTCCCCCAATAAATTACACAGAGCAATGAAAAAAGAGATATAACTCAGGTGTGAAAATAGATACAGCCTTCACTTTCAAAAATCTGGCCCTTTCAAATGTGCAGCTATGATTAGGAAAGCCAAATGTCCTATTGCTTTTACATGTGCTCCTATAAAATAAAATGAAAAACACACATTTTTTCCACAGGAGCTAAGGAATGCTTTTGTGAGAACATGTGATGTAATTGAAAACAGTAGGATTTAGTGTTGCTTGTGTGCTTCAACTTAAAAAGATCCTTTGAACAACTTAATCCATATATGACACCTCCATTTCACTCCCTCCTTTCTCTCTCTATAGTAGCCACTGGAATAGAGGGAAGAAAACCCATAAAATATACAGGTATCAAATCATCTAGTTGTACTCGATTAAATCATGAAAGGCTAAAAAATGGGCAATTTCCCCACTATGATAATATACACTTAATTCATTTGCAGCAAATATGGTAGTCTTGACTTCTAACCCTTTAGGTGAGTGAAAATCCTGAATAAGACAAGTGTCTTTTAAGATTCATTAGATATAAACCATGCTGTTGTTGCCTTTGTATGCTGCCCTAACTAAAGTAATGCATGTACCAGCTGCATCATAAAAACTGATTGGCTAATTAGTTGAATGAGTTCATAAATGAGAAGAGAGGCTGTAGAGTTTATGATAAAATGCCAGAATGTCATTTATTCCAATGATTTGTATTATTGTAATATCTTATAGAAATTATTTTAAAACAAATAAAATATAGGTTTAACAACAATACTTATTAAATGCCAGGCAGGCATTGTTCTAACTGCTTTGTATATAGTAACTTGTTTAGTTTTCCCAACAACCCCATGGGAGTATCTTTGATGCTGGACTAAGATTGGTTGACCCAAACCACATATTTTAAAACTAGGGAACTTTAAATTTCCAAAGGGAAGTTATGGTCCTGAGTAATAGATGGTTGGGTAGAAGCCAAAAGGTGCCCATCACACTTGCAGAATTAATAACTTCATCAGGACTGAAACCCACCTCTTCTGTCTCAGAATAAGCTCTCACTTCACCCTGCAACCCTCTTCCTAGAATAAAAGCATACAGTATATGATGAGTCACTAATACATTAATGTTCATTCTCATTTGAACAATAAATACTTCATTCATTCAACTAATTTTATTGAGCAAGATTATTGTATTCTTTACATGGATGAGGAAACTATGCCTCAAAGACATTTCTTGGTAAGATTACCCTACATGGCAGTAAGGCTTTGGGGAGAAATTTTTCAGTTTACTGGAAGCCTCATCTGTCCTCCATGCAGTTCTTTAAAATGACTCCAATTTCAGCTTGGAGGTATTTGGGAGATTATGTTTACAGATATAAGATCATTATTTATAAAAATTTAGGTAAATTTAGGCAAGTAAAAACTTAATAAGGCTAGTATCTTATAAATCCCTTGAAAGTGAAAATCATGTTCCCTTTATTTTTAAAATTTTTTTTAATTTTTGTGGGTACACAGTAGGTGTATATATTTGTGGGGTAAATGAGATGTTTTGATACATGCATGCAATGTGAAATAAGCACATTATGGAGAATGGGGTATCCATAGTCTCAAGCATTTATCCTTTGTGTTATGCACAATTACACTTTTTTAGCTTTTTAAAATGTACAAATAAGTTATTATTGACTATAGTCAACCTATTGTGTGATCAAATAGTATGTCTTATTGATTCTTTCTATTTTTTGTACCCATTATCCATCTCCATCTCCCCAAAAAGCCCACCACTACCCTTCCCAGCCTCTCTCTGGTAACGATCCTTCTAATCACTATCTCCATGAGTACAATTGATTTTTAGATCCCATACCATAAAAACAGATGCATAGACCAATGGAACAGAATAAAGAACCCTTCATTTTTGTACACTATTGAATCTTATGTGGGAGACATTTTTTTAGTTATGTTAAATATGTGTTAAACTATGAGGGCTGAGAAAATTTTTGAAGAAAAAATTATTTGAAGTCCTATGTAAAAGCTGTCTATCAAGGTAACGAGGTCCAGAGGTAAGAATATTGTGGAGAGGCCCCAGACAGATGAAGAGAAAAAACCACCACAACTGGGTATTCATAATCAGTTCTTACATGAGGCGATATCCAGAGGAGGAGCTAAGACCCTTCTGAAGGTCACCTCAGAATGAAGGGCTTCACAGCCTTCCTCTCAGTATTACATGAAAAACAAGCCTGACTGTGAACCTCTCTGTGCTATTGCAACTCATCTGTATTAGTCCATTTTCACGCTGCTGATAAAGACATACCTGACACTGGATAATTTACAAAAAAAAAAAAAAAAAAAAAAAAGAGGCTTATTGGATTTACAGTTCCACGTGGCTGGGAAGGCCTCACAATCATGGCAGAAGGTGAAAGGCACATCTCACATGACAGCAGACAAGAGAAGAGAGCTTGTGCAGGGAAACTCCCCCTTTTAAAACCATCAGATCTCGTGAGACTTATTCACTATCATGAGAACAGCATGGGAAAGACCCACCTCATGATTCAATTACCTCCCACCAGATCCCTCCCACAACATGTGAGAATTCAAGATGAGATTTGGGTGGGGACACAGCCAAACCATAACATCACCATACTCTCTGCAGAGGGAGATCCATCCTTCAAGCCACAAACAAGAAGAAATCGTCTTGTGCCCTCTCTGGCACCTTTAAAAACTCTATTCCCTGGGTAAAGGGAAGTGCAAGGGGGCAGGGATAAATGAGAATGGAATAAACAGCCTGTTAAAGAATCCTCCCCTCTCTCTCTCATTTTTAGACCCTTTTCCTTCAGCAATTATCCATCAAGTACCTAATATGTGGCAGGCACTATTCTGCACATGTGAACAAAAGACACACAAAAATGTCTGCCTTTGTGAGACCTGTGTTCTAGTGGACTTCATATTCTAGAACTATTAGAGAAAACTGGCTGGAGAAATAATAATACTGGAAGGCTTTATTAGGGCTTTTGGAAAGTCAAACTTAAATAGTCAAATGTGAATTCTCAGTCTCAAAATGTCATAAACAGGACTCTCCTCCCTCCCTCCACCTCCACACTACCATGACGGTACTTTAAGAGAATGAAAACAGGCATACATCAGCAACTTCATAAACACTGATCTGAAGGCCTGCCTTGAATATCAGTAATTTCAAACTTACCTGAAGGGAAAATTGGGGAACAGGGGGCCTTTCAGTCAACACTATGCCAACCCAAGAACCAGGTATAAAATAATCCAAAGTCAATAGTCAGACTTAAAGTGTTTAAAGGAGAAAAAGATGAAGTCTGATATCCCAGTGGAAATACGTCACCCAATAAAGGAAAACTGAATACTGAATTATGTCATGTAAAAATAATTTTTGATAAATTAGATGTCAGGAAAGTTTTGGCTCACTGTCTGTTAGTGCCCTCTAACAGCCCCTGTCTAGACATGAAGAGCTGGTCAATTGTCCAGACCATGTCAGAATCATATTCTTATTCTGAACAGATGCCTCATTATGTAGAATAATTTAGCATTATCAATGAAAGGATTAACTAAATGACTCATGGCATTTGTAATGCACTCAAGAGCTTTCACCTATAATACCTACAGCCAGCCCTCAAGTTGGGCTTTGAGTTTGCTAATGAGCATGTGTTATTAATCACAAGGCACATATGTACCTGATTTTAGACCTCTAAGATAAAAAGGCCTTTAATTTTGGTGAAGCCAAAGGGTAAACTCTACTGTGATTCATTAAATATAGGCTCAGTGTATCAGCAGCAATTCAGTAGTGCAACATTTGCTAAGAAGTTATTGCCATTGTAATAGAATTAATACATGGTACATTTTATTCAGGTACAATAAATCCATTATTAGATATTTTTCCCATCAAATGTCTATAAAGTAAGAAAGAAAAGAAATCTATGTACTGAGTGACTCCCTTCTGACAGGTACCCTTCTCTCATTTAATTTTACAGAAACTCTGTTTAGTATTATTAGATCTATTTTGTACATAAAGAAACTGAGACTCAGGCAAAATAACTTGAGTAACTTTTCCTTGTTCTCACAGTCAAAAGGTGGTAAAGCCAAGAGAGTAAACTGATATGGTTTGGCTCTGTGTCCCTACCCAAATCTCATCTGGAATTGTAATCCCCATCTGTCAAGAGAGGGACCTGGTGGGAGGTGATTGGATCATACGGCAGTTTCCCTTATGCTGTTCTTATGATAGTGAGTGAGTTCTCACGAGATGTGATGGTTTTATAACTGGCAGTTTCCCCTGCTCCCTCTCTCCCTTCTTGGTATGTAAGATGTGCCTTGCTTCCCCTTCATCTCCCATCATGATTGTAAGTTTCCTGAGCCATGAAGAACTGTGAGTTCAGCCATGTAGAACTGTGAGTCAAATAAACCTCCTTCCTTTATAAATTACCCAGTCTCTGGTAGTATCTTTATAGCAATGTGAGGACAGACTAATACATAAATCAAATTTTACCTCTCCAGGTGCTTACACTTGTGCAGGAAACTGCTGAGCACCATCTAGGTTCCCCCAATGGGTGGCAGCTATAATCCCTATGTTTGGTGGATTTATAATTCAGTTAAAGAGATGGAACACATACATGCAGAAGCTAAAAAAAGATAATAGATACATCAGCAAAAAAGTGTAACTAAGCCATACACACACACACACACACACACACACACACACACGCACATATACATACAGTATTAGGCTGTTCTTGCATTGCTATCAAGAAATACTTCAGACTGGGAATTTATAAGAAAAGAGGTTTAATTAGCTCATGGTTCTGCAAGTGCACAGGAAGCAAGCATAGTGCCAGCATCGGTTTCTGGGAAGGCCTCAGGAAGCTTTTATTCTGGCCAAAGTTGAAGTGGGAGCAGGCATGTCACTTGATGAAAATAGGAGCAAGAGGGAGACAGAGGGGGTGGCAGTGGAGGTGCCACACACTTTTAAATGACCTAATCTGGAAAGAACTTACTATTAGGAAGATAGCACCAAGCCATGGGGAATCTGACCACATAATCAAAACACCTCCTACCAGGCTTCACCTCCAGCCTTGGGGATTGCAATTCAACATGAGATTTGGGCAGGGACAAATATCCAAACTATCTCTCTCTCTCTCTCTCTTTCTCTCTCTCTCTCCTCTCTCTCTCTCTCACACACACACACACACACATACACATACACATACACACACATATATACACAGTGCTTTATAGTTTTCAGGATGCAATGTTGATTTTTCTAATCATCAAAAAGCTGCCGATGTATATATATTTTTAAACGAGAGGTATTTCCATGTCTCCGTCCAACATTTTGTATTTGAAAGTAATCTTCACAGCTGTAAAACTTTAGTCTTTCTTAAGATATATTGCACATTCCAAATACACTGACCTAAACCTATAGTTTTCACACATGGTTAGGAGGCAGAGCACCCAGGAGCCAGAGACCTCTTTGAGGAAGACTATCAAATATTGTTTCATAAATCCAAAATACCAAAAACAAAATGATGTGCTAAATTGGATATCATATTATGTCAGCATAGACAAGAGACAGCCAATGCCAAAGGTTTAAGGAAAATACAGGATGGAAAACTTAACTTAGAGAATGGATCTGCCAATGCTTTTGGTTGACATTTCTGCAAACTTTGAAAAGTTTTTTCCCCAATAGTGGATCATCTTGACCTACTTCAAGGAACTCCTAAGAGCAGCCCTGAGAACACACAAGGTGGCAGGCCAGGAACTCTGAAAATAAGCCTCCAGATTTGAACGCTCATTCCCATCTGAGGCTGTAATAGCACAGTTTATATCCATCGTGGCTGACTGATACTGCCTGATTAGGGCCGTATTTTGATTCAGAGAATTGGAGTTGATGTATGCTGAGTGCCTACTATCTGCAGGCTCAATGCCTAGTGCTTTACCTTAATTTTATCAAATACTGAAGCATGTACTATTATTTTAATTTTTAGATGAAGATAGTGTTATATCCAGAGGTTAGCTTGCCCAAAGGCATACAGTGAATAAATAATAACACATCACTATACACAATGATAGCAGTTTGGTGAATCTCATAAAATTATATCAAGGATCAAATTAGATAAGCAAAAAAAAAGCTTTGAAACTTTAAAACTTTCACCTAAGTTTGTTGTATCATCATTATAATCATAAGTATCATCAACATCACCATCATTGTCATCATCATCACTGGGTCACCTTTTAAAGAAATCTGTCATTTGATAATAAATAGTAACATCAAATTGATTGTATTTAACCTTCAGATAATGATCACCAAGACAGTTTTAATGATAGGAAAACATATCTCATCAAAAATGGAAAAAAACTGGTCTTATTTGGCCTGAAAATGAGAAAAATAAATAAAGGCCCAATAACTATTCAGTGATTATATTTATTTTAATTATATAGGCAATCTAACAAGAGAGCCAGAATGATAGAAAACAGAAGAAATATTATGCTCAGCCCAACCACAATAAGACAACCATTGTCAACATGTTAGTATAACTCTTTCTAGTTTTGTAATATTAATAGTCTATGTAGCTATATTCAGCATACATATAGTTATATATCCTGTTTTTAATTCACAAATACTATATCTCCATTTTAAGAGGTTTTTATATAATCTTTGTAACCTTTTTTTTATAATAGCCTTATAATAGGTCACACTGTATGTTATTTAACAACAGTCTTGTTGGTAAATTCTAATTTTTATAATTCTGTGATTTAACAAAAATATTTATACACATGTGCTATCATTTGAATTTTCAGGAGACATTAGCAAAACTGTGTACAAGAACAATTTGTGGTTCCGGGTTCATTCTAACAAATATTTTTCCCAAAAGTATATACCAGTATAGAGTGCCAACAATCCTTAGGAATACTAGTTCAACCAAATACTTGCTAGAATTGTTATATTATTATTTAAGAATTTCTTTGCTAACTACTAAAAGGAAAGTAGTGCCTCTTTGTTCTAAAATAGATGCCTTTGCTATTAGCGACAGTAAACTTTTCCCCATGTACTTATTTGTTATATTTGCCCCTTTGTGAATTATCCCAAGTTTTTTACTTATTGATCTGTCCCATTCTTAGCGATTTTTCCTTAACAATTTGCACAAGCTCTTTTTCTAAAGATGATATTTTCCTGACCATAAACATTCGCAAACATTTATCCTCAATCTGATATTAGCCTTTTTGTTTTGATTGCTTTATTTGATATTTAAATGTTTAGCTTTATGTTTCTATAAAGCTGTCTATTCTAATGTGATTGGTGGGGTGGGGGAACTTCTAAGCTTAGAAATTTAGGGCCTCGGCAAATGTTTAATGAATATTTATTTCTTGTTTTCTTAACACCTTTGTAAAACCTAACTCCTTAATAAAGTACAACTTATAGTTCTGTAGCGCGGTCTCTCTCAGGTCTTACTCTATCTCACCTCACGTTCTCTGCTTTAGTCTTTTCCTCCTCCAAGTTTCTTTATGCTGTTCTTGCTCTGCCCAACTCTTAAGTGTTGAAACTTCTCAGAAATCTGCCTTGGTCCTCTTATCTTATTCCTCTGCACACCACTGCCCCTGGGCAGTCTCCCCTATTCCCTTACCTGCAATTGTTCCCACTACAGTTTTGACCTTCAGATCTCTATGTCCAGGCCCAACTAAGTCAGAAACCCATACATCATCCTCGACTTCTTCCTCTCTCCTACCCTTGATAACCAGATTCTGTAGATTCTGCCTCCTCATTTTGCTCCTTTCCTGTTGTCCTGTTCTCCATCCCCACTGCCATTCTCCCAGAGCTGGCCCTTGTCACACAGCTGTCATTGCCTCTTTACTAACCTTCTTGCCTCCAATCCTGTCCTTTCCAACACTTCCTCTTCGAGCTCTAGGGGATCTCGTTATCATCACAATCTGTCCTGTAGCTTCTCTGTCTGAAGTTGTCTGCTCATTGGCAAACAAGTACAGACCACGGGTTATGGTAAAATTCTGCAGGGGAGATCCAGAAAGAGGGGTACCTAATGGGAACAAACACAGGTTAGAGAGTTGATAGTAACTGTGGATAAAAAGAGGGCAGGAGAAAGAAAAGCAAGGAAGTCTTCATAAAAAAGGCTATGGGAATAGATAATATGTAACATGTATTGAGGGCCTTCTTCTGGGCAAGACAGTTTACCTGTAACAGCCTATTTAGTTTTCAACAATAGCCATATAAAATAGGTACCATTAGCAGCCCCTTCTTATAGATGAGGAACATGAAACAAGAGAATATCAAAAACGGTACCTTTAGGCACACTGCTAGAGAGTGGAAGAGCCAGTATTTCTCATCCCAAGGTCCATGCTCTTAGCCATGATGCAAACCTGCCTCTTACAGGAGTTGGGGGAAAAAAGGTGTGAAGAAAGAGAGACTAAGAGAGAGAAAGAGAAGATTATGAGAGATATGACACCAGGTATCCAGTTAGGTAAGCCAGGAATCTGACAGTCAGGAATCCTGGGTTATGATCCTACACTGTTGTGTTAACTTTGGAATAATGATTAAAATTTACTTGCTTCAATTTCAGCATTTGTAAAATGAAGTTATTGCTACTTCCTCTTATAGTTTCTCACCAGCATATGCCTTGAATTCCTTTATACATTTATAATAGCATAGCATTATTAAAATTAAGTGTGATCAGATCTACTAGCATGAGTATCAAAAGATAAGAAAAACTTGCCATCTTTACAAATATTTCAAATGTTGTTCCAAATTTTTTAATTCCAGAAGAAGTTTGTTTTCCAGAACCCTTGAGCTCTACAGTTCTGAGAATCTTGTGCAATGTCCCCTGGAACTAAGTCTGCTTTCCTTCTTCCCCCAGCTTCTAGAAGTACTAGAGAACTTCTCAAAGTGTTTGAATCTCATTGTCAAATACTCTATACAACTTTAAAAAGAAACAGCATTGAGGAGTCTAGAGCAGATTCCTAAAAGCAAGGGCAGGCATCTCCAAGGAAGGTTCTTCTAATTGGCATCTTCACCTGCTGCCTTAGTTCATCCAGTTCAGTCAGAGCTTGGATCCAGACCATCCTGGAAACAAACACAGCCTGTGAATTATTCTGGAGATGAAATGTAGATGGCCTCTGCCTCCAAGAGCATCAGTTTAACCCACTTGGTCTCCCAAGTATTAAACTTGCTTCTAATTGAAAGAAAATCTGTTGAGAAACTTTGCTTCGGTGACAAAGTCAGTCTAAAGATTTGGGGATTTTCTTTCCTTCTTCAGGAAAGGATCTTTCAACTAAATTGACACTCTGCCACCTACACTGTTTCTATAGTAATCTCTTATTAACCAGGGTCTCTTAAACCCCCAAAATAAAAAGCCTAGCCCATCAGCCACAGGAAACATTAAGAATTCTCATTTTATATGTGAAACCATATTTTTTTCTTGTCCCCTTGCCCTAACCATTTAAAATTATTGCTTGGTGACTCAGTGCTTCTCCTTCTAAACTTACTTATGGGAAAGAACTGCAATATATGCTTTGGTTCAGGATAATGTATCAAGATTTGGGGAGAAGAAATTTACGGATTTGGCAATTTCTCGTCTCATTTTGGAAATATGAGTAGATCTATAGGATGTGAATATAACCCCTCCCTGTATCCTATGAGACTTTTGTTTTTCATTGGTTGCTATATACAAAGGAGGCAAAAAGCAATTTGTAGGAAAGTAGTATTGATAATCTAAAAAGAAAATGTTATAAAATAATTGAATGACAGCTAAAAATTAGCAGCATTATGTAATGAATCAATATGAATTATAAAAGCAAAATAAATCTGAGCACATTGACAAGAAGTTAAAAATATTAAGAGATGGGAACACAATTTGTCATTCTAAAATCATTATATAACTTAGCTCCAAAAGGCTAGAGAAAAATACCACTAGCAAGTAGTGCTAGTGAAATTATCCTGTCTTTGAGGATAAAATAATACAAAAAGAGGGAGGAAATAAGCCTTTGAAATTATGTTTATTATTACCTACATTCAAAACCATCTTAAGTAAACTGCCAAATACACTTCATACCAATTCACCCAACTGTCCTGAGGCCAAGAAGGCAGAAAAGTATCTTTTCAAGATTCCAGTTGATTGGTGGTGTCTGCCTGCAGGACTAAGCTGAAAAAAATTGTGAGGCTAAGCCTGGACCCAGCAGGAAAGACTACTAGAATTTATTAGTGATGTCTGCCATGGGTATTTAGGATTAGGAGAGGAGATGCTAGAAGACATACTAAATATTTGCCCATCTTAAATCCCAAAGCATGTTATCCACACATAAGTGAAACTTATAAAGATTCTCATGTGTGTCTCTTTGTATACATAGGTAAGCAACTGATGGGTTATAGAGAATGCAAATATTCAACAGCTTTACAAGACAATATCAAATTGTTTTTCAAAGTGGTTGTATTACTTCACACTCACAATGAGGAATCTCATTGTAAGTTACACTAGCAATAAGGAAGTTATTGCTAGTAAGTTACCCTAGCAATGAGGAATCTCAAACACAAATAAATTTTCCCAAAGTCCTACAACTATAAGTGATGGAGACAGACTTGGATACAGGTATATCCCTTTAAGAGCCTGCTTTGTTCACAACTACTTTAAGAGCAGAGAAGATACACAATTAGCTCGTAAGGCCTAAGGAAAAATAATTGCGAAAAGAGGTGTTGGGTTGACTTCAGGATATAATAGAACCCTAAGTTAAGTTCTAATGACAATATACAGAGCAATGTTGATCAAACTTGAGGGTTGACCTCTGAAGCTTATCACAAAAAGAACAGGAACTCAGGATTTGAGGAAAACCTTGACCTGGATATCCAGTTAAAGTTGAAGGAACCCAACTACAGAGAACAAATTATATGCTTGCTTTGTACCTTAACTACCAGTTTCCACCTTGAAGACTGTTTGCTTCAAATCAAAGGAGATTTTCTTGCTTCAGAATTTTATGGGTAGGTTAAAGTTAAATAGTCCTCAAACAGGAAAGGTAAAGCATGTTTCCAAAGTTCTGTCCTAGGAGGACATCTCTGATCCATTGGCTGGGCAGAGAGTTGCCCTCCATTTGGGGATATACTGGTTGACTTGGTCCTAGAGATGGACCACATAGTTTTAGATATATTAATTATGGTTTTCAGCTAGGTCTGCAACAAGTAACTAAAGTGAGAACACCTAAAAATATTTTGACTTGAAATATACTAGTAACAGACAAAAATGGGAGGTCATGGGCTAAATTAATTTTTTTCATTTAAATCTTACATTTATAAATATTAACTTCTGTGTATTTAAGCTGAATCAGGACTTTAAAATCTCCTTCTACATTGTACTGAGTGGTCTCTAGATAGCTTTGGCCAACCCAGTTTCTCCTCTTTCTTCATCTTGCCTCTAGTTCTCAGAACAACTGTAGAAGGTGCTGGAAATGAAATATCCTGAGATACAGAGGAGCTGCCTGCAACAGCCCAAGCCTTGTTCCTGTGCCTCCTGGAGAATGTAACATCTTGAGTTAGGGAGGAACAAACAGCCAGAAACAGCCCAAGCTTTGTTCCTTTCTTCCTTGGGAATGGTGTGTCCTGCAGAGTTTATCCATTGAGTCCTGTTGCCCCTGAGGCATGTAACCTGGGGCGGGCTGTCTTTTGGAGGCCCTCAGGTGTCCTACAGATGGGGCACATAAAGGCAAGATGCCATCCACCTCTGGCAGCTTTCGTGAAGCTTGAAAGACTGGCTTATAATGGACCCTAGGTTTCTTTTGTCCCTTGCTGCCTCTCTGTAAGTAATAAATCTGCTTCATGTAACTTGTTACATGTGAGTGTATTCTGTCTCACCAGACTAAGGCAATAGGTAAAACTGTAGCCAGGATGCAGTGGGTGGATGTGTTCAAACTCCTATTCCTGGTAGTTGGCATAGTGATGATCTTTGCTATCCTTTACACAGTGGGAGTCCTCCCTTGGGACTGGTTATTAGTATACCTGCTTCACACAATGGAACAAAAATAAAAGCAAGTTCTTTCCAAACCACTCAGTATGTGTAACATTTTACAAGCTGCTTCTTTTGTGTTGGTTTGAGTTTTTTAAAATATTGTAACACAGGATATAAAACATAAAGAAATAAACCTAAAATGTATTCCCTTCTCAAATACATTGATTCTTGCACCTTAAAATGAGTTCTAGGTTTTCAAACTGAAAAGCCAGACTCCTTGTTAATATTCTCAATCTTAAAGCAACTTTTTACATTTTGTTAACTCACTGAATTTATTTATTTTATGTTTTAATCTTCAGTGCAATTCAATGTTACATTCGAATTTGATTTTAATGAAATATTCTAGAATTATTAACCTCTTGCAAAGTTTCTATTTTTAGGTATCTATTATAAAGAGGGTGACTATTTTTCACTAAAATTGTTACACCCAGCATGTAAATTTTAGATTACAAAAATTACAAAATCCTCTAAATAATTCCTCCTTAAAAGATGGTATGAGACTGAGGGCTACTATTCAAAGATGTTTTTCCAAAGAAGCCACCATTATTTTGCTGATTTTTATGGTATCATACTCCCTTGATATTCAGCCAGTAATGTATTGTTGTGTCCTGGGTGGTGTTGGTTTTGCTTTACATAGTATCACTTGGTTTCATCTTTCTTTAATCCGGCACCAACCACTTTTACGTCCTCACAACATCTCCTTATGTTGTTGTTAATGTATGTATGTGTGTTAATGGGTACAAGTTATCTCTTTCATATGTCAAGTTACTGTTAAAGGCAAGGTTATTATCTACATGTCCAAGTAGGTGACAAGACCCAAAACCTGGAGACAGGACCACATTCAGGCTGTTGTAAGGCAGATCCTTCATCTCAAGTTGTCCAATGCCCATCTCCCAATTGTCAGATGTTATAACTCTGCCTCTCCCTCTCATGCTGCCTTTGCACAGATTAATTTTCCCCCTTTCCTTTTGAGGCTGTAGGTCAATCTGTTTTCAGTTTCATACAATTGCATAAATAGGCTCTGTTAAAGTGCTTTAGTCAGTTAGTGAAGTGCTTTTTTTTTTCTCAGATATGTCTTCTCCACTGCCCCAATTCCACTAACCACTCAATATATTCTTATCTGTTATAAAAAGAGGGAAAAAGGATGTGAATGAATCCCACATACACACAAAATATGGAACTATTCAATAGTTTTTATTGTGATTCAAGTGACTCTCCACTCCAGAGCCGATAAATGAGATAGAGTGTCCATCTGGGACGTGGTGGTAGTTGGTCTCCCATTAGGTAAAACCTCTATTGCAACTGTTATCCCAGAAGTTTTTAGGAATAAGGAGAATGTGCAATTCTTTCCAGCCTCCCTCTCTAACCTTTCTGGGAGCCCTGAGCTGTGATTGTGACTGGTAAGATTTGCTTACCAATTAGCAAAGCAAACCACACTCTGAAATGTGTAAACGATCCTTTAAATTGGGCAGAATGCCCAGAAATAAAGCTTCTCTGACTAGTTATAACTAATGTTATCACCGTTACCTCTTCCCTTCAATTATTTAGGCTTCCCCCACACATGGACTGGATTCCTACTGACAGGAATGTGGAACTCACTCATTAATCATTTTCTTGTCTCTGGCAGCGGAGGAAGGGAGGGATGCTCACTACCAAAAATAGAATGCCTTCTCTCTCTGATAAATAGGATAAAACTCTGTAATAAACATGTTGTCTTGTCATGGGCAATTTCTTTTGAAATTGTCTTGAGAAAAAGCATATAATATCAGTGCAGTTTATCTATACATCATAGGCATACAATAGTGAAGATGTAACTAGATACTAAACTAAAGTGCTTGTAAAAGATGCAATCAAACACAAATTCTCAGTTATGCTAATAACCTCAGGGTCATGGAGCACTAAATTATCCAAACAATAAATGTCTGGCAAACATTTTATGTGAAGACTAAAATTTGTGTTTTTATCACTTATATACATGAAAAAGGCTAAAAGGCAAATAAACCCATTCATGTGTGTGTATATATATATATAGGCACACAGGAAAAAATTTATCTCCCTGTATATGTTTCCAAAACCTATCATGTTAGATCACAGCTTTGTAGGGTTTCTAGGAGATTGCCATTGTACACAAATCCAGTGGAATGCTAATGCCATAAAGTCTAACTTTGAAAAGAAAAACTGGAATCACTGTTAAAGGCTATCTAGTCCCATGTCTTCATTACGTAAATGAGGAAGCTGAAGCTCAGAAAATTATTATCTAAGAAGCCAGAGGTTCTTTCTGACCCACATTCCCAGTGTGAGTTATTTCAATTTCTTATTCCTTTGTGCCAGTTCATCCACATTTCTATTTTGGCTTCATGTGAGGTCAGAGCAAAGATATGTAGCACTCTCTGATCATCCTTTCAAATCCTGATTTACTGTACTTAGTTTAATGAAAGAGTGTCACTCTCATTTTTCAGTTGTGGAAGCAAAATTAGAAGTTAAGTCGGTTATTCAGATCACCAAGCTAGTTAGAGGCAGAGCAGGGATCGGTGCCCAGGCTGCCTGACCTCTAACATCCCAAAGCGGGCAGTATATTGATACTAAGTGCCTCATATTTAGCTCCATATCTTTTCTTTCATTCAGAAAAAAAAAAGGTGGTTTTTTTTTTTTTTGGTGTATCTGTAAAAATGACTAGATTTGTTTTCACACAGGTATACAATAAATGCTAAAAGGGAACAGGAGACTCATAGGTCTGTACACACCACGTGGAATACTCTCCCAGACACCCTGCCAGCTATCTCATGGGAGGTCTCTGAGAGTCCTTCTGGGATCTATGCTTAATAGAAGGATAGTACTAGAACCACTTCAATTAACTTCTCATTTCACCGATCACCGTCTCTCATCTCTACAAAACAACACAATCAAAGCAAACAACACTGATGGTTTTCAATATATTGGCCTGTGGATGAAATGCATCAGCTTCTCTATTTAGTTGATCTATGTGAAGTGAGAATGGCTTGGGAGTGGTCGCTGTCACACTGTGACAAATGGGAGGGACTAGACAATCACTTCCTCTTTAAAAGGCACCATCTGTTTTGTAAGTTGTTCCCTTTCTTCCTTCTTTCATCCATCCTTCCTTCCATATTTTATCTTTCATGACTTTTCTTTTCCTGTACATAGTACTTTCACAAAGCAGAAAAACCAAAATCTATTTATAATGTAAATTAGCCTATCATGTTGCCTAAATGAATAACTTAACACTGATGAAACGAACTACAGGTTGACAAACACAGAGATACAGAATACATAGACCTGGGATTGAGTCCTAGTTGTGCCCAAAATAAGAATAAGCTGGGTCACCTCAGGTAAGGCACTTAACCTCTCTGAGCCTATTTCTTCACCTGTGCTGTGAAATTGATGTAATCAACCAGAGTAATTACAAAATACAAAGTAAAACTACATATAAAAGTTCTTAGTAAATTGGAAAGTTCCATATATATATATTATTATTTTTAACGACCTGATTTTTATCAGTTTCAATCTTGTTTCAAATGACAAGATAAAGTCGATGATCATGCCTCTATCTTGTAACTCTTAAGAATTGTATATTCAAATTTTGTGCACCAATTTAACTTGGGATAAGAAATTCTGACCAAAGTAGCTTGAGAAATGATTTTAGTATTTGACACCTGAACCAATGTTAATAACATAAATCCCTGCAATAGGTAACTCAGTCCACACCTATGCTGATCAGTTCCACACTGAGCTGCTGTTAGTTTGGAAAGATCTGCTTCTGGAATAGAAGTGAAGATTAGTGGGGAAATGGGTCCAAGAATAAATTGTGTTCGTGAAGTTTATCTGCCATCAAACCCTATCTAAATTTCAACTAAAATTTATAGCACTCTAGGTTATACCATGTGATCAGCACTCCAAGCCACATTGAGTATTCTTATCTTTGCATGTCTTATCTGATTGGCCGTAGAGCAGATAGTGAAATTATGTTCTACTTCCTGCTGTCCTATCTTTCTGAGCTAAAAGGGTCCAGATAAGTAAGCCAAGACATTTGTCAAAAACATTAGAGTATATTCACTGTGTAGAGGTAACCTGAAGAATTTCTCCTGAACTCATCTTCAAGGAGCTCGCCATCTTTTTCTTTTCTTTTATAATGTCAACGTGTATTTTAGATTCAGGGGGTACATGTGCAGGTTTGTTACATAAGTATATTGCATGATGCTGAGGTTGCATGCAAATGATCTTTTGATCAAGAATATCTTGGAATAGCAACATATCAACAAAAGTAAATGGCAGCACACAGTTCTAAGGGAATTATAGATGCAAAGCCAAACTTCACTAAAAGGCAGATTACAGATTCAGATGTAATGACAGTGTTTGAAAAGGTGGGGTAAGAAAGGTAGTGAAGGTGAAAATAGAGTTTGTAAAGAGGGAAAAAAATACCTAGAATATTGTCCATGTTAAATGAAGCACCAAAAATGTTTTTAATGTAACTTTCAATGACTCCTCCTTGTTCTCGCAACAAAGTCCAAACCCCTATGCAAAGCATGATTCATGGAATACCTAGTCTGTGGGAGGCCTTAGCGAACACATGGCAGCTGTGATTGGTCCCATCCACCTTTCCTACATCTTGCCGTATATCTAATACAAACCTCATACATCTAAAGTTCACAACAATCCACTGATGTTTCTACTTCCTTACCTTTGTTCATCCAAGAATGGCCATCTCCTTCCCTTGAAGTTTTTCTTGCCCTTCAAGGCTTTTCTCAAAGGCATTGCCTTTGCAAAGCCTTTACTAATCCATGAAGCAAGCCTCCAGAGCATTTTGACAGCCTCTCTAGAATCAATTAATTATCAATTAATAAATAAGTGAATCCATTGGGAAGAATATCATAAATGGAGAAAACGTACACTTTGAAAATATATGGAGGATCCAACATTGAGGTGTTCACATGCATACAAAGCATCTTCCTTCTCCTTGCCCTTTCCTCCTAGGAAGATGGTATCACAAGTTTGATCCTAGTGACAGTTGAGTCACCAAAGCCAGTGCCCACAGCACAGCACTGCGGATAACTGAGGTAGAAGAACTAGAAAAGTGAAGACAAAATGATGAGACTTCAGTCTTGTTCACAATATAATTATAGAGCCAGACATATAACTAAATACTTGTCAGCAATAAATAGACATCAATTTCTGAAAGACTTTAAGCAGGTCATTTTTACTACAGTATATACTACTTCTTAGAAATAGCACCAGAAAAAAACATTTTTTTTTTTTTTTTTGAGACGGAGTCTCGCTCTGTCGCCCAGGCCGGACTGCGGACTGCAGTGGCGCAATCTCGGCTCACTGCAAGCTCCGCTTCCCGGGTTCACGCCATTCTCCTTCCTCAGCCTCCCGAGTAGCTGGGACTACAGGCGCCCGCCACCGCGCCCGGCTAATTTTTTGTATTTTTAGTAGAGACGGGGTTTCACCTTGTTAGCCAGGATGGTCTCGATCTCCTGACCTCATGATCCACCCGCCTCGGCCTCCCAAAGTGCTGGGACTACAGGCGTGAGCCACCGCGCCCGGCCGAAAACAACATTTTTAATTAAAAAAAGACATAGCACCAGAGAGGAAGATTTTGGCTAATGGTGGTCAGTGAAATGCATTTCCTTTCTCTTTTTGTGGCCTGAGGGAATCTGTGTCCTGAGCCCTTAGCTCATCATCCAAGATGAAAACAACCCCCTAAAAACAGAGAACTGCATTTGAGATTCAGATTTATGGTACATTTTCAGTTTTAACTTGAGAGACATGTATTTTGGAAAAATGAACAATTAAAATTAACATTACAAGACATATTCTTAAATCCTGTTGAAAGTTTTTCTCAATTTTCTTCTCTCTTCCTTATAATTTATAAGTGGGCAGCTATTCTGAACCCTGGGAACTGGGAGCATGTGTCATATTTTAAATTCTTATTATTTGCAGGAAGTCCTCATAAGAGTTAGTTGGAAGGGTGTTTTTTTTCAGTCATTTTTGTGATTTCCAATTGTAGTGGGACAAGTGCCTACAAATATTGCTGATGAGTCAGAAACTTCACATTCTCTGGTAACATCAGTTAGAAGCCAAGTTCTGAGTGAACACAACCATTTGCAAAATAATTTCTGTGAAATGAATTCTTTCTGTGAAAGAAATTATTTTGCAAATGGTTGTGTTCACTCAGTACTTGGCTTCTGAATTCACTCGGTGCTTTGCAAACAATGGCTCTTGGGTTTCACTTTGCCTTATCCACCTGAAGAAAAATCACTTTTAGTAACAGGCAGGGTATGTCAGCCCCGTTGTAGCCCACTGACAAATTTCACGTTGCCTTTTCCTATAAGAAGCACATTAGGCATGTTAATAAGCTCTCAGGTTCTAGTTTATAATGAAAAGAAGGAAATTTTGTAGAACCTGCAGGCAAGCCTGGGCAAGGGAGAGTCTTCTGAAACCATAGCCTTTAAATTTACTTAGGATTCTCTCATCTCTGACTTCAACCCTGCAATTGCATTCCATCAGAAAATGGAGGTATCAGCCATGGTTCTGAAGAAGTCAACAAAAAGAACCAATCGGTTTAAGCAGAAAATAAATGTATTGAGGACACTAGATAGATTTTATCATCTCTGGAAGGATGGAGAACCAGGCTTGGAGGTTTTGTGGCCAAATACAATGTCCACTGTACCCAGGAACATGTCTCCAACAGAAGCCCCACACTGTATCTGGCATCGGCAATACCGAGCCCTGGACACACCTGCAAAGCCGCCTCCTCCACTGCTTCTGGAAGCCACATATCTCTATAGCTGTCCTTGCCGCAGTGGGTTTCTCTCTGCACTTGCTTCTTCCCATCATTCCCTTCTAAATCTATGAATTACTTGTTAGCATCTCTGGTTGAAAGTACCTAGATCACGTGCTTATGCTAATACTGCAAAAAGGCTATAAAAATTAGATTCTAACATCGTTCATTGGGATATACAGACATTTAAAATAGAGAACTCCCAAAGTAGGCATGTTCAAAGGTCCCAGACTGCTGAAAAAAATGGTAAATGTCTACTCCCTTGATTTCTCAGCAGGGCCGGAGTGCTGGAATACTGGCTGATTCAGAATATTGGCTGACAATCTAGGTCAGGGAGAATAACAGGGTCAAAAGGGAATAGTACATTTCTCTTTAACTCCTCTACTCTTACTGACCCTCTGCCACTTGTTCTTGATTTATTAGCTGACTATCTTTGAGCAAATTACTCAACAGCTCTAGTCTAAGCCATCAATCTGCCTGGAGTCTCTCTGATTCCACTATTGCCTGCCAACAGTTCATTGCCGCACACAAGCCGGACCCTGCTTTTCATAACATAAAGTTGATAACGCAGTTTCTGGGCCTAAATCTCTCTGATCACTGCCTAAACACCCTACCAGAGCCTGCAGGAAATTACAAGAATCGGTCCCTACCTTGATTCCCTTCAAGGCATCTAAGACCATCCTTTCCCCCATTAGTTGATTCTTAGTCCTACAGACCCTGCAACATGGGCAAGCTTGTCCCAAATTCAGGGCTCCTTCACTTGCTCTTTTCTCTGCCTGAAATATTCTTCCCTCAAATCACAGCATGACTGAACCCTTTTCACCATTGAGGTCTCAGCTCAACTGTCACTTTCTCAGAGAGACTTTCCTGACCACCCTCCCTAAATTGGACACTCTCCCCGCCAAAAAAGAGAAAAACTCCTTCTACCATCCCTCTTGTTAAAATTATAGTTCTTATTAATATCTAAATTATCTTAATCATCTATTTATTGAAGCTGTTTATTTTTTGTCTGCTTCACTAAAAACGTGAGGTTCATGTTCATCTCTGTATCTCCAGTGCCTAGAATTGTGCCTGGACAATTAACAAGCTTTTTATATCGTGTGCCAAACTCTTGAACTTCTGGCTCAATTCCTTCCACCCTCTGCCTAATTCCAGGCTTCCCTTTGCCCCACTTCCTCACGACCTAATTGAGTTCCCTGTCATGTGTTTGAGCAGATGGGACCTCCCACTTCCCCTGAAACAGATGACATCCTCCATGGCTAGTGTAGGCTGAGTATCAGTAGCCTGGGAGTTGAGCACGTGATCAGATTCTGCAGGGCTGTGGAGTTTGAAAGAAATAGAGAGGGAGAATGATAAGAAAGGTTGGGGATATCAGATAGGCCAGCAGTCAAGTGAGCAAAGGGGTGACAAAGGTGGCCATTGGTTGATAACAAAAGCTGGTGGACTTGCTGTCTGTCTAGGGCCTAACCTCAGCTGTCATTTCTTTCTGGATGAGTACAGCAGAGAAAAGCAGACAGGGCCAGGCATATGTCTCATCAAAGATCTATTTCTTAGAGACACAAAGACAGCAGGATTAACATCCATATGCTTGTTAATACTTCTTGTTAATACAGAGTCCCAAGAGCCAGGCTAATCCAAATGGAAGAGGGGCACATTTGGGCTTCAATTAACCCAGGGATGTCTGAGTTATCTTTGCTTCCTCAGCCACAGGTTTGAAAGAGGATGGCATCATTTTCCCCTCAAGTAAAATCCTATTTTAATTGACTTTCCTCTTGACATTTAGCTAAACTGACTCTACTTCAAGTATACCTTCCAGTGAGCATGTCCTCAAACAGAAAACAGGCATCCCCTGAGAATCTCTAATCATAGACCTTGACCTGAATGTTATGATAAGTGTGGTGTTAGTTGTCAGTCCTATCTACTTTCCATTTAATTATGTGAAATATCTAGATAATCACTTGCATTTCATTCTGCTAATGGACATAGAGTTTTGATATCTGTATTAATTATAAGCCTTTGCAGTTGTGTTAACAGTCATGGTGGATCCTCCGCTGCCCACTCATAGGGAAACTACCCCACTGGTCTTGTTTAGTTTGTGATGTGATGAGGAGCAAAATATCTCTTAATGCCCCTAACCCCATACAGAGGTCCAAATCTCCTACCATCTAATCAGAGGACTTACCAGGGCCAAGGACTATTGAATGGCAGGTAATGAATGAGTGTGCAGGGAGGTGCTCAACCTCTCAATCCTTCCACTCTGCAATCCCTGCTCTGTGACTGAAAGTTCTCCCCTTTGTCCTTCCAATCCATTCTTCCTCTCTTATGAGATTGTTAGATTTTTCTGCCTTTTCTCTCCCCTCCCCCAGGAGCAGCATTATCTAATCACTCCACTGTAGGGAAAGGAGAAATGGAACTTCAGGCATGCTTCTCATCTGTAAGTTAGGTACAAGACCTCTTTGAATTATTGTTTCTACTTGGTGTGACTGATGGACGGAAAAATCCCCTCCTGGATCAAGTAAGAGAGAAGAGAGGGAGATAAATACCCAGAAATAACAAAATGACTGCTTGGAGATATAATATTGACATGGTTACAAATAACAGAAACTATTTGAGGTACTTAGACAAATATGGGAGACTTCATTGCAGAGGAAAAGAGTTTCCCATGGAACGAAAAGGTTAGAACAGTTGACCTAGGGGTTTGAGCTCTCTCTGCATCCTTTTCTGCTGCAACTCTTTTGTGTCTGTCACATCTCTTTCCCTGTCTCACACTCATTCTTCTTTCCTGCCTTCTAGTTCTTTCTTTCCTTCTGCTGCATACTGTAGCTCTTAACCCCACTCTGACTCTTTGTCTAGACCAGCTTCCTCTACTTCTGTGGTCTACTTGTCAGAAACCACCACTGATGCCTCCTGGATTTATCTGTCACAGGTCCAGCCACCCAAATTCCCAGGGAAAGGACTTGGAAAAGTCCACTCGAACTATCAATGGGAGAGGTGGTGGATTAATATTCTATGAACATAGCAACTGAAGCCAGTCCTGCAACCATGAGAATGGAAGTCATGGAGAGGGAGAGCAGGGAATGAAAGGTGAACAACATATATACTCACGCTGCTGATAAAGACATACCCTAGACCGGGAAGAAAAGAGGTTTAATTGGACTTATAGTTCCACATGGCTGGGGAGGCCTCAGAATCATAGCAGAAGGTGAAAGGCACTTCTTTCATGGCAGCATCAAGAGAAAATGAGGAAGAAGAGAAAGCAGAAACTCCTGATAAACCCATCAGACCTTGTGAGACTTATTCACTGTCACGAAAACAGCATGTGAAAGACAGGCCCCCATGATTCAATTACCTCCCCCTGGGTCCCTCCCACAACATGTGGGAATTCTGGGAGATACAATTCAAGTTGAGATTTTGGTGGGGACACAGCCAAACCATATCATATACGTAGCTGATATCTATTGTATAATTTACTTACAATTCATGGCAAATTATCTCCCTAATTGGTGAGCATCATACAAGTTGCCTAGTGGGTTTCATCTCACTTGAGATCAGAAAATAGCACTAGATCCATAGAAATAGTTGCAAACCTATCTATCCATAAAACAGAGATCTTACAGAGATCTATATCAGCTATACTTAACTAATTATAGGATCCTGCTCTTATCATTTCAGTTTGAGACATTTCTTGGTACTCTGTGTGCTTGCCCACAGATTAAGTGTTTTATTCTACATTTTTAACAGATGGGGAGCTCACTTCACTTACTATAATTTTCATGTCATTGAGCCAGATGGGAGTAAGAGAATTAAAAAATAAGGATGTATGAAGTAAATATCAATGTTGCTCCTGATTTTTTTTAAGGACTAAAATTTTAATGTCATTTTTTTCCTCCCTCTGTTTTTCCTCAGTGTCCTACTTCAATATTCTTTATCCTGTGATGACATGTGCACTTCACAGTACAAAGAAGGTAGAAGATGCTCAAGGAATTCTTGCTGAAATAAACTGTATATCCAAAAGGTACAAAGTGTCACAGGGCTGATTTTGTCATTTCCCCTCTGACAGAACAAGTAAATAGGGAAAAGATCAATGTCTAAGCATACATCAATATGTATCGGAAGTCCTATATGGATATTTCTGGAGTATTATTCATTATTGTCTTTGCAACTTTAGGCTGTAAGCTATTTTCCTTTTTCAGAATTAGCAGTAGGTGTGGTTCCCTTAGGGAAGTACTAAAAATGTTCTGCTCCACATATGGCTTTCTTGGTGTTACTGCAGGTACATGTGTCATTGCTAGATGCAACAGCCTATCTGCTATTCTGAATGTATTTTGAGATCATTTGCCATAGTGTGGGCAACTCATTGGGGAAGCATTTATTAAGCACCTCCTCTGTGCCAAGTAGTGTGTAATTTCAGTAAATAAAAAGCTAACAAATGGTTATGGTAAGGAAATCGTCTTGTTTTTCACCCCTGGAAGACATTCTATATTTTTCCAAATACCGTAACTATTAAAATCGGAATATAAATTCTAATTTATGATTTGTTTGCTATTCCTGTTTCAAACTCATTTCTATTCCCTTATTCTTTCCATAATCATAAGAGTAGTTTTCAAAAATGAAATCTGCTCCCATAGCTCTTAGTTATTTTTTTCTCATTTTAAAATAGCTTAAACTAAGATTTACATGTACTAGTGGTAAGTGTTGTGTGTGTGTGTGTTTTTTCTTTCCTGACTTTTTAATTGAAATTCTTACTGTTCCCTTCTGGTGGGAGAAGGAAAGAAATACTTTTAACTGAGATTTTTTTTAAACTGAGGAATAAAAAAATAAGTAATACTTTTATTTGAATTGGTTAACCATTCTCTCCATGTTTACAGTTGTCTGCAAACCAGGTAGTGGAGATGTGGCCATTATCCAGTTAATTTGATCATTGTAACAACCAGAACTGATAATGGACACATAAAAAGCCTTCTTGAAAGAAAATATATTTTCTGAAAGAACTGAAATTAGTGGAGAGATGTCTAATAGCAAGATGAAGGAAACAGAGATTTTGATTTCTGCCAGCAGTAAACTTTTGCTTGAAATCCCATATACAATGAAAGAATTAGCCATAACTTTAAAGCACTCTCAACCCTCCTTTCAGTTTAACAACCTCTGCATAATTTAAAAATGACTCAAGGCCGGGCGCGGTGGCTCACGCCTGTAATCCCAGCACTTTGGGAGGCCGATGCTGGCGGATCACGAGGTCAGGAGATTGAGACCATCCTGGCTAACACGGTGAAACCCCGTCCCTACTAAAAATACAAAAAATTAGCCGGGTGTGGTGGCGGGCGCCTGTAGTCCCAGCTACTCGGGAGGCTGAGGAAGGAGAATGGCGTGAACCCAGGAGGCGGAGCTTGCAGTGAGCTGAGATCGTGCCACTGCACTCCAGCCTGGGCGACAGAGCGAGACTCCGTCTCAAAAAAAAAAAAAAAAAGACTCAAGTGTATGTATAACTCTACCGCCTGATAGATTGTTGGAAAGAAGGGGGTCTTCTTTGAAACATTCTGTGAAATCTCTGAATTCAGCAGAAACAGGATTTACCTCCAGACTGGCTATTAAATCTTTGATATATTCAGTAACTTCCTAACCATAAACTCCTGTTTTGCTCTCTAATGGATTCTGCCCACAATACTAATAGCATGTTTTATCACAGATCTTTAAGGTGTTATACAACTACACTTTACAACCTTGATTTGCAAACGAAGGTTCAGAAAAGTGAAGTGATTCCGGATCTTATTCTTTTCCGTCCTCATTAAGCTTGCTCTGCCCAAGTCATATCTGGGAAGAAAACAAACCATGACACAGATAACACCATCCATCTGGGTCACTGCAGCAGTTCTTAGTGATCCATCTGTACTGACACAAGAGGTATGGAGTGGGAACACTGATTACTCAGCCACTGCCACTCCAGCTCACCTTGGTCTCCTCTTTTCTGAACTCCTGCAATACTCACCCTTGATTCACACATTGGGCTCTCAGTCATTCACTACTGGGCACTGTTGTTTGACCATTTCTCTTGTTCATTTGTTTCACTTGCTGACAAGCATGAAACATTTACTGCAAGGAGAGCACTATTGTAGACTGACATGCATGTTTGTAATTTTTTTATTTTAAGTCTTACTCTTTTAAATACCTCCATCTTTTCAAAATGACAAAAAAAGGAAAATAAAAAAGAATGAAAGGAAACGTGGTTTTATGTTGCAGTGAGGAAATATGGAGTCATTGTTCTCAGGAATTAAAATATAGGAAATAAGATAGGACATTGTAGGGTTCATTAGGACTCTCTACAAATAATTCAGTTCTTTCCTTTCCCCAGGTATACAGTGGAATTGAAATTGTCTGCTCTCTCTGAAGTATGTCACCATGTGACTTATTTTGGCCAATGAAACGTGACTTGAAGTGATGTGTATGGCTTCTATGTCTAAGTCGTAACGGTCAGTAGGCAATTTGCCACATTCCTTTTGTTTTATCTTAGTGATCATAGAATTACATGATAAAGTAGACTTTCCATCAGCCATGGTCTTAAAGTGTCCACTATAAGCAAAGCCTCTCTCCCAACCTTCATTGAATACATATCATGAGTACAAAATAAATTTTTGCTTTATTGAATCACTGTGATTTTTATGAACATAAATTCTCAACAAAAAATACACTTTTCCTGTCTGAAGTGTACAGTTCAGTGGTTTCAGTATGTTACAAACTTCTATAGCCATCAGCAAAATCTAAGTTTAAAATATTTTCATCAGAGGAACATTATTTAGGAGGTTCCATCAACAAGAAATCTTGTATCCATCAGCGGCCGTTCCTCATTTCTCTCTCATCCTTCCAGTTGTGGGCAATCACTAATTTACTTTCCATCTCTATAAATTTACCTACTGTGGACATTTCACAAAAATTACCTTATTCAATATGTGGTCTTTGTGACTGTCTTCTATCATGAAATATAATGTTTTTGAGGTCACCCATGTTGTAGCATCTCTCAGTAATATATCATACTTTATTGCTAAATACTGTTACATTGCAGTATATGTCATTTTAGAAATCCATCTATCATTTGATGGATATTTGCATTATTTTCTCTTTTTGGCATTGGTTAATAATGCTGTTGTAAACATTTGTGTACACCTTTTGTGTGAATGTAAATTTTCATTTTTCTTAGAATTTCTCTATGAGTAGAATTTCTGGATCACATGGTAGCTGTGTTTAACAATTTGAGGAAACACCAAACTGTTTTCCAAAGTGACTGTACCATTTCACATTCCCAATGTATAAATGTCACAATGTATGAAATTTCCAATTTCTTCACATTATCAGCAACAAATTTTAACAATTGTTATTGTGCGACTTTTTTATTCTAGTCATTCAAGCAGGATGCAATGGCATCTTACTGTGGTTTTAATTTGCATTTCCCTAATGAGTAATCATGTTGAGCATCCTTTCATGTACTTATTCACAATTTGTAAATCTTTTTTGGAGAAATGTCTATTAAAATTCTTTGATCATTTTATAATTGGGTTATTTGTCTTCTTACTATTGAATTGAAATAGTTCGTTACATATTCAATAGTTCGTTACATATTCTAGATGCAAGTCCCTTGTCAAGACTTGGGTTTTTCATTTCACTTTCTTGATGACAAGTTGACAAGACAAAGGTTTCTAATTTTGGTGAACTCCAATGTTTCACTCTTGTTCTCCAATGTTTCATCACTTGTGCTTGGGATGTATAGCTAAGAAATCATTGCCTAACTCAATGTCACAAAGATTTACTCTTATGACTTCTTGTAATAGTTTTATAGTATTTGCTCTTACATTTAGATCTCTGACTCATTTCCAGTATGTGTTTATGTATGGTATGAGGTAGAGTCCAAATTCATTCTTTTGCATGCTGATATCAGTTGTCCCAGAACAATCTGTTGAAAAGATTATTCTTTCTTTCATTGAATTATCTTGGCAGCTTTGGTAAAAATCAATCGACCATAAACATAAGACTTTTACTTCTGGACTTTCAATTTTATTTTTTCAATTCTATCCTCCAGATGTCTGTCCCTATGCCCATACTACACTGTACTAATTATTGAAGATTTGTAATACATTTTGAAACCTGGTTGTGGAAGTTCTCCCAGCATTATCATTCTGTTTTCAGGATTGATTTGGCCATTCTAGATTTTTGCATTTCCATATGAATTATACAGTCTGATTGTTAATTTCTGGAAAAAAAAAAAAAAAGCCCAGCTGGAATTTCAATGGGGGTTGCATTAAATCTGTAAATCAATTTGGTGAGTATTGCCATGGTAACAACATATTGAGTCTTCCAACCCATGAACATAGGCTATTTTTTTCATTTATTTAAAGCTTTAATTTTTTTCCTACAATGTTTTGTAGATTTTGGTGTACAAGTCTTTCACTTCTTTTACCAAGATTATTCCTAAGTATTTTAATTTTTTGGATGGTATTGTAAATAAAATTTTATTTTGTGTACTCTTCATTGTTAGTATATAGAAATGCAATTAATTTTCATATATTGAGCATGTATCCTGCAACCTTGCTAAACTCATTTACTAGCTCTAGTAGTTTTTTAGTGGAGTCCTTTGAATTTTCTACATAAAAGGTCATGTTGACAATTTGGGAGGCCAAGGTGGGCATATCACTGGAGGTCAGGAGTTCGAGATCAGCCTGGCCAACATGGTGAAACCCCATCTCTACTAAAAAAAAATACAGGGAAATTAGCCAGGCGTGGTGGCGCATGCCTGTAATCCCAGCTATTCGGGAGGCACAGGCAGCATAATCGCTTGAACTCGGGAGGCAGAGGTTGCAGTGAGCCGAGATGGTACCATTGCACTCCAGCCTGGGAAACAAGAGTGAAACTCTGTCACAAAACAAAACAAAACAAACAAACAAAACAAAACAAAAAAACCTAAAGTATAATGCTGTAGAGATTTTGAAGTTAGATGTTATTGCAGCATAACCTTGCCTATGTATCAATAATGCCAATATTAGGAACAAAATAGAGATGGATTCCATTTCATTGGGAAAATCAGAGAAGGCTTTTGGAAAAGTGACCTGGAGAGGATAAGCCTTGAAGAATGGAAGATAAGTCATTCAGTATGGATATGAATTTCTATACCCTGACTTAGAGTAAACTCTTAAATAAAGAGTGGAAGAGAAGACAGGAAATACAAGTTAGGAACAGAATATTTGTAAAAGCTGTACTGGGGAAATTGAAAATGGAGATAGAGATAGGAGGTCTTGCAAAATCCTAGAGAGGAATAGCAGGTATGACAGCTAAAAAGTAGTTAATGCTTCCTATCCCCAGATCATTCCAGTGTTCACATTTAAAGCCTCAACAGTACCTACAACTTACCTATCCAGACTTCTCCAGGCTTTCACTTCAAGCCAGATAATACTGACAAGCTGTTGAGCACAAATCTAATGATGAGCCTTGCTCCTGGCTTCATTTTCACCTTGGAACCCAACATGAAGAACAATATGATTTTTCCACGTTCAAATTTTAAGATTGCCTTCCGGGGTCTGTGATCTTCTTTTCTTCTTTGCCAGAGTCCCAGGGACTCAATATGCTTCTCCTGCCTTGTTCATGTGGCTCTAGCTTATTTCTTACCTAGATTTTCACATCAATTATACCAACTATGGAGTAGAACCCAACGACCACAGCTTCTGCTGATAATCTTGCAATCCTTGCACACAACCACACAAAAACAAGACACAAGGCTCCAAAATTCCTCCGAAGAAGTTTCTTTGGATTGACTGGTCTGTTTGATTTTGTTTGTTATTAGACTTTAAGGATATAAACAAGATAACCACACTACGTAAAGTTTTAAAAATCTAACATAGTTTTGTTGCGAGCGTCCCCTATTGAATGAGTAACTGTGAATCTAGTTCCTTCTAACAGTAGTAACACTCGCTGGGTACTAGGCACTGTGCTAGGCACTTTGCTAATATGCTTACCATTCACCAGAGCAAAGTAGGCATCCTGGTGTCCATCTCACAGAGGAGGAAAATGAGACTAAGGGAAAGAGATTTACTAGGCTAAGGCCATAATTATTAAGTGTTGGAGCCAGTATAGAAACCACATTTATTGATTTTCTCCAAAACCCCCATCCTGCCATGAGTGAGTAAAGTTCACCAAACCCCTTTTATTCCCCAGTCCTTATAAGGTATGTCACAGTGACCTTATACTTCCATGCAGCCCTTTTTTCTAGAGTGTCAACTAATGACCTTTCTATTGTGTATTTATCTTGTTGGTATTACTTGTGTTTAAGAAGCCTCTAAATTGATTGATGGTCATTTTCGTAGTCTTGCCCCACATAAGCACTATCTTTTTGGAGTCCCATACTAGACTGGACCTCCTGGGAAATGGTTTTTTGCTGGGAACATAGAAGTGTTCAACTAATCTTTGATGAATAAATGAACAAATAAATAAAATTGAAGAATATATGAATAGACAAGTTTTCTAATAGGTCATTCCTGCAGTTGTCATTTGCACTGTTCCAAGGCAATGTATCCTGTAGCAGAATTTAAAGCATACACTCAGGCATGGAAGTAGAATCCCAGCCTCACTGCTTCCAAAGTCTGTGAGTATGGACACATTATTTAACCACTGTATACCTCAGGTTGTTCATATGTACAGTGAGTAATAATTTACTCTGGCATATGGAAGATCATATAAGATCATGAACGTGACTCAAATTGAATATTCATTGAATATCACTTTACATCTCTTTAAGACAAATGTTGCAACCTGAGTTTTCTTCTAGTTTCCTTGTCTTGAACTAGTTCTCCTTTGCCTGGGTAATTGTATTGGTATCCTACCTAGCATCTAGAGATGGAGTATATCCTAAAGGTTGAAACCCAGATTCTGGAAACAAAGTGCCTGCATTAAAGTCCAGGCCCCACCACATTGTAACTGTATGACCTCGGCAAAGTACCTTGATGGCACCTAGCCTCAGCCTCCTCCTCATCTGTAACATAGGGATAATTATAGTAGCTTCCTTCATGGGATGGAAGTTTATAATCAAATGACTTAATGTCTCTAAAGCACACAGAACCATATTTAGCCTCAGGAAAGGCACTCAGTGAATGTTTACTTTATTGTTACTACTGCTAGCACTACTACTACTGCCAGTACTACCACCAATACTACTTTAGGCACTTAAGCAAAATGCTTCTACAATGTTCTTCTTGGAGGTAGGACTCTACTTGAATCTGCCTACTGTTGGTTTCTACCTACTTAGTAGGTGTTTACTACTGGATAGCACAAGTGTCATTTGTCCATCTGTCTCAACTATCTGGGTTGTTTGCTGCAGAAAATTGCCCCCAAGTACTTGCAATATGCTGAAATTTACCTATCTCAACTTCAGGGTCTATTTATCCCTGATCTTTCCCATTTTGAGATTTATAGAGTAGCATCATTCCAATATTAAGTCATCTCTAGATCACTGAATGCGGTGTGTGTGCATGTGTGTGTGTGTGTGTGTGTGTGTGTGTGTGTGAATACATATCACTTCTGCTGTCATTTGCTTCCTCTTTGCCGTGAGCTATGATTTCTCATTTCCAGCAGTGTGTTTGTTCATAGCAGCCCTTCTTCTTCTGATGTGATGTCTGTAATCTGCTGTGGTTCTGCCAACTGGGAAAACCCAGTTTGTTTGAATTGTGTGTACAGTAAGTGTAAAGAGAGTCTGACAGAGAGCCTCTGGGAATCTCCCATGAGTCAAGACAGTGAGAGTCATCATGTGAACATTGTAACATAGAGTCTGGCTGCTTAGAAGATTCCTTTTAGCTCACTTTCTTGCTCTTGGTTGTTGTCCAGAAGAGGTAAGCTTTGCCAGGCATCTGAGTCTTGGAGTGGTCGGGCATTATTATTCTACTTTCATTACTAGGAATACAAAAGGCATTCAACTCAATTTTTGTTTATGGCATTGAAATGTTCTGAGCCATATATTAATAAGACCAGAGGAAGTGTACTATACATTTTCTGGATAAAGGTGTGTGAGGATTTTGACAATCTAAACTCCAAAACCCCTTCCAGTGTTCATACATTCTGCACAGTCTGAATCTTTGTCCAGGACAGATACTCACTCTCCCAGGTTCTCTGGCCCCAGAAGCCAGAGTGAAGAACTGTGTGGGGCAATAGGCATGGCAATGTCTAGGACTCAGTGGCAATAATGCCAGTGGTGGTACTGGTGGTAACGGGTGCAGTGCAGTGTTCAGGATTTGACAGCAGCAACAGCAAGGCTGCCCTAAATGTCTGTCTCTGTGATGCTTATTTTGACTGTGGATCCAATCTGCTGACCTCTTCCAGTCTCCTCTCATTTTCCAAGCCTGGTTCTCTAGCTTTCAACAGTACCATTACTATCTAATAATTTTCCAGTAAATTGCTTATACGCTTAAGTTAATCAGCACCAGTTCTGTTGTTTTCAGCTAAGAACCTTGTGTAGGACACATGGGTGATTCCTTATTTTTCTATCTAAATCGTATATATAAGAAGTACTTGATTTCAAAGGATGGTTGAGCCATACATTAGATTATGTTCAGTAAATTTTATTGTCATATCTTCATTAACACAATTATTCAGAGGAGACTGTGTATTAGTCTGTCCTTATACTGCTAATGAAGACATACTTGAGACTGGGTAATTTATAAGGAAAAAAAGGTTTAATGGACCCACAGTTCTAGGTAGTTGGGGAGACCTCACAATCATGGTGGAAGGCAAAGGAGGAACAAAGTCATGTCTTACATGGCAGCAGGCAAAAGGATGTGTGCAGGGGAACTCCCCCTTATAAAACCATCTGATCTCATGAGACTTATTCATTATCATAAGAACAGCACAGGAAAGACCCTCCCCGATGACTCAATTACCTTCTACCACGTCCCTCTCACCACATGTGGGAATTAAGGGAGCTACAATTCAAGATGAGATTTGGGTAGGGGACACAGCCAAACCATATCAGGTGGCAAAATTCTAATTTGACTCACTCCTTCCTACTTACTTTACTCCCCTGAGCATCTTACAACTGAGCAAGTAGTGTTTAAATCATTTTCCAAAAATCACTTATTTAAATAAAAAGAAAGAATTACAAAATTCTTTCCAGAGAAAGATTCGTTTGGAGGAACAAACCCAGTGATGTCCTTGCTAATATGAAGTACATAGTAATTATTTTTTGACAGCAGAGAAAAACAAAAGGTAAACTGTGAGTACAGTTTTACGTTAGTATTTGTGTTGGGGTATGCTAACTTCCTGGAAGAGTGGAAAGAGCCACAGGAAAGCATCAACTTAAAATGAACACAAATATGTTTACTCAATTACTTTGCTGTTCCCTAGTTCCTGAAAAGGATTTCAAAAAAGAATCAGTCTTTCCATGTGGCTCATGAGTATTAACTATCAAAGAAAGTTATGTGGGGGTATGTGTGTGTGCATGCCTGTGCTCACACAAGAGAAAAAGAGAGATGCAAGGGAAAGAGATGTTCTTGTTGCTTAGAAAGAACCAGAGATGAGATCTAGGATATCAGTAAAATAATGTCCATTTGTCCCAAGGACATTTCTTATTCCTGGTTCCAATTTGTCTTGAGACTCAATTCTTTTCTGGCCATGTGTTCTGCATAAACTCCTGTGTTCTGAAAAGAAACTTGTTGATTTTGGTTATTTGCCACTAAAAAATCTTGACTAATGCAGGAATAGATCAGGATCTATAGATCAAATAGGTTAGCATCTCTTAAAATGTTACATACAATTATATTTTATAATAAAAATATATGATAAAATATGCAAATAAAAAGATACATTAATATACATTTTTATAATAAAAAAGCTACACTATATTTATTTGGAGAGGAATAAAGCCAGTCCCCTAAATTTTAAGTTTGTTCTAAATCTTTCAAATGATAGCGGAATGATCTTCCCATACTTATCAAGAAGTGACAGGAGTTAGGAATTTAAAACCTGTTTTTGAATCATTTGATTTGTAAAATGTTTCTCAAGGCTTCAACACAATATAATTGGCTGCCTATCCTCTTCTTTGAACTGAATGTAAATGACCTGTCAATTTCTGCATATGGCTTTCTAAATTTAGGCGATAAGATAATTTACATTTACAAGGGGTAACCCAAGGAGATGCATAGTGCAACTCTATAACTAATTCAGGCTAAAGGATTGTGATGGAGACTCTTATTTGGTGAAGAAATAAATCTTATTAAATAATAAACATAAAGCATAACTATAAGAATGGTGAGAAAAGGAAGATGGCAAAGTCATAGTAGTTTTTCAGAAAGTAGAATCCAAATAAATATATTTAGAGAGACTGTTATAGAATCATCATCTATATTGAATTTTTGCAGAAAATATGCAAATTGCAAAAATATGCAAATAAAAACACTTTATCCCATTAAGGTATTTTGAAAAGAAAAGCAGATTCAAAATACATTCAAGCTTCATACTATTCTAGCTAAGTACAAGCACTTAAAAAATAAGAAAACAATGATTGACCTGGACAATATATTTAAGATATTTGGGCCATGTCAATATAGAGTACTGTAAAGGGAAGATTTCCTTCTTATTCATGTGGATTTAGTGTTACATGATGAAAAGACTCCATCTAGCATAAGGGTGAGATAAATCTGGTTCACATTCTAGCTTTGCCAACTTATTAGCTATCTGAATTTGGACAAGTCATTTAAAGTCTCAGCCTCTTGTACTTATCTACAAGACTGAGTTGTTAGCAGAATTAAAAGATGTGGAAGTTAGCTTCTGCTCAATAAAAATATGAGTCAATGTAAATAGGCAATGTAGCTAACATTGCCATCCAAGTAGAGTGTTTTATACACCATATTATTTGGTTTGCCTACCCACCAGTATAAATTTTATAGAGAAGTGCAAATGATGTTTAATCAATTTGGCTAAATGGATCTTGTTATACGTTGGCAGCCACGTGGTATATTATAAATGATCTATGGCTTCATGTTCGGAGATCTAGTTTTGACATTGGCTCTGCTATCCAGCAACTGAGTGAACCTAAACATGCCACTAAAATCACTCGAGCTTCACATTAAAAATTGGAGAGGAGAGGGAAATAATGTTAATGCAGAACCCATTTTAGAAGGTTAGACTAAAAGTAAATGAGCTAACATGTATGAAAGTGCTTTGTAAAAAGCAACTCTCCAAATAAGTATCAGATGATGAAACAAGCAAGAGGAGGGTTTTGTAAGGTACTGTATTTGAGATTGTCATGAAGGAGAAAAAAAGAAAAACAACCTTGGCAATTACAAAATGAAAATAAAATATTTAATTTAGAAATACAAAATAATCTACAAACTTTTACTTCAAACTTCTTTAACTTTCTTCTACTTTGTGTGGCATGCATAGTGCTCTCATAGCAATGTGTTTAGAAGGTTGTAAGAGGAAGGCTGCTCAAAAAATACATTACGCAGATTTGGAAGGGGGTGGAGGTAAAGTTAGAATTTCTGAGTCATGAAAACATCAGAGCGCTTTCTGAAAGGTGTAACTTTATTTAAAACTGTGCTGCTGTGAATTCTATCATGCCACAGACACCTCTGAATCAACAGTCTCTGTTGGCAAATTGTTATGCTGACAAATTCTCACAAAGACTGAAAATTTCCATTTTGTAAACAAATAAGTGGGTTCCTAATGATCTAGCTTACCACCTAGAACTTTGAAAAGTGGAACCCTGGCTTGAGTGACCCTGAATAATCTATTTCTCACATTAGCAAAGCAGATTCAATTATTTATCACCCAAATCATAGAGCCACTGTATGAATGTAATATTAAGTCTGATACTCTTCTTCAAGCTAGGGAAGCAAGAACAGCACATCACTGACTTCACTGGGTGGAGTCCCTAAAATAGTAAGAGTGGCATGATGTGCTAATGTGGTCTTCTTCATGACACTAGGGGCTCTATTTCACTTCTATCCATAACAGAACAAATTTATTTCATGGAAGAATGATCCACAGGTTTCCTGACCAGGATATTTGATGTACACACATGGGAATGCACCTGCAGGCAAATACAGGTTGGGTGATGGGCACTCTTTCTGCTGGGTCACAGTCAGTCACAGGGACTCTAGTTTTGTGCCTTTTGATCACTACCTCCAGCACCTACGAGGAATGAACTGGACATGTGACATAGCCACGAAGCTGGGGGAAAAATCATCAGCCATCACAGTGAAGGGAAGTAGGTGAGGTACATGTGCATACCATAGACTTCGGAGCAAGCAAAGTGCACATATGTTACAAAAGGTAATGAATGCACATAACAAAAGATATACAGGAACAGTAGTGTCCAAGAAGGGATGTCAGACTTGGAGATAGGAGGTGCTGGGCCCAGACCCTCGATGTAGTGCGATTAAATGAGATGCCTATTAAAAGCCTAACAGCAGGTCAAGAATATGGGAAATCCTCATATATCAGTATTATTAGGAAGTAATTTTCTTTCCACTCATTTAATAAAATTACAATTTGGGCATCACCTACATATTAAAGGGGGTTTCATTTCATGATCACAAGGCTCCTTCTAGCTCAGTGAGTAGAATGAAGCTAGTGGTAATTTTACCTTTGGGCACCCTTGTTTTATAAAGAGCTAGCTCCCATTGTTTTATAAGGATAAGGCACCTGTCTAGCCTACTAATTGGTGGTAGCGTGAGAGGATGGAGAGGGGAATGCTTGTTTTTGATCACAGTCTTGGTCCCAGGCTCATTTTTTCATGTACTTTCACCTTCCCATTTCTAGATGCTTTAAATTCTCCAGCCCATGTCTGGGATGGTACAGATTTACCTGTGGTCTCATGAAGAAAGAGCAGGACCCAAAAGAAACACAGAATCTGGAAGTGTTTGTCATCAGATCAACAACCTAGAAGTTGGAAGAGTCTAGTCCTGTGTGATCATGAAGACAATGATCTTCTTTCCTATCTAGAAAGCAGAAATGATATCCAGCCTTCCACACCTGTGAACACAGGCCTGAGCACCCACTGTCCAGGTTAACAAAGATGTCCTCAAGGGCCAGACCTGAGCAAAATTAGAAAATAGAGGTGGTATGTTGCAAGAAGCACTGGAACAGAAGCTGTGATACCTGGATCCTGGCTCTGCCATTAACTCATTATGTGACCTTGAACAAGTCATTTCACTTGTTTTGAGTCTTGGTTTTGAGTCATTTGACTTGGTTTGAGTCATTTCATTTTTTGAGCCTTGGTTTTCTTGTGTAAAGTGTTTTAAACATAAGAAATGTTATTACATTTTACACATAAGAAAACCAAGCCTCAAAAAAGTTAAATGACTTGTTCAAGGTCACATAACTCATTAATGGTAGAGCCAGGATCCAGGTATCACGGCTCCTGTCATGGTTCAAAAACTCCCAGTATTTATGGACAAGAAGAAAACGTTTAGAAAATATTTTAATCGGATATAAAAAAAACAAAGTTGTCTTGAAAATCAGGGTCAGCCTTCCACAATCATGCCCTCTCCCTCTCATTTGTCTCTCTCTCTCTAATTCTTTCTTTCTGGTTCCTCAGGTTAAGAAATAAATCTAAATAATTTATAATAAAGTGTTATCACCATAGGTGACACCTCCTTTATTGGTATTTGTGTGCTAAGAAATCAATATCTGGTGTTAGGATGTCAGATGCTTGCAAGCTGAAGAATGTGGAAGAAGATTGTTTTTGCATGTACATGCGTGTGTGTGTGTGTGTGTGTGTGTGTGTGTGTGTATGTGTGTGTGTTTTGAGGGAGGTGAGTAATTGGTATCCTTCTTAGGTAGAATACTCCAAAGACAGCAGCCTCTCTAGCTGAGGCAAAGCTGGCTGTGCAAAGAGCCTTTTACAGCGTGGCCCACAGACAATGTGAAATTCTCTCTCCTCTGCAGCCTTGGTCTGCAGTGACACTGGCAGATGCTAAACTTCGGCCTGTCTAGAACAGTTAATTAGGTTATAGAGGCTGCCAAAAATCCCAAAGTCATCCAAAGAAAATGCAACACTTTGAGATCTGAAGCAAAGGTCAGAAGACACAAACACTAATCCTATTTCTGAGAAGAGAGAAACAAACAAAGAAGTAAGAGAAAAAAGAAAGGCAGGAAGGCAGGTCCCTGACAATCTGGCAACTTCTAATCACTCTTTTATAAACAATATTGAGATCAGGCATAAAGTGATCCTAGCTCTTTTCTCCAGTAATAGATACTGTATATTCATACACGATGATATGCAATAAATACCGCATATTCATGACCTTTCCACAGCTCTCAGTCCATACCTCTTGAGACAATAGAGGATCTTTCAGGGACCCCCTTCCTGCTGAGAACATTTCCACCCGAGAATGACTCTGGAGTGAAGAAATTGAATCAATTAAATAACTGGGTATGTTCAAGCCTTCTTTACGGGTTGCATCAAATTATCACAAAGTAAGAACTGCTGCTGTCTGCCCCCTGGTTCTCAGGAGTGGAGAGGCAGCCTTACAAACCTAGAGACCCAATTCTTCCAAAGAGGTTACCCCAGAACGTGTGTGTTGGGGCTGGGGTGGGGTAAAAAAATGAACAGCAGTGCATAGGACTTCACTGCCACCAGCAGGCCCCAGAGGAAGTGCAGGCCCAGAGGAGGCCGGGCTGCTTAGGTTAGGACCATCCAGGCAAGAAGAGAACACTTGCGTCTGAACTGCCTCACCCTGTGCCCGCCCACCCCTTCCCCAATCTCAGAGATTTGGAAAAACTGTTCTTCTTCCCTAAAAGACAGGTGTTCCTGCCCAGAAGCCCAGAATAAGTGATTTATTGACTAAACTGCAATTAAGGCTACAAACACTCCCTTCTCCCTGCGCCGTTGGCCCCCAACACAATTACACTTTATTTTGCGAGGTCTTCGTTCCTGTCCTGGCTTATGCAGTATTTCCATGGGTGCAGTGGAGTGGAAGGGAGACGGCGATTTTACATCTGGGTCCCTCTGCGTCTCATGTCACCTAGGACGTGGACTGGACCCCTGCGCCGTCCACCTTGAGCCCGGAACCCGAGGACGGCCCCGCGTCCTCTGTGGCCGCCCTGGATCAACTTCAGGTGGAGCTGACCTACGCGTTGCACTGACTTTGAAGAGCGGCTGAAGCGCACACAAGAAGCTGCTGCCCACAGCCAGCTCCGATTTCTCGCACCCCGGTCCCAATCCACGGCCACCTGCACTTTGCGTAACGTTGCGCTGGGGGGCGCTCCAGAGAACCCACACCCTCCCGCCCGGCCCAGGTGCGCACCCGGCCGCGCGGGGCTCCAGCAACCTGGCGGCCGACGGGCCCGGGAGCTGTCAGGCGAGCAGAACAGCCGGTGAGTGCGCCTTGATGGGAGCAGAAAGGCCCCTAGGAACCTTGGAGGCCTCGGAGGAACTACCCGCGGAGATCCGCTCCCAGAAAGGTTCCGGGACCACGCGGCGAGGAGCACGTGAACGGCGCAGCTTGGCTATAAAAACCCCGCTCAAGCGCGCGTGGGGAGCAACCGGAGCGGCAGGACGCTGCCACCTGCGCCAGGAGAGATAGGGATGAAGCGATCGTCCCTCCAGGACGCCAGAGACAATCTGGAGACTTGATGCTTTAAACTCTCCGGGTCTGGCTTGGGGTTGTGTGCGTCGAACTTTGAGGCTGGATTCCCTGCACTTGGGCAGAGACGCACAGACGCCCGAGCGTGTGGATTCCCGAAAATTCTCAGGGCTTGTGTGACCTTTAGGAGAGTTGGAGGGGGCGTAGTAGAAATCTCAGGCTAATTGATTTCTTGTCCTCCACCACGGAGGCAGACAGGAGCCCTCGGCTGTCCACAGAGGAGTCCAGGAGGCTCCTGCGCACCCCCGAGGCCCCCGCGCCCAAGCCCCGGCCGTCCTCTAAGCCGCAAGTTATTTCTGCGCCCGAGAGAGGCGGGCTCGGATAAAGTCGGGACGCCTTCTGGTACATAAAGTTTCATCTGCTCTCCTCGCTCGCACGGTCCCTGCCGCCTGGCGGCCCCCTCCTCCCACGGCGGGCGCGGGCGGGGAGATGGCCGCCGGCGCTTCCCGGCGCAAACGGGCGCTGCGCGCGTAGCCGCCGCCACGCTGACCTCCCGCTCCAGCTGGCTGCTGCTCGGAGCCCTAGCAGCGGGCGAAGGCGGAGGCCCAGAAGGGCAGGAGACCGCCGCGACAGGAGCCCGAGGGTCCGTATGGCTTCTCCTCGCCGGCGGGTGCTGTGCGCCACGGAGCTCGCCAAAGGCGCTTCGGGCTCGGAGCGGCTCTGAGCCGCGCCGCCTGCTGAGATCGACCGCCTGCTGAGCCGTTCCGTGGAGCTGCGGGCAGGAACCCGAGGAGCAGGAGGTGGCGGCGGCGGCAGTGGCTGTTCCTCCCAGAGGGCGATGTGGCCGGCCGGCGCGGGCACCAAGCTGCCCTGTCCCCGAGACTCTGCGCTCCGGCGGGCGGCTTTCTCTGGGAACCTCACGGCCCTGCCCTCTCACCTCGTGCCCGCCGGCCGCAGCGTCCGGGTCTTCATCAGCGCCAACCCTGAAGGTACGTCCCTCGCTCGGGTTTGCCCGTCCGTCCTTCTGTCCGTCAGCGCTGCGGGAGCTGGAGAGTGTGTGTCCGCCCCACAGCCCGGTGCGCCCTGCGCTCCCTTCCTCCAGCTAAAGCCGTGGCCGCCCTGAGCGCGTGGGAATTTAATTTGAATCACTTTTTTTCTCCCCTCGCTGGCCGGTTTTGCCTGCACACTTCTATTAGGACACCCATTCTCCACCCCGGGTTATTCCCCTGGGTCAATCCAAGAAACATCCAAGGCATTAGCCGGCCCTTCTGGAAGCTCCATTCTGCCGCCGCCGCCACCACCACCTCCTGTCCCCCGCCCTTTTTTTTTTTTTTAAAGCGGTTTCTTCTCCGAGATGACCGCAAACACAAACAGTAGCTCTCCTCCCCGAGGCGGGTTCCTGAGTGCGGGGCTACCTCCTTGGCCACTTTTTCCAGCTGAGGCGAGGTGAGTTCCTTGAGACTCTCCTCCTGCAGGTGCGATGGTGCCCTTTGCAGAGGCCAAGCAGACTTTTGTGAACCGGAGGTCGAGGGGGACACCCTCTGTGGGTCCCGGAACAGGCTTCGCGGTGGGGCGCGCAGGATGGGCTCATCTCAGTTGGGTCACAGGGCTTGGTCTTCTGTATCTAAAACTTGGCCTACTCAGTCATGTTCCTGCTTAAGGCACCTGGTAGGCACTCCATGAAAACTTGTTGATTTCTTGTTGCATTCACAACCACAGAGGTTGAACGCTGGGCGGTCAAATCCTGGCTCATCACTACCTTCCAGTCCTTAGTCCTCAACGTTAGATTTCATTCCCAGTAATTGGGGAGTTGGGGAAGGAAAGATGTATTTGACTGGGGCAGGATAAAACTGCAGGAATTGCTCTTTTCTAGGAAAAAAAATGTTTGGCTATGAGTCCATGGGAGACTGACAGAGGTGAAAGATTTGAGAATTAACGTTTTCTGCACTCTAACAAGCCTTGAGTCGAAAAGAGTCGAGGAGAAAAGTCCACATTCAAACGATCATTGGATATAATTCTCATTTGAAAACCCAAGGTTCTGGTTTCTTGAAAAAGCTTTCGGAGAAGACCAACAAAAGTAACTTTCTAGAAAATTACCGTTTCGGAAAAAATAGCACTAGCAGAAGTCTGAGGTAAAGCTTACATTATGAGAAGGAGTTGGGGAGAGAATCAAAACGATAACATGCACTAATTAGTATTAGAAAGACGATATACTCTTGGGGGACGGCACGACTGTCCTTTTATCAGTTTACAGTTCACTTTCAAAGAACTTAAGGAGGCTTTTAGGATGATATGGTACACTCAAAAAATCATTGTATCTCAAAGATGTCGTCTAGGATTTGTACCTATATCTGGATTTAAAGAAAAAAAATGGAGATATTCAGCCTATTTAAGGCAATCTGCGACTTAAGGGTTGAGGGTTACTTCTTTAAAATATTGCTAGAACATTTTTAAGTGAGAGAATTATGTTAGAAAATGTTTAAATGTTAGACATTTTTAGTTCTGAGCTTTTAAAAAAGTCATGTGAAATGTGTTTCAATCTGCTGATGTGAAGCTAGCTAAATCACTCTTTTTCTTTAAACTTGTGGCTTCTAAAATACAATAAGAATTCTGCTAATATGTGTAATTTTTTTCTTGCTGTCTAGATTTGCAATTTCTAAGATAAAAACGATACTGAATTTATACTATCAGCTTAATATTGAGTTAGTACTCAAGGTTAATGTCATTTTTTTAAGCCTGTCCATATGATTCTTCAAATTTCCTAGTTTCTTCGAATAAAAGCTTTAGCACAGATTAACCCTAGGAAAGCAAACAGGAGGGAGGAGCCAGTCATGCCCCTTGGCTACGGTTTGAGCTGGACAGCTTCCACAAGGATCTTAACAAACAAAACAGAAATGTGAAGCTTACCTGGGAAGTTTCAATAGGGGCAGGATCTCAGATTTTATCCAAATTGGAGAGCGGATGGCATATTAAATAAAAAAGACAGATGGGCATTTTTAATGATCTGAACGTGAAGCCTTAAAATCTTGGTAAATGCTCTGTCAGAGGCAGCACTTGACCGTGGGATCTTTATGGATGCAATTTAGAAAGCAAATGCCTGTGTTTTGGTATGATCCAATATTAGATTCTTGGCCAATACTGAAGAGCCTCTCTACTGTCAAATTAAGACAAAGAACATTATCTCATGCTTTCCTTTACTAGCGGAAATCCAATTTATGTTCTAAATAAAAGCTGCTTTGTGTTGAACTCACAGCAATACTCAGAACCCAGCAAGGATTTTGCTTGGAGTATTGTTTTAATAGGTAGTGCTTTACAAGGCTTGCATGGAATTTCCCCATCGGTAACGAAGATAATAGAATGAAATAGATAATAGAATGAATAGAATTTTTTTTTTTTTGAGACAGAGTCTCGCTCTTGTCACCCAGGCTGGAGTGCAGTGGCGCAATCTCGGCTCACTGCAACCTCCACCTCCCGGCTCCAAGCTATTCTCCTGCCTCAGCCTCCAGAGTAGCTGGGATTACAGGTGCCCACCACTACGCCCGGCTAACTTTTGTACTTTTAGTAGCAACGGGGTTTCGTCATGTTAGCCAGGCTGGTCTCAAACTCCTGACCTCAGGTGATCCACCTGCCTCAGCCTCCCAAAGTGCTGGGATTACAGGTGTGAGCCACCGCACCTAACCGTAGAATTTCTTTAGAATGAAAAAATTACTTTCCCATATATTAGTTCATTCAATATTTTCATTTTGTTTTCTATCCTCAAACAACCCTCTGAGGGTAGTGGACCAGGGGTGTTCCATCTATTCTACGGATGAGATTACTGAGGCTGTATCAAATTATACCACTTGCCAGAATTCATATAGCAGAGTGAAAGAGTAGAGCCTATAGGACCCTGACAACACTTGATATTCTCTTGTCCAGCCTAGGCTCTTGACAGATCTCTGTGAAATATCTCACACCACGTGGGCAAGACAATACAGATAGGGGGATAAGCACTGTCCAGCATCTTCTGGCTGTCAGACTTAAAGAGTATGAACAGCTGGCAGGGAACATGGCTATGCTGACCCACTTTGCTCCCACCAAGAGGTAGTCCGAGGCATTCAAGGAAATTTCAAAATGTGCTGGACTCTAATTGACACATTCTTGTCCAGAAGTGTATCTGCCTCTGACTAGTCCCCACCTCATGGAAGATGCTGGAGAAGGACCCATGTGGGGGAGGTGATAGCATTATCCCAGATTTTTTTAAGTGGATGGGCCTTGGACTTCATCTAGTTCCACCTCCCACCCAACATAGAAATTCCATCTGTGACATCTTCATCAATCCTTGGAAGTTTTCTAGTCATTTAGCTACTGTACTTCTGCCAGAACAGCACTTATAGCTCCTTGGAAAGATGATTTTAAAACCCACATAAAATCCTTTACTGTGATTAGCCTAAATAGTCCATGCATATGGAGATGAAAGGAACCTGCGAGATTCTCTCCCTGTTATTAGAGTGTAAAGGCCCTCCTCTTCTCTGTCTTGATTCTTTATCAGTTTATAGGAAGGTACAGTCTTAACACAGAAGGAAGACCAAAATATCACTTTTATTACTGATGAAAACAGTGCAGGTCCACAATCCATTATCTGTGATCATCTGGGCCAGATGTGATTTTGGAATCTCTTTTTTCAGATTTTGAGGAAAAATACTTACGCTCTAATATGTGGGTTCTGGGGTAACAACCCATGTCGGATATGAATAGGTGTATAAGGAAACATGAGTTCACTCTAAGTCAGTGTTATACAGAACTTTCTGTGATGCTGGAAATGTCTATCTGATATGGTAACACTAGCCACATAGGGCTATTGAGCATTTGAAATGTGGCTAGTATGACTAAGAATATGAATTTTTAATTTTATACAATTTTAATGGATTTGAATTTAAATAGACACATGTGGCTGTTGTATCAGATAGCAAAGCTCCAAGAGGAGTGATACAGATTTTAAGTAGCTTCATGTCAGTCAAGGTCAGGTTTGGCCATCAAGGACTCAGGTTACTTCAAGTTTTGCTACCAGATGGATTGGGGAAAACCTTTTATGTTCAAAGCTTTGGAGATTTTTGGAATTGCAGGTAAAAGATACAGACTTTTGTTGGAGAATATGGTTTTAACTCTGGGCAAGGGAGTTTCCCAATATTGAACCCAAGAATTAGACAGGCTTTACTCCCAGTCATTGTCAGCAGTGGGCAGAGCACAGACCACTCTCCCTGGCTCGTGGACAGAGTAGATCCCTTTAAACCTTAACACATGGAGGAGTGGAGGAGAATGGCAATTTTACGAGAAAGAAAGCAGAGGCTGGGCTATTGTGGTCAGATTTTCCTTCCAACTGCAGCCATAAGATTAAGATACTTCTCCCCTAAGGAGTAACTGACAGCATCCTACACTAGTGCATTGCCCTCTGCATGCAAAAAGATATCTGAAGTGGAGAAAAATATATTTTAACACTTAATGCATTTTTCTGTCCACTCAGATTTCTGTGCTGGTCATTATTGAGAGTCATGAACTCTTGTCCACAGTGTTGATCAGGTGTTCATACCATTACTACTTGGTTTTCTTTTGTCTGCATGGCTTTGCATCTTCCCAGACTCTTCATGCCTTTGGGGTCTCCATAGGAAGGTTTGTTCTCCGTTACAGTGGAAGTAACAGCAAGAGACATGCTTTCCCTTTATATGTGTACATGGGTTCATTTGCTACAACTAGTGCTCAATTGCTTGAACTTGCTTCCCCACACAAAAGGCAGACATATCTGCATTAAGAAATTCACGTGAAACCTATCAGTATTCTTCATCATTATTCTTCTTACTTTTCCTACTATCCTGATTATTTCTGTGGCGCCCTTTTTATTGTCTTTATGAGTAGTGGAAAAAATACAGCAAAAAGCATATATGTGTGTGTATACACACACACACACACACACACACACAGCCATTTGGATACAAGAACATCTTTAAAACCTAAGTTGTCAGGGGGAATATACTGAGTTGCTATATTATGATAAATGCACATAGGACATTTAGAGTAAATGAGTTCTAAAATTTTAGTGGTTGTATCTTCTAAGTCCTGAAGCAGACGTTATTCAAGTGGAGAAATTATTAGATACAGATATTTATAGCTAGACTTGGGAGCCAGGTTTCCTGCATTTAAATCCTCAATCCACAATTTAATGCTGTGATTTCTTGAGCAAGTTGCTTAACTTGTTTTGAGTTTCCCAATTTGTAAAAGAAGTCAATGATATCACCTGTCTCACAGAGTTATTGAGTAGATTACATAAGCTAATAGATGTGAGGCACTTAGGACAGTGCTGGGCATGTAGTAAATATTAAATACATGTTTGCTATTTTTATCATTATTATCTTTATTACATTCTACCATGATCCAGACACTGTGCAGGCATGTTTAAGCAAATATAAATATATCCTGCCCTCAAGGAATGCAGTCTATAGAGGCATATAAATTAGAACTCACTACAGTCATGCATTGCTTAATGACAGGGATATGTTCTGGGAAATGTGTCCTTAGTCAATTTTGTCATTGTATGAACATCGTAGTGTACTCACACCAACCTAGATGATACCGTTTACTATACACGTAGGTCATATGGTAAAGCCTACTGCTCCTAGTCTACAAACCTGTATAGCATGTTATTGTACTGAATACTGAATAGGCAATTGTAACAGAAGGGTAAGTATTTGTGTATCTAGACATACCTAAACATAGTAAAGGTACCGTTGGCTGGATGCAGTGGCTCACGCCTATAATCCCAGCACTTTGGGATACCAAGGTGAGTGGGCGGATCACTTGAGGTCAGGAATTCGAGACCAGCCTGGCCAGCATGGTGAAACCCCGTCTCTACTAAAAATACAAAAATTAGCTGAGCATGGTGGTGGGCGCCTGTAATCCCAGCTACTTGGGAGGCTGAGGCAGGAGAAATGCTTGAGCCTGGGAGGCAGAGGCAGCAGTGAGCTGAGATCACACCACTGCACTCCAGCCTAGGTGACAGAGACTCCATCTCAATAAATAAACATCATAAAGGTACTGTAAAAATACACTATTATAATCTTATGGGACCACTGTTATATACGTGGTTTATTCTTAACTGGTATGTCATTATGTGGCACATGACTGTAGTAAAATACAAACTACCCCAGATCTTTCATGGAATTAGGTGCTTCCAAAAATCATTATAGAGGTTGGAGGAGCAAAAGTCAGGGGTACCACTGGGTGTTTAGTTCATATTGTCAAAGCTGCCACCCAGAGGGCAGAAAACTGTAGAAGCCATTGCCAGTATCACAGCTGCCCCTGAGTACTGGGTAGCTGCTCAGCCTCTGCAGAAACACATTTGTTGAAACCTGCATGTTAGCCACTATGACTCCTGGTGAAGGAACTTTGTTCTCCAGATCTTATGCAGGTGCATCCCTTTGGTAGAACCAGAATTGCATTTGGACCCTAGCAACAAGCAAGTCTAGGAACTTCAGGCTTTCAGCCCCTACAGTACTAAGGAGATAGATAATGGAGGGAAGAGATAATGAATAATCAACACCAAGAGATAGTATCTAGCCAGGGGGAAGCAGATGCATTCACTCACTCAAGCAGTAAATATTCACGAAGCAACTACTCTATATGGAGTGCTGTTCTGGTGCTTAGCATACAGAAAAGTGAACAAAACAGACTAGGTCTCTGCTCTTAGGGTATTTACATAAATAATACATATGTGACGAGCACTGTGCTAATGATATGAACGGAGCATTAAAGGAGCACCAAGGAGGGTTATGTAAACCAACTCGAGGTGTGGAGGGGGTCAGAATGAGGGGTTAGTTTGGCTTTCCCGATAATGAATAGAGCCAGGGTATGGAAACTATTCTGCATGATAATCAAATATGAGGCAGAGTGATGATGAGATCTCCACAGGGAATAGAAAGAAATAGTCTTTATCATTCAGCAGAAAGCTTTTATCATTTTGAATAGAAGTGGAACTGATGTCTTGAGGTGATATTATTGTTTGCTCTTGAAGGTGGCTCATTTAAAATGACATTTGGAAGAAAGGATGACTTGGACTATAAAGGTAAACTATATACATGACTTTGCAGTTTAAAAAAATCAGCTTATGGATCTTTTAAAATTCTTCTGTAAGCAGTGTATATCAGAGCAATGATACCATTTGCTATTTGAAAAGGTGTGTGAAGGTTTCTATTTTATTTCTCTTTCAGTTATCTATTGCTATGTATCTACTCATCCCAAACCTGAGTGGCTTAAAACAACAATGATTTCTTTCTCACAGTTCTGTGGTTGGTATTTTGGGCAAGGCTTGGCTGGGTGGCTCTTCTGTTCCATGGGGTATTGAATTGAGTTACTCATTCAGCTTCTTTCAGCTAAGCCTAGACTTGGCTGGGCTGGAAGGTCCCAGCAGGCTTCATTTACATGTCTGGCACCCAGTTCTCCTCCATGAGGGTATTCTCTCCATCTCCAGCTTTTCGCTCATCTTTCAGGAGTCCAGCCCAAGATTCCTTATAGGGGATTGGCTTCCTCAGAGAAAGGAAATGGAAGCTGCCCATCCTCTTAAGGCCTGGGCTTGGAAGTCCCAGAATGTTTATTTTGCTGCATTCTGTCATCAGTGCAAGTTATCAGTCTAGTCTAGATTCAAGGTGGGGAGAATTAGACCCCATTTATTAATGTGAGAAGAAGTATGTGCATACAGGGAAAGGAGGAATTAATAGTAGCTGACTTTAAAAATTACCACAACCCCCCCCCCTTATGTTTTGCAGTTTCTTTGACCTCCCTTTGTTATAATTAGATTATGTGAGATAACAAGAGCATAATCCAGGGGCACTGCAAGTATGATAGTAAGTCCTCAACAAGTGTTAATAATTATTGTCATCATTACTATGTGTTATTGAAAACTGAGAATAACTCAGTAAATAGCACCCTTCTTCCCCTCTCAAGTTCTGAACTAACTGAAAATCAGTTTCTGTTAAAAAGACTAAAGAGTTTGCAGATAGAAGATCAAAATATCACCATTTTTCCTGATAAAGATAATGGAGAATGCCTTCATGCATCCTAATACTAAATAGCAGAATTAGATATTCTTCTAGCCACTCACTGGAGGTGGTGGACCTCCAGAGACCCTCCATCCTGTGGCCTGCTCCAGAAACAAGGAGCCTGGAGGAGAGAATGAAGCCATGCTCCCCGGAACAGGTCATGTCCCAAGGGATAGAAGTGAGCAGATGGGCAGAGATTGTCTGGTTTCTTCTTCCTTTGCTTTCCAGTTCTGGGAAGGTTAAATGAGGTAAAGGGAGTCCAGGAGGTCCTCGTTACATCACAGCCCATTACCTCATATAAAGAAGACAATGAGGTACAAGCTACTAAAGATAATAGCAGGAATGATATACATGTATCTGTACACATGTTTCAGATATTCAGTATCAGAATACATCCGTAAGGTAAGTTCTTAGCACGGCCTTGGGAAAAGTCACATATTTCTCTATAAATAAGTTGTTTAAAGCCACTAAGTTTTGAAGTAGATTGATATGCAGCAATAGATAATGGGCAAATTAAAAAAGTAAAAACTCACAAGCACTTTTTAAAATGGCAAATGATGATTCTACAGAGTAACAGGAAGTAATTAGGTTTGATAAAGTAAGCCTAAGGTTCTTCTTTTTTTTATCCATCCTTAGCAAACTAACACAGTAACAGAAAACCAAATACCGCATGTTCTAACTTATAAATGGGAGCTAAATGATAAGAACAAGTGGACACATAGAGGGCAACAACACACACTGGGGCGTTTTGGAGGGTGGAGACTGGGAGGAGGAAGAGGATCAGGAAAAATAACTAATGGGTAGTATGCTTAATAGCTGGGTAATGAAATAATCTGTACAACCAACCGCCCATGACACATGTTTACCTGTGTAACAAACCTGCACTTGTATCCTGAACTTAAAAGTTTAAAAAAATCAGGCTGGGCATATCAACATTTGTTGAAATACTAAAAGTTCCATTTTGTTGAGAAATCCCTGGCAATATGTATTTCACTGATACAGTAGGAAAATGTCAAAAAGCAACCACCTTTGAGCTCTAAGCATTGATGAATTCCTATCCAAAACAGCTGCAGAAGATCTGTAATACCAGCATTCAGACATTAAAAATAATCTGTTTATAAACATAAAGCAACTATAATAAACCAGGCAGCTTAAAGTTCCACTCAATTTTTTTTAAGTTTTACTCATAATGGTCATGTTATTTAAATAAATGTAAAACTTGTAGCAGTGGCTTAAAAGCATATGTAGGTACTGAGATATGCAATCAGTGTAGAAGGAAATGTGATATTAACTTAAAGACACTCTTGCATCACTTCTTCAAAGCTTTAGCTTCCATTGCAATTTTTGTTGAAACCAAACAGGATTCATTCTGCACATTAAAGTGTGTTGGTTAATGTATAATTAGAAAAAAGAGTAATGTGATAGAAAGTTAATAAAAAAAGATGAAAAACTGCAGCTTGGATGCAATTCAAAGAGAATAATACCCCCCTTCTAATGAAATACTTCCTTGAAATCTCATTTTCAATCCAAAATATTTCAAAGACTGTGAAATGGCACACTCAAAACAAAGAGCAGAGCACAGATGTCAGGTGTATTATTCCTAGAGTATTACGGAATTTCACTCGGATGAAACCACAAAATTGAAAGCATATCCTTCATAATATTTAATCTGATCTATTACATGCAGTGTCATTCAAAGAGTTTCTTGCCGCAGAACGTCTCCTTCAGGTTTTATTCTTAGCATCAACTGCAGTATTTATTAGATACCCATTGTGCACTAGCAAACACCTAATTGGTTGGTGTGGAAAGTTAGAAAGGGAGTAAAAATGACAGTATGTGCTGCTGTCTTTATTCTTCAGACTCACACATCTAAGAGGCAGGACAAACAACTATAAAAACTACAGACACTGCCGTTGTGAAAGGGATGTTTACATTCAAAGGCTGATTGGAATAATTGGAATCAGCTTGTATCTGATATCCCGGTGTGGCATGAGCTGTTCAAATTTAGCCAAAAGGGAAAGACTGAGAAGGATCAGACCTAAAAATCACCCTTCTACTGTAGAGGGGTGGCCAGTGGGGAACTGCTCCTGCCATATGTAAGAAGAGTGAGTCCAGATCCAAGGGAGGGCACAGCTTTTGAAAGGGAAAGCATCTGATACCAAGGAGCCTGATAGAATCTGAAGGGTTACCCAGTGAGTGAGCAAAGCCTGGGCTGAAATGTGTTTAATTTATCTGAGTGTCAGAAGAGTAGGGTTTATTTAGATAAAAATTGAAGGAGTTTTGGCAGGTACAGAGTCTGAATATCTTGGGCACAAAGTTCCCTTTCTGAAGTGGGGACTTGTGAAGGAGAATAGGGTAGCAGAAAGTGTCTGGCAAAAACAATAGGATCCCAGCCCCTAATCATAAGGGAGGACTGAGGCCCTGGGACAATGTACAAATCTGCTCTTGGGATTAGAACCCAAGGCCAGAACTGCAGCCTGAGTGATATGACCCTGAGTCCCAGAGGGTTGGGACAGAAATAATACTAAACATTTCCTGGTTAAGGTTACTATTGAGCCCAGAGAGTGGGACCAGCCACCACTACAGGTGGCACGAGCTGTGGTTCCCAGTGTGTCAGAGGATGGATGCAGAAGCCAGGAAGGGTTATTCAGTTAGAACAAGGGATTTTGAAAAATATTTGAAAGATGAGAAATACTTAATTGTCATAGTTGGAAAAGAAATGTTCCCAAAAGAGTAGGACATATCCTGGAAGTCGGGTAAGTCTAATTTCTGAATCAGTAGCAGTGCTTTTGGAATACATTAGAGAGAAGGCTGTGGGGCCATATTCAGGCTCAGTGGAAAACAGCAGTGATTAGTAATGTCTGCTGTGGAATGAGGGCTGGTCTGTATCCTTATGTGTGCAGTATATATGTGACTGTGGACACTTGGGGTAGAGGAATGGAGCAGTGTAAACAACCAAGAGAAGGCTTTTGTTTTGTTTTATTTGGGCAAAGCAGAGAAGACAAGTCAGAGGAAAATAAGAAAATTTTTCCCAAGAAATAACTGGTGAGAAATTCCCTTGCCCAGATGACAGAACTGGTAAAATCACAGCTTTCTAAAGGGAGAAGAATGTGTTGAAACTGTTAAATAGACTGAAAAATCTACTTACATGAGGTGGAACCTGCATGTGAGTTTGTTGCTAAGCAAAGAGTAGCTTCAGAAGAGATCACACTCGATTGATGATATTCTAGAAGACTCTAATTAAAATGGAATTCAGAAACTACTGAAGGCACTGTGTGATAAGGAAAGTTAACCACAGTTATCAAATGCTTAAAAAAAGATAATCTGCTACCGACACTGAAAAGGAGACTTGAAAATAACAAATTCCTTTACGAGCCCATTTGTTTTAAAATTCAGAAGTCTAAATCTATTTACAGAAGCAATTTCAGTAACAATAAGAATATGTAGGGAAAAGAAAGATCCAAAGCTCTCTCTCTCCTCTAAGAAGCTACCATTTGGAGGTTTTACCCAAAAAAGGATAAGAGCATTCATAAATTGGGAGATTTCACAATTTAGTGAAATCACTGACATGCTGGAAATTTAGGGTTTTGCAATCTGGCCCTAGAAATTTGGGGCTCTCTTATTAAGAGGTGGGATCTATGACTTCTCCCCTTGAATCTGGGCTCTGATTTGGCCAATAGAATATAGGAGAAGTGTCACTGTACCAGATTTGGGGCCCAGGAACTCAGAGATTGGCCACTTCCACTTTCTGTCTTTTGAAACACTGATTTTTAGAACCTCACTGCCCCATGGACGGACCCTGTGGAAAGGAGGCCACAGCCAGCACCACCTGGCCAACAAGGAGAATGAGCCATCTTGGAGGTAGATCTTCACCCCCGTTGAGCTTCCCCAGCTGACTGTGGCCGTGTGGTGTGGAGACCAGCCTTCCCACCTAAACCTGCCCAAGGTGCAGGTGCAAGGGTTAAAAGGAATGACTGTTGTTTTAAGCCACTGATTTGGTTTTGTTATGCAGCAATACATAAATTAATAAAAGAAAACAAACATTATAATGTGTCCTAAGAATGAAGAAGTTGAAAGTTAGATTCAGGTTTGAATCCCAAGATTTTCCCAGACTTGGGTAAGATACTTAGTCTTCTTAGGCTCATTTCTCAACTGAAAAATTGGAGCAATAATACCTATCTCACAAGGCAGTGGTGAGAAAGAAATGAAATGCTACACCTAGGCATCTAAAACAATGCCTGAAAGATACTAAGGACTTAAAAATTATAGGTCAGAATTTGTTAAAAGCTCTAGAATATAGAGTTATAACAGTTTTATGGAAATGAGAATTCCTTGAATAACTTCCTTCTTAAAAAAACTATAGCACAAAATGGGTCATTATTCTCAAATCATGCCACCTATATGATCATATATGCTTTTAGCTAGAAGGGATCTGCTGTTTACCAGATTTTTAAAATGATGATTTAATTACATGAATTCAGCCCAAACTATAAAATATTAAGTTAATAAGTTACATCTCTAAATAATAGAGCAGAAACTAGCTGATTTTTCAAAAAGCTACCTACCAAAAAGGACAACTCTTTTGAAACCACAGGTAGCCAACAGAGTTCAATAAAATGACATTCAAAGAATAAAAAGTTTGCACTTTCACCATTTAATGTCAGATGTGCTAAATTCTTATAGTAAAAAATTATTTCTTTCACTCAAAGAATTCCTTTAATGTTGCTTTAAACCTACATAAAAGTTCATATATCATTTTTCTGATCCTGTTAATCTTTTAGACCGTAATGCATAGTTTGCTTAAGTTCAGATTTGCATAGTTTTGCTCATAGTTCCAAAGAGCCTGTGGTTCCCACATCTATGTGGGAAATACCACACTGGATAAAAATGAGCAGCCACTATTCTCTAGGAAGGATTTTGGTACAAATCTCTTGCATGATTAAAAGACTATTTAATTCCAAGTAGTTAACTATTATTGAATGACCCAACCAACTTTCACTGTAAGTTGATCATTCTTATTGTGTTCTTGTAATGGTTATTGAAAGCTCACATTATAGTGACTAAAGAGCATTTGTGCTCCTAGAGGTGCAGATGTTTGGAGTTGGAGGTGGTTGCAGGAGATGGGTCTTTTGAGTGAGTCAGTGAACGGGGCTGGGCATAGGTGGATGATGACTTGAATCTAGAAAGTGTTAATCATTTATTTGTTAATTCAAGCTTGCAGATCTCAGAGTAAAATGGAATGAGGGAGAAGGCCCAGACATCCAGGAGTTTTGAAACAGAAATGAGTTTTGTGATTAAGTTTGGAATTTGAAAAGGTCTAGAAACTGAGGCAGTCCAGCCTCTCCAGGACAGTGAGACAGTCTTGAGTGTCAGCAGGTGGAGGAAGGCAAGGAGCCTGGTTTCCTGAATGTAGCCAGTGTGCTTATCTGAAGAAGAGGAAATATGGGGCTCAGCTAAATGCTTTGGTTCTTTTGCTGAGATTTTTTTAAATATTTGAAACTCATTCTCTGTCCCTTGTGCTTACTATTTAATTGTTTTGTTTTCCCTTACCATTTTTCTTTTGGAAAATTAGTCTTAACTATGTCAAGGGAAAAGATGGATTTCACTTTTGCTGATATCACAAGTAGGATCAAGGCAGACCCATGCTGTGGAGACTGCTCCAGTGGGTGGGTAAGCACAGGGAGTCCCCTCTTAACACTCCACGGACCTCAAAATGGGTGTGTAAATTTTCTCTCTGCTAGCACCTGCACCTGCAAGGGGGATGGCAGTGCAGATTTCAAGGACATGAGTTTCATTTGATACCAGAGCATGTTAGAATCCTAGCACCATAATCTAGATTATGCACTGCCCAGTGTTTATGAGCTGTGTAACCTGGGGCAGGTTCTAGAACCCTGAGTCTCCGTTTTCTCATCTGTTGAAAAGAAATGCAACTCTATGTTTTATATCTTATGCAGTTATGTGGATTCAATTCTGCTGAAGTAAACATACAGTGAACCCTATATAAAAGCAAAGCATTGCTGTTTGCTTAAAACTTTTCCAAATATGTAAGACTTAAACTGCCTTATAAGCCAATATTGTGGTACAGTATTATTAGCATTTAATACACAAAATAGGTGCTCAGTAAATACTTGCTGAATTTTTAAATACCTAAGAAACAGTGAAGAGGAGGTCATGGCATGAAGTGTCTTCCTCGTGACCTGAGTCCTGGACATTCCTGCAGGGCCTGGGACAGCAGGGCCCACTTTAGGTTACACATCTCATCCCTCTCATGTCCCTGTCCCTGTTGCTGCCAGTAGATGTAACCATCTGTCAATATACCAACCACTTTATGCCTGAGGCTACCCTGTTACTTTACCCCAGCTTGACAGGGCCTCACCTAGAGGACAGCAGGATCCCCACGGGGATGGTTATAGAGATGCAGCCCTAGAGTTCCCACCCCTGGAGACCAGAGCTCCCAACCAGCCGCAATCCATGGATGTTGCTCCCCAAGTTCTACCGTAGTGCCAGGAGAAAAGGCAGAGAGTGGGAGGAGAAGGATGTCTTCCTCCCCTCCAGGGAAGGAGCCACTGAGGGAAGAAGAGAGATGAGATTTCCGTGAAACTAGAGAACAGCAGTGAAGTTTTAAATTCCCATGCCTTTCTGGCAGGAGCAATGAGAAATCGAATACTGTTTGTACTATGGTCTGGCTGCATTATGACTTTGGGGACAAGTTAGGAACCTTGCCACTCTCTATAACATTATTTTTATGGGCAGTTTCATTTTGTGTTCCATTTAAATCATGTACCATCAGGCTTGTGTCACAGCCATTTAGAAGGGAGCAATTGGAGCATTTTCACTAGAGAGCGTTCTTGTTTTCCAATAGTGTCATGTGTGCATGAGGTGTGACGTTCTTGTCCTTGAGATAACATGAGGGGAAGAGGGCATGAAATGGACTGAAACATCTTGGCTTCTACTTCTGGTTTATACAGTAGCTCTGTGACCATGGGCATTCTCTCTGGGACTCTCATTTTTCTCATCTGTAGAATGAGGTGGTTGACAAACAGGTTCTCTGGGGCCTCTTTGAGCTGCAGTATTGCATTATTCCATTTCTCTGAAACTCCCCAACAGTGTTATTTGGGCAGTTTATTTTATGGAGGGAAAATGTGGGCTCTAGCTCTTTCTTCCTAACTTTGTGAGTGCATCTACTCGATTGCCTGAAAAATAGTAAAAATACCACCTGTCCTTCCTGTAACAGAGTTTATCATGATAATGGAGGGGAAAGCAGCTTTGAAACTACAGTGTATTCATACATGTAAACTATTTATTATGTGGATAGTAGAACAAGGAATACAACAAAGTTTGTGAGGAATAGCTCCAGGATTTAGAAATACCTTCCCCACTGTTCCTTATTCAAACTGGAAGGTATGAGTAGGGTAAAATAGGCATAAAAGACATCTTCCTTAGGCCTACAGATGAGACTATTAGATTGATTTTTTTAAAAAACATCATTGAGTTTGGGATAAGGCAGACAGAGTGTGAACCCTTGGATAGAAGGGATCTGATCTTCATCCTGAATTGTGTAATAGAATCCATTATGTAGCCACATACAACACATGATACAGGGACTTCTGAATAGTAGAGGTTGAAAATTCAGACTGTAGAGTTGGAAGCAGTGGGTTTGAGACCTTGCTGTGTGCCATTTTCTGACTCAGTGACCTTAAACAAGTTACTTAATTTATCCAGTCATCAATTTCCTTATTTCTAAAATTGGAAATATCCTGGGATTCATCTGAGGGTCAAGCTTGTAGAGTGTTTAACACATGCTTGGCACAATGAGCTTTCATTAAACATTAACTAGGACTAATTACCATTATAATTAGTAGCTCCATTTTCTCCTTATCTAGGAGATGCTGAGGACTCAGCTAGTGAAGAAGGACACATCAGGCATGGCTCAACCAGCTGGCGTGCATTAAACAAAGGCTCATCTGCTGGCGGTATCTTTGTTGCCCACTCAATAGAAGAGGGAAGGACATGTAACATGATGATACAGTTAGGAAACATTTGTATTCTGTTTATGTTAAACCAGAATGTTTATTTCCAACTGTCTGTCAAGGTTGACATCTTAGGAGGCCGTATTTATCATAAACATTTTAAAAAGTGTTTTTCAAGGATTACTATCACAAGTAAGTTGTAAGCCATAAAAGTAGGCATGCCTTCTTACTTCACAGACACCCATTTTCCATGAAACTCGCAAGAATCATACAAGTATTTACTGAGGGACTTCTACATGCAAGACACTCTTCTAAGCCGTGAAGATGTAGAATTTAACTATGTTAAATAACTATGTTTACATAATTACATTATCAAATAAACATACACATAGCCCCTACTTTCATGGTGCTCACATTCTGATGGGGGGACCATAATGTAAATATACAAAATCAATTAAAATATTTGTAAAGTTTGTGGAAGGTGGTGATAACTACTGTGAAGAAAAACGAAGCAAGGTAAAGAGAAAGAATAATGGGCAGTTTCTGTCTCCCAGTTAACGGGTGGTCATAAAAGGTCTGTCTGATGAGATATTGTTTGAACAGAGATGCTAACAGTAAAGGGCAGAACCAACCAGATATATGGAGGACAAACATTTCCACCCAAAGAAACATCAAGTGCAAAGGCCCTGTGGCAGAGCATGACTGGGGTGTTCAAGGAAGAGCAAGGTCATTGTACTGGAAAGTAGATGGAGACAAAGGTGATTTTCAAAAAAATGTAATGCCCCTGTGTGGCAGACACCATCCAACCAGAATAAATGCCATCTACAAACATCCAGGAAGCTGTACCTGTGTGTGCCTATGGAGCATCAGCTATGATAAGAAATAAGATCAAGGAACTCGTGGAAGCTGGATCATGTGGAGCCAGCATGTTATCTCATTGTAATTCATAGAAGTCAACTTTACCCACAAAGCATAAGGATTTTCACTATTCATTTAAGGAGCATATTCACTCATTGATTCAATTCATTTTAGAAAATGATTCTAAGAGAAGATTCCATGGTGGCTGTGTCAATTTACATTCCCACCAACAGTATACAGCTTCTGTTTTCTCCACACCTTCATCAGCACTACCTTTTGTCTTTTTGATAATAGCCATCCTAAGAGTTGTGAGGTGATATCTCCTTGTAGTTTTGATTTGCATTTCCGTGATGATTGGCCGGTATTCTTGGGAAAAAAAGTAAGACAGCATTCACTGGGATGTACATTTTCTAGTAGCTGTGTTAAATCTGATCTGGGTTTCCCTACCCACTCCAGAAATTCAGCAATTCATTCAGTGTTCTGGGAGGATAGTGAAATGTGGAACCTAAGCTGATCTTCCCAACTACCCAGGTACCTCGGAACTAAAATGGAAATGGATGAGAGACATTGTATTGGATCTATAGAGGAGCACGTGGCAAAGTGGTCCAACCCTTGAGAATAAGATTCATAATAAGAGGGAAAGGTTTTCTGTTCATATGTGGCCTGGGAAGACAGAAAATCCTCTCTGAGGTTGCAGAGGGTAGAGTCCAGCTTGGTCTCTGGATGCTAGAACATGATGGCACAGGGTGCTTCTTGATATAGCCCCAGGTGGATTCACTGCCACATCCTCCTACCAAAGCTCCTAGAAAACCTGCTAAAAATTATTTGAGAGAGGAAATGAAGGCAACAACCATTTGGGAGCCCATCATGAAGTTCATGGAGCCGAGACCACCAGTGCTACTCTATCTGTCTCAAGGTAGCTATAGTCTCAGCAGAGTCCTAGGTGAATGTCACCTGTGGCATTTTGCAGCCGCTGTGATGTCACTCCCACCAGGGACAACAGGAGCTGCATGGTCCAGCTTTCACAGCTGCTGAGATCCCAGAGTATTTTATATTATTAGAACCTGTAATTGCAGCAGGAAAATGTAATGGCCCACAAGGAAGACACAAAAGCTTCATTTTCATAGCAGGTACCCAAGATGATCAAGAATCATACTGACTATTTTTTTTATTCATTCCAGGAACATTAATGCATGGACAGAACTGTCCATCACTTTCCCTTGCTCAGTCTGGCTTGGCAGCTGAGGGAACATGGGTTATACAAGCTTTCAGTATGTCAACAGTAGAGCAAAGATTGCTTGGGTCTTGGCTCTGGATCAGAAAGTGCTAGGTCCAGTATCAGGGCTCTGCCACTTTGTAGCAGGGTGACTTCTTCCTTAACCTCTTTAAGCCTTGGTTTCCTCATCTTTGAAATGGGGCTTATAATAGTGTTAGACTTCTAAGGTTTTATGAGGGCTAGTGAGATAATGTATTGAAGGCATTTAGCACTCTGCCTGGCACATAACAGATAGATTAATGCTAATTGTTGTTTTGATGATTTAGAGTAGAAGTAGAATTATTTAGTAAAGTGAGCATGTGCCAGAAAGAGAAGAGGGAGGGGAGGAGAAGAATATTCAGTCCTTATAAATTTTAACAGAAATTATTGAAATACAAGAGTTACTGATAGACTAGAACTGGCTGTGAGTTATTTTTTAAAAAAAGAAATGAAATGATTTTTTAGGAATAGAATTTTAGATGGTCATTGGAAGCAGTTGACTATTGCCTTTATTTCAGACCATTTATTCAATGCCTGTGAATAGTGAGATTAAATAATACTTTCTGGGCATCTCTTAAATAAGATGGTAATTAAAGAGAGCACTGGGATAGTATGTGATGCCTGTTAAGTTAGAGATTTCTGAGAGGGACAACAAGGTAGTTAGTAGCTGCTCCATTCATTTCAGATTGGACTGACCAACCCATTCAATCAGAGGAGAGTTTTGGACCCAGAATCCTTCAGTCTATCTATCCAATCCCAATTTGAACAGATAACTGTCAGCTTAATTTAGTGCCTGGCTGAATTCAGATGTAATGGTTTTCTTTTTAATCAGTCCTTTCTGACATAATAGAAGAATTTGAGTGGCTTTCTGAAGGTTAAATAGCTGGAATAAAACTCATATATCCCTAACATTTCAGAAGAGCTTACTTTCCATTTGGTGGATGTGTGATTTTGGTAATTTCTCTCCTGTAAGTAAAATGATGTTCCTCTACCTCCCTCCTGAAGTTGTTTTGCTTATCTTTTTAATTTTTTCATAACCAGCTGACCTTTTTCCTAAATAGGTCATTTTGTTGTGCAGCCAGTAAACTCGGTGTTCTGGAGATTTTTTGCCCAAGGAGGTTGAATATATTTATATCTGGATGTGCTCATATGTCCAACAGATATTTCAATCTGTATTTGAAAGCTGTTAAGGCAATAGCGCTATAAAATTCCCTGCTTCATAAAATCAAAGAAAAATAAATGCTCTTAACATATAACCAGACATTTTCAAAAGTTCAAAAGTAAAATGTAAAAATGAGTCTTTATTCTGTAAGAAAATCAGAAGCAAAACAGAATCTAGCCCTTTTTTATTAATGCAGTTATAGTTTATGTAAACATTTAATTTTCCATTTTAGTTGTAAAAAAACATTATATAAAGGATATGTGTTTTTTAAATATTTTCACAACATAATACCATTGTCTAATCAAAATGACATGTACAAGATAAAAAGTAAAATGTAGAGTCTGCTTCTGGCATAACTTTTCTTCCATAACATTTACACTATTAGCATATGCTAGAGGGTGCTTACTGCAGAATCTGTAGGGTAGAATGAGCCAGGAAACTAATCTCCCAGCCATGTAGTGTGTAAATTGACATAAATTGAAACAATATTAAAATCAGATCAAAAATGTATCTAAAGCTGAACTCCAGCCTGTACTGTGACTTGATTGTAAAAAACTCCCCAAAAAGCGCGGGAGGTGAAAGAAAATAAAGGAATACTTTGTGATATTAATGATAATACTGAATCATTCTTTAAGAAAAAAAGGAACTCAAGATCCAGATATAAAATGATATAGTTCTAATATTTACTGCAGTAAATTAGACAAGATTTAATGGATCTAACTGCACAGTCTCTGTGTAAAGACACACAGAAGTATGAGACATGGGATTGACATTCAGGAGCTTACCGTATAGTTACTAACATTGACATCTGAAAAGTTAAAAAGCAAATTAATGAACAAAACCATTCGTATTCGTTTTCTATTGCTTCTATAACAAGCTAGCACAAAGTTATTGTCTTGAGTTCTGGAGGTCAGAAGTCCGAATTCAGTTTCACTGGTCTGAAGTCAAAGTATTGACAAGTCTGCATTCTCTCTGGAGGTATTAGAAGAGAACCTGTCTCCTTGCCTTTTGCATCTTCTAGACTCTAGGTGCATTTCTTGGCTAATGGCCCCTTCCTCCATCTTCAGTGCCAGTAGCATGACATCCCTCCCATCTCTCTCTCTCTCTGTGACCTCTGCTTCCACTGCCACATTTCCTTCTCTGATTCTGCTTTTGTGGTTATATTTCCTCCTCTTATGCTGATCCTTATGCCTCCCTCTTATAAGGACCCTTGTGATTATATTGGATCCTCCCAGATAATCCAAAATAGTCTCCCCATTTCAAGATCCTTAGCTTAATCACATCTGCAGAGTCAGTCCCCTTTGCCATATAAGGTAACATTCGCAGCTTCCAGAGATGGGCTGTGCACATCTTTCAGGGGGCCATTATTTAGCTTACCACATTATTTAGCTTACCTTAAACAAAAAAGAAAAATATTTGCAGGCTAAATTTCAAGATTCTTTAAGAACACTACAGTCTTCCTCTTTAGTTTCATTCCCTACCAGATGTCTAAATTCATTCCTTCTGGCTACCGTCCTGCCCTTTCCCTCCCCTCTGTCTTCGTTGGTGAGTTCTTTTGTAACCTCTTCACTTTTCAGATTCTTATCCATCCTTCAAAGCCAATCTCAAATGCTGTGTTCTCCATTTAATATTTCTGATTTTCCCAAATTAGCCTAGACATTTTGGTTGCAGGTGACAGAAGCCCAACAAACACATTTAAGCAAGATCTGGAGCCACTGTTAACTCAAGTAATTGAATTGTTTAAACACAGACCAGGGGTGGATCTGGCCTTTGAAACAGCTATGATCAGGAACTTGAACATGATCTGGACTATTTTTACTTCTCCCTGCATACATACCAAGTTCTGTCAGATCAGCTCTTCTAACTTTGGCAGTAGTCGATGTAGCTACAGGTTACTTCAAGCTTACAGTTTTACAACTTTTAGCCAGAAAGAAAGAGACCGTCTCCTTCAGCTAGAGTTTGAAAGAAATTCTGAGAGAAGGACTCTGATTGGCTTGGCTGAGGTCACATGTCCAACCCTTAGACCAATCACTGTGGTGAGATGGTCATGTATTGAAGCTAGAGATAGGAAATGTGGAAAATAATCTTTTAACAGGAAGGAATTATTTACTGTCGCTACCAACTTAGTGTGACTTCTCAAACCCCATTATATTTTGTTTCTATTTTTCTTAACTTATATCATTAATTATACCGCCTTTATTTTGTCCTGTTTTTCTTGCTGACATACTGAGTTCTTAAAGCAAGTGATTATGTCTTTCTCATTTTCACCCTACCCCTCCCACTCAGCACCTTATTCTGTGCAATACTCATAGTAAAAGTACAGTAAAAGCGTTGAATTGGGGTGAAAATAATACTTTAACACAAAAGATATCTCGAGGCAGCTCAAATTTAATTAAAATAGGTGCTAAAAATTCAGAGAAATTAAGTGCACTATGGAGTTTAATGACGAGAAAATATTACAGCTTAAATTGGGATTTGAAAGATGAGTCGAATTTACGTAGAAAAAGGACATATAGCAAAGAGAATAGCATATTACAAAACTCATGTGGTCATAAAGGGAAGAAGGAGAAACAGAAAACTAGTCTAGGTACAAATGGTCTTTTGGTGCTGGAACCTCTTCTATGACTGTACGGCTAGAAATAATAAATATTTAATGTTCATGCTAATTAAAAATTATCATTGCAGAATAGCAGTTTTCCATATCTTGCAAAGATTCATTGTCATTTATTCATTTAATTACTTATTGGTGGTTTACTATGATTATTTATGCATATTAAGGCCTGTGACTCATAATAAGATGTTACTGCTTCAAAGAGGGAGGTAGCAAGATGAGAGAAGAGAGTGCTGAGGAGGAATTAGAGGAAAACAGGGCCAGCCCTGATCATAGCAACCCCATCAGAGCCCACGGTTTTTAAGAATTTCTAAGAACCCTAGTACCTATTGCGAAGGGATGCCTACATTTTAAAATGTGCCTCTTTAGCAAATGTAACATTTTTGATAACAAAGCTGTGGCCTTTGAATTGAGGACCTCACCCACGGATGCATCTAGTCACAATCTATGTAGATCTACTGAAAGTCGTGGGCTGTAAATTTGAAATAATAGAAATCCTTTGACCGGTGTTTTTGAAGTACCTCTTGGTCTTAATGTGTTCTTTAAGACAAAATAAAATGTGAGTACTTACTATATGCCAGGAATTAATATTATTACAACATAATTAAACAATAATTGATACAATTACAACAATTAATAATAAGTGGGCTCTGCCTCCAAGGACTTCATGTCTGTTGAGGGGGAAAAAACACAGAAATGGAACATTTAAGAGATATACGATTATAACTCTGAAAGCCATTTGACCCCAGTGTTATGAAACCATGGTGTTCTGCCTCCAGTACTGACTGATTCCTCATACATTACCCACTTTTCTCATGCTGGTATTACTCTTCCCTGCTCCTGTGGCTTGTCTTGCTTCCTATAGGAATCCTCTGTACAAAGAAAATAGATTTGTATTTGGAAGACAATTTTCATGCTTTCTTCTCAGCCCAGAAACATCAAACTACTCTCACCACCTGTGGGATAAAGTCTGAACTCAAGGGCCTGATTTGCCAGAAACCTACCTACAAATTTGGGGTCATCCTACTAGCCCATTGATTTCTTCCTTGTATCCTGTTTTTACACATTCCCCCAAATGAAGCCCGTATTATCTTCTCTCTCCTGGAGAGTTATTCTCTTTGTCCACAACTCATCAAAACCTGTGAACTTTTAAGGTTTTGGTTTAAAATCTACCTCCTACTGGAAGCCATTCTGAATGAACTTCTAGGGAAATTACTGCTTGACTATTAACCTTTAATCATAGATCTTTTACGTTATTCCTTCTCTGTGTCTAATGTCTTTATGTTGTTTCCCAAATTCATTGTTAACTAATAAAGAAAGAACCAGGACTCTGTTGTATTCATCTATGGGTTCTGAGCACCATGGACAGTGCCTTGCCAGGAAGCATCTAGTTAATATGCGGTTATCACAGTACCTACTTTGAATGTTGATAAGACAATTATAAATGTAAACTGAAATATAGTACTTTTATGTAGAAAGATCATTCATTGGCATTCGTGATGTATTTTGCAATTGCTAAGAGCCTTGAAAAAGCTATTTTGTGATAATTAGAGAAAAAAAGCAGGCTGTTGGCATGAGGAATCAGTGTTTTAAGAAAATTATTCTGGCAGCTGTATATATAATGAGTTGATAGGGTGGGACTGGAAGCAGGTGGACAAGCTACAAGGCAGATGTATTAAATCAAGCATAAGAGGCAAGTAAGTGGGCCAGGATTCTCCCAAACACTCTGCATAGCCCAGCGGCATCTGAAATTATTTAAATATTGCCAAAGGTTATTTGACACATGGAAATAAATTCCCAGGCTTTATTTCCAGTAATTGATCAAAGTCCATCTTTAGCCAAGTAAGGTCAGTTAGAGGGAACTTCAGATTTCCCACAGCAGTGATTTTTAAGCCTAGTTCTTGAGGAATCTCTTTGTCATTATGAGATTTATTTTTATTGCTATTGCTTATCTCACTGGTTTTGTAGGACTTAAATATGATAGCCTGTTTTGTTTACATTAAAGAACACATAATCATGCGATGATCACAAATAAGTGTTTTTAAAATAAAAATGGAACATATGGAAAATAACGCCGGTCACCATTTGGCTTGATTCAGGACATCCAGATGCTTGTCTCCTCTCATGCTGCTAAATGGTTGGTTGTACTTTTAATTAGGGAGCAATGCAAAACTGATGTCTAAAATATTAAAGTAAAAAAATGGAAGCTTAGTTTACAGTCTTATAATCTTTTTATGAGATAAGATTTATATACAATGAAATGCATCTTAAGTGTACAACTTGAGTTTTGACAATGTATTCATTTGTGTAACCACACCCTAATAAAGCCAGAGATCTACCCATGTGCTCTTCACCTGTCATTCTCCATCCTATAAAAGCACCACTCCTGATTTCTCTCACCGTTGATAGTTGTTTGCTTTAGAACTTCATTGAAATGGAATCATAGGTACCTTTTACATTGGGTCCTGCCACTCAGCATAAGGTTTTGAAGATTTATTATGGTGTGTATCAGTAGTTCATTCTTATCCATAATTTGTTTTGTTTTTATTGGTGAATACTGTGCTGTTCTGTTTTATGAACACACCACACATTGTTTACACGTTATCTTTTTGATGGACATTTAGGTTGTTTCCAGTATTTGCTCTCATGAATTAAGCTGTTATGAACATTTTTAGAGAGTCTCTATATTTTTTCACTTGTTAATTAAATACCTCTGAGTGGAATTTCTAGCTCCAAGGGTAGCTAGATGTTTAATTTTATAAACTGTCAATTTCTGAAACTGGTTGTACCATTTTGCCCTCCCATCAGCAATATATGTGAGATTCAGATATTTTATATTATTTGGTGTTGTTGGTCTTCTAGTGAGTATGAAGTGATGTTTCACTGAGGCTTTAATTTGCTTCTCTCTGAAGAGTACTGAAATTGGGCATCTTTTTGTTCTTATTTGCTGTTTATATATCTTCTTCTGAGGTATATGTTCAAATCTTTGACTCATTTTTAAAAAATAACCATTCTATGTTATAAAATAATAGAAGTTATTTTATACAACTTGAATAAGGTTAACCATGCTCATATCAGGAATAGTTATTAGCGTAATTCAAGATACACCAAATCAAATAGTATATCCAGGCACAGAGGTATTTAAAAATTAATTTTTGAATGAATAACTATATCCCATTTAAACTTCAAACAGTAATAATGTGTTTGCAAAGTGGTGAGGCTATTCTCTATTCGAAAAAAGCATTTATACTGTATCCCCAAAGGATAACAGTTCAGTCTGGTTAGCTTCCCTGTCCAGAGTCAAGTCAGTATCTTCTCATATCCGAAGATGGCCTACGACAAGCAGCTAGGGTGCATGGCTCCCACGGAGAGGAATGAGAGGAGCAAGTAAATACAGCACCTTCAACTGAAACATCCAGATATTCACGTTAGGAACAATCATGACTCATTTTTAATTGGGTCATTTGTCTTTTTTTATTGATTGGTAGGATTGTTTATATATTCTGGGTGTGAGTCATTTGTCATATATACATACTAATATTTTCTCACAGTCTGGTACATATCCCTTTTATTTCCTAAATGATGTCTTTTTTGAGAAGTGGTTTTTAATTTTGGTGACAAATTTATCATTTTTTTCAAAATGTAGTGGTTTTTAGCACAAAGAAATCTTTTCCTATTTCAAAGTAGCAATTATTTTCTTATGTTTTCTTCTAGAAACTATATAACTTTAGCTGTTAGGTTTAATCCAGTTTGAGTGGATTTTTGCATGTGGTAAAAGACAAAAAGTTGAGATTCATTTTCTATACATTTATCTGGTTGTCCTTGTGCCATCTGTTAAAAAGACTTTCTTTTCCCCCATTGAATTGCTTTGACAGCTTTGTTGAAAATCAGTTCACTGTATATGTGTGAAATCTGTTTCTAGACTCAGTCTTGTTCCATTGGTCAATTGGTCTATCCTTACTCCATTACCATACTGCCTTGATTACCGTAGCTTTATAGTAAATCTTGAGATTAGATAGTGTAAGTCCATCCACTCTATTTTTTCCCACCAGATTCTTCTGGCTATCCAAGATCTTCTAATTTTCCATGTAAATATTAAAATCTGTCAAGTTCTATAAAACAGCCTGCTGGGAGTTTGATTGGGATTCCATTAAATCTGAAGTTGAATTTAAGAATGGTTGATATCCAAATAATATTGAGCCTTTTAATACATGAATGTGGATATCTGAACAGTGTATTGTAGATTTCAGGAAAGAGATCTTGCACATCTTTTGTTAAATTATTTGCTAAGTATTTTAAATTTTTATGTTATTTCAAGTGGAATTATCTTGTATCAATCTTTACTTCTAGTATATAAAAATAGAGTTGATGTTTATATTGACCTTAAATGCCTTGTGATTTTCCTAAATTCACTTATGAGTTCAAATAATTCTTTTGTAAGTTTCTCAGTATTTCTAGAAACAAAACCATATCATCTAGAATGAGTTTCACTTTTGCCTTTTAGGTCTTCACACATTTTATTTCTGTTTCTTGCCTTATTACATCCACTTATTTTACTCCAAAATAAGTTGTTAAACAAAAGTGATGGGCAGACATTTTTTCCTGTTTCCAATCTCTGGTTGAGTTTATCATGCTATTCAGTTCACCCGATAGATTCAAGTCACTGACATGTCAGTTCCTTTTATCTTGAAGGACTCTCTATAGTGTTTGTTGTAAGGCAAGTCTACTAGTAGCAAATTACCCAGTTCAGTATTTTACTCTAAGAAATCATGTTAACTGTAGGTTTTTTGTAGTGCCCATTTATCAGATTGAGAATGTTCCCATATATTCCTGATTTTTTGAGGACTTTTATTATGAATCGGTTTGAATTGTATTGCAGGTCTTTTCTGTGTGATTGGAAATGATTATATGTTTTTTATTCCTTGATTCTGTCACTGCAGTGAAGTACATTTTTGATTTTCAAATGTTAAAGCAACCTGTTCTTCTTCAGATAACCTAACTTGGTCGTGATGTATTAATATTACCTTTTTATATATTGCTGTGTTTAATTTTCTAATATTTTAAGGATCTTTTTGTTTGTTTTCTCAGGAAGGATATTGTTCTGTAGTTTTCTCATAATATGTTTGTCTGCATTTGGTACCAGAGCCTCATACAATGAGTTGAGAAGTGTTCCTACCACCTCTATTTAAAAAAATAGTTTGTGTAAGGTGAATATTATTTCTTCATTAATAGTTGACAAAATATACCATCGAAGCCACCTGGGCTGCAGTTTTCTTTGAGAATTTATAATTCAGTTTCTTTGATATAGTACAAGTCAGATTTTCTGTTTTATCTTGCAACAGTTCTGTTATATTCATATTTTTAGGGAAATTGTCTATTTTATTGAAATTGTTGATATTGTTAGCATAAAATTGTGCATATTCGTTTTTTATTTTATTGGTATATATAGGATGCCTAGTGGCATGCCCTCTATTACTGATACAGGTACTGATTTTTCTCTCCTTTTGTCTTAATCGGTTTTCAAATGATATAAATATTATTTATTAATCTTATTTTAAAACAACCATTTTTTATTATATTTTCTGTATTATTTGCCTTTTATTTCATTGCTTTCTTTCTTGTTTCCTGCATTCTACTTGTGCTGGGTTTAATTTGCCCTTTTTCTGTTTCTTACAGCAAGAACTTAGATTATTGAGTGTAAACCACCTTTCTGATGTAAGCATTTATGGCAGAGCATATGTTATCTCCTGGAGAATGCTCCATGTTTGAAGAGAAGGTATATTCTCCACACATTAGGTGATGTGCTCTCTAAATGTCAGTTAGGTTGAGTTGGTTGCTCAGGTATTTCAGTTCACCCAATAGATTCAAGTTACTGTCATGTCAGTTCATTTTATCCTGAAGGCCTCTCTGTAGTGTTTGTTTTAAGGCTGGTCTACTAGCAGCAAATTCTCTCAGTATTTATCTGTAGAATTTTGCTGTTATTGTTTTGTGGGATACTTTTGCTGGATATAAATTTTTCTAGTTTAACAGATTTTTTTATTGCCCTCTGCATTTTCATTATGTCATTCCACAGCCTTCTAGCCCTCATTGCTTCTGATAAGAAGTGAGCCCTTCAGGGGTTGCAATCCTAGGCTCTGATAAAACAGATTTTAAACCAACAAAGATCAAAAGAGACAAACAAGGCCATTACATAATGGTAAAGGGATCAATTCAACAAGAAGAGCTAACTATCCTAAATATATGTGCACCCAATACAGGAGCACCCAGATTCATAAAGCAAGTCCTTAGAGACCTACAAAGAGATTTAGACTCCCACACAATAATAATGGGAGACTTTAACACCCCACTGTTAACATTAGACAGAGCAATGAGACAGAAAGTTAACAAGGATATCCAGGAATTAAACTCAGCTCTGCACCAAGCAGACCTAATAGACATCTACAGAACTCTCCATCCCAAATCAACAGAATATACATTCTTCTCAGCACCACATCGCACTTATTCCAAAATTGACCACATAGTTGGAAGTAAAGCACTCCTCAGCAAATGTAAAAGGACAGAAATTATTACAAACTGTTTCTTAGACCACAGTGCAATCAAACTAAACTCAGGATTAAGAAACTCACTCAAAACAGCTCAACTACATGGAAACTGAACAACCTGCTCCTGAATGACTACTGGGTACATAACGAAATGAAGGCAGAAATAAAGATGTTCTTTGAAACCAACGAGAAAAAAGACACAACATACCAGAATCTCTGGGACACATTTAAAGCAGTGTGTAGAGGGAAATTTATAGCACTAAATGCCCACAAGAGAAAGCAGGAAAGATCTAAAATTGACACCTTAACATCCCAATTAAAAGAACTAGAGAAGCAAGAGCAAACACATTCAAAAGCTAGCGGAAGGCAAGAAATAACTAAGATCAGAGCAGAACTGAAGGAGATAGAGACACAAAAAACCCTTCAAAAAATCAATGAATCCAGGAGCTGTTTTTTCTTAAAGATCAACAAAATTGATAGACCGCTAGCAAGACTAATAAAGAAGAAAAGAGAGAAGAATCAAATAGATGCAATAAAAAATGATAAAGGAGATATCACCACCGATCCCACAGAAATACAAACTACCATCAGAGAATACTATAAACACCTCTGCGCAAATAAACTAGAAGATTTAGAAGAAATGGATAAATTCCTCGACACATACACCCTCCCAAGACCAAACCAGGAAGAAGTTGAATCTCTGAATAGACCAATAACAGGCTCTGAAATTGAGGCAATAATTAATAGCTTACCAACCAAAAAAAGTCCAGGACCAGACAGATTGACAGCCGAATTCTACCAGCGGTACAAGAAGGAGCTGGTACCATTCCTTCTGAAACTATTCCAATCAATAGAAAAAGAGGGAATCCTCCCTAATTCACTTTATGAGGCCAGCATCATCCTGATACCAAAGCCTGGCAGAGACACAACAAAAAAAGAGAATTTTAGACCAATATCCCTGATGAACATCGATGCAAAAATCCTCAATAAAATACTGGCAAACCAAATCCAGCAGCACATCAAAAAGCTTATCCACCATGATCAAGTGGGCTTCATCCCTGGGATGCAAGGCTGGTTCAACATACGCAAATCAATAAACGTAATCCAACATATAAACAGAACCAAAGACAAAAACCACATGATTATCTCAATAGATGCAGAAAAGGCCTTTGACAAAATTCAACAACCCTTCATGCTAAAAACTCAATAAATTAGGTAATGATGGGACATATCTCAAAATAATAAGAGCTATCTATGACAAATGCACAGCCAATATCATACTGAATGGACAAAAACTGGAAGCATTCCCTTTGAAAACTGGCACAAGACAGGGATGCCCTCTCTCACCACTCCTATTCAACATAGTGTTGGAAGTTCTGGCCAGGGCAACCAGGCAGGAGAAGGAAATAAAGGGTATTCAATTAGGAAAAGAGGAAGTCAAATTGTCCCTGTTTGTAAATGGCATGATTGTATATCTAGAAAACCCCATCGTCTTAGCCCAAAATCTCCTTATGCTGATAAGCAACTTCAGCAAAGTCTCAGGATACAAAATCAATGTGCAAAAATCACAAGCATTCTTATACACCAATAACAGACAAACAGCCAAATCATGAGTGAACTCCCATTCACAATTGCTTCAAAGAGAATAAAATACCTAGGAATCCAACTTACAAGGGATGTGAAGGACCTCTTCAAGGAGAACTACAAACCACTGCTCAATGAAATAAAAGAGGATACAAAGAAATAGAAGAACACTCCATGCTCATGGGTAGGAAGAATCAATATCGTGAAAATGGCCATACTGCCCAAGGTAATTTATAGATTCAATGCCATCCCCATCAATCTACCAATGACTTTCTTCACAGAATTGGAAAAAACTACTTTAAAGTTCATATGGAATCAAAAAAGAGCCCACATCGCCAAGTCAATCCTAAGCCAAAAGAACAAAGCTGGAGGCATCACACTACCTGACTTCAAACTATACTACAAGGCTACAGTAACCAAAACAGCATGGTCCTGGTACCAAAACAGCATGGTACTGGTACCAAAACAGAGATATAGACCAATGGAACAGAACAGAGCCCTCAGAAGTAAGGCCACGTATCTACAACTATCTGATCTTTGACAAACCTGACAAAAACAAGCAATAGGGAAAGGATTCCCTATTTAATAAATGGTGCTGGTAAAACTGGCTAGCCATATGGAGAAAGCTGAAACTGGATCCCTTCGTTACACCTTATACAAAAATTAATTCAAGATGAATTAAAGACTTAAATGTTAGACCTAAAACCATAAAAACCCTAGAAGAAAACATAGGCAATACCATTCAGGACATAGGCATGGGCAAGGACTTCATGTCTAAAACACCAAAAGCAATGGCAACAAAAGCCAACATTGACAAATGGGATCTAATTAAACTAAAGAGCTTCTGCATAGCAAAAAAAACTACCATTGGAGTGAACAGGCAACCTACAGAATGGGAGAAAATTTTTGCAATCTACTCATCTGACAGAGGGCTAATATCCAGAATCTACAATGAACTCAAACAACTTTACAAGAAAAAAACAAACAACCCCATCAAAAAGTGGGCAAAGGATACACTTCTCAAAAGAAGACATTTATGCAGCCAACAGACACGTGAAAAAATGCTCATCATCACTGGCCATCAGAGAAATGCAAATGAAAACCACAATGAGATAACCTCTCACACCAGTTAGAATGGCGATCATTAAAAAGTCAGGAAACAACAGGTGCTGGAGAGGATGTGGAGAAATAGGAACACTTTTACACTGTTGGTGGGAACATAAACTAGTTCAACCATTGTGGAAGTCAGTGTGGTGATTCCTCAGAGATCTAGAACTAGAAATACCATTTGACCCAGCCATCCTATTACTGGATTATAAATCATGCTGCTATAAAGGATTATAAATCCTTTATATCCTTTATAACCAGAGGATTATAAATCATGCTGCTATAAAGACACATGCACACGTATGTTTATCGCGGCACTATTCACAATAGCAAAGACTTGGAACCAACCCAAATGTCCAACAATGATAGATTGGATTAAGAAAATGTGGCACATACACCATGGAATACTATGCAGCCATAGAAAATGATGAGTTCATGTCCTTTGTAGGGATATGGATGAAGCTGGAAACCATCATTCTCAGCAAACTATCTCAAGGACAAAAAACCAAACACCACATCTTCTCACTCATAGGTGGGAATTGAACAATGAGAACACATGGACACAGGAAGGGGAACATCACACACCGGGGCCTGTTGTGGGGTTGGGGGATGGGGGAGGGATAGTATTAGAAGATATACCTAGTGTTGAATGACGAGTTAATGGGTGCAGCACACCAACATGGCACATGTACATATGTAACAAACCTGCACATTGTGCACATGTACCCTAAAACTTAAAGTATAATTAAAAAAAAAAAAAGTCAGCCATTAATTGTACCGATCCTCTGCAGTATGAGATGTTTTGCTTTTCTTTGTGTTTAGAGTTTTCTGTCTTTGGCTTTCCAGAGTTTTACTATGACATGTCCCGGTGTGAATCTCTTTGTATTTGTGTCTCATTGAGCTTCTTTAATACACAAATTAATTTTTCATCAAATTTGGAACGTTTTAGCTGTTATTTCTTCAAAATATTTTCTATCCCTGCCTTTTTTTCTCTTCTTCTGGGACTCCCACATAGTTTGCTATGTTTGATGTCCCACAGGTCCCTGATGCTTGGGTTCATTTGTCTTTAATCTTGGCTCTTCAGATTGAATATTTTCTTTAATTTCACTGATTATTTTTATTCTGTCATCTCAAGTATGCTATTGTGATTTCTGGGGAATTTTTATTTCAGTTATTGTAATTTTCAACTCTAAATTTAAAAAAAAATTCAGCTGCCTCTTGATTATCTCTATTTATTGTTGACATACTTTGCCATTCTAAAAAATGGTTTCCTTTTTTTTACATTAATAACAACTTCTTTCAAGTCTTTAATATCAGGGATATTAGAGACAGTTTCTACTGACTACTTTTTTCCTTGAGTATATGTCACACTTTCCTGTTTCTTTGCATATCTCACAATTTTTTGTGAAAACTGGTCATTCTAGTTAACATATTGTAATAGTTCTGTATTTTTATATTTTTCCCTGAAGATTATTGTTTTTTTTCTGCTTTTGTTGTTTATTGTGTAGTAACTTGCCTAAGCTACTTCTTTGAAATCTGTCTGCCCTGCAGTATGATTCCACTGATATCTTTGCTCAGTTTATGTATAGACAGAGACAAAGATGTAAGTATTTTCTTTAATTTTTAGGTCAGTTTTCCTAGGGGTCATCTCATATGTCTGTGTAGTTTGGTGGTGAGAGGTCATATTCAACCACCTTGTGAGTAAGTCCTCTGTCAATGACTGTGTGTATGGGATGGGTAATGCATTTAAGGCTCAGACTGTTTTAAATCTTGCTCTAACTTTTATCTGTGCCCTTTAAGGTCCATTTACATAACCTTAGGTTTAGTTAGGAGTGTCTGAATAGCTTGAGTTGGTATTCTGGTGCTCTCTGCATGTGCTCTCAGCCATAATTATGATTTCTCCAACCATGACTACAACCTTGGGTGAGAAGAACAATTGGCACTTACTACTTGTCCACTGTTGAGATTATTATGTCCACGAAACATGTCACTGGGAATGGACATCATCCACCACTGCAAGTCAGGTGAGCCCCTTTATTTACGCAGATAAAATGCCAGCCTCGTGGCTTACCCTAACCTGGTGGAACCTTCATATCAACCATACTGGACAACAGCAATTGTGAGACACCATTAATTGTAAGTTTTCTTCACATTTTCTTCAAATGTGAGGAGATATGTAGCTAGAAATCAATGAAAAGTGGTATATCAGGAAAGCAGTACTTGAATCAATCTTGAAATGCATTGCTGCATTTGTGAGGGTTTTGATCAATCCACCAGCCCCTGAACCTTCATAGAAACCAGCACCATTTTCTTGGGCCATTTATCAGTGTGATGAACTGGACCAGGCCATAGCCAAAGAGAAATGGGCCATTTCCCAAAACGCATACACCTAAAAGGTAAATATTTAACCCGATTTCTGACTTTCCTACCAAAGATTCAACATATTTCACTCTTCACCCTTTTAAACCTCCTTCCTTAAAAGAGAAGGGTACACAGTTTTGCCAAGTGCAGCATACTCAACCCCCTGTAGAAGACAGTGCAAAACTGACTTAGTATTATATAAGCATTCACCTCTGTTATACTTGATTCTTTAGTACAACATCAAGAATAATGTCCACAGAAGGAAGACAGAATGCAAAGAAAGAATAAAATAAGATAGAGAAATACACAAGGTTGATTAAAAAAAACACATACTTTTAAATGGAAAAGACAATTTGCTGTGAAGTTTTTTGGTTTTAGGTCTATCTGTGGCAAGTTCCTTTATTTATTCACCTTGCTTTATAGATTTCTAGCTCCATATTTCAATTGTTTGCTTTTATTTTAAATGTTAGTCCATTTGGAAGCCAAAATAAACAGATAATGAAGGAATAGAGCCTTCAATGGAAAATCCTACTCACCAAATGGAAGGGTTGGTTTTGGAACAACAAAAAAGTATTACGTAACAGTAACACTAGATCTGTAGGAGAGTAAAAAGTTAACATAGTAATTTACTGTTCATTGCCATAATTCCATAGTGAAATCTCCAGAAATCATATGTAGAGACAGAAATTCATTGTAAGTGAATATCAGTTGATTTTTCCAAATGTGTTCTGAAATTACTATAACATCTAGAATGAATTGCAAGAAATATGCAGTGAAAAGTACTCAAAAGTAGAAGCATCTCCATTATATCTGCATTATCTTGAAAATAATATTTTACTTTATATATCTTGTTAGTGACATGTTTTTAAGTTTATTCTTCCCTGGCAAAAATCAGTTATGGTATTGCAGAGCAAAATTCCTTTTGAAAAAGATATCACTTTACATGCAGATTATATTATCACCTATAGCTAAGCCTAAACATTAACTCTAGAATATAATCAAATGAAATGCCTCTAAAAAGTATAAAACTAAACCAAAAATAAAAAATAAAAACAAGAAGTAGGAAATTATTCCTAAGTTATGGTAGAAATCTTTTCTCATAAGAGAATTCCCTAGAGGAGAAGAAGAATGAATAGAGAAGCCTTCCTTTATCATTTCATAATTCATAGAGAGATTGACAAGAGTGAGGGGAAAGCCTTTGATTCCCAACCTGGCATAAAAGAGAACAAGTGGTTGCTAAATGGCTGCAGAGCCAGAGAAAGCATGACACTTGTTTTTAGAGTTTTCCCTTTATATATCCAGAGTACAGAAAGTCCTCCCCTAATGTCATCAGTAGATTCGCAGAAACTGAAACTTCAGTGAGAGAACACATAATGAGACTGTTTTACCACAGGCGAATTGATATAAGTAAGAGTTAAGTTCCTATGACATATTTCTGGCCACAAAAACATCACCAAACTTCTAAATAAAAACCAAAACACTTCTAATATTAAACATTGAAATAAATGTGAGCTATACATATATTTAAGAAAGACTAATAAGATCATTATTTACTCTAGTTCAGGATCTTGGGTGGCCAGAACCTATCCTGGCAGCTCAGGTTACAAGGTGGGAACCAGCCCTGCACTGGAGGTCATCCCATGGCAGGATGACTCACGCCCACACTCATTCAGACTGGAACCACATGGACATGCCAGTTCACCTAATGGGCACAGCTTTGGGACACAGGATATCCGGGAGAAAAACCACACAGACATAGGGAGAACGTGCAGACTCCTGCTGGGAATCAATATTTTTTTTCTCATCAATGTTATAAGGAAGCGACATTGATTGAAACAACATTATTTAAGGACCTCTGTACTGTGTCAGTCAAGGTTCCTGCAGGAAGCAGATGGTACACTCAAGCTAGGTTAACTCTAGAGGGTTTAAGAAAGGGGACTGTCAGCAAAGCCCTGAGAGGAATAGAAAGAAATTGCAAGGGATAGTACAGCACCCCGGGGCTAACAATAGTAGAATTGTTACCGCCCCAGGTCCAAAGGACCCAGAAGAAAGTGCATTTACAGAATTAGAGAAAGCACCCTAAGGGGACATAGCATAGCAAATATGAGATGTCCCTACAGGTTAAGACCCTGGGGAATAAAGACCATAACCTCTCTCCTTTCTCCCTGTGGCCTGGTGCTGTGGCTCACAGGGTGCATACATCACAGCAAGCTGGAGGAGTAGGAAACCCATTGGTGTCCTTTGTACAGATTAGCCTCCTGGCTGTGGGAGAGAGTAGGTAGAGAGGGTGGGGAGTGGGTCTGGAGGGGCAAAGGGAAGAAAGCTAACCTTTGTTGCTAGTTTGGAATGCTGCTTCTGAGGGACAGTCCAAGGGGGGGACATGGTTAAAAACAACCACAACAAAATCAAATGTGATCACAAAAGAGGAAAGCATACATGTCAATTGCAGGACTCCAGTTCAGATTTTCCTAGGAAGGATCTCATCACCTCTCTGGTAAACTACCCAGTGGGTGTCCTCGTGTGACAGTTTGTGGTCCCCTCTCTTTTGAACCACGCAAAGTGTTCCTGGGGCCAGTTGGGGAGTTTAGTAGAATCTACATTTTTTTTTTGAAAAGCTGCTATGTATCAGATATTTTGTTAAAAATAGGTAATATAAAGGTAAGATAAAGACTCAATTCCAACCCTCATAGTCCTCATGGGATGAAAGGAAAGAGATCCTTAAGCCATGTCTCTATGAACCTATTAAGGAAAACTAGAGAAGACAGACAAGGGGGAGGAGGAGGAGAACTGGGACCCATCTCTCCGCTTAAGTACTATATATGTGTTAAATCGTTCTTTCTCTTACTAACCCTGTGAGATTCGTCCTGTTAGCGTCCCCATTTCATATATGAGAAAACCAAGTCCAGTAAATTTTAAGTAGCATGCTCAAGGTCACACCATAAGTAAGTCGTGGAGATGGTATTTGAGCTAGGTAGTGTGGAACTTAACGTTATTAAGATAATGGTGAGATCAATATAAAGAAATTTCATTTTCTTATATATTTTTATCTAACATTTCGATAATCATGGTTACAATCAAATTATTTTAAACAAATTTGTGGACATAACAGTTATAAATAATTTAATCTGTATTCAATACACAAACAATAACACTCTAGTATCTAAATTGAGAAAGTATGGCTAAACATAGCTTCATAAAGCCTTCATGATATTTATGATTCCCCGGGAAGAAACAGAAAGATCCATCTCTTCTGTACATACACAATCTTCAGGATTTCTCTTCTTTATAGTCAGTATAATTTTGCTTATATCAGCCAATATTTTAGAGCAATTATGCATAGACCTTTAGTGTTCAGTAATATAACTCAATGGCCTCTCAACTTTAAATCACTAGCATATTTCATGTAAAAAGCAACAGCTCTTTCTATGAAAGGCTATTAAAAATGAAAAACACTACAAAAATCAAACACCCCAAGACCTTAAGAATAGGGTGTGCATTCCACTATTTATATCGAAAAAGAAACTGCTGATAAATTGATAGCATTATAGCTATATTTTATTCTTGAGGTAGGAAAAAAAATGCAGAATAACAATGGGTTTTTTTCCCCTGAGCCTGCTTTACTTCCCAGCCTTGAAGTAATTTAAGTGCTTAGAAAAGCATGTTGAGACTATTAGTCTGCTCTGATACTATTTTTGCACAGTAAATAGAGTTTGTAGGTATAAAAATAGTAAACTGTCTCCCTGTTAAATAAACAGTAATTCAGTAAATCAGATCCATTGACCTTCCAGTCAGTCTGAATCCTTGCACAATTTGAGTTGTAAAAATAGTCAACCACAGTTCCATCACTCATATTCAGTATTTATTTGATGGGTATTTAGCTCCAGCTATTATGCTAGGCATGCTCCGAGAACCTACCTCTATCTTATGTTTTGGGGCATTAGTGTCTCTTTGCTGGGTTCTGGTTACACACATTTACCGAAGATAGTGAGTAAAGCTACACCATGAGTATCCTTGGAGAATTTATTTAACCTCTCAATGCTCCCATTTCCACAATCATCAAAGTTGTATTTAGTTTTTTTTATTTTTAGCATTGTTGTGTGAAACAAATCAACTGATAGATGGAAATAATGTAATTATAACAGGTACTGTTTATAACACCCAGGACCTTGCATGATTACTATGTAACTTACAGATTATTGGGAAAGTACAATTATTGTCTTACTGGGGACACTGAAGCTTAAACTTTAGTATGTCCTCAAGGTCATAAAGCTGGTGTGTTGTCGCACCAGGGACTCACACCCTGTCCCATCTGACATGAGGCTCTGAGCCATTAGCTGTGGCACATTGCTGTCATTTCTACTGAACTCACCATGATTTCTACTGAACTCACCTTAAATCCAGTCTTCTGTAACCAAAGAAAAGCCTTCTCCCAGTAAAAATGTGTAAATTATCAGAATTCATATTGGTAATATTTTAATACAAAGCAATCTGTTTTATCCAACTATGGAGGGATATAAGAATCAATATATTATGGCTTTAGGAAAAAATTACCCTGAGGACCATCCAGCTTTTTTGACAGACACAATAATTTCTGAAAGATAGCACTTACGTTCTCTTTAATGTTGTTTTAATTTTTTAAATTCAGTATGTCTGTATATGTTACCTAAGCCTTCTTAATGACACTGGGAGATTTTAGTTCTGTCTTATGATAATTATAGGGGTCAATGTTTCAATAAATTATAAATGTACACTTATTACTACAGTTTATTAAAATTCTGAACCTCCTGAACTTAGGAGTTTTACATCTTTCTAAAAGCCTTGTACCGTTAGTATCAGTGATTTAACTCTTAACAGGGTAAGACCCCACAGTGTGTAAGTCTTGTATTTCTGAAAAAAATGGGACTTACCTTTTATTAATGAGGATCACATAGAAATTTATATGTAGTAGTGGGAGCTCAGATAATTTGACCAAGATTTTTCTTGATATCTCAGTAGTATCTGAGGAGTATAAGATAATTAAGAAAACCAGTATCTCTGGGGAGTATATTTAGGGCCATTCTGTGTGCTGTAGTAGTATGTGCTCTTGAGTGAGGTCAGGAAATCTGGATTCTGAGGAATGCTTCCTAAGCTCTTGGGGCTTCAGTTTTCTCATCACTTAAGGAGGTGGCCCTTGATCTGTTTACTGTATACATTCTATGCAGTTGAAATACTGAAAACATTTTATGTAAATTCCTTTTTAAAAATATTTGACAATATCCTCTGGAAGGTCATTAGTACTGAATTGTTATAAATCAGTATAGACCATTTATCTTAGTCTGTTTGGACTGTTATAACAAAATACCATATATTGGGTGGCTCATAAGCTACAAAATTGTATTTCTCACAGTTGCCGAGACTGGGAAATCAAATATCAAGGTGCCAGCAGATTTGGGGTCTGGTGAGAGCTCGCTTTCTGGTTCGTAGGTGGCACATGGTAGTTGCATCCTCACATGGTAGGAGGAGCAACAGAACTCTCTCTTTTGTAAGGTCACTAATCCAATCCAGGATAACTCTACTTTCATGACTTAATTACTTCCCAAAAGCCTCTCCCTCTATTACCTTCAGGTGAGAGTAATTGAACATATGAATGATAGGATTTGAACATATGAATTTTGGAAGGGCACAAACATTCAGACCATAGAGCTATCCCATCCAGAGTCCAGAATATTCGATGAGCCCCAGGACCCCACAGCCCATCTTGAGGGACCCTCATTCCTTGGCTCCTCCAGTGCCTGTTGGAGTCCCCCACAGAGCCCTGGATCTCCAGTATCTCCTTCAGCCTAGGGTGACACCATGTATCTAATGGCTCTTCTATGGCCCATTTGCAGGAGACTTCCTTTTTAGCATGAATTGCTTAAAAGTAGGAAGTAAAAGGAAGACATTGTTCAATTTGGAAGAGTGGAACAGATGAGGTGCATGTAGTTCTCTCTGCCCAAACACAGTGAGTATCTAGTTCTCGGGATGCTGTGATAGCCCTTGTAGTTGACTTTCCTCCAGAACCAGGCTTCACATTTGTGCCTCTTCAGCTGTGCACTCTCCTTGTGTCCCTTCAATGGCTAGAGTCCTCTGGTGAGGGATGTCAAAGAAGGCTGATGGCAGAAATGATGGGATGCCTCCGTAGGGTACTTGGCCTACCTGCCTTCAGGGATGACACCCTCGGTATTTGTTTTACCCATGAATTGCTTCTTCCAGCCCCACTTCACAACTAGATATTTACTTCTATGTGTAAGTACAGGTAGGGATGAGTTTTTTTTTAATCTTGAAACTGTAAATGACCGTCAGTACCATACAATGTTAACACTCGTTTCTACACCCAGCCCCTTTCACTCCCCACATCCTCATTTTACCTGTGAGGAACTGAAGCCTACGTCAAGTCACAGTAATTATTGGCAGAACTCAAATTTAGTTCATATGACTCTTGTGAACGTTCCAACACACTATGTAACTTTTATAGGAATAGTCCTTTTCTTTCATTTTTTTCCTAAATTATCTCTAACATGTGTTCCCTGTAATTCAGTAACATTTGGTTATTTTTACATAGCTTTGGAATTGTTAGAGAAAACACTGCGGCTGCCAAAATATATTTGTAAATAATTATTCTGAAATTTTCTCCCGTATATTAAAGTTGGCTGATCTCTAAGGCCTTCTAATAATACACAATATAATAATATATTTATAGTAATATAGAAAAAGACAATAGGGCAGTCCTCGTTGATAATTTTTATAAGTACCTAGGAATCAACTGAAAAATGATTGGGGATTGTTCTCACAAATTTTATTTTATTAACTGCTGTCCAAATGAAGGATGCTATTCCTTAACATTTAATTAATTTCTTTGGAAAAGCATATACACTTTTTGGTTTCATTTGAGCTGGGTAATACTTTCTAAATTAGGTTTGGTTAATATATTTTTACTTTATTTAGGGTTCTAATACATGTCTATATATTTTAGCTTCCTTCCATTGAACATTTTATGCAAAAGTTTATAGTAACTTGATTTTTTAAATCAAAAGTATATATGTAGAAAATTCTGTGGTTCTCATTAAATAGGGAGTATCACTATTCCATTCAGATGATTGAATTTTTAAAAGTTACTTTAGTGTCACTTATACTGAAAAGAATTTCAGTCTGATTTTTGAAGACTCATCAGATATGTGTGAAAATTTTGAAGCAACTTGGTGTTAGAATCATGACACCAACTGACATTAGGCCATATGTGTGCACCTGAAGCATTTAAACGTCTTGCCAATGCAGATCCAAGGAGAACAATTTTCTGTGTTTAGTTGACTGAACAAGTAGGATGTAACATCACAGAGTATCACTTAAAGAGGCATAATGTTTATTTTCAAATAGACTTTTATTGCTACCTTTAAAAATAACTTCTAATATGATTGGGTAAGTTAATCATTTTCGGTGTTTTAACTAGGATCAGCTTTAGAGACTCATCCTTACTTTCTTAGCACTTCTGTTAACAGTAACAGTAATGATGCTGAAATTCCCAAAATATCCTAGAGTTGAAATATCATCCAAATTACACTTGTGCTTATTGGGTCAAGTTTTCCTTAATGCTTGAGTTAGCTTGGAGTAATATATTAACTCTTTCTTGCCATGCATGCTACATTCCAGGGAACAGGACCCTTGGAACCCTGAATTGGAAAGTATCTTCACAAGATACTCACTTATATGTTAATCAAATGGAGGTCCAATTTGCATTTAAATATGCATGTGCAAAGATGATTGCATGGGGAAGAGAAAGCAAAAAGTTAAAAATCAGTGTTGGGGTCAGTAGAAAGAACACAAGCCCTGTAGTGTGTAGCCTGGATTAAGCCATGAACTGACCAGTAGCCAACTTGTGTGCACTTGAGCAAGTTACTTAGCAACTGTGAGTTTCCTCATGTGTAAAATAGAGATCATGATACCTTCTTCACAGGGCTTTCATGAGGTTTGGTGAACCAGTGTGTGGGAAGGTACCTGGAGCAGTTCCTAAGGAGGGTCTTAATAAATGTTGAATATGAATTTTTACTGCTTGTATTCTCACAAATCTTAACTTAGTTTAATCACATTGAAAAAAAAAATCATGGGGTGCGGGGCCAAGATGGTCGACTAGAAACAGTGGCAATCAGAGGTTCCCATCTAAAAGAACCATAACTAGCGTGTGAATCCTTCACCGGTCATCAGGGTATCCAGGTTCTCTCATCAGAACTGACGAGGTGACTGACGTGATCCATGGAGAGGAAGGAAGAGCAATGTGGTACTGTGGCCCACCTGAGAGCCGCATGGGGCAGGGGAGCCCCAACCCCCAGCCAAGGGAGGCACAGAGTGAGTATGCTACCCAGCCAGGGAAACTGTGCTTTTTCCATGGAACTGTGCAACACGGATCCGAAGATCCCACTCAAACCCATGCTACCGGGGCCTAGGGTCCCAACCCTGGAGCTGCTCAGATTCTCAACAGCCTCTCAGCTGGAATCTGCCTAAGCCTGCAGAGCTCCCAGGGAAAGGGGCAACCAGCACCACAGCTGTAGCTGCCTGCTGCCTTAGCCTTTTGAGCTTTTTGCGACGGGGGGCAGCAGCCAGCACTGGGACTCATAACTGCCTAACATACTAAGCAACCTGGGTTGGGGAAGGGTGGCATCCATCTCTATAGCTCCAGGCTGCACTTTTACCCTGCTGGAGCCAGGGAGACTGGATGGCTTGGTCCCCAAGAAGTGTTCCCCACAGCCCAACACAGCTGTGGCATACGGTGGCCAGAGCACCTCTTCAGACCTGACCCTGACACATCCTTCCACACTGGGTAGGGCTTCCCTGCAAGAACTCCAACAACTCTAGCCAGAGACTCAGGGACAGAAACCAAATCTCCCTGGGCATGAGCCCCTAGGGGGAGGGGTGGCCGCAGTCTTTGCAGTCAAGCAGAGTTAGCCTTTCCTCCTGATGGTTCTGAGGAATCTGGGCAGCCCAGACAAGTGGATTTCCCCCTAGTGAAGCACACCCCTTCCACCAAAGGACAGTGAAAGTGCTTCATTAATGGGTCCTGTTCCCAAAGGAATATAAGTCATTCTATGAAGATACATGCACACATATGTTTATTGCAGCACTGTTTACAATAGCAAAGTCATGGAACCAACCCAAATGCCCATCAATGATAGACTGGATAAAGAAAATGCGGTACATATAGACCATGGAATATTACACAGCCATACAAAGGAATGAGATCATGTCCTTTTCAGGGACATGGATGAAGCTGGAAACCATCATCCTCAGCAAACTAGCACAGGAACAGAAAATGAAACACCACATGTTCTCACTCGTAAGTGAGAGTTGAACATTGAGAACACATGGACACAGGGAGGGAAACAACACACACCAGGGCCTCTTAGGGGTTGAAGGGAGGGAACTTAGAGGATGGGTCAATAGGTGCAGCAAACCACCATGGCACACATATACCTATGTAACAACCCTCCACGTTTTGCACGTGTATCTCAGAACTTAAAAGTAAAACTTAAAATCAGTACAAAGAAGATAGAGTATTTTCTAGTGCGAAATATTTTATGTGGATCCTTTATGTCAACAAAGATAAAGCCAAGGCAAGGAAAATTAATTTCACACTTTAGCCTTCTGCAAATGCCTCTTGTTCCAGGATTACTTTAGCCAGTATCACTTAACCCCAAGGTGAAAATGAATACAGCAAGAGGGAGAAACAGTTGTTAAATTTATTACAACAGCCAAGCTGTCAAATTGAACATGTTATTCATAGTGCTTCTAATTGTCAACCTAATTTATGTATTAATATCTCAGGACAGCATGTGCAGAAATTTAATCAGCAAACTATTGTTTCCATGGAAGTCTAGTGGTTACATTCTGGGAGAGAATTCAGGCTTCAGAATCTCTTCTGCCTCCTCTGTCAGGGTCCATATGCACAGTGGCAGAGTTTGTAGAAAAGTAGAAATTGTTGTTGTGAATTACCCATTTGCATATATTAAACAATGGTAAACAATAGATCTGAGTTTGGGGGTAGTTCATTGTTTTTTGGTTTTTGTTTTTTTAAAACCAGATCAACTGAACCCAAATCCTTTTAGGAACATAATGGAATGGACATGATTATACTGGATGAATCGGTTATTATTTAAATAAAACTGAGCTCTAGGGAAACAACAGTTATAAATTGCCTATAACTGACTATAAAATATACTAGTAATTGACTTTTAAAATATTTTTAATATTTACATTTAAATATTTTATTTACATTTCAAATATTATGTTTATATTAACTGCACATATGGTTTACATCTAGTGTTTTAGTTTTGTCTCAGTTTCTCTTTAATCCCTGAGATTGTCAGTGACTTCTCATAATGAATCTCCTAACCTCTAATTCAAGCTAGTGCCTAAATAGTGTTGGATTTTTTAATAAATACCACCAACATGGTTGTAGTATTCAAATTTTACTACCCCAAATGATAATCTAGTTTGGGATGATATAAATTGGAAATTTTCATATAATTTCTGACTTTTCATAGCTGAAGCACTCCCTTGGGACAAGTCAGTACTTAGCTTTTGGATACTAATGTGCCCACAACCACATGAGGCCAACCAACCATTTTTTGGCAACATTTTATGATAAAAACTTTCAAAATTACAGGAAAGTTGAAAGAATTGTACAGTAAACACTTATATACTTACCCCCAAGATTCTACAATTAACATTTTACATATTGCCATATCATGTGTTTATCTCTACATTCATATTTTATTTTTATTATATGTATTTCACAGTAAATGGCAATTATCAGTGTATTCTGCTCTTAACACTTTAGCATGCATATCATTAAATACACTTCAATATTTGTTTACGGTTCTCTTCATTTGTCTTTTGAGGTAAAATTTACACAGTGAAATGTACAAATCCTAAGTGTACTATGAGATGATTTTTGTCAGATGCCTATGTCAATATAACCCAAACCTTTAGCTAAATATGGAACATTTTTCTCATCCCCCAAATTTCCTTCATATCCCCTCCTAGTGAGTCCCACTCCTCACCCCTAGAGGCAACTACTCTTATGATTTTCTTCCAACAGATTAGTTTCAGGCAACCAGTTATCAGCAAAGGCTTTTTTTTTCCGGAGTTGTTGGTTAGATTTGACTGTATGCCTAGGTACCCTGCTGGAAGGTCGAATGAACAATCTATTTTTCATTTTCACATCCGTCTAACTTTCTGAGGCTATTTCGCTTCTCTTCTGGTGGCTTATTTGCCCTTTTGCCTAACAATCCAGCCATCTTCTAAGCCCTTTCTCATAGTTGAAAGTAAGCAAAAGGGAAAGGAGGGCCTCAAGGGTCTTTGCACAGCACTGTCCTTAAGAAATTAGATGTGCACACCATTTCAGAGATAAATTTAGCCAACATCTATTAAAGGGCTTACTCTGTACCAGGCTCTAGGATAAACATAGACAATACCAAGATAGATAAAACATGCAGAAGCACCAGTAAGGGAGACTGACACATAAACCAATAACTATTAACCATTAATTATATTTTAAAAAATGTATTGGGCCACTACTATGTAGATAGCCCTGTGCCAGGCAGTGGGGATATGGCCCTGAACAAGATAGACATGGTTCCTGCCCTCAAGAGCTTCAGTGTAGAGGTGAGGGCAATCCTTACTGATTGTAAGTGTGACGATATCACAGAAGTGCAGAGTGTTATGGGAGTGTATTTGAGCAGATATAACTTAGTCCTTCTGGGAAGTTATAGGCAGTCAGGAAAGGCTTCCAAGAGAAACTGCCTTTAAGCAAATTATAAAGGACAAGTAGGAGCACGCATTGGTTAAAGGCACATACAGTAGTTAGACCACAGATGTGTGGAAACCACCTAAGAAGAAAGATGGCATGTTGGAAAAATGGAAATGGAACGTAGATAACAAAGAGGGATGCAGTAAAAGGTGAAGTCTGCAGAAAGGAATGGGCTCAGTCAGATAGGTTCCTATGACATTTCTCATGAGAGGCTAAGGGCATTTGACAGGGTGAGCCATCATCATTTTTGCTCTTCACTCCGCAGATGAATTACTGACTTTTTAAATTAGTTTCTGAGTTTGACTGGAAGTTGGCTGTACAGTTGTTTCAGCAAGAAGCAGTTCTGAGAGGTGTAGAGTTAAGGAGTCCTAGAATTAAGGAATGATATGACAAGGTTTTGGTTTAATGGGACTTCTTAAAGTTTGCAGCTCTGTGTAGTCTTAAACCCCTGAGAGCAAACCTAAAAGGAATCATGGGAATCCTTTGACCAAAGGTCTGAAGTCAACCTTTTCCTTCAGAAGTCTAAAATCAGCCCGGGACATTCAGTGATAACCACACTCACTAACAGGTCATCTCTGAGTAGTTAGATCAACAGTTTAAAAATAAATGTAGCCAACTTCTTACCTTTGTACCTCTTTGATTTTCTTGCGTTATTTAATAGTTTGTAATAAAACGACTAAGTAGCCATAACAAAAATAATAGCCTAATCTAAGGATTGCTGTGGGACTTAACCTTTTTGTTCATCCGAGATAAGATTAAATAGGGAAAAAAATCTACGGTGATTCAGCTGCTGCATTGAATTGCATGCTATTGCTGATATAATCTCCATTACCTTTTTGTAAATTTAATTTTAATTACATCAGTCTAGTAGGTTCCATACAGATATTTACTTTTAGTATAATGGATTTTTAAGGGAAAATATTCCATGAAAGCATTGAGTATTGAATATTTTATTTGAAAGCAAATGCTAAAAGTATTTTTATAACATTCAATATTGATACTTTGGGAAAGAGTAAAGTGAAAATATATTTTAATGGATTAAAAGGAAACCTTCGTAGCCTTTACTGTCAGTAGTATTTAGAAGTTCACACTGATAATAATATTAATATATTATTTATAAATGCATTAGAGAGGATAGTGTTACTAAAATTTTTGTTTTGCTATATCTGTGTAAAACTGTATCAGTGTTTTTCATATGAGAGATAACTCACCTTTTCAATAAGACCAGTTATATACATCCACAAATATATGATAATCAAAATATTTAAACTTACCCCAAAACATTAAAATTAAGGCACCATGCATTATATACCCTTGGTATGGGCCATGCCTTAAACTCTTCTCTGCAATTTGTCATTTTTTTGAACATATAAGAAATATTGTCTGAATGTAAGCTGACTCAGATATGGAAGCTCCTGAAGTGAAGATCACTTTGAGAGGGTTAATTATCTGAACAGGGCCACACATCATTAAGTTTTTTTAGAAAGTTAATAAAACTGACTTAATGATCCTCACATATTTTCAAGGGCCTTGCCTCAGTACATTTCTCCCCTTGGCCCCACTTGTGAGGTGCATTCCCTTAGGCGATCCGTTGTCAGGGCAAATTCCTAGGCGCTCCAAAGATCCATGCAGGAAACTGGGACCAATGAGTTTGCTATGATCTGAATGCAACCTCCCAAAATTTATATGTTGAAAATGTGATAGTATTAAGAAGTGAGGCCTTGAGGGGATGATTAAGTCATGAGAACAGAGGCTTCATGAATGGGATTAGTGACCTTATGAAAAAAGGTTGAAGGGACTGCTCTAGCCCCTTGGGCCCCTTCATGTGAGGACGCAGCAGGAGGCACCATCTATGAAGCGGAGAGTGACCTCATCAGATACCAAATCTTCAGTGCCTTGATCTTGGACTTCCCCGTTTCCAGAACTGTGAGAAATAAGTTTCTATTACTTATAAATATCCCCACCATAAGATATTGTGTTATAGCGGCCTGAATGGGCTAAGAACTTTACCCAGCTCACCTCCTGCCCCAGGATCCCATTCAAACAGGTATCAAGATATTGTGGAATCCTGACATATGTGGAGATCAAAATTGCATTCTCTAAAGCATTGGTCCCCACTGGTTTCATGGACAACAACTTTTCCATGGATCAGGGAGTGGCAGGGGGTTGGATTTGGGATGGAACTGTTCCACCTCAGATCATCAGGCATTAGGTTCTCTTAAAGAGTGTGCATCCCGGATCCCGCACACGCCCAGTTCACCATAGGGTTCGCACTTCTTTGAGAATCTAATGCCACCACTGATTTGACAGGAGGTAGAGCTCAGGCTGTAATGCCTGCTTGCCCACCGCTCACCTCCTGCTGTGCAGCCTGGTTCCTAACAGGCCACGGACCAGTACCAGTTCGTGACCTGGGGGTTGGGGGCCTCTGCTCTAAAATGTCTATACCTATTAAACTGATTAAATCTATTTTCTGAAAATGTCATCCACTGGACAATGTCCAGTCAATTGTAAACGGGCTGGTACTGGGACTAATGTTACCACTTTCTTTTTCAACAAAATGTTTTATTTAAATAAGCCAATATTTGTTGTTTTTTCACCCTTAATTTCCACATGGAATCAATTAGTCAAAATCAATCTCAACCTCTTCAACTTTCTCTTTCTCCATTAAAAAAGACTTAACTTTTAGCATCACGTGCTCTCCTGATTTATAGGTATTTGTGTCATTGTCTATTTGCCAGTTAGATGTTAACCTGCCTAGCTGCAGGGGTGGGCAGATTACTCATATCCTCCATATCTCCTAGGACAGTACTTTGTACATGGCAAGTTGCAAACATATTTGCTAGTAATTTAATTCATTAGTGGTATAAAGCAAATCAAAACCATGCTTGTTTCCAAAAGCAGTTATTATGGAAATTATTTTATACCTATTTTGTGTCTTCACAATCCATTGATAAATATCAACTATAACATATTAATGTTTGCCACTTTGATATTTTATATGTTGCCAAAATAGTTTAATTAACTTTTTCCCTAGCCACATACAGTATATTAATTTTCCCTTAAAATTGGTTCGTACATTTTGGTTTTTATGAAACCAGATGGTGGATGGCATTTGTATTTAGAGGATTGTGTTGACAGTATAATGAAAGGAAGTTATACGAAGAAGGAATATATGTGTTTACTAATGACGTTAAGGATTTAAAGTGTTTTCTTAATAATGTGGAGTATGCCTTCAGCTATTGTTATTCCTACCAGCTATTGCAAGCTATGTAGTACTGGGTAGTACTTAACAAATGTTAAGCCCAGGGCACACTGCATTTAAAAAAAAAAAAAAAAGATTTGGACTTTAAAATTCAGAGGAGACCTATCACTGAACATTCTTCTCTATTCTAAACTAGTAAAAAGCATAATTAAAGCGTTATAGGTAAGGCTCACTATAGGCTATAGTAAGAAGACAGACAAGAGGTGTTCCACAAATCACAGGAAGTCCCCACCCCCCTACTCCTTTCTGGAAAGGAAGACTTTCTTTGTTGTCAGATGAGGGAATATAATGGGAGGGAACCACAGAGTTGATGCAATAAGACAAATGTGAGAGCTTCCAATCTTGTTGTAACAGCCTCTAATGTTCCCAGGCCTTCCCTACACCATTGAAACAGTACGTACACATCGTTTGAGAATTAGGGTTACTGTCTGGACATTTTTATCTTTAATGTGCCACTAATTGGCAGTTGACTGTAGGTTATTTCAGAGAAATCCTTAATACCAAAGGCCACAAGTTAGTGTGGAATTCTCAGGAATGTCTGCTTTTATATGCCCCACACCCTCAAGCCCCACCCATGTTCTCATTTCCCGCCCCTGTAGGACTACATGCTGACTTGCCAGAGGCCATAGGAGCAGCTAAGAAGGATACATTGCAGACCCCAAATGTCCATCTCACCTCCTGCTTATTAATAAGATAGCAGCAGCAAACTAAGGGAAAAGGTGGAAAACATTGACAAAGAAGATGTAGCTTCCGCCTTCTCTATGTTGTAGATATTCCAGTGAAATGGACTATGGTTTTGTCTGTAACAAAAATTTTTTGGAAAACAAAAAACCTTAATTCGATAGATTTGACTATTTTTAAGGATAAGGTCAGACTTGCTTCATGATTGATGAAATACACAGAAATCATTTATTAAGACATCAAAGAGTAAGCAAAAATTAGTCATAGAATATTAGAGTTTAAACCAAATGTATCTGAGACGAATCTCAATCAATTAGGAGTTTATTTTGCCAAAATAAAGATCACATCTGAAAGAAACACAGAACCACAGAAACAGTTTGTGGTCTGCACCCTTCTCCAAAGATGACTTCGATGTTTGAGGGCTTCAATATTTAAAGTGGAATAGTGGGCTAGAGGGAAAGGAGGGAGGGTATGGTCACATTACTGAATCCACATGTTACAGGAGAAAAGGAGCAGGCAGGGGAATCGTCGATTATGTATTCATCTGGTGCTGAGCATAAAATAAGGTGAACACAGAACAGCTACTTGTGGAGATAATTGACCTTTTCTCTATAGCTCTCTGCTTAAGAGGAAAAGGTAAGGCAGCTTCTTGCATGACTCAGCTTTCAGCTTAGTTTTTTTTTTGTCAGAGTGTGTTGGTGTCCCAAGTTTTTATTTTTATTTTTTCACAAGAATCAGAAAAGTTTTTGAAGATTATCCAATCAAAGTATTCCTTAGATGTTTCAATATCAGTAAATGATCGTGTACTTTGTGTTTGAACACCTCCAATAGTTGTGAATCTATCTCTTTAAAGGAGCTCATTCTGTGTGGAAATATCTTACAGAGTTAACTTTTCTTCATTTGTAGTTGAAATCATCTCATTGACACCTATCTCATGCTGCGCCTTAGCTCAGCGTGTGTGTATCTTAATAATCTTTGCCAAAATCAAAGCAAGTTTCACTCTGGCCCATTCTTGATTCATTAGCCTTGATTCTGTCTGTCTTCCCTATAAGTATTTAATCATCATTTGTCTTATAGGTTAGGCACAAAATCTGGCTATTCCTTTGTCCTTGTGGAATCATCTATCTACTAGGTTACCAGTGATTCCCATAACTTCGTCTCCTACCCTGACTTGGCCTTCATCAATTCCTGGGTTTCCAAATGTGTCTAAGGCATTTCTGTGACAAGCTTCCCAACCTATAATATCTTAAATAGCATTTTCCCTTTCAGGACAAGTCCCTTATCCAATGACTGTAATTCATTACTGTACCACCATTTTTCTAGTCTTCACGCTGAAAGTATATTTCCTTAATGTTTTATTTGGATGTACAGTCAATCCCCATTATTCACAGATTCAACATTTGTACGTTTGTCCACTTACTAAAATTTATTTGTAGCCAAAATCAATACTCATGGTGCCTTCAGGGTTGTTCACAGACATGCACTGAGCAATGTAAAATTTGAGTCCCCTGACATGCACACATTCCCAACTGAGTGGAACAAGGCAATGCTCTGCTTCTTGTTTCAGCTCTCATACCACAAACAGGTGCCCTTTCCTAAGTCTATTTCATGCCACATTGTTCTTCCTTTTCTGTTTTTTAAAATAGATTTCACCATTTCACGTGGCCCCCAAGCTTAGTGCTGAAGTGCTAGTGTTCCTAAGGCTGTGGGGTGCCTTCGGGAGAAAATACACGTGCTAGATAAGCTGCATTCAGGCATGAGTTATAGTGCCGTTGGCCAATGTTAATGAATCAACAATATGTATTAAATAAGGTGCCTTTAAACAGAAACACACATAAACAAGGTTATGTTATTGATTGCTCGATACAAATATTGTGATCATGTACATTGATGGCAGCACAGTTCACAATTGTGAAGATGTGGAACCAATCCAAGTGCCCATCAGCTGATGAGTGGATAAAGAAAACGTGGCATATATACACCACGGAATACCACTCAGCCATAGAAAATAACGAAATAATGTCTTTTGCAGCAACTTGGATGGAGCTGGAGGCCAGTATTCTAAGTGAAGTAACACAGGAGTAGAAACCCAAAGATCGTATGTTCCCACTTATAGGTGGGAACTAAGCTATGAGTACATAGACATACAGAGTGATATAATAGACCTTACAGACTCAGGAGCCAGAGTGGATGGGGACCTAGGGATAAAAAAGCCTACCTATTAGGTACAATGTATACTACTTGGGTGACTCATGCACCAAAAGTCTCAGAATTCATCAATATATAATTCACCCATGTAACAAAAAACCACTTGTACCCTAAAAGCTATTAAAATAAAAAATTAACAAAGAAAATGTGATCAAAGGCTCACAGGAACCTAGCCCTGTATTTCTCCCAGGAGTGATGGTTCAGTATTCACAATCCAGTGTTCACAGCAACTTCATAGAACTTAAGTTCTGCAAATAATGAAAATCAACTATAATTTGGGATTCACAGAAAAGTTTCCAGAACAGTAAAAAGAATTCCTGTACACTCTTAACCCAGGTTCCCATTTTACCACATTTGCTTTATCCCCCACTCCTCTGTGTGTGTGTATATCACACACAGTATCTATGAATACAGTTGTCCCTCTGTATCCATGGGGGATTGATTCCAGGATCCCTCACAGACACCAAAATTTGCACATGCTCAAGTCCCCCTTATATGAGATGGCATAATATTTGAATATAACCTACACATCTTCTTCCATATAATTTAAATCATCTCTAGGTTTCTTATACTACCTAATACAATGTAAATGCTGTGTAAATAGTTATACTGTATTATTTGTATTATTTTTATTGTATTTTTTCCCAAATATTTTCTATCTGTGATTGGTTGAATCTGTAAATAAGGAACCTGCCGATATGGAAGACTGACTATATGTAATTCTAACATATCTTCATATCCTTTGCAGCTAAATGCTTCAATGTATATTTTCTAAAAATAAGTATATGTTCTTACATAAGTAAAATACAAATATCAAAATCAGGAAGTGAACAGGAATTCAGTATTACCATCTATACATTTATTAGGAACTACCAGTTGTCCCAATAATACTGGATCATGTATTGCATTCAGCTGTCATGTTCCTCTAGCCATTGTAAATTTAATACAGTTCCTCAGTCTGTCTTTTTCTTTCTTGACATTGATGTTTTTAAGGACTATACATCAGTTATTTTGTAGAATGTCTTCAGTGTGCTTTGATGTTTGTTTATGATTAGATTTAGATTATGCTGTTTTTGGCAGGAACATTACAAGAGTGGTGCTGTGTTCTGAGTACATCATATCAGGAGGAACATGAAGTTGGTTTGTTCCATTTCTAGTAATGCTAACTGAACACTTAGCTGAGAGGGTTTTTTCCAAGATTCTCTACCACAAAATCATTGATGTTCCAGCTAGAGACCCCCAGGAACACCCCTAGGTTGAACAAAGATGTTTCTTGGCCACTGCAACACGCCACAGGGAACTGGTGGGCGTCTCAGTAAGAGATGCTCAGAAAGGAGGTACTTATTGTTGGGTTTAGACTTATGTGTGATTATTTGGGGGAAGTTTCAAGGAAGTGTGGTTTCATTCCAGATTGGGCGCTATCAGAAAACAGGGACAATTTCATGATTGGTTATATTAATAATTTTTATCTAAGAGGGTCAGAGGAATGGAGCAAAGCTGAGCCCATATCTGATAAGGCAGCAGCAATCACTCGTGCCATGAGAGGGCACATGCTTGATCCTTGTTTGTGATTTGGGCAGTATTCTAAGTCTTTGCCATGTCTGTTTGATTATGGAGTGGCCTTGCTTATATTTGATTTCATCAGTATCACAAAATGACTTTGTCTAATATTTGTTCTGGTATACAATTATTTATATTCAGCTAAACACGATCACCTAGGTGCGAGAGCCAGGCCAGCTTCCATTTGATAGCAGTCAGAGACTTCTTTTTGCTTATTAATTGCTAATTTTTCCTTTGTAATTAATGTAGGCATCTCTACTGAAGTTGGTAGATAGGTAGGTAGATGGGTAGGGTAGAGAGGTGAGTGGATGGGCAGATGGATAGGAGAAAAGAGAGCTCTTCATTATTTGCTAAGTGATAGATGTAAAAGAAACTATGGAAACAGAAAATCATTATTTGACAACCATAATAATTTATTCAGACAAGGATCATCAATGAAAGTTCGAGGAGCAACAGCCTATATAGCCTTAAACTATTTCCTCACAAAATACCTATTAGTTGCAAGGGAAACAGCTATTTTATAAATTAGAAAATGTTAATCACCCCGTTATGATGATGATGAGAGTGGTAGTACAGCCAAGCTTTACTGGAAAGTTATGGGTGAAGTACTTTATATTAATTTAATCTAGGTGATATAGATTGTATGGACATTGTCTGAGGTTTATAATGGCTTGTGAACTAGTCATAGGGCATACACTTTGTATTTAACCAAGACAATCTTCAGACTCAATTCCTATTACCAGCCATCTTACAGAGTCTCTTTCCTGTGTATCTAATTTATCACTCAATTTCTCTTCAAATCTCTCATTTGCATTCCTCCTTTTCCTACTGCAGTAAAGTTCTCCTCACCTCATATATGGATTACTGCAGCTAGTTCAAAGCAATCCCCCTATTCCAGTTTCTTCTTTTTCAAATCTGTAATACAAAACATTTCCCTCTGTGCCTTTCTGTAAGATCCCTTGTAGCATGGCATCACCCTGCCCCACCTCGGCAAATTCAGACTTCTCATTTTCAAGACCATCAGTAATTTGATCCCTTTACTTTTCTCTTTTCCAAGGAAGTTTCGCTCACTGTCCCCAACCCCCTTCTGTAATAAACTCCATGTCTTTTTCTGCATTGAGAAAGCTCTTCTGCTGTACTCTATATCTGAATTCTACTCATTTTCAAGTAATAACTTCCCTAAAATCTTCCCCAATTTGGATCTCAAAATCAGTCTTGTATCTAGAATGTACTCCATCCTGTCTAATATTGAATAATTTTCTGTTTTCTACAGGTATCTCAGTTTTGACCCTGTCGAAAATGCAAGTTCCTTTGCAATGGGGACCCAGCAATCTTTCCTTTGATTCTTTAACACCTAGCAGAGTGTTGGGTGCAGGGTGGAGCCTCTGTAAGTGAAGGACTTGCTGATTGGTGAATTACTCTAATGTGGGCAGGTGAACCAGGTACAAGTAATCCCCTCTCAATGAAAGGACAGCTGCATTTTGGACACTTGATGAAAGATGTTTTTCTTGTAAACTGAAATGTATGATGAATTGCTTTTGTTCTGTATGTTCTTCTGTATATATGCTTTCTTTTCCATTTGATTATGAGAAACAATTGCTGTTAAACCCCCAAATTTTCAGCACACAGAGAAACCTCAAAAGACTTGTGAAACTGATAGCCTAATTATAATTTAACCCCCATACACTATACTGTAACAAACTGTGCTACTTCCTCAAATACATCGTGTCCTTTTCAAGCCTTCCCGCTTTGTTCATGCTGCTATGTCTTCTAGAAGATATCTCCTCCTTCATACCTGGGAAAGTTTTATTTATATGTCAAGTTCCAGCTTAATTGTAGTCTTCTCTGAGAAACTCTTCCTGATCATCGGACAAAACTAATTGTTCCTCTCTCTGTGCTTCAGTAGCACTTTGCTTATACTCTGTTTCAGACCTTGCTATGCATTATTGGAAATAGTGCCATCTTGCCCGATTATATCATGAGACTGAGGGCAGGACTGTGCCTTGTGTCACTTTTGTTTTGGAAGCAACGCTGTAGCAATCAATAAATTTTAACGTGGCAAGCCCTTGTTAAGAACTGTGTAAGTGAACTCATGCTAGTGGAGTGTAAAGTTCCAATTATATATTATTCGAATTAGTAGATCTGAAAGGCCTCATATAGATCATACGGGGTTTTCTTTAAATAGACTTTAACATGAAAAAGAATTACAGATGAATTATGCTACTTTGAAGGGGCTTTTTTCTTCCCAAAATTAAAAAAGAAGCTGAAAACTCTGAAGTCACCAATTTTGCAGTAACTTTATTTACTTATATATTATTTTGTACAAAATATGACCTATTTCAGAAAGAGAAACATCTTGTTTTGTCATAATAAAGCACAAAAAGTATATAAGTTTCTTCAATAGCATGCATGGTTGTAACATTAATATCTAGTTGAATGACTACCCTAGAAATTTTAATAAGTACACCCAACAAAGAATAAAAATACTCAAAATATTATTTTCTGAAAAACATAAGGAATTTAGGAGGTTTTAATTCTCATCACTCCTGATTTACATGCTTAATTTAGAATTTTACTTCTGTCCTTTTTAACTCCACAAATTAGACATATTATTTAAGACATAAATTATTATTTTATGCAGCTAATACTTAGGCTTAGCTATGTATTTACCAGTTTGTTTGCACACTACCAGTTTTTGCATTTCACACATTGCATTTGAGATAATTTTTCTTCTACCTTCTAAAGGAAGAGTGCAGTAAACTCACTTTTTGTTTTTCTAAAAATGTCCTCTTTTGACCTTTTTTTGACACATAATTTTGTTGGTTATTCCAGACAGCGGATTTTTCTCTCAGCATTATGAAGATAATCTATAGTCTTTCTGGCTTCTAATGCTGTTGCAAAGTCAGCTGAAAATATAATTGTCATGTTGTAGGTAATCTGTATTTTTTCTCTGGCTGTTTCTAAGATCTGTTGTTTTTAGTATTCTTCATTTTCACTATGAAATGGAATTTCAGTATTTATATGGAGTGCTTTATATTCATTGTGCCTGGAATTTGTTGACTTCCCTGAATCTGAAGACTGGAATCTTTCAACAAATCTGGGAAATATTTAGCCATCATTTCTTCAAATACTGCCTCTACTTTATCTCTTTTGTCCATTTTTTTTCTGGAATTCAAAAGATGTATATTAGATTGTCTCCATATATTATGCCTATCTCATATACTCATATTTTTCATTTCTTTCTCTTGGTGTGATGAATTCTGTATAATTTATTCAAATCTGTCTTGCTCTTTACCCTTTTTTTCAGTGATTTAAGCATTCCATTCAATTTTAATTTTAATGTTTTTTTATTTCTAGAGGTTTTATTAATTTCTTTTTCAAATCTGCGTTATTGGCTTTTGTGGTTTCTTATTTGTATTCTTTTATTCAATGCTTACTTTTATTCCTTTAAACAGATTAAGTACTTATTTTATATTTAAGATAATTTTGTATTTCAGATAATTTTGTATGTGATTCAGCTGGTTCTTTTGTTTGAGCTGGATCTCACATATGTTGTCTTGATTTTTATGTGTGTGCGTATAGTTTAAGAACTTTGTTTGCTGGAATAGATCAAGGCATTGTTAGAAAGTACATTGTTAGAAAGTGTAATGACTGAATCAAGGTAATTAGCATATCCCAATACAATTCTTTGTTTTGGGAAATCCTCTCCTAACTTGCTTGAAAATACACAATAAATTATTGTTAACTATAGTCTCCCTAAAGTACTATAAAACGCTAGAAATTATCCTATCTAGCTGTAATTCCGTGTTTGTTAACCAGCCTCTCTTTATTCCCTTACCATCCACTCTTCCCAGAATCTAGTATCCACAATTCTACTCTCTATTTTTATGAGCTCAACTTTTGTAGCTCCCACATGTGAGTGTGAACATGCATTCTTTATCCTTCTGTGCCTGACCTATCTCACCTATTATAATGTCCTCCAGGCTCACTCATGTTGCCACGAATGACAGAATTTTATTCATTTTGATGGCCAAATAGTATTCTATTGAGTATATTTACCATAATTTCTTTATCCATTAATCTGTTGATGGACTCTTGAGTTGATTCCTTATCTTGAGTATTGTGAATAATGTTTCAGTGAACATGGAAGTGCAGATACCTCTCTGATATTCTGATTTCCTTTTCTTTGGATAAATCCCAGTAGTGGGATTGCTGGATTATATGTTAGTTCTATTTTCAGTTTTTTTGAGAAACCTCCACACCGTTTTCCATAATGATTACACTAATTTACATTCCATAAACAATGTACAAGAGTTCTTTTTCTCTGCATTCTCACCAGCATTTTTTTTATTTTTTGTATTTTTTGATAATAGCCATTTTAACTGGGGTGAGATAAATGTCTCACTGTGGTTTTGATTTGTATTTCCCTGATGATTAGTGATGTTAAACATCTTTTATATACCTGTTGACCATTTATATATCTTCTTTTGAGAAATGTCTATTCAGCTCATTTGCCCACTGTTTAATTGGATTATTTGTTGTTTTGGCTGTTGAGTTCCTTGTGTATTCTAAATATTAATCTCTTGTTGGATGAATAGTTTACAAACATTTTCACTGATTCTTCAGGTAGTCTCTTTACTCTGTTGATTTATTCTTGTGCTGTGAAGACACTTTATAGTTTGATATTAATCCATTTGTCATTTTTGCTTTGTTACCTGGGCTTTAGAAGTCATATCCACAAAGTCTTTGCTTAGATCAGTGTCCTTAAGTATTTCCCTTTTGTTTTCTTCTAGTAGTTTTATAGTTTCAGGTCTTACATTTTAATCTATCTTGAGTTGATTTTTGTATATAGTGAGAGATGTGGGTGTAATGTTTGGTCTTCTGCATATGGACATCCATTTTTCCCAATACCATTTATTTGAAGGAGGCTGTTCTTTCCCCATTGTATGTTCTGTTCACCTTTGTTGAGAAACAGTTGTCTGTAAATACATGGATTTATTTCTGGGAGCTGAAATTCTGTTACATCGGTGTATCTCTCTGTTTTTATACCAGTATCATGCTGTTTCGGTTACGACAGCTTCGTGGTATATAATTTGAATTCAGGTAGTGTGATGCGTCCAGCTTTCCTCTTTTTGTTCAGGGTTGCTTTGGCTATTTGAGATTTTTGTTACGGTTCCATATAAATTTTAGGGTTATTTCTTTTATTTCTGTGAAGAATGTCATTGATATTTTGATAGAGATTACATTGAATCTGTAGATTAGGTAGTATAGTAATTTTGACAGTCTTCCAATTCAAAAACGTGATTTTTTTTCATTTTTGTATGTCCTCTTCAATTTCTTTCATCATTGTTTTCTAGTTTTCATTGTAGAGATCTTGCACATTTTTGGTTAAATTCCTAGGTGTTCTATTATTTTTTGTTACAATTACAAATGCGATTGATTTCTTTTTCAGCTAGTTCGTTTTGGTGTATAGAAACACTACTGATTTTTATATGTTGATTTTGTATCCTACAATGTTACCAAATTGGTTTATCAATTTTAAGAGTTATTTAATAGAGTTTTTTGTCTTTTAGTTTTTCTATATATAAGACTATGTTATCTGCAAACAGGGACAGTTTCATTTCTTACTTTCCAATGTGCATGCCTTTTATTTTTTATCTTGTCTAATGCCTCTGACTAGGACTTTTAGTTCTGTGCTGAATAAGAGTTCTGAAAGTAGGCATCTGTATTAGTCTGTTCTTGCATTGCTGTAAAGAACTACCTGAGACTGGGTAATTTATAAAGGAAAAAGTTTTAAGTGGTTCACAGTTCTGTAGGCTGTACAGGAGGCATGGCTTGGAGGACTCAGAAAACTTACAGTCATGGTGGAAGGCAAAGGGAAAGCAGGCACTTCATACATGGCTGGAAAAGGAAGAAGAGAGAGAGAAGTGCTACACACTTTCAAACAACCAAATCTCATGAGAACAGCAAGGGGGAAGTTTGCCCCCATTATTCAATCACCTTCCACAAGGCCCCTCCTCCAATACTAGCAATTACAATTTGATATGAGATTTGGGTGGAGACACAGAGCCAAACCATATTATTCTACCCCGGTCCTTCCCAAATCTCATGTCCTTCTCACATTGCAAAATACAATCATACTTTCTCAGCAGTCCCCCAAGTCTTTATTCATTTCAGCATTAATTCAAATGTCTGAGTACAAACTCTGAGACAAGGCAAGTCTCTTCCACCTATAAGCCTGTAAAATAAAAAACAAGTTAGTCACTTCTGGGATACAGTGGGGGTACAGGCATTGGGTAAATGCTCCCATTCCAAAAGGGAGAAATTGGCCAAAACAAAGCGGCTACAGGCCTCATGCAAGTCTGAAACCCAGCAGGGCAGTCATTAAATCTTAAAGCCCCAAAATAATCTTTGACCCCAGGCCACACCGATGCAAGGGGTGGACTCCCAAGGCCTTGGGCAGTTGCACCGCTGTGGCTCTGCATGGCTGCTCTCAAGGGCTACTGTTGAGTGTCTGTGGCATTTCCAGGTGCCCAGTATAAGCTGTTGGTGGGTCTACAATTCTGGGGGCTGGAGGATGGTGGCTCTCTTCTCACAGCTCCACTAGGCAGTGCCCCGGCACGGACAGTGTGCGGGGGCTTCAATACCACACTTCCCTTCCTCACTGCCCTAGTAGAGGTTCTCCATGAGGGCCCCACTCCTGCAGCAAACTTCTTCCTGGACATCCAGGCATTTCCATACATCCTCTGAAATCTAGGTGGAGGTTCTCAAACCCCAGTTCTTGACTTCTGGGCACTCGCAGGCTCAACGCTACGTGGAAGTTGCCAATGCTTGGGGTTTGCACCCTGTGAAGCCACGGCCTGAGCTCTATGTTGGCCCCTTTCAGCCATGGCTGCAGTGGTTGGGACACATGGCGCCAAGTACCTAAGCTGCACACAGCACAGGGAACCTGTTTCAGGCCACGAAACTATTTTTCCCTTCTAGGTCTCCAGGCCTGTGATGGGAAGGGTTGCTGCCAAGGTCCCTGAAATTCCCTGGAGGCATTTTTGCCATTGTCTTGCTATTAACATTCAGCTCCTTTTTACTTATGCAGATTTCTGCAGCCTTGAATTCCTCTCCAGAAAATAGGTCTTTCTTTTCTACTACATGGTCGGGCTGCAAATTTTCCAAACTTTTATTCTCTGTTTCCCTTTTAAATATAACTTCCAGTTTCAGAAAATCTCTTCGTTGAAGTACGTTCTTTCTGTACCTAATTTATTGAGAGTTTTATCATAAAAGATGTTGAATTTTAGCAAATGTTTCTTTGGCCTGTGGTTTTAGTCTTTCATCTGTTGATGTAATGTATCACATTTATTGATATGCATGTGTTGAAACATCCTTGCATCCTTGGGATAAATCCTAGTTGACTGTGGTATAGAATCTTTTTGATGTGCTGTTTGATTTCGTTTGCTAGTATTTTGTTGGGGATTTTGCATCTGTGTTCATCAGGGTTATTGGTCTGTAGTTTTCTTTTTTGGCTGTCTTTGTGCTGTTTTGATATCAGAGTAATGCTACTCTTATAGAATTAATAGAATAATTAATTAATAGAATTAATGTGGAGGAATTTTTTTCTCTTCAGTTTTTTGGAAAAGTTTGAGAAGAATTGTTGTTAGTCCTTTAAAGGTTCAGTAGAATTCATCAGTGAAGCCATTTGGTTCCAGGATTTTCTTTGTTGAGAGACTTCTTATTCCTGATTCAACCTCATCATTTGTTAGTCAGTTCAGGTTTTCTGTTTATTTTTGGTTCAGTTTTGGTAAATTATATGTGTCTGGAAATTTATTCATTTTTTGTAGATTTTCCATTTTGTTTGTGTAGCATTATGCATAATAGTCTGTAAAGATCCTTTTTGTGTCTGTGGTATCAGTTGTAATGGTTCCTTTTTTGTTTCTGATTTTGAGTCTTCTCTTTTTATTCTTAGTACAGCTAATGGTTTCTCAGTATCGTTTATCTTTTCCAAAAACCAACTTTTTCTTTCACTGATCTTTAGTACTTTAAGTCTTTGTTTCATTTAGTTCTGATCTTTATTATTTCCTTTATTCTAATGTGGGGTTTTGTTTTTTCTTGCTTTTCTGATAGCTTGAGGCACAACATGAGGTTGTTTATTTGAAATATTTCTACTTTTTTGATGTAGGCATTTATTGCTATGAACTTCACTTAATACTGCCTTTGTCTATCCCATAGGTTAGGATATTTTTCATTTGTTTGAAGAAACTTTCTTATTTTTTTCCTAATTTCTTCCTTTACCCATTCAGGAGCATGTTGTTTAATTTCCATGTATTTGTACAATTTCCAGTTTCTCTTGTTGTTGATTTCTAGTTATATATTGTTGTAGTATGAAAAGATACTTGATATGATTTTAGTTTTTTAAAATTTGTTAAGACTTGTTTTGCAGCCTACCATGTGATCTATCCTAAAGAATGTTCTGGGCCGGGTGTGGTGGCTGATGCCTGTAATCCCAGCACATTTGGAGGCCAAAGCAGGCGGATCACACGGTCAGGAGAGTGAGACCATCCTAGCTCACATGGGGAAACCCTGTCTCTACTAAAAAAATACAAAAAATTAGCCAGGCGTGGTGGCACACGCCTGTATTCACAGCTACTCGGAAGGCTGAGGCAGGAGAATCACTTGAACCCGGGAGGTGGAGGTTGTAGTGAGCCGAGATTGCGCCACTGCACTCCAGCCTAGGCGACAGAGCGAGACTCCATCAAAAAAAAAAAAAAAAAGAATGTTCTATGTACTGATGAGAGGAATATGTATTCTGTAGCTTTAGGATGAAATGTTCTGTAAATGTCTGTTAGGTCCATTTGGTCTAGGGTATAGTTTAACTCCAATGTTGGCTGCAGTTTGGTAATTTTCTGTAGTGATAAAGTTTAATTATTTCTTTTTTATTTATGTATCTGCTCTACCAGTGTGTTTTATTCTCTCACATGTTTTTATGATGGTAGTTATCATTCTTTTGCTTCCAGATACAGGACTCTCATGTATTTCTTGTCGTGTAGGTCTAGTGGTAAATTCCCACAGTTTTGCTTGTCTGGGAGAGACATTGTTTCTCCTTGATTTCTGAAGGATAAGTTTGTTGGGTAATGTATCTTGGCTGCCAGGGTTTTTTTTCTTTCAGCACTTTAAATATATCATCCCATTCTCTCCATGCCTGTAAGGTTTTTGCTGAGAAATATGCTATTAGTCTGAAGGGGATTTCATTATATGTGACTTGATGCTTTTCTCTTGCGGTTTTTACAATTCTCATTTTCTCTTTGACTTTTGACTATAATGTTTCTCAGAGAGAATCTTTGAGGTTGAATCTATTTGGGGACTTTTTAGTTTCCTGTATCTGAATATCCATATTTCTTCCCAAAACTTGGAAGTTTTTAGCAATTACTTTATTAAATGGGTTTTCTATTCTTTTTCCCATCTCTTCCTCTTCTGGAAATTCCATAATACAAATATTTGTTTACTTAATTATATCCTGTAAGTCTCGTAGGCTTTCTTTATTCATTTTCTTTTTGTCTGACTGGATTTTGTCAAAAGACCTGTCTTCAAGTTCAGAAATTTTTTCTTCTTATGATCTAGTCTATTGTTGAAGCTCTTGATTTTTTAAAAAAATGGATTCATTGATTTTTTTAGTTTCCAATTTGGTCCTTTTTTGTGATATCTATGTATTAAATTTCTCATTCAGATTATGAATTGTTTTTCTGATTTTGATGAATCATCTGTCTGTATTCTCTTATATCTTTCTGAGTTCCCTAAGGTCATTATTTTAAATTCCTTTAAAAGTATTGCATCAATTTCCTTTGCCTTGGGATGTATTACTAATAAATTATTTGGATCCTTTTGAGGTGTTAATTTTCCTTGCTTTTTCATGTTTTTTACATCCCTATGTTAATATCTGCACATCTGGTAGAACAGTCACGTCTTCTAATTTTATGGCATAGCTTTCATGGGGAAAGACTTTTTCTGGCAGATGTGTTAATTGAATAGAGTGCTTTGACTTTGGTTCTGGGTGGGCACAGTAGTGTAGTGTCCATGTGTTTCTTCAGCTGTAATCAGTGTCAGTGGTACCTATGAGTGCTTTAGTAGCCTAGATTGTGAGTGTTTGTGGAGGCAGCTTTGCTGAGAGGCCTGGAGCTACCAGAGAGCCTGGTTTGGGAGCACTTGGAGGGGTATGCTGGTCAGGGCGGCAGTCATTAGTGGCAGCAGCCATTAGTGGCAGGAGCAGACCCCAGGTAAACCAGACCTTGGGTCCCTGGGGAGCATGCACAGGCACATAGCTCTATTTCCCAGCTGGAGAGTGTGGTTGCTGGCAGTGGCAGTCCCTGGGCAGCAGGGTAGTTCTTAGGCCCCTTGGGAGGGGACATGCAGTGGTTTCACTACTAGATTGGTAGGTCACCAGTGGCAGCAATTCTCAGGTGAGCCAGTCCTCAGGCCCCTGGTTGAGGGTACAGGCACTCAGTAGCCTTGACACTGGAGTAGGCAAAGTCAAAGGCAATGGAAGGCCCCAGCAAGCTGGTACTCAGGCTTCTAAGGGGAATGCAAGCACACTGTGGCTTCCCCACTAGACAGGTAGTTTCACTGATGGTATGGGCCCTAAATGTGCCAGTCCTTAGGCCCCTGATGGGGGCACATGGCAGCTCCACTTCTGTAGTGGGAAGGGCCATCAGTGGCAGCAGACATCAGATAAGACAGTCCTCAGGCCCTCAGATGGGGGATTGCATGAGAGAGCACAGGAGCTCTGCTGCTGAAGCGGGCAGAGTTGTCAGCATTGGCAGGCCCTTGGTGGGCCAGTCCTGGGCCCCCATCCTGGGGTAGCCAGTCCTTGAGTTCCTGATGGAGAAGGCCCTGCAGGCAATGCAGCAGCTCCACCACTACAGGAGTCAGCGTTGCCAGTGACACTGGCAGCAGGCCCCAGGCAGGCCAGTCCTAGGGCCTTTGGGGAGTGCACACGAGCATGTGGCAGTTCTGCTGGTCATTAGGCCGTCAGCTCTCAAATTCTGGGGAGCACATGCTTTGGCTCCCTCTGTCTTGAAGATGGCCTCCCTGATATACTAGATCACCTGTTCCCTTGGGTACAGGCCACTGCATTGCCTCAGGTGCTGAGTTCACAGCTACACCACGGGGTCCAACTGGAATCACAGCCCTGTAGCCTTCTGGATTGGATAATGATAAGGGCTCAGAAATGCAGAGAAGCAGGCCCTTTGGGGCTCCTGGACAGGGTACATTTTAGCAGTGGCTCTGTTCTCAAAATGGCACCATAATGCAGTAGTCTGGGTTCCAGAGAATGGCTGGGGGGAGGTGGGAACTCAGCATGAGTTCCCTCCCTACACTAGTCTCAAAGCCTGTGAATACTGTAGGGCTCCCTTGCAGCTAGAATTGCAGGTGTCTGTGGTGGGAATGTGGACTGCTAGGGATCTCCTGCCTTTTCTCACAGTGCAGAGTGCCTCTTGGCTTTGAGTCAATCCCAGGGCTCTTCCTTCTCTATGCTACCTTCCCAAGTTCCAATGCCTCAGGGATGCCTCTGTCACATATTCTCCCATGTATTCTGTTGTTCTCCCTAGGCATGCAATTCACCATGTAGTTATCTGCTTATCACTTTAGCCTTTTTGTGTGAAGGAAGCAGGCTCTTCTACTCAGCTATCTTGATAACATCTTTCAAGTTTTCTAGCTGGTGAAGATTTATTTCTAGTTCACTGCCACACTGAAGATACACCTCTTTGGAGTGATGACCTTTTGCATGTTTTTCCTGTTAGAAAAAAAATCCCATACCATTGTCACATTGAGTAGGGCCCTATACTTTGTCTCCAATCTACCATGTACCCACAAATGACAAAATGATACTTAAAAGTCACCAAGATTTAATAGAATATAATCTAAAGCTGTCCTCAGATCTCTTATTTTCCAAGATTTCTGCTTTCACTGTGCCTTTGGCCTGTCTGTGTGTTATTTAGTTTTATTCTAGCTATGCAACACATTTAAAAAGATAGATTTTTAAATATTTGATGCAAAATTTCCATTGTTTTTAGTGTGATGTTTGCAAATTTATTTACCTTGGTAGTACCAGAAACAGAAATCCACCATTATCTTTTCTAACTTACCCCTCTTTCCCTAAAATGTATTCAGGTGTAGAAATAACACAGTGAATTTTTACTGGAAACTTCTAAGATTTGGATAAATTGATAGAAAAAAAATAATTTGTTTTCTTTATTGCACTGACCAGAACCTCTTATAAAATATTGAATAGAAGTTTTGAGGAGGTGTTCTTAGTTGTAGGTGGAAAACATTTGCCTAATATCTTGAAGCATGGTGCTAGCTGTAGGGATTTTTTTTTTAATTATTATTATACTTTAAGTTTTAGGGTACAAGTGCACAATGTGCAGGTTAGTTACATATGTATACATGTGCCATGCTGGTGTGCTGCACCCATTAACTCGTCATTTAGCATTAGGTATATCTCCTAATGCTATCCCTCCCCCCTCCCCCCACCCCACAACAGTCCCCAGAGTGTGATGTTCCCCTTCCTGTGTCCATGTGTTCTCATTGTTCAATTCCCACCTATGAGTGAGAACCTGCAGTGTTTGGTTTTTTGTCCTTGCTATAGTTTACTGAGAATGATGATTTCCAATTTCATCCATGTCCCTACAAAGGACATGAACTCATCATTTTTTATGGCTGCATAGTATTCCATTGTGTATATGTGCCACATTTTCTTGATCCAGTCTATCGTTGTTGGACATTTGGGTTGGTTCCAAGTCTTTGCTATTGTGAATAGTGCCACAATAAACATACGTGTGCATGTGTCTTTATAGCAGCGTGATTTATAGTCCTTTGGGTATATACCCAGTAATGGGATGGCTGGGTCAAATGGTATTTCCAGTTCTAGATCCCTGAGGAATCGCCACACTGACTTCCATACTGGTTGAACTAGTTTACAGTCCCACCAACAGTGTAAAACTGTTCCTATTTCTCTACATCCTCTCCAGCACCTGTTGTTTCCTGACTTTTTAATGATTGCCATTCTAACTGGTGTGAGATGGTTTCTCATTGTGGTTTTGATTTGCATTTCTCTGATGGCCAGTGATGATGAGCATTTTTTCATGTGTCTGTTGGCTGCATAAATGTCTTCTTTTGAGAAGTGTCTGTTCATATCCTTTGCCCACTTTTTGATGGGGTTGTTTGTTTTTTTCTTGTAAATTTGTTTGAGTTCATTGTAGATTCTGGATATTAGCCCTTTGTCAGATGAGTAGGTTGCAAAAATTTTCTCCCATTTTGTAGGTTGCCTGTTCACTCTGATGGTAGTTTCTTTTGCTGTGCAGAAGCTCTTTAGTTTAATTAGATCCCATTTGTCAATTTTGGCTTTTGTTGCTTTTGGTGTTTTAAACATGAAGTCCTTGCCCATGCCTATGTCCGGAATGGTAATGCCTAGGTTTTCTTCTAGGGTTTTTATGGTTTTAGGTCTAACATTTAAGTCTTTAATCCATCTTGAATTAATTTTTGTATAAGGTATAAGGAAGGGATCCAGTTTCAGCATTCTACATATGGCTAGCCAGTTTTCCCAGCACCATTTATTAAATAGGGAATCCTTTCCCTATTGCTTGTTTTTGTCAGGTTTGTCAAAGATCAGATAGTTGTAGATATGCGGCGTTATTTCTGAGGGCTCTGCTCTGTTCCATTGATCTATATCTCTGTTTTGGTACCAGGACCATGCTGTTTTGGTTACTGTAGCCTTGTAGTATAGTTTGAAGTCAGGTAGCGTGATGCCTCCAGCTTTGTTCTTTTGGCTTAGGATTGACTTGGCGATGCGGGCTCTTTTTTGGTTCCATATGAACTTTAAAGTAGTTTTTTCCAATTCTGTGAAGAAAGTCATTGGTAGCTTGATGGGGATGGCATTGAATTTATAAATTACCTTGGGCAGTATGGCCATTTTCACGATATTGATTCTTCCTACCCATGAGCATGGAATGTTCTTCCATTTGTTTGCATCCTCTTTTATTTCCTTGAGCAGTGGTTTGTAGTTCTCCTTGAAGAGGTCCTTCACATCCTTTGTAAGTTGGATTCCTAGGTATTTTATTCTCTTTGAAGCAATTGTGAATGGGAGTTCACTCATGATTTGGCTCTCTGTTTGTCTGTTATTGGTGTATAGGAATGCTTGTGATTTTTATACATCGATTTTGTATCCTGAGACTTTGCTGAAGTTGCTTATCAGCTTAAGGAGATTTTGGGCTGAGACAGTGGGGTTCTCTAGATATACAATCATGTCATCTGCAAACAGGGACAATTTGACTTCCTCTTTTCCTAATTGAATACCCTTTATTTCCTTCTTCTGCCTAATTGCCCTGGCCAGAACTTCCAACACTATGTTGAATAGGAGTGGTGAGAGAGGGCATCCCTGTCTTGTGCCAGTTTTCAAAGGGAATGCTTCCAGTTTTTGCCCATTCAGTATGATATTGGCTATGGGTTTGTCATAGATAGCTCTTATTATTTTGAGATATGTTCCATCAATACCTAACTTATTGAGAGTTTTTAGCATGAAGGGTTGTTGAATTTTGTCAAAGACCTTTTCTGCATCTATTGAGATAATCGTGGTTTTTGTCTTTGGTTCTGTTTATATGCTGGATTACATTTATTAATTTGTGTATATTGAACCAGCCTTGCATCCCAGGGATGAAGCCCACTTGATCATGGTGGATAAGCTTTTTGATGTGCTGCTGGATTCGGTTTGCCAATATTTTATTGAGGATTTTTGCATCAATGTTCATCAAGGATATTGGTCTAAAATTCTCTTTTTTGGTTTTGTCTCTTCCTGGCTTTGGTATCAGGATGAGGCTGGCCTCATAAAATGAGTTAGGGAGGATTCCCTCTTTTTCTGTTGATTTGAATAGTTTCAGAAGGAATGGTACCAGTTCCTCCTTGTACCTCTGGTAGAATTCGGCTGTGAATCCATCTGGTCCTGGACTCTTTTTGGTTGGTGAGCTGTTGATTATTGCCACAATTTCAGATCCTGTTATTGGTCTATTCAGAGATTCAACTTCTTCCTGGTTTGGTCTTGGGAGGGTGTATGTGTTGAGGAATTTATCCATTTCTTCTAGATTTTCTAGTTTATTTGCGTAGAGTTATTGGTAGTATTCTCTGATGGTAGTTTGTATTTCTGTGGGATCGGTGGTGATATCCCCTTTATCATTTTTTATTGTGTCTAGTTGATTCTTCTGTCTTTTTTTCTTTATTAGTCTTGCTAGCGGTCTATCAATTTTGTTGATCCTTTCAAAAAACCAGCTCTTGGATTCATTAATTTTTTGAAGGATTTTTAGCTGTAGGGATTTTTGAAGATGCTATTTATCAAGTTGAGGAAGTTCGTTTCTATTCCTTGTTGATGAGTTTTTTGTTTGTTTGTTTGTTGTTTGTTTGTTTCTGAGATGGAGACTTACTCTGTCACCCAGGCTAGAGTGCAGTGATGCGATCTCAGCTCACTGCAACCTCTGCCTCCCGGGTTCAAGTGATTCTGCTGCCTCAGCCTCCTGAGTAGCTGGGATTACAGGCACCTGCCCACACGCCCTCCTAATTGTTGTATTTTAGTAGAGACAGGATTTCACCATGTTGGCCAGGCTGGTCTCGATCTCCTGACCTCATTATCTGCACACGTCGGCCTCCCAAAGTACTGAGATTACAGGCGTGAGCCACTGCGCCTGGCCATTGCTGAGTTTTTATCCTGAATATGTATTTGATTTTGTCAAATGCTTTTTCTGCGTCTATTGAGCAGTCATGTGGTTATGTTCTTTATTAATATGGTATATTCTATTAATTGATTTACAAACATTAAAGTAACATTGCATTTCTGCAATAAATCCCACTTGATTATAATGTGTATGCAGCTAGACTTAGTTTACTAATAGTTTGTTAAGGACTTTGCATCTATATTCATGATGGATATATTGGTCGGTAGTTTTTGTTTTGTGTTTTTTTCTTTTGATGTCTGTCTGGTTTTGGGTGTAGGATAATATAGACTTACAGAATGAGTTGAGTATTCCCTATTTTCTGAAAGATTTGCAAAGGATTAATTTTGTCTTTATATAATTTACCAGTTATATACTCTGGGCCTGAGATTTTATTTATGGAAAGATTTTAATAACTAAATGATTTTACTTGTTACAGATATATTCAGATTATCTTTCTTCCTGAGTCAGTTTTAGTAATATGTGTGTTCCTAGAAATTTGTTTATCTAATTTCTTTAATGTATTAGAAATAAAGTTGTTGTTCACTATAAGGTATAGTATACACTTAAATTTTTTAACTTCTGTAGCATCAGTAGTGATGGCTCCTGTTTCATTCCTGATTTTGGTGGTTTGTTTTCCTTCATTTCTGTCTTGGTCAACCTAGCTGACAGTTGATAATTGTACTGATCTTTCAAGGAACCAACTTTTTACTTTAGCAATTTTTCTCTCAGTTTTCTTTTATTGTTTCATTGATTTGTACTATAATCCTTATTTTCTTCCTTGAGTTTGTTTTGGGTTCAGTTTGTTTAAATTTTCTAGTTTCTTAAGGTGGAATTTTGATTCACTGATTTTAACCTTTACTTTTACAGGTGTTCAAAGATATAAATTTCATTCTAACCACTGCTTTAGCTCCATTTGATAGCTTTTAGCGTGTGCTTTTATTTTATCTATTTCAACACATTTTGTTTTCCTTTGTGAATTTTTGATGCATGAGTAATAATGTCAAATATTTAGAAATATATTAGAATATTAGTGTATTAGAAGTATCTTATTCAATTTCCAAAAATCTGGAAGCTTCCCAAAATGCAGGTTGTTGATTTCTAACTTAATTTTGTTGTAGTTGGAGATCATATATGTTATCATTACAATTAAACTTATGAGACTTGCTTCTAGTCTAGCATATGACCTATCATGGGAAATGTTCCATGAGCACCAGTAAAGAATTGCATTCTGCTCTCTTGGGGGTGGATTGTTCTATAAATGTCAGGTTAAACTGCTTGATAGTGGTGTTCAAGTCTTCTGCCTCCTTTTGATTTTCTATTTAGTTATTTCATCAATTATTGAGAATAAGATTGGAGTCACCAGCTCTTGGAATATCTATTTCTTCTTTTAATTTTGCCAGCTTCTCCGTTATATATTTTAGGGTACTGTTTATGAGTGTGTACACATTCATAATTGTTATAGTTTTTTTTCCTCTAGTAGTATTTCTTAAAACCTATTTTGTCTGATCTGATTTTGGTTTACTGCATATCTTCTATCCTTTTACTTTCAACATATTTGTGGTTTTGGATCTAAAGTGTGTCTTTTATATTTAGTTGGATATTGTTTTGTTATCTAGCCTGGCAATTCCTTCTTTCCATTTGAATATTTATTCCATTTTTATTTGAAGTATTTATTGATAGCTTGGATTTATTTCTGCCATTTTACTATTTTCTACATATCTCACGTTGGTTTTCTTCGTTTGTTCCCACTTGACTCTCTTCTTTGCTAAATAGATATTTTAGTATATCATTTTAATTATGTTTTCTTTATTTTTCAGGTTATATTCTTACTTGGTGCTCTGAGGATTACAAAATATTCTTAATTTATCACACTTTAGATGAATACTAACTTAATTTTGTTAAAGCAAAAATACTTTGCACTGGTACAGCTCTATTTTTCTTCTCTCTCCTTTGTTTTATTATTGTCATATATGTATTATGTGTATGTTAAAATCCAAAGGTACAGTCTTTTCTACTAAATGTAGAAAGAAGAAGATCTACTTATATAGTCTTTTATACATACTTACATATTTACCTTTTCCAGTATACTTTATGTCTAATGTCATTTCCTTTAAGCTTAGAATAATTTCTTTAGTATAGTCTATAATGCAGATCTGCTAGTATCAGCTTTTCTCAGCCTTTTCAAATTTGGTGATGTAAGTATTTTGCTTTTTTAAAAATAGTTTTGTTGAATATAGAATTATTGGTTGACTCATTTTTTCAGTACCTTTTTTCAGACTATGTTGTTCTATTGCCTTCTGGCTTCCACTCCTTCTGATGAGAAGTCAGCTATTAATTGTAATGCTGTTCCCTTATATGTGATAATTTTTTTTCTCTTGGTGTCAAGATTTTCTCTTTATCTTTTGTTTTAACAGTTTGACTATATGTGTCTAAATGCAGATCCTTTGTGTTTATCCTAGTTGGGTTCTTGAACTTCTTTGGATGTGTAGATTTATGTCTTCCTTTAAATTTGGGACATTTTCGTGATTATTTATTTAAATTTTCTTCCTTTCCCTTTATCTTCTCCTTCTGGGACTCACTTTACATAGATATTAGTTTGGATGATGGTTTTCCACAGGTGTCTTGGGGCTTGGTTCATTTTCCTTATTGTTTAAACATTGTTAACTTAATTTTCTTGATTATAATAGCTGATTTCAGGTTTTCATCAGCCAAATCTAAAATCTGAACCCACTCAGACAATTTCCGTTGACATTTTTTCTGTGTCACATTTTTCTGTTTATTTATCCCTCTCATAAGTATTTCTTAAACATTGGATATTTTAGGTAATATAACAATTCTAGATCCTGATTTTTCACCTCTGAGTGATGTTTTTTAGTTTGTTTCTTTGAATTATTTTTGTTTAGTAACTTACCTGGACTAAATCTGTGAAATCTATTCCCCACAATATGTGCTGTTGATGTCTCTTCACAGTTATTTAATTACTATAATTTTTCATTTCTGTTTTTAAGCCTGACTTCTTATGGGTCACCCATTTGTCTGTGTAGTTTAATATTTGTCAATGATTTTTCAGAATTTCTTCTCAAATACCTCAAACCAGTAAGGCTTTTATTCGACTGTGGATCTGTATTTGGGGAACACATTCAAAGTTTAGGCAGTATTTAAAGCTATTACAGCTTCTCCACCAGGCCTTTTCTTGTTTCTGCTGCCCATGTAAACAGCTTCAAAGTCAGCCAGGAATGTGTAAACAGCTTTCAATCTTTCTTAAGTTTGTGTGTAGCCTTCCCACCACAGGAATTTGTGGAGAGCTTATTCAGGCCCTCAATGACTGTTTATTTTCTTGATCTCCTTGTTACATTTCGATGAAGCCATATGCTAGCTGAGGCACTGAACTTACCCTTTTGTCTACCTCTGAGACCACTACTGCTACTAACAATACTGGTAGACATGGAGTTTTTACAAGTTCAGCTCCTAATCAAGTTAAACTTCTCTGGCGATGATGTTGATTGACTTTCTTTGAGCTGGGGTGTGAAGGTGTGAAGTCTCAGTTAAGTAGGGATAGGAGAAGGCAAGAATCCCCACAGACTCCTCTTACCCAAAGTTCAGTGATTATTCATGAATAATGACTTCTCAATTTGTTTCATGCCTTTGATCTTTGGCTGTTTGACAGATCTTTAAAATGGTTATTTTGACAATTTGGTCAAGTTTGATTATTGCTTATTGGGAAGAGAATCCACTAAGCACTTGACAATGCCATACTCCATCAAGTATTTTTTAACATCACCTCAAGACTCACATATGATAGTTAATGCTGTCAACATAGTCAACTATTACTTGAAAGTGACATTGGATTTTGATTCATGTTGGCTTTAGGAGGACATGTTAATTTTTTTACTTTGGTTTAGTTAATGTTTTCATTATGATACAAACTATTCGCTCATTCATTTATTGAGTACTAATTACGTTCTGGGAGCTGCTCTAATTTCTTTTTTCTTTTTTCTTTCTTTTTTTTTTTTTTTTTTGAGACGAAGTCTCGCTCTTGTCTGTCACCCAACCTGTAGTGCAGTGGCATGATCTTGGCTCACTGCAACCTCCACCTCCCAAGTTCAAGTGATTCTCCCGCCTCAGCCTCCAAATAGCTGGGATTACAGGCACCTGTCACCACACCTGGCTAATTTTTGTATTTTTTTAGTAGAGATGGGGTTTCACCATGTTGGCCAGGCTGGTCTTGAACTCCTGACTCAGGCGATCCACTGACCTTGGCCTCCCAAAGTGCTGGGATTACAGGCATGAGCCACTGCGCCTGGCCAATCTGCTCTAATTTCTAAGATGTAAGGATGTATGAGAAGGTCTTGCCTTCCATGAATTCATAGTCTACAGTGGATACAAACAAGGTATACAAAAAAGGTATTTTTTAAAATAATTTCAGCTTTCATTTTAGATTCAGGGGACACATGTGCAGGTTTGTTACCTGGGTATATTTCATGATGCTGAGGTTTGTGGTACTATTTATGCCATCACCCTAGTACTGATCACAGTGCCCAACAGTTAGTTTTGCAACCCTTACTACCCTCCCTACCTCCCCCACAGAAGTCCTCAATTTCTGTTGTTGCCATCTTTATATCCATTAGTAACCAGTGTTTAGCTCTCACTTATAAGTGAGAATATATGCTATTTGGTTTTTATTATGTAAAATTATAATAATATTATAATATTTTTATTATGTTCCTATGTTAATTCACTTAGAATGATGGCATCCAGCTGTATCCATGTTGCTGCAAAGGACATGATTTCATTATATTTTATAACTGCATAGTATTCCATGGTGTATATGTACCACATTTTCTCTATCCAACCCACCATTGATGGGCACCTAGGCTGATTCCATGTCTTTGCTATTGTGAATAGTGCAGTGATGAAAATGCAAATGCATCTGTATTTTTGGTAGAATGATTTATGTTCTTTTGGATATGTACCCAGTCATGGGATTGCTGGGTCAAATGGTAGCTCTGTTTTACATTTTTTGAGAAATCTCCAAACTGCTTTCCACAGTGAATAAACTAATTTACATTTGCACCAACAGTAGGTAAGCATTCTCTTTTCACTGCAGCTTTACCAGCATCTGTTGTTTTTTGACTTTTAAATAATAGCCACCGTGACTGGTATGAGATGGCATCTTTGTGGTTTTAATTTGCATTTCTTGGTGACCAGTGATGTGTGGAACATTTTTTCATGTTTGGCCATTTGTGTGTCTTCTTTTGAGAAGTACCTCTTCATGTCTTTTGCCCATTTTTTACTAGGTTCATTTGGTTTTTGCTTGTTGATTTGTTTAAGCTTCTTAGAGATTCTGGATATTAGACATTTGTCAGATGCATAGTTTGTGAATATTTTCTCCCATTCTGCAGGTTGTCTCTTTATTACTGCTGATAGTTTCTTTTGTTGTGCAGAAGCTTTTTTATTTAATTGGTCCCACTTGTCAATTTTTGTTTTTGTTGCAGTTGCTTTTGAGGACTTAAATAAATTCTTGCCCAATGCAAATGTTCAGAATGGTTTTTCTTAGGTTTTCTTTTGGGATTCTTACAGGTAAAGATCTTACATTTAAATCTTTAATCTATCATGAGTCAATTTTTATATATAGTGAAAGATAGGGGTACAGTTTCATTCTTCTGCATATGGCTAGATAGCTATCCCAGTACCATTTATTGAATAGGGGGTCCTTTCCCACATTGCTTATTTTTGTCAACTTTGTTGAAGATCAGATATCTGTAGTTGTGCAGCTTTATTTCTGCATTCTCTATTATGTTACGTTGGTCTATGTGCCTGTTTTTGTATCAGTACCGTGCTGTTTGGGTTACTGTAGCCTTATAGTATAGTTTGAAGTCAGGTAATGTGATCCCTCCAAATTTGTTGTTTTTTGCTTAGGATTGCTTTGGCCATTCAGTCCCTTTTCTGATTCTGTATGAATTTTAGAATAGTTTTTTATAGTTCTGTGACAAATGACATTGGTAGTTTGATAGGAATAGCATTGAATCTGTAGATTGCTTTAGGCAGCATGGTCATTTTAATGATATTGTGTCTTGTAATCCATGAGCATGGGATGTTTTTTCCATTTGTTTGTGTCATCTGTGATTTCCTTCAGCAGTGTTCTATAGTTCTTCTTGTAGAGATCTTTCATCTGATAGGACCTTCTGAGCATGGAAAGCAGTTTGTGTGAGGGCAAAGTTCAGGAGCAAGTAATGGCTGAAAACTCAGATTTTAGAGGATACATGGTGATCAGCAGTAGAAGATAGAACTTAGCTAGAAGATATATTTACACTTGCTAAGCATTCTAGCCTTTATCCTCTGGACCACCAGATGCCAGCAAGGTCTTTAATAATCAAATTAGTTTTTGTTTTCATTTTGTCTTGGCATTTATTGCTGGCGGCTCTGTGAGACAGGGACAGATAACAGGTCAAGCAAATAGACTTTTTGCTTCTTGGGTTGAGAGAAGGTGAGTGAAAATAGTGGCCAAATTTAAAAAGTGTTTATGACATAAAATTGAGAAGATTTGCTCACATTGATATAAGGAAGAGTGTGGGAGGCTAGATGAGTACAGAGGAATTATCTGAGGGCCATAGAGAGGAGACAGCCTCTTGGGGAGCTGCCAAACAAGAAATTAGCCTAAACACAACCCCAGAAGTCGAACAGGCTGTCCATATGAATCATTAACTAAGAGGCTAGGAAAAGAGAAAGAATCCAGGCAAGAGCAAATGTACAGAGACCTTGGAAACCATGCTAACAGGACAATTTTAGCAGAGGATCTATAGTGGATTCTAAGCAGATTTTCTGAGCTGCAAAGAACATGGGAAAAATGAGTTTAGGTTGGGTGCACTGGCTTACACCTGTAATCCCAGCACTTTGGGAGGCCAAGGTGGGCAGATCACATGAGGTCAGCAGTTCGAGACCAGCTGGCCAACGTGGTAAAACCCCGTCTGTACTAATAATATAAAAGTTAACCAGGTGTGGTGGCACACACCTGTAATCCCAGCTACTAGGGAGGCTGAGGCATGAAAATTGCTTGAACCTGGGAGGTAGAGGTTGCAGTGAGCCGAGATCATGCCACTGCACTTTCAGCCTGGGAAACAGTGAAACTGTGTCTCAAAAAAAAGAGAAAGAAAAAAATGACTAAAGTCCATGCCTTTAGTTTGTTGAAGATAGAGCTGTATGAAGCTCCAATCTAGCACGGTCCTTTCAGCACTCTTTTATCTTCAATAAAAAAATTGGAATTAATCTAAACCCTTGCTGAAGTGAAATCAAGATATTATAAGGATAATGGTATTGATTATTAATTCTCCCCCAACTAATGTACTTCCTGTAGGTGACTCAGACACTGTACAGAGACCTTCATTAACTCTGAAATCACAAAGGAATCATTCAGAAAGCAGCTCCTTAAATACCTAATAGTTAGTGCTGCCAAAGTGTTAATGCACCTTTTCAAAGCATTAAGGAACTGGGCAGATACAAATAGTTGCGATGACTATGTATAAAACATAAATTAAGACATACCTCATCTTTGATTTACACTGTTTAAAGAGGGCCCTTTTTAAGTGTGAGATTCTGTGAGCTAATATTTCCTGTCCATGACATTCTAATTTTTTAAATTGTGAACCATCCAGATTTGCCGTTGGTATGAATCAAGTTTTTTATTTAATTAAGCCAGCTTATCTGTCACTCATCATAATTAATCCATTCCTATCTTAATTACTTTTTCATTTTCAGAGCCAATCATATATTAATACAAATATGGGAAAATCTAAGTCAATTTTTAATATAAATAAGAGCACAGAAAACCCATTGGATATGTGTATATGCTTCCTTCACATATTTAGAAAGGCTCAAAATATCTGAGTTCATATTCTGCCACAAACACAGAAACCAGAGAAGAAATATTTCAGTTCATTCATTTACCTCATGACACCAACTATCTAAATACCACCGTTTCCCGAGATTTCAGAATCTTGCTTTTATTAAACCCATCGAATGATGAATTACAATAGAGGAGGCCTTTCTGTTTCTGGAGGCAATTGCAGGGAAACCATGCCTGTCAGTTCATTTTTGTCACTGGCGCATGTGTGGCTTTTTTCATTCACTCATTTATTAATTGAGCAAGACTCCAATCATTAGAGATGCAGCCATGAGTGAGACAAAAGAAGCTTTCAACTCCCTTTGAGCTTAAATTTTAGTGAGGGAGGCACACAATAAACAAATAAACAATGATGAGTAATCCTCAAGGAATTAAGGTAGTAGAAGGTGATTCAGTGACTTCTGTAGATGGAGTGCTCAGAGAAGGCCTCTCTGAGGAGGTGGCATTAAAGCTGCGAGTTGAATAACAAGAAGTGCCATGAGATGATCACAGGACTAAGCATTCCAGGACGACATCATAGCTAAAGCAAAGGTCTGCAAGTGGGAATATAATCTAAGAATCAAGTGAAAGCCAGTGCTTCTGGAGGGACATAAACAGGAAAGTGGTAAGAGATGAGCTTGGGGAGAGAGAGAACACTCATCGTAAGGAGTGTACATTTCATTTAAAGGTCCGTGAAGAGCTGGTAGGGGTTTTAAACAAAGTAGTGATGTGATCTGATTTACATTTTGGAAAAATCAGTCTGGTTGCTCCATGGAGAATGAACCAAGGGGCAAGTATGAAAACAGGGAGATGGAATCTGGATGAGAGGTGAGTATGGCTTGCATCTGGTAGCAGAAGGGACAGAAGTAGATTAACTCAGGATTTGTTTAGTGGTAGAATGAGAGAACTTATTGATGTGTTGGCTCTTGGAGGGTGTATTATAGAAAGAAAAGAATCCATCACAGATAATTCAATTTTTTTTATTTCATAAGCTTTAGGACTTTAACATCACTTAGTCATTTCATGCATTTATTCCATCGGTCATTGCAAAGGTTGATTCTTTTCACAGTTGTGTATTTCCTTGGTTAGAGCAAACTATGGTGTATGAGTTTCTGGATTCAATTCTGGGTTTTCTAATTTAGTGGCTGTATGCTCTTGAGCGAGTTTTCTAACCCCTCTGCCCTTTGGTTTCTTTGCCTAAAAAACATGGTAATAATGTTACCTATTTCATAGGGTTGTGGTCAGCAGTGACTAAGGAAATGCAAATAGAAGTACTTAGCACACTACTGGCCTGCAGGAAGCAGTCATTAAATGTTAGAAATTTGGTGCTATAGCAAAAGAATCTATTAACAGAGTAAACAGACAACCTACCGAATGGAAGAAAATATTCACAAACTATGCATCCTACAAGGATTTAATATCCAGAATCTATAAGAAACTTAAATCAAGCAAAAACCAAATAACCCCATTACAAACAGACAAAGACATGAGCAGATACTTCTTAAAAGAAGACATGCAAGTGGCCAAGAAACATGAAAAAATACTCATCATCACTAATCATCAGAGAAAAGCAAACCAAAACCACAATGAGATACATTCTCATACCAGTCAGAACGGCTACTACTAAAAAGTCCAAAAACAACAGGCGCTGGCAAGGCTGCAGAGAGTAGGGAATGCTTATACACTGTCGGTGGAATTGTAAATTAGCTCAGCCACTGTGGAAAAGTTCAGAGATTTCTCAAAGAACTTGAAATAGAGCTACCATTCGACCCAGCAATCCCATTGCTAGATGTATACCCAAAGAGAAATAGATCATTATACCAAAAAGACACATGCACTTGTATGCTCATTGCTGCACTGTTCACAATAGCAAAGATATGGAATCAACCTAGGTGCCCATCAGTGGTGAATTAAATAATGAAAATGTGGCACATATACACCATGGAATACTACACAGCCAAAAAAAAAAAAGAATGCAATGTCCTTTGCAGCAACATGGATGCAGCTAGAGGCCATAGGCCTAAACTAATTAATGCAGGAACAGAAAACCAAATACTGCATGTTCTCACTTGAAAATGGGAGCTAAACATTGAGCACACATGGACATAAACATGAGAACAATAGACACTGTGGACAGCTAGTGGCGAGAGGAAGGGAGAGGGATGTGAGTTTAAAAACCATCAAGTACTATGCTCACTACCTGGATGCAGTATACCCAGGTAACAAACCTGCACATGTACCCCCTGTGTCTAAAATAAGAGTTGAAATTAAAAAAAATTAGGTACTAAATTTCTCTTATCCTCCTTCCAATTGTGCATTCAAGTCTCAGCACCTAGAAATGAGTTAACATGTTTTTAAGAAACAATAAGTTTCTGTTTCTTATATTATTACATAATTATTTTATGTACGATTTAGATACCATTTTTTTCAGAATTTCTTAACCCTTTTGAATATATTTTTATCTTCTATATCTGCCAGTATTTGTTTCTTTTTAAAGTGGCTTTTTTGTTATTTGGGTTTTGAAAATCTAAGGGCTTTTAGAGAGATTTATTGAATATTATAGGCTTTATTGTGAAGTTAGCATTTTCAGCTCTTAAAATGGAGCAAGGGAGGATGGGCATTCTGATCTCAAGATTATAGAAATTATGTGAAAGCTTAATATAACTGCCTCCATCAGTGCCATAACACCGCATGGGCCCCGCTTTCATGTACAGCTCCTCCGATGGGTGTCCCGCTTTTTCTCTTTGGACTTAGAACTATATTGAATCTAAGGCTGGAAAATACCCTATTTGTTTAGACCACAGACAATCCAGAAGACCTTGTATTTCTCTGAATCTTTGATTTCTGTGTAAACACTGGTTCCTGTCACTCTGCCAGGCTGCAGCTGCATTTCAGGCTTTCATGATTGGTTATTTGCTTCTCAAAATAGGCTTGAGAACAGTAGGAAAATAGAGTAGGTCAACACGGCATATGGTTAAATTTTCATGGACAGATGTGTTTGAGAATAATAAGGAAATTCTTTTAAACGGTTATCTTTGTTATAAATGTGGTATGCAGATGTTTCATAGTTATGGCTGGGATAGAGGTACTTTTAGCAAATGGTACTTTTCATAAGATTACACATTAACCTAATTTTTGAAAACTATATTCATGTTTCACTGAAGGTAGCTGGGCAAGGAACAGCCTATTTGCTCTTAGAATCTTACAGTGCCATCATCAATGCAGAATTGTTCAGCACAGGTGACTTTGGAATCCCTTTCTGTGCAAAACATTCGACATTAAATGCATACATGTTTTGTGATTCTTCGAGCTTCAGGTTCTGTGTTTCTTCTTGTATTTTCTTAATGACAGGAGATAATAAAATATTTTTTTATTTCAGAAGGTTTACATGGTATGACATATGTAAAATAGTTTCTATCTCTGATATAATGTCCCTAAGCCCGGGGTGGGGAGGCATTACTTTATTAAACCACTGGCCAATTGAATCTACAGTGGGTGGATCTGCTATGATAGGTTTTCATGCTTGTTTCCATACTGTGCCAAATTTTGTAAAATGTCACAATATATCTGAATAGGTAGCAATGGTGTAGTCTGGGATGTTTTTGGAAATCAATAATTAAATTTATCAACGTGTGTGTATGTATGTGTGTTTTAAAACTTGTATTTTGTGGAGCTAAAACCCTGATAACCCAGTGTCCTTCTGCCTCTTCGAAAGACATTGTGGTCATAACTGTTTAAGAGCTTAGTGTGAAGGTCTATGTAGGCATCAAGAATCAACTGTAAATTCTCAGCCCTGCCAGCATACACAGAACCAAGAAGTGGTCCATCCTGTGGACTGCTCGTGAGTGCCTGATGGATGGATCTCTGTGGAATTAGGGGGCAGGTCTACACCAACAGCCAAATATCCTGTTATTTCACAATCCAGCACCTCAACTTGATTGTATTACTGTTAGTATTTATTTTTAGGTTTTCATTTTTTTGCCAGAAACATATGTGTGGACATACTCACTTCCTGTGTGTTTGTCTTTCTACTACAGATACGGGAGCAGAAAGACAGGCGCTAAGAGAAAATGTATATCCTAAACTGAGAGAATTCTGCAGAGAAAACTATGGATTGGAATTTCAGGTAATTCTAGTGTTAATTTCATTCACAGTTATGTCCAGTTAAATAACTAGTGTTTGTTTCTTGTCACAACTTGAGTGTTGTAAAAGACAAGTTTTAGGCCCTGAAAAAATTTATTTCTTCAAGCATGGGTAAAAAGAAACACTGACAAATGGAAATAAAGTATTTCATCATTTTTTATGTTTAGTTCTTTTATGCTGTGCTTCTTGGACCCTTCCTGGTATGGGCTCATCTTTTTCTTTGAACCATATTTATTTGCTTTTTTGACGGTCTCCACTATTATCAAAGAGATGAAAGTTGCTGAGCACCTGAGTTTAAGCTATGGTTTCTAGAAATATTTTGCACTTAAAAATGGGGACCAACTTTTTTCAAACTTATTTCCTTTCATCAGCCAGGCCTGGCCTTGCCTTCTGTCTTGCCTTTAACTTTTTATTCACATTGTAGAACATCGTTTTTCCTATTCATTTCAGAGCTACATCATTTACTCCCCCCAAAACATTATATCAGCCTTTCAAGAGACAGCGATGGCACACATCATTGCTAAAGTTCATGAACATCCTAACATTTTAATGCACCACTGAATGTGCCATCTAACGGTAAAGTGCTTGAAAACATTGCATGTATCTTGGGCATCCAAATGTTGAAAAAAATAAATGGCTCCTGCAACAGATAACATTATTTAGTCAGAATTTTTCAGCCTCATTGGCGATGGAAATCCTAACTCTCCAGTGCTATCTAAACTACACATTTACATTGTCAAGTGATGAATATGTAATAGAGGTCTGTGGTGCAGAAGTGCAAAATGCACCATTGTTAGTGGAAGAACATTTCACCCTTTGTTTCCTCCCAGATAAATATTTTATCTTGATATACTCCTGATGCCTTCTAATATGTTGTATAAAGTAACAGTCTCGAAATGGCTTCAATCTCAATGCATAATGTCTTTGCCACCAGACCATGATGACACACACATTGAATTGTCACTCATAAGTCACCATTTACTTGACAAATTGTGAACCTAAATTAAATTCCTTGTCATGAATTCAGCACTGCCTTCTCTGAGGAATCTGGTTTTACTGATAATAGGGTCCCAATTGTTACATAATTTCCAATCTGTCAAGAATCCCAAAGACTTAGACACTCCTTGGGGACTCAGTTACCATAGAGGAAGAAATGTGTCCAAGCATATAATCCCATCTTTAGGTTTGTTTTTGCATCATTTTTGTCAACAGGGGAAGTCAGTGAGCTATAGGACAGCTTCTATAAACCATGGTATTGACTAGGATTAGCTGAGGGAGAAAGAGAAAAAAAGTATACTTTCTGAACTAGAGGTAGGCACAGAAGATGGATACAGGCAAAGGAAAACTGTACTAGGCGAGGCCCATAGAATAAATTGACAGGATTATTCTAGGCAGGTGCACTGAATCAGCTGAGGAGATGTTGGACCACAGAGTACACCGCAGTGGGCAGGGAAGATGTAAAATTGACCCCCAGTTCTCTACGGGTACTGGGAGTGACTGAACCTGCCTATCCTTCAGTTCAGTGTCTAAAATAGGAATGGCAGCAGCTTACATGTCTGAGGTTGTGTTTAGAATAAAATTAAATATGCAAGGTTACATTTGCTTCCAAGCTCTAGGCTTAGCAGGAGTTCACATCCATAATATCTGAATCTTCTAAGAATATACCTTTTAAGTGTAGTCTTTTATAGTAGGTTAATTATATCACTCCCTAAGGATATATTTTTTAGAGAGGCAGTTCTCTTCTCTCAACTCAACAAAAGGTATGATGCCAGAAGCTTCATGAACAGCCAGTTTACCCCCACAGTATCCCCGACTCCATCTTTGGTTGTGCACTGAACCCAGAACATATGGTTTCCTAGAGTTACTCAAACATACCGGTCTACTTCATGCTTGCTTGCCTTTGCTCATGCCATTCTCTTCAACTACAATGCTTTTCAGTCTGGTTCTTCCCCTGCTTCACCTCCTGGATTCTACTCATTCTTAAGACTCTTCCTATCTAACCTCATGTTGTGCCCCCTTGCTCAATGGCCCACAGCCCTGTGGGCCTCTTTTGGATCCCTGAACACCTTAAGCCCATTCATACTTGAGAATTTTACTCTGGCTGTTCTGTCTTGCAGAATACTCACTGCCTTTATCTTCACACAGCTGCTTTCTTATTGTCCCTCAGGTCTCCACTGAAATGTCACCCCTAGAGATGCTTTTCTTTTTATTATTATTATTACACTTTAAGTTCTGGTATACGTGTGCAGAATATGCAGGTTTGTTACATAGGTATACATGTACCATGGTGGTTTGCTGCACCCATCAACCCATCATCTACATTAGCTATTTCTCCTAATGCTATCACTCCCCTAGCCCCCCACCCCCAGCAGGCCCCAGTGTGTGATGTTCCCCTCCCTGTGTCCATGTGTTCTCATTGTTCAATGCCCACTTATGAGTGAGAACATACGGTGTTTGGTTTTCTGTTCCTGTGTTAGTTTGCTGAGAATGATGGTTTCCAGCTTCATTCATGTCCCTGCAAAGGACATGAACTCCATCTTTTTTATGGCTGCATAGTATTCCATGGTGTAGATGTGCCACGTTTTCTTTATCCAGTCTGTCATTGATGGGCATTTGGGTTGGTTCCAAGTCTTTGCTATTGTGAATAGTGCTGCAACAAACATACATGTGCATGTGTCTTTATGGCTGAAAATTCCAGAAACCAGAACGCCTCTTCTCCTCTAGAGATGCTGTTCTTGTGACCCATCCTAAAGTAACCACCTCTCTTTTGCATCATACTGTTTTAGTTCTTTGCATAGTGTGTGCCAGTATCAGATATTTTTTCTTGTTTGTTTATGTATTGGCCTGCTTATTGTCTTTCTCCCACTAGATTATAAGTTCCATAAAAGCAGAGGCTTGTCTGTTTTTACGGAATTTCAAGACAGCTGCATTCCTTGTCCTATAGTCCCTGGCACATTGGAAAATGCTATGAGAATTTGTTGAATGAATGGTTACATGAAAAAAAAAAATGAATGAATGAAGACCCAGCCCAGATATAACTTGCAAAAGAAAGCCTTCTCTGATCCCTCCCACACCTCCCAAGATAGGCCATGTACCCTCCTCTTTGCTTCTCTGAAATTCAATGCATAACTCCCGATAATCCATCCAGTTCATTCAAGAAGTATTTGTTGAGTGCTGACCACATGGCAACCAACATTCTAAGTGCTGGAAATAAAGGAGCAAACCAACCAGACCCTCTTCTGAGGAGCTTCTAACATTGTTAGGAGAGGCAGACAGTGTAGATTCCAGGGATAATAAATGCATTTTATTGAATAAATGCTTCGGTTTTAAAAATCACAGAAAGTAGGGTTAGGGCATGCCAGGTAGTCAGAGAAAGACTCGGTGATAAGGCAATATTTGAGCAGAGATCTGCAGAAAGTGATGGAGCAAGTCATGCGGATGTCTGGAGTTGTGGGGAGGAATCCAGGCATAGGGAACAAGGAAAAGGGTCTGAGGTAGAAGTGTGTTTAGAATATTCTAGGAACAATCACACTACCACACTCCAGTCTGGACAACAGAGTGAGACCCTGTCTCAAAAAAAAAAATTAGAACAGTAAAGAAGCCAAGTGTGAGTGAAGGAAATAATTACAGATGGCATCAAAGTAAGATTATATGAGACCTCATGGGCCAAGATTAAGGACTTAGAATTTTATTGAGTTGGAAGGGAAAGAGTGAGGTGATATGACTTACCATTAAGAGGTTTGCTCAGGTTCTATGAGTAGAATACAATGCAAAGGAATGGTCAAAGCAGGAAAATAGTGCAAACAGGAAGAACTAAAGTAAGCAGTGTAGATAATGAAACGTCATCTGGTTAAGTAAACTTTTCATCACCTGCCTATAAGTGCCAAATGTTCTCAGGCCTGGAATTGCCTTATTTAACTTATCCCAATGGCCAGTCAAATAGCTGCACATAGTAATCCATTTAGTTCAGTCTTTATTCAATTAAATTAATAGAATATGAATAGAATAGAAATTAATAGAATATCAATTAAATTAATACGCATTTTAAGCAAGTCCATATACCTTTTATCTATGTGCCTGTTTGGCAGGCTATTTTGTAGTGTTTTCCTTATTTGTTTTTCATTTGAACTAAGATATTTGATGAAAATACACTAGACTCCGATTATGTAAACTTCAATTAATTCTATATGTGATGGGTACATATATAGGTTGATTACTCAGAGATGGAAACAGTTCACTGGAAAGAACATCAAGCCCACTCAGCAAAGAACACCCAGGGCATCAGGAAAAGACATGGTATTTAAATAATATGTTATTTGATTTGCAGGTATTTACTAAGGGCCTCCAGCTACAGAGAAGGGGATAGAAAATAAGAACAAGGAGAATCAATTGGAAAAAAGTAAAGACAGACTGGGGAGAAAGCCGGTGGTGCAAAACAGATAAAATAAATAAAGAGCTTGTGATTATACCCAGAGATACCATCCACTCTTGCTTTTGGAACTCTTCTCCATCCCCATTGCCGAGGTCCTGGTCTAACCCTCATTGCTTCAAAAATGGGATGAACAAAAGCATCCTAATTGATTTATTTTCCCGCTTACCCCTAGTAGATTGCAAGTCCTTGAGGAAGAGACTGGTTCTTGTTTGTTTTTAAGTCCCCAGGCCTGGAACAGAGCTTGGCATTTAGTGGGGTTTTAGTAAGTGTGTTCAGCAGAACTGCCTTACACCATCACCCTACTTGAGTATTTCTGTACAATACCACCAGAATCATCACCCTACTTGAGTATTTCTGTACAATACCACCAGAATCATCACCCTACTTGAGTATTTCTATACAATACCACCAGAATCATCACCCTACTTGAGTATTTCTATACAATACCACCAGAATCATCACCCTACTTGAGTATTTCTGTACAATACCACCAGAATCATCACCCTACTTGAGTATTTCTATACAATACCACCAGAATCATCACCCTACTTGAGTATTTCTGTACAATACCACCAGAATCATCACCCTACTTGAGTATTTCTGTACAATACCACCAGAATCATCACCCTACTTGAGTATTTCTATACAATACCACCAGAATCATCACCCTACTTGAGTATTTCTGTACAATACCACCAGAATCATCACCCTACTTGAGTATTTCTGTACAATACCACCAGAATCATCACCCTACTTGAGTATTTCTATACAATACCACCGGAATCATCACCCTACTTGAGTATTTCTATACAATACCACCAGAATCATCACCCTACTTGAGTATTTCTGTACAATACCACCAGAATCATCACCCTACTTGAGTATTTCTATACAATACCACCAGAATCATCACCCTACTTGAGTATTTCTGTACAATACCACCAGAATCATCACCCTACTTGAGTATTTCTGTACAATACCACCAGAATCATCACCCTACTTGAGTATTTCTATACAATACCACCAGAATCATCACCCTACTTGAGTATTTCTATACAATACCACCAGAATCATCACCCTACTTGAGTATTTCTGTACAATACCACCAGAATCATCCTGTGTAAATGTCATATTGTGTCAATGAGGGGACATAGAGCAAGATGACCAAATAGAAGCTTCCACTGATTGTCCTCCTGAAGGAACACCAAACTAAACAATTATCCACACAAAATAGCATGAGAACCAAAAATCAGGTGAGTGATCCCAGTACCTGGTTTTAACTTCATGTCACTGGAAAAGGCACTGAAGAGGGTAGGAAAGACAGTCTTGAATTTCCAGTGCCATCCCTCCCCCAACTCCCAGCAGCAGCCACATGGTGCAGAGAAAGAATCTGTGTGCTTGGTGAAGGGAGAGTACAGTGATTGTGGGAGTTTGCATTAGAATTTACTGCCCCTGTCACAGCAGAAAGCAACATTGGGCAGAAATGAGCCAGTGCCCACTGAGGCCCATTTAGACCAGGCCTAGTCAGAAGGGAATCGCCCCTTCCAGTGATCAGAAACTGAGTTTCAGCAAGCCGTGCCACCATGGGCTAAAGTGTTCTTGAGTTCTGAATGAACTTGAAAGGCAGTCTAGGCCACGAGGATTCCAACTACTAGGCAAGTCCTGGTGCTGGGCTGGGCTTGGCACCAGTGGACTTGGGGTGCATGTGAACTAGCAAGATACCAGCTGGGATGGCCAAGGGAGTGCTTGCACTACCCCTCCCCCAACCCCAGGCAGTGCAGCTCACGGCTCTGGGAGAGACACTCCTTCCTTCCACTTGAGTGATGGAAAGGACAGAGTAGAGAGGACTTTGGCAACTTGGACACCAGCTCAGCCACAGTAGGATAATGCACTGGGCAGAGTCCTGAGTTCCCCATTCCAGGCCCTAGCTCCCAGATGACATTTTTATACATATCTTAGGCCAGAAGGTAACCTGCTGCCTTGAAAAAAAAAAAAAAAAGGACCCAGTCCTAGCAGGACTCATCACTTGCTGACTAAAGAGCCATGATCTCCCCAAATGAGTTCAGTAAGGCACCAAGGACCAATCCTGGGCTCTGAATAATCAGCAGTAATACCCAGGCATTACTCGCCATGGGCCTTGGGTGACATTCAGAGAAGTGCTGGTTATGGGCATGACCCAGCACATTCCCAGCTGTGGTGGCTATAGGGAGAGATTCCTGCTTTAGAAAAGGAGAGGGAAGAATAAAGGGAAATTTATCTGGCAGTTTAGGTACCAGCTCGGCCACAGTAGGGTAGAGCACCAAGCGGGCTCTTGGGGTTCCCAGTTCCAGGCCTTGGCTCTCAGATGGTATTTCTGGACCTGCCCTGGGATAGCAGGGAGCCCATTGCCCTGAAGGGAGAGTCTCAGACCTGGCAGCATTCACTACAAGCTGACCGAGGAGCCCTTGGACCTCAAGTGAATGTTGGCAGTAGCCAGGCAGTACTTGCTGTGAGCTTGGGGTAGTGGTGGCCATGGGAAAAGATTCCTCTGCTCGTGAAAAAGGGAGGGAAGAGTGGGAAGGACTTTGTCATGTGGCTTAGGGATCAGCTCAGCCACAGTAGAATAGAAGATCAGGTAGAATTCTGAGGTTTCCAACTCCAGGCCCTGGCTCATGAAGGGCGTCTCTGAACCTGCCAGGGCTGAGGACAACTTGCTGCCCTAAAGGGAAGGACACAAACCTGGCTGGCATCACCACCTGCTGACTGTAAAGCCCTTGGTCCTTGAGTGAACGTAGGCAGTAGCTAGGCAGTGGTTATCAAGGGCCTTGATGGGACTCACTGCTGTGATGGCTTCCTGTCTAACCTAGCATAGTCCCAGTGGTGGTCATAAGGATGCTTGTGTCACCCCTCCCCCAGCTCCAGGAAGCTCAGCACAGAGAGAGGGACTCTGTTTGAGAGAAAGTAAGGGAAGATAACAAGATCTCTGCCTGGTAATCCAGAGAATTCTTCTAGATCTTATCCAAGACCACCAAGGCAGAAGAGCCACGTGTTACTGGGCTTGGAGTATTCCCTAATACAGTTACAGCTACAGTGACCAAAAACCTAGATCACAAACCCAAGTCCCTTTGAATACCTGAAAAAACCTTCCCAAGAATGACAGGTACTAACAAGCTCAGACTGTGAAGACTACGATAAATACCTAACTCTTAAATACCCAGACACCAACAAATATCAAGACCATCCAGGAAAACATGATCTCCCCAAATGAGTTCAGGAAGGCACCAAGGACCAATCCTGACAGGGATATTGTGAACTTTCAAACAGTGAATTAAAAATAGCCATTTTGGGGAAACTCAAAGAAGTTCAAGATAACACAGAGAAGGAATATGGGATCCTATCAGATAAACTTAACAAATAAATTGGTATAATTTGAAAAAAGCAGAAATTCTGGAGTTGAAAAGTGCAGTTGACATACTGAGGAATGTATCAGAGTCTCTTACCAGCAGAATTGATCAAGCAGAAGAAAGAATTAGTGAACTTGAAGACAGGCTATTTGAAAATACACAGAGGAGAAAAAAGAATAAAGAATGAAGCATGCCTACGAGAGCTAGAAAATAGCCTCAAAAGGGCCACTTTAAGAATTGTTGGCATTAAAGAGGAGATAGAGTGGGCTAGAAAGTGTATTCAAAGGGATAATAACAGAACTTCCCAAACCTATAGAAAGATCAGTATTCAAGTACAAGATTATAGAACACCAAACAGATTTAACCCAAATAAGACCACCTCAAGACATTCAATAAATGCCATATTATCAGTTTCTTTGCTTAAAAGTTTTTAATGGCTTTCTGCTGCCAATAGGATCTCTCTTTAATGTAGTTCCAGCTTCGTTTTCAACTCTTCCCCACGTAAATAATCCATGCCAGTCCATCCTCAGCCTGTGCTTGGAGCACATCTTCCTGATTGCTCATTCCTAACTCTCACATTCTAGTCACTATATCTATTTCAATGCTTGCTTCCTATCAGACATACCCTTTCTTCACCCCTAGCCACCCCACACCCTGTCCTTCACAATCTAGCTGAAGGCCTAGCTTTCCCAAGACATCTTTTCCGATTTCTAAATAATCTCCCCCTCTACTCTCTGAACTCATAAATCTGTCCCACATGGGCCGCTGGTACACTGAGCCAAGATTGAATCCAGTTAGGACAGGGACCTCTAAAGGGGGTGTTTAGCTAATCTCAATACTTAGGACACTTCCATTTCAAAAGAAATCTCCATCCGAGTCCAGCCCCTGAGCTTTACATCACTCTTTAAGAATACCTTCTCATAGCCAACTTCATTAGTGGGCACCTGGTATTTACATTGGTCTTAGTCACAAAGTTCATAAACCTCCTTTTTCTTTACCTCTGACATCCATTAAATCCCAAAGATCTGCCAACTCTACCTCCCTAAATACTTCTCCAATCTGTTCCTTTTGTTCGTATCTGTATTACCGTTACCTTGACTGTTGCCATGGGTACCCTGACTATTCCCATTTCCTTCATCTCTGCCTTTTCCTCCCTAATACCAAACTCTTAATCTACTTTACCCAGCTGGTTCATCCTCCACAATGTTGCTACGGTGGTATTTTTAAACACCAATCTGACCCTTGTCCACAAGATACAGTCTATGCTTCTTGGCACAATGTGCAAGTTCTTTTTTACCCCTGCCTACTCTCGAGGTCTTATCTGTGACTCTTTCCCACAGGCAGCCTGTTCTAGCCTTTGCGAACTACATTTGGTTCACCAGATGTGTTTCCTTTCCCACCCTGAATTTTCTCACCCACTGTGCCCTCTGACTGGGGGGTGGGCGGGGGGGGGGGGCTTAAATTGCCTCCCAGGCAAATGAGTAGAAAAATTCCTCCTAATTCATTAAAATGTAGTGAAGTCCTTCTATGAGATTCCAGAGTACTTTATTTCTAATCTTTACTAGCATGTCTTATTTGTTTTAATTAATTTTTAAATGTCCCTCCCCCACTAACTGGGAGCTCTTAGAAGTTAGCAATCACATTATTTATATCTTCATAGTACCAGAATCTGTTATAGCAGAGGTCCCCAACTCCTGGACCGTGGCCTGCTAGAAGCTGGGCCACATGGCAGGAGGTGAGCAGTGAGGCAGCATTACCGCCTGAGCTCCTTCTGTCAGATCAGCGGTGGCATTAGATTCTCATAGGAACATGAACCCTATCGTGAACTGTGCTTGCGAGGGATCTAGGTTGTGGACTCCTTATGAGAATCAAATGCCTGATGATCTGAGGTGAAAGTTTCATCCCCAAACCATGCCCCTACCTCTGTGGAAAAGTTGTCTTCCACAAAACTGGTCCCTGGTGCCAAAAAGTTTTGGGGACTGCTTTGATATAGTACGTGGCTCATACTAGATCCATAATAAATGGTGGTTGATCGATTTCAATTTATTGATTAAATGACTAAGACCCAGAAGCTGAGAGTCTATACCATCACTGTGTAAAGAAGTATAATGTGAGTCACAGATGCAAGCCACATAAGTAATATTAGATTTTCCAACTAGCCATGTTCTAAAAAGTAAAAGGAAACATAAAATAGCATAAAATTTGTTTGCCAAAAATGTTTTTATTTTTTTTCTGCTTATGCTCAAGTCTTTTTAGCTTTAAGAAGAGTATAGTCATCTTTTTTCAAATGAGCATATTTTGTGAAGGTCATTTCCAAATATTTCATATTTTCATTCTTTCTGGTTTTTCTTAGATATTCTTTGTTATTCTTTCTCTGACATGGTTTTTAAAATTTTAATATTTTAAGATAATATCTAAAACATCATTTTAATACATGGTCAATATGAAAATTATTAATGAGGCATTTTACATTCTTGTTTTTATCCTGAGTTTCTAAAATTCAGTGTATTTTACGCTCAGAGCACATTGCAATTTGGACTGGCCAATTTTCAGGTGCTTGACCAGCTGCATGTGGCCAGTAGCTCCCAGGCTGGACAGCAAAGCTCTAGATAGTAGTGGGGTCTGTCTGGGTGGGATCATCCTGATGGGATAATGGCCTGACTGCCTGGTGACAGAAGTCCAGCTGAGAGCCATGGGGGCCTTAACTAGAGGAGCCCCAGTGGGAATGGAAATTCACTTGTATGTGTAAAAATATATATAAAAATTAAAAATCCAGAAAATGATTATAAAGAAAATAAATTTGGCTGGGCGCCATGGCTCACGCCTGTAATCCTAACACTCTGGGAGGCCGAGGCGGGTGGATCACGAGGTCAGAAGTTCGAGACCAGCCTGGCCAACATGGTGAAACCCCGTCTCTACTAAAAATAAAAAAATTAGCCAGGCGTGCTGGTGGGCGCCTGTAATCCCAGCTACTCGGGAGGCTGAGGCAGGAGAATCGCTTGAAACTGGAAGGCGGAGGTTGCAGTGGGCCGAGATCAAGATCGCACCACTGCGCTCCAGCCTGGGCAAAAGAGTGAAACTCCATCTCAAAAAAAGAAAAAAAAAAAAAAAAAAACAAGAAATTGTCCACCTGTCAAATGAGTAACTTTTTCTTCTATCTGACTGCTTTTGGGCATTGTGTTAATAGGGGGTATATAACCTGAAATAAATACTTAATGCAACTTTCAAAACTGCTGTAGAACCAGGACTAAGTGACTGTTACACATGAGGCAACAGACTAAAACGTATGGTCAGTGATGCATTTGCCTGCTGTATTAATCTTGAAACTTAATTTGAAATCAAGAGAGGCACATGATGGAAACTCTAACCCCTTTTATTTCGGAATCTTAAATTAATAGTCCTCATCTTAGTGGGTGTCATATGTTACATTTTGTAAAGTGTAGCTTTCAAAAGAAATTGCCCAAACACGCCTTTGCAACTAAGCGTGACAACATGGTCTCAGAGTGGGAACTCCTCCATGTGCTGGTCCCAGCCCTTTTCCTTCCCTCTAAGAGGCAAGTGTCAGCTTCCTAGGTGTGTAAGGAAGTGAGAGAAACTCGCAGCTCACCCTAGCAGGAAGATCTTGCCCGCAACTACTTTCTGTCTCAGGATAACAATTGGATGCCACCTGAAGGCACCAAAGGGGTGCATGCTTATCCTGGGCAGAGGTGTCTCCTGCAGCCCCTTTGGTCTGGGGTTTGTCAGCTCTTCATTGCTGAGGTTCCATCTCTCCTTGTCTCCTTGGGCAGCACAGGCCCATGCCTGTCCACCTGGTTTTCTTCTTCCCTAAACCCCCAATGAGAGTATAACCTTCTCCTTAAGCTGCCTTCTGTACATGAGTAATCTTTGCATCAACATCTCCAGCTCTCTCTCCTCCATAGTTGTGTGAGGACAATTCTCTGACTTTTTTTTTTGAATGTTAATATGTTTAAAACAGAACTCATCCTCCTTTTCCCTTTCTGAATTCTCAAGTGCTACTACTTCCCTGTCTTCAAGACTTTCAACTCTTGGCTTAGTCCATTCTTTCATCCTTTAAAACTAGATCCAAGCTGCCACTGTTCTGGTTGACTCATCTGCCACAGTGTTTCTTCGAAGCTTGCCTTTTCTTTCCATTTTGAAAATCTCTGTCTTTGCACAAGCTTTTGTTTCTTAACAGCTGGATGTCTATGGAAATCTTTCTCTGATCTTTCCCTACCTGTGGTGTTTATGTGCTCTGGTCCAAACTGTACACAGCTGTTCACACAATATTCCTTGAACAGTATTTACCAGATTTCATTGAGTCTAAGATGCATGGATTTTCACATTTTTTAAATGTCAGAGTCAGGATTTTTACCTTACAAATAAATTGTGTGTGATCATGTAATTGGCAGTGCTCCAAACCCAGCCGTGACTGCCACTAGGCATCACTGGGGACTGGGCCCAAGAGCTCCATTTTTCCCCTTCAGGATATGAAATTGCTCAGATGTCTTCTTAGGGAAAAGAAGCAAAGCAATGAGGAAACCAAGTCTTTTTGAGAGGCTCGGCATCTTGATCCAAGAACAGATGAGCACAAAATAAAGTTCCTTGAAAACTAAAGTTCCTTGAAAACAACAGTTTGAACTCTGGTTTAAATGGAATAGAACTAAAAGTTCACTTTATCCTGCTAACCAGAGGACGAAGAATTGGGCACGAATCGCCAACTAGTTTTAGGCAAATAAAGAAACTAGAAATCTTTAACTTAACCAACACATCAAAATTGTATGTTAAATTTTGTGGGTCTTATATTAGCGTGGCCTTACTAATAATTTCTGAATTGGGCAATCACTTACTGTCACACTGCAAGTCTGTTGTCAGTTGTAACACCTTTCTTCCACCGTTTCTTCTCTCACCACAGCTCGACTATTCTGTTGAGCCCAATCTCCTTCTCTGGACATGTGTTTTTGTTTTTTTCTCCTCTGTCTCTTAACTGTCTTCCTGCCTGAGAATCTCAAAATGCATCTTGCTCCACAAGTTACCAAAATACGTAACTGGCTTTTATAGTTGACAGGATTTGTTGTGCTACCCTTGGTCTTTTCTCCACATTGTCAAGTAACTGATCATCCCTTTTCCATTTTCTATTAATCAAATGGATGCTGCTTTTGGCAGTGAAATAGTGAAATGCATGTCTCTTTGTTTAGTCACACATCATTTCACAGGGCCAGTGCTCCAACCTGTTTAGGTCTCTTCACATTTCAGTCATGTCCATCAAAGCCTGGACCAACCTTACCAAGTTGACATTCCCAGAAGTATTATAAGCATGTTACATCATCCTTCTCCCATCCATGTGAGTGAGGCAGCTTATAAAAAGGGGGAAGGGAGACAAAGAGGCAAAAGGGAAGGAAAGCATTATGTCATGACTGACTTTCATTGCTCCAGTTTAATTGTAAATATCAGCTCACCATTTCTGCTGCCTGGAATGGCTCTTCTGGAATTCTCATGCCAGACTTCTCAAGGCAGTATTATTGTTCTTCCTTTACTTTGTACTCATAGGCAATCTTCTACCTATTGCTTCTCCTAAATATACAGCAGTGACATTGTGGGAGGCTCTAGAATTTACTGGAGCAGCTAAACTTTGCTGAGCATGTATTTCTGCTACATGGTGGCTGTCTGATTATACCAACACTGAAAATTACCCAAGAGGATTGATCTTGCAATAAACAGAATTAAGAGAGGGTTGCCCATTTGCAGGGGACTACGTGTCCCCATTGAGTACAGTCACCATGAGGCCTTTCTCAAATTCTGAGCACGTGGCAGCTATTTCTTTTTCTTTCTTGGTATAAATAGGGGTACAAGTATGGTTTTAGTGCATGGATATATTGAATAGTTGTAAAAAGTCTGAGCTTTTAGCATAGCCATCACCCAAATAGTATATATTGTACCCATTAAGTAATTTCTCATTTCTCACTCCCTCTCACCCTCCCATCCTCCCACCATTCTGTCTCCAGTGTCTATTATTCCACAGTCCATATCCACGTGTACGTATTATTTAGTTCCCACTGGTAAGTTAGAACAAGCGGTATTTGAATTTCTGTTTCTGGTTGTTTTTTTTTTTTTTCACTGAAGATAATGGCCAATTTCTTTCCGTCCTCATATTTTATTATAGGAGAGAGGGAAACCTTTTGATAAGTCTTCATATAATAAAAAGAGCACTCATTTAAGAGGTCCCCTTTGTCAATAATTAGATATAGTCCCTTGAAAAAATTAACATACCTCAGTTTTCTTATCTATAAGTATTCCTTCTACCAGATCTTTAAGTTTTAAGTCTCCACATTTATGATACTGTGACCTTACCAATTCTACATGGGCAGACCATGTCACATTTCTGTCTTTGCAGAGCTGTTCTGTGTATCAACAGGCCCACCTAAACTCTCTGAAGGACAGTGTCCCGTGTACCTGTCCTTCAAGTCCAGATACATGTGTTACCTCCTCATTGGCATCTACCCCAGAGCCCCAGGGGCAGATTAAGGTAGTTTCTCCCCTGAGCCTCATTTATTATTCAGACATTTATTGAGCCTCTGCTCTGTACCAGGCAGAGTTGTGAGTGCAATGATACCATAATATTGAAAACAGAGTACCTGCCCTCATGGAGTTTACAGTCTCGCAGTTGTAAACAACAGTGACCAGGGTGGTGCTTGCAGCCCAGGAAATACAGGGTGCACTGGGCATGTGTAAAGGTTGGGGAGAAGCTCAGCCCATCTGGAGGCATCAAGAAGGCCTGTGGAGGAGTTGATGTCTAAGCTGAATCCTCAAGGTTAGGCAGTGGGAGATGGCTAGGTTAAAAGAATATTCTAGGCAGAGAGAACATACTTTCACAGGCAAATCTGAGAGAAAATTCTAACAGTATATAGAAATTACTACCTGCCAGGCACTTATTCTAAGTGCTGTGCATACATTAACTTGTTCAATCCTTGCCATGAGTCTAGGAGATCAATCTTACCTTCTTCATTTTATTAGGTAAGGAAACTTAGAAATACGGAAGTAAATTGCTTCTGACCCTGAAGCAAATAAGTGGCAGGATCAGAATTTGAACCAAGGTAGTTTGGCCTGAATGTCCATACTCCTACTCGCTATACCATACAGCCTCGTTTGTTCTCACATTGGTGGAAATTTATACACACAGTCCTCAACCAGACGATGGTTTGACTTACGATTTCTTGACTTTGTAATGGTTCAAAGTGATACACATTCAGTAGAAACTGCACTTCAAGTACCTGTACAACCATTCTGTTTTTCACTTTCAATACAGTATTCTTTGAATTACATGAGATACTCAACACTTTATTATAAAATTGGCTTTGTGTTAAATGCTTTTTCCCAGCTGTAGTCTAACATAAGTGTTCTGAGCACCTTTAAGGTAGACTAGGCTAAGCTATGATGTTCAGTAGGTTAAGTGTATTAAATGAATTTTCAACTTATCATACTTTCAACTGACAACAGGTTTATCAGGATATAACCTCACTGTAAGTAGAGAAGAATCTATATCTATATTTGCATAGAGATGTAAATATATGTGCATGTGTAAATATATAAGCTATATAATTATACATGTTGTACATGTACACGTGTGTGAGTGCATGTATGTATAGCCAGAGCACGAACAATGAAGGCAAACATGACATGAAATGAGATTGAAGTGTTAGGCGGGGACCTGATCACAGAGGAGCTCATAAATCAGGTCATGGATTCTAGACACTATCTTTGGGATGACAGGAAGCTTAAGCAGAGAAGGTGTAAAATAGCATTAAGAGCCCAGGTTCAAATTCCACCTCTACTACTTGTTTCCTGTGTGACTTTGGACAAGTTACTTAACTTCTCCGTTCCTCAGATTTTCATCCGTAAAACAGAATATTATTAATAGTTTTACCTATTTCATAAGTTTAAGAAGTAAATAAGTGGCTCTATGTAGCTTCTGACTATGTAACAGGAAATCTTAGCTATGGTAATCAGATTTGCATTTTTAAAAGGATCCATCTGCCTGCAGTGTGGCTAATGGGTGAGAGGGAGCAAGAATTTAAGCAGGGAGATACTTTAGGGAGCTGAAGTCATAATACAGGTACATGTCTACTCAGAGGACACTCAGATACAGTGATTGCCAAAATCCCAGTGACAGGAATAGAACCAACTCTGGGTTTTTCACTCAGGCACTGATACGGTTTGGATGTTTATCCCCTCCAAATCTCATGTTGAAATGTTATCCTCAACACTGGGGATGGGGCCTGGTGGGAGGTGTTTGGGTCACAGAGGCGAATCCTTCTTGAACGGCATTGATGCCCTCCCCATGGTAATGAGTGAGTTTTCATTCTATCAGTTACCAGGAGATCTGGCTATTTAAAGAGGCTGGCAGCTCCTCCTTTCTCTCTCTTGCTCCCTCTCTCATTATGTGACTCACTTGCTCCCTCTTGCCTTCCACCATGAGTAAAAGCTTCCTGATGCCCCACCAGAAGCCAAGCAGATGCTGGCGCTATGCTCATGCAGCCTTGTGGAATCATGAGCCAAATAAGCCTCTTTTCTTTATAAACTTCCCAGTCTCAGGTATTCCTTTATAGCAACACAGAACAGACTGACAAAGGCGTATGGTTTGTGGTCAGGTGTCCTGCCACTGAAGGAAGCTGGTCCCCACTGGCAGCCTGGTTCAAGTTCCTTTATGCAGTGAATTTTTCCAACTTATCACAGACACACAACAACTTCCATCTTGCCACTACTTCTCTGCCCCTCAAAACTCCTGGTCCCTTCTCTCTTTCTCCATGTTCATTAAGCCTTCATAGATAGAGGTCCTGCCTTGGTTCATGGTCAAGGGTTCAGTTCTTCCTTACTATCATGTTATATTAGGAATGTCCAGAGGCTAAATCTTTCAAGACACAGGGGCATCAGGTCTAGGCAGTTAGTTGTCTACAGAAGGCTTTCGATGAAGCATCATCCAACCTCATATTGTTGGTCTCCTTCTTTCTAGTGATCGTGTATGACACCAGGCCAGTCAGTCCTTTCTGGGCTTAACTGAGGACCTGTTTGTTGCCTGTTTTAATCATGCCCTCCTATATATCCGTCATATGTCTCATAATCAAGAGAATAATTGCAAGTGACCTGAACTCAGTATTCACAATAGTTCTAGTAAAATGTAGCCATTGAAGATGAGGACCTGGGATTTTCCTTGAGATATTTGCATCTGGGGCAAGTCGTTCTACCCAGAGGATGGCTTATACCACATGTATAAACCATAACTTACCATTGGTAAATAGTATCTGACAACGCTAATCTGAGTTTTAAGACTTCTCTGCTTACTACCTTCTGTGAGATAAGCATTCTAGAAATGGGACATAAATACTAAAACAAATTATAATGAGTGCTATCTTCACCACTGTATTGACCTTAGAAAGCTATGTCCTTAGTACAACAATCTTCTTGCTGTTCAAAGCTTTCTGAATCAGCTCTGTACACTTGAATATTTTTAGTGGTAGCAGATGTTAATCCTTTTATTAATAAGAAAAGATTTTACTTTCTTGAAAGAGCTACAGGTCTTTTAAAAGCTATGTGTTATATATGTAAAGGCCAGTAAGGCTGGAGAAATACCATTTTTAATCAAAACAAAATTCAAGTACAAAGCGACAAGATTATTTTGTGTACAATAATTGGAATAAATGTGTAGCCTTCCATTGTAATACCTTTGAAGAATAGCCTTCATTTCAGTGCTGAATTTGTTTTCAAAACTCAGTCATATTATCTCTATAGTTTTTTCCATTTTGCATTGAGATATTATTCTATGGTGTGGGAAAATTGGGAAAGAAAATATTTTGGAAGACATTTAAGTTATTATCTAAGCCTATCTGAAGAAATGATAGTGTGAGGCCATTATGAATTCAAATTTGACTCTCTCTTTTTAGAAAAAATTTAGGATTATTTGTTTTTTTACAGATTGCTTTATTGTTAGGTAATCTTGATATTTAAATAACAGTGTTTGATTTCAACGGGTAAGATTTGTTAGGGCATTATTTGCTGGTTTTTTGTTTTTAGACCAATTTAGCACATTATAAAAAGCATGATAAATTAGCTTCCCTAAGAAGTTTTTAAAACAACTGAGATGGTTTTAAGTAAAAAAGGTAATATCAAATTACTTTCCTAAGGTTTTATGCTTAAATGATGAAATAAGTAAAGACAAATAAAATGTGCTGTCAACAAGTTAGTATTCCAATAAATAGTAAATTAGATTCTAGACTCTGCAGTGCCTGGACATTAGGCTAAAAGCTAAACTTAATTTTTTAAAGTATGTAATAAATCTTGTCTTGTTGAGCACTTTATGTTCCAAGTGTTTTTTGCCAGTTATTGATCATGCGGATATATGGCATAGCTGTCTGCCCAAAATGGTGTTTTGTATTGCGTGAGTTGGCTGTTTCATTTATTTATTTCGTCAATGTCTTCCCTGTTGCTTGATTTTTATCTTTTTCATCATTTTTTTCCCATAAAGACATATGGGAAAGAACAATTTAAGGGAGAAAAGCTGGAGGCAGGAGAATATTTTTTAACAAAGTTACTGAAGTAAGAAGACATGGAGCTATGAAGGCCTGGATGAGGGCAATACTGGTAGCCAAACTATAAGGAAATAACAGATGCAAAACTATTACAAAAGACTTCCATCAGTGGCGAATAAATGATGTGATACTTTGGCTTTTGAAATAAAGGAAAATAAATAATGAAAGCGCTGTTACGACATTTTTTACCCTGATCATTTGGTTCACATGTAGTTAGTTCTTTGTATTTGCAATGCAAATAGGTGTGTATGGTATTATTTTTTAAATAGCTTTATTGAGATATAATTCACATGTAAAATTCACCCACTTGAAGTGTATGATTCAGTGGTTTTTAGTACATTCACAATTGTGTAATAGTTAGGAAAATCAATTTTAGAACATTTTCATAACTCCAAGAAGAAACCCTGTGCCCTTTAGCTATGACTCCCCAAGCACCCCATTCTCCTCCTCACTAGCCCTAAGCAACTGCTAATCTGCTTTTTGTCTCTATGGATTTGCCTATTCTGCACATTTCATGTAAATGGAATCATACAATATGTGGTCTTTTGTGACTGGATTCTTTTACTTAATGCTTTCAAGGTTCATCCATGTGGTAACATGCAATGTATTTCATTGCATTACTTATTATTCCTCAATAGTATGCCATTGTGTGGATTATGTCTTATTTATTTATCTGTTGATCACTTGATGGACATTTGCAATATTTCTGTATTTGGGCTGTTATGAATACTGCTGCTATGAACACTCGTGTACAAGTTTTTATGTGGACATATGTTTTCATTTCTGTTGAGTATATACCTAGTAGTAGAATTATCAGGTCATGTGGTAAGTCTCTGTTTAACCATTTGTGAAACTGCCAGACTGTTTCCAAAGTGGCTGAGCCATTTTGTATTCCCATCAGCAATGTATGAGGGTTCCAATGTCTCCACATTCTTGCCAACACTTGTAATTATCAGTCTTTTTTTATTATAGCCACCTTGTGAAGTGTTATTATACTTTTGATTTGTACTTACTGATAACTAATAATATTAAGCATCTTTTTATGTTGGAAATTTGTATATATTCTGTGAAGAAATGTCTACTCAGATCGTTTGCCCATTTTTAAGTGAGTTATTTGTCCTTTTATTACTGAGTTGTAGGAGTTCTTTATGTATTCTAGACAAAAAAATCCATACAAATATGATCTGCAAATGTTTTCTTGCATTTTGTGTTTACTATTTTAACCTTCTTGGTACTGTCATTTAAATCATAATTTTAAAAAAATTTTAAGTAGGTTCAATTTATTTTTTCTTTGGTTGCTTGTATTTTTAGCATAATATCCAATAAACTATTGTTGAATCCAAGCTCACAAAGATTTACTCCTGGCCTGGTGCAGTGGCTCATGCCTGTAATCGAGCACTTTGGGAAGCCGAGGCAGGTGGATCACCTGAGGTTAGGAGTTAGAGACCAGCATGGCCAACATGGCAAAATCCCGTCTCTACTAAAAATACAAAAATTAGCCAGGCATGGTGGCGGGCACCTGTAATCCTAGCTACTCAGGAGGCTGAGGCAGGGAGAATCGCTTGAACCTGGGAGGCAGAGGTTGTAGTGAGCTGAAATCATGCCACTGCACTCCAGCCTGGGCAGCAGAGGGATACTCTGTCTCAAAAAAAAAAAAAAAAAACCTACTACTCCTATGTTTTTCCCTTAGGAGTTTAATAGTTTTGACTCTCAAATTTATGCCTATGATCTCTGTTGAGTTAATTAATTTTACACGGTGTGAGGTAGGGGCTAAGCTTCATTCTTTTGCATGTGAATATTCCAGTTGCCCCAACACCATTTGTCAAAAAGGTTATGGATGTGACATTGAATTGTTTTAGTACCCTTATTGAAAATCAGTTGACCTTATGTGTGAAGATTTATTTCTGGATTCTCTATTTTATTCCATTGATTACTATGTCTATCCTTATGCCAGCACTATACTGTCTTAATTATTGTGGTTTTGTAGTAAGTTTGAAATCCAGAAGTGTGAGTTCTTCAACTTTATTCTTCTTTTGTAAGATTGTTTTGGTCATCTTGGGTTTTTTGAATTTCCATATGAACTTTAGGATTAGCTTGTCAATTTCTGCAAATAAACCAACTAGGGGATTTATAGTGATTGGATTGAATCTGTAGGTTAATTTGGGGAGTATTGCCATCCTAACAATATTAAGTCTCCCAATCTATGAACATGGAATGTCTTTCATTTATTTATATCTTCTTTAATTTCTTTCGACAATTTTTCTGTAGTTTTCAAAGTATAAATCTTGCATTTCTTTTGTTAAATTTATTCCTAAGTTTTCTTAGTGATCTTATGAATGAAAGTGTTTCTTTCTGGTGCTCTTTTAAATTGAATTGTTTCTTTCTGATGCTCTTTTAAATTGAATTGTTATTTAATTTCATCAGATTTTTTCATTGCTAGTGTATAGAAATAGGTTTTTGTATATTGATCTTGCACCCTACAACCTTACCCAATTCATTGATTAGTTCATTTATAGTTTATAGCTAGAAATTTTCCTCTCAGTACTACTTTAGCTGCATCCTATAAATTTTAGTATATTGTACCTTTATTTTCATTCATCTCAAAGTATCCCTTTCATTTCCCTTTTGACTTCTTTCTCATTGACTATTTAGGAGTATATTGGTTTCCACAAATTTGTAAATTTCCTAAATTTTTTTGTATGATTGATTTATAATTTTATTCCACCATATTCAGAGAACATACTTTGTATGATATGAATTTATTTAGATTTATTGAAGCTTGTTTTATGAACTAATATGTATTCCTCCTGGAGAAGGTCCTATGTGTGCCTGAGAAAAATAAATTCTGCTGTTTCTAGGTAGATTATTTCATAGACATATGTTCTAATTTGTTTATAGTATTGTCAAGTCTTCTAATTTTATATCTTCTTACCAGTTGTTCCTCCCTTTATTGAATGTAGGATATTTAAGTCTCCACACATCTACAACCATCTGATCTGTTTACAGTTTATACCAATTTAATTTATACCAATTAAATTATACAATTTATACCAATTTAATTTATTAAAATTATACAGTTTATACCAATTTAATAATGCCACACATCTACAACCATCTGATCTGTTTACAATTTATACCAATTTAATTCTAGTGAACTGTAGAAAGATTATTCCTATATTGCTCTATTTCCTTTTCCTCCCTTTTGTGCTATTATTGTTATCCCTGTTACAGCTAGGTATGTTACAAATTCAATGGCATACTGTTATAATTATTACTTTATATAATTGTATGACATTTAAAGAAGATCAGAGAAGAGCAAGTATATATTTATAGCTTTTCTTAAATTAACCTTCATATTTACCATTTTTTATTTGCTCTAAATAAGACCTTCCTCAACCACATCCAAATGGTGTCAGCCAAAAGAATCGAGACGAGATTATGTGTATAGTTCTTGGTTTGTGCATGGCACAACTAAAGGGTGCCATACACATTGCAGTGGATTTGTATATTTATTTTGATAAGTTATTGGCATATGGTCTTATAATGATTTAATGATTTCAGTATGTTGTAACAATTATGATTTCAGTATGTTATCACAATTTTCTGGTAGCTAGAAGTAAAGTGACTAGAGGAACAAGTGCTTTTTAAAATCATACAAAAATGGAGTATGATCCCTAGTGGCAGTCCCATAAGGATCTCGAACTAAGAAGCTGTGTGATGCTCTGGTCTCAACCCAGTCTGAAGAGAACCAGAAAATAAGAGTAAGTTGAATTCTAGTTGGCTAACTCTAAACAAGCCTAGTTCTTTAATATTCAACTGTTAACAAGTTCGTTAACATTCAACATTTAACAAGTTCTTTAACATACTAATGGCCTCAGCCATTTAGTTTTCCCACATAAATCACCTCCTCCACGGACAAGCCACACAAACATCACAGAGCAGAACCTGCCCTGATTCTTGCTCTCCTTCTGTCCCAGAGGCATGGATCAAAAAACTGGCAGAGAAGACATGAGGCCCTACCACCCTTGGGGACTGACCTTGACATGGTGACCACACCCATGGGTAAAGCCCAGTGAATTCCAGGCCATGACCAACCAGTGAAGCCATCCCTTCTCACACTTGCCAACTTTTCTTTTTCCTTTTTCTTTTTTTTTTTTTTTTTTTTTTGTTGAATTTTAAGATCCTTGCCTGTGGTTAATTCATATATATATATATATATATATATATATATATATATATACACACACACACACACACACACACACACTTTAAGTTCTGAGATACATGTGCAGAACATGCAGGTTTGTTACATAGGTATACACGTGCCATGGTGGTTTGCTGCACCCATCGACCCGTCATCTACATTAGGTATTTCTCCTAATGCTATCCCTCCCCTAGTACCCCACCCCACAACAGGCCCCTGTGTGTGATGTTCCCCTCCCTGTGTGCATGTGTTCTCATTGTTAAACTCCCACTTATGAGTGAGACATGTCGTGTTTGGTTTTCTGTTCCTGTGTAAGTTTGCTGAGAATGATGGTTTCCAGCTTCATCCATGTCCCTGCAGAGGACATGAACTCATCCTTTTTTATGGCTGAATAGTATTCCATGGTATATATGTGCCACATTTTCTTTATCCAGTCTATCACTGATGGGCATTCGGGTTGGTTCCAAGTCTTTGCTATTGTGAATACTACCACAATAAACATATGTGTGCATGTGTTTTTACAGTAGAATGATTTATAATCCTTTGGTTATATACCCAGTAATGGGATCACTGGGTCAAATGGTATTTCTGTTTCTAGATCCTTGAGGAATCGCCACACTGTCTTCCACAGTGGTCAAGCTAATTTACACTCCCACCAACAGCGTGAAAGCGTTCTGACTTTTCCACATCCTCTCCAGCATCTTTTGTTTCCTGAGTTTTTGATGATCACCATTCTAACTGGCATGAGATGGTATCTCATTGTGGTTCTGATTTGCACTTCTCTAATGACCAGTGATCATGAGCTGTTTTTTCATGTTTGTGGGCTGCATAAATGTCTTCTTTTTTGAAAAGTGTCTGTTCATATCCTTTGCCCACTTTTTGATTGGGTTGTTTGTTTTTTATCTTGTAAATTTGTTTAAGTTCCTTATGGATGCTGGATATTAGACCTTTGTCAGATGGATAGATTGCAAAAACTTTCTCCTATTCTGTAGGTTGCCTGTTCACTCTGATGATAGTTTCTTTTGCTGTGCAGAAGCTCTTCAGTTTAATTAGATCCTATTTGTCAATTTTGGCTTTTGTTGCCATTGCTTTTGGTGTTTTAGTCATGAAGTCTTTGCCCATGCCTATGACCTGAATGGTATTGGCTAGGTTTTATTCTAGAGTTCTTATGGTTTTAGGTCTTACATTTAAGTCTTTAATACATCTTGAGTTAATTTTTATATAAGTTATAAGGAAGGGATCCAGTTTCAGTTTTCTGCATATGGCTAGCCAGTTTTCCCAGCACCATTTATTAAATAGGGAATCCTTTCCCCATTGCTTGTTTTTGTCATGTTTGTCAAAGATCAGATGATTGTAGATATGTGGCATTATTTCTGAGGCCTCTTTCCTGTTCCATTGGTCTATATATCTGTTTTGGTACCAGTACCATGCTGTTTTCATTACCGTAGCCTTGTAGTATAGTTTGAAGTCAGGTAGTGCAATGCCTCCGGCTTTGTTCTTTTTACTTAGGATTGTCTTTATATGGGCTCTTCTTTTGGTTGCATATGAAATTTAAAGTAGTTTTTCCTAATTCTGTGAAGAAAGTCAATGATAGCTTGATGGGGATAGCATTGAATCTATAAATTACTTTGGACAGTATGGCTATTTTCACGATATTGATTCTTCCTATCCATGAGCATGGGATGTTTTCCATTTGTTTGTGTCCTCTCTTACTTCCTTGAGCAGTATTTTGTAGTTCTCCTTGAAGAGGTCTTTCACATCCCTTGTAAGTTGTATTTCTAGGTATTTTATTCTCTTAGTAGCTATTGTGAATGGGAATTCACTCATGATTTGGCTCTCTGTTTCTCTATTATTGATGTATAGGAATGCTTGTGATTTTTGCACATTGATTTTGTATCCTGAGACTTTGCTGAAGTTGCTTATCAGCTTAAGGAGTTTTTGGGCTGAGATGGTGGAGTTTTCTAAATATACAATTATGTCATCTGCAAACAGAGACAATTGGACCTCCTCTCTTCTTATCTGAATACCCTTTATTGCCTTCTTTTGCCTGATTGCCCTGGCCAGAACTTCAAATGCTATGTTGAATAGGAGTGATGAAAAAGAGCAACCTCGTCTTGTGCCAGTTTTCAAAGAGAATGTTTCCAGTTTTTGCCCATTGAGTATGATATTGAATGTGGGTTTGTCATAAATAGCTCTCATTATTTTGAGATACATTCCATCAATACCTAGTTTATTGAGTGTTTTTAGCATAAAGGGGTGTTGAATTTTATTGAAGGCCTTTTCTGCATGTATTGAGATAATCATGTGGTTTTTGACATTGGTTCTGTTTATGTGATAGATTAAATTGATTTGTGTATGTTGAACCAGCCTTGCATCCCAGGGATGAAGCTGACTTGATCTTGGTGGATAAGCTTTTTGATGTGCTGCTGGATTCAGTTTGCCAGTATTTTATTGAGGATTTTTGCATCAGTGTTTGTCAGGGATATTGGCATGAAATTTTCTTTTTTTGTTGTGTCTCTGCCAGGTTTTGGTATCAGAATGATGCTGGCCTTATAAAATAAGTTAGGGAGGATTCCCTCTTTTTCTATTGTTGGAATAGTTTCAGAAGGAATGGTGCCAGCTCCTCTTTGTACCCTCAGTAGAATCCAGCTGTGAATCCATCTGGTCCTGGACTTTTTTTGGCTCGTAGGCTATTAATTACTGCCTCAATTGCAGAACTTGTTATTGGTCTATTGAGGGATTCAACTTCTTCCTGGTTTAGACTTGGGAGGCTGTATGTGTCCAGGAATTTATCCATTTCTTCTAGATTTTCTAATTTATTTGCAAAGAGGTGTTTATAGTATTCTCTGATGGTAGTTTGTATTTCTGTGGGATCAATGTTGATATCGCCTTTATCATTTGTTATTGTGTCTATTTGGTTCTGTCTTTTCTTCTTTATTAATCTGGCTAGCAGTCTATCAATTTTGTTAATCTTTTCAAAAAAACAGCTCCTGGATTCATTGATTTTTTTAAGAGTTTTTCTTGTCTCTATCTCCTTCAGTTCTGCTCTGATCTTAGTTATTTCTTGTCTTCTGCTGGCTTTAGAATTCGTTTGCTCTTCCTTCTCTAGTTCTTTTACTTGTGATGTTAGGGTGTCGATTTTAGATCTTTCCTGCTTTCTCCTGTGGGCATTTTAGTGCTATAAATTTCCCTCTAAACACTGCTTTAGCTATGTCCCAGAGATTCTGGTATGTTGTGTCTTCATTCTCATTGGTTTCAAAGAACATCTTTATTTCTGCCTTCATTTCATTATTTACCTAGTAGTCATTCAGGAGCAGTTTGTTCAGTTTCCATATAGTTGTGCGGTTTTGAGTGAGTTTCATAATCCTGAGTTCTAATTTGATTGCACTGTGGTCTGAGAGACTATTTTGTTATGATTTCCATTCTTTTGCATTTGCTGAGGAGTGTTTCACTTCCAATTATGGGGTCAATTTTAGAATAAGTGTGATGATGTGCTGAGAAGAATGTATATTCTGTTGATTTGGGGTGGAGAGTTCTGTAGGTGTCTATTAAGTCCCCTGTTCCAGAGCTGAGTTCAAGTCCTGAATATCCTTGTTAATTTTCTGTCTTGTTCATCTGTCTAATATTGACAGAGGGATATTAAAGACTCCCGCTATTATTATATGGGAGTCTAAGTCTCTTTGTAGGCCTCTAAGAACTTGCTTTATGAATCTTGGTGCTCTTGAATTGGGTGCATATCCCCTGGTCCAGAGCTGAGTTCAAGTCCTGAATATTCTTGCTAATTTTCTGTCTCATTCATCTGTCTAATATTGACAGAGGGGTGTTGAAGTCTCCTGCTATTATTATGTGGGAGTCTGAGTCTCTTTGTAGGCCTCTAAGAACTTGCTTTATGAATCTGGGTGCTCCTGTATTGGGTGCATATATATTCAGGATAGTTAGCTCTCGTTGCATTGATCCCTTTACCATTATGTAATGCCCTTCTTTGTCTATTTTGATCTTTGTTGGTTTAAAGTCTGTTTTATCAGAGACTAGGATTGGTTTTACTTTTTGCTTTCCATTTGCTTGGTAAATATTCCTCCATCCCTTTATTTTGAGCCTATCTATATCTTTGCACATGAGATGGGTCTCCTGAATACAGCACACTGATGGGTCTTGACTCCTTATCCAATTTGCCAGCCTGTGTCTTTTAATTGGGGCATTTAGCCCATTTGTATTTAAGGTTAATATTGTTATGTGTGAATTTCATCCTATCATTATGATGCTAGCTGGTTATTTTGCCCATTAGTTGATGCAGTTTCTTCATAGTGTCAATCGTCTTTACAATTTGGTATGTTTTTACAGTGGCTTGTACTGGTTTTTCCTTTCCATATTTAATGCTTCCTACAGGGGCTCTTGTAAGGCAGGCCTGATGGTGACAAAATCTCTCAGCATTTGCTTGTTTGTAAAGGATTTTATTTCTCCTTTCTTATGAAGGTTAGTTTGGCTGGATATGAAATTCTGGGTTGAAAATTCTTTCTTTAAGAATGTTGAATATTGGCCGCCACTCTCTTCTGGCTTGTAGTGTTTCTACAGAGAGATTTACTGTTTGTCTAATGGGCTTCCCTTTCCCAACCTTTCTCTATGGCTGCCCCTAACATTTTTTCCTTCATTTCAACCTTGGTGAATCTGACGATTATGTGTCTTTGGGTTTCTCTTCTCAAGGAGTATCTGTGTGGTGTTCTCTGATTTCCTGAATTTGAATGTTGGCCTGTCTTACTAGGTTGGGGAAGTTCTCCTGGATAATATCCTAAAGGGTGTTTTCCAACTTGGTTCTATTCTCCCTGTCACTTTTCAGATACACCAATCAAACTTAGGTTTGGTCTTTTCACATAGTGCCATATTTCTTGGAAGCTTTGTTTGTTTCTTTTCATTTTTTTTCTCTAATCTTGTCTTCATGCTTTATTTCATTAAGTTGATCTTCAATCTCTGATATCCTTTCTTCTGCTTGATCGATTCAGCTATTGATACTTGTGTATGCTTCACGAAGTTCTCATGCTGTGTTTTTCAGCTCCATCAGGTCATTTATGTTCTTCTCTAAACTGGTTATTCTAGTTAGCAGTTCCTGTAACTTTTTATCAAGGTTCTTAGCTTTTTTGCATTGGGTTGGAACATGCTCCTTTAGCTTGGTGGAGTTTGTTATTACCCATCTTCCGAAGCCTACTTCTGTCAATTCATCAAACTCATTCTCCGCCCAGTTTTGTTCCCTTGCTGGCAAGAAGTTGTGATCCTTTGGAGGAGAAGAGGCGTTCAGTTTTTGGAATTTTCAGCCTTTTTGCGCTGGTTTTTTCTCATCTTTGTGGCTTTATCTACCTTTGTTCTTTGATGCTGGTGACCTTAGGGTGGGGTGTGTGGACATCCTTTTTGTTGATGTTGATGCTATTCCTTTCTGTTTGTTAGTTTTCCTTCCAACACTCAGGACCCTCTGCTGCAGGTATCCTGGAGTTTGCTGGAGATCCACTCCAGACTCTGTTTGCCTGGGTGTCACCAGCGGAGGCTGCAGAACAGCAAAGATTGCTGCCTGTTCCTTCCTCTGGAAGCTTCATCCCAGAGGGGCACCCACCAGATGACAGCCAGAGCTCTCCTGTATGAGATGTCTGTTGACCCATGCTGGGAGCTGTCTCCCAATCAGGAGGCATGGGGGGTCAGGGACCCACTTGAGGAGGCAGTCTGTCCCTTAGCAGAGCTTGAGAGCTGTGCTGGGAGATCCACTGCTCTCTTCAGAGCCGATAGGCAGGAATGTTTAAGTCTGCCGAAGCTGTGCCCACTGCCGCCCCTTCCCCCAGGCACTCTGTCCCAGGGAGGTGGGAGTTTTATCTATAAGCCCCTGACTGGGCTGCTGCCTGTCTTTCAGAGATGCCCTGCCCAGAGAGGAGGAACCTAGAGAGGCAGTCTACTTGCCAGCTTTTCTTAACTCATTGTTCAACCAAGGCTATTATTGTCCTTCTCAGGACAGGAGGCCAGAGTAGCATGTGAAGGGGATTCTGCTTCCACTGAGGGAGACACTTCCTCAGCATTTGCAGCAGCTCTGGGAACATCCTTCCCAAGGGTGGTGAGATGGAAAAGTTCATCTTTTGTATTCTAAGACATTAGAAACAAATCCTAGTGTGGCAGGATATTAATTTACCAAAAGGTACTCTGTGGCATGTAAAACACCTGGAAAGATTAACAACAGATAAGCCATAAATGTTTTCTTTACTTTTTCATTTTCTGGAAGCATGACCCTTTGCAAATTATGGCCTGTCCATTATTTAACAAATTAGACTATTTTATAGCCCTATTTATTCATTTATTACTAGATGATTTCTGTGCTCTTCTGAAGCTCAGTAATTTACAACTCTGATCAGTGGAACTTATTATGATGTGAAATACTCTGTATCTCCTTTGTCCAACATGAGAGCCAGTATGGGGCTACTGAGCACTTGAGGAACTGAATTTTTTAATTTTTACTAATTTATATTTACTTTTAAGTAGCCCCAGCTAGAGGCTCTCAAATTGGATAATGAAGTTACCTTCTTTGATGTCATCTTTCTTCGTATTGTGTGATTAAACTTTGTAAGATAGATTAAAGCATAGAGCCCCCAAAATCAAAATGCTGATATTTTCATATATGACAAAACCCATGGTATGGGCCATGAGAATATTTTTTAAAGAGCTGTCATTTATTTATCAGCCTTCTAAAACACTCAAATGCACTTAGACAAAGACCTGGAACAAGCCAGATCTGTGGGGGCCCATAGCCAAGAAATGGGAATCACACAAAGTCTCCAGAATCTGCTGGGGCCACAAGGGGAAACTCATACTGTGAGCTTCCATCTCACCAAATGCCGTGCAAGCAGGAGGAAAAGAGTAGGGAGGGTCTTGTTTCCACTTGTGGGAAGCAAGGAAAGGAAAAGAAGAAATTTTCAAAGCTACAACTGGGAACATTTACTTTATGCAGACAGCAGCTGAGTGAAGGTAATGAAATCCATGATGCTCTCCATAGCACTTTTCAAAGAGTGAACTTGTGAAAGTTTGTTATAGACTGCCAGAATCTTCCTTAGTAGTCTTTGAAGTAGGGAGATAGAGGATCCTATTATCCTCACTTTTCTGTAAGGCATACCTTTCATTTTTTTGCCCGTACATGTTTTTCAGATATATATTGATGAAAGCCAAACTGCTTACAGATAAAACAGACTTAAGCAAAATATCTCTCCTCATATGATAGAGTGTGATAATGACAGGGCTTTTTTTTTTTAAGAAATGTAGGTGTTTGACTTGAAATCAGTGTATAGTAATATTCATTATGGTTTCTTTTCTCAAATTAATACTTATGGTAACATTATATACATTTGGTGATTTAATTGTCTCAAGTACTATGGTAACATCATGCCAGCTGCTTCAAACCTTAAAATTCTGTTTCCATTTCAAGACAACAAAAGCCCGTGCTCCAAAACCTTCAACAGTTAGCATTTCATTTTCTCTGGGCCCATGTCAGCAGTATAATCAGAAACAAAAGAAGAAATTATAAGGTTCATTCCCAACCCATCATGGAATGAAAAATCTCTCTAAATGGATCTTAAAAATCACTTCCCCTCTGTAAGAGAAAACATGCTGCAAAGAGAAAAGTTAAAAGTCACATTAGCTTGACATTGTAAATAAAAACAAAGCCCACATGTAAACTAATGCTCTTCATCCATCTGTCCCCAGGTCATAGATCTGTACTGGGGAGTGGAAGAAGATGAGTGGGACAGCCCAGAGCTCCAGAAGACCCGCATGAAGCTGCTGGAGAATTGCTTGAAAACTTCTGCAGGTCCATGTTTTGTTGTGGGTATAAAAAAACTAATGCTTTATATTAACTTTTAGATGAATGTGAGAATTATTGCTGATTTGTGATTCATAAGGGGTTTTTTAAATGAGGGGGAAAAAGACTTTTTTATGTCTATTTAAACATTTTAAGCTGTCTCCTGGCTCTCAATGTATGAGAACAAAAAGCTTCAACTTTCCATAAGAAGTGCTGCCAATTAACGGTGAATAATTTGAACTGGTAATCAAAGGGATTGACTTGGGTTTGACAACAATTTCTACAACACCTTGTGATCAACAATAAGGATTACTCTTTCAGACCTACAATAATTATCCTAGGTTTTCTTATCTTATTGTATAATATATTCCATCATAGTGCTTCTAGTTCTTAACGCTAGAATTTCTGGCATTTTTTAACAAAATGGCTGAAACATTGTTAAAGTAAATCAAATATACTATGTCTCATCTGCCAGTAGCAAATGGTGCCCTGTGAAAATGTTTGTTTCTACAGTGATTTTCAGCTACATGTTCATTATAAGCTAAAGATCGACAGAGATATTCCAAGTGGAACATTATTATTAATTCATCGTTATTTTCTAAAGAATACTCACTCCTCTGTGTTAGCACGGTGGCAGTAAGATAAATAGGTCATTCTATGGCAGGTGGTTGTGCAAAAATCACTGCCTTAATTTAGCTTAAGAAAGACTTACCTTGAATTCAAACAGATCCTACCAATCGATAAGGGAAGTTGCCCCTTTGAACATAGGTTGCTCTAAGACTGACAGACGAGTGTTAAAATTACCAGTGAGTGCTATGAAAAAAAATCACACCGTACTGTTAAAAACTAGATTCAATATATCAGCAAAAGTGTTCTTAATATTTATTTGCATATCCGTCTATATTTGGCTCCGCATAGGATTAGGAAGACCTACAGAGATGATATCACAAATCTGACCAGCTGATGGTAAATTTCTTACCCAGGCTAGTAAAGTGTATAAAGGCTGTATCATATAGTATTTGTAGTATTCCATATATAGATAAGTTGATTACTCACTAACTGCCTGAGTGCTACCGTGTGCCAAGGGTTGCTCTTAGGTGCTGGGGGTGTGGTAGGTTGACCCATACGAAATTGTTATTTTGTGGGCCAGTTCCTTAGGATTCAACCTTAGAATTGAACTAAGAAGATAAAATTTTTTGCTTTCCCGGAGCTTACATTCTAATGTGGGTGGAAGGGGGAGAGGGCAGGCAAAACCCAAATAAGTAAGATAAACAGTAAGTCAGTTGGTGATAAGTGCTATGGAGAAAAATAGAGAAATGAAAGAAAAGAGAGAATACCAGCGAGGGGAGAGATTTGCTACTTAAGATAAAACAGTCAGAGGAGGCCTCACTGATAAGGTGACTCTGAAGGGGAGATGGAAAGAGGGGCAGGAAAGAACCAGGTGTGGATATTCCAAGTCAGGTATTCCAGGAAGAGGGGTTGGCATGTTCAGGAAACAGCAAGCAGGCCTCTGTGCCTAGAACAAGTATGAATAGGGAGGAGGGCATGGGATATGGGGAACGTATCATGGGGCCTTTTCATCTTTTATGATTAAGAGAATATTTTTATTTTTAAGACTAAGAAGACTATTGTTATGGCTCAGCATAATTGGGAACCATCGATTTTGGAAAGGTAATTTCAGTAAGACAATTCAATTCTGTAATCTTCAAGTTGACTTAAGGTTTTACCTCGAGTGACAGGAAAAACTGCAGAAGTGTTCTGAGCAGAGGAATGAAGTGATTTGACTTGTATTTTAAGCATGGCCTTGGCTGCTGGGTGAAGAATAGGGAACAGAGCAGGCAGACCTTTAGAGAGCTACTGCAATAAGCCAAATGAGAAAAATACGTGGTTTGGGGGGGTTGGGGGAACGAACACCGAAAAACAGTGTCCTGTGGCCTGAAAAGAATGCAAAAGAAGGCCTGAAAGTTGTGTTAAATATCTGAAGAGCAAGTAGCGGAAGAGATTCTTTTCCTTGGGTCATTGGAGGATAGAACTAGGAAGCAGATTTCAGCTTTGGGTGAAGAAGTTAAAGGATATATAGCTTCCTCTCAGGTTTTTGGATCCAGTATCCCTGGGTTCTGACCTGATATTTCATAGCTGTGTGGCACTGCAGGAGTTGCTCCACTATTCTAAGCCTCAGTTTTTTGTCTGTAAAATGGAAGTGATAATAACAGTTATCTACCTCATCGGGTCATTCTGAGAATCAAATGAAATTACAGGCAGTTTTATAGTATTTCACACATAGTAATCCATTAAAAAGTGTTCGTTGTTTCTTATTGTGTATTATTATCTATCACAGCTGCCTGAAGATGAAATCACCTGGCTCAAACTGTAATGATGCATCCCCAAAAAAGTTTTTATCAAAGTGAAGAACACAAACCACTGTGACAGGGGTGCTATAGAAGAGACTCAAATATTGGAAGACAGGTTAGGCCAGATTCCATTATGCTTAGAAAGCCAGATTTGGGAAGCATAACCCACTATGGGAGTGTCCTGGGAAACCTCAATTACTGTGATCTCCACAGCTTTACCGTAATCCAGCCTTGGAAATTCAGGAATGAGAGAGATGTTCTCCCCCTTTTATAACCCTGTTGAGTGCCATCCCTAAGCTAACTAAAATTAGACATGACTATGAATTCCAATAATTTGCTGGTAGGAGAATAAATAAAGACTTTGCAAGTTTATGCAGGTTATGAGAGCAAAGGTTAGCTGACAGAACAGCAGCAACATCTTTATTGAGCATAAACAAATCATTTATCCCTCCTTCTGCTCCCCTGTTACATGTTTAAACTCAGGGAAACCACGATAAAACCCTGCAGATAGAGCTAGGATTATTCACCCCAGCGATCCTAAATCACACAAGGCTTGTATCTCACAGCTTATAGAAAAAGAAAAAAAAAGTACTCCTCTTAGGGCCTTTCCTGTTGTAACTACGGTGACAACTGGCATGTGTGTGTTACTTTTAAGCTCCAGTTTCCTCGCCCAGTGCTCCCTTGTGGATATTTCTAGAAGTCATGATGACCCCTGTGGGATGCAGAGCTTAACATAATACTTCCCCTAATGCTGAAGTCTTTGGCAAGGAAATTCACCACTGCTGAATGAAAAAAAAAAAAGTTTTTATATCTTCAAAGGCTTCACAGTCTTTAGCCTTTATGTTAGGTCCAAATAAATTAAGGACCAGATGAAGCTTTCCTTTTAAACACCCAGGGAATTGAGTTCCAAAGGGAACTTTAGTCTTCAGTATAGTTCGTGCTTGGCCTTTTTCGACTTCATTTCCTATAAGTTGTCATTTAGATAATGGCCCAAGGTTCCACTGACATGCAAGCTGTGCTGTAATTCTGGACAGCTGTTTTACACACATGTTTTTGTCCATGAAGAGATGAAGGTGCTAGAGTGAGGGAGCCTGGACATGTGTCTGGTCCTGCTCTCAGAGGACTAGCTTGGGAAACATTGTAAAGCATACATCATCTTACTGAGAAGAACAACATTTGAATACATGTGTAGAGAGAGGCAAGTACAGTGGGAAGAGCCCAGAATTTTCATTTTACAATCAAGCGAGAGCCCTGGTTCTCAGGGAACAAGTCACTAACTTAATTGTACTTTAGTGATCACATCTATAAATATGGGAAAATAATAACAATAAACTAAAAGTAAATTTTGAATCAATTTCAAAGGATTGTTGTGGGGACCAAATGTGATAATATATGTATGAGTTCTTTGTAAACCCATAAAAGGCTAACAACCAGTAATTTTAGACCAAATAACTTAAAATGTAATTTATTTTCAAATAAGAATAAAAAGTTTTCATTTATATTAGGCATTTATGTGCTATTATAATTTTTCCCCTTAAAAATGCTGATAATCTAAATGTAAAAAGTATCAAGGCTTCATTCAGTCAAATGTTAAAGGATTTTAATTCATTCTTATGTGTATATTAATAAAATGTAATATTTGTAAAATGCATATGGTACATATATATTTTGTTTTTCTAGATATGAATTTGCTGACATTTACTGACTAAAAGCTTTACCTATCCCCAAGGAGGGATTCTGACCAAGGCAGCCCCTAGCAGGGAGACAAATCACAGCTGAGTAACAAAATCATCTTCATCACCTTTTAGGTGTAAAAAATTGCTGCAGGCTTTGCAAAGTGTGGAAAGGTCAACAAAATCTCCCCCACCTACTTGTCGCATTCCCTAGTCCATAGAAAATCCTTTTGTAGAGGGAGAGGAATACGGCCTTTTGGAGAGAGCAGAGGTCATATGATGCTAATTCTCTCATTATCTCATCCCCATCCTTCTCCATGCTGCATATTTATAGGGAAGAGGGGGTTTTCTTCTTGTCATCCCTCCAAATGTGGAGTACCCAAAAGAATTGCTTACAGAGTTTGAGCATTGATCCTGGACCCTGAATACAGGCCTGCCTCTTGGCAGAGTTGATAGAAGTAGGTGACTTCAATCAGAAACAACAAAGGTGACGTTATAACTGATCCCACAGAAATACAAAAGATCCTCAGGGACTATACAAAAGATCCTCAGGGACTATTATGAACACATCTATGCACACAAACTAGAAAATCTAGAGGAAATGGAAAAATTCCTGGAAACACAACCTCCCAATATTGAACAAGGAAGAAACTGAAACCCTAAGCAACCAGTATTGAGGTCCAAAACTGAATCAGTAATAAACCTACCAACCAAAAAAAGCCCGGAACCAGATACATTCACAGACAAATTCCACCAGATATGCAAAGCAGAGCTGATACCTATTATAGTGAAACTATTCCAAAAACTTAAGGGGAAGGGACTGCTCCCCAACTCATTCTTAAAAACCAGCATCACCCTGATACCTGGCAAAAGACAAAACCTGGCAAAAACACAATGAAAAAAGAAAACTACAGGCAAATATTCCTGGTGAACATAGATGCAAAAAAACCTCAACAAAATGCTAGCAAACCAGATCCAACAGCGCATCAAAAAGTTAAGTCACCATAATCAAGTAGATTTGATTTCTGGGATGCAAGGTTGGTTCAACATATGCAAACCAATAAATGTGACACACCCACATAAACAGAGTTAAAAACCATATGATCATCTCCATAGACATGGAAAAAGCTTTTGATAAACATTCCTTCTTGATAACCCTCAGTAAACAAGGCATCGAAGGAATATACCTCAAAATAATAAGAGCCATCTATGACAAACCCACAACCAACATCATGCTGAAGGGGCAAGAACTGGAAGCATTCCCCTTGAGGACTGGAAGAACATAAGAATACCCACTCTCACCACTCCTATTCAACACAGTACTGGAAGTGCTAGCTAGAGAAATCAGGCAAGAGAAAGAAATAAAAGGCATCCAAATAGGAAAAGAAGAAGTGAAACTGTCTCTCTCCATGTATGATGTGATTCTATACCTAGGAAATCATAAAGACTCTTCCAAAGGGCTCCCATAACTGATAAACAACTTCAGTTTCAGGATACAAAATCTATGTACAAAAATAAGTAACATTTCTATACACCCATAACGTTCAAGCTGAAAGCCAAATCAAGAAAGCAATTCTATTTACAATAGCCACAAAAAAATTAAAATACCTAGGACCACATCTAACCAAGGAAGTGAAAGATATCTACAAAGAGAACTACAAAACACTGCCAAAAGAAATCACAGATGACGCAAACAAATGGAAAAACATTCCATGCTCTGGATTGGAAGAATCAATTCATTAAAGTGTTCATTCTGCCCAAAGCAATCTATATATTTAATGCTATTTCTATCAAACTACCAACGTCATTTTTCACAGAACTAGAAAAAACTATTCTAAAACTTATATGGAACCAAAAAAGAGTGTGAATAGCCAAAACAAAGCTAACCAAAAAGAACAAAGCTGGAGGCATCACCACATTACCCAACTTCAAACTATGCTATAAGGCTACAGTAACCCAAACAGCATGGTGCTGGTACAAAAACGGACACATAGACAAATGGAACAAAATGGAGAACCCAGAAATAAAGCTGCACACCTACAGCCATCTGACCTTTGACAAAGTTGACACAAATAAGCAATGGGGAAAGATTTTCTGTTTAATAAATTATATTGGGATAGCTGTCTAGCCATATGGAGGAGAATGAAATTGGACCCCTATCCTTCACCATACACAAAAATTAAGATGGATTAAAGGTTTAAATGTAAGACCTCAAACTGTAGTAATCCCAGAAGAAAACCTAGGAAATATTCTGGACATCGGCCTTGGGAAATAATTTATTAGTAAGTCCTCAAAAACAACTGCAGCAAAAACAAAAATTGACAAGTGGTACCTAATAAAACTAAACAGCTTCTGCGAAGCAAAAGAAACTATCAGCAGAGTGAACAGACAATGTACAGAATGGGAGAAAATGTTCAAAAACTATGCATCTGACCAATGTCTAATATCTAGAATCTGTAAGGAACTTAAACAATGGAAGAAGCAAAAAAGACCATTAAAAATGGGCAAAAGATATAAACAGACACTTCTCAAAAGAAGACATACAAGTGTCCCACAAACGTATGAAAAAAATGCTTATCAACACTAATCATCAGAGGAATGCAAATCAAAACCACAATGAGATATCATCTCACACTAGTAGGGATGACTATTATTGAAAACTCAAAAAACAACAGATGCTGGTGAGGCTGTAGGGAAAAGGGAAAGATTATACATTGTCGGTGGAAATGTAAATTAGTTCAGCCACTGTGTCAAAAGCAGTTTGGAGATTTCTGAAAGAACTGAGAACTACCATTCAACTCAGCAATATCATGACTGGGTATATATCCAAAAGAAAATAAGTCTTTCTACCAAAAAGACACATGTACTCACATGTTCATCACAGCACAATAGCAAAGAATCTAGGTGTCCACGTCTAGTGGATTGGATAAAGAAAATATGGTACATAAACACCATGGAATACTACACAGCCATAGAAAAGCAAGAAATTATGTTCTTTGTAGCAACATGGATGAAGCTGGATGCTATTTTCCTAAGTGGATTAACTCAGGAACAGAAAACCAAATACCACATGTTCTCACTTACAAGTGGGAACCAAAAATTGGGTACTCATGGACATAAAGCTGGCAACAATAGAAACTGGGGACTACTCAGCCACACACACATGCTGCCATCAGTGGCACAGAGAATGAGGGAGGGGGCAAGGGTTGAAAACTATTGGGTACTATGCTGAGCACCTGGGTGATGGGATCAGTCGTATCCCAAACCTCAGCATCATGCAATACAGCCAGGTAACAAACCTGCGTATGTATGCCCTGAATCTAAAATAAAAGTTGAAATTATATATAAAAAAGCAGACGGCCGGGCGCAGTGGCTCAGGCCTGTAATCCCAGCACTTTGGGAGGCCAAGGCGGGTGGATCATGAGGTCAGGAGTTCAAGACCAGCCTGGCCAACGTGGTGAAACCCCCTTTTCTACTAAAAATACAAAAAAAAAAAAAATTAGCTGGGAATGGTGGTGCATGCCTGTAATCCCAGCTACTCGGGAGGCTGAGGCAGGAGAATTGCTTGAACCAGGATCCAGGAGGCGGAGGTTGCAGTGAGCCAAGATCACACCACTGCATTCCAGCCTGGGCTACAGAGCGAGACTCTGTCTCAAAAACAAACAAACAAAAGTAGACAACTTACACTCTGCTGTCTTGAGCAACTAGAGTTTGAAAAGCTTAGTTACAGTATTGGAGAATCCGTCCCCACTCCACCATGTGTGTGGCATCCCTGGAGGATGCTCATAGCATCTCACTACAGTTCCTCAATCCGTAGTGTGGATGAGGTGGAAATTTGCTGTGGGAGAAGCATTGGCAGGTGACCCTAGAAGAGCCAAGCCTGATACCACGCATGCGATGAGAGGAGCACCATTACCACCAATGGAGGCAGGTAAGAGGTTCTTCTGTGACTTCACATTTAGAGGGGTGTTCCCATACAGCAGGCAAGAGGAATCTTGCCTGCAGTAGTATGCCTTGTCAACTCCCTGAGCTCTCAGTGAACCAACACCCATGTAGCATCCTCATCGGGGCTGTGAGATTACACACATATATAAACAAACACAATCTGTCAGCATTGAGTAAAGAAGCAGCAGAGACCAAAAGAATGGGCATATCACCATTGTTGCTTGAGTATAAGCAGATGTCAGAGCAGACTTCTACCTCCACTTACACACACACACACACACACACACACACACACACTGCCATCAGTGGCACAGCTAGCAGGGAACAGAGAATGGGTCATGCTCATACCCACCACAGGCAGCTCCTGGCAGTGGACCCTAAGCCCAGTATGCACAAAGTAAGAAGAAAGAAGCCCAGAGAGCTACATTTTGAACGGGGCCATATTTTAAACCAAAAATATGACAACTTAAGGGATTGAACTGTGAAATCTGTTGTTATTCAGCAAGTTTGTTTTTTCACTAGGCAGAAGAGTAAAGACAAGACAAAGTGTGTAGCTGTAACTGACAAAGACTAACATTCTATTTTTGTATATCACTGAGTTACTCTCAAACTTATAGCATATAGGTCAGTTCCTTCTCACCTTCTCATCACTCTCCTTCAGGTTAAATTATGTCTCCTTACAGTTTAGTTTCTTTAAATAATTTTTAGTAAAAGAAAACTATATGATGAGATTTCTTAAATCATTTGAAATAATTACAGTATTTTTAAAATCACTTAGCTTTGGAAAATATTTCACATTTATCCATATTCCAGTATGTTTGCTTTATCATTTTAGGTATACAAAACAAAATACACACATGAAAAATTTAAATAAGTACTTAATTTTCATTCATATTTTAAAGTGCAGGGGGGTTTGTATCATTTAGTTCTAACCTTTATAAGTACAGTTCTACCAACCAAAATGTATTTTAAAATGAGAAAACAGTCATTGATTTGAACTGGAAAGTCATCTAAATTAAACAGTCTAGCTTAAAAAGATCTTTCTTACAAATTTTATTTAAATAAAAATCTAAAGCCTCAGATTTTCCAGGTATTTTGCTCATATAGTCCAGAGAAACAAATATTTCTTTACTTATAAAAATGTTTGTCCAGTTGAAATCAACTAGTTATCATAGCTCTGAAATAGGTTTCAATAATTAGTGACTTGATATCACCAAAAGAGCTTTAGAATGGACAAACATGGAAAATTAGCTTTCTTCTCAACAGTATTTAATTGTCTGGTGAAAGCCAAGAGGGCCGTTGAAATAATTATTGCTAATATATTAAGTATTTCCACAGTAAACTTTTACTAACATATAAGCTATTTCTATAGCTTAAGCTTAGTTGGTGTAAGAAAGCATTTTTTTATGATAAAAAGAATTATGGAGAAAAAGTGGACGGGAGAGTACTCAGTCTCTTTATAATTTAATTGGTAAAGAAAAATGTTCACTTTTATAGCTGTAGTCCAAAGGACTTCTAAGTAGGCCAGCAACAACTTTTTAAAAAGGTAAAATGTAAACATCATGTTTTTAAAAAGACAGTAGGGCTGTGGAGACAAATGTGATTAGACACACTCAATTTCCAGAAGGAAATGAGTCATTTCTTGGTAAGCTGGCTTTACAGATAGAGGAACCCCCAAATCACTGGGAGTTTTCTCCATGAATGCTCAATGCTGAACATTGAGCAACATGGGAGGTTAGGAAGCTGGGATGGAAAGGCAGAATAAAGTCTCCAATAATATCTTGGTGTACAGGAGACAAAGTCCACTAGAATGTAGCACAAACATCTAACTGGTGTTGCCTTTGAGGCATTTTAATTCAAAGTAAGCAGAATCTAAAACTGCAACCGAGCCGCGGCCCAGTTCAGTTACTAATGGGAATGTGATAAGCCTCCCATTGCCCTATCAGTCTAACATAGGAAAGGAACCCCTAAATAACCATTATTTTAAAAATGAAGTTCAGAATACCATGAAAATTACAAGACATGCAAGGAATCAAGAAACTATGACTAATTTTAAAAGGAAGACTAAAGAATAGATGAAACAAGCAGAAAGATAACACAACTATTTTATTCACTGTAAATAATCTAAATCTTCCTATTAAATACAGGTTCAACTGTATGCGGTTTTCAAGAGTTCTCTTTAAAGGAAAGGGCATAAATCGGCTGAGAGTAAAATGATAAAAGTATGTATATCTAGATATAGATATATATGCCATGGAAAGATTAACCAAAAGAAAATTACATCAATATCATATAGTAGGTTTTAAGTTAAGATAAAGTAGGATGTTTCATAATGATAAAAGGTTCAATTCAACAGAAAAATGTAATATTTCTATATTTCTATGCACCTAATAACATGGCTTCAAAATATAAAAATCTTGACTAAAAGGAGAAATAGACAAATCTACAGTCATAATTGGAGATATTTACAAACATCTTTCGGTATCTAAGAGAAGTAGAAAACAAATCCGTAAGTATGTAGATTTGAATAACATGATTTATAACATGACCTAATTAACATTTATAGAATGCCACATTCAATAACTGCAAAATATACCTTTTTTCAATTCACAGAACATTTGCTAAAGTGCAAAGGATGATCCATCCATATGATGGGTAACAACACAAGTCTCAACAAATTTCAAAGGGTTGAAATCATACTAAACTTGTGCTCTGACCTCGGTGGAATTAAAAACTGAAAAATAACTGAAAGATGACTAAACATGTCTAAATGTGTGAAAGTTAACACCGTTCTAAATAAACTATGGGTCAAAGTAGAAAAATCACAAGGGAAATCTAAAAATATTTTGAACTGCACTAACATGAAAACTGTGTCAAAACTTGTGGATTCAGCTAATGATACAAATTTCAAATTATGGATTTCTATTTTTTCAATGCTTAGAAAAAACAGAAATCCATTATTTGAAATTCATATAATTAGAAAAGATGAGAATTTGAAAATTAATGATTTAAGTGTCAATCTGTCAAGAGGATAGAAAAAAAAGGAGAATTAGACCCAAGGCAATTGGAAGAAAAGGGCAATATTCATCAGAGTATAACAGCTTTTAAAACGCTTCTACAAATTATCAGTGCTACTTGTTCCTCTAAGGATAAACGGATGATAGGATTTCAGAGCTGGAAAGAGCCTTAAGATAATCTAGTAACTAAATAGTTAAAAATCCTGATTACACACAGGTAAAATTGAAACCCAAAGAAGTGAAGGGAATTTTTATTTTCTGAATGTGTAAAATACAGTAGATATTGTGTTGAACACGTTTCCTCTTTTTCTCATACCAACCCATGGGGCTGTTATTTCTCCGTCTCTATCAGTGAGGATGCTGAGACTTAGGTGATTTCTGCAATTTGCCTGATGTCTAACTAGTAAGGGATAAGAGCCAGGATTTCAGTCTAAGTCTCTTTAATCCAAAGCCAACATTCTTCCTACCAGCAGACCCTAAATGGTTTAACTGGAAGCTATAATGAAGTCTAGAACCCAAGTCCTTTTCTCCCTGTCTGTTCTTTATCTACCGAAGTAGAGGGATTGAACTATAAGGTCCTGTTCCAGTTTTCTTGGTGGCATTTTCTCATATACAGTTGAATGACTCAGATAACATAATCGCTAGCCTAGTGTGTGATATACTTCTCTCTGGTAGGGAAGGAAGCTGTGTTGCCGCAGGCTTTAGTAAGATTGCTTCAGCCAAAACTTGGACTTTTTCATCTAATTTCCCTGGACTGAGAAACTCTAAGCTGCCAAAACCTGCACTTGAAAATGCCATAAGTGCAAATTGTAAAAACAAAGATTTCTTAATTTTTCTCCCCTTGCACTTACCTAGCATCTAATTACGATGCAAGGTCCAGATCTGCTATATCCAACGAACCTAAAGTCTCAAAATGCTTCTAGGAATGTGTATTTTCCATTGTTGTCCAATAAAACACAACAAGCAAGTTTCTATAGTGCCTATCATATGTAAAACTGTGCTAAGTTCTGTGAGCTAATGGTAAGTCATATACTACCCTTGACCTCTTAAGCACCCACTTAAACAGAAAGAGGTGTGCGTGCGGCTAAATATGATACTGTTTGATAAGTGAGATAATATAATATTAGTTAGCTGCTATGGAAGCAAAATGGGGAAACTGGTTTGTTCTGATTCTGTGTGTCACAAAAGGAATCACTAAGAGCTGGAAGGACTAAGAGCTTTCCATCTCTAAATCTAGGGCAGGAGAGGTGAGGGTACTTTGATTGTCCAGAGACCAGCAGTTCCTGGATGAAGGTAGAATATAGGGTTAGTGACAGGGCATTATGGAACATGAGGCAAAAAATGTAATTTGAGGCCAGACCTTCTAAGTTAAATTTCCGCTTAAGCTTGTTAGCAGTGAGGAGGACATCCTGTTGAGATTTGTAACTAAAGGCAGTGAGTTCAAGAGGCTAGAAACAAGAGACCTAACTAGCAACCTAGCTAATGTCATGATCCAGATGAAAGATACCCTGATGAGCTAAGGGGGTGAAATAGAAAGGTGGGCATAGATTAGAGATACTTCAGAGACAGAATTGGTAAGAAGTTGTTGACTGTTTGAGGGCTGAGGGAGAAGGATGAGTCTAAGTCACCTTAGTCACCTGCTGATGCCCAGATTATTAGCTCTTCCTTCCATCACACCATTATAGATACTTAAATATACACACTGAAACACATGTTATGGAGAAACTTATGATCCAAAATTTATGAAAGGTAATTATTTGGTGAAATAAAATATGTATTAATCAGACAGAATGAATAATATTTTCTGTTTCTTACAATCTGTTTGAGGTTTTTTTTAATGAATTTAAGGTATATAAGTGCAGTTTTGTTACATGGATATACTGCCTAATGGTGAAGTCTGGGATTTTAATGTGACCATCACCTGAATAGTGTACTCATTAAATAATTCCTCATCCCTCACCCTTCTCCCCCACTTCCCTGTCTCTATGTCCATGGATAAACATTATTTAGCTCTCATTTATAAGTGAGAACATGTGGTATTTGGCTTACATGAGGGTTTTGTATAATTCTTTTCCATCTTAGGTGGTATGAGAGGAGAGTAAAATTGGTAACCAAGAGTGAATAAAGAACAAGTTGAATCATAAAATCAGTGTGGACCATCAAAATTCGATGAACATTCCCTGTATTGGTTTTCACTCTCCTCCTTTAAACAATCAAGGAAGGAGTAATTTTCTAAATATGTGATGTAATAGGTCAAATGCAAAGAAAATGCAAAAGGTAGAGGGGGGGTCAAAGTAGGTATTTTCTTCCCAACTTGCAAATGCGCACAGGAAATACTGAAAGTGGAGGTCAAATATTCTCTTCCCTGCTTGGAAATATGCACAGAATGGCTGAACGTGGGCAGTCAAAGCAGGTCTTCTCTTCCCAGTTTGGAAATATGCACAGATATGGGATGGCTTTGTGGGACTTCTCCATTGTATGGCCCTTTCTGTATTCTCAGCTGTACATGGCAGCTCCCAAAGCACCAAGAGGTTCCTCACTCCTTTCTGTTCTGTTCTTTAGCATCTGTGCGGGATGTGCAGATGGAATTGTAGGATTATTACTGCTCCTCACTCCTTTCCAGTTTTGCCACAGTTGGGAAACTACCTGCACAACTATTCTGCAGATCTGAACCAAATAATTTGAGACAACTTAAATATATTATTTTTATCTTGTTTACGCATGATATCTCTGATTATGGAAGAAATAATAGTTTTAACTGTTTAATTTTGACTGGAGAATAGGGAATTTCTGCTTATTTCTGCTTAGTTCAGCATTTACACTTGCCTATTGTTATACAAAAATATGTATTTTTAGTAATGAGTATTTAAGGATTTCCAAACCTATAGTTAAGATTAATATTTCTGGACTAGAATATTTATATGCCACCAGCAATATTATATATAACTTAAAATTTATCCCTTTACACAAATGGATTGACCGCTGTACATTCCCTTAAGAGTAAAATTATTTTCTTGCCCCAAAATGGGAGCATGTTTGTGGATTTTTACTGAGCCTTGGAATAAGGAGCTGAGTAAGCATTTGGAAGAGGGTTTGAATGATGTTCCTGTGAAAATGGATGTTAATTGGTCTCCGGCTTGAATCAGTTATAAATATGGAGGTGACCCTGATTAACCAACAGCAGGGAAGCAATTGTATCTTTATTGCCTATAGCAGTCTCAGTGAAGTACTGGACTCAACTTTCTCCAAAATTTATCAGATGAGATACGCTTTTAAAGAATCTAGATTAGTTGTCATATCTATCTCTGTACCTCATTTCTTCAAGACAGGAGGAATGATGAGGCTAAAGGTTGATTATAAAATATTAATGCTAGCCTTAATTTTGCCTCATTTTGTTGCTTATCTGAAAAGAACAAGCCTACAGACTAAATTTGGTTGGTGTTGGCTTTTTAGTCTGTCTTTAATGTGGGAGCTTATACAGTATAAGCACATCTAGGGACTTGGTACCCCCACACAGACCGCCACACCTGCTTACATACACCCACACATTAAACCAATCTGGAGTAAACCAGGAGGTTAAACTTACAGAAGGCAAATTATTTGCCAAAGAAGTTCAATTTTTTTTTCTTTTTCTTTTTTTTTTTTTTTTTGAGACAGATTCTCAGTCTGTCGCCCAGGCTGGAGGGCAGTGGTGCAATCTCGGCTCACTGCCATCTCTGCCTCCTGTGTTCAAGCAATTCCCCTGCCTCCACCTCCCAAGTACCTGGGACTACAGGTGTGCACCACCACGCCCAGCTAATTTTGTATTTTTAGTAGAGACAGGGTTCACCATGTTGGCCAGGCTGGTCTCGAACTCCTGACCTCAGGTGATCTGCCCTCCTTGGCCTCCCAAAGTGCTGGGATTACAGGCATGAGCCACCACACCCAGCCAGAAGTTCAATATGTTAAGCAATAAGTACATCTTTCTTATTAATCATAACCAGTTTTCTAATTTGCTTTTACTAGATGGCTAAATCTATTAAACAGTTTCTTCAGTAAAGTTCAGAAAACAAAGCTGTGCCTGCTAATTTTTAGCAGTGATATGAAAATGACTTTGCTCTTATTTGAATTAAATATGTTGAAGTTTCTTAGGAAATTGAGGCAAGAGGCTTCCTTGTTCTTACTTCATCATGTGTAATCAATAATTATTGTTGACACAATTGGCTTTTATTTACCTGAGGGAACCAAGTGTTTCACCCAATTCTCTTTTTTGATATCACAGACCAATGGACTGAACTTAGTGTCTTCTACTTTTTTTATTTCCCTGGAGAAAATGTTAAAATATGTATTCAGGCTCTATCTAATTTTGCCCTGCAATGCAGAACGCTTTTCCCTAAAAGTTTTCTAATGCAAGAAATGAACTTTACAATGGCAAACTTTTTATATTTTAACATTTTTTTCTAGAGTGAAGCAGAGCTGTATTCATGGTATAAACACTCCTAAAGTGTGAAAAAGGGAATGCAAATAAATTTTAGGAGATCAAGAAGTCATTTCTGTTTCTTGAAATATGGTGTATTTAAATAAGGCAATTAGTATCATTTTTATATAGTATGTTGAAAATATGCTATGATGGAATCTTTAAATCATTGTTAGATAAAATCAATTTTTTGAATAATTATTGTACATTTAAGTACCTTTTTATTTGTATTTCATTTTACTTGTCTCTACCTCAACACTATATTAAAACTAAACACACTTATTTTTTGAATGGCTGACTTCTTACACTTGGTGAGTTAAGGATCTATATAAATATATAAAACATAAATGGAATAATTAAGCTGTATTCTGAGTACTTTATGTGGATTCATTCATTTATTCTTCCTAGTAATTTATGAGAAAGTTACTACTGTTATAACCATGGTACAAATGAGGTAATAACTGAAAAAGAATAAAAGATTTCTGATTCTTGCCAGGACACACAGCTAGTATAGTAAGGAGCGATGTAAGGCATGAACCCAGGTAGGCTGGGGCTAGAATTTACGTATTAATTACTCTATACTGTTGCTTTTCAATTTGTCTTCACTCAGCTTTTGTTTTCCCTGAATGCAGATATGTTCATGTCAAACTACAAGTTATCTGGACCAACGGGTCTCAAATTCCATTTGGAATATTGGCCGCTACTAGTAACTCAACGTTTTAATATGATTTGTTTTCATATATATCAAGGTCAAAGGATAGCATTCTTGACTTCCATCCTTCCCCCAGTTCCAATCCATGTTTGTCATTCTTTCCCTTTGGTTCCCAGATCTACTGCCGCGTATCTTAAGTCACACCTATGTGCCAGTGTGCTGTGCAGCATAGAAAGCTCTGTTCATTTGTAGGAATTATTAGTTCATTTTTCTTAGTCTCCTATAAAAGCTATTATCTCTCTAATCCTTGGGGAGAAAGTAAATTAAAGGATACAGACTTATATTTTGAATGCCCTCTGACTGTCCTATGCAGTATTGCTTCTCCCAGCTTCGTATTGAACTGTGAAGATACAACGCAAAGAAAATTCACAATGCTAAAATCAAGACTAAATCAAGGAGGAAATTCAGCTATTTTTAAGATATATGGAGTTAAAATAAGATTCACAAACTGTGGACAATAATAGCAAACATTTACTTTGCATTATGCATGTGCCAGGTGCTATTCTGCATTTTGCATATAGTAATTCATGTAACCTCACAACAGCACTAATAAGGTAGGTGCTAATATTAGTCCCATTTCGCAGATAAGGAAACAGGCACTCAACTAGGATTTCAAGCCAGGCACACTGACTGTGAGGTTCATGGTCATAACTACTCTCTTTCTAATATTTTCCTTGCCACTTGATAAGAGATGCTTCATTCTAACTTCATTACCATTACCCACCCTTTGCCTAAATATCCAGACCAGTATCAAGAAGGACACCAGGCAGCTGTTCATTGCTGTATATGTACAGCTTTCTAAAAGGGTTGTCAAAGCTCAATCAGTACAAATTCAAGGGCTGCGGATCACCATAAACAAGGAATGTAATAGAGGTTTGGTAGCTTATTGTAACTTGGCTTGGGTATTACTGATAACCCATTACTGGTTTGTAATACCTTAATAGCACTGCATTATGGGAATTCTAAATATTCATATGCCTCATCACTGGAAATGTTTAGAAAATTAGCAACAGTGATGAGTAGAAGACCCAATTCAATCTACTAAATATCTATTAGATGCTGCTTTCTGAATTAGGTGAAAGGACATCAATTTGTTCTCCAGCAACAGATGGAGAAGAAGAGCTGACCAACAACTAAATGGTCAGAGATCAGGACAAAAGGGCAAGCCAGACGTCCTGTATATTACAAACATCAAGTTTGGATTTTGAAAACTTTTAGAAAATGTTTTACAGATAAAGAAAGGTGCACTAAGAAGGTAATGTATCTGAAAATGGTTTGCCATCAGAAACAAAACACTTTAGAAAACATGTTGGTATCTCAGTAGCATGCAGAGGACTCGAGACTGAAAACCGTGCATAGAGAATAGACCAATATACAAAGACAGCTAGATGGTAGGGATGGGTGGTGATATAGTTTGGATGTTTGTCCCCTCTGAATCCTGTTGAAATGTGATCCCCAGTATTGGAGATGGGGCCCAGTGGGAAGTGTTTGGGTCAGGGGAGCAGATCCCTCATGAATGGCTTGGGGCTTTCCCCATAGTAATCAGTGAGTTCTTGCCCTATTAGTTCATGTGAGAGCTGATTTAAAGAGCCTGGCACCTCCTCCTCCTCTGTTGCTCCCTCTGTCTCCATGTGATGACACACCTGCTCCCCTTTTGTCTTCCACCATGAGTAAAAGCTTCCTGAGGTCCTGACCAGAAGCAGATGCTGATGCCATGCTTGTTGTACAGCCTGCAGAACAAGGAGCCAAAAAAAGCCCTCTTTACAAATTACTTAGCCTCGGGTATTCATTTATAGCAATGCAAAACAGACTAATACAGGTGGATTGCAGGGAAGACAAAGAATAGAACTAACACGATAAAAATCAGGTCAGTGATGCAGATAATACACAAATATACATGAGATGGTTTCTTGGTATGCAGAAAGATATGGAAAAAGGAATGAGACAACAGAGAATGGAAATCTAATCCTAGAATTACAGGTATTTTCAGGGAAGACAGGAAAACATCAAGGTCAAAAGCAAAAATAATTGGAAGAAAAGTCTGGACAAATGATTGTTACTAGCAAAAACAAAGTTTTGATGAATCTAATGGAAATATATACAAGCAAATTAGGAATAAGGTTATTTAGCCACAGATATAGAAATAATAACAGCAACAATACTAATACTTAGCACTGACTGCATGCATCTAAGCTACATATATAGTATTTTATAAACATTACAAGTAAGAAAACTTTTTAAATTATGAGAAAATACTCTGTAAAACTCTGTGCTGAGAGTTTCTCAACTGAATGATATGAATGCTTTTCTGAGATATGTTAATTACCAAAGTAGCTTCAAGAAAATCTGGATAAATTGGTAACAAAGTTGTAACCAAATTCATCAAACAAAATTGATCACAGCATAACTTCTGAAAATGAGCTTCCTTTTGCTTCCAAAACATGGGCAAGGTGGTTCTACCTGTGTAATCTTCTGTGCTTTCAAAGAATGTATTCCCATGGCCAAATAAATTGTTCCATTGTGAAGATAGGCAAAGGTGTAAAAGTTCTCTTACTCATTTTTTAAACTAGCATAACCCTGACTCCCAAACCGATATAACCAACTTTGTAATCTTTATAGTCATGCCTAGTGTCAAATTAATGTTTATTGAAAGGAATTTGGACGTGCAAGTGATTATAAAGAATATATAACAATTGCCTATAATCTCATCATTCAAAAATTATCACCATTAATATTTTAACTAATATTTTAAATATGCCAGACCCCGTGCTAAGTGCTTATCTATATGTTTTTATTTAATTTCATTAAGAATCTTCTGCCATAGGCATTATTGTTGTAACCTCTTTTTTCCTGATGAAGAGACTGACACATAGAAAGATTAACTTGCCCAAGGTTGCCAAGCAAGCAGTCACAGGTGAGGTATAAACTTAGGAGGTCTTATTCTGGAATTCACTTTTTTTTTTTTTTTTTTCCGAGACGGAGTCTGGCTCTGTCACCCAGGCTGGAGTGCAGTGGGGCGATCTCGGCTCACTGCAAGCTCCGCCTCCCGGGTTCACACCATTCTCCTGCCTCAGCCTCCCGAGTAGTTAGGACTACAGGTCCCTGCCACCATGCCTGGCTAATTTATGTATTTTTAGTAGAGACGGGGTTTCACCGTGTTAGCCAGGATGGTCTCGATCTCCTGACCTTGTGATCCACCCGCCTCGGCCTCCCAAAGTGCTGGGATTACAGGCGTGAGCCACCGCGCCTGGCCTCTGGAATTCACTTTTAAACCATTGCATTATACTGTGGCTTTAGAGAACTTGTTTCCAGTATTTTATCATAAAGTATTTTCCAATGATAATATGCTTTGAAATCGTGATTTTAATAAGTGTATGATATTCTAGCAAATGAATGAACTGTTATGTATTTAAACATTCCCTTTTTTTAGACATGAAGGTCATTATCAAGTGTTTATTACAAATATTGATGAATTTAACATTTTCATATAAATCAAACTGCCTAATATTTTCTGTGAAGGTAAACTCTAAGATGCAGAATTACTAGGTCAAAGTTATGAATACTTGTGAACCATCTTGATTCTCTACTTGTTTTCTGGAAGGATTTTGCAATATGTGTTTCTACTCAGAGAAAATGAGAATGTCCATCTCATAGCAACATTATCAGCTCTGAATAGTGTCACTACTTAAAACACTTGTAAATTAAATTAGATAGGTGAAAGAAGGGATATCATATTTATTTCACATTGTTTGGCTACCAATAACACTTAAAAATATTTTTATATATGTATCAGCCATTGGAATTTTTTATTAATTCCTGCCTCAGAGAAAGCAACAGAGCTAATGGTTAAGAACACAGACTCTCTTTTTTTGTCAGAGGCTCTAGAGCAAGATGAATGCTTCCAGCTTGTAGGAGGTGGAACATGGTTATATTAGACATATTGTTCTCAAAGGCTGACATGGAAAGTTTCAGCCATTCCTAGAAATCTCGGTTAATCCTGATCCTACAAACCTTAATCTCATTGAATCTCCATTTCCTCATCTTTATTGATAATACTACTTGATATTAATACTTCATGTTTATTGTCAGTATTAATATATGCAAAGTGTTTAGTGTACAAATAGCCTAAAACATGGTGACTTTTAAAAATATTGGTCCACGCTTTCATGTCAGTCACATGGACCTCTATTTATGCTTATATTAGAGTTTTGCATGACCTTATTATTCTCCCACAATATATTGTGAATTCTCAGGAGGAATTTTTATCTTTGTCCTTTGTCCCAAGTACCTAGCATAAAGCCTCATGTATCAGGAATACATATCTACTGTATTGGGCTGAGTGTAAAATTACTCAAATTCAAAGAACATTTTGTGATATGAGATGTCATGATTCCATCTAGCCTCTGAAACATTTTATCATTTTCCTATTGCAGAATTCTTAGAAATACTCAAATTTGGGTTCTCAAAGGCAGCTTTTAGAGATTAAACTGTTTGCTGACCACTTTCTTTAGGACAGACTCAATTATAGGCCAGTGACATATAGACCAAACTCAATGGCAGATGCAAGAGTAGGGACCACTCCAATCACCATGTGATTTGATGAGCAAAAATGTAGCAACCCCACAGCATTGCCTCAGCAAATTAAGTGCTCACTTCCTTCCTTCTCTTTCCAATGAAAGAGAAGATAATTTTTTTTGAAAATATAACTCAATGTTTAGCTTAGTAAAACAAAAAATTAAATTCACTCATAAGGTTTTATGAAGACCTGCAAATGTCCACGTAATTTTTTTCTTATTATTTTCACTGTCAGACCAAAGTTGTTATAAAAGTTCAGGAGACTGGGCGTGGTGGCTCACACCTGTAATCCCAGCACTTTGGGAGGCCAAGGTTGGTGGATCACCTGAGGTTGGGAGTTTGAGACCAGCCTGACCAACATGGAGAAACCCCGTCTCTACTAAAAATACAAAAAAATTAGACAGGCGTGGTGGCACATGCCTGTAATCCTAGCTACTCAGGAGGCTGAGGCAGAATCGCTTGAACCCAGGAGGCGGAGGTTGCGGTGAGCCGAGATCACGCCGTTGCACTCCAGCCTGGGCAACAAGAGTGAAACTCCATCTCAAAAAAAAGAAAAGTTCAGGAGGAAAGACATCTTCAAAATAAAATAATTTAAAATAGTTAATAATTTAAAATAAGTTTGAATAACTTAAAAGTATATGTTTAATTTAAATGTATTAGAAGTTTAATAAGTTTAAATAACTTAAAATAACTTTAAAACATTTTTTAAATGTTTCACCACAAAAAAAATAGTATGTGAAGTGATGGATTTTTTTAATTAGCCTCATTTAATCATTCTACATTGTAAACATAGCAAAACAGTACGTTGTACCCTGTAATTGTATACAATTATTATTTTTCAATTAAAAATTAATCATTAAACATTTTAGGTTAGAACTTCTTATAATTAAAAAATGGATTTCTAAGCCTAACTTTGATTATGATTAAGAAAATATTCTATGGTTCTCTATGCCCTTCATCCACCTATATCCCACCCTCCCGAACTTATGTTCCTGTGTCTGCTCCACGTCCCTGCCAACAACCACTTCACAAAATATTAACTGGCTTTGATTTGGAAAACATTATTCTGCTCTCCTATATTGATGTCTGAATTGAAATAAATATGACAGTCATCTTTATGGACGAGTTTAAGTTCAATTTTATTATCTAAGCTTCCTCGAAGAGAAAATGAAAAACAGTCCCCCCAAAATCATAGTATTAGAAACTTTTGGTTAAGAAAGTGAACATTGTGACAGGGTGTCAGTTGTTGTCCATTTTGGATGGTGGACCACAATTCCAAGAACGGAAGGAAGTCCATTTTCCCATGTAACAATGGCAAATGCCAGCCAAATTCTAACCTAATTTTGCCAGGATCTTAGGACAATTCCCCAACTTGTTACACAATCACCATTCTGCTGGCACTTGTGTTTTGCCTTGTTTCCCTGAATGGTTTGTTTTTTATTTTTTTTCTTAATTTGAGTGACCTTTGAGCCAGAAGAACTTGTCATTTGGTGACTCTTGTGAAAGTGTTTATTTTTATACACTCCATGTGTCCTTCTAAATGTAATTTTGTAAATCATAAAAATAAAAAATTAGGCTTTTTCTGTAATGCTGGGCTCAACAACAGATTTCTTTAAAAATGGAGAAGTTTAAAGAATTAGGCTTTTTGCTGAAATTCACAAGGATTTATTTGTTGTTTTAAAGCTGCTTTGGGAACAAACATTTGTTTTGATAGTTTTACAAGTAGAAACTATAAAACTAATGGAATTGCTCGTATTCATTTGTGTTAAGGTTATAAAGCTACTTACAATTGCAGTTCACATTTTGTAACTCAACTTTCAAGCTAATTGTGGAAAGGAAATCTGAAACTTGCCAAATCCTTGATAATCTGGACTCCTCACTTACCCCACTCAACTCCCCCAAAAATCTTTCATTCTAGTGGTCTGGTAATTCAGTGGAAAACCACATGACAGGGTTCATAAATTTATCCAGTGGTTTTTATACCTAAGGATAACACTTTCTGGTCTGTTTTGCAGGCTTTTCACAGGAAGAATTGTGATGGTCAGAGCCAATGTAGTCGGTCAAATCTAAGACTAAGAATAAATGTAGCAAACACATCCAACATAATTCTGTTGGAAGGACTTAAGCCATTTAGTCCGTCCAACAGAATGATGAGGATAGTACTGTTGTCTGCACTTCACAGAACAAACAGAGACACAGAGAGGTTGAGTAACTTTCCCAGAGCCACACAGTAAGTGGGGAGCCGGAATTCAAACCCTAATAGCCTAGTTTCAGGGTACATTCCCTTTTGTGTCATGCTTTTGTATTTCAAAAAGCACATGACATATGTTTTATTATTTAATCCTCTAAATACCTCCAGGAGGTATTCAGATTTTATAATGCTTTTTGTTGGTGTGGGTTCACTGAGACACGGAATTGTGGAGCAGAACTAACCCAGACCGTACATGAGTAGATGATGAAGTAGTCCCAACCCGAGGCCTCCTGACTGCAAGCCTGTGGCTCTCAGGGAGGTTTTGTTTTTGTTTTGCCAAGGAACACTTTCATTAAATAAAAACTGCATCAAACTCTGTTACAAATGAAGGTGTAACTGTTCTTAGTAGGGGACAGATGGGCACTTGGACTTCTCTCCTACCTGTACCTATTTCCATCCCACCCGCAGAGGCCCTAAATGGCTCCATAGAATACAACTGGAAGCCCACTGCTTTACCCCGTGTTATCTTTCAGATATATATATATTACATATATTAGCACTGGAAAGAGCAGAAATTACTGGAAACAACCGAAAAGTAAAGGCAAGAAGCATTTGAACTTGGCTCCGCCACTTGTTCTATGTTCATCTCTAAAATAAGAATAAGAATTAATGCATTTCATTGATTGCTTCTAGTGAGTCAAGCACTAAGCATTTTCTCACGTAATCCTTACAGCAACCCTGTGAGTTGCAGGTATTGTTATACCAATTTACAGATGAAAAATAAACGTTCAGATTAACTTCTCCAGGGCTACTAGGCTAGAAAATTGTAGTTGGAATTCAAAACCACATCTGTTTGACGATAAAGTCCGGACTCTTAACCTACCTAGGATTGGGGAAATTACATGAGACACAGCTCCTAATGTGTGCTGCAGTAGACAGTCAATAAATGGCAGATGTTATTTTGGGGGAGACTGTTTAAGAGTACGGACTCTGAAATCAGACCATCAGTATTTACATATCTGTTCTATCATATAATGTGTGACCTTGGACAAATGTTTTTCTCCCTCTAGGCTTTAATTCCTTCATTTATAAAGTTTGAATAATATTAAAACTTACTATACAATTTTTATGAAGATCAAATAGGATATTGTGTTTATGTTGCTTAGCACAGGGTCTTACCCATAGTATGCCTTAAATAAATGCTAGCTATGGTTATTATTAGGAACTATATGCTAAGGAATCACAAGCCAAAAAAAAAGTGGATTTCATGAATAGTCTACATTATCTCATTTTGTTTCACCAAAACTTCTGTGAAGTAAGTACTACATTATTTTCATATTACAAATGCTATTTTGAGAGGTGTTTTTAATTTCTTAAGTACTCACAGCTAGCAAGTGATGAAGCTAGAATGTGAGCAGGCAGGTGGAATTCGGAGGCTTCATCCACATTCTGTATTGATTCTGACAAACTATTTAAGATAAACGTTCCCCCCAGTCTTGATGGAGCCCAAGAGTTAGGGACTTAGCCAATCAGGAAATGCTCTTCTTTCTCCTGCTTAAATTCAGAACCAGTTGAAAGGTGGTTGCAGGAATCAGGTAGATGGAGATTAAAATCTCACCTTTTTTATGATAAAGCTATTGAAGGAAATGACTTAGATCCTAATGTCGAGCAAAATAATCTTTCAAGAGACAGAATGAACCACCCACTGGTGATCCTAACACGTCAAGCCTCCCCCCAAGCCCTAGCCCCACCCCAAGAAGCCTGAAATGTGCCCTGTGGAGGATTTGAGCTGAATTCCAGCACAGCTAGCATGGATTTGAGCAGACAGAGCCCAGAGTGAGGTAGAGAGGGCCGAGTCACTCATATCCCACTTCCTCTTCCCACGTCACCATCAGTGACTCCTGCTCTCCTGGGTGGAGTGAGTGAAGGTGGAGAAGAGCCCCGGGTGTTAATCTAATGGAGCTCCTCCAAATAGAAACACCTGGAGTGGGATATCGAATCCCATTTAACATCCCCAGGTTTGTCTTCTCTCAGCGTCACTGGGATCAGCCACTGAGACTCTGGGTTATCCCTCTGTATGGCTGCCACCTGGAGTGCGAGGAGATTAACATCTGTCAGGGCAGGACTACCTCCAACTCCATGAGGCCGCTCCCTCAGAGCCCACTACTGCTGCTTTGGGCATCCTCCCTTGGCTGTGTTTATTTTATCCTCTGAAAGCTCCAAACAGGACAGAAATACACAATTATGAAATTAATACCAAAGCTACTCTGCATCTAAAGTCAATCTGTATTCTATTTCCCATCCCCATTTACCTGTAACCACATTTCCAACTTCAGAGGTTCTGTACCAAGCTGAAATGACAGCCCATCTGTTGCAGAAGTGAAATGAAAATACTATAAACAGTTCTATATTTGAATATAAATCTCATTACAAAGGGAGAAATTAAAGTTTAAAAATCAATGTTCCAAAGAATTCAACTATGAAGTAGTTAAGTCACATTTCAAAAGAATTGATGTTGAAGAGAAAATTCTCTTGCTTTTGTGGGATAACATTTTTTTAAATTTCAAAATTGATCTGAATATTTTATCTGTTCAGTCTAATTCAGAGACATTCGTGACACTGTGGGCAAGCTTGGACTGTCCTCTCCTGGATGCGTGTCACTGCTCCAGCATCTCACAAATAAAATTTTACATTTCTCAAGAGAGAAGAAAACACAGCAAACACCCATGAAATGTAGAAAACAAGTTAGCCCAAGGCCCTAAAGAAGTTAGTCCAGGCATACTTGTATTTCGCAAATCCACACTTTGTGTTGCCAAAAACCACAGCAGAGATTTCAGGGGTAGCAAGTGAAAGACAGAGATCAGGAAAGTCCCGGTTTCCACCTTGCCAGGATGTCAGTGGGTCTGCGCCTGCACACCAGTGAACCTAGATTATTTAGGTTCACTACACCTGCACTCCAGTGAACCTAGATTTATTTAAGAGAATGCTGCCATCAAGAGATTGATTTTGGCCCTCTGTTTACCATATTAAGGAGGATGTTTTTCCCTAGGTGTACTGTCTTCCATCACAAGACATGACATTGACACATTCCTGCCTTGCAAATTTCGACATTTGGAATGGTGGCAACCTCAGCATCAAATTTTATTTGAGAGTTTCCTCAGTGGTAATGTTCCACACTTCTCTCTCCCCTTTTCCCCTGTGAGCCCGGGTTTCTAGCCTCCCAATGCTGCAGTGAGGAATGATTTTCACTGAATCAACAAATTTGTTCCAGCTGGAGAATTTCCTGAAATTTTATTTTTATTTTTTATATATTTATTTATTTATTTATTGAGGCAGGCTCTGGCTCTGTCACCCAGGCTGGAGTGCAATGGCGTGATCACGGCTCACTGCAGCCTCCACTCACCAGGTTCAAGCAATTCTTGTGCCTCAGCCTCCCGAGTAGCTGGGATTACAGGCGCACACCACCAGGCCTGGCTAATTTTTGGATTTTTTTTAGTGGAGATGGGGTTTCACCATGTTGCCAAGGCTGGTCTTGAACTCCTAAGCTCAGGCAATCCACCCACCTTGACCTCCCAAAGTGGTGGGGTTACTGATGTAAGCCACCGCACCCGGCCGCCTGAAAAAAACTCCTGAGCTGAAAGTGCTGTTGTTGTCTCAAGAGCCTGCTGACAACCATTTCTTCTGCTGTGTTCTCCTTAAAACACTTATCTTCCCTCAGACTTTGATTATTTGAAGCCTAAGGTGCATTTCTCTGTGTAATCTTTCTCTGCAGTAGCAGTCTTTTAGGAAGACCCGAGAATTTCTGACAATTTAACCTTAACTTGGTTTCTTCCCTTATCTAACACATATGGGACTAGCCCTGTTTACTAAATTTGAGGGCTTTCTCCCTCTCCCCCTTTGATTTACAGCCAAAACAATTTGATTTTCTAAGATATCTCTTTAGATTTCATCATGTGGGCTTTCCTGTGGTGAAAAATAATGAAATTATGTTCTTGATATGCCAGAGACGCCTACTTTTCAAATAAATTGTGCCTTTCTCTAGATTGGAGAATCCCACCTGGGTAATATTCTCCCATCAGATTAGCAGAGAACCTAAACCTGAACTGCTCTATTATTGGCCTGTCTGTTCACATAGAATATGTCTCATCTTGTCTGTGTCTTCTCTTTGAGTTCTGATCTCGTAGGTTTCTCAAGCAAGTCCCTCAGGGCATAGAAAACACCTGCATGCCCCCTACGCTGGCTCTATCACCTGAAAACTCACCTAGGAATTCTTTGAGTGTTATATGCTGCTTTCCGCAGCCTTTTCATATCACACCTGCCCACATAGGTAACTGCTTTGTACACTAACCCAGTCATCAGGATGAGAGTGCCCCATGGCTCTTACTTTGGACTCTGAACGTTTTTAGTAAGTTTGCAAAAGTTTTCTGGGTTTTTGCGCCCTCTAGAGGAGTAATTCCAAGTTGTTTTCTGAGATCCTGCCCTCTGTCTTTGGTTTTCACTGGGCCCAGGTCACCCTTTCTGATCTAGTAACAGATTAAAGATCTCTCCACTTTTCTTATTCACCCCTTTTTATTTTTTTATTTAATTTTTTTATAGTTAAATAAAAACCTGCAGGACGTGCCGGTCTGTTACATAGGTAAACATGTCTCATGGTGGTTTGCTGCATCTACCAACCCATCACCTAGGTATTAAGCCTCACATGCATTAGCTGTTTATCCTGATGCTCTCCCTCCCCACGTCTGATTCCCTTTTTAGGAGCAGACAGACTTAGGCACATCTTCTGGCTTTTAAACAGTTTATGTCTATCTAGCCTGTCTTCTAAGATGTCAGCCTTTCCCTCAGGGAAAATCTTTCTTTTCTTTAGCTTTTAATCAGTTTGCCTTCTTTATTTTGTTTCCAATCTTCCACTGCTCCTGATACCATTGTCAAACTGCAGCACATTCTTCAAAGCGTTTGCGTTCTTCCTTCATTCCCTGGTTCCTAGGGATAAGCCCTTGGGTTTGTAATAATTTTATTGAGTTGTTCTCTACCTCAACCCAAGAAGATGGCATATTCTGTTTATTTTGAATATATAATACTTTTTCTAGGTGACTCTTCAGAGCCTTTGGCAAGCCACATAATGACAAAAAGCCATATTCTCTCTTTTGTCCCTGAAGGTAGTTCATGGATTCTGAGACAGCCAAAATAATGCTGCCTCCTTGGGCCTGGTACTAGTCATTTAATGCTAGAACTGCTGGTGTTCACAGTGCACATGGAGCTCAGCTATGTCTTCTCTTGCAAGTTCTGGCCAACAGGCAGAGCTGAGAAACAGCAGCACAAAGTCATTCAGCCTCCAGATACATCTAAAAGACTTTTACCCCAAAGAACTTTCCATGTTTTGGCCTCCATTCTGACTGCTTTCCAAGGCTAGCAACTACAGCCCTACCTACATACCAATATCTTCTTGCCTGCATAAAAATAGCCATTCATCTGTGGACAGAGCCACCCTAAGTCAGGGTTGGAATCCTAAAGGGCCCACACTTGCTAAAGCCTGAAGTCTTCTGCTCAGCCACACCAGTTAGAAGCCAATGGTAATTAGCACACGTTGCTGATTACCCTGATTTGATCATTACACAATGTATATATGTATCAAGACATCATATTGTACCCCATAACCATGTACAATTATTATGTCAATTTAAAATAAAACTTAAAAAGCCAGTGGTAGAACCCAGCTTCATGGAGTGATGTAGACACCTGCCAGCTACCAAGATTAAAACACATGACCGATCCCAGCTGACCCTAGAGCCCCAACTGCCTTGACTGCAGGAAAAGCCTCTCTACTCTTGGTTTTCCAAATTCCCAATAACAGATATTGGGAATTTAGGGGATCAGTAAATATTACATCTTTCTTTCCCCTGCTTAAATTCTGAACCAACTGAGAAGCATAGGAGTTGGACAGGTGACAACTTAAAAAATCATCTTTTCTGTGAATCTAGCTGTTGGAAATCATCAGGCAAGTGGGTTTGCTAAAATTTCACCACCCTGACATACCCTCCTATAACTGGACTCCCACAAAGGGTCCTGATCCTGTGAAACTTGCTGCTCAAGAGGAACAGAGCAGCGTTCTCTCTGCCCACAGGTAAATACCAAAAAGAGATGCCTAATTTCATCTCCCAGAGCCTCCAAAGAATCATTCTGTGTGAGGACTGATTGAATAGGGGTGAAAAACCGGAAAGTGTTACTACAGTGAGGGTCCCCTCACATAGAAACATCAGGAGCACAACAAAAGTTCCACCTTAACACCAGGCTGAGGGGCCATGTCCACCAGGAAAGCATAAGCTACCTCATGAGAACAAGGATGAGAAACACAGAAACTGGTTGGACAAGATGTTATTAATGATATAAACATCCCTAATAGTATGATAGAAATTAACTGGGAGGAAGGATGGATTTGGGGTATTATTGATAATAATGTCTACCAAGTGCTCAGCACATGCCAGGAATTCTAAGTATATTCATTAGCTCAGATGTACCTGACCACAGAGTTTGAGCTCTTAACTATGTTACCATTCTTTGTTGTCTAAAACAGAGTACTATAAAGAAATACTTAATTTGGAGATTAAAGTTTTTTAAATCTCTGAAAATGTGTCCTTTCCTCAGCACATCACACTACCAAGGTGGTTGCCACAGAGCTGTTGTCATGTGAGGGCTCAAGAGGCTTTATTCCCTTGATTTTGGACATTTAGGGATTTTGTGAGATTTATCTGTGGTACTTGTTCATCATACTGAGTTTTGTTATTTCTCTATAAAGAAAGATTTCCAGGGATTTCTACAGCTAAACTCTGCTAATGTTGTCTAGAAGAATAAAAAAAGCAATCCTAAGTGTGTATTGAAATAAACTACAGTACACACACACACACACACATAAATTCCAAACAAAATTAAATTGACATGAAACCATCATGAATTTATAGGTCTTTTCCTAGCTTGAAAATTGAACATAGAAGTGTAGTGTGGTTTCTGAACTTTCTGGCATCCTTTTTCTACCCAAGCCCTAAATGTTGGAGTGTCCCAGGGTAGGTCCTGGGTGCTTACTGTACTCTCTGCAAATACAGGCTTTCCAGAAGATCTCCTGTATCCTAACTTAGCACTCAGGATCAACTGCACACCCTGAACATGCAGTCCCAGCTCTGACCTGTGCTCTGAGCTCTGGGCTCCCTATATCTGCTTGGATGTCTCACAAGCATCTCAAAGTCTGTATGTCCAGAGCAGAATTTTTTATATTATATTTGTTTGTAAACCTGCTTTTTCCCTACTTATACAGTTTGCATATTTGTCCCCTCCAAATCTCATGGTGAAATGTGATCACCAATATTGAAGGTGGGACCTAGTGGGAGGTGTTCATGGGGTGGGTCTCTCATGAATGAGTTGGTACCATTCCCACAGTAATGGATTCACGCAAGATCTGGTTGTGAAAGAGATTGGAACCTCCCTCCTCTCTCTCGGTCCCTCTCTTTCCGTGTGTCATGTCTGTTTCCTCTTCGTCTTTTGCTAGAATTGAAAGCTCCCTGAAGCCTCACCAGAAGCAGATGCTGGTGCCATGCTTCTTGTACAGCCTGCAGAATTATGAGCCAAGTAAACCTCTTTATAAATTACTCAGCTTCAGATATTCCTTGATAGCAATGCAGAATGGACCAACAAACCTAACCAATCAGTTCGGTAAATGAATCACTGTTAACTACATTATTCAAGCAATAAACCAGGACATTATCCTAGGTCATCATCATCCAGTGGAAATTAAGATGAGCCACATATATCATCCTGAAATATGACTACTAGAAAACTACTAGAAAAAATTAAAAACAAATGGAATTAATTTAATAATGTATTTAACCCAACATAGCCAAAATATTGCCATTTCTACACCAATTTTTTTTAATGATATATTTTAAGTCTTTTGCATGCAATGTCTTTGAAATCCAGAATTATTTTATACTCAACAGTATAATCTCATTTCTTAACCAGCCACATTTTAAATGCTTAGTAGCCATTCGGGGCTAATGACTACCATATTGGATGTGGCAATCTTAGATCTAAGCTTCCTGGTTCATTCCTGCAATCAACTCCATCAACATATCATGTTTTCACCCTCTCTTAAATATATATGAGCCATCTGCTTGTCTGTACGTCCTGTATCTTCACCATCTTTCACCCTCTACTGTAGCCTCCCCTAGAGATTCCTCATAGCTCCTCTCATCCCCGCAGCCTGCTCTCCACCCAGCAGCCAGAGTAACCACTTTGAAATATTCTTTTTTTTTTTTTTTTTTTTTTGAGACAGAGTCTCGCTCTGTCACCCAGGCTGGAGTGCAATGGCGCGATCTTGGCTCACTGCAACCTCTGTCTTCCAGGTTCAAGCGATTCTCCCGCCTCAGCCTACTGAGTAGGTGGGATTACAGGCACCCGCCATCATGCCTGGCTAATTTTTGTATTTTTGTACAGATAGGGTTTCACCATGTTGGCCAGGCTGGTCTTGAGCTCCTGACCTCAGGTGATCCACCTGCCTTGGCCTTGAAATATTTATTCTTATAACAACTATTTATTAAATGATTTGTGCCAGGTTCAAATCATACCTCTGGTACTTATGAGCTGAATGACCTTGGGCAACTTGCTGAACCAATCTGTGCTTTAGTTTCCTCATCTGTAAAATGGGAGCAATAATAGTATCTGATTGATATTATTAATAATTGTACCATATGGGCTTGCGATGAGGATTCACTTAGTTAATAGATGTAAAGTGCTTGCTACATAGTAAGGAGTCAGCATAGTGTTTTGTTTTGTTTTTTTAAGACAGAGTCTCTGTTGCCCAGACTGGAGTGCAATAGTGCAACCTCAGGTCCCTGCAACCTCCGCCTCCCAGGTTCAAGCTACCCTCCTGCCTCAGCCTCCCAAGTAGCCAGGACTACAGGCATAAGCCACCATGCCTGGCTAATTTTTGTACTTTTAGTAGAGATGGGGTTTCACCATGTTGGCCAGGCTGGTCTCAAACTCCTGACCTCAGATGATCTGCCCACCTCAGCATCCCAAAGTGCTGGGATTACAGGCGTGAGCCACCACGCCTAGCCGACAGCTGTAGTTTTTAAGTTGCTCTGCTGGTTTGAATTTTGGATACTGACTTCTTTAAGTGAGTTTTACTTCTATTGTGGAAAATATATATTTTTATATTGTGGGAAATATATATTTCTATTGTGGAAAATATATATTTATGTTATATATCATATATAAATATATATATCATATATATCATATATAAATATATATCGTATATATCATATATAAATATATGATATATAAATATATATATCATATATATATCATAAAATTTGCCATTTTTAACCATAGTACAAGTCAGTGGCATTAATTACATTCACAATGTTGCATAACCATCACCACAAAAACAGTTGTTCAAAAACGTTTCCATTACCCCAGACACTCTGTACATGTTAAGCAATAACTCTCCCACGTGCCCCTCCTCCAGCTCCTGATATGGGTTACTGACTTTTTAACCTCTATGATGGTGTCTACGCCTAGTTCCAGAAACATGGAGAGTTGATAAATAAAAAGGAATTTAACATAATGCCTGCTAATACTAAAAGGTGGTGAAAAAAATAAAACCATGAGAAGGGATGGAGGCTGGGGCTGCAATGACAGATGATCAAGAAACACCCCTCTGAGAAGACATTTGCCCAAAGGGAGGAATGAAGCAAAGGAGTTAGCAATGCAAAAGCCCTGCCATGTGCTATTCATGCTGGGAACCCTTTGAATAAAACCAAAGCTCATTCCTTGGCCCCAGGGGCCTCTCGTCAGAGCCCCTGCCTCAGGCCACTCTGTTTCTCCCCACAGTGCTGATAATTCTCCTTTCCTTTGAATGTACCCACTTTGAAGCCTGGATTCATGGGGAAAAAGAAAATCCAATCTTCTCCTCTTTTGTACAGGTTTAATGTGTATTAATATTTTTAAAAATCAGTGTATCAATATTACAAACTTTCAATATTTTACAGTTTATCATAGCGAGAAGCAAGAGCCCAACACCTTTGGACTTAAATTCTGCCTCTGCCTCTTTGTCACTTTTCGAATCCATCCTTCCCCTCTGCTGGCTCTACAGTGACAATGGCTGCAGTTGACTGAGAGCTTTTCATGTTAGTCGTTCTGGCGCTCAGTTTCCTCAGCTGGAAGAGAAATCTAATGCCTGCCTCACGGGTGGTAGTGGCGGTGGTGAAGGGGTCAGAGTGAATACCCAACGCAGATGGAGTCTCACCCTTCATCAGCATCAGCTGCTGTGAATATAACTTACATTTTTTCTAACAGCTATGCTCCTTTTCTTATAAAATAACTTTGGATGTAAAATTAATATCAAATCATACGCATTTTTTTTTTTACACAATGGAGTCTTGCCCTGTCACCCAGGCTGGAGTGCAGTGGCACAGTCTCGGCTCACTGCAACCTCTACCTCCCGGGTTCAAGAGATTCTCCTGCTTCAGCCTCGCGAGTAGCTGGGATTACAGTCCCCACCACCATGCCTGGCTAATTTTTGTATTTCTGGTAGAGATGGGGTTTCACCATGTTGGCCATCGTTGGCCAGGCTGGTCTCAAACTCTTGACCTCAGGTGATCCGCCCGCCTCAGCCTCCCAAGGTGCTGGGATTACAGGCGTCAGCCACCACACCCAGCCAAATCATAAGCATTTTGTTTTAGTTTTGCTCTGTAGAGTTCAGTCTGAAGTTGCACTTTCATTCTTTAAATGCAACAGTTCCATCTAGTGGCCAAATTGGCTAGGGCAGTGTTTTTATACTGAAATTTAAGTATATGTACATATACTTTAAGTATATGTACATACTTTAAGTATATGTACATATACATATGAATAAAATGCAGTAGAAAATATCAGAGTGCATATAAAATGTTTTATGAAATTTGACGGCTACATTTCATAAAATGATTTTACTGAAATATTAAACTATATTCACGTGTGTGCTTGGGCATAATCTGAAATTTTTTTTTTTGACAGTGAGTTATTTTTAAAATATTCAGAAAGTCACTGGTCTAAGAAATTTGGTTTATAGTAAATCAGGGATGAATACTGGAATTACCTGGGGAGCTTTGAAAATACGATTGCTTTGTCCCACCTCCAGAGGTTCTGATTTATTTGGTCTCTAGTGTCACCTGGGCATCATGATGTTTAAAACCTACTCAGGCGATTATCTGTGCAGCTGAGGTTGAGACTTACTGCCTTAAATCCATCAAAAATTAGAGCCAGGAAAGACCTTTGAGATGATCGACTCTCTTAGTTTTGTGCATGAGAGAACTGAGATCCAGAGAGTTTAAATGACTTGCCAAAAGTCATACTGTAATTAGCAGAGAAGCTTCATGAAGGACCTTGACAGATATTTTGGAGCCTGGAAGACGTTCGGTAAATATTTTATTTCATTTTTGGAAGACTTTTAGAAAGGGAAAGGGAGACAAAATGGAGAATATCTAATGTCTGTCTAGTCTGTTTACCAAATCAAGTTATAATTTGCTTTTATATTTCAATAAAGTTGCAGAATTTATCTGTTAAGTGTTCATTTAGAGTTCATTAAAATTAGATTCTGTGTCTCAACACAATCTACCTCACTGATTTTTTTGTTTTTCACCAACATCCAGTTTGGGTGCATTTACCACCTACATCTCAGAGTACAGTTCGATTATTTTACCTGTTTATTTTCCACTCAGAAAATGTGTTTGTGGGTTGGTGATTCCTTGTCTCTTGCTAATAACTAGGAAATCACTTGCGGCTGTTCATCAAAAACTCCACAGCTTGTAAAGGATGATGAATTAAATGACATATCATACTCAAGAACTCTATTACCTGCTGAGAAAGAAAACACATATAGATTTTTAGGATAGAAAGGACATGAACAGATCAGCCAGAATATAATCATATGTGTTACATGTAGACGTGCCTGCAGGCAGCTAGCTGGTCAGATAATGCTCATGCATGAACTGGAGGAAGGAGTGGGTGTATTTTGGTCAGCGGAAGCTTCCAAAAGATGCTTTTTGAGTGAGGAGAAAGGGAGGGATTTAGAGATAAGTAAAGGCTTGAAGGTATAAGGTTAATAATTGTCTTGTTTAAATTAGAATAAAAACCTTTTGTCATGGAAAATGAGAATCTTTGAGAAGATATGCTGGTATGTGGGGAAAGAGAGAAATATTTGGTCAAGATGTATGCATGGGTGAAATGGGTATGTGGGTTTCTCTTACTAGGAGTTTTTAGTGATACAATGTCAGAGTCCCAAAAGACCTTCCAGGTAAAGCCATCCTCATCGTCATCCAGATGAGGAAGCTGAGACATGGAGACCTCGCTGGGTGACCCCATCGGCCCCCACAAGTCCTGTGCCCTCCTGCCCCGCTGTCTTCCCCCAGCTATAAAAGGCTGTTACCAAATTTAAGAGATAATGAAGAATCACTATATTCTGCACATGTCTTCATCAGCTTAAGTATGTTCGTTTAATAAATTAAAACACGGGCTGGGCACGGTGGCTCATGCCTGTCATCCCAGCACTTTGGGAGGCGGAGGGTCGATTACTTGAGATCAGGAGTTTGAGACCAGCCTGGCCAACATGGTGAAACCCTGTCTCTACTAAAAATACAAAAAAATTAGCTGGGCGTGGTGGAGCACCTGTAATCCCAGCTACTTGGGAGGCTGAGGTGGGAGAATTGCTGGAACCTGGGAGGCAGAGGTTGCAGTAAGCCGAGATCGCACCACTGCACTCCAGCCTGGGCAACAGAATGAGACCCTATCTCAAAAAAACATAATTAATTAAAACATGAATAAAGGTAAAAGCAAACTCTTAAATCCGTACACCTGAGAGTGTAGTACAGAGGCTTGAGCCTGATACGCTCCCATCAAAACTGAAGACTAGAACGTGGATGATAAAACATGATCATTGAATAGCTTAAAGCAGACCATTTAGATCCGGGTTTCCCAGCCTCAGCTATACTGACACCTTAGGCCAGATAATTCTCTGCGGCGGGGGCTGCTGTGCACATTGTAGGATATTTAGCAGCATCTCATGGTGTCTACCCACTAGATGCCAATACTAACCCCTCTGCCCCCACCCCAGATTGTGACAGCCCAAAATGTCTCCTGGGGAGCAAAATTCTCCTCCAACCTCTATTGAGAATCACTGGTGTAGATGATGTAAGAATGTTTTGGAGTACAGTTAGCGAAACTAGGATCAAATGAGTGCGAGTGGGCAGGGAGTCACCAGCAGTGGACCTCACTGAACTGTGTTACTCATTTTGCTAGCTTGAGCTTGGCCCTTGCTAATTGCTCCTACAGAGCTCTGCACACTGCAGGGCACTCAATAAATGCCTCTGAGTGAAGACTGACTCAGCAGTTGGCAATTTATTCACCTTAACGTTGTCTCCACCAGTCCCAGTTTTCTGACCCTTCTAGAGTCATCTTAAAACTAGAGGAGCTGATCTCTCTTTTGGAGAATTTCCAAGGACCATGGCAGTCTCTCATTCACCCTAGGATGTCTGTGAATGTTGTGGACGCTTCAGAAATTCTCTTGACCCAAATCTCGGTCTGACATAAAATCATTTCCAGCCACACTCAAGTGAACAGCGCCTGGGAGCAGGCAGTCATTTGGTTCCCTTCTCTGAATGCATTGGCTCTGATCCACGGCGCCTCAGGAAGTGAAAGGGAGCAGGCAGTGAGGCCAAGCCATGAATGTTGGGCCCTTTTCTTAGAAAACAAAGGGTTCACTTTAGGCTAGGAGGAAACATCCGGGGGTTGGGGGGAGACTCTGACCTTGATCAGAATCAAATAAAAGATGGGATTCAGAGAAAACTGTCTTTCATGCTATGAATAATCATCATTTTGTTGGGCCTTTTATATATTTTCTCTGTCAGAAATTTTACAACAGAAATGATTGACCCTTAAGTTTTTGGAAGGGGTTCTCAAGAAATTTTAGTAGTTTTAATTTTCTTAATCAAGACCTTTTGTTATTTCCTAGGCTATGTGTTGTCATGAGAAGAAATGTCAAAACATGTGATAAAGAGTGGAGAAAATCCATAATTACTCAATATAAGTACAACTGGAAAGTTTCCAAAGAAGATGGTCCAGACATACTAGGAAATGCAAAATGGATGCAACTACTACCACAGACTCCTTAACGGGCCATTGCGTCTCTTAGTAGGGACCACTATTTTAATCTTTCTTTCCAAATACATTGAAAAGCTGAATTCTCTGCAGCAGCGAGCACTCTGTTGGCTTGAATTTGGGGTTACTGGCTTCCTAACTTCCCTTCTGCTATATATATTCTTCACAGCTCCTGATGTAACACGGACTTCTGCAGATTTCCTGTTAACTTAACATCCCTCTCTCCTCTCAGAACTTTCTGCTTCTTAAGGCTCAGCTCCATTGGGCCACTTGAATTGGTCTGATTCCTTTACTCCCTAGGCTGGGAGTACAAGGCTATCTTTGGAAGGGTAATTCTTGACTTTGGCATAGAGTTGTGAAAAGAACGGTTCCCCAATGGCAAAGATGGACCTGCAAACATGAGTGTTGTTTCTTTCAGACAGCCTCTAAGAAAGATGGAAAATTAATTGGGGAAGAGAAACCTGCAGTGGGAATGTGGAAATCTTTGTGGCTCTCATCTGCCTAATATTTTCCATCCCTTAAGATAACCACACTGAGCACTTAAGTAAATGTATAATCTCACCTCATTGTTATCTATCTAGCATCTGTTTAGATAACCACACTGAGCACTTAAGTAAATGTATAATCTCACCTCATTGTTATCTGTCTAGCATCTGTTTTCATCGTAAGATTCTTCTTTGCCATATTTTCTTTATATATTCATCTTTGTTGTTTTCACGTGATTAGTCTAGAAGTCTCCATAGAGTGAGACCAAGGTTTTGCAAGGGAGATAATGAAATTAGTTCATGCCAGGATGGCTCAGAGCAGATGCTAGACATAAATAACAGTTATTGATTAATACAAACTGAAAAATCAATTATATTGCTTTGTATAGTATCTAGCACAGTAAATGACAGTGATCCCCAGAAATAGGCATTTAAGTACTTACTGATAAGACTCAAAAATCATGATAATAAAGTGAGAGGAGTAGATTGCCCACTCCAACAGTTAATTAAAAGAAGGGCTATGTATAAGCCATGGCACTAGTGTTATATGTGCTCTGCAGCATCACTAATTTATTTTTTATTTATCTTACCTGAAAGCTAGTCTAACCCTAGAGGAACAGGAAACTTACTAACTAGTGTTTGCAGTAGAGACGTATCCACGTATATAGGAAATTTGTTTCTCCCTGACTGTCTCATTTACTCAGAATATAATACAAATTGGCCTATTTTCCTCTATAGTGAACCTTTATGGTTTTTTTTTTTTTTTTTTTTTTTTTTTTTGAGGCAGAGCCTCCCTCCACTGCCCAGGCTGGAGTGTGCAGTGGTGCAATCTTGGCTCACTGCAACCTCTGCCTCCTGGGTTCCAGTGATTCCTCTGCCTCAGCCTCCCGAGTAGCTGGGATTACAGGTGCACACCACCATGCCCAGCTAATTTTTTTTTTTCTAGTAGAGATGGGGTTTCACCATGTTGGCCAGACTGGTCTCAAACTCCTGACCTCAAGTGATCCACCCGCCCCCCAATCCTGGGCTTACAAGCGTGAGCCAGTGTGCCTGGCCCCTTTATGTTAATTCTTAACTGAGACCTCACCCTCCTCCTAGCCCTCAGTTGACAGACAGATAGTGCCCTGACATGTGGAGGGCCACACAGCCTTCCAAAGTGTATGATAAATCAGAACAATGGTGACACATGCTAAACTTCTTAAGGGCTAAGTCTTCTTAAATTTGTACAACCAGCATACTGAAGGGGCTGAGCTCAATTGAGGACACATAGGAGAAGGAACAGAGAACTTGGGGTTTGTTTTCCTTTTTGCATCGCTGCCTATAAATGTGCTTTGCTGAATTCCTTCCCACTGGGGAAGCAATACATCTCAGACAGGTGCTATCAAGACTCACTTTCAAGTAGTAAGTCCAAGCCAGTCCAAATCAAAATGTCAGTCCCACACCCAGTTTAAAGGGTCTGCCTCTCCCAGAGGTCGCAGTGAGCCGAGATCATGCCATTGCACTCCAGCCTGGGCAACAAGAGCGAAACTCTGTCTCAAAAAAAAAAAAAAAAAAAAAAAAAGAGTCTGCCTCTCCTTGGTTCAATTTCTCAGATCCATTATGGGGAAGGGGCCTTGTCAATTCTCAGATCAGCCCTCTTTGTTCTTCCTTCATCCCACTCCCAGCCTTCTGGACCTCAAAGTACTATTTCTCCGTTTTTCAGGTCAATATAAGGGAAGGGGAAATAGAAGACAAGGAGCAAAAACTCCAGCCTGTTGCCCAGGCTGGAGTGCAATGGCATGATCTCGGCTCACTGCGACCTCTGGGAGAGGCAGACCCTTTAAACTGGGTGTGGGACTGACATTTTGATTTGGACTGGCTTGGACTTACTACTTGAAAGTGAATCTTGATAGCACCTGTCTGAGATGTATTGCTTCCCCAGTGGGAAGGAATTCAGCAATGCACATTTATAGGCAGCGATGCAAAAAACAAAACAAACTCCAAGTTCTCTGTTCCTTCTCCTATGTGTCCTCAATTGAGCTCAGCCCCTTCAGTATGCTGGTTGTACAAATTTAAGCCAACCCTGCCTGCCGTCTTGCATGCCATCATGACTGGTGCACAAATACTGGGAGCTCTTTCATGGAGCTCATTTGTGAGGAGGCTTTTAGTGGAACTCTCCTTCCTGACACAAATGATATTATCCGATTGTCTTCTTAGGGCTACCACCCCAGTTCCACTCCTACCCCAGCAATCCACCTTATTTCTTCTTACTGGTGGAGTCCTCGCCCTGGCATGTGGCCCTGTTGGATGAAGTCCCTTTAAGATGGTTGGAGCCTGACTCTGTCATGCCTTCTAATTCAGGAAACTCACACCTCCTTACCCCTGACCATGCCCATCTCTGGAAGCACAGGCTACCTTATCCTGACTTCATGGGCAGCTCTCCATAGTTGGTTGCCGTCACTATTCTTTACAAGGGAAGCAGGAACCAGTCTCCATATTTTCAAATCCTCCAAAGCTCCTGGAGCCACATCTCAGGTTCTCTCAAGAAATCTCTAAGTGTGTTCCACCTGATGTGTTCACTGGAGAGGATTCTATAAGCTTCTTCAGCTCAACAGGTCTCAGTCAGGGAGTCAAATGTGATCTGCCCAGTCTCTACAGATGGAACTTCCCTCCCTTGATGAGAGAAGTGGAACTCAATCTGAGGAAAGTAAAAAGCAAAGCGAGGCTGGGCACGGTGGCTCACCCCTGTAATCCCAGCACTTTGGAAGGCCGAGGCGGGTGGATCAACTGAGGTCAGGAGTTCGAGACCAGCCTAGCCAACATGGTGAAACCCCATCTCTACTAAAAATACAAAAATTAGCCGGGTGTGGTGGTGGATGCCTGTAATCCCAGCTACTCGGGAGGCTGAAGTGGGAGAATTGCTTGAACCCAGGAGGCGGAGGTTGCAGTGAGCCAAGATCGTGCCATAGCACTCCAGCCTGGGTGACAAGAGTGAAACTCTGTTGCAAAAAAAAAAAGCGAAGCAACTCCTCTGGTTTCCTGGAATGAATCCCTCTCCAGTCTCCAGTCTTCAGTGAGATAGCCTGGGAGTTGGTGATAGGGATGAGCATCTCAGGAATAGGGTGGCCACTTTTTAGTCAGCCCAGCAGGTGTGTCTAGGAGCTTCTCATTACAGTGTTGCAATAGCCTATTGCCCTTCCTTCAGGTTTTAATGAAAATCCTGAGGTTTAGGGAAAGTCCTTGTGAGGGTTAGTTTTATGTGTCAAATTCACCGGGCCAGAGTACCCAGGTATTTGGTCAAATACCAGTCTGTATTTTTCTGTGAAAGTACTTTTTTAGATGAGATTAACATTTTAATCAGTAGACTTTGAGTAAAGCAGATTACCCTCCATCATGTGGATGGGCCTCATCCAATCAGTTGAAGAGGGCTTGAGAGATAAAGACTGAGGTCCCTCAGGAAGAAGGAATTCTGCCTGCATATTACCTTCAGGCTTGAGCTGCAACCCCAGCTCTCACCTTGGTTCTCCAGCCGCCAGCCTGCCCTGCAGAGTCGGACTTGCCAGCCCCCATAAAGTAGCTCGTTCTGGAGTGAAGGTGACTTCAGAGCCCTTATTACCAATTCCCCAGCGTTCTCAGGTTCATTGTAAGTACAGATCACTTTCATTAGACATTGTTGAAGGAAATTGCTTGACGAAGGAAATTTCTCGCCAGTACCCCTTGCCAAATGTTTGTCCCTAGCAACTTGTTACCCTGGGAACAGCCTCTCTCTCTCTCTCTCTCTCTCTTTCTCCCTCCCTCCTCTACTGCATCTTTCTGTTATTCTCTCTGTCCACTGCCTCTGGGTTCTGCATTGGCCATGCTATGGCTGTAGAAGGGTCTCATTGTGAGCACTCATTTGGTGGAAGCCTATCTTCCAAATCAACTCTAAATTGAAAACAGATCTGTCATTGTCCAGAAACATGCATTGAAGCAGCACCATTTAACTCCGCAACTGAGTGAGTTGCACAGTTTCATCACCACTACTTTGAATTAAAATAGATAACATTTACCAAATACTTACCATGGGCAGGCATTGTTCAAAGCACTCTATTCAAACATCAGTTAATCCTCACCAGATTCTTTGGAGGCTGGTACTTCAGTTAAGGCCATTTTACTAAGGCCCAAGGCCTAGAGGGGTTAAATAACTTATCCAGGGTCATAAACAAAATGTGGCACATATACACCATGGAATACTATGCAGCCATAAAAAAGAATGAGTTCATGTCCTTTTCACGGACATGGATGAAGCTGGAAACCATCATCCTCAGCAAAACAACACAGGAATAGAAAACCAAACACTGCATGTTCTCAGTCATAAGTGGGAGCTAAACAATGAGAGCACATGGACACAGGGAGGGGAACGTCACACACTGGGGCCTGTCGGAGGAGTGGGGAGAAAGGGGAGGGAGAGCATTAAGACAAATACCTAATGCATGCAGAGTTTAAAACCTACATGCCGGGTTCATAGGTGCAGCAAACCATGTCACCCAACCAATATGGCAGGGACAGGTTTCAAATCCCAGAAGTCTGCATTCAAAGCCTATGGTCTTTGCCACAACCTTTGGCCCCTAAAAAGGACATCCTGCTTTAGGGTCAGCCTTATCTTTATAAACAGACTCTTATGTGCTTTGCAAGTATTCGTGACTAAACAGGGTTATATTTTTTTAACTCACTATATATAATCATATCTATGCCAAAAAGAATTTAACAGAAACTTATATTAAAAGAAACAGTAAGTTTTTAGTTTTGCCTTTGCTTTTTTTTTCCACATTAAAAGAGACAAAAATGAATGCTGGCTAAGAAATAAGGAGCTAGGGAGAAACAACTATATCAGAAATGCCTTCAAGGGAAAACGCCAGATGTGAACAGAAGACAACATGGGATTTCTTGGCTGCCATGACAAAAAGTGGAACATAGTAAATTTCACATTTTTCATCATATGATAAAAACGAAGCATGACAGTTCATCAAGAAAGGTACACATTTTATAATACTGAATTTTGAAAGCAACATATTTAATGTTCTTTTTAAATGGCGGCTTGTGTCTTTAGTTGCACATTTAGAGACGTTGCAGATGAGGTCCACATATGAAGGTCAATGCTTATGGCTTTGTAATTTTCCCACCCAAGTCTCTCAAGAAATATCTAGATAAGGAGTTTGTCACACCAGCAGAGCCAATCACATTTTCATTTCATGGGTGGCTGAGGCAGTGGACCTCACTTTTTAAGCCTCTCTGGCCATCTTCTGGCTCCAAGAATATAGTAGGAACAGGCCTGGATTCAGCTTAACCCCAGTTTATATTATTTTTAATTCCAGACACCTTGGTTAAGATAAGTATTTTTAAAAGAATTTTTTGGCTTCTTTCCAATGCCCTTATTTTATTAGCTACATATCTTAAAGTTACTACTTTTGAATTAAAATGATGAAGGATTTCTCTTTGAGATCACTCAGTTGAAAAATCCCTCATTTAACCTGGTGGCCCAATATTTCCCTTATTCCTAGTTTTAAAATAGCTCTCTTTCCCACTTAAGACCTCTTTCTCCAATTCTGCCTATTGTTGATGTGAAGTGACCTCTGACTCAATCTTTTGGGGTGGTAACATGGTTTTCTTTTTTATCCTCTTTCTCCAGAACAAACTTAATTTCTGTAAGTTTCTTTAAGGCCTAAACTCTATGCTTTTACTTGGGATTGTAATTTTATGCTGCTTCTTCAGGTACAGTCCCATGCCAGTGGCATCTATATCACCTAGGAATTGCTTAGAAATGCAGATTGCCTGTCCTCATTCCAGAACTAAAGAATCAAAAATTCTAGGGAGAGGCCCGGTGTTTTAACAAGCTCACCAGATGCATGATTCTGATGCATGCTCAGGTTCGAGTATCACTAGACCAGGTTTTCCTTTCTGAAACTTTTAGACATTTCCTTTCTGTCTCACATATTTTCTAAATCAGTAAGTAGCAGGTAACTGGAGTTAAGATTGTAGACTCTGTATCCCCAACCATCTCAAAACTGGAAGCTTCAGCAACTTTGGAAATCAACAGAATCTAAACAGATACATATGGGTAAATTGCCCCTTTTAAAATCCCTTACCATTAGTTTGCCTTCCCACCCATTCTAATATTCCTAGTATTAGTCTCCAAGTGTGTTGCTATCTGTCCTATGTATCTTAAGTAATGAAGAAGCTCAGAGCTAACAGGTCAATTTCCCCAGCAATCCTTCCAGTGGGAAAATAAAGAGAAATTACCTTTGTGAGTTGTGTTTTAGGGCATCTGGCTCATTCAGCATGGATTTTTCCATTTGCCTGTGGCTGTTAACCAGCCTGCAGTGAAGAGGAATTGCCCATCTGTAGTCAGAAAATTGGAGTGGTGACATATATTTCCTCCCTTGAGTGACACAGAGAGTTCCCTCTCATCATCAATTCACTTAGAAGGACCATTTTCAATAGAAAAATGTACCTGATTCTTGCCCATGTTCAGAAAGCCAGCTAAGAATTCTCAAACATTTCATTTCAGTTCAGCTTTGTGACTAATTTCCCTATATGCCTGCTCTTGATGAGTAACTGACAAATAGCATTTTATGGAAGCTATGATGGAGTATTTTGCTTTTACTGTGACCATTAATGCATTACAAACAAAATGGAAAGTGTGTGGGTTTCATGTCAATCAATTTGCATTTCTTGAAATGAGAATTGGAAAAGCCAGATGGTCTTTCCTTAAAGAACAATAGTTATATTGTTTTGCTGTGGTTCTTACGTTATGCTTAAACGTCAACTGAAACAGACTTTACTTGATATCTTAATCCATGTGTGTTACAATAAAGGAATACCTTTCAACGCAAGACATGGCAGGGCCAAACAAACCATATCCAAACCATAGCACTTGGAAAGCAGGATTATTAAGCATTCTTCAGTGACCTGTGCTATTCATTGGAGTTGTATAGTCATTTTGTACAAGGCACAAACAGAACAAGTGATCATAACACTTGTGTTTAAAAAGCAGATATAGGTAATGTAAGTGTCAGTAAACTACTGATTAAATTAAGGGCCATGTCTCCTAGAACAGCTTGTAATGTCAATTTTGTATAGCCATTTTTCACTTATCCAGTCCCTAAACTTATCTGTGCTCTCTTTCCTCCTTGGCCAGAGATCTTATTTCCCTCTTATTGAGAAACAGAGGACAGCCTCCATGAGCCCCCTGGGTGTGCCTACCCATCTCCACCTGAGAAGATCTCCTACCTCCATTTGGCCCAGTTTGCCAACTGGCTTAACAAGAAAAACTGCTCTCCAGAGATACCACCTTGATCTTCACTGCCCCAGGATCTTCTCTGACAGTTAACTCTTTGTCTCTTGTACTTTTGATTCCTCCCTGTCCCTGTGTGGTTTACAGACTCACACATTGTCTTCCATCTGTGACTCTATTCCATTGCTTTGGGTACTTCCCAGGTTCAGAACCTCATCTTCTCTCACCTGGGCTCCTCATTGATCCCTCCAGCTGCAGCTGCTTTCTTCCCAGAATTTTATGCCAGAATTATTTCATTAAAATACACGTGTGATTATGTTAGTCCCCTACCCAAAAACTCAGAGATCTCCAAAAAGAATTAGAAAAAAAATTTAATATAAGCCTGAAGGTCTTCTACTATCCACCTTGAGGCCTTCTACTTTCTTTTCTAGAACAAGTATCTTCTGCACACCTTTCTGGTTCTTTGAACATCCATGCCCATCTTCAGACCTCTGAACTTCTGCCCTTGTTATTTTCCCATCTGCAGTGTCTTTTCTCCTCTTGTTGAAATCGTCCTCAGTGAAAAACCTTCCTCTGTGTTCCAGTGCAGATCAATGATACCCACTTCCGTGTACCTGCTATGGTTTGAGTGGACCCTCCCAAATTCATGCTGAAATTCAATTGTCATTGTGATGATATTAAGAGCTGGGACTTTTAAGAGGTGATTAATTCATTAATCATAAATTGATTAACACCATTACCTTAGGAGTGAATTCGTTATTTCAGGAGTAGATTCCCAATAAAAAGGATGACTTCAGCCTCAGTTTCTCTCTCTGTTCTGTATGCTAACTTACCCTTATGCCATGTTATGACACAGCAAGAAGGGCCACACCAGATGCTGAGGAGATGTTGCTGTCACGTCCTTGGACTTCTCAGCCTCCAGAACTGTGAGAAATAAATTTATTTTCTTTATAAATTTCTCAGTCTCAGATATTCTTTTATAGCAGCACAAAACCCACTAGAATAGCACCTATTTTATGCTTTCATTATAGCACTGCCTTCCATTGTAGTTAGTTCTATGTGTCTGAGATCAGGAATAGCGTCTTTTTCCTTTTCTTTTTATCTTTCCCAGCAACAAACATGGTGATTTATGAAAATTAGATGTTGAAGCACTGAATTACATTGTGTACTGTTAGCCAAATGGATAATCACAGAGGTATTATAGGGAAGAAGACAATGTGGATTCATTTTCATCAGACATTGTCTTCTGTAATATTATTTAAATGCAATGTACTTCCCCCATATCTAGAATTTTTATCTATTGGTGAATTGAATTATTATTTTGAAGTTCTCATATGAAGAAGGCATTTATGTGTGTAAAGTAGAAAGATCAGGCTGGGATTAGAAATGCTAATACGTTCTAGCCCTGGCTGTTCACAAACCCAGCTGCATGGGTTCTGTAATGTCATTTAAAACTTTGGGAAGACTCAATTTCCTCATCTCTGAAATGAGGAAACTACATTCTCCCTAAACTTTCTACCAAGTCTAAGATTTTGTTATTTTAACCATCACTATTGTCTTTTGTCAGCTTTTGTTATATAAAATGTACTAGTTTTTATGTTTGATGCGTTGTTTTTCATAGCATAGACAACTGTACTTTGAATGCTTCAAGGATTTCCTGATTACTAAGAGGTCCCAACCCTAATAATTAATTCCCTGAGAGAGAGAGAGAGTTAGGCAGCTCACTTCTTCCTAATCTTTTTGTGGAGTCACCAAGAACAAAGTCTACTAGAAGAAAAGGTGTGGAGAAGATTTCTAAGCCCACAGCATGCCACTCTCAGGAACTACCCTCTCTTTTCCAACAAATATTTATTGTGCCCTTATTATGTACCAGGCACTGTTCTAGGCATGAGAATGCAGTGATGAGCGAGACAGACAAGGACCCTTCATTCTGGTAGTTTATAGTGGAAAAGAAAAGAAACATGATAAACAAGAAAACAAATTTTAAAAAGGTCATTTTTACCTAGTGATATGGATCAAGGGAACAATAAGAGAGAGTGTTGTAATAGGTTTTTGAATACCTAGTTTAGCTCAGGTGAACATGAAGGGTCCAGAATAATTAAAGCAGCCACATGTGCAAAGATCTAGGGGCCCCAGGGAAACTACCCAACTATAAGAACATTCGTGCTCCTAGTACAGGGGGAAACAAACTCCTAGGAGTCAGATCCAGTTTCCCCAGTGGAGACGATTTCTGAGGAGTGGGTTCCTGACAAAAAGATGAGTTTTGCCTGCATTTTTCTTTCTCTCATTCTCACTTGCATGAAGCATCATTAGACCTGATTTAAAGCTCAAATCCTCTCTAGGACAAAGCTATAATGCATAGATCATCTTTGATAGCAGAAAAAAGCGACTCTACTTGTTTCTGCATTACATACACTGCAAACATGGGGTTCACATTTGTGAAACATTTCTGTAGGCAGACTTGGCTATTTTTATAGTCTATGGCATAAAAGAGATAGGCTTCAAGTCATGTGCAGTTTGTGGGAATTGAACCACTTTTAGGTCCAATTCAGGAATGTACATTAAAATGAAAGCTCATAAGAATGATACTGATAGTAGCCCTAATTAAATTTTCACTGACAAACTTTAGTACTTCCTTTTCAAAACAATTAGCATCTTGTAGTTCATCAAGATTATAGGAGTGAGAGACCTATAGAATTAGATCCACATTCCTCAGCCAGTCCCCACTTGAGCCACTCATCCCTTAAATACCATTACATACCATTACATGCTGGCTCTTAGGGTGAGCTTCATCCCAGTCATGCTATAGAGAATAATGGACAGGATTTTGAACTTCAAAGTTATGCAAACCTGAGTTTACATCTCCATTTTGCCATATACTTGCTGTGTGACCAATTAGACTTTCTCAACCTTGGGAATAACAGTATCTAACTTACAATGTCATAGGAAGTACTCAGTAAGTGATATGATTATTGATAAAAAATGAAAGCTCTGTTGTTATTATTGCCGGGCTTCTAATTGCCTCTGAAAAGCACTCCTCCCTGTTAATAACTATGAGCATTTGCCTAGCTGTATACCCCATCTAGAAGGTCCTTTCCCACCCTCATCCCAATATGCCCAGTGAAATCCTTTTTATCCAGTGGAGGCCAGTTCAAGTTTTGCTTTCTTCTCCATCCACAGTCAACCTTCTGATTAGTTCCATCTTCTCTGAAGTCTGTGAGCCCTTACAGACAATACCATGCTTTTTGTTCTTTCACCACTGCTTGCCTGCCCCATATCCCTCTTTCTGATCCAGCCTATAACCTCAGGAAGGGCAATGTATTAGTCAGTTCTCACACAGCTATAAAGAAGTACCTGAGACTGGATAATTTATGAAGAAAAGAGGTTAACTGGCTCGTGGTTCCACAGGCTGTACAGGAAGCATGGCGACATCCGCTCAGCTTCTGGAGAGGCCTCAGGGAACTTACAATTGTGGCAGAAGGCAAAGGAGGAGCAAGACGTCTTACAAGGTGGAACAGTAGCAATAGAGAGAGGGGAAGGTGCTACACACTTATAAACAACCAGATCTGGTGAGAACTCACTCACTATCATGACAGCAGCACCAAAGGGGATGGTGTAAAACCATTCATGAGAGAGCGCCTTTCTGATCCAATCACCTCCCACCAGGCCCCATCACCAATACTGGGGATTACAACTGAACATGAGATTTGTGTAGGGACACAGATCCAAACCATATCAGGCAATAATCTTGTCTTCTATTTATCGTACCTTCCTCTTCACTGAAATGATGAATCGATGAACAAATAAATGAATATCCTCAGTGTAAAGATTTTCCTGTAGTTCAAATCAATGTCACCCACCTCTGGGAACCCATTTTATATCTTTATGACAGCATCATCTTGACTTTGTAGGTAATTGTGTCTGAGATCAGGGGCACTTGCCTGCAGGGAGACAAATTATAAGAATGAAGCAATCTTGTGGAGAGCGACTCTAAAACCATGTAAGGGAAGAGGTTTTCTTGGGAGGATTATACATTTTTGAAATGTGGGTAGCAGTCTAATAGTAGATCAATAAATCATTCTGTCTAGTAGGTTGCCATCAGCAATTTTTTAGTTGAATGTAATAGAATAGAATAGAATAGAATAGAATAGAATAGAATAGAATAGAATAGAATAGAATAGAATAGAATAGAAAACATCAGGGCGAATTGCATGTAATAAAGTTAACAATTATTTGGTGAAAGAAATTACTGAATCCACTCCCAGAATTTCTGATTCTATAGGTCTGGGGTGACAACTGCGACTTTCCATTTCTAACATGAGTTTGCTTGAACAGAGTCTTAATATAAAATGTTTTCCTTGCTGTAGGTCTCAGTCAAAAAATGTTTGAGAAAAACATTGCTCTACTTCATAGATTAAAGAGTGAGGTCTAAGGGACGCATTTTTATAATTTCACCCAGAGTGCTCTGACATAGGTTATCTTGGAACATTTTAACATCTTTGCCAGGTAGGTAGGAATATGTGATATTACAGTCATTTTAGAGAAAGGGGGACCAGGGGATTTAGATATACTTAACAGATCTTTGTTGATCAGGCAATTTGGCTTAGCATAGCCACCCAGGTAGACAGCAATTGATTTAGAACCAGAACCCAGAATTGAAACTGTTAAATTGTAATTTCTTCACTAATTAAATAAGTGGTTTCTAAACTGTTCAGGGTTTATCATAAGGGTTATGAAAAAATTCTCTGAAGATTTTTTAAAATTTATAAACAAGAAGTCACGTTAAGTCATGCCACTTTTAACTCTGAACTTGGAGGTTGTCATAGTCCCAAAATAAGCAACAGCAGCAACTGCAAAACAAAACGGTAGAAAATGATTAATAAATGCAGAGTAAGTGATATTAGAAAATCATTGTCTTGCAATCCCAAAGGAAAGAATGGATCTAGACAGCCAGTGAAACAGACCGACACATCCCAAGCATTGGCCTGTCTCAGAATTTCTAACAGCGAGTCACAGAGATCTTTTGTGCTTCATAATTGATACAGTGGGAAGGACAGCACCATCTGTCAAGAATTCTTGCCTTAAAAAAAGGATCTAGAACCAGAAATGCCATTTGACCCAGGAATCCCATTACTAGGTATACACCCAAAGGATTATAAATCATTCTACTGTACTATAAAGACAGGCACATGTATGTTTATTGCAGCATTATTTACCATAGCAAAGACTTGAAACCAACCCAAATGCCCATGAATGATAGAATGGATAAAGAAAATGTGGCACATATACACTATGGAATACTATGCAGCCATAAAAAATGAGTGTGGTGGCTCACACCTGTAATCCCAGCACTTTGGGAGGCCGAGGTGAGTGGATTACCTGAGGTCACGAGTTTGAGACCCGCCTGACCAACATGGGAAAACCCGTCTCTACTAAAAATACAAAAGTAGCCAGGTGTGGTGGCGCATACCTATAATCCCAGCTACTTGGGAGGCTGAGGCAGGAGAATTGTTTGAACCCAGGAGGCAGGGGTTGCAGTGAGCCAGGATCATGCCATTGCACTCCAGCCTGAGCAACAAGAGCAAAACTCCATCTCAAAGAAAAAAAGAAAAAATGAGTTCATGTCCTTTGTAGGGACATGGATGAGGCTGGAAGCCATCATTCTCAGCAAATTAACACAGGAACAGAAAACCAAACACCGCATGTTCTCATTCATAAGTTGGAGTTGAACAATGAGAACACATGGACACAGGGAGGGGCCTGTCAGCAGGGTGGGGGGCTAGGGGAAGGAGGGCATTAGAACAAATACCTAATGCATGCAGGACTTAAAACCTAGATGACAGGTTGATAGGTGCAGCAAACCACCATGGCACATGTATACCTATGTAACCTGCACATTCTGCACATGTATCCCAGAACTTAAAGAAAAAAATGAACCTGAACATAACTAAGGCTCTAAATCTAACTACCAACTTATAGGGAAGCTAATTGAAGAAGGCAAATGACAACAGGAGGAGTGGCACCCAGCTAAATCTACACTGTGAGATATTCAACAACATTAGTACCCAAGGAGGAGATCTTGGAGGGCTTGTTAAACAGAAATGTCTTGGGCCCTACTCCCAAAGTTTGTGATTCTGTGGGACAATATTTGCATTTCTGGCAAGTTCCCAGGAGATACTAATGCCACTGATCCAGGGGCCACACTTTGAAAACCACTGGTCGATAGGATAAACAACCTGCTTATCCAACCAATCAGTGACGTGAGAGGGAGTGGGGATATTATAGAATAAAATGCCTTCTAACAGCCTACAAACTTAAGACAATGTATAGACTTCACCTGGATCTTAATTCAAGGCAGCTGCAAAAAGAAATGTTGAAGCAACTGGGAACTAAATGTAGACAAAGTGTGGAGTTAAATTAAGAAATTATCCTTGATAGGGCAACATGGTGGAATAGGATCAGCTCCGGTCTGCAGCTCCCAGTGAGATCGACAGAGAAGGCAGGTGATTTCTGCATTTCCAACTGAGGTACCTGGTTGATCTCATTGGGACTGGTTGGACAGTGGGTGCAGCCCATGGAGGGCGAGCAGAAGCAGGATGGGGTGTCGCCTCACCCGGGAAGTGCATGGGGTCAGGGAATTTTCTCCCCTACCCAAGGGAAGCCATGAGGAACTGAGCCTGAGGAACTCCAGCACAGATACTGCACTTGTCCCATGGTCTTCACAACCTGCAAACCAGGAGATTCCCTCCATTGTCTACTCCATCAGGGCCCTGGGTTTCAAGCACAAAACTGGGCAGCCATTTGGGCAGACACTGAACTAGCTGCAGGAGTTCTTTTTTTCCATACCCCAGTGGTGCCTGGAACCCCAGCAAGACAAAACCGATAACCTCCCTGGAAAAGGGTGCTGAAGCCAGGGAGCCAAGTGGTCTGGCTCGGCAGGTCCCACCCCCACGGAGCCCAGCAAACTAAGATCCACTGGCTTGAAATTCTCGCTGCCAGCACAGCAGCAGTCTGAGATTGACCTGGGGCACTCGAGCTTGCTTGGGGGAGGGGCCTCCACCATTGCTGAGGCTTGAGTAGGTGGTTTTATGCTCACAGTGTAAACAAAGCCGCTGGAAAGTTCAAACTGGGTGGAGCCCACTGCAGCTCAGCAAGGCTGCTATGGCCAGACTGCCAGATTTTTCTTCTCTGGGCAGGGCATCTCTGAAAAAAAGGCAGCAGACCCAGTCAGGGACTTGCAGATAAAACCCCCATCTCAATGGGACAGAGCATGAGGGGAAAGGCCTGGCTGTGGGCACAGCTTCAACAGACTTAAACGTCCCTAACTGATGGCTCTGAAGAGAGCAGCAGACCTCCCAGCACAGCGTTGGAGCTCTGCTAAGGGTCAGACTGCCTCCTCGAGTGGGTCCCTGACCCCTATGTATCCTGACTGGGAGACATCTCCCAGTAGAGGCTGACAGACACCTCCTACAGGAGAGCTCTGGCTGGCATCTGGCAGGTGCCCCTCTGGGACAAAGCTTCCAGAGGAAACAAGAGGCAGCAATCTTTGCTGTTCTGCAGCCTCCACTAGTGATACCCAGGCAAACGGGGTCAGGAGTGAACCTCCAGCAAACACCAGTATACTGGCAGCAGAGGGGGCTGACTGTCAGAAGGAAAACTAACAAACAGGAATAGCATGTCCACTCAAAGACCCCATCCAAAGGTCACCAACATCAAAGACCAAAGGTAGGTAAATCCACAAAGATGGGGAGAAACCAGGGCAGAAAGTCTGAAAATTCCAAAAACCAGAATGCCTCTTCTCCTCCAAAGGATCACAACTCCTTGCCAGCAAGGGAACAAAACTGGATGGAGAATGAGTTTGACAAGTTGACAGAAGTAGGATTCAGAAGGTGGGTAATAACAAACTCCACCAAGCTAAAGGAGCATGTTCTAACCCATCACAAGGAAGCTAAAAACCTTGAAAAAAGGTTAGAGGAATGGCTAACTAGAATAACCAGTTTAGAGAAGAACATAAATGACCTGATGGATCTGAAAAACACAGCACAAGAACTTCGTGAAGCATACACAAGTATCAATAGCTGAATCAATCAAGCAGAAGAAAGGATATCAGAGATTGAAGATCAACTTAATGAAATAAAGCGTGAAGACAAGATTATGGAAAAAAAATAAAAAGGAATGAACAAAGACTCCAAGAAATATGGGAGTATGTGGAAAGACCAAATCTACGTGTGATTGGTGTACCTGAAAGTGACGAGAAGGGAAGCAAGTTGGAAAACACTTTTCAGGATATTATCCAGGAGAACTTCCCCAAAGTAGCAAGGCAAGCCAACGTTCAAATTCAGGAAATACAGAGAACACCACTAAGATACTCCTCGAGAAGAGCAACCCCAAGACACATAATCATCAGATTCACCAAGGTTGAAATGAAGGAAAAAATGTTAAGGGCAGCCAGAGAGAAAGGTCGGGTTACCCACAAAGGGAAGCCCATCAGACTAACAGCAGATCTCTCTGCAGAAAGCCTACAAGCCAGAAAAGAGTAGGGGCCAATATTCAACATTCTTAAAGAAAAGAATTTTCAACCCAGAATTTCATATCCAGCCAAACTAAGCTTCATAAGAAAAGGAGAAATAAAATCCTTTACACACAAGCAAATGCTGAGAGATTTTGTCACCACCAGGCCTGCCTTACAAGAGCTCCTGAAGGAAGCACTAAACATGGAAAGGAACAACTGGTACCAGCCACTGCAAAAACATACCAAATTGTAAAGAACATCAACACTGTGAAGAAACTGCATCAACTAATGGGCAAAACAACCAGCTAGCTTCATAATGACGGGATCAAATTCACACATAATATTACCCTTAAAGGTAAACGAGCTAAATGCCCCAGTTAGAAGACACAGACTGGCAAATTGGATAAAGAGTCAAGACCCATCAGTGTGTTGTGTTCAGGAGACCCATCTCACATGCAAAGACACACATAGGCTCAAAATAAAGGGATGGAGGAATATTTACCAAGCAAATGGAAAGCAAAAAAAAGGCAGGAGTTGCAATCCTAATCTGTGATAAAACACACTTTAAACCAACAAAGAACGAAAGAGAAAAAGCCATTACATAATGGTAAAGGGATCAATGCAGCAAGGAGAGCTAACTATCCTAAATATATATGCACCCAACACAGGAGCACCAGATTCATAAAGCAAGTTCTTAGACACCTACAAAGAGACTTAGACTCCCACACAATAATAGTGGGAGATTTTGACAACCCACTGTCAGTATTAGATCAACAAGACAGAAAATTAACAAGGATATTCAGGACTTGAACTCAGCTCTGGACCAAGCGGAACTAATAGACATCTACTGAACTCTCCACCCCAAATCAACAGAATGTACATTCTTCTCAGCACGTATCACACTTATTCTAAAACTGACCAAATAATTGGAAGTAAAACACTCCTCAGCCAATGCAAAAGAACAGAAATCATAACAAACTGTCTCTCAGACCACAGTGTAATCAAATTAGAACTCAGGATTACAAAACTCACTCAAAACCACACAACTACATGGAAACTGAACAAACTGCTCCTGAATGACTACTGGGTAAATAATGAAAGAAGGCAGAAATAAAGGTGTTCTTTAAAATCAATGAGAATGAAGACACAACATACCAGAATCTCTGGGACATATTTAAAGCAGTGTGTAGAGGGAAATTTATAGCACTAAATGCCCACAAGAGAGTGTAGGAAAGATCTAAAACTGACACCCTAACATCAAAATTAAAAGAATTAGAGAAGCAACAGCAAACAAATTCAAAAGCTAGCAGAAGACAACAAATAACTAAGATCAGAGCAGAACTGAAGGAGACAGAGACATGAAAAAACTTTCAAAAAATTCCAGGAGCTGGCTTTTTGAAAAGATCAACAAAATAGACCACTAGCCAGACTAATAAAGCAGGAAAGAGAAAAGAATCAAATAGACACAATAAAAAGTGATACAGGGGATATCACCACTGATCCCACAGAAATACAAACTACTATCGGAGAATACTATAAACACCTCTATGCAAATAAACTAGAAAATCTAGAAGAAATGGATAAATTCCTGGACACATATACCCTCCCAAGTCTAAGCCAGGAAGAAGTCAAACCTCTGAATAAACCAATAACAAGTTCTGAAATTGAGGCAGTAATTAATAGCCTACCAACCAAAAAAAGTCCAGGACCAGACAGATACATAGCCAAATTCTACCAGAGATACAAAGAGGAGCTGGTACCATTCCTTCTGAAACTATTCCAAACAAAAGAAAAAGAGGGAATCCTCCCTAACTCATTTTATGAGGCCAGCATCACCCTTTTACCAAAACCTGGCAGAGACACAACAAAAAAAGAAAATTTAGGGCCAGTATCTCTGATGAACATCGATGCAAAAATCCTCAATAAAATACTGGCAAACCAAATCCAGCAGCACATCAAAAAGCTTATCCACCACAATCAAGTCAGCTTTATACCTGGGATGCAAGGCTGGTTCAACATATGTGAATCAATAAACATAATCTATCACATAAACAGAACAAATGACAAAAACCACATGATTATCTCAATAGATGCAAAAAAGGCCTTTGACAAAATTCAACACCCATTCATGCTAACAACTCTCAATAAACTAGGTATCAATGAAATGTATATCGAAATAATAAGAGCTATTTATGACAAACCCACAGCCAATATCATACTGAATGGGCAAAAACTGGAAGCATTCCCTTTGAAAATGGGCACAAGACAAGGATGCCCTCTCTCATCACTCCTATTCAACATAGTATTGGAAGTTCTGGCCAGGGCAATGAGGCAAGAGAAAGAAATAAAGGGAATTCGAATAGGAACAGAGGAAGTCAAATTGTCTCTGTTTGCAGATGGCATGATTGTATATTTAGAAAACCCCATCATCTCAGCCCAAAATCTCCTTAAACTGATAAGCAACTTCAGCAAAGTCTCAGGATATAAAATCAATGTGCAAAAATCACAAGCATTCCTATACACCAGTAACAGACAAACAGCCAAATCATGAGTGAACTCCCATTCACAATTGCTACTAAGATAATAAAATACCTAGGAATACAACTTACAAGGGATGTGAAGGACCTCTTCAAGAAGAACTACAAACCACTGCTCAAGGAAATAAGAGAGGACACAAACAAATGGAAAAACATTCCATGCTCATGAATAGGAAGAATCATTATCGTGAAAATGGCCATACTACCCAAAGTAATTTATAGATACAATGCTATCCCCATCAAGCTACCATGGACTTTCTTCACAGCATTGCAAAAAACTACTTTAAACTTCATGTGGAAACAAAAATAGCCCAAATAGCAACACAATCCTGGGCAAGAAAGAATAAAGCTGGAGGCATCATGCTACCTGACTTCAAAATATACTACAAGGCTACAGTAACCAAAACAGCATGTTACTGTTACCAAAACAGATATATAGACCAATAGAACAGAACACAGGCCTCAGAAATAACACCACACATCTACAACCATCTGATCTTTGACAATCCTGACACAAACAAGCAATGGGGAAAACATTCCCTATTTAATGAATGGTGTTGGGAAAACTGGCTAGCCATATGCAGAAAACTGAAACTGGACCCCTTCCTTACACCTTATACAAAAAATGGATCAAAGACTTAAACGTAAGACCTAGGACCATAAAAATTCTAGAAGAAAACCTGGGCAATACCATTCAGGACACAGGCATGGGCAAACACTTCATGTCTAAAACACAGAAAGCAATGGCAACAAAAGCCAAAATTGACAAATGGGATCTAATGAAACTAAAGAGCTTCTGCACAGCAAAAGAAACTATTATCAGAGTGAACAGGCAGCCTACGGAATGGGAGAAAATTTTTGCAATCTATCCATCTGACAAAGGGCTAATATCCAGAATCTACAAAGAACTTAAACAAATGTACAAGAAAAAAGCAAACAACCCCATCAAAAAGTGGCAAAGGATATGAACAGACATTTCTCAAAAGAAGACATTTATGCAGCCAACAGACATATGAAAAAATGCTCATCATCACTGGTCATTAGAGAAATGCAAATTAAAACCACAGTGAGATACCATCTCACACCAGTTAGAATGGTGATCATTAAAAAGTCAGAAAACAACAGATGCTGGAGAGGATGTGGAGAAATAGGAATGCTTTTACACTATTGGTGAGAGTGTAAATTAGTTCAATCATTGTGGAAGACAGTGTGGCGATTCCTCAAGGATCTAGAACTAGAAATACCATTTGACCCAGCAATCCCATTACTGGGTATATACCCAAAGGATTATAAATCATTCTACTATAAAGACACATGCACACATATGTTTATTGCGGTGTGGTTCACAATAGCAAAGACTTGGAATCAACCCAAATGTTCATCAATGATAGACTGGATAAAGAAAATGTGGTACATATACACCATGGAATACTATGCAGCCATAAAAAAGGATGAGTCCATGTCCTTTGCAGAGACATGGATGAAGCTGGAAACCATCATTCTCAGCAAACTATCACAAGAACAGAAAACCAAACACCGCATGTTCTCACTTATAAGTGGGAGTTGAACAATGAGAACACATGGACACAGAGAAGGGAACATCACACACCAGGGCCTGTCAGGGGGTGGGGGGCAAGGAGAGGGATAGCATTAGGAGAAATACCTAATGTAGGTGACGGGTTGATAGGTGCAGCAAACCACCATGGCATGTGTATACCTATGCAACAAAACTGCACGTTCTCCACATGTATCCTAGAACATAAAGTATAATAAAAAAAAGAAAAAAAAGAAATTATCCTTAATTCTACTGAATGTAATAGTATCGTTAGGATTACATTAAAACTTTTATTTTAAAAATTCATGATGAAGGAATTTTTGTGATCAAATGATAGGATTCTGAAATAGGATTATCAAAATGTTGATAGTTGGTAAAGCTGGTAATAGGTATCTGGGGGCTTGTTATGCTATTATCTGTACTTTTGAGCATGTATGAAAGTTTTCACAATAAGCTCTTTTTAAAAATCACTACTGCCTACACTAGACTTCTTCACCTTATAGAGAAGTACACCCTCTTCATCTAGAGATCAGCTTTAAGTGGCCTCAGCCAGCCCTGAAAAAAAAAAAAACCCAAAACCTAGAAATAAACAAAGATAAATTACCTTTATGCTCCAGAAGTCGCTGTAACAAGACTCTGCTAAAGCCATGAATCTTACCTTGTTTAATATCATTCAGACTTATTTAATGTACACTTCTATAAAAGCTGGCTTGCATAGTTTCTCATTCCAGATCTTATCTAGTAAAGGAAGACTGCTGGAAGTGGGTACAGTGACAGCAGGAAAAATCACATCTTATAGCCTGACATTTGGAGAACCAAAAAAGTATAAAAGAATTGGATCAACACATTATACAATGGTGGATTATTGATTAATTCATCAGTAATAACACTGTTAGCCTTTATAGAGCATTTATGTGTCAGTTACCCTTCCAATTTCTTTACTTATATTAATGCTGTTAATCCACAGGGAAATCCACGAATTGACATTGTTGGATTCTATATTTTACAGATAAGGGAGCACACTGGAGCACAGAGGGGTTAAGTAACTTGGCTGAGGTCACAGAGCAGAGAGCTTCTGCTCTGAACCACTGTCGGTGCATCCATATTAATAAAAGTTAAACTACATTCAATGTCCTTTATTTAAGACATATATTGGGATGAAATGAAAGTATAAAAGGCAATTTAGGCATTTGTTTTCTATTGAAATTTGTTTTAAAGAGTTTTTAAGATATCTAAAGGGATAAATGGGCTATTTGGAAATCTCCCTGAAGAACGCATGTATGGGAGAAATAGCATAGACTTTGAAGTTAGAGGAGACCTGGGGTCAGATTCCTCGGCAAGTTACTTGACCTCTCTCACTCTCAGATCTCTTGGCTTTAAAGTGGAGGTAGTGCATCACAATGTGGTTCTAAAGATCAAATGAGTGAATGGTCTAGAATTCGTTCATATTCCCCCTTCTCATGTGGAGAAGCTGGTGATGCCAAGTAGATAAATCATTACTTTAAAATAGGCAAAAGAGGCCAGGCACGGTGGCTTACGCCTGTAATCCCAGCAGTTTGGGAGGCCGAGGCAGGTGGATCACGAGGTCAGGAAATCAAGACCATCCTGGCTAACACGGTGACACCCTGCCTTTACTAAAAATACAAAAAATTAGCCGGGCGTGGTGGCAGGTGCCTGTAGTCCCAGCTCCTCGGGAGGCTGAGGCAGGAAAATGGCGTGAACCTGCGAGGTGGAGCTTGCAGTGAGCCGAGATCGCGCCACTGCACTCCAGCCTGGGCAACAGTGCAAGACTCCGTCTAAAAAAAAAAAAAAAAAATAGGCAAAAGATACTTAATATCCAGAACTTAAAAATGCGAAAGTCCAGTTAAGGATTAGGCACATACTGAAGAGAACACTTCATAAGCCCAGGCCTTCATAATGGATACCCATTAATGACGCTGATATCACCATTTAAACAACACTTACTGAGCCAGCTTTCCCTCCGTCAAGTTCTCAGGCCCATGATGCACAGGCCAACCTTCCTCCTAGGCCTGTCTGCTGATTCCTCAGTTAAAAAGAAGAAAATTCCCTTGGAACAGTGGATCAGCAGGATGTATGGGCAACTCAGCTGTTTTGTAAGGCATTCCAAGCATGGCTGAAAGGCCTCAGCAGGATCTGCACACACACAGGCAGCATTGAAAGAAACCTCAGACACACTGACTAGGGCTGGCCCCCCACAAGGCAGCAGGAGAAGTGAGAGCCTGTTGTGGGCCAGGCATTGTGCAATGTATCCAGGCCGGGGTAGGGACCGAGCCAACTGGACAGCAGCTGTGAGAACTAGGATCCACAGGCGCCAAAACAGGACTGGAGTCCAGGCTTTTAAGTATGGAGTGAGAAATCGGTCTGAGCATGGAACTTATATTTGTTATATTTTTTAAATAAATATATTTATATACCTTTATATATGTACATAAAATATATAAATATACATTGGTATCATTTCCACTGATATAAAGCCCTTAATATTTGCTGGCTTTAAGAATGGCCATAATCAAAAACTCAAAAAATAATAGATGTTGGTGTGGATGTGGTGAAAAGGGAACACTTTTACACTGCTGGTGGGAATGTAAACTTGTACAACCATTATGGAAAACAGTGTGGAGATTCCCTAAGGAACTAAAAGTAGATCCACCATTTGATCCAGCAATGCCACTCTTGGGTACCTACCTGAGGAAAAGAAGACATTATATGAAAAAGATACTTGCACACACATATTTATAGCAGCACAATTTGCAATTGCAAAAATATAGAACCAGACCAGATGTCCATCAATCAACAAGTGGATAAAAATGTGAGATGTACATATAATAGAATACTACTCAGCTATAAAAAGGAATGAAATAATGGTATTTGCAGCAACCCGGGTGGAATTGGAGACCATTATCATAAGTGAAGTAACTCAGAAATGGAAAACCAAACATCATATGTTCTCATAAGTGGGAGCTAAGTTATGAGGATGCAAAGGCATAAGAATGATACAATGGACTTTGGGAACTGGGGGGAAAGGGTGGGAGGGGGATGAAGGATAAAAGTCCACATGTTGGGTACAGTGTATACTGCTCAGGTGATGAGTTCAGGAATCTCAGAAATCACCACTGAAGAACTTATTCAATGCCAATACCAGAACTTAACCAATACCACCTGTTCCCCAAAAACCTATCGAATTAAAAAATAAATAAAATTTAGAATATATTTCTCTTAAAATTTTTTTAAAAAAGAAAATTACTGGCTTAATGATGGGATCATTAGTATGGTAATATTTATAAAAGCAAAAAAGACATTGGGAGAATCTAAATATTCATCAGGAAAGAAATTGATGGTGAAAATGTGGCACATTCTTGGGATGGAATATCACAGTTATACAAAAGAATAGATTGGATTTAAACTTACTGACATAGAGCCATTGCAAAAAAAATGAATTTTAAAAGTACAAAATATGTCTCATATAATGTATGTAAATTTTAAAATAAAAAACATATAGAGGTATATTTATATATATGGAATTTGCTAATAGACTAATGGGGTATATAACAAATGTATAAAAATAGTTGCATCTTTGGAAGGAGGAGGGGAATCAGCCTGGATTTGCAGGTCAAAAGGGAATTCAACTTTATGTTATGTTATATTTCCTTTACTTTAAAAAGATCTATTGGAAATAAGGGAGCCTGGAGGCCTGAAGCCAAAAGGAACTGTAAATAAATACAGTGCTTTTGTTGATTAAATCATTTCCCACAAGGAGGAGACTAACAATTCTCATACAGCTATACATGTATCCTGGAATTGAACAATTAAGTAATTGGCAGAGGGCAGGATTCAGGTTTCTCACAACTGGGGTTGAATGTACAGATCAGCAACAGGAGGAGGCTAGAATGATCCATGGTAATGAGTCAAAGTTGGAGATATTTGCTTATGGAGAACTCATGCTTAACTTAATATAGATTAAGATTAATAATTTAATATACAGTAGAGATAGAAATATTTATGGATATATGTATATACAGAGGTTAGTATATGCACATATAATTATTTGCTCCGTCAATAGAGGGGACCTAAAAGAAATGACAGCAAAGTAGCAACAACAACATCTAGCACCCAGATCTTGATTTCTAATAATATTCTCTAATAAAAGGAATAAGGGCTCCTTAGAGAAATGGATTATTCTGGGACTGGAGTATCTTGTAGTACCAGGAAGTAAGGAGTTCTTTTAAAAAAGGATGGAAGGGTGGTAAGTCAAAGGGCCCAGGAAGCCAACGAAAGAGCTCCCAATGGCCAAAGCTGGAAAAACTTGAGCAATAAAATAAAGTAGTATTGGATTATAACCCAAAATCTGAATAAATATCAATGAGTCCATACTAATATAAACTGTTTAATAAATTAATACATAGGGAAGAAGAGACAAGTCTTCTATGCAGAATAATTTCAAATTATATAGATTATGTAATGATGTAGATACTCTCCTCTAAAAGAGGGGGGCATAACTCTCACCCTTTAAATGTGGGCTACACATAATGATTTCCTTCTAACGAGTACAGTATGAAAATGAGGGGAGAGGAATAACTTGAAAGTGGAGAAAACCAACACTGTGTTAGCCAGGTGCTCAAGGTCAGTGTCAACACTCATAAACTATGTTGATGGTAAATATCCTTGCTATCATGAAAATGGCACTTAAATTCTGTGATCTTTCTCCCAAAAAAAAAAATATATATATATATTTATAACCCTTTGGGTTATAAATCCCATAATGGGATTGCTGGGTCAAATGGTATTTCTGGTTCTAGATCCTTGAGGAATTGCCACACTGTCTTCCATAATGGTTGAATTAATTTACATTCTCACCAACAGTGTAAAAGCGTTCCTATTTCTCCACATCCTCTCCAGCATCTGTTGTTTTCTGACTTTTTAATGATCACCATGATCACCATTCTAACTGGTGTAAGACGGTATCTCATTGTCGTTTTGATTTACATTTCTCTAATGACCAGTGATGATGAGCTTTTTTTTTTATTGGCTGCATAAGAACAAAGCTGGAGGCATCACGCTACCTGACTTCAAACTATACTACAAGGCTACAGTAATCAAAACAGCATGGTACTTGTACCAAAACAGATATATAGACCAATAGAACAGAACAGAGGCCTCAGAAATAACACCACACATCTACAACCATCTGATCTGTGACAAATCTGATAAAAACAAGCAGTGGATAAAATATTCCCTATTTAATAAATGGTGTTGGGAAAACTGGCTAGCCATATGCAGAAAACTGAAACTGGACCCCTTCCTTACACCTTATACAAAATTTAACTCAAGATGGATTAAAGACTTAAACGTAAGACCTAGGACCATAAAAGTCCTGGAATAAAACCTGGGCAATACCATTCAGGACATAGGCATGGGCAAAGACCTCATGTCTAAAGAACCAAGAGCAATGGCAACAAAAGCCAAAATTGACAAATGGAATCTAATTAAACTAAAGAGCTTCTGCACAGCAAAAGAAACTATCATCAAAGTAAACAGACAACCTACAGGATGGGAGAAAATTTTTGCAATCTATCCATCTGACACAGGGCTAATATCCAGAATCTACAAGGAACTTAAACAAATGTACAAGAAATAAACAACCCCATCAAAAAGTGGGCAAAGGATATAAACAGACACTTCTCAATAGTCTACTAATTTTTTAAAAACCACTTGAAAATATGACAAAATGTTGAGCTGTCAAACTGGGTTGTTTATTCTTTATTTCTCTGTTTTTTAGTTTCTCAGAATTAGAAAAATGAAAACTTAGAGCAGACTTACGTACCACACATTATGGGAATTCATCATCTTGGGAAATTTTACTCTCAGTTTTCTTGTTTATATTAACACTGGTAAATCAAACATCTCTTATAGAATAAGGCCAAGATATAAGCTAAAAATTGTTGAACTTCTTTGCACACAAATCTTTCTGCAAATTGGATGAATTTCTAAAAGTGAAATTTTATATCTACTGCCAAACTACATCTTCAAAATGTTATACTCATTTTTATTGGCACTCTGTCTGAGAGTGCCTGTTTCCTAGTTTCCTAGAAACCATAGGTATGCTCATTATTTTCCTCTATCAGTTTGATAAGCAAAAAGATCTTATCACATTTGTGCTTTCATTTGCAGTTCTACAATTGTTAATAGGGTGAGCGTTATTATTTTTCATACTTACATTTATCTTTTTGCATATATGAGTTACCTGTTCATGTCCTTTGTCCATTGTTCCATTGCTCTATAACAGCTCTGTATAAATGTCTTGAGTATTATTCTCTTCTCTGTTGACTTCAGTGACACTTTTCCATTCTTCCTCCCTCTGCTTCTGTAGCCTAGCTAAAGGTTGGTGATCCTCAACTCCACCCTCTTTCCACTCTGTAATTGCCCCTCAAACTATCTAATCCATGCAGGTATCTGACTGCTCTCCTAGGAGAAAGGCACAGGCCGGGCATGGTGGCTCACACCTATAATCTCAGCACTTTGGGAGGCTCAGGTGGGTGGATCACGAGGTCAAGAGATCAAGACCATCCTGGCCAACATGGTGAAACCCTGTCTCTACTAAAAATACAAAAATTAGCTGGTGTGGTGGTGTGCACCTGTAGTCCCAGCTACTCAGGAGGCTGAGACAGGAGAATCGCTTGAACCCAGAAGGTGGAGGTTGCAGTGAGCTGAGATCGCACCACTGCCAGTCCAGTCTGGCGATAGAATTAGACTCTGTCTCAAAAACAAAAGAATAAAAAGGAAGAAAAAAGGCACAAAAGGAGCAGGGACCATGACTGTCTTAGCATGACCAACTGTCCTGGCTTATTTGGGACTGGGGCAGGGGCGGTTCCTGGGACTTTGAGTGTTCAAACTAGGACAGTCCTGAGCACACAGAAAGAGTTGATCACCCTAAAAGGTTAAGTACTCAATAAGAATTTATTGAATGAATCCTTGATAACTGCCAGGACTACTATTCCAGCCAGCTTAATCTTTTGGCCCACAGATCCACATATCTAATTCTTCATGGACAGCACCACTTGAATAACACAGACATTTCACTTTTTTTCGGCTCACTGCAAGTTCTGCCTCCTGAGTCCACGCCATTCTCCTGCCTCAGCCTCTGGAGTAGCTGGAATTACAGGTGCCCGCCACCATGCCCGGCTAATTTGACATCTCACTTTTAATATGTCCAAAACTGTGTCTCCACTACCCCTCTGAAAACTCGGCTCCTTTTGTATTCATTTTCCCAATTAATTCTTTCTCTAGCATTTTAGAATTCCAGTAATCCTTACACATTTCACAGTTCTCAATTTTGTAAGGCAACTGCCAGGATTAGGGTTGTAATCTGTACTTTGGAGGTAATGTAAGCTAAGAGCAAACTCCGGAATGGCTCCATTTCATGTGACTCTGTTATGCAGCTCTTTCACCCTTATGGCTGTTCCCTTTGTTCTGATATTTCTAAAGAATAATGGTTGTGTTCAGTGTTTTCCAAGTAATGAAACTTCCTTACAGGCAAAAGCATCTTGCAATAAGTAAAAAGGAGAATTATTATTAATATAAGGAGTTCAGCAGTGAGTTTATGTGTGTAAATTTAATAACTATAATTAAACCACAAATGTCAGTTTCAAGAAAGGTAAAACTATAATATGATTTTGAGAAAGCTGAGAATTGTTAGCTCTCAAAGAAATGTGATTGAAGCATCAGTTTAGTTATTCTGCTATATGTTAGACGAAATTGGTAAATTACCTAATCTATGACTTGACCGCCTCATTTTACGATCACTGCCAAACACAGCAGACCTTATGTTGACAAAATCACATTCATTTTATTCATCTGTATGCTTGTATTAGTCAGTTCAGGCCACAAGGACAAATACTGTAGAGGTGTAGATTAAACAACAGAATTTTTTTTTCACAGTCTGGGAACTGGAAGTTTAAGATTAGGGTGCCAGCATGGTCAGGTTCCAGTGAGGGCTGTCTTTCAGACTAGAATAAGGACCATCTTCTCGCTGTGTCCTCACTAGACAGAGAGAGCTCTGGTGTCTCTCTTCCAATAAGGGCACCAGTTCTATTAGTTTAGGGCTCCATTCTTATGACTTTATTTAACCTTAATCACCTCCTTGAAAGCCCCATTTTCAATGCAGTCACATGGGTAGTTAGGGCTTCAACATAGGAATTTTGAGGAGACACAAGTTAGTCCATAGCAATACTGGCCTTTCTTTATAGAGAAACTGAATTTAAGTAACTCAATTCCTGCAAACATAGCTATGAACACACTGATTATAATACAAACAGCTTCATTTCTGAAACTTCTGTTTTACATGTGGGTTGCCGCCTGCCCTTAAAGTACTGCCTGTTCTCTATAAAGGTGACTCTGCACATCTGTTGCCGTGGTTCCAGCTAGCTAGTGCAGTTAACCCAGCATAATTATTTTAAAGCTCTTTTTCTCCACCCCTGGAACATTGATAAGTTTGTACTTATCTGACCACACATTTTTTTACCTTCATACCACCTGTAAGCAACTACTTCTGCATTTTTTCCTCCCTTCTAGCCTCTATTTGTCTTTCCAATCAAGAAATACTTCATTATTCTATCTGTCCAGCTGTGCCTCTCAGCATTTGTTTCTATTCTGTGTATATATGTATTAGTATGCCATATATATGTGTTTCTCTATAAACTATGTTTATATAGTGCTACTTTATGTATTGCCAAGTGCTTTACATTTCAGAGTGCTTTCACTCTCACCTGTTTGATTCTCATGATGCACCAGAGGAGATATGTGGCCAGATAAATATACAAGGGAACAGTTTTATCTCTGTTAACAAATATGAAAGCTGAAACTCAGAGAGACAAAACAATCTGCTTACATCACTCCTAATGCCTTGCCTTCTACTAACCTCGAAATATTCTTTCTTTATCTGCAGATTAGATTAAGTATTTGTACCCATGAATGTATCCCTTTGTCAATATATCCTATTTCAGAGACTCATATTCGTAATATGTGAAACACAGGCTCACTGTGTACACATTGTAGGAAATTGATTTTTTTTTTTTGCCCATAGAGAGATGCCAGTAAATATCAAATTATTATCAACCATCAGAACCATCATGGATATCTGGATAATTGAATGTTTTGGAATGAAAATACTTAATGTGCTAGATATATCTGCTAACATTCCTTCTTGGCAACCCTGCATACAAGCGTGTATCTGTAATAACTAAGAAATTAACAGTTTTCCAAAAATATTACCTTCATGTCTGTTGGTGCCAAAAATATGACCTTTCTTAAAGACCTTATCTAGATTATCTTTAATGTGGACATTATTTTAACAGGGAATGTTTTAGTCACTTGTCATTATTATTTTGCAATTTATTATCATTTTCCCATCTCCCCCTGTATTAGAGTTCTCCAGAGAAACAAAATTAATCAAATATATATAGATGACTTATTATAAGGCATTGGCTCGTGCAACTATGGAGTCTGACAAGCCCCATGATCTGCCATCTGCGGGCTGGAGGCCTAGAGAAGCTGGTGGTATAAATTCGAGTCCAAGTGCAAAGGCCAAAGAAACAGGAGTGCCAATGGAATAAGTCCCGGTCCAAGAGCGGAAGATCAATATCTCAGCTCAACAGTCAGGCAGAGAGAACAAATTCTCCTTTACTCTGTCTTTTTGTTCTCTTCAGGCCCTCAATGGATTGCATGGTGCATACCCAGTTGGGAAGGGCCATCTGCTTTACTCAGTCTACCAATTCAAGTGCTAATCTCATCCAGAAACAACATCACATACCTAACCAGAAATAATGTTAAGTCAAATATCTGGGCATCCTGTGGTCCAGTCATGTTGACACATAGAATTAACCATCACATCCCCATTTCTCCATTTCCCCTTTCTACTTGTGACATGAGAAGCTTAAAGTTTGAGTAATTGACTTGTAATTTACTTCTAAATAAAGTATCTTATGTTTGTATTACAAATTCAGATACATGTATAGGTGCTTCTTGACTTCCAAATCATTGAGAAAATAATGTTAAGTTGTGAATAAGGTGTTGCTGGCTCTTTGGCGGGGTTCAGGTGGTCTCACTCCACAGTAGAGTTCTTAATATTGGCCATGAGCTCCAGGGAATACATCACAACCACCATTGTCCTCCCACCCAAAAGAATAAATCAGGTAGAAAGAATACCAACACCCAAGGCTATAACATTGAACATGCCATAGTCCTTGTGAACAGTGCCCCATGGAGTTCTGCAGTACACAGGGTGCACATTCATACATGGTAGCCCTGCCAAGGGTACTGCCTACAAGAGCTATCACAATCAAATGAGCTACTCTAAGATACTCTCAGAAGAGGAAGTAGCACAATAACTTGATGAAGTAGAAAGAATGGGGTTATTAAATTTAAAGCCCCATATTCAGTTGCTGGTACTACCATGTCTTCTGGGAAACATGGCCTTGGGCAAGCCTGCTGAGGTCTGGGAGCCTTAGTGTCTCTCCCTACTTCACAGATTCTTGAGTGTCAAATGAATCATATATGAAGGAAAATTATGCATAAAATCATAGAATTTTATTTTAATAAATAGAAGCTTCTAGAAAGAGAAAAACAGACCCACCTGCCTTGCTTCAGTGATTAGGTTGGGAGAATAGGGCATTTAAAGAGTATATGCTTCAGCTTGTTACAGCACCAGTTTGTGGAGGAGGATGAGTGGAGATCTCTTTTCCTTTACAGCTCTCCCATGAGCAATGGCTCATAAACAGCAGTCCAGGGAGCAGCTGCCTCACGCCCAACAAAACATGGCATCCATAACCCCAAATACTCTATCCTCACCTGTCTTTCCTGACATCCCACCACAGAGTAAAGTCAAAGACACACTGAGCTCATCAACACCTTCAAGAATACTTATTCCTCTGTTCTGTTTGGTACAATACAAACTGCATGCCACAGACTCAGACCCCAAAGATTCTCAGTTGCAGCAGAGCTAACTGCACATGAAGAGCAGAGTGGAGAGAAATCAATATTTGCCCAATGGAAAAGAAAAAAAATCAATTGAGAGGAGGGAAAATGTTATCTCTAAGCCTTTGAAAGCAGTGGCTTAGATGTAGCTATATCAGCATATAAAGAAGGAAAATGAGATTTTAAAAAGTAGAGAGTCTTTTTACATTTAAGTTCCTAGTTCTAAAGAGCTCAATAGTTCAGAAAGTATTTTTTAATTGTGGTGAAATTCATACAACATAAAATTAACCATTTTAAAGTGAACAATTCAGTGACATTTACTACATTTACAGTGTTGTACAAACACCACCTCTATCCAGTTCCAAACCATTAGGAAGTGTTTATTATTCTAGAATTATACATGCAGAAACTACATAAAAGTCTGATAAATTTTTCTTAGATTTTTCAGCCTTTTGGACTTAACTCCCCAGATTATATTTGAGTGTTGTATTGTTGCTTTCTGCCTAGCTGATATTATGTGTCTTCAGTGTTTAAGAATAGGCCAATTTAAATGTGTTTCCACATTTGGTAAGGTGGATGGGAGAGAGGTGACTATAGATTTCTACAGACAGGCAAAATCCCATGTGTTTATTTTCACCTATGTATTGACAGAATGTTTAAACTATTCAATAAAAAGAAAATTCTTTCAGTCATATGCATTTCTTCTGTCTAGGGTCATAGGCAGATGGATCAACAGTGTAACTCATAAAAGTGGACTTCAATGCAAAATTCAATGTAGTCTCTCATCTCTGCACCAAGTGTTTCCCTACAAACTGGCAAAGTTGGTTTAACTAAGCAAAAAGCAAGCTTTTTGAGAATTGGGGTCAGAAGGATGTGGAAAATCTGTTTCTCTTTCAGTGGCTGGAATGAATACTCTATTGCCAGTGAACAGAGAAGGATGCCTTCTTGCTCATAGCTGCTGTGGCTGCCCTAAAGTCATTCATGGATACTCCCCATGGCTGCAGATCTAACGAATAGTCTAATTAGGAAACAAAACAGTGGAATCCATCTTGCTGCCTAGAGTTTAGCTGCTAGCCTCTTGAACTTGGTCTTCCATCTCCACCCCTGCTCTGGTCCATTGACCGTATGAGCTGGACTTTGCAACTGAGTTGGACTGCCCCCTTCTCTAAATTGACTCTGGTCCTGGTAAAATATTTGTGCATTGCCTTATTTGTAAATATTTGTGTGTTATCTTAGAACTGTAACTACACACACATACACAAACCAAAAATATCTTACTGAAAAATGTGGAAGCAAAATTCACTTTTGCTGTTTCTCAAATAGCAAGATAAGACTGAGGTAGAATCCTGTCTTAGACTCCTAAAAATTAACTGATTCATGATTTATGAGCATTCCACCTAAAGGAAGAATCAATAGAGAGAAGGAAAAGAGTAAGGGAGAACAATCCAATAAGTAACTTTAAGCCTGTAGCATATTATTACTTTTCTGAAGTTCTGTATTACCACTTTATATATAGTAGGCACTCAATATGTATTTGTTATTTGAATGGGATGAGGATATTTTTTCTTCTTTAGTAATCTTTAAGGAACATTCTGCCTTACTATATCGATTAAATAATTACAGTATTTGGTGCCAGGTGCTCAACTGAAAGAAATTATTATTTTTAAATAGCTCTTGATTTTTGAAATGATCCTCTGTGGTCCAGGCTCTGCCCCTTCAGTACTCGTTAACCATTCCTCATGAGACCATATATGCACTGCCCATAGCAATGGCTCTCAACTTCTGAATTCCTTTGGAACCTCATTTTAAAATGCAGTTTCCTTGGAATCTTCACTCACAATGTTCTTTCCATCTGAGAATGGACCTAGCAACCTACATTTTAGCAAGTACCCTGGGAGATCCAGGGAGCATATCATCCAGTAGATGATCTGTGGAGCATATTTTAGGAACCAATCCATAGATTTGACTGAATCCTAGTCTCTAAGACCAGCCTTGTTTAGAGCAGAAAGAAGTTGAAGAACGAACAGTACATTGCTGTGCAGTCATGATGGTGCTGTCCAGGGACAAGATCTTGTTTCTGTTCTCTCTCTTTTTTCCTCTTCCCTGCTTCATGCCCAAAACCCAGCTGGTCTTGCCTTGGATTGTAGTAGCTAGTCCATGATATTCCAAGACCTAATTGGCTACTAGATGGAGTGTTGTCAATTACTAAATCCCATATTTAATGTGCTGCCTGTCTACCTGGTCCTCCACCAATGACCAAACTCCATCTGTATACTTTCTTGAATTCTACCAATGCCTACTGCTTAGACATTCTCTTATTCCCTATTTTGCCCATGTGGGTCTGTTCGATGGCACATCCGAGCATTAAAACCTCATTCTTAGTGGCACACAACCCTGACAAAGAGTGCTGAGTGTCCAGAATTAGGCAAGATAATGGGATAATCACCAGGTTGGTTACCCTAAAAGAGATAATGTTCCTCTGTGTGTGTGATAAAATAAAAGGTCATGCCTATTTGCTTAGCAAAAGAGATTTTGGAAGAGGGAACCATTAGAAGTTGGGAAACAACTTGAGATACATCATTTGTGTTACATAAACCTGTTATCAAGATTGGCCCAATGTAGATTAAAATAGAAGTGCTCTTAATTGGGCTTCAGGCTAATACAGTGGGTTGGGATTAGCACACCCTCTGTAGAAGCCTCATATACCATGCTGAAATAATAGATACCAATAATGTGGCATCCCTCCATTCTAGCCCCTTCTAAAGGGACTTTTGCAGCCAAAAAGAACAGCTAGGTTAGATCTACTTCCTTTCTGGTCATTGAGGCCAGTACTGAGGAGGCTTGAGCTTTGAGGCAGTGAATTCAGTTACCCACAGTCACCTTCAGTAAACCAGTTATATGAGATGGCTTATGTGCTAAGGAGAGAGAGAGGACATGGTCCAACCAGGGATATGTTTATACAGTACCTGCTTAAGGAATATAGCTGAATTGAGTATTGCTCACAAAACTGGTACCTTCCCAAATTGTTACTCTACCTATTGAGAGCTGAACTATTTTATTTGACTACAGAAAGAAGCTTCAGAGAAGAGCAGAACAAACTTTAATGATTTCTTTCTCTGTCTTGGTTCATTCATTTAGTCAACAAATGTGTTTTAATCATTTCTATGAGCTAGGAATAAACAGCTCTGGCCTCTCCCTCAGAGAGCTTACCATTGTGTTGTAGAATTTAGGTCATGAATTTACGTGGACACAGATCTACCAAGGACTTCTCTTAATCTTTCAGCTGCCTGTATCAGATGAAAAGAACACTGTGAATACTGGATAGGCAATAGAAGTAGTCAGAAATGCCCCCTAGGGAAACCAGACCTGAAATTCACCTTCCAGTGGATAAACACAGCTTGATGTTTATGCTAAAATGCTAATCAACAAGAGGAAAGAAGAAAAATGCCCCCAGATTGAACAGAAAGTGTCTCATGGATACAATAAAGCAGACAAATTGCTTTGGTTACTGTAGGGTTATGTAAGAGGTCCTTTGTGTTCCCTCCTTATTTCTGCTAGATAAGATGAAGATTAATTGAAATACCAAGTGCTATATAAGCTAATAGTTTTATTAGCTTAAACCAGAAGTTCAGCCACCTGGAGGACTTGCTAAAACATAAATTGCTCAGCTCTGTAACCAGAGTTTAGTTTTTAGTAGCTCTGGGATGAGGCTTGAGAATTTACATGTTCCCAGGTGTTGCAGATGCTGCTGGTTCCAGGTCCACACTGTGAGAACTACTGGCGTAAGCAGACACTCTCAGCAACCTTGAAAGTGTTGCTCCACAAAGCAAATAGGCAGTACCACTAATTTTTTTTTAAGATGGAGTCTCACTATGTTGCCCAGGCTGGAGTGCAATGGCACGATCTTGGCTCACTGCAACTTCTGCCTTCCAGGTTAAAGCGATTCTCCTGCCTCAGCCTCCCCAGTACCTGGGATTACAGGCACACACCACCATGCCTGGCTAGTTTTTGTATTTTTAGTAGAGACAGGGTTTAACCATGTTGGCCAGGCTGATCTCAAACTCCTGACCTGAGGTGATCTGCTCGCCTTGGCCTCCCAAAGTGCTGGGATCACAAGTGTGAGCCACCAGGCCCGGCCTACACCACTAAATTTAAAATGTTTAAATACCTGCTGGTTTTCTCACTACAAAATAATATATATGTATACCAAAAAAAGGTTTTTAATAAAAAATAATAAACTTATTAAATGACCTATGTAAATTTAAAACCACCCAAAGATAGCCCTTAATAACCTTGCTTTGTATTTTTATAAAATGTTTCTTAGGTATGTTTGTGTATACATATATGCGTGCTATTCTCTCTAACATATGTACGTAATATTCTCTCTTTTCTCTATATATATAAATATCAAAATCACTGGAATCATCTTTTATTTTTTTGAGACAGAGTCTCATTCTGTTGACCAGGCTGGAGTGCAGTGGCGCAATCTTGGCTCACTGAAACCTCCCTCTTCTGGGTTCAAGCAATTCTTGTCCCTCAGCCTCCCAAGTACCTGAGATTACAGTCACATGCCACCATGCCTGGCTAATTTTTATACTTTTCAGTAGAGACGGGGTTTCATCATGTTGGACAGGCTGGTCTTGAGCTCCTGGCCTCAAGTGATCCACCCGCCTCAGCCTCCCAAAGTGCTGGGATTACAGGCAAGAGCCATCGCACTCAGCCTGGAATCATCTTATGTATACCATTTTATAACTTACCCTTTTCACTTAACATATACTTGTAAACATCTTTCTAAGTCAATATAGTTGTATGATACAATTTAGTACATCCTTTGAATGAACATTTAGGTTATTACACAATTCTTTCAAAGAAACTAATTCAGCATAAATATTCTTGTAAGTCCTGATTTGCATCCTTAATTATTTTCTAAAGACAAATTCCCAGAAGAAAAAAATGCCAAGTAAAAAGTTATATAGATTTTTAGGGCTCTGAATACATATTGCCTGATTAGGCTTCAAATGCTAGATCACTTTACATGCCCATCAGCACTCTATGGTTATTTTCTCACACCTTGACATAAAGGCTGAGTACATATTTGTTCATTGTTTTTCTGTGAGAGGTTTCTTTTGCCAATTTAATAGAGAGAAAATGCTCTCTTGTTTAATTTTGAATTTTTTTTTCAGTTGCCAGTGGGGTTACTAGTAGTATCACATTCAGTGATGTCATACTTCTTTTTATTGTAGCAGTGTGAATCTGAAGCTTAGAATTATGCTATCAGTTCTTGACAGAGCAGTTCTTTGGTTTGAGGCTTTACATGTTTGACATTTTTAAGGTCTAGCACATCATTTTTCTTTGATATGAACAAACAAATCTCAGAGTAGATCAGCTTTTGTTGTATTATGTAAACTTTGAGAAAGTAAATTGGCTGCAAAAACTATTTTGAATTCATCTGATGTGATATGCAGTCTCATTTCTCAGCCTATGAATAATTTGTTGTAATATAGTTGATCTAATTTTACTTAGGAAATCAACTATCCACTGTGACCAAAAGAGAAAACTGATGGAGCAATGTATCTTGTTATCTATTGATTAATATTTATTCAGTGACCATGTGATGTGAATACTAAAATGAACTTTCTTGGTGATACACTAAATTGAACTTTCTTGTTGATACACAGGGACTATTAGGTGAAAAATATGGGAATATCCGAATCCCTGGAGAAGTTGAAGCCTCAGAGTTTGAAATGATTTTGGATGCCGCCATAGAGGCAAAGCTGGAGACCAAGTTGCTGGAGGAGTGGTACTGTCGAGATGAGAACTCGGTGCCAGCAGCCTATTACCTCAGACCCAAGTCAGAAATGCTGAGAAGCAATAGAAATGCAGTAAGCTGCCTTTCCCTCAAGCCTATGGATCTGTCCATTACTACATTTGTTACCATTTATGTCATCCGGGGTGGTGCTGCACAGAAAAGGCAGAGTAGACAGAAAGTTACTCTGCCCTAGGCCCCAGGTTTTCCTTTTAACAACTAAATCCACACTGATCCTTAGGCAAACACAAATGAAACCACAATGCCATATCACTTTACACCTGTTAGGATGGCCATCAAAAAGTCAAAAGATAATAGGAGTTGGAGAGGATGCGAAGAAAAAGGAACCCTGTTACACTGTTGGTGGGACTGTACATTCGGGCAGCCTCTCTGGGAAACAGTATAGCAGTTCCTCAAAAAATTAAAAATAGAACTACCCACTTCTGGGTATATATCCAAAGGCAATAAAATCACTGTCTTGAAGAGATATCCACACTCCCAGGTTCATTGCAGAATTGTTCACAATAGCCAAGATATGGAAACAGTCTAAGTGTCTGTCAGCAAATGAAAAGATAAAGAAAATGTAGAAGGAAATTAAGGAACATTTATATACACACATACTGTGATATTATTCAGTCTTTTTAAAAGAAAGCAATCCTACCATTTACAGCAACATGGATGAACCTGGAGGACATTATGCTAAGTGAATTAAGCCAGGCCCAGAAAGACAAATACCATATGATCTCACTTACATATGGAATCTAAAAACGTTGAGTTCATGGTAACAGAGAGTAGAAGTGTATTTACAAAGGTCTGGGATTTAGAGGAAATAGAGAGATGTTGGTCAAAGGTCACAAACTTTCATGGTGTCTATAGTTAATTATAAACCTGAAATTGGCTGAGAGAGCAGATCTCAAGTGTTCTTACCACCCACCAAAACAAAGGAAATTATGTGAGGTAGTGGATTTGTTAGTTAGCTTGATTGTGGTCACCATTTCACAGTATATACATAGATCAAAACATCACATTGTGCACCTTTAAAATTTAATGAAAAAAACTAAATCCAAAGCTAAGAAACTATAAATTGTCACTCACCTTTCCATTTAGCATCTCTGACTTTCCTTCTAGGCTAATTTTCCTTCCTCCTGAAGTATACCTTTTATAAGTTCCATCAATGAAGGTTTACTAGTGATACTGATTTTTACTTATTAATATTGGTATTATTAAACAATAATTTAATGAAATAATTTATTATTAATTCTTAATATTAATTGGTTAAAGTTCCATTAATGAAGCTCCCTTTGCTTCTCTGAAAAATTATTGTTTTGCCCAGTTTTCTATAATGTGTCTATTTGTTCTGATTGGTATATGTCATGCTTACTGTATCTGTGAATTCATATAGTCTCTTAATTCTAGAAAATTCTCAGTCATCTTCTCATCAAACAATGCCTCTCTTCTGTTCCCTCTGTTCTTTCCTTGTGCTCCTTAATTACATTTGCCTTCAGCCATCTCAATCTGTCCTCTACAGCTTCTAATTCTCTTTCACATAATCAATGAAAATAGATCATTCCACATGATCAGTTAGGTTTACCCCAATATTCCCACCCAGAGAAACAATATTCATACAGATAATTACGTTGAATAATACATGTGAGGGTGAAGAAGAAAAAAAAAAAAAAAAAATCAAGAAAATTGATCACGTGAAACTGATCATAATCATATCATCATCATAATCATGATCAGTTTCACATGATCAATTCTCTTATCTCTGTGCTGCTTTCCAGAAGATAGCTTCAGATTATTTTTCCAGTTCACCAATTTTTTTCTTCAGCTGTGTTCATTCTGTCTATACATTGAGTTTTCAAGTTTGACAGTTATAGTTTTTATTTTGTGAAAGGTTCATGTGTGCATTTGTTTTCTGTGGGAGGAAGTCCTTTGTAAAATCTACCTAGCTATTATTTATAGTCTCTTTTTAAATTTTAACTTAATATTTTTTCTTTAACATCTTAAACAGTTCATTTATATTCATGCATCTTATAGAGAGTGATGGAATGAGACTGATTCATGCTTGAGCATCATGGAAACGTTATTATCTACTTTCCAACTTGGCTCCCAAGTTTATGATAGGTCCTTTAAAAGCAAATGAAAAAGGAAGAGGGGAAAGGTGGACCTGTTCATTGAGTAGAATATTTAGGGAGATTGCAAAGAAGGCATGGATATCCAACCCTCTGCCAAAGAGAATGTCCTTGATTCAGTCAGCACCCAGGCAGTTCCAAGAGCACAGCTGTGGGTTATCCGCAGTTCTCCACTTCGGGATCTGTGTATTTGTCATTCTGGTATCCAACATAACACATTTTCTCTGTGCAATGGGAAATCATATCAGAATCCTTGATTTTTCTTCTTCTCCCTCACATATATTATTCAAAGTAATTATCTATAACAATATTGCTTCTCTGGGTGAGAATATTGGGGTAAACCCAAACCATTTCCCAGTTAAAGATGCCAGGAGTAAATATAGATAGCAAAGAACCTGATACCCCAAGAAACCAGTTTCTACCATGATCTGGGGGATTTTCTCATATGTTACTATTTAATTTGCTTTAATTGTTTCTTCATTTATCTTTATGATCCACTAGGGAAATTGAGATTATTCCTAAAACCCCACATGATATTTCTGCATAAATTATTATTGAATAAATGAATGTGTGAATAAGATTATCAAGACTATATAAATGTTACTTTATTGGTAGGCAGTCCTCCCATTTTATCTCCCAGTGGACCATCAAAACAAATGAAGTTAAAACAAATAAAGACAACTAGATATAACATAAGAGCACCTCCCCTTTAACTTTCTCTCCGCTTTGGAGGACACCAGAGATTATTTTCTTATGGCATTTGTATCAAAACTCAAAAGGGAAAAGCATGGTATATAAGAAAGTCTGACAAACACACCGTATTTGGATCACACCCTTGTGTAACTTGGTCAAGTTCACATGCAACACAGAAATAATTTCTAACTTTCAGGGTTATTGAGATTAAATTAGACACTGTCTGTAAAGCACCTATCATAGTATTGGCACATAGTAGGCCTTCAAATAATAGAAATTTTCTTGTTCTTAAATATTATTTTTCTTTGATGATTGTAAGACTAATTTCTCCCTTTTACATTTCTATAGATGCAGCCTTCTACCAATGCTGAAAACGAGAAGACATGGCAAGAGATATCAGATGAGATCAAGAAGATATTTAAGGCTGCTGTAAAGCTGTTACACGAAAAGGGTAAAATGAAACACAGCCAGGCTAAGAGGTACCTGTTCTCAGGTAATTTTCCCATACCTTCAGTAAAATAAGAAATATATCATTAATAGGTACATCTACTGCTTCCCTTTAATGCCCTGCAAATTTAATCTCATTTACTGCCTGGTGAAATTTAATTTTTCTAAATGTTCCCATGTTCTGGAGAAGCAAATGTTCTTTTGTTTTAATTATAGAAAAGCCTTCCCTTAACTCTAAGGCTTCTCTAGAAAATGTGATTTTAAAAGAAGCCAGAGGTGGCCCCGGATATAATTGACCATATTCTGCCATGATTTCTCAGTTGAGCTGTTCATTCATCACTTACCCGCTTATCCAGCAAATATTAATGGATCTATTGAGTTCCTACGTGCCAAGCACTGGGGAGACAACACTGAGTAAAAACACAAGGTCTCAGGCCTCCTGCAACTTATTTTTTTAGAGGGAGGAAAAATATTCATAAAATATATATTCATAAATGATAGCCAAGTAATCAAATAAATGAACAAGATCGTATCAAAAGTGATTGATAAGTATTATGAGTAAAATAAAGCACAGTCATAGGATAATAGTGACTGATAAAGGATGTGGGGATCCAGATTTAGATGAGGTGGGCAAAAAGGAGAGGACTTTGGACCTGAATTACGGAAGAAAATCAGAACTGACAGTGCCATATGCATCTAAGGTAGAGAATTCCCAGCAGAGGGAGCAACAGATTTAAGATCTCTGAGACAGGAACGTGCTTAGCTAATTCCAGGAGCAGGAAAAATAAAAGATAGCTTTACTTTTTTTTTTTCTTTTTTTTTTTTAACTTTTACAGAGAGGGAGAGATGAGGATAGAAGTTGGGCACAGGCCATAATAGGAAGCTTGTGTTTTATTCTGGGCGAGATGGGAAGCCATCAGAGGGTGTGGCACAAGGGATTTGGTAGGATCTAATTTAGCATTAAAATAAAAACCTCTCCAGCTATTTGGTAGGCTCAAATTTAACATTAAAATAAAAACCCACCCAGTTATTCAGGTATACTTCAGTCTATACCATACCAAGCATTCTGCGTACAGAGGCTCACCTGTTGGCCTTTCTCAGCCATGGAAAGGAAGCTTTATCATTAGAAGTTGCTCAGGAAATTACAGAACTGAAGGAATATGTCAGTCATAGTTTCCAGGGAACAAACACAACTAGTAAAAGTAGTCAGATGTGTAGCATTTATTTTGAAAGTTGATAGTAAAAATTTATAAAGGGAAAAACTATAATAGCTGCGTTTTCAGATTGGTTTTGAAATGGTGCGGCAAAGCATTCGTGAAAACCTAAAAGGCACTTGGTAATCATTCTCACTGGATCCATGTGGGTGAAGCTCAGAGAAGTTACAAACCATTTTGACAAATTCCAGAAGGAAGCTGTTTTTAAAAATTAGGTCTTATTTAAAGTCTTCCTGAAAATACCACAATCGTCAGGAATAAGTACTGTATTTAAATATATAGATCAGGGTATATCCTTGTTCCTTTGGAACCTTTAGATCCACCTTTGAGGCTCAGGCTCTTCACCTTTATCAAAGACAGAACAACCCTGTTCCTTCAAGAGCTGTCTTAGAAAAAAGTACCTGGAGTGAAGCTTTCCTATTATTTATGTAAAAAACACCAGTCTGGGGAAGTCATCCTCTTATTTACAATCGCACAGCTCCAGTGTTTGGTTATTTCCCTGGCAAACACTTGTCCTAGCTTTCCCCACACAGTGAAGAACTGTGTCCACATAGATAGCCATGTGAAGATGAGAAATTTCATGTGAGCCACTACAAGTGGAGTGTTTTCTGCTTGGGGTTATATCTCCTGAAGATATACATGCTCATGACAATTTTACTTATTTTACGTTCAAACTCCTTTTAAGATCATGTCTGCACAATCAAAATTGCTGACGTGCCAACTCTTTCAAATGGATATAGTATATATTATATTTTTAGAAATCTTGAAATAAGAATACTGGATAGAACCTGTTAAAGGTGTATTGTTTATGTTTGAATGTAATTTTTCACACTTCTAGTTTCACCTTTTTAAACAACAGGAGAGGACGAGAAATAAATTAGACTCTAAAATGGTGCCCTTCTGAGAACATCAAAACTCAGTGGCCTTGGGAATCGTAAAGAAATTAATTTCTCATGGATAATAGTTACCAGGACTGGAAACCTATTTCCACCATTACCTTCAGTGGATGCTCTCACTGGTTAAATTTCAGGACATTAAGGAACATGCAAAAACAGAAAATAAATATAATATTCTAATAATGCCCTAAAATTCTAAAATTTATAATATTTATAGATAGGCATCAGAAACTGTGAATAAAATTCCCATAAAATCATAAGCATGCACTTCGCCTCTAAAAATAACTCTGTAGAGTTGCCTTTGTATCATAGCTCTCATTTATTTAGGTATATTTAAGTCTATACCATACCAGGCATTCTGTGTACAGCATTTATCCCCCCTGAGCCAAGCTTAGATGGGCTCTGCCAAATTAGTTTATCTGTATTTCTTTTTTTGCTCCATTTGTGATCAACACTTCTGCTTGATACATCCTTTTCATAAATGTGATAACAATGTCAAGTTATAGTTGAATTGCTTTCTGGGAGTCAAAGGTGGCAGAGCATATCTCTGATTATAATGCATTATATATAGATACTACAGTTTGACCGCTTCCTTTCTCTTCATGATGCTCTCAGAATGTAGCAAGCTGTTAATCCAACCTGCTAGCATTTTACACAGATGACTAGAAAAGAGATGGGTCCAAGGCTGCTTTCTGTAGTAGCTCATGATGTCCAGATTTCTGGCATCTTCCCTTATCTACATTATAACAAGTTCTTACTCTTCCTTAAAAAGAATAGTAGACATATGTTTATAAGCTCCTTTAACTGGCTTCCTTAACCAGCTTGCTCAATTAAAACCATTTGTAAAATGTACTGATGCTCATGACACAGCTTACTAGGCACTGGTAGCTATGAAAATATCTTTTTCATTTAGGTTGAAAATTTCCATTGAAAGGCTCTCATTACTGAAAAAATATTATCACAAGAGTTCCACCGAAAGGAACCATTTTTAAATAAAATTCTCACCCTTCTTAATAGTTACATTACAGAATATATGTATATATATTCTAGATTTTGCTTGACATTGGAGTTATGACCAGCATGTAATTTTTTTCAATTTATGGCCAGACCAGCCCTGTGTATTCAGAGCCTCCCTGACAGAAATTCACAATCTGAGATCAAAGCACCTGCAGATTCTGTGGCTGATGAGGGCCAACTTCCCGCTCACAGATGGCTGTCTTCTTGCTGTGTCCTCACAGGGCAGGAGGGCAAGGGAACTCTCTGAGATCTCTTTTATATGAACACGACTTTCATTCATAAAGGCTCTGCCCTCATGAACTAATTACCCAAACGCCCCACCTCCTAACACTATCACACTGAAACCTAATCAGGTTTCAACATATAAATTTCTGGGAGACACAAACATTCAGTTTATAGGGCTCCATAATGGATTATTTTTCTCAATGTTCTGTTTTCTCTCACCATTGTATCCTAAGCGGCTGTCATCGTGCCTGGAATATAAAAGGTGTTCAATGAAGAGCAATTACATGAAGGAAAGGGATGGTGAAGGAGGAAGAAAGGAAGAGCAGCCAATTTTAAGAATACTTGCTTTGTCATTCATTTCCATTAGCTTATTTTACATATTTTTAATTTTTCCCTGCACAATGATGTTTTCATTACTACTGACCCAGTTTAAAATTTTCTTATGGGGACACAAATTATTTATAATATATATGTACTTGTGTGCAAGCATATGTATTGTAAGCCATAATACGGTATATGTTAGAAGAAATGAAGTTATATACTAAGTCACTTTTTCTGTACTTGTTCTGATGGATATTATAACAGTGACATAGATCACCCAGATTGATCAGTCATCAGAATATAATTATATTTTGCCTTAAAATGTGCTTTTGGGCTGGGCGTGGTGGCTCACACCTGTAATCCCAGCACTTTGGGAGGCTGAGGCAGGTGGATCACAAGGTCAGGAGAAAGAGACCATCCTGGCTAACACGGTGAAACCCCATCTCTACTAAAAATACAAAAAATTAGCCGGGCATGGTGGCGGGTGCCTGTAGTCCCAGCTACTTGGGAGGCTGAGGCAGGAGAATGGTGTGAACCCAGGAGGCGGAGCTTGCAGTGAGCCGAGATTGCGCCACTGCACTCCAGCCTGGGCGACAGAGCGAGACTCCGTCTAAACAAAAAAAAAAAAAGAAAAAAAAATTTGCTTTTATATTGATATTTGATCATATCTGACTAGGACTCAATATACCTCAAACAAAATGGTGAGGTCACTTTGTTAAGGAAAGACTGACAAGAAACGGTTAACTAGTTACATCCTTCAGCCTCCTCCTCTTTCTTTCCTGGCCCAGATGGGTCCCTGCTGTTCCCTCTTAGAACCTCTGAAGTCTGAGAGGAAAACTGAGCAGCAATTAGAAATAGTAGATATTAGAAATATCCACTATAACTTTGATATGCTTTCTTTATTATGCTTATGTCCAACCTCTTCCTAAACTTGGGGAGAAAATTAGATAATTTTATGTAAAACCTGTTCTCCCGGGTTGCTGGCTGATTAGGAAAAGACAAATAGGAAATCAAGAAATTATTCTAAAGATTACTTCGCTACAAACCATAAGCAAAATAATTTACCACTAATGACTAAGTGTTGACTATTGAGAATGTGGGTGTGTTGCTCCTTTGTTCTAAGCAATAAACTCCTTCTTATATTTTCTTTCAGCTATAGAGGATGAGTTTGACTTTGCTCTGGGAAAACAAACTCCAGCATTTCTAAAGAAGTGTGTTTGCTACATTAGGAAAATTGCTAACATTGAGCGCTTTGTGAAAATCCCAGAGATGGGAAAATACATGGATATAACTGGAACAGAACCGAGGATTATTCGGGACCCAGAAGCCCAAGAGAAGCTGATAAAACTCAGGGATGAATTTATTCCTACTATTGTTGCATCATCTAATCTGAGAGTGTACACATCTGTTACTCATTGTGACATGAAACTAGGCTACTCCCAAGAAATAGAAAATCATTACATCGAAGGACTTGGTAAACAATTTTATGAGGACATGATTGATATAATTCAGGCAACGATACAACAGAATTTTGACACTGAAACTGATACACTCTATGATGAAATCCTTCAACATTCATCATTATGTAAAACATACGCCTCCTTCTATGAGTACAAATGTGAATCTCTAAACATAGTGCATAACTACATTCTTCCAAGCAAAGCTGGACACATCAACCCTCTTATTATATATGGTGGGCCATGCACTGGGAAGACCCTTCTGCTAGCTGAAGTAGCAAAGAAGGTAAAAGCCTATTCTTTCCCGTGTATATTTGTAAAAACTTGTACTTTTGGAAAATGGTAAATTAATCAAATTCATTTCTACTTTCTGAGTTTACTATGTGAATTATAGTTGGTCTTTTAGGAGTGAATACTGCAGTGCTTCTTTTTTGCTGGTATAACAGTTATATTGAGAGAGCAAAACTCATGGGGTACAACTGGAAAGCAAGTTTATTTTTTTCTTTCACTGTTCAGACTCATGTTGTGGGCTAGTTCCCATCCCTCACCCCATTTGGATGAAAACCCAGGCCAATCTCAATAACTGTTCTCATTCCTTTCAGACAAGGACAAGCCCTCTGGTCACTCCAGTCTGCTAAATCAGTCTCCGTTCAGTAATGAGTATGTCCAGGCTAAGGTAAAAATGAAAATATCAGTCTACACCTTTCTTCCCCATCTGGGGCCTCTCATAAACAAGGCACCTACAGTGGGAAATGGGGATCTTCTTTCTTTTTCCACGTGGCACTTCTTTCTCTCCTTTCCTAATCCCAATGACATTTATGATTCCTATAAAGTCACAGTTTAGGGGATATGGGAAAGGTAAGGTGGCCAGAAAGTTATTACGTAACCAGTGCTGTTCTGAACTGGACTGTGAACTCTCTGTTCTTAGCACATGTTTAAAGCTGCCTCCCATCTCTTTGGAGGCCTTTTCATGGCTTCCTGGAGGTCCTTCCCCTCCCGTACCTCTGCCCTATCTTCCCTGAGCATCTCTTACCTACAGTTGCCTAGACACAGGGGAATGCATCTTTTTTCTAGCTGGTTACTTCCTCAGCTCCTAGACATCCAGCAATGTGCTTCCAGTACCTTTCTGCTAAGATCCTGTCTACATCCCAGCACACTCCTTAGACAGGACCTGCGAAAAGCAAACAGAAACCCTTGTCAGCTCACTGTAGCCTGCCGTCCACATGTAGCACATGGGAAACACTCAGGTATTGTTTTGCCCTGAGGAACTCTAGACCTCTGGGCCAGTCCCAGCCCTGTAGCTCTGTCTCACTTCTCCATCACAGCAGCTAGGCAGCCTCAGTCACTCAGCCTTCATGGTTTCCAGATGTCACTAGGTACCAGATGCCTGTATCCCCAAGCTGTAGGGGGCATTCTATAGGTGGTCCACTAAAGTCCCTTCCTCTTGGCTGGAAGTCAAGGACAGGCATCTCTCTGACCTCCTTCTAGGGAGGGGGAGGTGAGAGAAACAACCCGCAGCACCCTGATCCCCACCATTTTTCCCTGCCTCTCCAGTCTTCTTTTTCAGACTAGCAGCGGGTAATCTGTTAACAGTAGCAAAACTGGTTTTCAGAACCTCCCTTTCAAGTCCTGCATGATGGTCTGGAACCTCACTTTGGAATGTGGTATCTGCTGAGTTGGCTCTTCAGCCTAAACAGGATGAAACTAGTTCCATTATTTTTAACCTCCTCTTCCCTTAGTGTCAAAGTGTGGTGGTTTATTTTATTATGGTGTTAATTCTGAAGCTCTGTGTTATTCTTCCCATGGTGACTCTCTTAAGAACAGGACTTTCTTTAAGTTCACGAATATTCTCATAACCTGTCATGTGCTACATAATCTCAAATTGGTCCTCTTGAAGACAAGAACAGAGACAGTTGCATTACACTGTATGTGAGGATTAGGTTCCAAAGTAAGCCCATAGGTGAAATCAGGTATATTCCATTTACCTTTGAAAAGTCCATAGGAAGTCTAATTTGCTTTTTCTTAATCTATCAAGCCCAGCTGGGTTTTCTGCTTATGTTAGAAGATATAGCTTTTTCTTTAATTAAGCACCAGATGAAGTAGCAGGCTTGTATTTAGGGTCCACATTGCATTGCATAAATTGTGTATGCATATGTTTATGTGCCTTTGAACAGGAATTTGTATGTGTATCTTCAAACTTTAGAATTATTCCAAGTAAGCAAGATAGTAACACCATGAGGGGCACCTGAGAACTGAAACCAAATGAGTAAACATTCACATATGCCATTTTGTAATCACCCTAGGGCCCTTTTCCTTGTGGAGGAAAGGAGCATACAGGCCGCTGGAGGAAACAAATATCGTTCAATTTGACTAAGTCAAAGGTTCATGTGATGCACCTCCACATGCTCTAGCACAAGAGGTCAAGACTTATGTGGGATGTGCTGATTCCCTGCACAGATAAGCAGTCCCAGTGAGGCAGAGTGTGGTAACTGTTCAGAGTTGGTCAGTTTAAGGAACAGCTTTCTGAGCTCTTGCTCTTCTAGATATTTTGTCCAATAGCCTGAGTCTGTCTATTGACTATCCAGGAGTCGGGTCCTCCAAGAAACTGTGCCTCTTTTTAGGTCCTCTGCCTGCGCTTCACTTACCTTTCTCCTGGGGAATGTCTGACTCACCGTCAACAACAACCTGTACCGTCCTGTGACCTCATGTCCCTTTGAGGATGCAGATAGATATCTCATTTTTATCTCATGTGTCACCCAGCATTTCCATGACCATGAGCTCGTGATGGTAGGGCTGCTCTCTACAGACATCACATGTTCAGCAACATGTGACTGGGAGGACGGAGGAGGATGCCTGTAGTTATCATAAGCAATCAATGTAGAAACAAACCGGTGTTTTCAGATTTACCACCAAAGGATAGTTGTTGAATGACAAGATTATCTTCCTTGAAATCAGCTTCAAAGGTTGAGGCTAAACAACAGCAACGAAATGTTTATTTTCCTTAACAGCTCCTTATAAAACTGACCTCCATAAATCTTTCTAATTTTATTCATGCCTTAACCTGAACTATCTCTCCTGAGGAAGCAAAGTTCACAAACTTACCTCCTAATGTGTAAAATCACTCTTCCTTATCTCAGGCATATCCTTGGTAAATTCCAAGGATAACTGAAAGACTTTATTTTCCTAAAAATACTCATTGGAGTATTTTATGCCTTGGGCATATTTCTTCTTATATTGACCTTTCAAAACAGAAAGACTAAACTTAGTGGGCTCCTCACATATTTTATCCTTTAACACCACAGAGTATTTAAGAAATGAAAGAATGAAAAGTCAGGTATGACTTCTACTCCAGCTTTGTCTCTTGGTGACCATTTAACTCTGAGCAGTCATTTATCCAGCTTGGGCCTCAGTTTCCTCTCCTATTAAATGACACTGTAATCTCATCTACCCTTCAGAGAGATAATGTGAGGACTGATGGCTACATGTATATAAAATCAACTATCTGTTACAAAGCACAACGTTTAACAAAGCTCTTTTAACCACCATTCTGTGGATTTTATAACAGATAAATAATAATCAAAATTATGACCCTATAACACCATAAAATTATCTCTAAATCATAAAAGATTATATTCAAAGTAATTTCAGTACTGAATATTTTTATTGCTTTCTAATTAATTGGAAATTTGGTCAGCCATATATGACATTATATGCTCTCAATTAATGCATATATTTAACTTAATATAATATGTAAATCATTACTTATCCATTCATTAAACACTTACAAAGGACCTACTGTGTGCCAACAACTGCACCAGGAAATGGGTATTCATTCAGTGATACAAAGCTGACCATACTAGATATTTGTATTTATAATTCATGAAACACCTTGTATCTTCTGGAATACAAGCTAAATATTGCCGAATGAGTGAAAAATACTATTATTGCTACTTTAGTACACTCAGTAGGGGTAATCCTGAGGGTCTCACCTGTAGATTTTGGTACACAAGCTTCATGGCAGTTCTTTGGCCTTCTCAGAGGGTTTTTCCAATTTTTGGTCCTAAGCTATTTCCTGCACAGCAGAGGAGACCAGAAATCTGAGCTCTGGAGAGAGGCAATGTTATCACATATGACCATGTGAATACATATTACCATTCTAAACTCCACTTTTGTGTTTCAGGCTTATGGCTGGCTACATGAGGACACAGGACCAGAATCTGACCCAGTAGTCATCGTGAGATTTCTAGGAACGACAGACATGAGCTCTGACCTTAGGACTCTCCTTCTAAGTGTTTGTGAACAATTGGCAGTTAACTACCGGTGTCTGGTTCAAAGCTACCCTAAGAAGATCCATGACCTCTGTGACTTATTTATAAATCTTTTGAATGAGTCTTCACTGCAGAGACCTCTAGTCATAATATTCGATGCACTAGAGCAGCTCTCAGAGAATGATGATGCCAGGAAGCTTTGGTGGCTCCCAGCTCACCTGCCCCGCTTTGTCCGGATAGTCCTTTCCACGCTGCCCAACAAACATGGGATCTTGCAGAAACTAAGGTGCCTTATCCATGAAGAAGACAACTACATCGAGCTGATTCCCCGAGACAGGAAGATGTGCAGCCAGGTCCTCAAACACCAGCTGCTGCGCGTCAAAAGGAAGGTCACATCAGGCCAGCAGATTTATGTGAACAATGCATTATCCAAGTGCACACTGCCAATGTTTGTGAACCTGACCTTCAGGGAGGTGAGGCACTGGAGATCTCACAAAGACGTCGATGAATCCTCCCTCTCTGTCACCGTTCATGAAAGTATAGAGCAGTTATTCTGGTCCTTGGAGAAGAAGTGTGGTCAGAAACTGGTCTCTAGGGCTCTTGGTTACATCACCATGGCCAAAATGGGTCTGAGTGAAATGGAACTGGAGGATGTGTTAGCCCTAGACAACAGTGTAATGAGTGAGCTCAAAGAAAACACCAGACCCAGCAATCCCCTGAGAGTACCTTACTTGTACATTGCAAGGCTCAAGGAGGGTCTCAGTGGATACCTAATAGAAAGACATGTGAAAAATGTCACACTCCTAGTCTGGGCCAACAGACACCTGCAGCTCATAGCCCAGAAGCTATATCTGCAGGATGACAATGACCTGCGTGAAATGCACACCATCTTAGCAGATTATTTTCTGGGGGTTTGGTCAGGGGGCAGGAGGAAAGCCTTCTGCCTTGAGGACCCCTACTTGAATGGCTGCCTTGACTTGGAGAACAGAAGTTTGCTGGAGGAAGAAAAGCACTTCATGGAACAGGCTTCCTTTGACAGGCAGGCTCCAGACCAGCCCTGGGTTTTCCAGTGTAATCCCCTGGAACCTGACATCTTTTTCGTTAATCATCGGAAAATGTCTGAGCTGTTGTACCACTTGACGAGGTGTGGAAAAACCGATGACCTGCTTTACGGCATCATCATGAACTTCAGCTGGCTTTATACCATGATCAAAATTGGCCAGTTTGACAAAGTGCTTTCAGACATTGAGCTGGCTTACAACTACTCGCAAGAGAAGGAGCTGAAGTTCCTGGCCAACACCCTCCGCAGCATCAAAAACAAGGTCACTGCATTTCCCGGCTCCCTTTCAGCAGAGCTTCAGCAAAGACTGCTGCCTGTTGTAAGCTCCCTGCCCAAACTTAGACATCTTCTTTTAGAGTGTGATAAAGATGGGCCCAAATATTGCTCCATTGTACCACTGCATTCATCCATGGATGTGACATACAGCCCAGAGCGTCTTCCCTTATCATCCAGTCACCTGCATGTCACAGAGATCCTGCCTACCTGTAACCCCAGCACTGTCCTCACAGCTTTAGAAAATGGTTCCATCAGCACCTGGGATGTAGAGACTCGACAGCTACTCAGGCAAATCACCACAGCCCAGTCTGTCATCCTGGGCATGAAACTCACCAGTGATGAAAAGTACCTTGTGGTGGCTACAACAAATAACACCTTGTTGATTTATGACAATGTCAATTCTTGCCTCCTGTCTGAAGTAGAAATCAAGGGGACCAAGCATGGAAGCAGCGCCACCTACATCAATGGATTTACACTGTCCGCCAACCACGCCCTTGCATGGCTCGAAGCCAGCAAAGATGTCACTGTCATCGATCTGCTGTACGGATGGCCGCTTTACCAGTTCCACTGCTGGTATGAAGTGACGTGCGTCCAGTGCTCCCTGGATGGTCTGTATGCTTTCTGTGGCCAATACCTGAACACAACCACCATATTTCATTTAGGGAGTGGAGAAAAGTTATGTACAGTGACATCAGAATTTTCAGGTGGATTTGTGAAGTTTCTTCTTATCTTGGACACAGCTCAGGAAATGGTCATGGTAGACAGTGAAGGAAGTCTTTCTGTTTGGAATACTGAGGACATTTCCAGCCCCCAGCTGACTGATGACTTTGATTGCCGAAGAGAAGACAGTGAGGTGGTCAGCATTGAGCTTTCAGAAGACCAAAGTGCAGTTCTGATCTGTAAAGCCCTCAGCATTGAGCTCTTAGATACTGGTCTGTGGAAGGTGGCTGAAAAGTTCAGAGCCAAGCACAACGAACGCTTTATATCTGCCGTGCTGTCTAAAAATGGAGATTGTATCATCGCCACCATGGAAAATACCTCAGCTGTGTTTTTTTGGAGGCGGGACACAGGACAGTGTATGGCAAGCTTGCAGGAAATCTCAGGTTCCATTGTTAAGTTAGTGAAATCCAGTCACCACAATATGCTACTGTCTTTATCAACCAGTGGTGTTCTTTCCATTTGGGACATAGATATAATCACAGCTATGTCCAACATAGATAAGACTGGAAAACCCATCCAAAGTCTGTTGTTGCCTGCTAGAGGGGAAATCATTTACTCCCTGGATGGATCCGATTGTGTTCATAAGTGGAACTTCAGCAGTGGCTTCATCGAAGCAGTATTCAAGCATGAAGGAATAGTTGAACACTGTGTGTTAACATCCACCGGAGATATAATGGTGACATCAGATGACAAAAGCAGCCAGTATGTCTGGCACACCAGCAGTGGTGAAAACCTTTTTCGAATTAACGGGCAGAGAATATCTCAGCTGCTGATTACACACAATGACCAGTTTGTGGTCTCGCTCTGTGAGGAAAATGCCTCCAGGGTTTGGAGGCTCGCCACAGGCCACAGGGTCTGCAACATTCTGACCACTTTGCAGAATGCCTTTATTACCTCCGCAAATACCTTCGTGGTGGGAATGACTAAAAGCAAAGTGTTGGCAGTCAGTCTTTGGACAGGAAGTATCACCAAGAAATTTTGCTGTGAAGATGGGACCACCATCGTGAATTTTAAATTAATCCCTGACTGTCCTGATATCATCGTGTTTATCACATCGGCCGAGACTGTGAACATCTGGAGTCTGACAGATGAAGTGATCTGTCGGCGCGTGCAACTTCCAAACAACTTCTTGAAAAATCTGGAGGACTTTGAAATTTCTCCCAATGGAAAGCTAGGCATTATAGCCAGGGGAGATGAAAACATCAATGTGCTAGATTTATACAGTGGTAAATTGCGGGTGGTTCACGCCTCTGGGATCATCTGGCGGCAGAGGTTGTCTCGGGATGGTCGCTACCTGGTATACATTTGTTTCCGAAATGGGGAGGAGGAGGATGAAAATGGTGCAATATTCAGTTTAATTGTAATGAGACTGGCAGATGGCAAAAATATCGGTGCTTGTTCCCTTTACAAAACACCAACTTTCCTTGCACTCTCCCAGAGGCACCTGAACATCATTGTGGGCTTTGATGATGGGAGTATAGGGATCTACACGGTAGTAGACCGTGTAGATGCTGCACTGAAAATCAAAATTGCCACTTCAAATAGCAGACAAATTTTCAACAATGCAACACACACCTCCAGGCCAAAGTGTAACAGTTATTGTTTTAAAATATCTGTGGATTGCTTATGGAGAGAGTCCACTGAGGTCTTTGCAAGAGACAGCCCCATCACAGTTAGTGACTCTACTGAGTCCAATGAAGCAACACCCTCCAAGAAACACAACTCTTGTTATGAGCGGGTATGCTCGGCCCTAGAAGCCAGGGGCCACAGCTATGCCCCTGATAACTGACAAAATGTTTTCCAGCTAAGCAGAAATATGTGATCCACGTACAGAAGGGAAAAAAATGTGCCCCAAATGATAAACTATTCATTTATTAAAAGGCAGGAGCGATGCTGGAATTCCAGTGTTTTATTAAGATGTTCATGAAATGGACAAATAGGTTAGTCTTGGGTGTGGTCTTTTTGTCAAAGTGTATCCAGAATGTCAGAATTTCTAGTAGTAATATTTAAATGGTTACTTCATCTGAAAGGCAGAGGCTAAAAGTTTTTAAATTAGCTGTGTGGTGAGGCAGCATAATACATCCCACTGGTTAAGATGAGAGAGGCTAGAGTTATATACAGATCATTTGGATGGGAATTAGTTCTACAAAAATCAGCTGAAATCATGAAGACAAAGAGCTGCTTGACTTCAAATGATTGTGTGATAAGTAAACACAGCCTTAATCTCTCTTTACATTTTACAGTCCTGACAACTGTGTACACCTAGTCTGCAGTGAACGGTCTAAAGGTGCAAAATATGTAACAAAAATACCCAAGTGTATTCCCAGTTTCCCGAGAGATATGACCTGAAACATGAGACTGTGGACTGGACTGGGACAAGAACTAACTACCACTATCATAGGGCTACTGAACATGGAGAGTCAGTCTTTATTAAAAGACAGTTGCAACAATTGCATGCGAGGGTTTCTGTATAACAGAATATATGATTTTTAAACTATTTCCTGGGTTGCAAAAGAACACATTTAGTAAGAAACAACAATCTTTTCGCATCTTTTTGAAATGCATATTTGTGCTGGGTGTAAAGAAGATTACAGGAAGGGCATTACAAATCTGGTCAAAACACCTGTCCATTTCCATCATTGTACTAACAGAAGTCTGTACTATTTGGTCAGTTTGTATGGAAGCATAAATATTCCCTAAATTCCTGCAGTTAGTCTTCATAGAAAGCAAGCTTTCTCAACATGCCATCTCTGAGATACTGATGACGTTTGCCTTACTCACATTCCTTCTCTTTCCTGTGTAAAATGCAGATAGATGACCAAATACTCTGGGATAAACTGAATATGCCTGTCTTTGTGCTAAAATATTCCATAAATCTTAAGGGTGTCCAAAAGTTCTTTATTGTCCTTGTTTGTAATCACTTTCTTACTTCTACACACCATCTGTATGCTTCTTTATCTGTTACTCTTCCTGATTGAGGACTCTTCTGAGCCTTTTATAGTCCTATCCATTTCAAAGCAGAAGCTGTGGAATGGTATTAAATATTTTTTAAAATTAATTCACCTGTTTAAAAGAAAACATTGCATCTCAAAAGGTGAAGATGATTGTTCTTTCTTCCATATCCTCCTTACGGCATGTCCTTGGATAACTTTTCAAAAGGTATCCACACTTTTGGTTGAGTTTAGTTTTCTTAGAAAGTAGAGAAGTAACACTTTACTAGAATAATGAACAAGGAATTGATTTGCTCTAGGCCCAGCTCTGCCATAAACTCATTGTGTATTCCTAGACAGGTCTTTAACTTCATCAGTGTGTTGTTTTTGTGAAGTGCAAAATAAAGATAGTGATAGTTTCTGCTGTAGCCCTCATAGGGACATTGGGAAGCAGTATAAGAAAAACTTCAGCAACATCATGATTATTGATGCTAATAGGAAAAATAAATTCATGTAACCCATAGAGAATCCAGGTCAATTGTATTTCCTCTTGGAAAGCAGTTTAACATGTAAGCGTTCAAAGATGTGATTCAGATAAAAATACCCAGGTCCATAGTGAAAGATGTTTTTCAGTATGTTACTTATGGTTTAGCTACTAGCCAGGGAGGTGGTAGCCCAGAGAAGGCAAACCACATACAGATCACCTGGAGTTGATTATATGAGTCTATGCTTTTGAGCTCTTTAGGCAACACATTCTCATTCCTGTCATTATCAGTTGAACCTCCATGCCACACATTTCTAAGAATTAAATGCCTAGATGGATTAAATGTAGTATGTGAATGTTCTATGTAAAAGCCAATAGAGTATACAAGTGACTTGAATGATTTTTCCTAACTTGTTTGCAACTGATAGCTCATATTGAATGTTTTTATGTAAACTTTGTATCGTTGGGAAGAATTACCCAATCAGAGATTTATATTTTCATAAATGTTACATTTAGTTAAATTTTGTTACAGAGTTGTTACACTAGAAAATTATTTCAGTCTTCAAACAATATACAGTCTTGTGTATGTATTATTTGTATGAATAAAAGATAAACTACTTAGATTGGCGTGCTGTTTTTCTCCCCCATTTTTGGCAGATGTGATTAGAGACCTTCAGTAATAATAATAACTGTTCATGCTTACTGCTTATGTTGCACCAGGCACTGTACTTGGAGCTTTGCATGTACTAAGCCATTTAAACTTCACAACAGCCCTGTGAAGTAGGTACTGTTAGCATTCCAAATGTATAGGTAAAGAAACCTAGAAACGGGTCCAGGGAGAATAGCTGAACAAGATTTCAGTGCACTCTCAGTGTCTTTTTCCTTAACTTTCTCAAAGTACATCAAAACAGAGCATTTAGTATCTAGTAGGCACTTAGAGATCAATAATGACCTGCAAGGTGTTTTCTAACTTGCAGGTGGGAGACTGGGCTAGCTCTGAAGATCACTGAAATTTGCTGCAAACTCTCACGTTTTTCAGGTATACAGAAATAGTTGATGAATTCATTAATAGAAGGATGGGGAGGAAGGAGAAGAAGGGTGATGACTGAGGAGTTGTCTCTCTCATAAATTCCCTTTGCGCGAACGAGCAGGACCAAGGGGAGCCTTCCCACATGCCCTTTCTTCCATCTCTTGCCTCTTGGATCTGAGAATCCACACACGCACCAAAAAATATTTTTAAAAAACAGAAACAGAGGAGTATTGGTGAGCTTAAGTGATGATACATAGGAAATAATCTGAAAGCTAGTATCTAGTTGTCATGAAATAATTGTTCTCAGAGAAACTTTAATGTGTTACGAAAATAAATTATTCTGGTTTATTGCCTGCATCACATGGCTGAGACTAACGTGTTCAAAATTTACCACCACTGAAAACAATTCCATTACTTACAAAGGGTAATATCTTTAGGTTGAAAAGGCTAAACCCCTCTCCTTTTAGTTCTCAAAGAAAATGTAGAGAAGTTAATAAATATTTGCAAAAAAGCATTTCAAATAAATAGAGTTTGTTTAAATATCTTCTTTCCTAGAGCCAAGAACACAACAGTCAACACTGTATGCTTGCTATGCCCAAGGCATTATGCTAGATCCTGGAATGATTTGAAAAGTCACGCATGACTCCTGCCATCCAGAACCCTACAGTCTAGAAGAGACACAGCTAAACCAGATGAGACTGATTTCAAAGTTAGTAAGAGTGAGAGCCAGGTGCTGAGGATACACTACAGAGGAGCAATTAACACTACCTGAATATCGAAAAGGTTGACCCAGAGGAGATAGAGCTGAGGCTAGAAGAATAATTAGGACTTAGCTGTCAATGTCAGAGAGACATTTCAGGTAAAGGAAGCTGCATGAGCAAAAATGGGCATTGAAGCATATTTCAGGCGACTTCAAATGCTGTTGGGATTTTAGACTTTATTCAGTAGTCAATAGTGTCACTGAAAGCCAGGGGCCCAGCCTAGGTCCTGTTGCTCACTACACAGAAAGCCAATCACTAAGGCAATGAGTATTGTCAGGGAAGAAGGCTTTATTATGGGTGATATCAGCCAGAGACAGGAGACAAGACTCAAATCTGAATCTCCCCTGGCTAAAGTTGGGGTTTATATGGGGGGAGAAAACAGGCAGGGCAAGGAAGAGGAGTTGCTCAATAGGCAGCAGGTGTCTAGCATCTCACTGTAACCTCCTATAGGAAAACAGGAATTAGGGAGGGTTAAGGAAGAGGAATTGGTCAACAGGCAGCAGGTGTAAGTTTCTCAAGCTTCAGTGCTATGGGCATTTGGCTTGTTGGAAAATTGCGCTGGTTTCAACAGGGAGCTGGGAAAAAAAGTTTTGGGGAAGGGCAGTTACTTTGTCAGATGGCTTTCAGATGGAAAAGATCAGAAGCTGGGAGACCAGTAAAGACCATGGCCATGATCTCAGTTAGAAAGTGTTAGAACCTGATCTTAGAACCTGCTTAGAGTAGGGGCAATTCAAGATTTATTTCAGGGCTTAATGGATAGAGGTGTTTGATGAAGGGGAGGGAAAACTCAAATAATTCCAGTTCCAATTGGAATTGAGTAGATAGAATTACAAATGTAAAGTGAACAGGGGATGAAAGTGGGGGAAAATCACAAAACAAACTTGGACCTAGAGAGTTTAAAAGTAAGACATCCATCTAGCCCATTAGAAATAGTCTATCTATCCCATGGAGAAAACTCAAATAAAAACCCACTCAGTTCTTTCTTTCTCAGTAAGGAGATTGCAATGGATTGCAAGGAGCCCTTACTGCAATGCCTAATATGGTGTGGGGAGTTTTTTGGGCTATAACATAAACGGATACCATAATGTTTTTAATGTTGTTTGTTTTTTAGAACTCTTTCACAAATTTGGAACCATGTTGATAAATCCACTCAAAAAAATTAGCTTTCCTATCTTTCATGACTCATTGGCTGGGAACAATTTACATGTCAGTGAAAACATGGGCACACCTAAAAAATGAAGTGAATCATGGTGTTTTCACCCTGGTGTGCATCAAGAAACCATAGGTTTTTCTTCCATATGTTTTACAAGGGCCCCTCAGATCTCAATTTGGCATTCCAAGAGATCTGCAAGAAGTACAGATTACACGTTGTATGGACACATGGAGGGTTCAGTTTCAGTGTATCAACATGACAGATTACATAAAACTGGTAATCTAGGGATACAAATAAAAGCAGCACCTCTAGCTTTATAGAATGCCAGCCCTTACTATTTAATAGATGAGGGGAACTTCGCCAGCTACCTGTGCATATTCAGAGCAACGGTTCGCAAACTGGAGTAGGTACCACTTGCTAAAACACAGATTTCTTCACCCTCCCTCCCCAACTATTTCTGAATCAATACGTCTGGGGTGGGTCCCAAGAATTTGCATTTTTACTACATTCTCTCAGATTATGCCGATGCTATTAGTCTAGGAACTGCACTTTAAAATCTAAGGCAGGCTGGGGCGCGCGGTGGCTCAGCTTGCAATCCCAGCACTTTGGGAGGCCGAGGCGAGCGGATTGCTTAACCTCAGGAGTTCAAGACCAGCCTGGGCAAGTTTAGGAGAGCCCACCCCCACCCTAGTCTCCACAAAAATAATAATAATAATAGTAATAATAATAATAATAATACAAAAATTAGCCGAGCATGGTAGCATGAGCCTGTAGCCCCAGGCACTCCAGAGGCTGAGGTGGGAGGATCCCTTGATCCCCAGAGGAGGAGGTTGCAGTAAGCTGAGATCGCATCACACTCCAGCCTGTGTGCAACAGCCAGACCCTGTCTCAAATAATAATAAATAAATAAATAAAATGAAACCCAATACAAATACCAACCCCTTTTTCGACAGATAACCTACTTGATAAATGTATCAATATCCTGTAGACAATTAAGTGTCGACTATAAGTTGGACATGAGTGCCGTTCATTGTGACAAAGGATGTAAAACCACATATAACTTCCTGCAAAAATCTAACACTTTACAGCGTGCAATCCCAGCACTGCAAAATTAGAAGGATTCAAAAAATGGAGTGTTCAAATTCTCAAAAGCCTGGCAAATATCATGTGAATGGGGCTGGCATCATTAAAGTAGATACATTGAAAACCCAAGGACACTATGTCCATCCTTAGATAATACTCTGTCCAGATGCCTCTCCAATATCCTATTTTATTCTCTTGCTGGATGAGTTGAAAAGAAGAGAGAAGAGGGTAAGCTAGGTGGCGCAGTTGCTTAACACTTTTTTTGGCAAGCTCAGCATTTGCTTTGGAGCACAGGTGAAAAGAATGTCCAGTCCTTAAGCAGAGTCAGTTCTCCACCCGCCTTAGGTATATGGATTGTAACAGCTACGAATGTGGAACTCAGTAGATTGGATGCAGTCTTGTGGCCAATGCCCTAAGACCTCAGGAAAAGAAAGGGATGGAGGGGGAGTGGGTGAGGAGGGGACGGGGAACCAGGAGTTCATTGAACTCCCCCTGGGGCCTTTAGGGTGCAGGCGAGTGTGTGCAACTTCCCTGGTTTTTATCGTGGTGGTGGCGCCCCCGCTGTTTCTAGGTCCATGTAGCTCATACAGGGCTGGCCATGGAACTCACAGCAGGTCTAGGCGGCGAATGCCAGAAATAAGGAGGAAACTGAAAAATGCCAAGTTCTCGGGGTTTGGGAGTACACAACTATTTGCCAGCGGGTGCATTTGTTTTGTGTATCCCCGTACTCCAGTCCCTTGATCATAGGAAGCTCCCTTCTCTCCAGCGCAACATTGGAGTAAGCACCCCGGAGTTTCCCGTGATGGCAGGCGGTTGGCGCGGTCGTTTGTGCTCAGAGGCCAACAAGCGCGTGGATTTTCTGCTTCAGTGCGCCCGGGACTGCCACCCCGGCCCCGGGGATGTCGGACATCGTACTCCAGGGTTTCGAGCCCTAGCCCCGCCGCATCCTCGGGGCGTGCAGGTAAAGGGTTACGCGTGTCGGGAAGGCTCACCCGCAGCCCGGGCCACGTGACGCGCGGGCCCAATGACAGCGCTGGGGCGGCCGCTGCGAGCTCGGCGGGCTCAGGGCAGCGCGGAGCCGCTAGCGTCTCCCGGCGCGGCTGCCCGAGGCCGGCGAAGCCATGGGCGCCGGGACCCCGCCGCCGCCGCCGCCGCCGCCGTCTGGCCCCAGGTAGGGACAATCCCCCGCCCCGCGCGCGCAAAGAGGGCTTTAGTCCTGCGGAACTTGGCTTTGGGGCGAGCTTTCCCCCACTTCTCTCCGAGTCGCCTACTTTTAAGTTTAATTTCTTGATTTGCTTTTGCCCTGAAAAAAAAAATTAGAGACGCAATTCAAAGTTTGATGACTTCGGGAAAAGTCACGTAATTCAACAAAGGGGCTCTAAAAGGGGCAAAACTCGGGTGGGGGGAGGCGGACTTTTACAGATTCCCAAAACCAAAGACCAAGGCGTTTGTAAAGCTTGGCGTTTAATTGGTTGTGTGAAACATTTTTGCTTTTAAATCCCTAACTAATGAACTTTCAACGGTGCATGCGAACTTGAAAAAACTGCAAGAGATTTTACCTTAGATCTGTGCCCTCCTCCCCCATTTTAAGTATGTTTTTTAATAAAAAGGAAATGGAATGTGACCTCTGCTGTTTCTTTGAAATGCCCTTGGGTCCCGGTATTTGCCCCCCAGGGGTGCTGGCGGCCTGGGCAGTGGGTAGGGGTGGGGGAAGAGGTCAGGGTGCCAGGAGGCCTCACGTAGTGAAAAGAGGGTGCCAGGTGCAAACAGTTAAATAGTCACAAACTGTTTGCTAAATATTTAATAATTAGGCAAGCATCTCCCAGCTTGGTTACTTAGGTTGCATTGACCTTGGCAGCCCTGATGAGGCGAGATTTTCACAAAGTACTGGTGAAGAATTTTTCCGGTGATAAAAGGCAAGGATCAATGCTTTTTACCCCAGCATGGCAATTGACCTTAAAAACAAAATTAAAACTCCCTGTGATGACTTAGTACATTTTATGTTACTTTCCATGGCAGCATAGATACCTGCCCCATGATGGATATTTGCCCTGTGAATTTAGAGAAAGTTTGTGCTCCAGAGGTGGTTCAAATCATTGAAGAATAGGGCGTTTATTTTCTTCCTGTCACTATTTATGGGAAAGAATTACGGATGGTCCTTCTTGCCCTGGTTTGTGGATGTCCTTGGTGGTTGCAATCAAGCAAGCTCTTATGAGGAATAATATCTGGAGAAAAGAAGAGAAGCATTTGAGAGTTGAATGAGAAAGAAATGGAAAGCGGTTACTGCTTTTAAACATAATAGAGTCTATATTTGTTGCCTACCCCTCCCCCTTCCCCATTTAATCCTTCAGTTGATACTATTTTAGGAAGGATAAGACAGATGTTAAAGATCATAGACCACCTTACTGGTCCCAGCTGTGAAACACTGTCAGGAGGCAGATAATTGAAACAAGGTACATAATTGAAACAATTTGAAGCTCAAAGGTAAAGTTAAGTTCTGGAGTTATTTGTATTTCCCTAAAGTGTGAAGAGTCAGCTAACAGCAAGCTGCCTGGGTCACTGAGCAGAAATGGAACAGATGCTGAGACAGGAAGGGAAGGTGTGGCTTACTTCTCTTCTTGGCCCATTCTGTGTCTATCCTCTGATCCTGCTCCGTGCATTTATTCAGCAAGTATGATCTTGGTCCTCAATGGCTCCGGAGATTTAGATAAATAATGATACCTAAAGAGAAATAGGGCCAATCTTTCCTGTGTTTCAAAGAGCTTTTTGGATATCTGGGATTGAAGACAAAACCTTGCATACCAACTCAACACGTTCCATTATCCTAAACATGGAATGATTCCCTTGACGTCCCACCCAGACCCTCTCTGAGCCGGAAATACAACCTGGCTAAGCTCCGGCCAGAATCCATTTGCAGCCCAAGGGCAGAGCACAGGTAGGGCCGGCCCCTTTCCTCCTAGAACAGCCCGCTCTTGGTGCCCGGAAGCCCATTCACGGTGCTTCTTGGAATAGACGCCAGTTTCCAAATAATTGAATACCAGCCTTCCAGTAGCTAGGTTTCCTCTCCCTAGACTGTGTTTCACATTCCCCTAGTTACACAATTTTTCTGGTAACCCTGAATCTTGGGATCTTTTACAGTCTTGGTTAAATAGTAACTAGTACCTATGTCCTGCTTTTCTTTCTTGGTCATTAGGCAGATTTTCTTTTTGGTCATTCTTTTTGGTCATTAGATTACATGCTTACAGAGAGACTTTGTAGGTGTGTAGAAAAGAGTTGAGTTAAAGGGGTCATCCTAGGGGAAGCCGACTTGGAGTCTTCACCTATGTGCAGGTCAGATGTAGTCTTTCTCGAGTGCCTGCTCTTAACCATTGAGCCATCCTGTGTCTCCAGTTGTAGCCTTTCTTACTCTGACTGCTATTTAAGAGAATAAACTGAAAATGAAATCGCTCATCTACTTGTACCCTTTTCACCCGAGAATATCATAGTCCCACAGAGGTTAGTTAAAATCTTCAGGACTGTAGATTATCAAATAATCCTTTCCTAAAACATACGTAAAACACCAAGCCAATGAATACGTGTCCTGAAACAGAAAATTAAAACTCTGACTCAGTGTTGTCAGGCATTGTAGAAAAGATGTTCCAGAGCTGCAATGAATATTAACAAATGACAAAAGGAATATTGTATCTCACTCAAACTTTATCAGAAGTGCTGAACTCTGTTCTGTTCAGTGTACAAGTGGTTCTACAAAATTTAATAAAACCCTGACCTGGCCTTGGAGACATCATGTGCGTAGACCCAGAGACACCAGAGAGTCGATGAGTTTCTGGGGACACAGTCCTTGTCTTCAGAGATCCCAATATCTTGGGAGAAACCATTGAAGGATCTTAAGCACAGCAGATCTCTATTTTAGAGAGTTCATGCAGGCTGCAATGAGAATGAAACAGGAAAGATACAACCAAGACCAAAGGCAGCTGCGGCAAAAATTTAAATTAGAGGAGAGAGAGAAGTGAACTGATTCGAAAGATAGTTAAAGAAGCACTGGTATTTAAGATTTTAACTGTAAGAACCCATTAATTGACTTGAATCTCTGACGTCAATTTACATGTCATTTCAAAATACATTTTCTCTAGGTAGATAAATGTAAGCCACATTTCATTGCAATGTTCATGTGGATTCTAGTTCCTCTAGAGCTCCTCATGGTTTTTAATCACAGAAAAAGGTTTCTGATAAATAGCCAATTATATTTCACATTTTCAACAACCTAGTGCTTCTTTCTACAGACTTAAATATCTACATCTGAAGGCAAAGCTGAAGTAAACTGTTGCCCTCATATTATATACACATTCTCTGATTTAGCTTAACTCCTTCTGGGAGTAAAAACACCCTGACATTTGATTGTTTAACACTAGTGGAAATGGACAGTAGAACAGCCTTTCTTTTTTATTGTTTTCAGTTGACCACAACATGGCCTGCTGTATGTCACAGAGAGGACTGTATTATATTTGTAAGAGTATTAGTGACGTGTGAGAGGCTATACATAATGCCTGTGAACAAACAAAAGTCACCTTGGTTATTGACTCATTGCCGCATGCATAGCTTTTTAATACAATGTGTATTTGGATGTATTTTAAATTTATTCACTTGATCACTAGTTGTGGAGTAGATGTCTACACACAGGAGTTTTGAAATTTGATTTTGGTGTTGTTTTCCCTCATTTGATAACTGAGTATCATATATCTTGGTTATTAACGTGCAATAAATACAAAGATTTGATTCTGTATAGCTGTGAAATAGTACTGCTTTTATTTGGTCAGATTGTCAACAACCTTAGTCCTCCAGAATATGTATTGTAACCTAGAAATGCATAAAAGAAGTCCACCTGCACCTTCAAATTGTTGTTAAGAGTCACATACTTAAGATTCCCACTAGAACTTATTTGGCATTATTTCATTTCTGATTCCTAATGAGCTTGGCTACCTGGGTTCCTGGTCCACAGCAAGATCTACTTTATAGTTTCAATGTACAGCTCTTGTGATAAGTATGAAATGTGGTTACAGCCAAATGCTAGGCAGCAAAGACAATACAGTGAAGGTGGTCTGTGATTAAACCCTAAGTCTACAAGAAAAACATTAAATTGTGTTCAAAACTATCTGTTAGAAAGGAAGAAGTACTGCCTTTTGGTAAAAAGGACCCTTGATCCTTTTTAGAGCTGGAAAAGAACCTTAAAAGTTACTTGGTCTAACCACCTTAATTTACAGGTGAGGAAACTGAGTCTCAAAGAGGTTAATTGATTTGTCCAAAGTCATACAGCTGCCCATTGGAAAAACTGCTGGGACTGGAATCTCAGAGTCCCAATTCCTGGTTTAGTCATGTTCCTACTTCTGACTAAAAAGCACAAATGTTAGTACTATGAAAAACTCATTCTATATTAAGTATAATATTGTCCAAAACATAGCCACTGTTTATTGAGAAATTACTTATATATTCAGTATCAGTTATCTATTGCTGTGTAACAAATCACCCCACACGTAATGGCTTAAAATAACCACCATTTATTGAGCTTGTGCTTCTGTAGATAAGCAGTTTGGGTGGGCTTGGGTGGGCAAATTACGTTCTTTTCCAGTTTCCTCCATGCATCTGTGGACACCAAGGCAGCTCTGCCTCTGAGTATTGGCGGACCATCGGCCATGTCACGTGGGGAGCAGCTGAGCCTCACGTCTTTCATGATTTAGCAGCCTAGCCTGGGTTCATCACATGTTGGCTCAACTTGGTTGCAAGAGAGAATGGAAGCAACGCCCCTTGAGGCCTAAATTCAAGCTGACACAACTCACTTCTACTCCAGTCTATTTCAAAAGCAACTCGAGAAGCCAGCTCAGATTCAAGGGGTGGAGAAATAGACCCCACTTTTTAATGGGAGGAACTGCAACGTTACATTAGAAAATGGCATGGATTCAGGGAGGGATGGAGAATCATGGCCTTTTTCACAATTTATAATATACACCTCGTACCTTATGTAACTTGTCTAACTTAATTCTCACAATAGCACTGAAGGTTAAGGCAAAATTCCTATTTTACAGGTGAAGAAACTGAGAACCAGACATGTTAGTCTGGATTAGGCAGGACAGATGGTGAGTGATGAATCCAACACTGGGACTTGGGTGTGTCTGACTCCAAAGCCTGTGCTCAGTACCACGACGGAGCTCTGCCTCCCTACATAATGCTGCAGTGAAGGGTGGTGGTATTACTAAGTATTATACGGCTCAGAGTTTTGCGTGAAAAAAAAATCAAACTTTAGTAAAACTTTTTCATGATTTATATGCTAAGAGAAATATCAAACATGATTATGCCCTCAAAGAACATATGGTCTCATTTATATATGGTTGCAGTGTGCACACATGTTATTTAAGCAATAAAATTCCAAGTAAAGAGAAGTAAGACTGGATAATCAGAGAAGCTTAATAGAGGATGAAGTGATGAGTTCAGGGGAGCCAAGAGAAAGCCCTATTTAGAATAGTATCTGTTAATATCTCAAAAGATCCTCACGTCATTTATATAAATTAAGTAATATTCCCATTATACAAGGGAAGTTATTTGCCCTTAGTCACACAGCTAAAACCTAATCAAGATGACATTTAAACCCATGTCCATGTATCTCAAAAAACTATTCCTTTTCCATTTTTTTCCAATAAGCCAGTAAGCTTTGGTCCTCGAAGTGAGGTCCATGGACCAGCAGCATCATAACCATCTGGGAGCTTGTTGGAAATGCAGAGTCCTGACTTCACCTCCAGTCTACTGAATCAGAACCTGCATTTTAACAGGATCTCCCAGATGATTGCATAACCACAGTAAATGCAGAGCCCTGCACTAAAGGGAGCTTGGAGAAATGACTTGTATTAAGATAGGTGAAGGAGGGTGGAAGAGCTTTCTTTCTTTTTTTTTTTTTTTTAGCTTGGTTTTTTTTTTTAATTTTATTTTATTTTAAGTTCCAGGATACATGTGCAGAACGTGCAGGTTTGTTACATAGGTAAACATGTGCCATGGTGGTTTGCTGCACCTGTCAACCCATCACCTAGATATTAAGCCCTGCATGCATTAGCTATTTATCCTGATACTCTCCTCCCCCTGCCCTCCCTACAGCCCCGGTGTGTGTTGTTCCCCTCCCTGTGTTCATGTGTTCTCATTGTTCAACTCCCACTTATGAGTGAGAACATGTGGTGTTTGGTTTTCTGCTCCTGTGTTAGTTTGCTGAGGATGATGGTTTCCAGCATTATCCATGTCCCTACAGAAGACATGATCATGCTTCTTTTTTATGGCTGTATAGTATTCTGTGGTGTATATGTGCCACATTTGCTTTATCCAGTCTGTCACTGATGGACATTTGGGTTGATTCCACGTCTTTGCTATTGTGAATAGTGCCGCAATAAATATACATGTGCATGTATCTTTATAATAGAATTATTTATATTCCTTTGGGTATATACCCAATAATGAGATTGCTGGGTTGAATGGTATTTCTGGTTCTAGATCCTTGAGGAATTGCCACACTGTCTTCCACAATGGTGGAACTAATTTACATTCCCACCACCAGTGTTAAAGTGTTCCTATTTCTCCACAGCCTTGCCAGCATCTACTGTTTCTTGACTTTTTAATAATCACCATTCTGACTGGTATGCTGTGGAATCTCATTGTGGTTTTGATTTGCATTTGTCTAATGATCAGTGATGAGCTTTTTTTATATGTTTGTTGGTCACATAAATCTCCTCTTTTGAGAAGTGTCTGTTCATGTCCTTTACCCACTTTTTGATGGAGTTGTTTGGTCTTTTTCTTGTAAATTTGTTTAAGTTCCTTATAAATTCTGGAAATTAGACCTTTGTCAGGTGGGTAGATTGCAAAAATTTTCCTCCATTCTATAGGTTGCCTGTTCACTCTGATGATAGTTTCTTTTGCTGTGCAGAAGCTCTTTAGTTTAATTAGATCCCATTTGTCAATTTTGGTTTTTGTTGCAATTATTTTTGACGATTTCATCATAAAATCTTTGCCCATGCCTATGTCCTGAGTGGTATTGCCTAGATTCTCTTCTGGGGTTTTTATGGTTTTGGGTTTTACATTTAAGTCTTTAATCCATCTTGAGTTAATTTTTCTATGTGGTTTAAGGAAGGGGTGCAGTTTCAGTTTTCTGCATATGGCTAGCCAGTTTTCCCAGCACCACATATTAAATAGGGAATTCTTTCCCCATTGCTTGTTTTTGTCAGGTTTATTGAAGATCAGATGGTTGTAGATGTGTGGTCTTATTTCTGAGGTCTCTATATCTGTGTTGGTACCAGTACCATGCTGTGTTGGTTACTGTAGCCTTGTAATATAATTTGAAGTCAGGTAGCGTGATGCCTCCACCTTTGTTCTTTCTGCTGAGGATTGTCTTGGCTGTATGGACTCTTTTTTGGTTCCATATTAATTTTAAATTAGCTTTTTTTCTAATTTTGTGAATAATGTCAATGGTGGTTTGATGGGAATAGCATTGAATCTATAAATTACTTTGGGCAATATGGCTATTTTCAAGATATTGATCCTTCCTATCCATGAGGATGGAATGTTTTTCTGTTTGTTTGTGTCCTCTCTTATTTCCTTAAGCAGTGGTTTCTAGTTCTTCTTGAAGAGGTCCTTTACATGAGGGTGGAGGAGCTTTCTAGGCAGGGAGAACAGTGAAAGCTTGGACGCTGGGCTGGAATCAATGCCACAGGTATGAAAGCAAGTGGAGGGATTGCTGGACTAGAGTAGGGGTGCGTTTTTGGCAGTAAAAGGAAGTTATGTGAGACTGATGGAATCGCTGTGGAGCCTGATGAAGTCTGCTTGTTAGAAAGGTTAATCGGGCAGTACTGAGGCTGGCCTGGCAGCAGTGACCCTGGTTGTTGCTTAGGCTTTGCTGTCCTTTAGCTGTCCTGTGAAGAGAACTCAGACCAAGGAAAAGATGGAGGAAATAGAGGAGAAGGATGCAATCTGGGAGGCATTTCAAAGCACCTTCCATGGGACTCGATGCCAGATCTTCTAAGGGAATAAAGAGAGAATGTGAACATGATTCTGGACTGTCAAGTTCTGAACTGTGCTTCCCAACCTTCAGGCTGGGATGTTATCTTTGCAATTCTTTGCTACTGTAAAAGAAGGATACTTTTTGGTGATTGTGGTTTTGTTGTTTGTTTAAAGGCAGCTTCCCCCATTCCTTTTCATTATAGCAGTTTTTCAGCTTTTGCTAAGAGGTAATTCAAACATTTAAATTCCAAATCTGTATGTCCATGTAAATAGTGGGGAAATTTTTTTGGCAGGCAATTATTTGTAATGAAATAGTTCTTTATGTAGTTCTGTTTATTAGGCCTTCCCAACAACCCTGTGATATCTATGTAGGTAGGATTATGATGATCATTTCATAGTTAAGGACACAGACTTGGAGATGTGATTCAGCCAAAACTTGAACCCAGGCCTGCTGGCTCCAAGCACAATTCTCTATCTGTCCAACTAAAGCACTTTGCAGGTTTTCTATTTGGTCTTTGGAGGAGATTATCAAACTGATCAGTCTTTGGTTTACTTTGGTTTGACTTTTTTCATATACACTGTGCCAAATTCAGAACGATGCTTCAAAGTTTATATTGGTGGTTTGAAGTAATTATTTCATGGAAAATTGAAAATGCCTCATTAAAAACTGATTTCCTCCCCTGCCTGATTTTCTTATTTTATTGAATCCATATGTTGATCCCAATGGCAACAAACCACACTTCAAATTTCAAATGATGTGAGCAATTTTGCCGTCCATTCCTTTGTTTCTTTGAATGATGAAAAGATTTTTATTTTTTTTCAATTCAATTTCTAAGCCTATTTCTTAAGCAACTAAGCTGAGGCTTTAAAAATGTCCATAGATGAGGTCAGGAGATCGAGGCCATCCTGGCTAACACAGTGAAACCCCATCTCTACTAAAAAAATACAAAAAATTAGCCGGGCTTGGTGGCAGGTGCCTGTAGTCCCAGCTACTCGGGAGGCTGAGGCAGGGGTATGGCATGAACCTGGACTGCACTCCAGCCTAGGTGACAGAGCGAGACTCAGTATCAAAAAAAAAAAAAAAAAAAAAAGTCCGTAGATGACAGAATCATGACCTGGAAGGGGTCTTCAGTGGTCCAAACCCCTCATTTTATGGATAAGAAAACTGAGGCCTAAAGAGAGAATGGGACCTCTTAAAGGATCTCCCATAAGTTGGAGGTTGTTGTAGGGCTGGGACCCATGTCTATAACCTTCCTGTCCTGTGCTTTTTCACTCAACCACTTCAGAGCTGTTCCTTTCCCTGTGGCAGCGTCTCCCAGCCACTGGTGAGCAGTGTAGGGAAGTTGAAAGAGTTCACATTTTAAAGCCGCCATTACCTGGGTTTGAATCCTGGTTTGCTGGCTACCTGGCATGTGACAAACGCATTTAATGCTATAGTCATTTCCAAAGAGAATAATAAAACAGAGTTAATTGGCTAGACCGTCAAGATTGCAGTTACAATTTATCTGCATTCTCTTTTAAACTTGACAAGACAAGTTTTATGATGCTCACCAGGATTTGGTTTTGGCAAAGGAAGCCAAGTGTTCTAGGGGTGGACATAGTAAAAATGGAAGAGATCCACTGCAGCCCAGGCAGAGGCCCCACCAAGCCTGATCCCCCTGCTGTAAAATGAGTTCAGGCACTACTGTTGATGCCATGCATTCTCTGTTGGAAGATAAAACACAAGTATTTCCTGGTGCTGCAGCACAGGGCTAAATTGTGGCGCTGGGGAGGTGAGCCTGAAAACAAAGGCAGATAGAGAAGTCACAGCTCACTGGTGAGGGAGCTAGAGAGTTGTTTTCTTAATACCCTCTGCCTTTGAATCTGCCTAGATTCAAAGATTTAATGGGGCAAAAGGAGTGTTACTTTTATATAACCAAAAAAAAAAAAAACTAAAATAGCTTTAGAGAATAAAATTACTGAAACTGCAACCCTTGACAGGCAATTGCCCTTTAAGAGTTAACTAGACAAACAAGCAAAACAAGCTAACAAATACAAACTCAAGAATCCACGGCTGGAGCACATCGCAGGTCCCCTAATGGCAGGTATGACTAGGCGAGGCACAAGTACACCCGCGCCCATAAGTCAGAAATTATGAGATTCATCCTCCCAAACACAGATGACAGCATCATATGCACATTTGTTTGCATTAAATCAGTACTCACCTCTGCAGGTGCTTACCCTCTATTCAGTTTAAGTGAGCCCTTTGGAAAGAAACTGGGTGTGGGGGTTGTATTTTCTTCCATCACTAAGCCATTTGTTCCACTGTACTTCTTGTGTAAGTCTCAAAAGAGGAGAAGCTATGGCCCACTTGGAGTCAGGCCTGGCTGCCCCAGAAGAGACGGTAATGAGGGCTGGACTCTCATCGGGTTTGAATTTTGGCTCTGCCATTTGTTGTGGGACCTCAGAAATACTTAAAATTCCTGGATTTCAGTTTCCTCATCTGTAAAACTGGGACGCTAACTACTCCTGGATTTCAGTTTTCTCATCTGTAAAACTGGGACGCTAACTACTTCCTCTAATGTGTGTCTACCTAGCACAGCCCGCCCTTAGTAAATGTTTAAATAATCTGAGTCTCAGCCTCTATGGCCTCCCATTTTCTCAAATGTAAAATACATCTGGACTAGAGCAGAATGGGAGGTACAGGATGGAAAGAAAGAATGAGGGAGGGGCTCAAACTACACACACCTTCTCCTGGCTCCCCTCGTCTTGACCTTATATAAAAGCCACACGAAATAGCAGGAAGCTTTCAAGCTTAAACTCTTGGGATTTCCCCTGAATTTCTAACTAGAGATGTAAATTTCCTCATTATGAAATTGTCTACTTAAATATCTGTCCAGGGATAGTTTCAAATGTTTCTAAATATACCCCAAGCATGTAAAGAACTTGTTAGGGTAAAACCTATAATCAATTCCATGTTTGTATTAGTGTGAGGCAGAGAGGATGCCAAGGACTGAATTTGAGGAAAGGAAGCAACAGTGGAGTTCACAGAGAAAGCAGAACTTATTTACATGCTGAAATGATCACAGTATAAGTAGGGAGACTAAAGAAAACTGTAAAATATGGAGAAATTAAAGCTCAAGAACGTGACCTTTTCTTGATTCTCAGTTCCATGAAGAGTTTTCAAAATAACAAAGGTGGCATTTATAACATTTAAAAGAGAGGGCCGTGGCCTCACTTTTCATATTTAGTATATTCTCCATTCTTCATTTTGTGAATTGGAGTTTTGAAAAAATATTACTGTAAAATGTTCTTATACTGGAGGGCCCATTCCAATTAGTGAACCTAGTGCCACAAAAAGCTTTTTTTTTTTCTATCAATGTGTAGAATAAAACCTAAATACCCTTTTATTGAACAAGCATCTGCGGAGGTCAAGCACCGTGCCAGGTGGTGAGGATACAAAGGTGAACAAAATGGACCTGGACACAATCTTGGTGGGAGACAGGTATTGATGCAATAACCATACTGGTGTGGATGGCTTCCCTGAGGAAGGGATGTCCAGCTGGGATCCACAGGATGAGTGGACTCTTACCCGGCAAAGGGAGCCCCAGAGAGGGGAGGGCGAAGGGCATGCTGATATGGCTTGGGGGGATGGTGTTCTGAGAAATGTCTTGAGCACGAGGAGTACCAAGAGAAGTAGACAGTAGCTTCATCCTGCAGGCCTTGCAGACCACATGCTAAAAACCAACCTCAGCTAACCTGGTCCTTCATATCTACCAGGTCCCTCTCAGTGGATGTTAAAAACTCCAGAATTTGGAGGTGGGTGAGGATAAAGAAACCATCCTCACAGCCTCAACACTTGGTCTCGGGTTCGATTCACCCTCACAATCCAAGTTTGATTAGTAAGCAGGAATAAAAACAATCATACATCCTGTCCTGTAAGCTTGGTGAGGCCCCTCCTTCTATTCTTTTGGTTTCTCCAACTGTATCTTCATGGAAAGTTCATGAAAGACAAATGTGACACTCTTCTAGAAGAAGAGTTGAGGTCACCTAAGAGCTTAATTTAAGCAGCAAGAATGCTTTGAACCGGCCACTGAATGAGCCATTTCTCAGAAACAAGCACTAGGAACATTGGGAAGGGTAAAAGATACTGGATTGCTGTAATCACATTGTTGATGCAAGAGTGGGAGTGCCTCTCACTACACTATTTCTAGCCAGTCCACACTCATACAAAACTGATTTCACCAAGGAAAAATAACTTCTAACATCCATTTTGCAAACTCATAAAGTCCTTTGTGTTGAGTGGAAATAATGAGGCTAGCATACCTGTACAAGCCATCTCTGCCTTCTGATTATATTTCGTTTCTGAAATATTATATTTATATTTTGAAATATATCTGAAATATTAATGAAATATAATATCTGAAATATATTTCATTTCTGAATATATATTCCTGTTGGGGCAACTCATTTAATCTACATCCTAAAGCACAGATTAAAAGCACACTCATAAATTCCAAACTGTCTACGCTGACATACCATAAATTAGCAAATTGCAGACAATACAACCTTATAGTTGGTGGTCTTTATTTTAAGAACAGTGAGAAGCTATTGAAGGTTTTAAACTGAGGAGTAATAAGATTTGCATCCCTGGCTGCTGTGTAGGAAGAAGGCAAGACTGGGAGAGAAGAGATCAATTAAGGGACTATTGCAGAAGAAGATGTTGATTCTCCTCTTGAATAAAGTAGAGGCAATTATAGAGTGAGAAGTGGATGGGTTCCTAGGATAGTCAATAAGATCACCAGTACCTGGTAATGGGATAGGAAATGGGAAGTGAGGGAAGAGGTGTCAAGATTGAATATTAGGACTTGGGTATACAAGTTTTCTTGCAGTATTGTTTGTGATGAAAAAAATCCATATATCATCAACATATACAATATGTAGGCCAAGCACGCTGGCTTATACCTGTAATCCCAGCACTTTGGGAGGCCAAGGTGGGCAGATCACCTGAGTTCAGAAGTTCAAGACAAGCCTGATCAACATGGTGAAACCCCATCTCTACTAAAAATACAAAAATTAGCTGGGCATGGTGGTGGGCACCTGTAATCCCAGCTACTTGGGAGGCCGAGGCAGGAGAATCGCTTCAACCCGGGAGGCAGAGGTTGCAGTGAGCCAAGATCATGCCATTGCACTCCAGCCTGGGTGACACAGTGAGACTCCATCTCAGAAAAAGAAGTACAGTATGTAGATACAGTGCAGTACTCTGCACTGATTTAAAAATGAGATGTATGTGTAATGACATGACAGAAATATTCAGGATATAGTCTTAAGTTTTTAAAAACTTGTTGAAGAAAAATGCACTTAGTGTTTCATTTTAATAAAATAGGAATGATTATAATTAGCTCTTAACAGAAAATAGCTGGAAGAATAAATTTTAAACAAATAACAGTGAAGATTATAGGGGCATTTACAAACTATATTTGACATTTCTGTACTCGAGTTTTTGCAACTCTCATGTTTACTTTTGTAGTCAGGGAAAGCAGACTTTGCAGAAGAGCAAACTGCCCTTCTTCTATCATAGAATCTTCTGATCCTCTGTCCTAAAATGATTGCTCCCTCTTCCGAATATCTTCTAGATTGTTAGAGCCAAAAAGGGCTTTAGAGATCATTTAGTTCTACGTCTTCATTTCACACATGAGGAAACTGAGGTCTAGAAGGACTAATGGGGTGGCCAAAGTCACATAACCCTAAATTAAGAGCAAGACCAAGACTAGAACCAAGGGATATACTGGCTTGTGGTCTAGAATTCTTTCTCCTACAAGCAAAGTCTCCTCTAGCACTCACTGTATCTGTGAATAATTTGGCTTTACTTGGAAGGCCTCATAAATAAATATGTCTTTCTCCTCCAGTAAATTTGTGCTTGAACTCAGAGTCAGTGTCCAGTATCACGTTCATGCATTGTGAAACATGCAGTACAACAATTGACAGGCTTCAGTTAGATTTCAGATCTGAGGCAACACTAAAATTTGGGGAAAAGAAAGACTCCCATTTGTGGTTTGTACTTACACAGCACTCTCAGGAGCTCGCTCATGTTCTCTCTCTGTCTTTCACACATACAGTAGGAATAAGTTAGTTGCCTAATTGGTTATGCTGGGGAAATGAACTTTGGGTTCAGGGCATGTCAGTAGGTACCTTCCCACTTGCAACAAAATACCAATATCCCGAACTTCCGGAAGGAAATGGCATGGCCGTTCAACTTTAATCTGTTGATAATGTCAGTAATTTCCCACAACTATATTCAACACTTTCTGGTCCTACAATTCTCATAGGTCCTTTTCACACAGTGTGTCTCAGGGACTGTTTCATATCTCACAGAGACACAGCCAACCCTGGCTTGACTATGGGCGTGGAGCAGTGTTTCACATTGTCAACCCCTCATGTTGTGGGGTTCAGCCAGATGGAGGCTTTTGAATCACTGTTCAGTGATATAAACCTCCTCCTTTGACCGAAATGAGAAATGATGGCTACTTTGTCCCTTGCCTTGTAGCTCCCCAGGGGCAATTAGGGAGTTGCCCCAGCCTGCAAAGGGCTGTGTTAGGATCTCACCTCTGGTGCCTCGTCCTTTTCTTCTCCTCCCCTGAAGCTAATCATGACACTTTTGTCTCTACTGAGCTCCACTTGGCATCTGGTGTTCATCGTCTAAATGAGCTGCTATCTCTAGGAAACTATTCTGCTCTCTGCCTCCCATTTTGCAAATTTGGTGTGTTTGTTTCCAGTGTTTTATTAATTTATTTCAACTGAACATTTTCCATATCCTAAACATTGACATTATTTACGTTACCATCTGCTTGATGTTTTAGACTCTGTATACCCCCCCACACACATATGTTTGTGTAAGATTCAGTTCTAAAGTCTTTCAAACCAGTTTTCTTTTCCAATAGTTAATTCTGTGCGGGTTCACAATGCCTTAAATATTTAAGTATCCATGTAATGCATTTATATTTTTTATCTTAAAATTCGGAAAAAACGTTAAGCCTCATAACTATGATATTCCTTTAAATTGTATTAAACTAGGATTTTGATATACAGTCATGTACCTCATAACAACGTTTGGGTCATATACCTCTTATACAATGTTGGTGCCTTAAGATTATAATACCGTATTTTTACTGTACATTTACTATGTTTAGATATGTTTACAATTGCCTACAGTATTCAGTAGTATAGTCACATGCGGTACAGATTTGTAGCCTAGGAGCAACAGGTTGTACCATCTAGCCTAGCTGTGTAGTAGGCTCTACCATCTAGGTTTGTATAAGTACACTCTGATGTTTGCACAAAAACAAAATCACCTAGCGACACCTTTCTTGGAACATATTCCCATTATTAAGCAATGAATGACTAAATGATATAGGGAGAAATTTAAAGCACTAATTATTTTCTCCTCAGTCAGCTGTAAGTCTGCCTTTCAGTAAGCTTACATTGTTCTTTTCGCAAATGCAGAAATTTATTTCTCAATAAGCTTCTTGAATACCAACTTCACATAGAGACTGTGTAGTAGTCAAGGAGAGAAAGCGTGGAAGAGCAGCCAGTAGACCCTCATTGCAAGTAGAACAGGAAGGAATGTGACTGAACCACACCCCAGTGGATCTTAGAATCAGAAAATTACAAGACAACACATAGAAAATTCCAAGATGACAAGATTGTTGTGCCCTGGAGGGTTATTAAAAGAGTTGGTATTATCTCTATATAACCCAGACCTGGACTGTATATGTGCACCCTCAGAAGTACCTGGAAAATTTTATGTTTCTCATTTCGTTCAGCTATGCCCAGACCAAGCAATAATCTATCGGACTTATATTATTCTTGGTATGACATATAGTTACTGAATTTTCTAGTGAAATGCAAAATATGTTGGATGGACAACAGGATGAGCTATTTGAGTCAGTCTGCTCTGAAACTCAAAGGTTGATGTTCTCCATAACTTGACCCTTCCATATCTGCACACAGACCCATTATCTGCTTTGCCACAAGAACGCTGATCATATTCTCTTCCAAATGGATAAGGCAAAGCATTTTTATGCCAATACTATGACACTTTGGGAGATACAGTTTGTATGCATAAACATTGGGACATTTTGATATTCACTGATTCAGTGATAAATTATTATTCACTCAACAAATATGTATTGAACATCTCCCAAATTAAAACTGCCATGAAAGAGTTAGAACATAGCATCTGTAGATATAATTAAGAGCTACTACCGGGGAACTTGTTTATGTTTCTTAATATCTACAACCAACAGATTAGTACTTTCTAGCCATTTGTTTTTTGATTCATAAAGTTTTGAGAGTAAAGAAATGTAAGAAAAAAATCAATTACCTCACAATCAACTGAGACTGTTTTCCTGCTAGAAATTCCCAGTTGGAACTGATTAAGAAATGTGTGTTTCTGATAAAGGTACAGGTGGAGCCAAAGGATAAAAGGGTGCTGTGTCTTTAAATTTAAAGATATTTTATAATTGTCCTTGAAGTTTCTATTTTCATTTGTTTGCTTTGGGTGGGACATGGAAAATATTTGCCTACTGTATGGTACTAATCTTCATGCATGTGTTTGCAAATTACCTTCCCTGTGAAAAGGGTGGAGGCATTTCATTGGTGATGGCTTTTCTTATTAAATACTTGCAAATGCATGAATTTTCTGCACCAAAAGTTGGTGAGTTCATTTTATATCTGAAAGTCGGGTTTAAGAGAAGATGGCTCAGAAGCTTCAAAAGTGTGAAACTTTAGGAATTAAACATTGGGTTCTCTAGTTATAAATTATCACCGGAGCTACCTTAGTTATATGCTTAGTATTTTCATTGTAAGCCAGTTATTTTCAAAGTTTTGGTGAACCCTAATATTTATTCTAAATTACATTGTTTGAAGAATCTTATTTTGCTTACCTAAGAAGTTTTTTTTGAGATGTAGAAAAGATCTTTAAATTATTTTGAGTGGCTATGTGTGGTTTTCTTCCATAAATTAAAACTTCGATAGTTCAGAAATTATTATTCACTCAACAAATATGTATTCAACATCTCCCATATACTAGGAAGAAAGTATGTCAGCCTTCCTGAAAGCCCACAGCATATTTTTCACAAACAGAGAACTTTAATTTGCAAATAAAATTATTGAATTCTATACTCCCACACCACGTACCTGATGTTTCTAAAAGAAAAACATTAACTAAATTTCGCAGTTTATTTGAGCAAAGAACCATTCATGAATTGGGTAGCACTCAGAACCAAAAGAGATTCCAAGTTCTGCTCCACAGTGAGCAGTGAGCTTACATTGGCTAAACTTGGAAGTAAAATACAGAAATAACTTGATTGGTTACAGCTAGGTATTTGCCATAGTTGAGTATGGTCTGGTCAGTTGGCTGCATCTGATTGGCTGAAACCCAGCTATTTGTTACAAAAAATATTCTCCTAAGTTTTCATTTGTTTATATACTAAATTAGCTTACAGTTTGTTATACAGGAATTCAAAGCACAGAGACAGCCTCAGTCTTTTGACCCCCTGCTTATTTTGCTTTAACAGTATGTAAATGTATTCTAGAATGAATATAATTTCATATATAAACGTAATTTTATTGAGCACTAACTACAAGCTAAGCATTATACTCTGGGATGGTCAGGATACAGAAGTGAACAGAATCCCTGTAATATCTACTGGGAAAGAGGAACATTAAATAATCCTTAAATAAAAATAGAATTTAAATTGTGGAACAACAAAGGAAAGATCAAAGAGGTATATAATATCCTTAAATGGGATCCTGTTTAAATGATTTAAATGGGAGAGGGGAGGGAAGGGAGAAGGCAAGGAAGGCTTTTCAGAGAAAGTGAAGTGCTAAAAGTAGAAGAATGAAGAAAAGTTGGCCAGGGGAAAAGGTGGAGAAAATTGGCTATATACAATTTTAAAAAATAAAGGGAGACTTCATTCTGGGGGCAAGAAACCTGGTTTCTAGCTTAAGAGATGCTAGCAACTGCCCTTGAGCCTGTCTTAACCTCTGGCCTCATTTTCTTTAAGTGAGAAATCTGAGTTGGATAGAAGGATCTAGGATTTCTTCTCTTATTTGATCTGTGATTAATATGTATGGCTACCTTATGGGGAAGCTCTCCAGTGGCTCCGTCTGGGCTGGTTCCTGGAGCTGTCATCATCTTAGTCCACATTCTTTCGGTTCTTGGAAATGGGGAAGCTGCATACTGCGTGTGCCCCTGGCAGGCATTGGCTAGGACTTGCGACAGTCATGCAGTTAGGCTTGAGCGACTTCAGCCTCCTGCCCTACCCATGTCCACAAATTTATCTACATCTGCATCAGTCCTTTCCTCATTCTCTTCATTCTCAGAGGATAAGGTGTTCCTTTTCCTGTTCAAGGCCAACTTTTTCATGTGGACTTAACTTTTATCTTCCATCCTCTGGGATATTGCTTCACCAATTAATTCTGTCTTTGTCCTGAATCTATCAACTCTAACCAAATAAAAGTGGGGGTAAGGGGTGTTGAAAAAATTTATTTCTTACAAGATAAATATGTCTTCCTTTGAGCCTGTTGGCTACTGCCCCATCTCTGTTTCCCTTATTTAAAAATAAAATAATATAAAATAAAATGTCCTAAAGAGTTCTTGAGTAATTGCTGCCTTTAACTGCAATTCCCATTCCAGTTCACTCAACATATTGCTATTTGGTTTTAGTCCACATCGTGACATGAAAACATCACTGATCAATTCTAATGGTCATATTTCACCCCTTTAATTTAAAAACCTCCTTGCTACATTTCAAGCTATTGATCTTGAGGATGTCTTCCTTTTTGAAATTCTCCCTTTCCTTTGATGCTTTTATGCTATTACATTTCTTATTCCTGATTCTTCTCCTACTTCTATGACCAGTCCCTATTTTTCTATCATCTATTATCAAGTTTGACCCTGAGGTTTTCATGATGCAGAATCCAGTTGTATGTTCTATACTATCTATGAGTTATGTCTGCAAGGAAGAGTGTGCAAAGAATTCTGAGTAGGATTAAATGGTAACCATATTCATTGATTCAGGTCAACTGGCAAGGTAATCTGTGGAAGGTTACAGAATCAAAGATGACTTGAGAATTAGATAACAAGTAATTTAAATCTTGGGGACTTAGATGAGAAGACTGAACCCTTCGTAAAGTATAGAGTGTCCGTTCAAGTATACATAGGGAAAATTAGATCCTAAATCCCAGGCTAACTTGCTAGTGAAAATGCGCTAAGAAGGTAACCCCAAATTTTGGGGGAAAGCAAAATTATTTCCTTATAATATAGTGTTCTAACCATGGGAAAACTTAAAATTTAAGTGTAAATATGATGGACTAAATAAAATAAAAATATTTATACTTTTAGATAAGTTTGGGGAAAAGTCTTTAATATTTTAGATATTCATTATGTTTAAGATAATGTGTTAATATGATTAGCCTTGTGATTTCTAATCTAAAATATGTCATTGGATGATTGATTTAGACTTTGTATTTTCAAGTTAAAAATGTTAAGATAATTTTGCTGTATTTAATGCTATATTGAAATGTTTAATGTCTACTACTTTAACCAAGTTAAAAGATCACTCTTCAGAAGATTGACAGAGTTTAGAGAATGTTAAATAGAATATAAGATTTATAGTTGATCTCAATTCAAGGAAAATACATTTTTGGATTTGTTATTTTAATATTAATTTTAAAAACCGAAGTACCTGCAGATAATGCTTTTGAGGGTTGTAGGGGACACCCAGAAAATCTCCTTGCTATCTCCCATTCCCAAGCAGTAGTGTGTCCCTGGTCTTTCTTCTCACCCCACAGTTCTTCCCAGTCTTCTAGGCTCCCTGACCAACCTCTGGCAGTGTCAGAATATATGCACCACTCATAGCTCAAACATACATGATACCCAAATGCCTTTCTCCAGCCCTGCCCCCCTACACAGCTACAGATCCATTAAAAACTACTTCCGGTAGGGCATATCTGCTTGCATATCCCCAGACCCCATCCAACTCAACTCACCTGAAATGCAGTCTATCGGTGCTCCACCTTCAAGCCCACTGATGTGCTCTCCTTTCTGCTATTGTCTCAGCTGATGACATCATCAAGTGCTCTTTCCTCTCTAGGGCAAAGACTGGCTTGGACATTGCTATGGTTTGAATGTGTCCCCCAAATTTCATGTGTTTGAAATTTAATCCTCAATGCAACAGTTTTGAGAGGTGGGATCCTAAAGAGGTGATTAGGTCACAAGTGCCCTGCCATCATGAATGGATTAATGCCATTACCTTGGGAGTGGGTTCCTGATAAAAGGAAGAGTTCTGGCCCTCTTCCCTTCTTTCTTTCTCACGGGTTTCTCTCTTGCCTTTCTACCTTCTGCCATGGGATGTTGCAGCAGGAAGGACCTCATATAAAATAAAAGTCCCCCTGACCTCGAACTTCCCAACCCTCAGGACTGTAATAAATCTCTGTTATTTATAAATTACTCAGTCTCAGGTTGCTATAGCAGCACAAAGCAGGCTAAGACACTTGTCAACGTTGCCTCTCTTTGACCCCCTCAGTGCCTACTACCTGGCAACTGTAGGTACGCAAAAACTCAGTTGATAAATATGAAGCCCAAATAAAAGAGGGAATGACATGAATACCTGCTTTAGGATGAGTGGAAAGGGAAGACTCCATTATCATTTTGGTACTAGCTAATGGTTTCTTTGTCAAAAGGGTAGGAATAGCTAACATTCATTGAGCACCTACTATGTACTAGGTACTTTAGGTGATTTGTGCACATTAACTGAAAGGGTTGGGCTCAGAGAAGTTAAGTCATTCAGGATGATGAAGCTAGTAAGTGACAGAGATGGTACTTAGCGAAGGTCTGTGTAACTCCAGAACCTCTTCAGTGTTCCCACCTCTCCTCAGAATAGCTATTTTCACATTAAATTAGATTTCCTCTGACTGATGTTTTTATGCAGTGGTATTACTGATATAATTATGAAGATCAAGTGGCATGTATGCAAAAACTCAGAATTTAGGGTGTTTATAAAAAATTAGTAGATTTTTTTCATTTCCTTATAAAAGACTTCACATTTTCAGTCAAAATACCAGGGCTTGATCATTTCAAAGATGAATACTGTCAGTTATGGAAGGTACATCAGCAGAATCAGCTCTGCTAACTTTCTTGCTTGACCTACTGATGGTTTAGGAAAAAGCCTTCTCGAGTTTTCCAGATACTGTTAGACCAAGAAGGATGCATTTTAATCAAACTGAACACAAAAGGTTGGGTTTGGAGGAAATGCAACCACAAGAGTGCCTTTTAAGAAATAAAATTGAGAAATCATCCTTCTAACATTTCCTCCTTCCCTCCCCTTTATACAGTTCATAGAAACAATGCTCCTTTTTTTTCCTGTGGAGCACTTCAACCCCAGCACAAAATTAATAAAAGTGGTAAAACTGGAACTGCTATCTTAGCTACATCCACCCCACCCCATCACCATGAAGAATAAACCCTTTAAATACAGGCTGCCAGGTACAAGCTAAAGATTGAGATAATGATCCTTTGCTTCAAAATAAACATTTTTTAAAAATGAGTATTCTAGTCTATATATCTCATTCATGAATTAACTCTGTCACACTTAAAACTACCCTGTTTCTTTTAAGATTTGTAATGTTACAGGAAATTTTGTCTAGTTTCTCTTCAGGAAATTATAAAATTATACCACTTTTAGCAACATTTATGAATTAGTTATTTAGAATATCAGTCCTCTTGAGCTATTTTGTTTAATTAGGTCACATATACAAATTTGAAAATTGGAAATATCCTAGATAAAGATGTAAGAATTATATATGCAGTATTACAGGATAGATTTCTAGAAAGGGGTTCTAGTGAGCAGTAGCTTTTGACTAATAATGTTTAACTAGGGCATAAGGAATTTGAATTCCCAGAACTGCTTTTTACTGTGGCCAAAATTCAAAATAATTTTTATTTTTGTGAAATAATTTTTCTTCAACTACAAGGAAGAGAAAGGAAAAAAACTAAAATATGTATTTTATTTTAAAATACATTATTTAAAATAATTATTTTATTTTACAATACATTATTTAAAATATATTATTTAAAATAATTATTATTTTATTTTAAAATGCATTATTTTAATCACAAAAACTAAAATAATGTATCTGGCTCTATTTTGATTTTGCTAAAATCACAAAAACTAAAATAATGTATCTAGCTGTATTAGGATAATATGATCAATCATTCAAGAGAAACTGGTCTCGTTCTTGCAAGTGTAAGGACCAAAAGGTAAATATATTTAGCACATGGTTTGGTTCTATTTATCATCACTAATGTTCTCATTTTCCAAATGGAAGGATAAAAATGATAACTTACCCAAAGCAGTGAAGCAGATGTGGGACTGTTTAATCTCAGCTCTTCCTTTAAATTGCTCTATAGTCACAGAAATCACTTCTCTGTTCTTTAGTCTATTAACAGATAACATCTTGCCTATTGCTGTAATCCAAAGCCATATCCCTTCAGCATCTTCATAATCATTACTAGATGCTTTAAATCCACATATTTCAAATACCTTCATTCTCCCATCTTATCTGCTCATGTTTATGCAGGCACCTAGTAGCTGTTGAAACAGGATAACACTGTGGCTAAAAGCATGTGCTTTTAGAACCCCTGGGTTCAAATCCCAGCCCTAGAACTTCTTAACCTCTGTGAGCCTCCATTTCTTTGTCTGTAAAACAGGAATAATCATTGTGCTAAAACATAGATGGGATCGTTGTTGGTTTAGAAGCTAGGAATCAAATCAGTATATACATGTGAAGAAATTTTGTATGTTAACCTCTATGAGTTCTGTATTAAAAATAATTTTTAATAAAACATGTTAAAAATAATGAATTTTTGAAAATTACCTTGCCTGCAGCAGGTACCACAGCAGGTGTACCACTTCATGACGGCCACCCACTGGGATAGCTGTAATCAGACAGATGGACAATAACAAGTGTTGGCAAGGAAGTGGAGAAACTGCAACCTTAATACACTGCTGGTGGGAATGTAATATGGTGCATCCATGTTGGGAAACAGTCTTGCAATTCCTTAAAAGTTTAAACACAGAATTACAGTATTCATCAATTCTCCTAGGTAAATATCCAAGGAAAAAAACATACGTTTATGTCACAGAAAGACTTGTACACAAATGTTTACAGCAGCATTATTCATAATATCCCAAAAGTAGAAACAACCTAAAGTTCACTGACTGATGAGTAGAAAATAATACGTGATACATCCATAGAGTAGACTATTGTTCAGCCGTAAAAAGGAACAGAGTACTGATAACATGCTACAACATGAATGAACCTTGGAAACATCATTCTAAGGGAAAGAAACCAGACACAAAAGGCTGCATATTGTATGATTCCATTTATATGCAAGGTCAAGATTAGTCATACAGAGATGGAAAGTAGATTGGTGATTGCCTAAGGCTGGGGAGAGCAAGGGGATTGGGCAAGATGGCTAAAGTTGATGGCTATGGGATATCTTTTGGCAGTGATAAAAATGTGCTAAAATTTATTGTGGTAACGGTGGCACAACTCTGAATATGCAAAAAAAATTGAAATACTTTATTTAAATGGGTGAATTATAAGGCACATGAATTGTATCTCAATATAGCTGTTAAAAATAATAATAAAGTGGCAGACTTCTAAGGAATTTCGGTAACCTTCTAAACTTAAAAGTTTTTAGACAAGAGATCAATAGACATCTGTTAATTACCCCATCACAGATATGCCAACCAATCCCTAGGCTTTGACTTCCCAGTAGCTTTTGTTTGGGAATTTACCTTGCCTACAGTAGCAGTCTTCCTGTGGGTAAAAACAAGAAACTTCAACCCTGGTCTTTGTTTAATAGTTAGGTTTTTTTCTAATTCTAAAATATGTACAGATTGGGAAAAACCCAGAAAAAATATGAGTTCAAAGCATAAATTAAAGACATAAATTATCCTGTGATCTGCGAGCAGTATCCCTCCCTGGCTCCTTTTCAGGTTGGAAAATCTGATTTTAGAACTTAGGTTTTAGAGAACCGAGTTCTTACACCAAGTACATACAAAAACTGCATCTTTACAAAATCGTCTCTAAATTGATCACTTGGACCTGAAGAGCTCATCTTTCCAAAGGCGATTTCCAGTCTTGTATGGATTGGAGAATGCCCAAATGTACTAATTTTTTTATTTTTATTTTAAAAACACCCCCCCCCACCGCCACTTACTTTGTGCTGCCATTAGTGATCTCCCCTACCCTGCCCCACAATTTACACAATGTTTTTCTTCCTATGTTACCTTTGGACCAGGTTATGGTCTTCTTTATTATTTATCTAGTTCCAATTTCCCTAGCCTAGACACAGCCCTCTGAAAATAATGGCTGATAAGGGAAATGGTGCCCGGATCTCTAGGCCCGGAGCCAGTTCACTGGGAATCATACTCTCCCAAGGCTCTTAATGTAGGTCTGACTTGATGTGACAAGTGAATATAGTAGCCTATTCTTTGTTAGAAAAAAAAATGGATTAATTATTTGGCTGAAGTCCGCCAAACAGAGGTTGGCCCTTAAAGGAACAAATACTTCCCGTTGTTTTAGATCGTCCTTCAAGCAAGGAACTAAAATAATGTAAATATAACTCAGATAAAGAGACTCTTTACGCTTCTGTTTGTTCACAGGGGAAATGCTTATTTACAATGTGCCTTTTAAAATTATTTTCCTGAGTTGGTCTTTTGGTCAAGGAAATTAAATTGATAACAAGACGTGCTGTTGTCCATAGGGAATCCATTTCTACAAAGACAAATAACTACAAGCAATCTCATCCCATTAACTCTGTGGCCACTTTCTGCCTCCCCCCTCTCAATATTTGTTACTTCTTTTATCAATGATTATTTTTTCATGGGAAGGTGTCTTCTTTTCTCAAATGGCTATAAATTTTTAAGTATGTCCCGTAAACATCTTGTCATCCCCCACAGTACCTTAAGTCAAGTCTTAAATATATCCTGATTAATTATTTGCCAATAGGCATAGGTAGCCTTTCTTCCTTCAGTATTGGCATTAGTAGTCTAATTACTTAGTCTTATGGCTTTCTCAAGTTAAAATCAGAATTACACTGTCTACAGCAAAGCAGAAAATGTCATATCTACAGAGCAGCATTTTCAGAGCACCATCAAAACATTAAACAGGCTGACTAATGGGATATGCCTGTTCATGGTACTAGTCTTTCAAGTCTTTTCTGGGTTTGAAAGTTTTCAAAATCAAAAGATTTTTAAGAAATTAAACATCTAATTTCATCTCCAGAACTTAGATGCAATATTAATATCTCTTCTATATTCAGCTTTTCAGATGGGTTCTTTATTTCAAAGGATGCTAATTTATAGCAAATAACTACATGTTCCTAAGGACCCAAAACCTTTTTTCTTTACTCTTGCTCATTTTATTTTTTTTTGTAAAATTTTTTCACATTGTGTTTCAGATAGGCCCTCCCCAAACTTTCATAAATTAATGAGTATTCCACAGACATGGAGTTTTTAGTCTAGAAGAGTTAGATTCAAGAATTAATGAAATAATCACACAAACGCAAATTTTCAGTAGGAACAAGTATAATATGAATCAATAGTAGAAAGATTTGATCCAATAAGGAAAGTAAAGGAAGATTTATCTGAGGGAGGCAGTGGGCGCTAACCAGGCAGGAGGCACAGCATGTGCAAAGGCTCGGTGGCAGGCAGCAGCAACACAGTGTGAGGTTGATTACAAGAAGACCTATGAATTTGGAGCCCAAAGAGGAAGATAGTTCAAGATGAGAGCTTGAAGGAATGGGTAGAAATTTTTTCTTCTCATCCTGGAAGCAAAGGGAATCTACTGAAAGATCTTTAAAAACAAGAAGCTGTTATAATCAGACCTAAACTTAGACAAGATTACTTCATTTGTGCTGTGGAGAACTCACTGGAAGGCATCCAATAGGCAGATCAGTCAGAAAGGTTTTGCAGTAGACTAAGCAAGAGACATAGGCAATTTGGTCATTTTGGTAGAAAGAAGTGAATTAATTCATGAAGTATTTATAAAATAAAAGTGTTAGGCAATGTTACAGTTCAAGTTTCAGTGGGGAATCAGATAGAATTGAATGATTCAAGGAATCTTTAAAAGAGAAAGTCATCAGAAATTGGCAGTGCATTAGAAATGAAAAGAGGAAAGGGAGGTCGTAAGAGTTAAAGAGGAAGGAAACACGAAACACAGCTGGCAATTAAAGACAGGTTTTCTTTAGTTAAAACCTGAGAGGAGGCCAGGTGCCGTGGCTCACGCCTGTAATCCCAGCACTTTGGGAGGCCAAGGCGGGTGGATCACTTAAGATCAGGAGTTCGAGACCAGCCTGACCAACATAGTGAAACCTCGTCTCTACTAAAAATGCAAAAATTAGCCGGGTATGCTGGCACGTGCCTGTGATCCCAGTTACCTGGGAGACTGAAGCAGGAGAATTGCTTGAACCCGGGAGGCGGAGATTGCAGTCAGCTGAGATCGCTCCGCTGCACTCCAGCCTGAGCAGAGAAGCGAGACTCCATTAAAAACAAAAAACAAACAAACAAAAAAAACTGAGAGGGGCTCCTAGCCAATGCGGTCAGGAGCACTTTCTCTTACAGACTAAGAGTATATATTTGTTTTAGGGTGAGGGGGCTTGTCACAAGCTTGGAATGTTTCTGTGTGTGGAGAAGTTCATGGCAGGGTTGGAATCTCTCTGGGTGGAGGATTATTTTGGGGCAGACATCTTTCCAGCCCAGAGGTGGGTTATCTTAGGCTAGCATCTTCCCGCCCCAAGGGGGCTTTATCTCGGGGCTAGAATGTCTCTGGGAAGGGAGGAGTTTGGAATGTTTCTGGTTGGAAATGTTATTTGTGGTTTACGGTCATGCTGACCTTAGCCATTAGGCTGATGCCTTTTGGATTTAGGCAGTTTTTTATTAAGGTGAACTTTAGAATAAGAGGCTTATCCAAGATGATGATGCTCCTGCTCTGTCAGAGGTGTCAAGGATGACACCGGGTCATATAAATCATGCTAATAATGTGCACGTCAGCACATTAAAGGCTCTGAGGAGTCCTACAGCAAAGTAACCTGGCTAGCTATCTAATCCAGCATTTCCCCAAATTATTTGAACCTAGATTACCCTTTTCTTTTTCTGGCAACAATTACTAACTTCCTCAAAATATACATGAGACAACTGAGTTAGCCTAAGATGGGCTTTTTTTATTTAAAACAATTTCAAATTTTTTCACATTTTTGTTTGAAACCCTGTGTTAGTCGGCTAGGGCCGGGTGGATCACGAGGTCAAGAGATCAAGACTATCCTGGCCAACATTGTGAAACCCTGTCTCTACTAAAAAAAAAATACAAACCTTAGCTGGACATGATGGCGTGCACCTGTAGTCCCAGCTACTTGGGAGGCTGACGCAGGAGAATCGCTTGAACCCAGGAGGTGGAGGCTGCAGTGAGCCAAGATCGCACCACTGCACTCCAGCCTAGGCAACAGAGCAAGACCTGTCTCCAAAAAAAAAAAAAAAAAAAAAAAAAAAAAAAAAAAAGAAGTCCAAGATCAAGGTATCAGCAGGTTTGGATTCTCCTGAGGCCTCTCTCCTTGGCTTGCAGATGGCCACCCTTTTGCCGACTCTTCACATGGTTATCCCTCATACTGTGTGTTGTCTGCATGTTCTAATCTCCTCTTTTTATAAAGACATCAGGTTGGTTTAAGACCTATCCTAATGGCTTTGTTTTACTTTCATTTCCTCTTTGAAGGCTCTATCCTCAAATACATTTACTTTCTAAGGAGCTGCAGATTAGGGCTGTGATATGGTTTGGCTGTGTCGCCACCCAAATGTCATCTTGAATTGTAGTTCCCATAATCCCCACGTGTCATGGAAAGGACCCGGTGGCAGGTAATTTAATCATGGGGGCAGTTTCCCTTATGCTATTCTCATAATAGTGAGTAAGTTCTCATGAGATCTGATGGTTTTATAAGGGGTTTCCCCCTTTGCTTGGCTCTCATTCGCCTTCCTTCTGCCATGTGAGGAAGGAAATGTTTACTTTCCTTTCTGCCATGATTGTAAGTTTCTGGAGGCTTCCCCAGCCAAGCTGAACTGTGAGTCCATTAAATCTCTTTCTCTTTGTAAATTACCCATCTTTGGTATGTCTTTATTAGCAGTGTTAGAATAAACTAATACAGCAAATTGATACGGGGTAGTGAGGTACTGCTGTAAAGATACTAAAAAATGTGGAAGCAACTTTGGAACTGGGTAACAGGCAGACGTTGGAACAGTTTGGAGGGCTCAGGAGAAGACAGAAAAATGTGGGAAAGTTGGGAACTTCCTAGAGATTTGTTGAATGGCTTTGGTCAAAATGCTGTTAATGATATGGATAATAAAGTCCAGGCCGAGGTGGTTTCCAATGGAGATGAAGAACTTGTTGGGAACTGGAGTAAAGGTCACTCTTGCTATGCAAAGAGACTGGTTGCATTTTGCCCCTGCCCTGGAGACCTGTGGAACTTTGAACTTGAAAGAGATAATTTAGAGTATCTGGCAGAAGAAAATTCTAAGCAGGAAAGCATTCAAGAGAAAGCAGAGCATAAAAGTTTGGAAAATTTGCAGCCTGGTGATGCAATAGAAAAGAAAACCCTTTTTCTGGGGAGAAAGTCAAGCCAGCTGCAGAAATTTGCATAAATAATAAGGAGCCAAATGTTAATCACCAAGACAATGAGGACAATGTCTGCAGGCCATGTCAGAGACCTTAATGGCAGCCCCTCCCATCATAGGCCTGAAGGTGTAGGAGGGAAAATTGTTTTCATGGGCTGGACCTGGGCCCAGGCTCACCTGCTCTGTGCAGCCTCAGGACATGGTGCCCTGTATCTCAGCTGCTTAGTTCCAGCCATGGCTAAAAGGGGCCAACATACAGCTTAGACTGTTGCTTCAGCTGGAATGAGTTAAGACTTTGAGGGACTATTGGAAAGGCATGATTGTGTTTTGAAATGTGAGGACATGAGATTTGGGAGGGGCCAGGGGAAGAATGATATGGTTTGGCTGTGTCCCCACCCAAATCTCATCCCGAATTGTAGTTCCCATAATCCCCATGTGTCATGGGAGGGGCCCAGTGGGAGATAATTGAATCATGGGGGCAGTTTCCCCATGCTATTCTTGTGATAGTGAGTAAGTTCTTATGAGATCTGTTGGTTTTATAAAGGGCTTCCCCCTTCACTTGGCTCTCATTCTTCTTCCTGACACCATGTGAAGAAGGACAAGTTTGCTTCCCCTTCTTTCATGATTGTAAGTTTCCCAAGGCCTTCCCAGACAGGCTGAACTGTGAGTCAATTAAACCTCTTTTCTTTATAAATTACCCAGTCTCGGATATGTCTTTATTAGCAGCGTGACAATGGACTAATAAAGGCTGCAACATATGAATTTTGTGGGGACATCATTTAGCCCATCACCACCCTAGAGGCATAAACCTCTTTTCTAGAGCCAGTGCCATCTTTGTTCCTCCACACCCTACACCACAGGCAAGGTCTGGTGGTCCAGTGTCATGAAGAGTCATCTTATGTCTCCATCCTCAGCACTCTTCATGGTGAGTCCCAATACATGCTACGGCAAGATTTCTATTACTTAGATTCGCTATTAGTAAACCTGTAACATACCAACAAGGATAAGGAAAAAGGAGCCAACAGTATTCCTGATCACCCCTATACGCAGATATCAAAGATGGAGGTGTTAGTGGAAGAGAGGCAGTGCTTCTGGATTTTTTTTCCTAATGATATGAAACCAGCATTTCACCTTGAAGCAGAAGAGCACCTAAGTCCAGGTGAACACCACTCTGCTCTGCTTCCCTGTGCCAGCAGTCCAGAAGTCCAGCATCCACAGAGCCAGGTCTCATCTATGTGGGCTGGGAGGTGAGCAGTTTGTGAGATGCATGGGAACTAAAGTTCAAATTCTTACACCACCCTCCACTCAGAATGTAAGTCATTTGACTTTTCTCTGTTTCTTTTCCTGGGAGGATGGCTGAGAGGATTATGTTCATGGATCATTCTGCTTTTAAAAACAAAACTGAAACACTCTTCCCACATAAAAGTAAGATCTTCACTCATCCCATTACCAGCTGACTAGTAAAGTAATGGTATGGTCTGAATGTCTGTGTCTGCCCGAAATTTATATGTTGAAATCCTAACCCACAAGATGATGGTATTGGGAGTGTATTAGTTCATTTACATGCTGCTGATAAAGATATACTTGAGACTGGGTAATTTATAAAGAAAAAGAGGTTTAATGGACTCACCGTTCCACATGGCTGTGGTTCCACAATCACGACAGAAGGTGAAAGGCACATCTTACATGGCAGCAAAGAGAGAGAATGAGAACCAAGCAAAAAGGGAAACCCCTTATAAAACCATCAGATCTCATGAGACTTATTCACTACCACGAGAACAGTATTGGGGAAACCATCCCCATGATTCAATTACCTCCCACGGGGTTCCTCCCACAACACATGGGAATTATGGGAGCTACAATTCAAGATGAGATTTGGGTGAGGACACAGCCAAACCATATCAAGGAGATAGGGCCTTTGTGGGGAGCATATCATGATATGCCAGCTCCCCTTTGCCTTCCCTTATGATTATCAGCTTCCTGAGGCCCTCCCCAGAAGCAGATGCTGGAACCATGCTTCTAACAGCCTGCGGAACTGTGAGCTAATTACATCTCTTTTCTGTATAAATTACCAAGACTCCAGTATTTCTTTATAGCAATGAAAAAATGGCCTCATAAAAGAGACCTCAGAGAGTTAGCTAGCCCCTTCCACCATGTGAGGACACAATGAGAAGGCACCATCTGTAAACCAGAGAGTAAGAGCTCACCAGACATCAGATCTGCTGATACTTTGATCTTGGACTTCCCAACCTCCATAACTGTGAGGAATAAATTTGTCTTGTTCATCAGCCACCCAGTTTATGGTATTTTGTTAAAGTAGCCTGAACAGATTAAGAAAAGTGGTTAGAGAGTCAAAACAGTATGGATGTGTTATATCCACAACTCATAAATTCAATCTAAGAAGTGAATATTTTATTTATTATGTTGCATGCTATTTTATATTCTGTATTCTCCACTAGCCCCAAAGTGATTGGAACTTTGACTTCAGGTTTCCTATGTTTCTAGTTTCAGCTAGTCTTTTAAATATCATCACATGATCTTTATTGGAGTTAAGTCCCAAATGAATAACAAACCAATGAAAACTTCCTGCTTGTTTTCTGATCAGGTATTGTTTATGTTAAGGAAGGTGCTATGGTTTGCATGTGTCCCCCAAAGTTCATGAGTTAGACACTTAATCCCCAGAGCCACAGTGTTGAGAGGTGGGGCCTTTAGGAAGTCATTAGGTCATGAAAGCTCTGCCCTCATGAATGAATTAATGCCATTATCTTGGGAGTGGGTTCGTTATCTTGGGATTTCTGATAAAGGGATGAGTTTGGCTCCCTTCCCTTCTCTGTCACAGGTGCTCTCTTGCCCTTCCACCTTCCCCCATGGAATGACACAGCAAGAAGGCCCTCATCAGATGGGGGCCCCTTGACCTTGACTTCCCAGCCTCCAGAACTTTAAGAAATAAATCTCTGGTCTTTATAAATGACCCAGTCTCAGGTATTCTGTTGTAGCAGCACAAACAAAGACAGGAAGAGCCAGAATTTTTTTTTTTCCTCTTAAATCCTATTAAGCCTCAGAATCTGCATACTGCTTTTTGGAACCTGAATACCACCAATTGAGTCATTTTATGAAATGTGTCCACTGTCTTATTCTAACATAATGGTCAAAAGATGTTTAGTTTGCATGTCAGTCAGCTACTTCCCAAGAAGATATTGTTTGACCTGGCTTTTCTACAAGCTCACTGTCCTGTCCTAATAGCAGGACAGGGATCCATGAAAATAGAAGGAACTGAGCAGATTTCCCTGAACTTGGTAGGCATGGGTTATTACAGCTAGTCTAGCTCTGGCAGGTTCCCCCTGTACATAGCCAGTAGTTAAGCACCGTATCATGAATCAGGTTTGAATTATCGCCTCTATTCATAGCACAGAATAAGTTAATTTGAGACGGATATGTCTTTGTTCAAGGTAGACTTATTGCCTTATTTTTTCCTAGTAGATATTTACTAAACTCATATGTTCTTTCTAGTGCTGCCACGTCTATACCATTGCTCCTGAAATCTTAGTTCAAATCCAACTTCTGCCACTTTAGCACCTTGTCATTTTATCCATCTAAGCTGAAATTCAAAGCCTCTAACTCCTACTCTTAGGTGAAGATTTTTTTTTCCCTGATCTCTTCTCACATGTGAGACTTTGTGGGTATCAGGAGCCATGGGGACTAGGCAGCCTGGTAATTACATTGTTTACTTCCTAGTTTCACACAAAACCAAGTCAATCCTGGGCCTGCCACCAAGCACCCTTTAGGGAAATATATTTCAAAAAGCTTCACTGAAACCACTTATTTATTGACATTCAGAGACAGTTAATCATTCTGCCGAGCAAGAAACACTTAGACCAAACAAGAAACAGCCCAACCTTTCAAGCACCGAGCCTTTGTCAAAGGTTTATTGAGAAAAGAAAGGCACAAAAGAACCAGCGTTGCCAAACTCGGGCAGCCATTGTCAACCCTTTGCCAAGTGATAGTATCATATGGCATCAGACATGAGCTTAAGAAAGAGAAAAAAGGAGGAAGGAATAAGCTTTCTTTCCATATATAAATCAGATTGAAGTTACTGTTCCTTTTTGGGACTTTCAGTGTTTATCCTCTTTCTGGAATATATTTTCCTTCTTCTTGCTTCAGCTCACCATCCCCAAAACATACACATGCACACACATGCACATTGTCCCATACCTTCATAATATATTTGAATGATACAGTCTGCTAAAATTACTGTCACAGACATTATCTTCATCTTGGACACCTGTTTGTTCTAGTTCCTGGCTGCCTGGAAGTTCTGAAAACGTGACTCAGCCTAGAGCTTTTTGTTAAACCATAAGGAAAGCTACTAATTTCTCTACACAGAGATAGCATGTATAAAGTAATCACCACTGTGATCCAGAAATGGTGATGTCTACACTGGGAGTGATTGATGGTGGTTATTACTGGGGTGGAGATGGTACGAGTGACATCTTAAGATACATTTATTAAAATGGGCCAAGAACCACATGAAATGCTTTGCTTGTTTTGAAGTAGGTTTCTTTGCCCAAAGGTTAAGGAAATATTTCAAAAAGGCAAAAAGAGATTGACCCCCACACACTCTCTTATTTTCTGTATGAACATTTTCAAGCTACAGAAAAGTTGAAAGAATTGTACATGAACTACACTCACCACCTGAAATCTACAACTAAAATTTTTCATATTTGCCTGATCACATATGTAACCATCTAACCATCCCTCTATCAAGTAATGTATCTTTTTATTTAACTGTATTTCAGAGCAAGTTGCAAACATCAGTTCATTTCACCCCAGCACTTCAATATGCATTGCATTAACTGTAAGTTTTTTTTATGGTTATCTTCTTTCCCTTCTTCATCCTACCCTGGTATAATTTACATACAGTGAAATATACAAATTTAAGTGTATTATTTGGGAGTTTTAACTGTATAACTCAAATTTCCATCAAGATATATAGAAAACATTATCATTACCCAGGAAAACCCTCTTGCTGTTTCCAATCAATCCTTGTCCCCAGCCCCATGGAGTCAATGACTGTTCTAATTTTTAAAAATCACCACAGATTAATTTAGCCTGTTCAAAACTTCATATTCATGAATCATACATTTATATCACACATTTGTATGATTACATATATACATATGTCCTCCTTTGTGTAAGGCTTCTTTTACTCAGCCTGGTTTTGTGTTTTGTTGATGTTGCATGTTTCTTTTTCTTTTTTATTGCTCAGTAGTATAATATTTTATTGCTCATTCTTTTTTATTGCTTAGTAGTATTTCATTGTATGACTACACCACAGTGTTTTTTACTATTGTTGGACATTTGGATTATTTCAGTTTGGGGCTATTATGAATAAAGCTAATATCAAGACTCCTGTACCAGTCTTTATGTGCACTTTTGTGTAAATATCTAGGAGTGGAAAATTGCTAGGTCATAGAGTTGTTCCATAGCCTTCACATCCAGGCCCTGTTGGGCTTAAATTTTCTTGGAAGAGCAATTTCCAAATCCTTTCAAGTCCAGAATATTTTTTTCACACAGCAATAGTAAAATAAGACAATAATAGTTAATTTTTAGGTCCAAAATGTATTTATTTTCCATATGCTTAAAGGCAGTGTATTTCCTAAAAGACTAGTTTCAAACCAGTGTATTAAGACACATTGGCATATGAATTAGTGGGAGAATCAAGATTTGGAACATTGTAGGCAACTCGAGCTTGTCACATGATAGCTGGTGGCCCCACAGTCATGCCATGTGATAAATCCATGTAGGCAACAACAACAAAAAAACCCAAACGGCCTGCATTCTGCCTCTTGACATCCACAAAGCACTTGGATATTGGAACACTGCTAACAAAAACCTGTGGGTCTACATAGGCTTGCCAACAGAAGCAGCAGAAGTAGCCAGAGTATAACCTCTGCCTTACTTCCTTCTACCTTTCTCTTCTTGCATTCTACTGTCTGAATCTAAGTCAGTGTGGGAACTCTCCTGCCAGAGCACCTGGGAAATCTGGATGAAGATACCAGCATCAGTCTACCTTATTCCTCACCTATCTCCCCTCCCATGCTCACAAATCCTGTTCCATCACCTCTGGCCTGCTGATAGACCTTCTTCAAGTGATTATCTCCCCGCTTTCCTCCGTCTTTAACCTCTACCTTTTCTTCCATCTCCTATCAACATAACCTAACAACTTGACTCTTCCAGTGTAAACCTCCCTTAGTCCTCCAGTTGACCCTTGAACAACACAGGTTCAAATGCATGGGTCCACTTATAAGTGGGTTTTTTTCAACCAAACCCATTTAAAAAACACAGTGTTACTAGGATGTGAAACCCACGTATATACCAAAGGCCAGCTTCTCCTAAGCGGTTTCCTAAGTGGTTCCTCAGGCCACCTGTGATAATTGAGTATGCATGGATTTTGGTATACGCAGAGGTCCTGGAAGATTGCCGGGGCTTAGGGGAAGAAGGAAATGGGGATTGCTGTTCAATGGGTATAAAGTTTCAATTATGCAAGATGAATAAGTTCTAGAAATCTGCTGTATAATATGATGTCTGTAGTTAACAATACTGTATTGTGCACTTAAAATTTAAGAATGTAGATCTCCTGTTAAGTGCTCTTACTACAAGGAAATAAAAGTCATGTATAAGAAATTCTATAATTTTTCATACACTAAATTCTTATGTATGCTATGGTCTCATTTTGGGGGAAGGAGAGAAAGATTTGCTCTATATCATTGTTATGTCTCTGTTTTTTTGCCCTAGCTTTTGGGGAGATTTTAGCCATAGATAGCTTACCACCCTAAAATAGCACATTCCTAGGATGATAGTCTTCTTAATTAATTTTTCAAATGTGAATTACACATACAATAATATAACATTCCACTTCATATAGTCATTTAATTATAAAAGTTTTAGCATAAACACAAAAATTAGAAAAATAAGGTTACATTTTTGGGTGAGAGAATTGTGGGTGACTCTGAGGTATGGTTCTGCAACTTATGTAAGGAGCACACCAATGTATTTTTCTGTCTTTAATGCAAAAAGTATTTATTGAGCACCTTCTCTGTGTGCCAGTTGTTGTTGAAGACCTGGGATGACAAAAAATAAATAAGTTTCCCTAAACCAATGATTAGACTCCTTGACTTGACACTAGCAGGGTTTTTCCAGCACAGATAAATCTGGCAAGCAAAGGAAAGCTTTAGTGTCAGATCCAAAATGTTAGTGCAAATGAATGTAACCTGAGATTGTCCTAAATGGGATTGCTGTAGCCAACGCATAATATGTTCTTTGACCTTCTGAGATTGACTGAACCAAATTTGTCATGAGAAATTGTCTCCTCTTAGATCTCCTATCATTCTTAACACTAGATTACATAACTTAAAAAAAAAGAAAAGAAAGAGGATAGAAAAAAAGAGTGTCATGAATCAATCTAAGATTCTTGTGAATCAAATTATATTCTTTGTATCTATTTTTAGAGAAGGTAATTGAAACTCAATTTTCAGCACTGTATACTCAGTTTTCATTGCTCTCCTGTATGTTAATGCATAATTCTCATAACAACCATATGGAATAGGTATTAATATCCCCCAATTTATGGGTGAGGAACCATAGGAATAGATTAACTGACTTACACAAAGTCGTAAAGTTAGTAACAGGAGGTTTGAACCCAGCAATCTTAATCAACCCGGCATTTTTCTCTTAAATGTAGAGACCCCTTCCCCTACTTTCATATTGGTATTTTTAAAAGACTAGACTCATGTTCTTCCTTTTCATGTACTAGAAACGTGTAGGAGTGACTTGGCCAATGCTACCAAGAAGAGCGTTGACTTTAATGCAAACGTCTACCCGCGTTTGTAGTAGTTTCCTTTCTTTGTCCCCTGCCAGGTTCTCAAGCAGAGCTTAACTCATGGAGACAGGTAAATATTAACTTTTAGGTCAGCATCACCATACGTCACACACAAGAGTCTAAACAGAAGGGTACTTTGGTCTCTCCCGGCTTCTCCTCTCACCTGGACAGAGGAAGATAGAAATGCAGCCTCCTTTGTTTCTCTAAAAATCAGAAGATGGCTTTGCCACCTTCATTTGATGGGATCAGATTGTGTTTTTGCATGTGTGTGTATAATACATACCAAATTTTAATGATCAAAATAATCAGGGGACTCTACTCCCAGTTACCAGATTTCTGTGTGTTTGTGTTCAAAAGTACAGACACATGTACAAAGAAATACAATAAACAAATGTAGAGTTCAAGGGACATTAGAAATTAGTACAATTCTATTTATCAAAAGGGAAAGGGAGTACCCCCAAAATTGTTTACCAAAATCACATAGATTCTATTTTGATAAAGTCTTTACTTTTTAGCTCTATTTATACTATTACACTTTAAATCATTTTTTAAATTTTATCAAAGTTATATACTAGAATATAAAGAGCCTGCAGATTTCATAAGGTTCCTTAAGGAAAAGAGCAGTCCTCAGCCAGCCAGCCTACTTCCAATCCACCTTCCTCAAACCACTTTCCACTCTTTGCCTGGTATTTACTTCCTGACACCTTAATGTCAAGTGTTCCTCCTGATTTTTTTACTTGGGATATTGTACATTGACTTTCCGCTATGGAAGATGATGGCTTAGCTCTTTATTCTCTCTGTCCACACCACAGGCAGTTAATTCCCATCCTCATGATATAATTATATCTCGATTTCAATTAGAAAAATATTCAATTTACATTATTCACATTATTATGACTATATGTGATATTCAGAAATGGGGCATATGCTCAACTATATTTTTGTGGGAACACAATATCCCTGGAGTTAGTTTTTTTACTTGTTTGTATGGTTTTATCTGTTTTTCTTGTGCATTTTTTTAACGTACTTAGCTTTCATTAATAATATTTGCCAATTGTTAATATTCTTTCAAGATGTTCAGTGAGTCCAGCAGTTTCCTACCAGGTACCTTATCAATTCTTATCAGGTATCTTATCCTATGTTGTAAAATTTCACAATGATATCCCTTGGTGTGAGTTTATTTCCATCTACTGGGCACTCAGTGGTCCTTTGAATCTAGAAAATCTACCCTCCAGTTTGGGGGAATTTTCTTGAATTATTTTCTTGATGTTTTCTTCTGTGGGTTTTTATTTTGTTTTATTTCACTTTCTAGATCTTCTAGAATTATTGGATTATCTGCCTTTATCTGTCCTCTTATCCATTTATTTGTTTTTTCACTCTAATTTCTTTATTTTAATTTACATTCCTTTGATGGAGGTTTTTATATAATGCTATCATGTTTTTCCTTTCTAAGAGGTCCTTTTTTATTCTCTGAATGGCCTTTTTGTAGAAGCATTATTTTCTTGCTTCATTAAGCAAATATGGACACAGGTCTATATTTTTATCTTTGTGAATTATTTTTTCTTTTTTTTTTCTTTAGGTGGAGTCTTGCTCTTTCTACCAGGCTGGAGTGCAGTGGCGTGATCTTGGTTCACTGCAACCTCCGCCTCCCAGGTTCAAGTGATTCTCCTACCTCAGCCTCCCAAGTAGCTGGGATTACAGGTGTGCGCCACCACTGAATTTTTTAACAATCATCTTTAAATTTTTCTTTTACCTCCATAGTTTCTGGTCCCTCCAGATTGTTTTTGGCTTTCCCCGGCTACCTGATAGTCATTGGCGTTCTGCTCATATATAAGAGCAAGGGACTAAAACTGAAATTCTGAACATCTTCTGAGACAGGAGCATGGCATCTGGTCTGAGGAGGTGCTCAGCCTCACTGATGGTGATTCTCACTGGAATGATCTGGCTGAGCCAGTTGTTAGGGAGCTTCCAATGTCAGTGTCTTCAGGTACTTCTGCATAGTTGGTTGGATCCTGTAACAAAGCTCTTCCAAACACTTGCCTGGAAGGTATGGACCTTGCTGCCAGGAGGTGAAGGATGAAGGTGAAAAGGAGACTTGGGTAATCTCCCTATGCTTCGGGCATATTTACTTAATCCTCCTATCTTACATAGTATCCCACGTTGGATATGCCTGGTACATCTCCCAATTCAGAAACCTTCTGGTTTGGCCCTCACCAAAGGATAAACTTCCAGACTTCTGCTGAGGTAGAGCAGGTGTACTTGCCCAGGTGACTGCAGTAAGGGAAGACTAAGCATGTCAGCTGCTTCTTAAACACAGTTCAGCCACTCCTCATTTTGGCCTCAGCCTCCTACTCTGCCTGAGGTACCTGCTGCTGCCACCGATCCTAGTGCCTTTTGAAGACCCTCTGCTGTAAATTGGTGCCACTGCCAGCCCTGGTTCAGCTTTCTCAGGTCCACTGAGTGACCACTCATCTGCCTACTTCCTAGCTTCCAAAATGCTGTTACTGTCATCTCTCCTAGTTATTGATATGTGTGTGTGTATGTGTGTATGTATGTATATGTGTATAGATATATATATGTATATGCGTCTATATATGTATATATGTATTTATGTGTATATATGTAGATGTATGTATGTATATACCTTAAATCTGTAATTATTCTGCTTTTAATAAGATTCAGGAAGAGGCCAAACTTGCTGAGTCTGTTCAATCCACTGTCTTTACCTGGTGTTTCACCAAGACACATTTAAATAGAGACAGTATTTACCAACATATCTACACAGAGGTCCAACAACATGTAATTATCTGTTCTAATTCATGGTGAATTACAGTATTTAATAATATTTTTTAAAATTATCATAAAAAGCTAATTCATTTGTGAACACAAATTTTTCTTAATTCCCACTTCATGACGTATTAGTTTTATGATCACGTTAGGCTTACTCCACAAACATTTATTGGTATCTGCTTTATCCATGGAGTCACAGCAGGTGATAGAGGATTTGTAACCCTCTCCCCTTTCCCTGCCACTCCACTGAGAAGCAGATATCATGGCATGAATGATTAAATAGGAGACTATATTTCATTTATAAAATGGCTTAGGAACTTTTACAGATGAAAGAAACTGTTCTTGAAACTGCCAATAATATCAGGAAAGTGAATACTAGGTCTTATTTGTTCTTTTTAATGATTTTTTCATACCCATTAACCATTCTCACCCCCACCTCCCCATCCTCCATGGCCCCACTACCCTTCTCAGCCTCTGGTAACCATCCTTCTACTCTCTGTGTCCATGAGTAGTTTAGATTTTTAGCTCCCACAAATAGGTGACGACATGTGAAGTTTGTCTTTCTGTGCGTGGCTTATTTCACTTAAAATAATGATCTCCAGTTCCATCCCTGTTGTTGCAAATGACAGGATCTCATTCTTTTATGGCTGAATAGTATTTTGTTATGTTTATGTACCACATTTTCTTTATCCATTCATCTGTTGATGGAAACTTAGGTCGCTTCCAAATCATAGCTGTTGTGAATAGTGCTGCAATAAACATGGGAAATTAGGTATCTCTTTGATATCCTAATTTCCTTTCTTTGGGGTATATAACTAGCAGTGGGATTGCTGGATTGCACGGTAGCTCTATTTTTAGGTTTGTTTGTTTAACTTTTATTTTAAGTACATGTAGAGGTTTGTTATATGCAGGTAAAGTGGTGTCATGGGGGTTTGTTGTACAGATTATTTTGTCACCCAGATATTAAGCCTGGTACCCATTAGTTATTTTTCCTGATCCTCCCTTCTACCCTGCACCCTCCAGTAGTCCTCCATGTCTGTTTTTGCTCTCTATGTATCCATGCATTCTCATCATTTAGCTCCCACTTATAAGTGATAACATGCAATATTTGGTTTTCTGTTCCTGTGTTAGTTTGCTAAGGGTGATGCCCTCCAGCTCCATGATCCTTCAAAGGACATGATATTGTTCCTTTTTACACTTGCATAATATTCCATAGTGTATATGTACCAATTTTCTTTATCCAGTCTGCCACTGATGGGCATTTAGGTTGATTCCATGTCTTTGCTATTATGAACAGTGCTGCAGTGAACATATGTGTGCATATGTCTTTATGATAGAACGATTTATATTCCTTTGGGTATATACCCAGTAATGGGACTCCTGGGTCGATTGGTAGTTCTGTTTTTAGGTCTTTGAGGAATTGCCACACTGTTTTCCACAATGGCTGAACTAATTTACACTCCTATCAACAGTGTATAAGCCTTCGCTTTTCTCCGCAACCTCACCAGCACCTGTCATTTTTTTGACTTTTAATAATAGCCATTCTGACTGGTGCAAGATGGTATCTCATTATGGTTTTGATTTGCATTTCTTTAATGATCAGTAATATTGGGCTTTTTTTCATATGTTTGTTGGGTGAACATATGTCTTCTTTGAAAAGTGTCTGTTCAGCAACCTACAGAATGGGAGAAAATTTTTGCAATCTATCGATCTGACAAAGGGCTAATATCCAGAATCTATAGAGAGCTTAAACAAATTTACAAGAAAAAAAAAACCCCATCAAAAAGTGGGCAAAGGATATGAACAGACACTTCTCAAAAGAGAACATTCATGCGGCCAACAAACATATGAAAAAAAGCTCATCGTCACTGGTCATTAGAGAAATGCAAATCAAAATCACAATGAGATACCATCTCACGCCAGTTAGAATGGCGATCATTCTTAAAAAGTCAGGAAATAACAGAAGCTGGAGAGGATGTGGAGAAATAGGAACACTTTTACACTGTTGGTGGGAGTGTAAATTAGTTCAGCCATTGTAGAAGACAGTATGGAGATTCCTCAAGGATCTAGAACCAGAAATAGCATTTGACCCAGCAATCCCATTACTGGGTATATACCCAAAGGATTATAAATCATTCTATAAATACACATGCACATATATGTTTATTGCACTGACTTGGAACCAACCCAAATGTCCATCAGTGATAGACTGGATAAAAAATATAGCACATATACACCATGGAATACTACGCAGCCCTAAAAAAGATGAGTTCATGTCCTTTGCAGGGACATGGATGAAGCTGGAAACCATCATTCTCAGCAAACTAACACAGAAACAGAAAACCAAACACCACATGTTCTCACTCATAAGTGGGAGTTCAACAGTTAGAACACACGGACACAGGGAGGGGAACATCACACACCGGGCCTATCGGGGTTGGGGGCAAGGGGAGGGATAGCATTAGGAGAAATATCTAAAGTAGATGATGGGTTGATGGGTGCAGCAAACCACCATGGCAAGTGTATACCTATGTAACAAACCTGCACATTCTGCACATGTATCCCAGAACTTAAAGTATAATTTAAGAAAAAAAAAAGTGTCTGTTCATGTCCTCTGCCAACTTTTTAATGGGGTTGTTTATTTTTCTTTTTTTCTTGTAGATTTAAGTTCCTTATAGATGCTGAATGTTAGACCTTTGTCAGATGCATTGTCAGATGCATAGTTGGCAAAAAAATTTTTTTTACCTGGTGTTCTATAGACAATCCATAACCTATAGACAACCATTCTATAGATTGTCTGCTTACTCTGCTGATAGTTTCTTTAGCTGTGCAGAAGCTCTTTTGTTTAATTAGACTTCATTTGTCAACCTTTGCTTTTGTTGCGATTACTTTTGGCATCTTCCTTATAAAATCTTTGCCTGTTCCTATGTCCAAAATGGTATTGCCTAGGTTGTCTTTAGGGTTTTTATAGTTTTGAGTTTTACATTTAAGTCTTCAATCCCATTTGAGTTGATTTTTGTATGTGGCATAAGGAATTTTCTGCATATGGCAAGCCAGTTTTCCCATCACCATTTATTGACTAGGGAATCCTTTCCCCATTGCATGTTTTTGTCAGCTTTATCAAAGATCATATGGTTGTAGGTGGATGGCCTTATTTCTGGGCTATGTATTCTGTTCCATTGGTCTGTGTGTCTGCTTTTGTACCAGTACCATGCTGTTTTGGTTATTGTAGCCCTTTAGTAGAGTTTGACTTTGGGTAGCGTGATTCCTCCAGGTTTGTTCTTTTTGCATAGGATTGCCTTGGCCATTTGGGCTCTTTTTGGGTTCCACATGAATTTTAAAATAGTTTTTTCTAGTTCTGTGAAGAATGTCATTGGTAGTTTGACAGGAATAGCATTGAATCTATAAATTGCTTTGGACAGTATGGCCATTTTATTGGTTCTTCCTATCCATGAGCATGGAATGTTTTTCCATTTGTTTGTGTAATCTCTGATTTCTCTGAGCAGTTTTTTATAGTTTTCATTGTAGAGATCTTTCACCTCCCTGATCATCTGTATTCCTAGGTATTTTATTCTTTTTGTGGCCGTTGTGAATGGGAGTTCATTTCTGATTTGGCTCTTGGTTTGATGGTTGTTGGTGTATAGGAATACTAGTGATTTTTTTTATTTTATTTTTCCATAAGTTATTGGGGTACAAGTGGTATTTGGTTACATGAGTAAGTTCTTTAGTGGTGATTTGTGAGATCCTGGTGCACCCATCACCTGAGCAGTATACTCTGCACCACAAATATTATCTTTTATCCCTCATTCTGTCCCACTCTTCCCTCCAAGTCCCCAAAGTCCATTGTATCATTCTTATGCCTTTGGGTCCTCATAGCTTAGCTCCCACATATCACTGAGAACATATGATGTTTGGTTTTACATTCCTGAGTTACTTCACTTAGAATACTAGTCTCCAGTCTCATCCAGGTCATCACAAATGCTGTTAATTTATTCCTTTTTATGGTTGGGTACTATTCCATCATATATATATATACCACAGTTTCCTTATCCACTCGTTGATTGATGGGCATTTGGGTTGGTTCCACGATTTTGCAATTGTGAATTGTGTTGCTATAAACATGCGTGTGCAAGTATCTTTTTCGAATAATGACTTCTTTTCTACTGGGTAGATACCCAGTAGTGGGATTGCTGGATCAAATAAACTAGTTTACATTCCCACCAGCAGTGTAGAGGTGTTCCCTGATCGCTGCATCCATGCCAACATCTACTGTTTTTTATTTTTTTGATTGTAGCCATTCTTGCAGGAGTAAGGTGGTATCGCATTGTGGCTTTGATTTGCATTTGCCTGATCATTGGTGATGTTGAGCATTTTTTCATGTGTTTGTTGGCCATTTGTATATCTTCTTTTGAGAATTGTCTATTCATGTCCTTAGCCCACTTTTTGATGGGATTGTTTGTTTTTTTCTTACTGATTTGTTTGAGTTCACTGTAGATTCTGGATGTTAGTCCTTTTCAGATATATAGATTGTGAAGATTTTCTCCCACTCTGTGGGTTGTCTGTTTACTCTGCTGACTGTTCCTTTTGCCATGCAAAAGCTGTTTAGTTTAATTAGGTCACAGCTATTTATCTTTGTTGTTATTGCATTAGCTTTTGGGTTTTTGGTCACGAAATCCTTGCCTAAGCCAATGTCTAGAAGGGTTTTTGTCTAGACATTGTCTAGACAATGTCTAGAATATTATGTTCTAGAATTTTTATAGTTTCAGGTCTTAGGTTTAAGTCCTTCATCATCCATCTTGAGTTGATTTTTGTATAAGGTTAGAGATGAAGATCCAGTGTCATCCTCCTACATGTGGCTAGCCAATTATCCAAGCACCATTTGTTGAAAGGGAGTCCTTTCCCCATTTTATGTTTTTGTTTGCCTTGTCAAAGATCAGTTGGCTATAAGTATTTGGGTTTATTTATGGGATCTCTATTCTGTTCCACTGGTCTATGTGCCTGTTTTTATACCAGTACCATGCTGTTTTGGTGACTATGGCCTTATAGTTTCAAATCAAGTAGTGTGATGCCTCCAGATTTGTTATTTTTGCTTAGTCTTGCTTTGGCTGTGTGGGATCTCTTTTGGTTCCATATGAATTTTAGAATTGTTTTTTCTAACTCTGTGAAGAATGATGATGGTATTTTGGTGGGGATTGCATTGAATTTGTAGATTGCTTTTGGCAGTATGGTCATTTCCATAATATTGATCCTATCCATCCATGAGCACGGGATATGTTTTCATTTGTTTGTGTTGTCTATGATTTCTTTCAGCAGTGTTTTGTAGTTTTCCTTACAAATGTCTTTTGACTCCTTTGTTAGGTATATTCCTAAATATTTTATTTTTTGCAGCTATCGTTTGTTGATTTTGTATCCTGACAGTTTGCTGAAGTTGTTTATCAGCTTAAGGAGCTTTTGGACTGAGACTGTGGGGTTTTCTAGATATAGAAGCATGCCATTTGCAAACAGGGATAGTTTGACCTTCTTCCTATTTGGATACTCTTTATTTCTCTCTTCCCTGATTGCTCTGGCCAGGATTTCCAATATTATGTTGAATATGAGTGGTGAGAGAAGACATCCTTGTCTTGTGCCAGTTTCCAAGGGGAATGCTTCCAGCTTTTGCCCATTTGGTACAATGTTGGTTGTGGATTTGTAATAGATGGCTCTTATTATTTTGAAGTATGTTCCTTCAATGCCTAGTTTATTGAGAGTTTTTAAAATGAAGGGGCGTTGAATTTTATCAAAAGCCATTTCAGCATCTATTGAGAGGATCATATTGTTTTTGTCTTTAGTTCTGTTTATGTGATGAATCACATTTATTGAATTGCATATGTTGAACCAACCTTGCATCCCAGGGATAAAGCCTACTTGGTCATGGTGCATAAGCTTTTTGCTATGCTGCTGGATTGGGTTTGCCAGTATTTTGTTGAGGATTTTTACACCAGTGTTTACCAAAGATATTGGCCTGAAGTTTTTTTTTGTTGAGCCTCTGCCAGCTTTTGGTAGCAGGATGATGCTGGCCTCATAGAATGAATTAGGGAGGAGTCCCTTTGGAATAGTTTCAGTAGGAATGCTACCAGCTCTTCTTTGTACATCTCATAAAATTCGTCTGTGAATCTGTCTGGTCCTGGGCTTTTTCTCATTGGTAGGCTATATATTTCTGATTCAATTTTGGAGCTCATTGGCCTTTTAAGGGATTCAATTTCTTCCTGGTTCAGTCTTGAGAGGCTGTGTCCAGGAATTTATCAATTTCTTTTAGATTTTCTAGTTCGTGTACATAGAGGTGTTCATAATATTCTCTGATGGTTATTTTATTTCTGTGTGGTCAGTGGTAATATCCCATTGTCTTTTCTATTTATGTATATTTGTGTCTTCTCTCTTTTTTCATTTTTAGTCTAGCTACTGGTCTGTGTATTTTATTATTTTTTTCAAAAAAACACACTTCTAGATTCATTGACATTTTGAATGGTTTTTCATCTCTCAATCTTCTTCAGTTCAGCTTTGATTTTGGTTATTTCTTGTCTTCTGCTACCTTTGAGGTTACTTTGCTCTTGATTTTCTGGTTCTTTCAGTTGTGATGTTAAGTTGTTAAACTGAGGTCTTCCTAACTTTTTTTTTTTTTTTTTTTTTTGAGATGGAGTCTCTCTCTGTCACCCAGACTTGAGTCCAGTGGCACGATCTCGGCTCACTGCAAGCTCCGCTTCCTGGGTTCATGCCATTCTCCTGCCTCAGCCTCCCGAGTAGCTGGGACTATAGGCGCCCGCCACCATGCCCGGCTAATTTTTTTTGCATTTTTAGTAGAGACAGGGTTTCACTGTGTTAGCCAGGATGGTCTTGATCTGCTGACCTCGTGATCTGTCCGCCTCAGCCTCCCAAAGTGCTGGGATTACAGGTGTGAGCCACCGTGCCCAGCCAAGTCTTTCTAACTTTTTGATGTAAGTGTTTAGTGCTGTAAATTTCCCTCTTAACACTGCCTTAGCAGTATGCCTGAGATTCTGGTACGTTGTATCTTTGTTCTCATCAGTTTCAAAGAGCTTCTTGATTTCTGCCTTAGTTTCATTACTTACCCAAAAGTCCTTCAGGAGCAGGTTATTCAGTTTCCATGTAATTATATGATTTTGAGTGAATTTCTCAGTCTTGATCTCTAATTTTATTGTGTTATGGTCTGAGAGAGTAGTTGTTATGATTTCAGTTATTTTGCACTTGCTGAAGGGTGTTTCATATCTGATTATGTGATTGATTTTAGAGTATGTGCCATGTGGCAATGAGAGGAATGTATATTCTGTTGTTTGGTGGTGGAGAGTTCTGTAGATATTTATCAGGCCCATTTGATCCAGTGCTGAGTTCAGGTCCCAAATTATCTTTGTTAATTTTCTGCCTTGATGGTCTGTCTGATACTGTCAGTGGGGTATTGAAGTCTCCCAGTATTATTGTGTGGGAATCTAAGTCTATTTGAATGTCCTTAAGAACTTGCTTTATGAATCTGGGTTCTCCGATGTTGTGTGTCCATATATTTAGGATAGTTTCTTGTTGAATTGAACCCTTTACCATTATGTAATGCCCTTCTTTGTCTTTTTAAATCTTTCTTGTTTTAAAATCTGTTTGGCCTGAAATTAGGACTGCAGCCCCTTATTTTTTTCTGTTTTCATTTGCTTGGTAGATTTTTCTCCATCCCTTTATTTTGAGCCTATGAGTGTCGTTACATGTCAGATGGGTCTCTTGAAGACAGTATACCACTGGGTCTTGCTTCCTTCTCCAGCTTGCCACTCTGTGCCTTTTAATTGGGGCATTTAGCCCATTTACATTCAAGATTAGTATTCATATGTGAGGATTTGATCCTGTCATCATGATGTCAGCCAGTTATTATGTGATTTGTTTGTGTGGTTGCTTTATAGCAGGGGTCCCCAACCCACAGGCCATGGATCAGTACTGGTCCATGGCCTGTTAGGAACCGGGCCACACAGCAGGAAGTGAGTGGTGGGCAGGTGAGCGAGCATTACCACCTGAGCTCCACCTCCTGTCAGACCAACAGGGGCATCAGATTCTCATAAGAGTGTGAACCTTATTGTGAACTACACATGCGAGGGATCTAGGTTGTGTGCTCCTTTTGAGAATCTAACTAATGCCTGATAACGTGAGGTGGAACAGTTTCATCCCAAAACCATCCCTCACCCCTGGTTGTGGAAAAATTGTCTTCCACAAAAACAGTCCTTTGTGCCAAAAAGGTTGGGGTTTTATAGTGTCACTGGTCTGTGTACTGAAGTGTGTTTCTGTAGTAGCTGGTAATGGTCTTTCCTTTACATATTTAGTATTTCCTTCAGGAACTCTTGTAAGGCAGGACTGGTGGTAACAAATTCCCTCAGCATTGCTTGTCTGAAAAAGGTTTCAATGTACTCCTGCATCTCAGTGATCTTCATTCCTATCCATATCCTGAATTCTATTTCTGTCATTTCAGCCATCTCAGCCCAGTTCAGAATCCTTGCTGGAGAGGTAATGTCATTTGGAGGATAGAAGGCACTCTGGTTTTTTGAGTTGTCAGAGTTCTTGCAGTGGTTCTTTCTCATCTTTGTGGGGTGGTGTTTCCTCAAGCTTTGAAGTTGCTGTTTTTGATGACCTTGAGGGTTTGACTGTGGTATAAGGTAGGTTTAGTCAATTGGTTTCATTTCTGGAAGGTTTTAGGAGGCCAACACTCAGCTCCCATCTCCTAGACTGCATGCCCTAAGGGATTCGTATCAGACCCCAACTTTGTTCTCTGGCTCCTCAACATTAGGAAACCACTGGGCTGAGGGAGACAAGGTGTGCTTGGACCACTAGGCACTACACTCTGATGGGTGGTGCCAGCCAAAGCCTTTCATAGGGTGATGGCAGCAGGCTCCATCCTCATTCACACATGCCAGCATCAGGGACGGCGGCAGTGCAACGGGGTGCATGACGCATGCCTGTCGCTATGGTAGGTGCAAGCGGGTGCCGGGGGCCTGCCTCCATGCAAGTGTTCACAGCAGTGGCAGAGGCAGCATGGCTCAGGAAGGTGGAGGCCCCCCAGTTGGCAACTGTGCACACAGTTGTGCTGGTGGTAGTGTTAGCACGTGGGTAGGGTGCTGGTGGATGCAGGTCTGTGTGTGCCCTCTGTGGCTACTCAGAGTTGGGAAGTCTCCAGTGTTTTCCACTACCACTCTGGTGGTAGTGTTGATGCAGGCACAGGGTGCTGGTGGGGGTGGCAGGCCCTGTGCTCACCAAGGCTCTAACTGAAATGGCAATACAGCAGGGGATGGGTGGCAGAGTGCACTTCTGCCAGCAACAGAGGCAGCACAGGGTGCGTGCGCACATGGGTGCTAGCAGGGCAAGAAAGGCAAAATCTACCCTCATATTCACGTACCGACACAGCAATGTAAGGGGGCTACGGGCCAGGGAGATGCTGCAGCTGCAGGAGGGAGTAGGCAGGCTGGTGTGTAGTCATGGGTGCTTCCTTGCTGGAGCTCTCTACCAGTCAGGCATGGTCCACCAACACAGGAGCTATGATGCGGCACCCTAGGGCACCCAGGGCTGTATTGCAAGCAGTTATGGCCAGGATGGGACCCCAAGAGAGGCCAGGAGACCAAGGATTGCTGAGGTCGGACTGGCCCTGTCTGATGGGCAAGACCACCCTAAAGAGTTCAGGTCCAACAGTTTCCCTAGGGCTAAAGTCTCCTATGGAAGCAAGTTGAGCCTGGGGAATGGGCGTCCCTGGCCATACTCCACTACAGATGCTCCCACACCAAACACTCTGGGCTCTGCATAGCTGGTATGCTGCCCCTACCACTTCTCTTAGCAGCTCTCCCTGCCAACTGTAGTGTCTGTGATGGCCAAGGGGTCTCCTCCTGCCAGGATTCCAGAGGCCCATTGTGAGAGCAGATTGCTCCTTGCCAGTTCAAGTCACTCATTCCCCCAGAGTCATTGGAAGCCAGGAAGGAGTCACAGTGAGGAGTTACCCTGGGCAGAACTCTCAGCTTCCTCCCACCTCAGCTTGGCTTCAGTGTCTTCCTTCCAGGCACCCTCAGTGCCTTCCCTCTGAAGCTCTGTTAGGAGTGTGCCCATCATCCCAGTCCCTCAGTGACAGCTGTTCCACCTGACTGCATCAAGTCAGCCATCTCACCCCAAGCCAGCACTGCTACCCCACCATCTGCCAGGGAATCCTCAGATTCTGGGAGCAACACACACCACCTATTTTTAGTTTGTTGGGGAACTTCCAAACTGTTCCTTATAGTGGTTGTACTAGTTTACATTCCTACCAACAGCATACTGATCTCCACATCCTCACCAGTATTTGTTATTGCCTCTTTTTGATGAAAGCCATTCTAACTGGGGTGAGATGATATCTCATTGTGTTTTTGATTTGCATTTCTCTGATGATCAATGATGTTGAGCACCTTTTCATGTACCTGTTTCTCATTTGTATGTCTTCTTTTGAGAAATGTTTGAGATCTTTTGCCGATTTTTTAATCGAATTCTTAGATTTATTTTTTTCCTATGGAGTTGTTTCAGCTTCTTATAGTTTCTGGTTATTAATCCCTTGCCAGATGGGGTAGTTTGCAAATATGTTATTCTATTCTGTGGGTTGTCTCTTCCCTTTGTTGATTATTTCCTTTGCTGTGCAAAAGCTTTTTAACTTAATGTGATCCCATTTGTCCATTTTTGCTTTGCTTGCCTGTGCTTCTGAGGTATTACTTTGTCCAGTCCAATGTCCTAGAGAGTTTCCCCAATGTTTTCTTATAGTAGTTTCACAGTTTGAGGTCTTAGATTTAAGGCTTTGATCCATTTTGATTTGATTTTTGTATATGGCAAGAGATAGGGGTCTTGTTTCATTCTTTTGCATATGGCTATCCGGTTTTCCAAGTACCATTCATTGCCAACGTACACTCTTGGCAACTTTATCAAAAATGAGTTCAATATAGGTGTATGGATTTATTTCTGGGTTCTCTATTCTGATCCACTGGTCTATGTGTCTCATTTTATGCCACTATCATGCTGTTTTGTACTATAGCTCTATAGCTTAATTTGAAGTTAGGGAATGTGATTCCTCCAGTTTTGTTCTTTTTTGCTCAGGATAGCCTTGGCTACTCTAGGTCTTTTGTGGTCCCATATAAATTAAAATTTTTTTTTTTCCATTTCTGTGAAGAATATCATAGGTATTTTGATAAGGATTGCATTGAATCTGTAGATTGCATTGGGTAGTATGGACATTTTATCAATATTGATTCAATCCATGAATATGGAATACCTTTCCATTTTGTGTGTGTGTCGTTTTCCATTTCTTTCACCAATGTTTTATAGTTTTCATTGTAGAGCTCTTTCACTTCTTTGGCTAATTCCTAGGTATTTTATTTTATGTGTAGCTGTTGTAAATAGGATTACTTTCTTAATTTCTTTTTAGATTGTTCACCGTTGGCACACAGAAATACTACTGATTTTTTATGTTGATTTTGTATCCTGTAACTTTACTGAATTTGTTTATCAGATCTAATAGTTTTTGGTGGAGTCTTTAAATTTTTCCAAATATAAGATCATATTATCTTCAAATAAGGATAATTTGACTTCTTCCTTTCAAATCTGGATGCCCTTTATTTCTTTATCTTGCCTAATTTCTCTGGTTAGAACTTGCAGTACTATGCTGAACAATAGTGGTGAAAGTGGGCATCCTTGTCATGTTCCAGATCTTAGAGGAAAGGCTTTCAGTTTTTCCCCATTCAGTATGATACCAGCTGTAGCTCTGTTGTATATGGATTTTATTATGCTGAAGTACATTCCCTCAATACCCAGTTTCTTAAGGGTTTTCATCATTAAGGGATGTTGAATTTTATCAAATGCTTTTTTGGCACCAATTGAAATGATTACATCTGTCCTTCGTTCTGTTGATATGATGTATCACATTGGTTAATTTGCACATTTTAAACCATCCTTGCATCCCTGGAATATATTACACTTGGTCATGAAGAATGATCTTTTTAATGTGTTGTTGAATTTGGTTTGCTAGTATTTCTTTGAGGATTTTTGCACCAATATTTATCAGTGATATGGGCCTGTCATTTTTTTTGTTTTTTGTTTTTGATGTGTCTTTGTCTGGTTTTGGTATCAGAGTAATACTGGCCTTGTAGAATGAATTTGGAAGTTGTATTAGTCCATTTTCATGCTGCTGATAAAGACATACCTGAGACTGGGCAATTTACAAAAGAAACAGGTTTAATCAGGCTTACAGTTCCACATGGCTGGGGAGGCCTCACAATCATGGTGGAAGGCAAGGAGGAGCAAGTCACGTCTTACATGGATGGTGGGAGGCAAAGAGAGAGCTTGCTCAGGGAAACTCCCCCTTATATTACCATCAGATCTCATGAGACTCATTCACTGTCATGAGAACAGCATGGGAAAGACCTGCCCCCATGATTCAGTTATCTCCCACTGGGTCCCTTCCACAACACATGGGAATTAAAGATGAGATTTGGGTGGGAACACAGCCAAACCATATCAGAAGTATTCCCTCCTCCACTATTTTTTGGAATAGTTTGAGTAGGATTGTTATTAGTTCTTCTTTAAATGTTTGGTACAATTACAGTAGTAAAGCCATCAAGTCCATGGCATTTCTGCCCTGGGATACTTTTTATTACAACTTTGATCTCATTAATCGTTATTGGTCTGTTCAGGTTTTGGATTTCTTCATGGCTTAATCTTAGTAGAGTGTATGAGTCTAGGAATTTATCCATATCTTCTAGATGTTTTAATTCATTGGCATATAGTTGCTAATAGTAGCCACTAATAATCCTTTGAATTTCTGCAGTAACAGTTGTAATGTCTCCTTTTTCATCTTTAATTTTATTTATTTGGGTCTTCTCCCTACTTTTCTTAGTCTGGCTAAAGGTTTGTCGATTTTGTTTAAATTTTCAAAAATCAACTTTTTGTTTTGTTTATCTTTTGTATTTTTTTCACTTCAACTTCATTTATTTCTGGTCTGATCTTTATTATTTCTTCTAATTTTGGGGTGGTTTGCTCTTGCTTTTCCAGTTCTTTAAGACATATTGTTAGCTTATTTATTTGATGTTTTTCTTTTTTGTTGATGTAGGTACTCATAGCTATAAACTTTCCTCAAAGTATTGCTTTCATTGTATCCTATAGCTTTTGGTCTGTTGTGTTTCCATTATCATTTGTTTCAAGAAGTTTTCAATTTTCTTCTGTGAATTACTTCATTGAAACACTGGTCATTCAGGAGTGTATTGTTGAATTTCCATGTGTTTGTATAGTTTCCAAAATTACTTTTTTTTTTTTTTACCTATTTCTAATTTTATTTAATTGTGGTTAGGGAAGATGCTTGATATTATTTCCATTATTTAGAATGTTTTAAGACCTGTTTTGTCACCTAACGTATGGTTTATCCTTGAGAATGATCCTTGTGCTAAGGAAAAGAATGTATATTCTGCAGCCATTCAGTGACATGTTCTGTAAATATCTATTGATTCCATTTGGTCTATAATGCAGATAAAGCCTGATGTTTCTTTATTGATTTTCTATGTGGAAGATCTGTCCAATGCTGAAAGTGGGTGGTTGAAGTCCCCAGTTATTATTGTATTGGAGTCTATCCCTCTCTTTAGCTCTAATAATATTTGCTTTATATATCTGGGTGCTTCAGTCCTAGGTGCATATATATTTATAATTACTGTATCCTCTTGCTGAGTCAACTCCTTTATTATTACATAATGACCTTTGTTGTCTCTTCTTATCATTTTTGTCTTGAGATCTATTTTGTCTGCTATGAGTATAGCTACTCTGGCTATTTTTTTGTTTCCATTAACATGAAATATCTTTTTCCATTCCTTTATTTTCAGTCTATTTGTGTCTTTATAAAAGAATTGTATTTCTTATAGGCAACAGATAATTGGATCTTGGTTTTTATCCATTCAGCCAATCAATGTCTTTTGATTGGAGAGTTTAGTTCATTGATATCCAATGTTATTATTGATAAGGACTTAGTTGTGCCATTTTGTTATTTCTTTTCTGGTTGTTTGATGGCCTGCTGTTTCTTCTTTTCTTCCTTCCTGTCTTCCATTTAGTGAAGCTGATTTTCTCAGGTGGCATTATTTCTTGATTTTTATTTTTTGTGTATCCATTGTATGTTTTTTGACTTTAGGTTACCATCTGGTTTGCAAATACTGTCTTATAACCCATTAGTCTAAGCTGATAACAACACTAGCATAAACAAACTAACAAAAAGAAAAGTAACCCTAACTCTATATTTTAACTTTGTTCCCCACTTTTTAACTTTTCATTTTTTCTACTTATATATTATTGTGCAGTCTGTGGCTTGAATAGTTGTTGTAGTTACTATTTTTGATTGGTTCATCTTTTAGTCTTTCTGTCTAAAAAAACATAGTTTGTACACCACAGTTACAGTTTTATAATATTCTGTATTTTTCTGTGTGCTTATGATTACCAATTAGTTTTATACCTTCAGATGATTTATTATTGCTCATTAGCATCCTTTTCTTTCTGATTGAAATACTCCCTTTAGCCTTTCTTGTTGAACAGGTCTGGTATTCATGGAATCCCTCAGCTTTTGTTTTTCTGGGAAAGTAATTTTATTTCTTCTTCATGTTTGAAGGATATTTTTGCTGGATATACTATTCCAGCATAAAAGTTTTATTCCTTGAGCACCTTAAACATGTCATGCCCTCTCTCCTAGCCTGTGAAGTTTCCTCTGAAAAGTCTACTGCTAGATGTATTGAAGCACCTTTGTATGTTATTTGTTTCTGTTTCTTTTCTCTTGCTGCTTTCAGGATCTGTTTTTTTATCCTTGACCTTTGGGAAGGATCTTCCCAAAGATCCTTTGAGAGTTTGGTTATTAAATGCCTTGAGGTAGTATTCTTTGGGGTAAGTCTTCTTGGCATTCTATAACCTTCTTACACTTGGATATTGATAAGTATCTCTAGGTTTAGGAAGTTATTATCCCTTTGAATAACTCTTCTCCCCTATCTCTTTCTCTACCTCCTCTTTAGGACCAATAACTTTTAGATTTGCCCTTTTGAGGCTATTTTCTAGATCTCGTAGGTATGCTTCATTCTTTATTCTTTTTTCTTTTGTCTCCTTTGACTGTGTATTTTCAAATAGCATGTCTTCAAGCTCACTAATTCTTTCATCTGTTTGACCAATTCTGCTATTAAAAGACCATGATGCATTCTTCAGTATGTTGGTTGCATTTTTTTATTCTTAAACTTTTTATTATGAAAAATGTCAAATAGTACAATAAACATCCACAGACATATAATTATCTAGATTTAACAATTGTGAATATTATTGTGTTTGCTTCATTCATCTCTTTCTCCTCACCCTCTTCTTTTTTTTTTTGCTGAATCTTTTTTTTAGTATTTATTGATCATTCTTGGGTGTTTCTTGCAGAGGGGGATTTGGCAGGGTCATAGGACAATAGTGGAGGGAAGGTCAGCAGATAAACAAGTGAACAAGGGTCTCTGGTTTTCCTAGGCAGAGGACCCTGCGGCCTTCCGCAGTGTTTGTGTCCCTGGGTACTTGAGATTAGGGAGTGGTGATGACTCTTAAGGAGCATGCTGCCTTCAAGCATCTGTTTAACAAAGCACATCTTGCACCGCCCTTAATCCATTTAACCCTGAGTGGACACAGCACATGTTTCAGAGAGCAGGGGGTTGGGGGTAAGGTTATAGATTAACAGCATCCCAAGGCAGAAGAATTTTTCTTAGTACAGAACAAAATGGAGTCTCCTATGTCTACTTCTTTCTACACAGACACAGCAACAATCTGATTTCTCTATCTCTTCCCCACATTTCCCCCTTTTCTATTAGACAAAACTGCCATCGTCATCATGGCCCATTCTCAATGAGCTGTTGGGTACACCTCCCAGACGGGGTGGCGGCCAGGCAGAGGGGCTCCTCACTTCCCAGAAGGGGTGGCCAGGCAGAGGCGCCCCCCACCTCCCAGACAGGGCGGCTGCTGGGCGGAGGGGCTCCTCACTTCTCAGACAGGGCGGCCGGGCAGAGACGCTGCTCACCTCCCACATGGGGTCACGGCAGGGCAGAGGCGTTCCTCACATCCCAGACGGGGCGGCAGGGCAGAGATGCTCCCCACATCTCAGACAATGGGCGGCTGGGCAGAGACGCTCCTCACTTCCTAGACGGGATGGCAGCCGGGAAGAGGCGCTCCTCACTTCCCAGATGATGGGTGGCCAGGCAGAGATGATCCTCACTTCCCAGACGGGGTGGCGGCCGGGCAGAGGCTGCAATCTCGGCACTTTGGGAGGCCAAAGCAGGCGGCTGGGAGGTGGAGGTTGTAGCGAGCCGAGATCACGCCACCGCACTCCAGCCTGGGCAACATTGAGCACTGAGTGAACGAGACTCCATCTGCAATCCCAGCACTTCGCGAGGCCGAGGCTGGCAGATCACTCGTGGTTAGGAGCTGAAGACCAGCCCGGCCAACACAGCGAAACCCCGTCTCCACCAAAAAAATACGAAAACCAGTCAGGCGTGGCGGCGCGCGCCTGCAATCCCAGGCACTCTGCAGGCTGAGGCAGCAGAATCAGGCAGGGAGGTTGCAGTGAGCCGAGATGGTGGCAGTACAGTCCAGCTTCGGCTGGGCATCAGAGGGAGACCGTGGAGAGAGAGGGAGCGGGAGACCGTGGGAGAGGGAGAGGGAGGGGGAGGGGGAGAGGGAGAGGGAGAGGGGTTGCATTTTTAAGCTACAGAATTTCCACTTGCTTCTTTTTAATTATTTTAATCTCTTTGTTAAATTTATCTGATAGAATTCTGAATTCCTTCTCTGCATTATCTTGAATTTCTTTGAGTTTCCTTAAAACAGCTATTTTTAATTCTCTGTGTGAATGGCCACATATCTCTATTTCTCCAGGATTGGTTCCTCGTTCCTTATCTAGTTTGGTGAGGTCATGTCTTCCTGGATGGTCTTGATATTTATGGAAGTTCATTGGTGTCTGGACATGGAAGGGTTAAGTATTTATTATAGTCTTTGCTATAGGGGCTTTTTTGTACCCATCCTCCTTGGGAAGGCTTTATAGGTATTCAGAAAGATTTGGATGCCGTGACCTAATCCATATCTGCATTAAGGGGCACTGCAAGCCCAGGATCACTGTGGTTCTTCCTAACTCGTACTGGTACCACCTTGGTGGCCCTGAATAAGATCCAGAAGAATTCTCCACATTTCCAAGCAGAGACTCTTGTTCTCTCCCCTACTTTCTCCCAAACAAATGGAGTCTTTTTCTCTCTCTGCTGAACCACCTGGAGCTGAAGATGGTGTGACACAGTGCCCCCTGTGACCACTACCACTAGGACTGCACTGGGTCAGACCTGAAGCCAGCACAGCCCTGGTTCTCACCCAAGGCCTGCTGTAACCACTACCAGGCTACTATATGCTCAAGGCCTTAGGGCTCTACAATCAACAGGTGATGAAACCAGTTGGGCTCATGTCCTTCTTTTCAGGTTGGCAAGTTCCCCTAGGCACAATGTGGGTCCAGAGTTACCATCTGGAAGCCTGGGACTGGAGTCAAAAACCTTAGAGATCTACCTGGTATTCTATTCTACTGTGGCTGGGCTGTCACTCAAACCAAGTCACACAGCCATTCCCCTTCTTCCCTCCCCTTTCACAAGCAGAAGAGCCTCACCCCATTGCCACCACCACCACAGACCCACAGGGAGTACTACCAGACTACCACCAATATTCAGTTAAGGCCAAAGGGCTCTTCAGTCAGCTTGTGGTGAGTGCTGCCAAGCCTGGGACTCACCCTTCAGGGCAGCGGACTTTTTCTATCCCAGGGCAGGTCCAAGAATGCCATTCAAGAGCCAAGGCCTGGAATCAGGGGCCCTAAGAGCCCACTTGATATTCCACCCCACTGTGACAGAGATGGTACCTAAGGTGACAAAGTCCACTTTTCTTTTCCCTCTGCTCTTCTCAAGTGGAAGGAGTCTCTCCCCAAAGCCACCACTGCTAGGAATGTGCTGCATTACACCTGATACCAGTATGTCTGAGTCTCACCCAAGGCCTGCAGCATACCACCTGGGTACCACTGCTGGTTCTTCAAGGCCTAAGAGCTCTTTAGTCAGTAGGTAATGGATCCTGCCTAAACTGGGTCCTTCCCTTCAAGGTAGTAGGTTCCTTTCTGGCCCAGAGTATGTCTAGAAATTTCATCCAAGGGCTAGGTCCCGGAATGGGAGCCTCACGACTATGACCAGTACGCTATCATACTGTGGCTGAGCTGCTATCCAAGATGCAAGACAGTTGTCCTTACTCTTCCCTCTCTTCTCCTCAAGCAGAAATCAAGGGTCTCTTTTGAAGATGCAAGCTATGCTGCCTGGGGTTGGTAGGAGGGCATGATGTAGGCACTCCCTTAGCCACCCTGGCTAGTGTCTAGTAGGCCACATGCCACCCAAGTCCACTGGCTCAGAGCCCAGCTCAGCACTAGTTGGGTAGGGTACTGGTCAGAGTCGTGAGGACCCCATTTCACTTGCAGTCGTTCTGGCCTACTGCTCCTAAAGAGAAGCAGTCTAGCGCCCAAGAGCACTCCCAGCCACAGTGGCAAGACTTGCTGGAACTCAAGTTCTGACCACTGGGATGCACAATTCCCCTCTGGCTAGGGCCAGTCCAAATATTCCCTCTGTAGCCGGGCATCAGCTGAGTACAGCCTGGTTTTGATTTCCACTCTGACAGGAGTGAGTTCAGTGCAAAGCCCCACAATCACTGTGCTCTCCCTCTTTCAAGTGCACAGATTCTTGGTACCATGTGGCCACTGCTGAAGGATGGGGGAATGGTGGTGTCAGCAATTCAAGACTGTCTTTCCTACCCTCTTCACTGCCTCTTTCAGAGACATGAAGTCAAAACCAGGCACAGGACTAATCTGGTATTTGGTTCCTATGATGGTGTTCCCTTTGTATAGATAGTGTCAAACTTGGTGTTCCTGTAGGGGATGACCAGGGGAACCCTCTGTTCATCCATCTTGCTCCAGCACTCCCCAAGCATTACAGTTTGATTAGCACATAAGCATTAAATGGCCTTAGTGTCCTGTCACTGAGACACTAAAAATCAAGTCCCCACATTTCCAAATGTTTCCTGTGAGGGAGTAGCTGCCTTACCCAGAAAGTGTTGATTTCTTTTTTTTTTTTTTTTTTGAGACAGAGTCTCACTCTGGTGTCGCCAGCCTGGAGTGCAGTAGCGTGATCTTGGTGCACTGCAACCTCCGCCTCCTGGGTTCAAGCAATTCTACCTCATCCTCCCGAATAGCTGGGACTACAGGCACGGGCCACTAGGCCTAGCTAATTTTTTTATATTTTTAGTAGAGACGGGGTTTCTCCATGTTGGCCAGGATGGTCTCAATCTCCTGACCTCATGATCCACCCGCCTCGGCCTTCCTAAGTGCTGGGATTACAGACGTGAGCCACCGCGTCTGGCCAAAGGTGCTGATTTCTAACACAGCACTTTGTATTACAAATAAATCTCATTTCCTGCTGGACGAGGTGGCTCACGCCTCTAATCCCAGCACCTTGGGAGGCCGAAGGGGGCAGATCACCTGAGGTCGGGAGTTCGAGACCAGCCTAACCAACATGGAAAAACCCCATCTCTGCTAAAAATACAAAATCAGCTGGGCGTAGTGGCACACGCCTGTAATCCCAGCTACTCAGGAGGCTGAGGTAGGAGAATCGCTTGAACCTGGGAGGCGGAGATTTCAGTGAGCCAAGGTCATGCCAATTGCACTCCAGCCTGGGCAAAAAGAGTGAAATGCCATCTCAAAAAAAAAAAAGAAAGAAAGAAAGAAAGAAAGAAATCCCATTTCCATTTTACAACAAAGATCACAGAGACTCTAAGAGATTAAACTCCTTATGCTTATTATTAGCCGGTCAGTGCTAGCACTGATTTCAAAATTAAGTCTAATTCCAAAGCCTGCTCTACTTAGCAGCTTCTAGGTGCTAAAAGAATTTAAGGAGGTTATGTAGTCAGCTAGGGCTGCCATCACAGAATACCACAGACTGAGTGGCTTAAACAATGGGAATAAATTTTCTTACTGTTCTGGAAGGTGAGAAGACCAAGACTCAGGTTCTGACATTGTTTAGTTTCTAGTGAGGATTCTCTTCCTGGCTTGTAGATGGCATATTCTACTATGTCTTCATGTGGTCTTTCCTTGCTGTGTGCATCTGATGTTTCTTCCTGCAAGGACACTAATCCTATCAGATTGGGGCCCCACCCTTATAACCTCATTTAACCTTAATTATCTCCATAAAATGCCCATCTCCAAATACAGCCATTTGGGTGTTAGGCCGTGGGTGTTAGGGCTGCAACATATGAACTTTGAAGGGACATAAACATTCAGTCTATAACAAAAGTTGAGGACAGACAACAAGTCATTAGATTTGGTGATTGAGATCACAGACTAACTCTGTACAAACAGTTTTGATATAATGGTAGGGTCAGAAATTGTGTGGAGACTAAATAAGGAGTGATATTTGAGGAAAATGTCCTGATAATTCATATCTGTAGGGAGTAAAGGATGGAGGGAGATGGGAGAGTCCGTTTAGCGATCATTCAGAGTTGAGAACCTCATAATCGAAAAATGGTATATTGAGCACTAAAGTCAACACATCCTAGTAAACAGAATGTTTCTGTCTTTATTTTGTGCTGCTGTAACAGAACACCCTGGGACTGCATAATTTATAATGAACAGAAATTCATTGGCTTATGGTTTAGGAGGCTGGAAAGTCAAAACTTATATTGAATTCTTTCAGCACCTGGGAGCAGCTAAGTAGAACAGGCTTTAGAATTAGACTTAATTTTGAAACCAGGTGCTAGCACTGACCAGCTAATGGTGAGCATAAGATGCCAATGTTATCTCTCAGAGTCTCTGTGACCTTTGTTGTAAAACAGAAATTAGATTTTATAACAGCACCAATCCTACCCATACGATGGAGCACTCCTGGCCTAATCACCTCTCAAAGGCCCACCTCTTAATACTGTTACAATGTCAGTTATATTTCAACATGAGTTTTGGTGAGGACAAATATTCAAACCATAGCAGTTTCTAACTAAAGATATCTACTTTAACTCAAGGTATTTATTTTAAGATGATATATCTTAAGATTTAAGATTATATCTAGTGGCAGAGTAGCATTCACTGGATCGGGATAAAAGAACAATTCTGAAATCCTCTCTTTCCATGATTTTCCCAATCCCATACTTTGACTGAGACCTACAAATTAAAAGAAATATATTTTATATCAACACTATGAGTACACACACATACACCCCCCACAGACTCCTGAAACAAAATTTTAAAATTATATGGTATGATTTCTATTGCTGCATACTAAGCCAGCCCAAAACTTGGTTGCTTGAAAACGAAACAAAAATTGCTCACAAATGTGGGATTCAGGCAGGACTTATAGGTGGTAGGGATAGTATATCTGATCTCTCCTACCCCACTTGGCATTAGCTGAGGCAGCTCAGCAGGGACTGGAGGATCCATCCTCAAGATAGCTGATCTACATTGCTGGCAGTTTAATGTTGGCTATCATTTGGTAGCTAAGCCAGGGCTGTGGGTCAAGGTCCTCTCCATGGACTTCTTGGTTTCAAAAGCAAACCTTCTAAGAAGAGAAGGTGGAAGTATGGGCATTTTTTATGATCCAACCTAAGAGAACACTTCGTGTCACTTTTGCCATTGTTATGGACTGAATGTTTATGTCTCTCCAAAATTTGTATGTGGAAATCCTAACCCTTAATGTGATGGTCTTAGGAGGCAGGGCCTTAGGGAGGTGATTAGGTCATGAGAGTAAAACCCTCATGAATGGTACTAGTGCTCTTATAAAAGGGATCCCAGAGAGCTTTCTCACTCTCTTCCTGCCATATAAAGATATAAGAAGACAGTGGTCTGAAACCTGGCCTTGGGTTTCAGAACCCAACCATACTGGCACCCTGATCTCAGACTTCCAACCTCCAGAATTGTGAGAAATGCATTTCTGTTGTTTATAAGCTACCCAATCTATGGTACTTTATTACAGCAGCCCATGTCAGCCATATTCTATTGGTTGAAGTAGTCACAAAGGTCCACCCAAGTTTTCAGGGAAGAGACAAAGACCCCCCACTCAATAGGTAGAGCATCAACATCACATTGCAAGAAGAATACATTGAATGGGAGAAACTATCTTGGGTATTCATAGAAAATATAATTTGCCACACTCTGCTTACCTTGTACCATACTACACTATACCACACTGGTACTATACTACGGGACAAGCAGTATATTCTGATATATTGTAGTCTACTGTTTTTTATGCTGATGATTACCACTGAACTGTGTTAACAATCTAGTGGCTCCCCATCCTCAGTTTGAAAAACACTGTCCTGTACAATTGTAAATTGAGACAATAGTAAAAAATTTCCCTTCTACACTGGCAGAATGCTTTAAGAAAATAAATACAGGGATTACTGAAATAGATCAGAAAGATTAAAGTAAAAATAACTGAGCAAAATGAAGTTTGCCACTTTTACTTTCTAATACCTGTTTATAAGAGCAATGTTTGGCAATCTCAGATGAGTTCATTTTATAACTGAGTCAAAATCTTAACATACATCATTGCTTAGGCCAAAATAAAACCTCTAATTATTATGGCAAACCATGATACCTCTATACTTTTTTTTATATATAAAATGCCTTTTTCAAGTCAATTGTAGAAAATGTGCATAACCAACTGATTGTAACACAATCCTTTAACTTGATTCATTCTTTACTTATTCATACAAACTATTTAGGTATGGAATTTAAGAGTTCCTTGAAGTCATCATCTTTGTGACAAGATCTCTAAGCAAGCAAGTGGCTGGCGCCGTAAAGGCTAAAGGAAGAGTGATCTAAATCTTGTTCCTCTGAATGGGTCCTGGGGACCAATAGTCTGGGTATCACCTGAGAGCTTGTAGAAAAGCTCCTGACAAGTCAGAATCTGCATTTTAACAAGATACCCCAGGAGATTCCTGAACCCATTCAGGTTTGAATAGTACTGACCGAAATCGATGTTTTCCGAAGTGTTTAGTTTGTGCAACCTATGAGTAAAATATGTGGCATGAGTATATGTCTATGTGTATCTTTGCATAATACACATACACTGCTATAATATTTTATAAACCATATGATGCATCAAATAGAAATTTTTAACAGATGAGGTAAACAGATATCAGTAGGAGTTCTAATCCTTCTCTCTCACTCCCTCACTGTTTCATCTTAATAAGTTCCAGAGGTACAAGCACCCTGTTTTGGAGCCCACTGGCCTAAATCACACCACGAGCTCAAATAGCTTTCTCTTGACTAAGTCACATTGCCCAGAAACACATGAATACTCTTGTGACACGCTGCAGTAAAATGAACAATTTATAAAGTTCCATGCATTTAAAATTCCTTCCCCTCTTTAAAAGCAAATATGTGTTGATATACTTAACAGATCATTAAATTTTGGCTTCTTAGAAATTAATCGCTTATTTTAAGGAACTCTGATCCCCAGTATTGCTTGCAGGAAATGAGTAAACATATGTTTGCATGTGAGATGATACACTGGCATAAACTTTTAATAGCACACTTTAAAAATGATGCAAGGTTTCTAAAAATTATAATCTAGCCATTAAAAATTATACAGTAGGCCAGGCGCTGTGGCTCACGCCTGTAATCCCTGCACTTTGGGAGGCAGGTGGATCACCTGAGGTCAGGAGTTCAAGACCAGCCTGCCAACATGAAGAAACCCTGTCTCTACTAAAAATACAAAAAATTAGCCAGGCATGGTGGCAGGCACCTGTAATCCCAGCTATTCAGGAGGCTGAGGCAGGAGAATCACTTGAACCCGGGAGGCGGAGGTTGCAGTGAGCCGAGATCATGCCACTGCACTTCAGCATGGGCAACAAGAGTGAAACTCCATCTCAAAAAATATATATATATAAATATATATATAAATATGTATAAATATAAATATATATAAATATATATATAGAGAGAGAGAGCACCTGTGTATATTTTTTTGACACAGAAAATACGGTATATTTTTAAGTGAAATCTAAATGCTAGTGGTAACCACAGATTATTGGGGACTGTGTTTCAATGGTTCTCATTATGTTTTTGTTTTATTTGTGTTTTCTAATTCTTCTGCAATTACCATGTTTTATTTGTGTAATGAATTAGTCACTAACGGTGACATCACTGGCATGCCCTGAGCCTGGGGTGCCTAATGGGTTGAATCAATTCTTCACGTAGTTACTGGAGTCTGCCAGTCAGTTTTCTTTTCTTTTTTAATTGTTTTTAATTTTTTGTGGGTACAGATATTTATGGGGTACATGAGATGTTGTGATACAGGCATGCAATGTGAAATAAGCACATCATGGAGAATGGGATATCCATCCCCTCGAGTATTTATCCTTTGAGTTACAAACAATCCAATTACATTTTTAAAAGTATTTGAAAATGTACAACTAAGTTATTATTGACTATAGTCACCCTCTTGTGCTATCAAATATTAGGTCTTATTCATACTTTCTAATTTTTTTGTACCCATTAACAATCCCCATCTCTCGCTCACATTCCATCCCCAACTACCCTTCCCAGCCCCTGATAACCATCCTTCTATGCTCTGTCTGTGAGTTCAATTGTTTTGATTTTTAGATCCCACAAATAAGTGAGAACATGTGATGTCTGTCTTTCTGTGCCTGGCTTATTTCACTTAACATAACGATCTCCAGTTCCATCTAAGTTGTTGCAAATTACTGCATCTCATTCTTTTATGGCTGAATAGTATTCCCTTGTGTATATGTACCACATTTTCATTATCCATTCATCTGTTGAAACTTAGATTGATGGCCACTTAGGTTGCTTCTAAATATTAGTTATTGTAAACAGTGCTGCAACAAACAGGGGTGCAGATATCTCTTTATATACTGATTTACTTTCTTTTGGGTATGTACCCAGCAGTGGGATTGCTAGATCGTATGGTAGCTCAATTTGTAGTTCATTGAGGAACCTCCAAACCATTGTCCATAGTCGTTGCACTAATTTACATTCCCACCAACAGTGTATGCAGGTTCCCTTTTCTCAACATCCACACCAGCATTTCTTATCGCCTGTCTTTTTTATACAAGCCATTTTAACTGGGGTGAGATAGTATCTCATTGTAATTTTGATTTGCATTTCTCTGATGATCAGCGATGTTAAGCACCTCTTCATATGCCTATTTGCCATTTGTATGTCTTCTTTTGAGAAATGTCTATTCAAATCTTTTGCCCGTTTTTGATCAGATTATTAGATTTTTTCCTATAGAGTTGTTTGAGGTCCTTATATATTCTGATTATGAATCCCTTGTCAAATGGGTAGTTTGCAAATATTTTCTCCCATTCTGTGGGTTGTGTCTTCACTTTGTTCGTTGTTTCCTTTGCTGTGCAGAGCATTTTAACTTGATGTGATCCAATTTGTCCATTTTTGTGTTGGTTGCCTGTGCTTAGGAGTATTGCTCAAAACATTTTTGTCCAGACCAATGTGCTGAAAATTTTCCCCAACGTTTTCCTGTAGTAGTTTCATAGTTTGAGGTCTTAGATTTAAGTCCTTAATCCATTTTGATTGATTTTTGTATATGGCAAGAGATAAGGATTTAGTTTCACTCTTCTGTATATGGATATCCAGTCTTCCCAGGACCATTTATTGAAGGGACTGTCTTTTCCCCAGTGTATGTTCTTGGCACCTTTGTCAAAAATGAGTTCACTGTAGGTGTGTGGATTTGTTTCTGGGTTCTTGATTCTGATCCATTGGTCTATCTGTTTGTTTTTATGCCAGTGTCATGTTTTGGTTACTATGGCTCTGTAGTATAACTTGAAGACAGGGAATATGATTTCTCCAGTTTTGTTCTTTTTGCTTAGGATAGCTCTCGCTATTCTGGGTCTTTTGTGGTTCCATATAAATTTTTAGGATTTTTTTTTTTCTGCTTCTGTGAAGAATGTCATTGGTATTTCGATACAGATTACATTGAATCTGTAGATTGCTTTGGGTAGTATGGACATTTTAATAATATTCTTCCAATCCACAAATATGGAATATCTTTCCTTTTTATATGTACTCTTCAATTTCTTTCACCAATGTTTTATAGTTTTCATTTGAGAGATCTTTCACTTCTTTGGTTAAGCTAATCCCTAGGTATTTACTTGTTTTTGTAGTTATTGTAAACAATATTACTTTTTGATTTCTTTCTCAGATTGTTCACTGTTGGCGTATGAAAATGCTACTAATTTTTGTATGCTGATTTTGTATCCTGCTGCAACTTTACTGAATTTATCAGTTCTGATAGTTTCCTTGTGGAGTCCTTAGGTTTTTCTAAATATAACATCACAACATCTGCAAACAAGGATAATTTGACTTCTTACATTCCAATTTGGATGCCCTTTATATCTTTCTCTTATTTAATGGCTCTAGCTAGGACTTCCAGTACTTTTTTGAGTAAGTGGTGAAAGTGGGCACCCTTGTTGTATTCCAGTTCTTAGAAGAAAGGCTTTCACTTTTCGCCATTCAATATGATACTAGCTGTGGGTCTGTCATATATGGCTTTTATTATGTTGAGGTATAATCCTTCTACCCCCAGTATTTTTAGGGATTTTCATCATTAAGTGATGTTGAATTTCATCAAATGCTTTTTCAGTATCAATTGACATGATCATATGGTTTTTATCCTTCATTCTGTTGATGTGATGTATCACATTGGTTGATTTGCATATGTTGAACCATCCTTGCATCCCAGGGATAAATGCCATGTGATCATGATGAATGATCTTTCTAAGGTATTGTTGAATTCAGTTTGCTAGTATTTTGTTGAGGATTTTTGCCTCAATATTTATCAGGGATATTGGCTTGTAGTTTTCTTTTTATTGATGTGTCTTTGGTTTTGGTATCAAGGTAATACTGGCCTCATAGGATGAGTTTGGAAGTATTCCCTTCTGTATTTTTTGGAATAGCTTGAGTAGCGTTGGTATTAGTTCTTCTTTAAACATTTGGTAGAATTACAGTAGTGAAGCCATCAGGTCCCTGGCTTTTCTTTGCTGGGAGACTTTTTATTACAACTTTGATCTCGTTACTTGTTATTGTTCTGTTCAGGTTTTGGATTTCTTCATGGTTCACTCTTGGTAGATTGTATATATTTGTCTAGGAATTTATCTGTTTCCTCCAAATTTTCCAATTGATTGACATATAGTTGCTCATAGTAGCCACTATTGAACCTTTGAATTTTTACAGTATCAGTTGTAACATTTATTTTTTTTTCATTTTTTTATTTTTTGAGACGGAGTCTCACTCTGTTGCCCAGGCTGGAGTGCAATGGCCTGATCTCGGCTCACTGCAAGCTCTGCATCCTGGCTTCCCGCCATTCTCCTGCTTCAGCCTCCCGAGTAGCTGGGACTACAGGCACCCACCACCATGCCTGGCTAAATTTTTGTATTTTTAGTAGAGACAGGATTTCAGCATATTAGCCAGGATGGTCTCAATCTCCTGACCTCGCAATCCGCCCGCCTCAGCCTCCCAAAGTGCTGGGATTACAGGCGTGAGCCACTGCGCCCAGCCCTTTTTTCTCTTTTATTTTATTTATTTGGGTATTCTCTTTTTTATAGTTAGTCTGGCTAAAGGTTTGCAAATTTTGTTTAACTTTTCAAAAACCCAACTTTTTGTTTTATTGATATTTTGTATTTTTTTATTTCAATTTCATTTTTTTCTCCTCTGATCTTCATTATTTATTTTCTTCTACTAATTTTGGATTTGGTTTGCTCTTGCTTTTCTAGCTTTTTAAGATGTATCATTAGATTATTTATTTGAAGTTTCTCCATTTTTTGCTGCAGGGACTTACAGCTATAAACGTCCCTCTTAGTATTGCTTTTGCTGGATCCCATAGGTTTTTGTCTCTTGTGGTCTAGGTGCCACCTCAGCCACAGTGCAGTAGAACACCAGGTAGACATCTAAGGCTTTTGATTCTAGTCCTTAACTCCCAGATGGCACCTTTGAACCCACCCAGGGCCTGGGAGACCTCACTGCCCTTCCATTATCATTTGTTTCAAGAAATTTTTCAATATTCTTCTGAATCACTTCATTGACCCACTAGTCATTCAGGAGCATATTGTTTAATTTCCATGTATCTGTATAGTTTCCAAAATTGCTCTTGTTATTCATTTCTATAGTTTTATTCTATTGTGGTCACAGAAGGCTTGATATTATTTCTATTTTTTTAAATGTTTTAAGACTCGTTTCATGACCTAACGTATGGTCTATCCTTAAGAATGATCCATGTGCTGGTGAAAATAATGTGTATTCTGAAGCTGTTGGATGAAATGTTCTGTAAATATCTGTTAGATCCATTTGGTCTAGAGTGCAGAATAAGTCTGATATTTCTTTATTGATTTTCTGTCTAAAAGATCTGTCCAATGCTGAAAGCGGGATGTTGAAGTCTCCAGCTATTATTGTATTGGGACCTATTCTTCTCTTTAGCGCTAATAATATTTGTTTTGTAGATCTGGATACCCCAGTGTTAGGTGCATATATATTTAAAATTGTTATATCCTGTTATCAAATTGACCCCTTTATCTTTATGTAGTGACCTTCTTTGTCTCTTCTTATAGTTTTTGTCTTAAACTCTGTTTTGTTTGTATGAGTATAGTGACTCCTGCTTTTCTTGGATTCCATTGGTATCTCATCCCAAGATTCCATTGGGTCTCACCCAAGGCCTATGGCCTTGGCTCCTGCATATGTTCACTCAAGGCCCTGGAGCTCTACAATCAGCTGGTGGCAAAGCCAGTCAGGCCAGTGTCCTTTTGTTCAGGGCAGCAAGGTCTTTCAGGCCCTGGGTGGGTTCAAAGGTGCCATCTGGAAGTTAAGGACTAGGGTCAAAAGCCTTAGATATCTACCTGGTGTTCTATTGTACTGTGGCTGAGGTGGCACCTAGACCACAAGATATGGTTCTTCCCACTCTTCCCTCACCTTTCCAAAGGCAGAGGAGCCTCACCCCATAGCCACCACCATCTCAGACCACAAAGAATACTGCCAGACTACCGCCCATGTTTCCTTAAGACCCAAGGGCTCTTAAGTCAGCTTGTGGTGAATGCTACCTGTCCTGGAACTCATCCTTCGGGAAAGTGGACTCTGGTATGGCCCCGCACAGGATCAGAAATGCCATCTAACAGTCAATTCCTGGAATCTGGGACCCCAAGAGCTTCCTGAGTACTCTACCCTCTATGGCCATGCTAGTACCTGAAGCGAGCAAATCTCAGAGGCTCACCCAAGGCCCTCAACATAGTATCTGGGTATCACTACTGATCATTCAGGGGCCAGGGGCTCTTCAGTTAGCAGGTGATGAATGCTGCCAAGACTGGGTGGGTCCTTTCCTTCAAGTCAGCAGTTTCCCTTCTGACCTGGGATGTCTCTAGAAATGTCATCTGGGAGCAAGGACCTGGAACAGGGGCCTCAGGACTCTGACAGCTGCCCTATCATACTGTGGCTGAGCTGGTATCCAAAATCCAAGACTAAGTCCTTTCAACCCTTCTCTCTCCTCTCCTCAAGCAGAAGGAAAGGGTCTGTTTTGGAGCCAGGAGCCATGCAGCCTGTAGTTAGGGGAAGGGTGATGCCAGCACTCCCTTAGTCACCCCAGCGGATGTCTCAGTATGTCAGGTGCCCCCCAAGTCCTCCATCTCTAATTCACCATTAGGACTTGCCTAAGAGTTTCAGTCCTTATGGCCTAGCCTGCCTTTCAAGTTTACTGGGAGACACAGAGCACTTTGGCCCTCAGTGGCAAGGTTTATGAGAACTCAAGTTCTGACCACAGGGGTCAGTAATTCCCCTCTGGCTAGGGCTGGTTTAAATGCTCCCTCTGTGGGTAAAAACTATCAGCTGAGTTTGGTCCTGTTTTCCTTTCTGCCCTAACAAAATGCACTGAGTTCAGTGACTCACAGTTGTTGTGTTCTCCTTCCCCAGATGCCCAGAGATGCTCTCTGCACCACGCTGCCATTGCTATGGGGAGTGAGAGAAGGGTGGTGTTGGTGATTCAGGACTTTTTTTTTTTTCCTGTTTCTTCATTGCCTCTTTCAGCAATGGAAGTTAAAACCAGGTACTATGAGGGCACACTGATTTTTGGTTCTTATGGTGTTTTTTCTGTGTAAATAGTTGTTAAATTGGTGTCCCTGTAGGGAGGGATGACTGTTGGAGCCTCCTATTCTGCCATCTTGCTCCACCTCCAGTTTGCCAGTCAGTTTTCATATAAACCAGAGGGAAGGTTATACGCTGTCTGTTTTTTCCTCTGTAAGTAATCAGAAATTACACCATCTGTATGTTATATACACATGTACATAACATTCCTGTCTTAGTTTGTTCAGTCGGCTATAGCAAGTTACCATAGACTAGGTGGCTTAGACCACAAATATTCATTTCTCACAGTTCTGGAGGCTGAAATCCAAGATCAGGGTGCGGGCCATCTTCCCAGTTATGTCCTCACATGGCCTTCCTTGGTGGTGCATACAAGCAGAGAGAGCAGAAATGATCTTGTGTCTCTTCTTCTTTCTATAAGGGCATTAATCCATCATGGGAACTTCACTGTCATGACCTAATCCTCTCCAGGGCTTCAGCTCCTAATACCATTACACTGGGGTTAGGGCTTCATCATATGAATTGGAGAGATACAAATCTGTCCATAGCATTTCTTTCACAGCTAAATTGGCATTTACATTTCAAGAAGAGAAAGTGTCCAAGAGTAACAATTGAAGTATAAAGTGGGTTCTTTCTTTTAAACACTTTGTATTATGTTATCTCCATCATGAAGCCGTTTAAGAAAAGGAACTGCATTCTCAGTGTATTAGTTATCTATTGCTGTATAATCTGTATAAGTTACCCCAAAACTCAGTGATTTAAAACAATAGTAAATATGTATCAGCATTGATAGTTTGTATGGATCAGGAATTTGGGAGTGCCCTGGTTGGGCCTTAGTGGCTTGGGGACTCTCACAAGGTTGCAGTCAGATTAGACTGTGGCCTTAGTCATGGAGGCTTGATTGGGGCTGAGGATATACTTCCAAGGTGACTCAAGTTGGATACTCCCCACCAGGGCCTCACCACAGGGCTCCTCATGCATCTCCACAGCATGGCAGCTGGCTTCCCCCAGGGGGAGCAACGGGAGAGACCCTTAACAGAACCTGCAATGCCTTTCCTAACCTGCCTTGAGAATATCACTCCATCTCTCTGCCATATTCTATTCGTCTCACCACAACCCTGATTCACTATGGGAAGGGGATTATACAGGGATCTGATACTAGAGGACAGGAATTATTGGGGCCCACTTGGGGTACTTAATAACCAAGAGTGGTTATTAGGTGATAATTTCTTATGTGATAGTTTCTTATGGTGTACTGCTTAGTAAAGACAGTGCTTTTAAAATGAAGTGTAGGTTAAATAGACACCCTCATCCCAAGTGCCTCTAAAGCAAATAACTGAGGTGATGTTGAGAAAGGCCAAAGCGGTAATCACTTACGGAGAGTTCAAGAAGTGTAATGCGCACAGTGGGTTCTGGGAGGACCCTGGGTACTAGAAAAGGGAAGGGAAGGGAAGGGAAAAACCAAAGGATTTCAGCTTCTCTGACGATTCAGGGTGTCCAGATTTAAGATGGAGTTATTTTAGGCACTGAATTGACAATTCCAAAATTTGTGCAGTCCGAAGAAACTAAAACTGAAAATTAGAGACAAAGCAGTTCTTTATTTCAACCCTGCAAACGTGTGTATGTTTCCTCTGGGATAGGAAAGGGACATCAATGGGTCAGTAATGCAGAGGAGGAGAACTGAAAATGAAGGAGTGGCTACCTGGGCTATGTACATAATTGTTTTTCATTTTTATAGCAACCTGGTAAGTAGGTATTGTTATCCTTATTTAGTGTGGAAAAATTGAACCTAAAGGATTTACAGTCAGCTACATAGCCAATGTGTGAGGGCCAAAATTGCACTTAACTTCAAAATAGGTCTTTACACCATTTAAAAATCAAACTAAATTGGATCAAGTGTAGATAACAGTAGCTACAGGGAAGCATGAGGTGGGTGAGAATTAGCCACTCTCCAACGTAGTCCCTGCCAGGATATAATGAAAGCAAGTTTCAGACTAAATTCTCCACACACATACTTTTAAACTGTATTAGCAAGGAGGCCCTAAGCAATTCATCAGTCCGTTCTGTAAACATTCATGAAGTCTCAAGTCTTTATTCTTTTAGGTTCTTCTACCACCACTCTGCAGAAAATATATTGCAGTCAGCTTAACTATATTCCCCAATAGGATTCTACTACCCTTAAATTCAGCATCAGGCACCAGAAATCATATAATCCACCAGCAGGATACAGGACCAATCCAGCCTCAGGCAGCACACCAAAGGCTTCACTCGATGACTATTCCCTGTTCATACAGGGTCAGGGAAGCCTATTTATACCTTGAATCTCATAAGTAGTGTCTGTTTTTAGAATTTATTTTTCTGATCAATAAGCCATTAATTTCATCAATGAAAACTCATTTCTGCCATTCATTAATTCATATCTTAATCAATGGACAGTGGAGTTGCATTTATTAACCAGTACTATGTCTGACCTTCCTGATTAGATACTAGCTGTTCACTCCTAAAGTGTATATTTCTGACTACCCCAAGGGTTTAATAAACAAAAATCTACATTTGTATCATACTGTTTATGATGTAGTAAATTATACATGTCAAAGCAAAGGACACAAGCAAATCCTTAGCCCAGACACTAGATGTAGCGGGAGCTCAGCTGAAGACTGAATTACTATCGCACTAGAATTCAGCACCATCTTGTTTTGTGCTTTAGTTATCTAATTGCTTCGTGTGTTGGATTTGGCTTCTTAATCAGATTATGAAATTCTTGGAAAGAGAGAGTTATATACTGTTTATTCTTCTACAATAGCTAGCACAGTGCTAGATACATATAGGTCTAGAATCAATCATTTTTAATTATTAAAATTCATAGTAATACCTTACAAACACTTGGCCCGTAGGATTCTATAGTTGCTTTGAGATTCTAAAGTACCTCAGTGGACTACAAACCTTAAGAAATTGCCTGACTGACTTGAGTGATGGAAATGGTATATTTTGTGTAGATTTTCTCATATCAATTCACAGCTTTGTTCTAACAATTATTAAACTTCATTGGGATAAGCATAAAGTATGAACCATAATAAACAATCATGCACCTCATAACGATGTTTTGGTCAGCTATGGACTGTATATGTGACAGGGATCTCATAAAATTATACTGGAGCTGAGAAATTACTACTGCCTAGTGACATCATAGCACACCACCTTACTCACGTGTTTGTGATGATGCTGTTGTAAACATACCTGCCGCACTTCTGGTCTTATAAGAGTATAGCACATACAATCATGTATAGTACATACTTGACAATGATCATAAATGTCTGTGTTACAAGTTTATGTATTTACTATGCTATACTTTTTATTATTTGAGAGAGTACATCTTCCACTTATTTAAAAAAAAAGTTGATTGTAAAACAGCCTCAGGCAGGTCCTTCAGGAGGTATTCCAGAAGAAGACATTGTTATCATACAAGATGATAGCTCCATGCATGTTATTGAACCTGAAAACCTTCCAATAGGACAAGATGTGGAGGTGGGACAGTGATACTGACAATCCTGGCCGTGCGTAGGCCTAAGCTAATGTGTGAGTTTATGTCTTACCTTTTAACAAAAAGGTTTTTTTAATTAAAAAAAATTAATTAAAAAAGGAAAAAGTATATATAATAAGACTATAAAGAAAGAAAATCATTTTATACAGCCACACAATGTATTTGTGTTTTAAGCTAAGTGTTACTACGAAAGAGTCAAAACGTTTTAGTAATTAAAAAGTTTATAAAGTAAAAAAGTTACAGTCAGCTAAGGTTAATTTGCTATCAAAGAAAGAAAAATATTTTAAAATAAATGTAGTCTAAGTGTGCAGTGTTTATGAAGTCTCCAGTAGTGTCCAGTAATAGCCTAGGCTTCATATTCACTCAAACTCACTCACTGACTCACCCAGAGCAACTTCAGTCCTGTAAGCTCCATTCATGGTAAGTGCCCTATCTAGGTGAACCATCTCTTAACTTTTATACCGCATTTTTACTGTACCTTTTCTCTATTTATGTTTAGATACATAAATACTTTTATGAGCCGGGCATTGTGGCTCACGCCTGTAATCCCAGCACTTTGGGAGGCCGAGGTGGGCAGATCATGAGGTCAGGAGATTGAGACCATCCTGGCTAACACAGTGAAACCCCGTCTCTACTAAAAAATACAAAAAAAAAAAAAAAATTAACTGGGCGTGGTGGCGGGCGCCTGTAGTCCCAGCTACTTGGGAGGCTGAGGCAGGAGAATGGCAGGAACCCAGGAGGCGGAGCTTGCAGTGAGCCGAGATCGCACCACTGCGCTCCAGCCTGGCGACAGAGCAAGACTCCGTCTCAAAAAAAAAAAAATACTTTTATGTTACAATTGCCTAAAGTATTCAGTACAGTAACGCACCATACAGATGTGTATCCTAGGGGCAATAGGCTATACCAGGCAGTCTAGGTGTGTGGTAGGCTACACCATCTAGATTTGGGTAGTACGCTCTGTGATGTTCACACGACAAAATCACCTAATGTTGCCTTTCTCAGAATGTGTCTTTGTAGTGTGACCGTACAAACATAAATACTGATATCTGGCTTCATTTCAAAATTTTTTAAATTGAGTTTGTCCATTTCCACTGAATTTAATTATTTCGAGCACCAACTCCAGGAGCAGGAAGTTAGCACTGGGCTTGTTTTTATTCTGAGTACTGCTTGAATACTAATAGTTGAAAAGTATTGTAATATTTGACCCTGAAGAGCTTTGACTCAGGGATTTTGTGTTGTCATTCACATCCTCGGCAAGGAAAGGTATCCAGCTCCTACTATTTAATATGTAATCACGACATCTAGTGCTCACTGTTTGGTTTTGTTAAGCAATAGCTGTGAGCCACAGAGCCAACCTGCAGCCGCATCTCACCCAAGAAGGCCCAGGGCTGTGTTTTCAGTTTTGCTTTTAATGATTGCATAACTGTGTGAAGTTCTAAGACACTGTTGGGATTTTAGCCTTGGGATGACAAGCCTTTGGGGCACCTCTTTGGGGTAAAGAAAGAAGAACTAACAGAAGAGCTTCAGTTTAAGTCTGATGAGGACAAACGCCTGGCACTAGGTGGGTTTTAAAAATCCTTGAAAATTTTTTAAAAACTAAAAAAAAAGCCAGCTCTTTTGCAATTGCCCAGAGAGAGGAGGACACCCATATTGATTGATGCATTGTTCTCCTAGGCAGGAATCGTCCCACTATAGTCTGCGGTAGCAAGAGTTCAAGGGTTAAAGTAGGAAGACTGATCCCATAAATGTAATTTGCATTCCTTCCAAATTCACATACAATTGTATAGCAGTGAGTATTTAAATTTAAAAACATTATAGTTTAAGGAACTTTTCTCATGAACAGTTCTCCTAGTGTACATTATGTAAATTCTACCACCAGAGAAAAATTCCTGCTTTGTTCCGGCTTAAGCTTGGTACATATATACAAACCCATACTATTACTTCAGAAAATTCAACTTAGGTAATCTGGCTCAATACTCATGGTTAGAGATTTTAACTTTAACAACTTAACAATATTTGGTTTATCATATTTGTGCTTTTATTTCAATTTAGAATGTTTTCCAGCCAGAAATCTAGCTTTAAGTTTTATAAAGCATGATGACACAGCAGCTAGAACTCAAATCTCTAAATGGAATTATGCTAAATTTAACAATATGTTACCTAAAGTCCTTATGCCTTAAAATGTTTCTAGGCTAAATTCTGCAATTTCCCTGGAAACATATTGAATTGTCTTCAATAATACATTGCATAAATATATTTATCCTACATCTAGGTACTTCAAATTATAAGCTAGTAAATCTTGTAATATTTCTAGCTTTAAGACTCGTATGTATTTCTTCCTTTGTATTTTCTCCCCAATCATATGATTATGTACTATTGATGCTATAAATATCTTATATTTTAAGGTTAGGCTAATTCCCAGTGGCTCTATTATCCCACCTGTGCTTGCAACTCAGTATGTGATGAAATTGCCTATGACTTATCAATTAACCCTTGGTGTCCCTAGAATCCAAAATAAAGAATAAATGTATGTAAAAGGATAATTGGAGACTTAGAATCTCTTCCTCAAGATTTTATCTGGTTAATGACTATCACAGGTGGGCTGTTCTTTTTATTCTTGGAAGAACATACTCTATTCCGGAGGGGAAAATATCAAATTAGTTCAGCCTGCTACCTGCTCCCATAGAAGATGGGGGAAGCTGGCTCTTTCATCGGTGTTTTCGTCTGTAGCCGCCCCCTTCCCCAACCTTGAGTTGATTTAAAAGGATGGAAGAAAGTACCGTGCTACCTCCAATGCTGTCATTCAGTGTTCACCCCAGGCAGTGTGCTAGACACATTCCTGGACTAAATCCTTTAGTTCCTTTAAGACAACAAACCTATAAGATAGGTATTATTATCTCGATTTTACATATTAAAAAATAATGTAAGCCTTTTTGTATTTGCATTGTTTTGCTTTGTTCTTTAAATGTCTGCTTTAAAAAAAGAAGTGGGGTAGGTAAAGGATCAAAAAAGGCCTGGAATCCCAAAAGTAATGATAAATGTTCTAAAAACTCTTTAAAACTTTTTATCTTCCATCTAAACAGGATGCATCTGTTACCCATGCTAATTACACAGAAGGCATCTGAGTCTTCCTAACTTCTAGCACGTAATAGACAACCTGTGATTCCTAACATTTACTGTTGGAATTTACCCATTGGATCTTTTCTATTATAAATTTATCTTCACTTTTTTGTTGTTGTTTTTCCAAGAAGAGGTGAAAATAGCAATGCCGGCTGGGCATGGTGGCTCACACCTGTAATCTCAGGACTTTGGGAGGCCAAGGCCGGTGAATCATTTGAGGTCAGGAGTTCGTGACCAGCCTGGCCAACATGGTGAAACCCTGTCTCTACCAAAAGAATATAAAAATGAGCCATGCATGGTGGCGCACGCCTGTAGTTCCAGGTACTTGTGAGGCTGAGGCACAAGAATCGCTTGAACCCAGAAGACAGAGGTTGCAGTGAGCTGAGATCATGCCCCTGCACTCCAGCCTGGATGACAAAGTGAAACTATGTCTCAAAAAAAAAAAAAAAAAAAAAAAAATGCTTGGGAGCCAGGTAATACTCAAAGAAGAATGATTGCCACTGGGCTTTTCTCAAACCCACTCATCTGTCAGTCACGTTTGAAAATTATTTCTCAGGTCAGATACGGTGGCTCACGCCTGTAAGCCCAGCACTTTGGGAGACCTAAGCGGGCGGTTCACTTGAGGTCAGGAGTTCAAAACCAGCCTGGCCAACGTGATGAAGCCCCCCGTCTCCACTAAAAATACAAAAAATTAGCCGGGTGTGGTGTGGTGGTGGGCACCTGTAATCTCAGCTACTTGGGAGGCCAAGGCAGGGGAATGGTTTGAACCCGGGAGGCAGAGGTTGCAGTGAGCCGAGAGAGTGCCACTGCACTCCAGCCTGGGCGACAGAACGAGACTCTGTCTCAAAAGCAAAGAAAAGGGAAAAAAAAACTGTTTCTCTGTTAAAGGAAAGGAAGTAGCTCACCTGACTGACATATATGTGTCCAGAAATGAAATCTTTACAGTGACCTGTTACTGTCTTAATGATAAACATTGAATTATTGACATCTACTTTATCTGAGGCGTTATCCTAGGAACTTTATATGCGTTGTCTGTAATCCTTATAGCATCCCTCAGAACCACATTCTTCCCCTTCTACATCCTTCCTTCTCAGGTAAGGAAACTGAGGATTGCCTCAAAGTCACATGACTATGGTAAAGACATTTTTTTCCCACATGCTTATGACTAAATGTTAGTACTCGCTGGAAACTTCATACCAGACATCCCATACCCTTTGGACTGATTAACTCATAGCAGGGGAACTTGGGCCTTAGAGTCACTGTTAATTGGAGGTTAGTGGTATGTGGCTGAGAGAAAATTGTCTGGGAAATGCATTTGCCCTTCAAGCTCAGAACCCAGAAAGCTTTTGTCAGAGCCAGCCAGGACTGGCTGCAGGATTTTGGAATTTCAGAAATTTTGTGAGATTTTTATAATATTAAAAATTAAAATATATTAAAGTATAATTAAATAAATCATATTAAGGATGAAGTAGGTCGGGCATGGTGGCTCACGCCTGTAATCCCAGCACTTTGGGAGGCCGAGGCGGGCGGATCACGAGGTCAGGAGATCGAGACCATCCTGGCTAACATGGTGAAACCCCATCTCTACTAAAAATACAAAAAATTAGCCGGGCGTGGTGGTGGGTGCCTGTAATCCCAGCTACTCGGGAGGCTGAGGCAGGAGAATGACGTGAACCCGGGAGGCAGAGCTTGCAGTGAGCCAAGATAGCGCCACTGCAGTCCAGCCTGGGCGAAAGAGCTAGAATCTGTCTCAAAAAAAAAAAAAAAAAAAAAGAATGAAGTAAAGAAATACTCAACACTCGTCACTTCCTAAATATTTTACTATTGTCCATGCTTTGGAGGTAATTGACATCTATTATATCTGTGTTGTGGAAATACTATGTAATGGGGTGCTACCATACATCCTTTCCAACTTTATGTTCAGTGACTTAACATTGCTAGCTTGAAATTAGCTATGGCAGGAGCATTTACACCATGGAAATCAGCAAATATGATAAATCAATGCTTGATTTATCATTTTGTTGCTTGTCTACAATTAAGAATGAAGAAATTATTAATGCAAATTAAACTTAAAAGTGTGTTAAGTCTACAGCTGCTACATGGGAAAAAGGAAATTTTTCTTCCAATATTCAAAAGCTATTATCTGATTCACCAAAGAATTTGCTCATGTCATTAACAAATGAGTGTAATTCCAACATATATGTTCTTTGTTTCACTTTCTTCTAAATTGTTAAACAAAAATGTGAACCAGCATTCATGTGGGAACTATACCTGCTCATCAGTTGAAACTATAGGTTAACTATGGATAGAAAAGGCTGGCAGAACTCATTGAAAGCATTCTGTGAAATCAGTCCTCTAAATGGAATTTATTATTTTTAAAAATACTATTATTTGTAAACTATGTGGTACACATCCTTTATTTACAGTAAGCATTTTTTTTCCATAGAACCAGTTGTAAAACATTTGCCAGACCACTAGCTGTAAGGTATAACTGGTCTGCAAACTTTGCACCTGCCAGAACCACAGAGTAAAATCATACCTTCCCCAAAACAAAGGCACCATTTTGAACACAGTTGGAATAGGAACATAGCTTTTAATCCTGTTGTTTAAAAAGAGAAGCTAAAAAGTATGCTGACTGCTTTTAATATTTTTCCCATTCGTCCACTAGCAGGAGTGAATACTGTCAAGAAGTCTTCAAACTACCCAAAAGCAAGTTGAAGATAAGCTTCTATGAAATGTCATGCATTTTTGTAGTGTGTGTATGTACTATGTTTTGCTAAAGAAGATTATAGAATCCATCTCCTGGACTTTGGGGACTTGGGGGGAACAGTGGGAGGGGGGCGAGGGATAAAAGACTACAAATGTGGTGCAGTGTGTACTGCTTTGATGATGGGTGCACCAAAAATCTCACAAATCATCTGGTATGTAACCAGATACCACCTGTACACCCAATAGCTTATGGAAAAATAGAAATTTAAAAATTAAAACATTAATAAAATATGTATAATTATTTAAAAAAATAGTATCTATTTCCAAGTATCTTTGGCTTAAGCAGTAGGATTTTTTTTCCCCAAAGAACAGTAAGTTAATGCACTTTACATGTTAATATTTCCAGCTAAGAAAACATTAAGGATTGAAAATTAGGAATTTAAGCTGGTCTCATATTTATTTAGTTGAGTGAATTAAAGGGGGGTTAAGAGTTTATCAGTTTCTGGTGTTCTTTTACTTCTACCCTGTACCACTCTCTAGAAATACACTTGTGATCTGTGAATTGTCACGCATATCGTTATATGATCATTTACTTAAGTCTACTTTAATTGGTTTTGGATCGTTTCCACAAACTATGTTTCTGCATTACATTCCACATTGCAGAAGGTGGGGCTGCTCTGTTGAGTTTCGCTTATAAATAAGCAAACATTCTTTGACCTGCAAAATTCCAAGAACAGCCCTCCTTCCTACCTGACCCTTATATATTTCTAACACTTGTTAATAGAAAAATTGAATGAAAAAAACAACAACTAAAGATCCTTCCAATATTTTCTGGAAAATTGATTTCCTTTTGTGGGAGTTGGAGTGTCTAACTGGAAGGGATAAAAATAATACCTGAGCAAGTTATATTTGACTCATATTTGAACAGTCATCTAATGGAAGACAAATCTATGTTCGCAAAGTCTTTGTTTCCCTTAGGGAAGTAAGTGGATTGCCAAATAATGGTGGGAAATGCTTACAGTGCATATTTTCTTTGTGATTATCAGGCAGAATTTTGTTCTGGTTTTGGGATTCAAAATATGCCAGGTTCTTTATTTTCTTAGGATGTCCATTTTACCTAGTTCATTGTAAATGACACTGAAAGGAAACCCCGATCAAAGTTTTTGGCTTCCTGGAATTTTGCTGTTGCTTGGGGGAAAAGCAATGCTTTTTTTTCTGTTTGGATTTTTCAGTGGCATTTAAGGAAGCAAGATGAAATAGGTAATCCATACAGAAATAATCATCTTGTTTTTCTTTTTGAAAATCACTGGTCCAAGAAAGATACAATTTAAATCCAAGGTCATTGGCATTGATCAGAATAGATAGCTGATACTTTTCCTGAAAGATGAACCATAATATTTTAGCATCATGAAGCCCAGGAATGTGAGCCACAAGAACCTGGGTCCAGGAAAGTCATGTAAATCCATTCTGGCTTGGCCACAGCTGGGGCCTTGACTAGAGTTACCGTTTTCTTAACCTTAAAGCCACGCCTTGGACTCTGCTTCCTTTAATCTGACCAGACTGTCTTGAATCTAATAGTATGAGGCCATGTATTTAGGGTCAGTTAGCTGATTATTGAGTACCCACTATGTGCTTGCTACTGGGTTAAACATGATAGCTTCCTTATGGAATTTACATTTGTCTTAGTCCTTTTGGGTTGCTATAACAAAATACCTTAGACTGGCCAATTTATAAATAATAGAAATTTATTTCACATAATTCTGGATGCTGGGATGTCCAAGATCAAGGCATCACAGATTTGGTGTCTGGCGAGGGCTTGCTGTCACCCATAAATGGTGCCTTGTGACTGTGTCCTTACAGGGCAGAAGGGGAGGGCAGCTCCCTTCAACCTCTTTTGTAAGGACACTAATCCCATTTGTGAAGTCAGAGCCCTTGTGATGTAATCAACTTCTAAGGGCCTCACCTCTTAACATTTCCACACTTGGGTTTATGTTTCAACATATGGATTTTGGAGGGACACTAGTGTTCAGGCCATAGCAACATTTAGCCTAGAACAGCCTAGAAATGGGTGAGAATTATTTCCTTTATTCAACTAGAATTGATTGAATGCCTATCATATACTAGGTGCTCTTCCGCATACTGAGGATTCAAATGCGACAAATTCCAACTCTTGTCTAAGAGGTGCAAGAGAGTGCCATGAGAGTTCAGAACTAGGACAACTAATCCAGCTAGAGGCATCCAGGGTACTTTCCGGAAGAGGCCAACACTGAGTGGGAAGTCAGAGTCAGCCAGATGCTATAAGGAGGGCTTTCCGGAGAGAAGGCTGTCCATGGACACGGCCAGTAAAAACTCCCAAAGTGTGACAGCGTGACGTGTTTTTGAAAGAATCGAGGGCTGGGCGTGGTGGCTCACACCTGTAATCCCAGTGCTTGGTCGGCCAAGGCGGGAGGATTGCTTTAAAGCAAGGAGTTCAGGGTTACAGTGAGCTATGGTCCCATCACTGCACTGCAAACTGGGTGACAGAGTGAGACCCTGTTTCAAAAAACAGAATATTTTTTCTCTATATCCACACCTTGTTGGATATGCCCACAATTTGGGGCCATTTACAGATGGAGTGGGGGGCCACAGTGATCCTAAGAGCCAGGGAGGGAGGAGCAGGAAGTGGGAAAGGGGTTTAAGTAGACAGCTTCCAGAGCCCCACTTCGCTCCACCTCTACCTGGATTTCTGTTCATTCAGGTCTCCCACAACCAAGAGGTGTCTGGTGAGAAGATCAGTAAATCACCTCATTTTGATTCCACATTCGTAAAGAACTGAAAATCGCTATTTCATGACCTGCGCTTTTCCTCGCAGTAACCCTGAGAGTTTGGAAAGGGGCATTACCACCACCACATTATGGATGAGGAAATTGACATCCTCAGTGTGAGCGATGTTGCTGGGTCCACAGTTCAACATGGCAGCGCTGGGACTGGAGCTGTGTTTCCTGGGCCTTTGGGCCCAGGCAGTAGAGTATAGGTTTAAATCTTGGCTCTACCAGTTGCTAGCTAGAGGATATAAAGCAAGTTCCTTAACCTGTTTAACCTTGCTTCCTCCTCTGTTAGATGAGCTTCAAAATAGTACCTCCTAAGTGGTTGTGAGGATTAAATGAGATCATGCACATAAAGTGCTTGGCACATAGTAAGCACTCAATAAATATTTATTCCATTAATAGGCACTGAATCAGATTCTGTGGTTGCAAAACTGGGTGTGACACGAGTACAAAACAGAGACAGACAACTACATAACTGGCCATATAGCCAGGGGATAGGCTCTGAGTAAGCACTTAGCACAGCACTTTGATGGTTCTATTTGGGATAGGGGCACAGCGGGCCAAAAGCTTTCACAGAGAAGATCCTATTAGGACTTTGACCCAGAAGGTAGAATTTCACTCCCCTTGAAAGGGCAAGTCCAACTAAAGAGATGCAATTCTATTAGTTACCTATTACTGTACAACAAATTACCCCAATATTTAGCAGCTTAAAACAACAAACTTTTTTTTTTATCTGACAGTTTCTGTAGGCCAGGAATCTGGGCGCAGGATAATGGGGTGCCTCTAGTTTAAGGTCTGTCAGTCAAGCTGTCAGTCAGGGCTGCAGTGATCTCCAGGCTGGACTGGGGCATGGAGAATCCGCTTTCAAGCTCACTCAGGTGTCTCTTGGCGGGTCTGAAAAGGTACACTTCCAAGCTCACTCGTGTGACTGCTAGCATGCCTAGGTTTCTCATCAGGTACTTTCTTTATCCTGTAGAGATGGAGTCAGCAAACTTTTTATGTAGAGAACCAGATAGTAAATATTTTGGACTTTGCCAGTTATGGTATCTATTGCAACTACTCAACTCTGCTGTGTAGCTCAAAAGCAGCCACAGACAATGCATAAATGAATGGGCCTAGTTGTGTTCCAATAGACATGTATTTGTTCTCTCTCTTGCTCTCTACTAAAACTGATAGCTTAACCAGGATATCAAAATACATTACAAACCTCATGTAGAATGGGAAAGATTTAGGGGACGACAACTTAACTGACAGTTCAGGTTCTTTTTGGTAATACATGTAGTCTTAGTCACTGGTGGCATGGCTGGCCAGCTTTGGGGCAGAGTGACGGACTCATGGCAGCAGGGCCCTTGCCTGCCATAAGAAAAGACAGGCCCGGAAGCTGAAGGGCCAGTGGCATCATAATTACATCTTTCCAGTAATTGATTGCTTGACCTGTGCCAATGTAACATATGTAACCCATAAGATTGTTCTTAAGGCTCATAAGATATAGATACTTAAGGACTCACAGAGAGTGCAGTGTCTACACAGGTATGTTCTGCCCTCCAGAATTTCCCTTAAATAATTGCACAGAAATCTGTCCCTAATATTTCCTTTTGCATTACATGTATGGTGTACCTAGAATCTGGCTTTTCTAAAACAACTAGAACATCAGCAAGGTGTCTCAGAGGTTGAAAAGAGGCCTGGATGATTCTTTGTGCTTGTGTTTGAGGCTGTCAATATGTTAAAGTAGTAAAATAATGACAAAGCAGCATTATAAACATTGAAGAATATTTTAAATGCTTACATGTACAAATTTGCAATATTATACACATGCATAAAAGTGGTAGAATTTTCCTAGTCTAGAAATAACATAAGGAACAGCAAGTGATTTGTTATAGAAAAAAAATGAGGCTGAGGTTTAAAGATACATGAAGAACATTACCTTTCTTCAGTCCTGTCAGTGCGGCTCTGGGCATGTATTTGGAGATAGTGTCAGGAGCCTACATTTGAGTTCTCTCTTTGACAGGAAGTCCAAGTTATTCAACTTCCTGTGTCTCACATTCCCTGCCTAGCTCTGCAGTGATAGGCTTTGTTGCATGCATCCACCATACTGAAGACTCCATGATATATAATAAATGAAGAAGCTTAAACTCTGAATTCTTTCTCCAAAATATATTAGTTGTGTAACCTTATGCAAGTTATTTAGGCTTGCTAAACCAATTTCCATTATCGTAAAATGAAGCTAGGACACTGGAATGCTTATTTCACACAGAGTTGCTGGGAAAAGAACAAGATAGTGAGTGTAAAGTATCAAACACATAGTGAATGCTCAAGTGTCAGATACCATCACCATCTTCACCGTCATCACCATCACCACCACTTCCACTGTCACCACCATCACCACCATCATCATTACCACCACAACCCTGTCACACACACACACACACACGCACACCCATGCATCAGAACCAGAGCCTCAAATCTTGGTTTGAAAATCTGTTGAGTGTAACAACTGGGACTGGATCCAGTGAAGAGTCTTATGGTTATAACCTCCCTGAGCCCTCCTGCATGTGTGAACTGTTAGCACCACAGCCGCAGTGACTTGGCCCTGGGTTCTGCTTCATTCCACCCTCACCTGTCCTTGGTAAATAAACATGTATGTGCAAGACAGTTTGTACATCTCAGACAAATCTCTTCTGCCACATGTGTGAGAAAATTGAGACAGAATAAGGACTTTATAACTAGAAAAGATAAAATCCAAAGGGCATTGGGGCATCTGCAGATTCACAGAATGACTGTCAGTCATCATTCTTGGGCCCCTGATGCTAAAAGAGACACACCTTGCCATCTCCACCTGGGAAGAGCTTGTGCTGCAAAGAGAGAGAACATGATGAACTTAACAGGAGTTAAGAATTTGGCTCTGATTCCCTGGAGTCTGTTAGGTGGGGTCTTTAGCTGTTTGGAAAAGAAGGGTTTCTGCCTGGGACAGGTAATAATTGCTGAACAGACTTTCCTTGCACTTTCCCTGGAGGTGTGAATTTGATAGCAGTGATGCCTTGCAGATTATCATTTCCTGGTTTATGATGGAGGAACTTAATCTCCTGTTTAGGTTTCTAACTGCCAGGTCCCATAGGTTACTTACTTCACAACAGAAAAATAGAAAAGAATGGAAAGATAAAATCAAATTCATCTCACACATTAAAATCATGGCCTGTTATAGTCAGCACTGTAGACACTGAACTTGGAAGCTGCAAGGAGGGTGATATTACCAAAAATGTTAAGTTCCAAAAATGTTAAACTCTAGAGAGAATGGTTAATTAACTGTCAGGGGTCACTGTAGGGTAGATGCATGTCGCAATGATAATCTATGCATACCCTAAGAATGACCCCCACATAGCACTCGCACCTGAATGTGTGTTTGGAGTTCCAAGCTAAGGAATCTGGGAGTGGCCAAGCCAGAGATTCACTCCTTATCTATGAGGAACATCTGAGCCCCCAGCCGACCCTGTGAAAAACAGACCATACATGGGATTAAGGCCCTTGGTTTTCAGTTAAATGAAGGTTAAGTAGAAGCTGTTAAAAGGAGGATGTTACGTGAAAAATGTTATATAAACGACATGCTTCTCTTGAGTGGCTGTGGTTATCGCGTTCTGCTGCCACTGGTCCTGTGGTTCTCCTGTTCAGCCTGCTGCCACTGGTCTGTCCTGATATGTAAGTTCCCCTCTAAACCCTGTGGCAGCCGGGCGCGGTGGCTCACACCTGTAATCCCAGCACTTTGGGAGGCCAAGGTGGGCAAATCACCTGAGGTCAGGAGTTTGAGACCAGCCTGGCCAACATGGCAAAACCCCGTCCCTACTAAAAATACAAAAATTAGCCAGATGTGGCGCACACCTGTAATCCCAGCTACTCCAGAGGCTGAGGCAGGAGAATGGCTTGAACCTGGGAGGCAGAGGTTGCATTGAGCTGAGATTATGCCACTGCACTCCAGCCTGGGCGACAGAGCAAGACTCCGTCTCAAAATAAGAATAAACATAAACCCTGTGTCGCATTCACTGGCTCCAGGTCTCTTCTTCAGCCTCTCGGACCTGCTGCCATCCTCACTGGAATTAATGGGGAATTGGCATGACAATCACTCTTGGAATAATTTGCAAGAATTTAAAACAATTATTATGAACATTGTGTATTTTCATGGAAAAGGCCAGAGACGTGATGCTAAGTGAAAAAAATGGGACATGTTGTAAAATGATCAAAACAGGGTATTTAGCATATGCAACAGCACGCATTTATCATTTCTTTATCATAAGAACATTCAAAAGCCTCTCTTCTAAATATTTTATAAGATACTACACCTTACTGTTACTAAATGTGAAAAAAATAAAAATTAAAAACCACACAAGAAAAAGAAGTGGGACACGAAGTTGTATGTGTATTGTATAGAATTTGTATGCAGATGGACATAAACCCTTGAAAAAATTTGCATACATAACACACGGTTCAGCTGCACTGATTATGGTTGACCTTTTTTCCTCTCTTTTTCCAAGTTTTGTGCACTTATATGTATTTGTGCATGCGTGCATAATTATATATGTTTTAATGTAGAGTGTATAAATCACATTATGTATATGCAAACATATATAACATTTTTAATGAACAAAGGTCTTTAAGCATTTGGAAAAGACCAGATCTGAGCAGAGCGAGTGCAAAAAGAAAGTTTTTGTACTTTAAAAACTACTTAGAATTTGGCATAAACTAAGGACTAAGCTTTAACGTTAATCGATAAATGAGTGAATCTTACATTCTATCCCGAATATGATTGTGCTTTAGTGAAGTAACTAGGATTTTTCTTTTTTCTGTGGAGATTCTAGATATAAATCACGGTTTTGTTTCTTTGGTTTAAATTACATTCCTCTTTGATCATTACTTCACACAATGAAAAGATATTTCCTTGTGCAAAGTAGTGGTTAACTTCTCATAACCTCTGACAACAAAGAGCCCCTGTGTGAGGACACAGGAATTCCTCTTGGGATACAGGGAAGGCCCCCAGCTGAATCGTATCCAAGGAAGATGTTGCAAAGCTTGCAAAGCTTGTTCAGAAAAAGGAGCCCAGCTTGAGCTCTTTGCTTTCTATTCAGATATTGGCCCCATGTAGAGGTGGGGGTGGGAGTTGGGGGGAACCCATCAAAGAGAAATGGGAAACAAACCTGACTGCATTTACAGATTACAAGGAAAAGTTAATTCTTGCAACCAGTGTTAGAGCCAACTCAGGCTTATTATATTTAGAATTTAACTCCACTTGGAAAAAAACCCCTTTTTTTTTTTTCCTTTCATGGAAGTTAAAGAAGGTAACACAAACAGCCCGTCCACTCTGTGGTGTAAACTCTGAAGTAAAAAACACCTGTCTGCAGAGAAGTCCCAGGCTGGCTGAGTTCACCTTGACTAGCTCTATTTTTCCCCACCAGTGAGTCCAGCATGTTCCCACCAGTTATTATTATGAACTGAAATCTCGCAGAGTCAGGCATTTGGCATGGTATTCACGGCCTCTCCCCACCTAACCCCAGCCCATCCTAGTGGATTTATCTCCCATCATGCTTCCTTTTCCACCACCCACAAACCTTCCCTTCCTCCCATGCTTTAACTCCCCACCCCCAACCTTGTTGGGAGGACTTATAGAACGATATAAAGCACCCACAAGTGGGTCTGGCATGTCCAGGCTTTCAGTAAATGCTGGTGCCCTTTTCCCTTCTTCTCTTTCCCTTTGCACAAAAAGTCTTCCTATTAGAGGTACTTAAGTCTTGGGACAATGATAGACCCTTTAACAGGGTGGTGATGAGCAGAAATGAGCGAGGAGGAGAGTCTGCCCTCTCCGCCCTCTACCAGCCCCTCTTAGGGGCCTCCCTCTACCAGCCTACTCATCAAATGCTGCACATTAATAACAATTAGCCACATGGCCGCTGCCATTTTTGTGCTTCTGCCACCAGCTTTTCCTGGTTCATGCATTATGTGTACACCTCATGTGAAGGAACGAAGGAACAGAGAGGTTTTGAGATTTTTCTTGAGGCCACACAGCTTATAAGTAGTGGAGCCGATTCAAATTCAGGAGTTTCTGGCTCTAGAGCTCACCCCTCTTTTCCACTTGTGCTGAACTCCTATTAACCTCAATAGGGAAGGCACCAAGTTCAAGAGGCCGAAAAAGACATCTAGAGCCAGGAAATGAGACATGGGGCTTATTTGGGGCCTACATACAGAGGAGAGAGTCCAGTGGCGGCAGGCTGGACAATATAACCACATTGCCCAGTGGTAGCGGACTAGGCAACTTGCAAACAGCATGCACTCTATACAGCATTTTCACTTACCCTCCCCTTAATAACCTCCACCTGGCAACCTTCATTTAACCCAAAACTCAGGTCTCAATCCCCTGTACAGCGCATCTTCCATTGGACAGGCCGGGTCTCAGATGTTTATCATAGATAAGGAAGGAATCTCTGAGGTGGTCACTCCTGGATTCCCTAGCTCAGAACACACATTCAGGTGCATCTGTCATTCAGGGTCATTCTAAGGGCATACTTAAATTATTACCACCAGGTGCATTTACCCTGCACCACTATGCAAAAGTGTCTTCCCAAAGACTCACCGACTTTTGGTCACCAGCAGCATTTGTCCCCAACACCTGTGGGTGCTCAAACCGTATCAGGAGAAGAAATACCCCCTCCTAGTTCAGGGGTGGCTCCACTTGAAAAATAACATTCTACAAAGTAAAAATTCCATTCCATGTACAGATAAATTGCACGGATAAATATCAAGCAAGAATCTATTTGCTAACAGACCACGGAATGTTGTCCTTCGGGTGTTTAATGTTGTACTTGAATATGCTGTAAAAAACGCCATTTAAGAACGTGTAGATCAGCACTATCCAATAGAACTTTCTGTAATGAGGAACATGTTCTATGTCCATACTGTACAATACAGTAGCCACTAGCCACATGTGGCTTTTGAGCACTTGAAGTATGGCTCATTAGTGTAACCAAGGAGCTGAAATTTTAATGTATTTAATTTTAAGTAATTTAGGTAGCCATATGTCGTTAGTATTTACCATTTTGACTGTGCAGCTCCAGAATATTCAGAAAGATTGGTTGTAGGACACCACCCCAACTCCATTTTCATAGTGTTTTGCCTATAATCTCTATTATATCATTGCATCTAATTGCTTAGGTGCACCCACCCCACTAAATTATAAGCTTGATGTCTTATTCATCTGGGCTGTGATCCCTACTAGCATATGGTCTGGCCCGCAGCACTAGATGTTTAATAATTAATGCAAGTTAAATAAATGGATGTGAACTGGCTCATTCAGAAGCCAGATTCCTACTGCTTGCTATCATCTAATTCACTCTTTCTCATGACTTTCTCTTATGACTAGACTGGTCCCCAAATCTCCAGGTCAAGCCCAGTCTGCTCACCTGTAAGCACATTTTTCTTTTCTCAAACGAAATCGCTCTTTTAAGTGATTGTTTTGGTATTTGCCTCTTTCTCTCTAAATGCATACTTCTATTACTATTTCTTTGGTGGGTTTTTTTCCATAATAGGCATCATCTTCCACAGTGGAAGAAGCTACCACCTCCAGCCCTACCATACATAAGGAATGCCACCATTCTCCACTGAACCCCCTGCCTTTAATTTGGGTTAGAGGAATTTTATAACTGTGTAAATACTTTTGAAAGCTAAACCAGGGAGTGGATTACCATTATATTTCCTTTTCTGTACAGTGTTTTTCTGCAGGTAGCAAAGGGCTTGTTTCTCATTTATTGAATGTTCTGTATACCTACCACTGATTCAACCTCAAATTATTTCCATGTTGTATAAATCTTTATCTTTGGGACACTTTAGTTATTCTGTTCATTTCATCTCTTGAAAGAAGGCTGCCTGGCTGGGCGCGGTGGCTCACACCTATAATCCCAGCACTTTGGGAGGCCGAGGCAGGCGGATCACGAGGTCAGGAGATTGAGACCACGGTGAAACCCATCTCTACTGAAAAAAAAAATACAAAAAATTAGCCGGGCGTGGTGGCGGGCGCCTGTAGTCCCAGCTACTCGGGAGGCTGAGGCAGGAGAATGGCGTGAACCCAGGAGGCAGAGCTTGCAGTGAGCCGAGATAGCGCCACTGCACTCCAGCCTGGGCGACAGAGCAAGACTCCGTCTCAAAAAAAAAAAAGAAGGCTGCTAGAGCCTTCTTAGCTTCTCCAATCTGAACAAGCTGTGCCCTCTCTTGTATACACTGGAGGCATTCTGGGATCTCCCATCACCATCATCCTTGGTAATACTTTTGCCTCTCTTCTGTGTTTAATGCCCTATTTTATCTATCCCTTGTCATTCCCTCTTGGTTTACTCCCTCACTTGTTTTTTACATCTTCTAGTAACTTCTGATAGCCTGAGAAAAGATATATGGATGATAAACGTTTTGAGACCTTTCATATCTGAAAATGTCTTTATCCTACCCTCTCACTTAATTGGTAGTTTGGCCAGATTTAGAATTATTTGTGTGTATATATGTTTAAGAAGTCCAAAATCATGCTGATGCCCAGCTCTTTGTATATCATTGAGTTTTTTTTGTTTTATGTTTCCCTGGGAGGCTACTGGATCTTTACTTTTATCCTACTTCTGAAATATCTCAGTGATGTATGTTGATTTTGATTCTATTTTTAACCATTTCACTGGGCAGTTGGTGAGTCCTTTCAATCCAGAAACTCATGTCCTTCAATTACGTAAAATTTTCTCAAATTATTTTGTGACGAATTCCTTCCCTTCTTTTGTTTATTCTCTCTTCCTGCAACTCCTATTATTTGGATACTGGATGTCCTGGATTGGTCTTCTAATTTTTTTTTATCTTTTTTATTCAATTTTAAATGACTTTATCTCTTTTGCTAATTTATGTGAGATTTCTTCACCTTTTTCTTCTAGATTCTCTGTTGAAATAGTTATTTTTGCTCTTTTGTTTTAATTTCAAGGAGCTGTTTTTTTTGTTCTCTGATTAAAAAAAAACATAGCTTTCAGTTTGGGGGAACAAGTAACATGATGAGGATGTTATTGTCAGTGGCTTGGGGTTTGGGTTGGGGGTTGGTTTTTTGTTTGTTTGTTGTTTTGGATTTTCTTTTTTCTATTCTTTGTTTCCTCCAAGTGCTTTTTGTTGGTTGCTTGGTTCTTTTTTGTTTTTTTTTCTGTTTTTTGTTTTTTTGTTTTTTTTGAGATGGAGTTTTGCTCTTGTTGCGCAGGCTGGAGTGCAATGGTATGATCTTGGGGGCACAACCTCTGCCCCCCGGGTTCAAGTGATTCTCCTGCCTCAGCCTCCCAAGTAGCTGGAATTACAGGCATGTACCACCACACCTGGCTAATTTTTGTATTTTCAGTAGAGATGGGGTTTCTCCATGTTGGTCTGGCTGGTCTCGAACTCCTGACCTCAAGTGATCCACGCACCTTGGCCTCCCCAAGTGCTGGGATTATAGGCCTGAGCCACCGCGCCTGGCCAGGTTGCTTGGTTTTAATCTCTATCTTTATGGTAGAGACTTTTGTTGGTAGAAGGTAGCTGCCAGGCATTCTCACAGAAACAAGGAGGGGAGCAGGCTGCAGTCCCCAACATTTCCTGTGCATGTGTTCACTTAATCCCCCTGTTTTTGGTATGAAACCCCTGCCCTCCACTGTGTGTCCTCTACTGTTGTTTCCAGTCCAGAAACCCTGTTTCACCCTTTCCTGACACTCAACCTGCATTCTTTGGCTGAGACGGAAAGTAGAAACCACTCTAAGGAGTGCAGGAAGAGATTTGGTAACCTGACTTCTTAAAAACCTTCCAAACTATTCTTATTTTAGTCCTCCATAATTCACTCTTACTTTCCTTGGGACTTTAAGGATTCTACCATCTAAATTGGGCTAATCCTTTGTTTTCCAGAGTGCTGATTTAAGAGGTCAGTGACTTTACTTTCTGTTTTTACCTCCTCTATTGCTCTCCCTTTGGGTTTCTGCCTTTGTTTCAATGGGAGGTAGTTGGACGTGTTTGTCCTGTCCATCACCTTTCTGTTGTCATCCCCCCATTCATTGTTTCAGCTCAGTAGGTTAACTGATAACTTCAGGATCTCTGAAACTCTGTATATTGTCCTCCTGCCAACTGTCTCATTTATGGAACCACTGTTCTTCCATTCTGTCAGCCTCCAAAAATAATAATTCTAATAATTCCTTCTTTTATCATACAAATTCCTTCTTCCATGGAAATCTGGAACTTTTTCCCTTAAAATATAGTACATATTTACAGAAGTCCTACTTTGTATTTCTTTTTGAAGAAATAAAGATAATGAGACCTGATCCTTAGATTCAAGGAACTTCCATTGTAGTGGCTGGGAGAAAAACTGCAAACTAATAGATGATGAGAAGGAGGATGGGGATGATGATGATAACAGTGATGAATCAAGCAACAGCCAACACTGTTGAAATTATACTTTGTACCGACTGTGCTCCATACCTTACTGTGTTCTTTCACTTAATCCTAACTACTGTCTGAAAAAGGTACTGAGGGAACAGAAAGACCCTCTCATATTGTTTTATATTGTTTTATACTCAGTACCTGTTTTAAGAAAAAAAACAAGGAAGTGAAATCAAAGACAGGCAGCCTGGCGCCAGGCCTAAAACCAGGACTGGGCCTGCCTGGCCTAAACCTGGTAGTTAAAAGTCAACTCATGACTTAGAACCCAATGTTACCCATAGATTTCAGGCATTGTATGGAAGAACATTGTGAAACTCCCTGCTCTGTTCTGTTTCACTCTGACTACCAGTGCATGAAACACCTGTCACATGTCCCCTAGATTGCTCAATCAATCACGACCCTTTCACGTACAATCTTTAGTGTTGCAAGCCCTTAAAAGGGATAGAAATTGTGCAGTCAGGGAGCTCGGATTTTAAGACAGTAGCTTGCTGATGCTCCCAGCTGAATAAAGCCCTTCCTTCTAAAACTTGGTGTCTGAGAGGTTTTCCCTGCGGCTCATCCTGCTACATTTCTTGGTTCCCTGACCGGGAAGCGAGGTGACTGACAGATGGCCGAGGCAGCCCCTTAGGTGGCCTAGGCCTGCCCTGTGGAGCATCCCTGCAGGGGACTCCAGCCAGCCTGAGTGACGCGATCCAAAGACCGCTCCCAGGTAGGCAATTGCCCCGGTGGAACGCCTCGCCACAGCAGCACGTAGCAGGCCCCTGCAGTGGCTGAGCACCAGGAAGGAACTGGCATTTAGAGTCTGGACATCTGAAACTAGGTAAGACCAGTCTTTGGAACTTGCCCACTCCATTTGAGTGGAAGTGTGGCCTGATCACCCACGGCATGCCTTAATCGGCACTTTGATGTTGATTTTGGGTTTGACTTGGTTTGAATTGCTTGACAGGACTGGTCTTGGGAACTTGCCCACTCCATTTGAGTGGTAGTGTGGCCTGATCACCCATGGCGTGCCTTTATCGGCACTTTGGTTTTGGTTTTGACTTGGTTTAAATTCCTTGACAAGACTGGTCTTGGGAACTTGCCTTCTCCATTCGAGTGGAAGCATGGCCTGATCACCCACGGTGTGCCTCTACCGGCACTTTGGTTTTTGTTTTTGACTTGACTTAGATTGCTTGATACTTTGGTTTTGGTTTTGACCTGGCTTGGATTTCTGGATACTCTGATTTTGGTTTGGTGTGAACTGCAAAAGTGTGTGTGTGCCCTTTTTAAGTGTTTTTTGTTTTGTGGTGTGCATGTGGTGTGAGTGTGGTATTTTGTCTCAAAGAAGCATAGGTCAGGCACAAATAAGCCCACCCCACTAGGAACTATGTTGAAAAATTTCAAGAAAGGATTTAAGGGAGATTATAGTGTTACATGACACCAGAAAAACTTAGAACTTTGTGTGAAATAGACTGGCCAGCATTAGAGGTAGGTTGGCCACCAGAAGGAAGCCTGGACAGGTCCCTTGTTTCAAAGGTATGACCCAAGGTAACCTGTAAGCCAAGGCACCCAGACCAGTTTCCACACATAGACAATTACACCTGGTTTTAGACCCCCTTCCCCACCCAACAGTAGTTAAGAGAACAGCAGCATAAGTGGCTGGCAGAGGCAAGGAAAGACCAGCAGGGAGAAAAAGAGGCCATCTATACCAATTCTAAGTTAATTTAGACTAAACAAGGTCTTATTAATAGCAAAGGATAATTGAAATCCCAAACTTACAAGGTTTTCAACAGAAGTGAAGTTTGCTAAAATTTAACAGCGTAACATGTATTATGGTAACTTCTAATCTTGTGGCCTTACACAGTCTAGTCCAAAGACACAAAGAAAGTTCTCTTTAAAAAAAAAAAAAATGGTTATCTTCAAAAAAAAAAGGAAAAAAAAAGGGGGGGAGGCAGAATTTATATCAAAAGAGTGTTATATGGTAAATTCTTGTCCTGAAATAAATTAACTGGTTGTTTAAAGAAAAAACTACTTGTAATAAGTCAGAAAGTTGAGACACGTTGAAAAATTGTCTGTGAAAGTCGTGAAAGAAAAAAAGTTATAAAAAAAAGTTATGCAAAAAATGTTGTATAATTTAAAAGTAATAAGGCCTCCTGAGTACTACTGAAGAAACAGTTTATGTGCAAGGTGTATAAAGTAAAATATATCTTTGGTAAAAATATTATAAGGAGGCATAAGAATGTGGATTTTTACCTACATTAAAAGGTTAAAAAAAAGTTATTGTTTTAAAAGTTTAAGCAAGTTTTAAAATGTTAATTGTAAAGAAAATTCTGTGTATAAACATATTAGCTAAAGTTAAAAAGGTATCATCCAGTTTTTCTGTGAACTGGATATTAAAGGAAAAATGCAACAGGTTTTTCTTAAAGCATCAACCTGCTCTTTAACAAAAATTATAAAAGGTTAAAAAAAAAGAGTCTATAAAATCTTACCTTATGGTCAAACATGAAAAATTGGATAAATATGTCTACAAGGTTTTATTAAAATTAAGTTTAACATTAATAACACACTAATATAAAGGTAAAATTTAGTTTATCTGGTATAAAAATCATACAAGAAACATTATTAAACATAAAATGGTGTTTAGCTTTCTTTGGTCTAAAAACTAATAAAAATAGGTGCTAAAAGAAACATTCATTTTACTAGAGGATCATAAAAGTTAAAGACTTAAACTTTGGCAATTAAAACAGCATACCAAGATGCAAATGTCTGGTTGAAATGGATCAAATATTCCATCTGCATGTTAAACAAAAGCAATTGTGATGCTTGTGCACATGGCAGAGGCCCTGTTTATCTCCCTTCCACTAAGGTGGTCCTCCAGTCGACCAGGCATGGGCTGCATGGTAGCTCTTTTCCAGGATTCTACAGCCTGGAGTAATAAGTCATGCCAAGCTCTCTCTGCTATATCCCGGAGTCCCTGCAGGTCAGACCCGAGGGCCATCCAGCCTCCATGCCCCAACACTAAGTTCACTTCGTGTCTCTCACCACAGGGAGGAAACTTAGCATTCCTTGGAGACCTGAAGTGATGCGATGAGCTTAAGAATTTTCAAGAGCTTATCAATTAGTCAGCCCTTGTTCATCCCCAAGCGGATGCGTGGTAGTATTGTGGTGGACCTTTACTGGGCACTCTGCCAAATAACTGGAGTGGAACTTATACTTTAGTCCAATTGCCTATCCCTTTCACCCTGGCATTTCATCAACCAGAAGAAAAAAAAAATGGCATTTGGAGTTTTAACCCAGACTGTAGGGCCCTGGCCAAGGCCAGTGGCCTATCTCTCAAAAACAACTAGCTGGGGTTTCCAAAGGCTGACCCCCATGTCTAAGGTCCCTGGCAGCAACGGCCCTGTTAGCACAAGAAGCAGATAAGCTAACTCTTAGGCAAAACCTAAACATAAAGTCCCCCCATGCTGTGGTGACTTTAATAAATACCAAAGGACATCATTAGCTAATAAATGCTAGACTAACTAGATACCAAAGCTTGCTCTGTGAAAATCCCCGCATAACCATTGAAGTTTGCAACACCCTAACCCCGCCACCTTACTCCTGGTATCAGAGAGCCCAGATAAACATAACTGTTTAGAGGTGTTGGACTCAGTTTATTCTAGTAGGCCCAACCTCCGAGACTACCCTTAAACATCAGTAGACTGGGGGCTGTACATGGATGGGAGCAGCTTCGCCAACCCCTGCAAAGTGACTCTGAAGAAGACAGCAAGCCCTGCTCCAGTCACACCCAGAAGCTGACTGGTCCACACAGGCCGAAGCATGAGGAAACTCATCGTGGGACTTATTTTCCTTAAAATTTAGACTTGTACAGTAAGGACTTCAACTGACCTTCCTCAGACTGAGGGCTGTTCCTAGTATATACATCAAGTCACTGAGGTAGGACAAAAGATTGCTACAGTCCTATTGTTTTACAGTTATTGTGAATGCCTAGGAACTCCAAAAGGAACCTGTTTGTATAATAACACTCAGTACCAAGTATGTAATCCAGGAAGTGACCAGCCCGATGTGTGCTATGACCCCTCTGAACCTCCCATGATCACAGTCTTTGAAGTAAGACTAAGGACTGGTCCTTTTCCTGGTGACACAAGTAAAGTAATAGCTAGAACAGAAGAAAGAGGGGTCCCCAAACATGTAACCTTAAAATTTGATGCTTGTGCTTCTATTAATAGTAATCAGCAAGGAATAGGGTGCAGTTCTCTAGACTGGAAAAAAAAGTTACACAGTAAAAAAAAAAATTAAGTATATCTGTCAAGAATCATATTTATGTGAGATGTGTCAATACTGGTCTTGTGTCATTTGGACTTACTTGGAAACAGGATTAAAAAGGTCCTGTTTGGCTCCAGAAAGGAAAAGCAGCCCCACTGTGGGAGCTGCAGCCCTTTAGAACTGGTAATCACAAACCCCTCACACCCAAAATGAAATAAAGGAAAATATGTATCATTGAGCATTGATGGAAAAGGACTAGATCCTAGTGTAAACATCTTAATAAAAGGAGAGGTTCAAAGACGCTCTCCAGAACCCGTATTTCAGACTTTCTATGATGAACTAAATGTGCCAGTACCTGAGATTCCAGGAAAGACTAAAAATTTGTTTTTGCAATTAGCCGAGCATGTAGCCCAGTCTCTAAAAGTCACTTCGTGTTATGTTTGTGGAGGAACTATAACAGGAGATCAATGGCCATGGGAATCCCGAGAATTAATTCCTACAGACCCAGTTCCTGATGAATTACCGGCCCAAAAGAACCACCCTGACAATTTTTAGGTTCTAAAGGCCTCAATTATTGGACAATATTGCATAGCTAGAAAAAGAAAAAATTCACTCATTCTGCAGGATGATTTAGTTGCCTAGGACAAAAACTGTAATAATAGTACCATAAAAAAAAAACAGTTACATGATAGAGTTCCAGTTACATAGACAGAGATCCATTCAGTAAATTTCCAAGGTTGCAGACTGTCTGGGCCCACCCAGAAGTCCACTGGGACTGGACTGCCCCCAGTGGGTTATACTGGATATGTGGACATAGAGCCTATGCTAAGCTGCCTGATCAGTGGACAGGTAGCTGTGTAATTGACACCATTAAACCATCTTTCTTTTTACTGCCCGTAAAAGCAGGCAAATTCCTGGGTTTCCCTGTCTATGCTTCCCACAAAAAACGAAGCGTAGCCATAGGTAATTAAAAAGATGATAAATGGCCCCCTAAAAAAATTATACAATACTATAGGCCTGCCAGCTAGACACAAGATGGCTCATGGGGATACTGGACCCCCAATTACATGCTCAACAGAATCATATGGTTGCAAGCTGTTTTAGAAATCATCACTAATAAAACCAGTCAAACCTTGACTATTCTGGCCCGGCAAAAAAACCCTCAGATAAGAAATGCTATCTATCAAAATAGATTGGCTCTCGACTACTTGCTAGCAGCTGAAAGAGAGGTCTATAAGAAATTTAACCTTACTAATTACTGTCTACACATAGATAATCAAAGGCAAGTACTCAAAGACATAGTTAGAAATATGACAAAACTGGCACATGTGCCCGTAAAAGTGTAGCACAGATTCAACCCTGAAGCCATGTTTAGAAGGTGGTTCCCAGCACTAGAAAAATTTAAAACTCTTATAATAGGAGTTATAATAGTAATAGAAACCTGCTTACTGCTCCCTTGTTTACTACCTGTACTTCTTCAAATGATAAAAAGCTTCATCGCTACCTTAGTTCACCAAAATGCTTCAGCACAAGTGTACTATATAAATCACTATCAATCTATTGCACAAAAAGACATAAGTAGCAAAAATAAGAGTGAGAACTCCCACTAATAAAAAGTGAGAGTCTCAAAGGGGGGAAATGAGGGAAGAGATAAACCCTCTCATATTGTTTTATATTGTTTTATACTCAGTACCTGTCTTAAGAAAAAAAACAAGGAAGTGAAATCAAAGACAGGCAGCCCGGGGCCAGGCCCAAAACCAGACCTGGGCCTGCCTGGCCTAAACCTAGTAGTTAAAAATCAACTCATGACTTAGAACCCAATGTTACCCATAGATTTCAGGCATTGTATGGAAGAACATTGTGAAACTGCCTGCTGTGTTGTGTTTCACTCTGACTACCAGTGCATGAAACCCCTATCATGTATCCCCTAGATTGCTCAATCAATCACGACCCTTTCATGTAAAATCTTTAGTGTTGTGAGCCCTTAAAAGGGACAGAAATTGTGCACTTGGGGAGCTCAGATTTTAAGACAGTAGCTTGCCGATGCTCCCAGCTGAATAAAACCCTTCCTTCTACAACTCAGTGTCTGAGAGGTTTTGCCTGTGGCTCATCCTGCTACAGTACTATTATCATTGTCATTTTATGCATAAGGAAGGAGCTAGTGAGGCTATGTAACTCTTGTACAATACTATGTGTAATAAACATATAAACCAATGTGCTAAGAGAAACCAGGGGCAGTAGAAATTAACTCAAAAATCCAAGAAGTCTTGAAATAAAATCACTTCCAAATTTGCTCCTTCCTCTGGATTCCCTTTGATGCCACCACACGCCAGGCTTTTTTTTATCTCATCATTAAATTGAAAGGGTAAACTCTTAGCAAGTCTTTCTGTACCCAACCCTTTTCATTTTCTCTGCTTACCACTGGTAGGTCATGCTTTGTAATATATTGCTTCCATCTTGTCATTCACCACTTCAGAACCTAATTTGTTTGCCTATCATGCCATATTTGGTCTTCTGGACCTACTTTCAGTAACCTGGCCATATAGGCCATATCCATCTTGTAACCCCAAAATCCAACATGGGTCTCTCCATTGTCTTTCACACAAGTCCTGTTCTTTTCTACCTTTTTGCTTTTACTAAAACTGTCCTCTCCGCCTAATTAATTTCTACCTATCTCTCATGGCCTCATTTTTCCATAAAGCCTTTCCTGGCAGCTTCGTTGCAGTGGGATTACATTTTCTCCCAAACTCCCATAACGCTTAGTGCTGACTGGCTGTACCAGGCATCAGGTCTTCCCCATGTACAAGCAATAGCTTGCCCAACAAATGAGTTATTTATACTTGTATCCCTGTATAGAAACACATATTTTCCAGGCACCAGCAGTATACCAAAAAATATTTATTTTTGAAAAGATTTATCACTTCAAAAAGTCATTCTGGGAAAAATTATAACTTCTTTGATGCATCTTATTTCATGGTTATTGTTATTTTGACACCTGATCTTTATAGTTCTTGGAGCTGATAAACTTCTTACTTTACCCCTGGATGTTGTTAGTTTCATCTTAGAAGGACTTCTTTGTATAACTGTGCACAACGTAGACACTTGTTTGATATAGGGTATTGTTTGTAAAATTTTTGCATAATATATTGCTGAAATAAACTATAATATGGGATTAATGCCACATTTCATTAAATATTAGATGCCATTGATTGTAACATGTACCATTATCTTACGTAACACAAAGATAGAAAATAATGCTGCCAATGTAACCATGATGTGCCAATGATTGCTAGATACATTCCAATTCCAGATATGTTAAAAGGTAAATGAATACACGTACATCTTAGAATCGATAAAATGTGAGCGTTGTTGTGTTATAATATTATGCATTGGTATTAGGCATCTTTAAATTGCCAATGATATTTTTAAGTCAAATTTTTTAAAACATGCAAGGTACCACCTATATGCAAGTCACTGTGCCAAGGGACACAATGTGCAGATAAACACTGATGAAACCATGGCTTTCTCTACTGAGGGTTTATAGTCTGATAGAGGGAACATTGTATAAATGAATTATGTACTATAATCCAAGACGGAAAGTGATCAGAGCTATCCACCTTGATACAGTGATATAGTTTGGCTGTGTCCCCACCCAAATCTCATCTTGAATTGTAGCTACCATAATCCCCACGTGTTGTGGGAGGTAATTGAATCATGGGGGTGGGTTTTTCCCGTGGTATTCTCATGATACTGAATAAATCTCATGAGATCTGATGGTTTTATAAAGGGCAGTTCCCCTGCACACGCTGCCTTGCCTCCTGACATGTAAGATGTGCCTTTGCATCTGCTTCACCATCCGCCATGATTGTGAGGCCTCCCCAGCCACGTGGAACTGTGAGTCCATTAAACCTCTTTTTCTTTATAAATTACCCAGTCTCAGGAATTTCTTCATAGCAGTATGAAAATGGACTAATACAAAGAGCTTAAAGATCCTTTAGAAATATTTATTTATTTATTTATTTAGAGGCAGAGTCTTGCTCTGTCACCCAAGCTGGAGTGCAGTGGTGCAATGAGCTCGCTGCACCCTCCGCCTCCAGGTTCAAGCAATTCTGCTCCTCAGCCTCCTGAGTAGCTGGGACTACAGGCATGTGCCACCACGCCTGGCTAATTTTTGTACTTTTAGTAGAGACAAGGTTTCACCATGTTGGTCAGGCTAGTCTCGAACTTCTGACCTCAGGTGATCCACCTGCCTCAGCCTCCCAAAGTGCTGGGATTACAGGTGTGAGCCACCACACCCGGCCTAGAAATATTTTAAATAGAGTAATTACCTTTATTTTGGAATTTTTCAAAGTCTTCCTGGAGAAAGTGGTGTGTGAAATGAGTTTTGAAGGATGAATAGAATTTTGCAAACTATTGATTGGTAAGGAGGTATGCCAATTGGGGAAAATAATATGTGCAAAGGTATAGAAGCATTGGCATTAAAGAATAATGAAAAGTCTAGTTTGGCTGGAAATAGAAAGTAGCTGGAGGAGTTCCCCAGATAAACTAGGAAGGCCATGGATGTCGTATTGTAGAAGGCCTTGAATGCATAGCTGAGGATATTTAAGATTTGGTAGGCAATACGGAACCACTTAAGGTCTTTTAACAGTGCAGTGGTTTAATGAGAGCTTTTCATTACATAGCTGGCTCCATCTCATCTTTTAGATCCCAGTTTAAATGCTACCCTCTCAGAGGGTCCAACCCTCACTCTAAGTGAATTCTCACCTATAACTCCAAATTGCCACATCCAGTTGGTTTCCTAGGAAGCACTTACCACTGGTTTTGATCTGTCTACCAACCACCTGGTAAGTTGCATGGTAGGGCAAGTAGGGCGTTCTGTTCCCCTTTCATACTCTCAGTGCTTAGCACTCTACATGGCACTTCTTAGGCACTCAGTAACAGCTTACTAAGTGTGCAGACATCTGAGAGTAGCTTCTAACAGACAGTTGGATACTTTGTTCAAAACAAAAACAAGAATTATGTGACGTTATCAATTCATAGAGGACACTCTGAGACAGGAGGCCAGGAAACAAGTCCTGGCTCCTCCCTACCGATTCCTTGCATGGCCCTGGATAAGTCACTAAGACTCATGCCCTCTGGTTTGTTTATCTTTCCGAAAATGGTTGTGGAGGAACTGACTGCTGAGGTCTTCTCTTCAGAAATGCTGCATCATCCACATGCAAAATATGGGTCTGGTGCTTAGGAGACAAAGGGTGTGGCTCGAGAGGTGGATTTTGGATTTGTTCTACAGGGAATACAGTATAATCAAAGTCAAGATAAGGATCCAGTTTTTAAAATGGTCTCGATCCTCTGCACAGCATTTGATGCTGTTGGACTGGTAGCTGTTCTCTTTATCTGAGGCACTGTAGAGCCCTGTACCTCAAACCTTTTCTACTGCTGCTTGTCTGTTTCTTTCACCCAGAACCCTTCACCCCACAGATGTAGATGTTCAAATCATATGGTTCTGCCTTCTTCCCTCTTCACATCTCACTCCCTAGGGTGACTCTTAACACTCCATGGAAATCCTTGTTCCCCCTGAGTCTCCTCCTTAAACATCAAGCAATCCAGAATATTTACTGCTCCCATCAGGCTGTTATTCTATAGGATGCACCACCTGGCATCCCACCCTATTCTTTCCACGTTTCATTAAATTTTCTAACAGTCTTTCACTACAGTTTTTGTTACCTAAAATCTGCAGTTTCCTGTGCATAGCATAGGGCTTGTCACACAGTAGGAATTCAGAATTCTTTGTTGACTAAATGATACTCCATTCTTTCTGCCTCATCTCTGTCACATTCCCCTTGCCTAAAACGCCCTCCCGACACACCTGGTCACTATTAGTTTTTCTTTTTTATTTTCTTTTTCTTTTTTTTGTTTTGTTTTGTTTTTTTGTTTTTTTGAGACAGAGTTTCGCTCTTGTTGCCCAGGCAGGAGTGCAGTGGCACCATCTCGGCTCACTGCAACCTCTGTCCCCGGGGTTCAAGCGATTCTCCTGCCTCCGCCTCCTGTGTAGCTGGGATTACAGGCACCTGCCACCACACCAGGTTAATTTTTTGTATTTTTAGTAGAGACGGGGTTTCACCATGTTGGCCAGGCTGGTCTCGAACTCCTGACCTCAGGTGATCCACCTGTCTCAGCCCCGCTGAGTGCTGGGATTACAAGCATGACCACGCCCAGCCCCTTTATTAGTTTTTCATCCGATATGATTCCTCTCTGTTTCAGTGCCTGGCTCAGGTACTGTCAGCTTCTGGAAGCCTCCCAGTTACACTCTCTTCCCTACCTGAACCACCTCAGGATTTTGTTGGTGTCCCCTTGATGGCATTGTTTGTACTCTGAATGATATTGTAGTTCATTGTAAGCTCTTCTCACCTCTTTGCTTTTCCCTGCTAGAGGGTTATCTCCCTGCAGGCATGGACTTGTGTTTCTCATGGCTTCCTTATCAAGTAATATTTAAATGAATTGTGAATACTATGATAAAAAATAAGAATAATAGAATAATCATGGGACAATGTTTGAGCAGTGTATCAGAGCTTAAGGAGTTACTGAACAATTTAAAGAAATAACCAAGTGAGAAGATTTCGCTGACGAGAATATAAAATTAAATCACTGAAAGGGTGTAAAACCATTCCAATATCATAAGACAGAGCTCATTATCTCGATATACAGTCTACTTGGGAGTGGAATAAGAGCCTTTCTTGAAAATGATGTGTCCATGTGTAGTAAATTATTCTAATAATCATGGAGAAGTGAATACAAATCTGAACACTTGTTTTACTTTCTTAAGTTCTATACATCATAAACAAAGATATTTTCTAAATCATGTATTTTATTGAAATACCACACATTTATTCATTCAATTTTGCTTGTTTTTGTTGTTGTTTTGTTTTTTTGTGGGATTTTTCGCTTAGTCAAAACTTTGTCCATCAGAGAAGAGGCACATTGTCATGTAATGTTTATCAATAGTAATAACAACTAGAATGTCTTAGTCCATTCAGACTGCTATAAGAAAATACCAGAAAGTGGGTGGTTTATAAACAACAGAAATTTCTCAGAGTTGTGGAGGCTGGAAAGTTCAAGATCAAGGTGCCAGCAGATTTGGCGTCTGGTGAGGACCTGCTTCATAGATAACCATCGTTCGCTATAACTTCATAAGGCAGATGGGGCGAGGCAGCTCTCTGGGATCTCTTTAATAATGGCACTGATTTTATCCCCAGAGGGTCCTGCCTCCTAATACCATCACACTGGGGATTGGTTTCAACATATGAATTTGCAGGGGGCACAGACATTCAGTCCATAGTAGATGGCTTTTGGTTATTGGACAACTCCAACATTTCCAGTGTGTGATCAACAGTTTATATGATGTTCCATTTAAATCTCACTATAATATTATTTTACAGACTGAAATTGTGGTTAACTGTGAGTTGATTGCTGAGTGTCAGGAGCTGGGCTGCAAACCCCAGCCTGATAAATGTGAAACCCCTTGCCTTCCTGGGCAAACTGTTCCAAGCCAGGAACTCCTTCCCCACATTACTGCCCAGTGCCCTTTAGGAAATGCTTCCTGCAGTCACACTCACGATAATACCTGACTGTGAAAAGAAGGCAACCCACAGATCTCAATGTTCAACTTTTTTGTTGTTGCAGGAAGAGAAGTTAAACTTCTAGAGAAACCTAACAGACAATATCCACAACAGGTAAGCTATTTTATCTTTCCATGCTTTGGTGAGAAAATCTATTCTCTTCACTTTCTGTTAAATTTTCTATCATTTGGTCTTCTGCTACAGTTTTTATTACCTAAAACCTTAAAGCCAGTAGACACAGAAGTCCCCAAAGTCTCCTTCTTTCTGACTCACTCAGGTTTGAGTAGAATTGCTGTTTCCTTTTTACGTTTGTTTTTTGGACATACAATTCTAAAACGAGTGTGATAATGCATGGTTCAACCAAGTCTCCACACTGAAAAGATTTCCAGTTAATCTATCCCCCCGTCCCCAGGCAATTTCAAGCTTCTCCCGTAATGTCCATGCCTCAGAACAGTGGCTCTCAGCGTGTGGTCCCGGGACCTACGGCATCAGCCTCACCTGGGTACTTGTTAGAAATTCAGTTTCTCCCTGGAAGAAAACCTAGGCATTACCATTCAGGACATAGGTATGGGCAAGGACTTCATGTCTAAAACACCAAAAGCAATGGCAACAAAAGATGAAATTGACAAATGGGATCTAATTAAACTAAAGAGCTTCTGCACAGCAAAAGAAACTACCATCAGAGTGAACAGGCAACCTACAAAATGGGAGAAAATTTTCGCAACCTACTCATCTGACAAAGGGCTAATATCCAGAATCTACAATGAACTCAACCAAATTTACAAGAAAAAAACAAACAACCCCATCAAAAAGTGGGCGAAGGACATGAACAGACACTTCTCAAAAGAAGACATTTATGCAGCCAAAAAACACATGAAAAAATGCTCACCATCACTGGCCATCAGAGAAATGCAAATCAAAATCACAATGAGATACCATCTCACACCAGTTAGAATGGCAATCATTAAAAAGTCAGGAAACAACAGGTGCTGGAGAGGATGTGGAGAAATAGGAACACTTTTACACTGTTGGTGGGACTGTAAACTAGTTCAACCATTGTGGAAGTCAGTGTGGCGATTCCTCAGGGATCTAGAACTAGAAATACCATTTGACCCAGCCATCCCATTACTGGGTATATACCCAAAGGACTATAAATCATGCTGCTATAAAGACACATGCACACGTATGTTTATTGCGGCACTATTCACAATAGCAAAGACTTGGAACCAACCCAAATGTCCAACAATGATAGACTGGATTAAGAAAATGTGGCACATATACACCATGGAATACTATGCAGCCATAAAAAAGATGAGTTCATGCCCTTTGTAGGGACATGGATGAAATTGGAAATCATCATTCTCAGTAAACTATCGCAAGAACAAAAAACCAAACACCGCATATTCTCACTCATAGATGGGAATTGAACAATGAGAACACATGGACACAGGAAGGGGAACATCACACTCTGGGGACTGTTGTGGGGTGGGGGGAGGGGGAAGGGATAGCATTAGGAGATATACCTAATGCTAAATGACAAGTTAATGGGTGCAGCACACCAGCATGGCACATGTATACATATGTAACTAACCTGCACATTGTGCACATGTACCCTAAAACTTAAAGTATAATAATAATAAGATAAAATAAAATAAATTCAGTTTCTCAGGCCCCATCCCAGACCCACTAAATCAGAGGGTCCAGGATAACGACTAGTCCTCGAGATGATTCCAGTATACTCTCCTGTTTAGGACCCAGGTACTGTGAATACAGACCTTCCTTCTCTTTATTTCTCTCTGAGTCTCCTTCCCAAGCCCTTTACCATTTCCATCTTTGTCCGAACTTGCATTATAATCTTCTATATATTTTTACTCCAGTGGAACCAGCCTGGTCCCCTCACTCTGTGTCTCCTGAAAGTGGTGCATGCATTATTCTTGTTCCCCTTTGCAAATTCTAGATGGTCAAGCTGCCTCCTATCTGCAAACCTTATCTTCCTTTAAGGTTCATGCCATTGGCCTATTCTGTCCTTTTCCCTACTTGTTGCCTTTATCTGGGGACTTCCCAGTGGCTCTAGATCATTCAATACCATAGGCCCAAAGCCTTTCTGACTTTCTGCACTCTAGTCATCCTCACTTCCACTACATTTCACTTTCCATGGCCACATCCTGGACCATGTCCTTCATTGTAGACACTAATATGCCAATGCCACCATCTCTTATGGCTCCAAATTCTCATGCTCAAGGATGCCAGGTCACTGGTCTTGCTTTTGTTCCCCCTAACCTCATTAGGATCCTCACCCTGCAGGACTCTTTCTTCTTCCTTAGCCAACCTCTTGGCCACACAGCCCTAACCTTTTAGTGCAGGCTCCAGGTCCATTGCTTCAGCCATGCTTGCCAGCACTCTCAAGACCCAAGCCCTGTTGCCTTATACCTCAACCTGGGACCAGGGTAGTAACCCACATTCTATAGGCCTTTACCTGGATTGCCGGGCACTGCTGGGAGAGGGAAAGAATGCCAGAACTACATGCATTGGCATCACTCAGATTTTTGGTGGCCAGCTGAGGCCAACCCTCAGCACTGCTCAGCTGCCTTTCAGTCGTTGCTCTTCCCCTCCACCACACACCATTCCAAACCTTGTCACTTTGAGCTTTCACATCTAGCCCTTTCAGCAGACACCTTGCCCCTACATCAAGAAACTCACAGCTTACAGTCTTCCAGCTTCCCTCCCTGCATCTAGAACTGTCTCCACTTAAAATCACCCTTGCCTCTTTCCCTCTAGGCTCCAAAGGAAAAGTGTATATCTGTACATCTTTCTAAGGTGTATTTCTTCATTAGTGATCTTGACTTGATCCTAGATTTTCCCCCATTGTTTCTACTATTCTCAGTTTCTTTCAACTATCTTTTTCCTCCTTGGCTTATAAAAGGTATTTATCTTTCACCTGCTACGAAACCATCCTATAATCCTATATCTTTGTTCACTGTGACTGTTCCCTTCATCTTTTCCATCTCAGCCAAGCTCCCTAAGAGTTCTCTCTCCTCCTTTTCATATGCCCCATGCATTCCTTAACCTGCTGCAGCCCAGCATGCACCTCCACTGCTCTACAACCTTCCTGCATTTCCCACCAACAACCTCCTTGATATGAAATTCAGGTGCACTGTTCCATCCTTTCCTTATCTCTGAGGCACCTGACACTCTTTGATGGAAGACTGTCTCCTCTCCTGCTTCTTGATAATAAAGCCCAATTCCCTCCTTCCTCTCTGAGCATTCTTCCCAATCCTCCTTATATGCTCATCCTCCTCTGCCTAAGAGCAAACAAGCAGAGTTAAGACTTGCAGGCAACTCGCAAGCCCCACCCTCATGAGTTGAATAGTTGAGAAGGCAGGAAAGACGTCAAAAAATGAATTAAATAAAACTGTAAGTTGTGCTAAGAATGTAAAGTGAAAGGTGATATGAGGTGGAATAACAGGGTTTAAAACTGGCTGGTTTAGATTGGGTGGGGTGAGAAGGCAAAGGAAATAGTCTATGACAAGGTCCTTGAGATCAGGAGCAAAACATAAATTTTAAAGACTTGAAAGAAGGCCAATGTGGCCAGGGAAAGAAAGGGGGGACAATACACCAGAAAGCTGTGTATGAGATAGAAAAGACTTCATCTATTATTGTATAAGTTTCTTATTAATTTTAAGTGAGTTACTGCAGTCGACAATCATAATTCACTGTAGTTATGTTCTATAAAGTCACTTCAAACAAGGAGTTAGTGAATACTGCACAATTGCTCTCAGGGGAAATATGGGGTTAGGTTCCTAGAAGCCTCTGGTCACAATATTTTCATCAACTGATCAATATATAACTTGTTTTATGTGTGTTTCAGTTGTTAAAGCACTTTATTTGCATATGTATTGTTAATTCATTAACATTGAGCTCAGGGCTAACAGCACTATGACTCATTTCTGAACAAAGCTTATCTAACACACACATTTTCTCTGTAAGGCACATCACAGCATTCTTGCACCTAGGACCACTAGACAACACGTCAGCACTATGCCTGGGGCTATTTTTAACAGTGACATCACCAACAAAAAGCACAAAATGCAAACAATGGGTCCATGAGAAGAAACCCATTTACAGTATGGCACAGTGCCATCTTGTTTGAGCTCAGCTAGAAACATAAGCATCTAATGACTCAAAATATTTTGCCCACTCTGCACATGTCCAGGAATGGCCACACAAGCACCATGAGTATTGATTTGGGGGTTACAAATTAACGTTAGTAAGTCAGTGAATTCACAAATACAGAATCCACAAATAATGAGAACCAAGTGTATATGTAAAGCATATCGATGAACACCAGGTACATAAGAAGGAATATGTACATTTGATATTTTAATCATCTTCATTATTGCATGCTACTAAATATCCTGACAGCATGAGATACCTCTGAAAAGTTTTAGGCAGGGGAAGTGATAATGATCCAGATTCATGGCCTAAAAAGATCGTGACTCCTTTGTGGCAAATATGTTAGCCAGAGACACTAGCAGGTATAGGTGATAGTAAGGCGATGTTGCAGTCAGTAATCCAGGTACAAAAGAGATGATGCTGTTTGAGGACAGGGCAGTGGGAGTGCACATAGTTCTCCTGGAATGTGCTCTGGAAATCTACCAGAACCACTGTCTGCCCACCTTTGCCCACAAGCCTTTTCTAATCTTCCTACGGTTACTCCGGAGCTCCTTGTCCTATATAGCATATTATATGACATATTTGAATCTAGTACTTATGACACTATATTAGTCATGTATCTATATACTTGTCTCCTTTCCTGGACAGTAAACTCTTTCTACATCCCTGGAATCAAGTTCGGTACTTGGCACATAATAGGTGCTCAGGAAATATCTGTTGCCTGAATGGTTGGTGAGTCATTTAACAAACAGCAGAGATCTTCTACCTCTTAGTGTCTTAGCAATTAGCAGAGTGTCTTACCCCTAGTAGGGGGGTGTTTAAGGCCTCTAAACCGTGCTCAGTCTTTCCAAGTGCAAAACCTATTTTTACTGTACTTTAAAGGAATATTGGGTTCCAACTCTGCACACGTAGGTTCATCTACAATTAGGGGACAAATTGTAGGTTTTTTCTTGTCTTCCGACCAGTTCTTGCTTCCAGTCTTGAGTCCGGAAAAACATTTATAAAATAAAATAGTTGGGTGGGATAACTTCTAAGATTCTTTCAAATCAGAGCCCTATATCACTCTGCTAAGGCTACCATAACAAAATACTCTAGACTGGGTGGCTTAAACAAAAGAAATTTATTTTCTCAGAGTCCTGGAGGCCGGGAGGTCCAAGATCAAGAAGTCGGCAAATTCGATTCCCGGGAGAGCTCTTTCCAGCTTGCAGATGCCGCCTTCTCACTGTGTCCTCACGTGCCCTCTCCTCAGTGTGCTCTGGACCCACCAGCACCATTCGCTTTCGCTCACAAGCCTTTTCTAATCTTCCCGAGGTTGCTCAGGAGGGAGTGCTCTCTCTCCTCTTAAGGCCACCAATCCTCTTATGTTAGGACCCCACCCTGATGACCTCATTTAACCTTAATTACCTCCAGAAAGCCCTATCTCTAATTACACTCACAATGAGTTAGGGTTTCAACATGTGAATTTGGGGGAAGACACAATTCAGTCCACAGCGGGTACTGTAAGACTCTGGGAATTACCCTGAACTAGTTTATTCCAAGCAGGTGGCCCTGAGCTGTGCTTCCTTTAAAATCTATTTGTAGCCTTACCAGACTATATTATATAAACTCCTCTCCACATGGCCACCTCTAAAACTTCCTCAGCATTTTTAGAACTTAATTTTGTCCAAATGCTTCAAGTTTCTTCCAGATGTCTGCCATCTCCCAGATACAGCTACTTAGCAAAATCAGAGACATTCCCTGTCATGGAGACACGGCCCAGTTCCCATGTGGTTCCAGGGAAGATTTGGTCAAAACATTGCCCATTTCTACACAGTGTCTAAATGGAACTAGCACCCAATGGTTAAAGAATATTCTCAGCCAGGGACAGTGGCTCACCTCTGTAATCCCAGCGTTTTGGGAGGCTGGGACGGGTGGATCACCGGAGATCAGGAGGTCGAGACCCGCCTGGCCAACATAGTGAAACCCTGTCTCTACTAAAAATACAAAAAATTAGCTGGGCGTGGTGGCAGGCACCTGTAATCCCAGCTATTCAGGAGGCTGAGGCAGGAGAATCACTTGGACCCGGGAGTCGGAGGTTGCAGTGAGCCAAGATGGCACCACTGCACTCCAGCCTGGGTGACAAGAGTGAGACTCTGTCTCAAAAAAAAAAAAAAAAGAAAGAAAAAAAACCGAATATTCTCGCAGACAATTGCCATGAACATGCAAACGGCCAACATTTCCTAAGCACCTACTATTTGCAAGACACATATTGCCAGCCCTGTCACATGCTTAAGTCATGTGATCCTCATAGGACCCTGACCAGTACTTCTGGTAATGCAGCCATAAAAATGAAAGTTACCATGCACTGATGCCAGGGGTGTCTGACTTTTTTATTTATTTATTTTTTTTGAGATGGAGTCTCACTCTTACTGCCCAGGCTGCAGTGCAGTGGCGCGATCTTGGCTCACTGTAACCTCCGCCTCTTGGATTCAAGTGATTCTCCTGCCTCAGCCTCCCAAGTAGCTGAGATTACAGGTGTCTGCCACCATGACCAGCTATTTTTTGTATTTTTAGTAGAGATGGGGTTTCACCAAGTTGGCCAGGCTGGTCTCGAACTCCTGACCTCAGGTGATCCACCTGCCTCGGCCTCCCAAAGTGCTGGGATTAAAGGTGCGAGCCACTGTGCCCAGCCCGGTGTCTGACATTTTTCAGCAGATCCTTTAGTAATGATTGATGCTGAGCTTGTTAGAAACACAGGCTGTCAGGCCCCACTCAGAGCCAGGTGGATTCCTCATGACCCAGTGCCCTGTGCTCCTATCTGTCTACAAGATTCCACCCCGTACACACACACACGTACACACACACACACAGACACACACACTAGTCTTTATTCATTAACAAACTACATCTTGTCTGCTCCAAACAGGAGCCTACTTCCAGGAATTTACAGTCCAGAGAATAGGGACATAGCTTCTCAAACTTTTCCCTTAAACTGTCCCCACGAGGGTACAGGAGGATCTGGGAGGCTGGGGAGTGTGGAGAGGATGACCACAAGCTACTGGCAGAACTTGACATCTCTGTGTGCCTTCCGTTTCATTCTAGTCATTCACACAAATGTTGCCTTTTCACCCATGATATTCTGAGTTAATTTTATATAACAAATAATGGGCTTCTCCCCCCAAAACCTTCGCATGGGGCCATATTTATTTTGTGGCTTACCTTTCCCTCCCAGCTCATGGCCATGTATCCTCATGTAGAAGGGGGGGCTCTGAGATTGGCTCACAACACGGGCAGCCTCTGGATCTGGGAGAAGTGCAAGGTCAGCCATGGAGGAGGAGCAGCACCGGGTCTAATCTGGGGGAAGGAACAGGACCCCCTTGACTCCACAGACACCTTCCTCCCCCAGGCTCTTCCACAGAGTTATTGTCCAAATGTACAGTGGGCAGAGACCAACCCAGATGGAGTTCTGATGTGCAGTGATTGTGTGAAGAGGCCTCTGTAGAATTTCAGGAGCCTTTTGACCCCACCATTGCTTGGCCAGACCAGAATAAACCCAATGTCTAGCCAGTGCTAGAGGAAGCCCTGGTCTCATCAGGCTTAAAGGTGACAGTAACTGTGATGGTTAATATTGAGTGTCAACTTGATGGGATTGAAGGATGCAAAGTGTTGGTCCTGGGTGTGTCTGTGAGGGTGCTGCCAAAGGAGATTAACATTTGAGTCAGTGGGCTGGGGAAGGCAGACCCACCCTTAATCTGGGTAGGCACCATTTAATCAGCTCCCAGCGAATATAAAGCAGGCAGAAAAACGTCAAAAGGTGAGACTAGCCTAGCCTCCCAGCCTACATCCTTCTCCCGTGCTGGACACTTCCTGCCTCAAACATCGGACTCCACGTTCTTCAGTTTTGGGACTCGGACTGGCTCTCCTTGCTCCTCAGCTTGCAGATGAGCTATTGTGGGACCTTGTGATTGTGTGAGTTAACACTTAATATTACCTCCCCTTTACATATATGTCTATCCTGTTAGTTCTGTCCCTCTGGAGAACCCTGACTAATACAGTAACCATCTAAAATACCACATCACCTACTTCATAACCTTGCCGCATAGCACAACACCTACACTACTTGGGCCATAATTTTTGTTTCTTTTTTTGTTCTTTTTTTTTTATTTTATTTTTTTTTGCTTTTTGAGACACAGTCTTACTCCATCACCCAGGCTGGAGTGCAGTGGCCTGATCTTGGCTCACTGCCACCTCCACCTCCCGGGTTCAAGTAATTCTCCCACCTCAGCTTCCTGAGTAGCTGCGATTACAGGCGCACATCACCACACCTGGCTAATTTTTGCATTTTCAGAAGAGATAAGGTTTCACCATGTTGGCCAGGCTGGTCTCGAACTCCCGACCTCAAGTGACCCACCCATATCGGCCTCCCAAAGTGCTGGGCTTATAGGCACCCAAAATTCTTGTTTCTGAGGCTTTTTATTTTATTTTTTGAGACAGAGCCTTGCTCCATTGGCCAGGCTGGAGTGCAATGGCACAATCTTGGCTCACTGCAACCTCTGCCTCCTGGGTTCAAGTGATTCTCCTGCCTCAGCCTCCCAAGTAGTTGGACTACAGGTGCACCACCACACCCAGCTAATATTTGTATTTTTAGTAGAGATAGGGTTCCACCATGTTGGGTCAGGCTGCTCTAGAACTCCTGACCTCAAGTGATCCGCCCACCTTGGCCTCCCAAAGTGCTGGGATTACAGGTGTGAGCCACCGCGCCTGGTCCTGAGGCCTTTCTTGTACCAAGTCCTTCTCTTGAGATGAGTAAAATAACCGCTATATCCTGCCATCTGCTGGTGAATTGATGCAACTGCACCTATAAAATTCAGCCCAAATCTAGAGAATCCAGTTCTCTCTTGCAAAAGCTATTGGAGCACAAACTGCTTCTTGCATAATCCAGCGGACAAAAAAAAATAAAATAAAATAAAATAAAATAAACTTACTAGGATGGATGCCAGAAATATTATAGTAATAAAAACAATAACAACATTAATAATACCTTCACTATCCTACTTTCAACTTTTACAACCTTGGGCAAGCAAGTTATATAACCTCCCATTTAGTTATCTATAAAATACTGGTTCCCACCTTAAAGGGTTGTTTTAAAGTTGAAATGAGTTAATACATGAAAGATGAAAGTCCCCAAAACAGTCCTTGGCACATAGAAAACACTCAGTGGCTAACTGCTTATTGTGATTAAGTACTGGCTGTATGCCAGACATTATAGCAAGCGCTATGCATACTTATCTTAGTGTTCAAAACAATCCTCATAAACTGTAACTATCATCATTCGCGTGTTGCAGATTAGGCCACTGAAACTCACGGAGGGGAAGAAACTTGGCTAGAAGTCACAAAGCTAGTAAGCAGTGGAGGTGGAATTGCTGACTACTCTGATCCTAAGTCACTCGCTTAACCACTCTGCTGAACTGCTGGTGTGGTGTGATCAATCTTCCTGAATGTTCGTCTAAATGCCATCCGGCTTCACCAGAATCAATCTCTCTCTCTCTCTTTCTCTCTCACACACACACACACGACTATACGCTCTCCCAGGGAGCACCCGGGTGCCATCATATCCCCAGAACCTAGCACAGTGCCTGGTGCATACCAAGACCCAGTGGAGCCATCGTGAAGTCAGCGATGTTGCACACAGCTGTGAGCATTCGTCACACACCTGTCTTAAGGATAGCAGGCTAATTACTAGATGGGGGGAAAAAATAGTATCAGATCTTGAATAAAGGGCCACATGAAATGTTTTTCAATCTATGAAAATGTCTGTGATATGCTATCGTAAAGACTACAGGAGGGACAAAAGGAGTGACATCATCACTATGTTGTAATAACAACAAAAAAAACCACATTGAATGTGTTTCCACATTCAACATGGATATCAAAGATCCTGTGAACCCAGCAGCAAGAAAGTCCTAGGACCAGGCCCTGGCCTGTTCCTCAGCATTCCTACAGTGGAAGCACCTCTCAGGTGCACAGGGCCGGCAAGGCCAGCCTTGGTAAAGGCTAGAGAGGCAGCCCTTCTAGTGGTATGATTCCAGAGGGTTCAGGGCCACCTGTCACTGAGAAACACCAATTTCAACCCAGACATTCTACCCTCAGAGGCTGATTTCTTTGGCTCCTGGGAACTTATTTTTTTACATAGTTTTCTTTAAAATGCAGGAACACCAGGAGGCCCAGGGTTGCCACCAGTGCTCTGAAAACCACTCTGCCCTCCTGCCTGGCAGCATGCACCTCTCAGCCCATTCCCAGTGGAGAAGGGGGGTCACTTTCTCCATCAGGAGTCTCCCTGGTCTGAGAGCCTCGTCCCTCTCAGGGACTTTGCTGTTACACACATTCTGTCCCAATCTCACAGTTCCTCCTGGCAGAGGCTGAAGAGGCATTTCCAAAAGAGCTGCAGAGTTCAGGGAATAAGACAGAGAACTTGGCCTTTTATCATTCAGTCAAGATCATGGCCTGGGGTGAGTGTGGACGTAGGACCCAGAGGGCAGTATTGCGAAGAGCTAGTTCACAAACCACTGGGCGTGGTGCCCCACGTGCAGCACGGAAGTACTGAAGCATGCCTTCAGCATAATTCTCAGGATTTGATGTGATAACAACAAGGAAATCAAGTCAATGAGTTGAAGTTCCCCTTTTTTCCCACTTTATCGTTTAGATTGTTAAATTTCAAAGAGAGCTTTGATTCACAAACTCGTTTTGCAGATAAAGAAACTGAGGACTCAAGAGATTACAGCCTGGGCAACAAGACAAAATCCCATCTCTACCAAAAAAATTAATAAATAAAAATAGCTGGACACGGTGGCGTGTGCATGTAGTTGCAGCTACTCAGGAGGCTGAGGTGGGAGGATTGCTTGAGCCTGGGAGGCAGAGGTTGCAGTGAGCCGAGATGATGCCACTGTGCTCCAGCCTGGGTGACAGAGTGAGACCCTGTCTCAAAAAAAAAGGGGGGGAGAGATTAAACAACTTCACCATGTCCATGCCATTGGTGATGGCGTTATGGCTAGGAGGTAAGAAGTGAATTTCTTTATTTTTATTTTATTTTATTTTATTTTGAGATGGAGTTTTGCTCTTGTTGCCCAGGCTGGAGTGCAATGGCAAGATCTCGGCTCACTGCAACCTCCGCCTCCCAGGTTCAAGCAATTCTCCTGCCTCAGCCTCTTGAGTAGCTGAGATTACAAGCACCTGCCACCACGCCCAGCTAATTTTTTGTATTTTCAGTAGAGATGGGGTTTCACCATGTTAGCCAGGCTGGTCTTGAACTCCTGACTTCAGGTGATCTGCCTGCTTCGGCCTCCCAAAGCGCTGGGGTTACAGGTGTGAGCCACCACGCCCGGCCCCGAGGAGGTGGATTTCTTATACCTGGGCACAGACTTTGCCTGGCTAAGTTCACCCAAACACCATATAGCTTAATTAGTTTGAGGAGTAAAACTCCAGTGATAATTAGGACTGTCATTTTGATAGCAGATTTTTCAGAAGTATTCTACAAAACATGAGATCTGTTGGTTGTTAATAAGTTTGTTATGAGAAAAAAAGTTCTGTAGCCCAATAATGTAGGGAAATAATCGGGTTAAACAGAGTGAAACAGTTCCTTCTCATAACCATGAATTTCTTCATCTTTAATTTCTGTTGTTCCCAAACCTGTTTTGACCAGGGAGCCTTTTCCAGGGAGAAAACCCATGAGCACTTCCCTGCACACAAATATCCCGTCAAAGCCAGCGCTAGACCATGCTAACACTTCTATCCCAGCACACTGGCTATTGAGAATGCATGAAATGGACTATTTGATGGTGCTGATAACAAAAGTCTGCATATAATCCTTTTTTTTTTTTTTTTTTGAGACGGAGTCTCGCTCTGTCGCCCCGGCTGGAGTACAGTGGCGCCATCTCGGCTCACTGCAAGCTCCGCCTCCCAGGTTCACGCCATTCTCCTGCCTCAGCCTCCCGAGTAGCTGGGACTACAGGCGCCCGCCACCACGCCTGGCTAATTTTTTTTTTTTTTTTTTTTTTTTTGTATTTTTAGTAGAGACAGAGTTTCACCGTGTTAGCCAGGATGGTCTCGATCTCCTGACCTTTTGAGCCGCCGACCTCGGCCTCCCAAAGTGCTGGGATTACAGGCATGAGCCACCGCGCCCGGCTGTCTGCATATAATCTTTCAAGTTCTCTAAAATAACAGAAGCTTAGCCTCTGTAGGAGAAAAGTAAACACATCAGAAAAATTTGTCCCGTGAGTTTTCAAAGACTGCCCAAAAGAGTAGGAAATGTTTCTGCCAAAAAAAAAAAAAAAAAAAGATTGAGCTGTCAAAGAGTTTATCTTCTAGTCCTTTTTCAACTATAGATTCATTACTGTCTATAATGTTGGGCAAGCAGTCTCTAGTTTCTTCTATAAAGGCAGCACAGCTCCTGGTAGTTATTTTTATTCATTCTTCTTGGGTCAGGACCTCAGTCCCTAGTAGCGGCTCACTAAATATTTGTCTACTTCGCCTTCTGGCCAGGTTATGTGAAATCTCAAGCTGTGTTTTCTAAACATTAGCAAATTGTTGGAAATTTACATGTTCCATTCTATTGTATCTCCTCCCTTCCAAATACTCCAACTTCTATAAACGCAAACCACCTCCCAGCAGCCACTTTAAAAGTTTGTTGAATAGAACCCTTGGAGCCGGACGTCCTTGACCCTTGGAATTGCATAATAGAGGTTTTGCTGTCTCCCAAGATGGGAAGGGGGAACAACAGTCTCTCCCATTTCTCCGAGCTCCTGCCTCCGGCTTGTAGTTTGGACCACTGGGTAGTATGAGATTTGATTGTGGAAAAGGGTATAGACCCTCTGTTAGAATAGTTTATCATATCTCATACCCATCATGCCTTCATTCCCACGTGTCATTCAGCGCCATTCCTTCATTTAAATAGTAAGAATGAAGTGCCCCATACAAGCTAGATGCTGGTTGGATTAGGCATTGCCTGTGGGGAGCTCATGTGTAGTAGGGAAGGCAGACAGCCAACAAGCACCAAAGTCCCCCTCTAAGATGCAACAACAGCCTGAAGACAGGAACCATACCCTTTATTTGCCTCTAGAGTTCTCATCCTGGGACTATATATGGTCTTCAGTATATACACAGGATGATGTGTAGGTTGGTAGACTTTTGATGAGCTGCCTTCCAAGATCTCTCTCCATGGTCTAATTTATAGAGACTATTATCCTTTTTTTTTTTTTTTTTTTTTTTTTTGAGACAGACCTCACTCTATCATCCAGGCTGGAGTGCAGTGGCACGATCTTGGCTCACTGCAACCTCCACCTCCCGGGTTCAAACGATTCTCCTGCCTCACCCTCCCGAGTGGCTGGGATTACAGGTGCCTGCCACCGTGCCCAGCTAATTTTTGTATTTTTATTTTTATTTTTTGAGACAGAGTCTCGCTCTGTCGCCCAGGCTGGAGTGCAATGGCGTGATCTCAGCTCACTGCAAGCTCCACCTCCCAGGTTCACACCATTCTCCTGCCTCAGCCTCCCAAGTAGCTGGGACTACAAATGCCCGCCACCACGCCTGGCTAATTTTTTGTATTTTTAGTAGAGACGGGGTTTCACCGTGTTAGCCAGGATGGTCTCGATCTCCTGACCTCGTGATCTGCCCGCCTCAGCCTCCCAAATTTTGTATTTTTAGTAGAAACAGGGTTTCACCATGTTGGCCAGACTGGTCTCGAACTTCTGACCTCAAGCGATCCTCCCACCTCGGCCTCCCAAAGTGCTGGGATTACTGACGTGAGCCGCCACACACAGCCATATAGGGAATATCTTAATAACATGGATTTCCTGGAGGTGTCAAGTCCCAGCCCAGGTTGTGACAGGCAGAGTAAGAACTGACCTTAGATTCACACGTTTGTTTTTAACTTCACACCTTTTTTTTTTTTTTCTTTTTTTTTTTTTTTTTGAGACGGAGTCTCGCTCTGTCGCCCAGGCTGGAGTGCAGTGGCGGGATCTCGGCTCACTGCAAGCTCCGCCTCCCGGGTTCACGCCATTCTCCTGCCTCAGCCTCCCAAGTAGCTGGGACTACAGGCGCCCGCCACTACGCCCGGCTAATTTTTTGTATTTTTTTTTAGTAGAGATGGGGTTTCACCGTTTTAGCCGGGATGGTCTCGATCTCCTGACCTCGTGATCCGCCCGCCTCGGCCTCCCAAAGTGCTGGGATTACAGGCGTGAGCCAACGTGCCCGGCCACACCTTTTTAGAACATTTTATTTTGACATTATTTCAGACTAACAGAAAAGTTGCAAGAAAAATGCAAAGAATCCCCATAAATCCTCTACCCAGAGTCCCTAAACATGAACATCTACCACATTTGCTTTGTTGTTCTCTCTGTCTTTATATACACACAATTTTTTTTCTGAATCATTTTAAGCAGTTATATAAACCATGGTCCTTTAGCTCTCAAATCAGTTTGATTATCCTCTATCCAAAATGCTTGAGAACAGAAATGTTTTAGAGTTTGGATTTTTTTAAAATTTTGGAATATTTGCATGTATATCATGAAATATCTTAGGAATGGGAACTGAGTCTAAATATGACATTCAAATGTTTCATATATACCTTTTACACATACCTGAAGATAATTTTATATTTTTAATAATTTGTGCATGAAACAAAATTTTTACTTCGTTTTCACTGTGGCCTGTCACATGAAGTCAAGTGTGGTATCATGTAGGTGCTCCAAAAGTTTCAGAAATGGGAGCATTTTGGATTTTGGATTTTTGGATTTCAGATGCTCAACTTTTACTTTACTGTGTATTTCCTAAAAACAAGGGCATTCTCTTTTTTTCTGCCTTCTTCCCAACATTGTATTGTATTTTCAAACATATAGCAAAGTTGAAAGAATTTTGTAGTAAATTTCTGTATACCCACCACCAATCCATCTTATATTTTGCTGCATTTCAAAGTAAGTTGTGGACCTCATGTATTTCCCTTCTCTGCTTTCACTTAAGCATGTATATCATTAATGAGAATTCTGTACGTGTTTGCATTTTTTGAAATGACTTTCATTACAAAAGTAATGTGTTCATTGTAGAAAATTGGTAATTGCAGATTTAAAAATCTACAAATCTATCAGTTAGTAGTCATTTGTACCAGATATTGTGCTATGTATTTTATCAACATCATCTCTAGTCATCCTTTCACAAACCCTAAGAAGAAGCATTATCCCCATTTTACAGACAAGGACTCTGTGAGCAAGTTGCTGCAGTTCCCACAGTGGCAGAATCAGGATATGCATCCAAGTCTGTCCCATCCCCTGACTCTCAGCTGCATGCCATCCTGCTAGCCTTGTGTCTACTCCACCCCACTCTGAGATAACCACTGTTAACCCTTCTCTCTCAATTCTTTTCCAGGTGTGTAGATTTCCACAAAACTGTGATTATATTATACAAGTCATTTTGTAACTGGCTTTTTTGCACATATGCAAACCTCTTTCTCCAGCACCTTGTTAATGGCTGCAGGGTATTCTGTTGAGTAAAGATACCATATTTAAGAGCTACCTTATTGTTATTTATTTTTCAAGTTTTCACTATTATGAAATCTTCTTGCATACTACTAATTTTATCCTTAGGGTCACAAGTAGAATTGCTGAGTCAGAGATTATGCATAGTTTCCACTGTTAATACAGATTCTCAAATTTGCTTTCAACATCTCCTACCAGTAGTAAATGACTAGCAGATTTCCCTACATCCTACACTGACATCAAGTATACATTTTAACAACTCATTTTTATCTGGGTGCAGTGGCTCATGCCTATAATTCCAGCACCTTGGGAGGCCAAGGTGGGTGGATCACGAGGTCAGGAGTTCAAGACCAGCCTGGCCAAGATGGTGAAACCCCATCTCTACTAAAAACACAAAAATTTGCTGGGTGTGGTGGCACGTGCCTGTAATCCCAGCTACTCAGGAGGCTGAGACAGGAGAATCGCTTGAACCTGGGAGGCGGAGGTAGCAGTGAGCCAAGATCATGCCACTATACTCCAGCCTGGGTGACAGAGCAAGACTCCATCTCAAAAAAAAAAAAGAAAAAACTCATTTCTAGTTAGATAAGCAAAAACATGTATGTTTTGTTTAGCATACCTTTGATTGTTAATCAAGTTGAACATATTTTCACATATAAGGCTTTCCCTTTCATATACTACTTGTTCAGGTCCACACGGTTCTTTTTTTAAGTTGGTCTCTTGAATAATTCCAACCCATTTCACATTAAAGCCAATGTTAAGAGTGAAATTTTTATTTTTCAAGCAGATTTTACTTCATTTATTTTTATTTTAAGTTTTTAAAATTATTTTTAATTTTTGTGGGTACATGGTATATATATTTATGGGGTATGTGAAATATTTTGATACAGGCTTGCAATGCATAATAATCATATCCAGGTAAATGGGATACACATTGCCTCAAGCATTTATCCTTTGTGTTATAAACAAACAAGTGATATTCTTTAATTATTTTTAAATGTACAATTAAATACTTATTGACTGTAGTCACCTGTTAAGCTATCAAATACCAGGCCTTATTCTTTCTTTGTAACTTTTGCTTTGCCCCCATTAGCCATCCCCACTTCTCTTTCACCCCCACCCCCAACTATCCTTAACAGCTTCTGGTAACCATCTATCTACTCTCTATCTCCTGAAGTTCAATTGTTTTAATTTTTGGCTCCCACAGATAAGTGAGAACATGAGAAATTTGTCTTTCTGTGCCTGGCTTATTTCACTTAACATAACAACCTCCTGTTCTATCCATGTTGTTGCAAAGTAAAGGAGCTCATTCTTTTTCATGGCTGAATAGTTCTCCATTGTGAGAACTCTATACCACATTTTCTTTATTCATTCTTCTGTTGCTTCCAAATCTTGGCTATTGTCAATAGTGCTGCAATAAACATGGGAGTGCAGGTATCTCTTCAATACAGTGATTTCCTTTCTCATGGATATATACTCAGCAATGGGATTGCTGGATCATATGGTAGCTCTGTTTTTAGTTTCTGAGAAACCTCAAAACTATTCTCCATAGTGGTTGTACTAATTTACATTCCCACCAACTGTGTATGAGAGTTCTCTTCTCCACATCCTCACCAGTATTTGTTGTTGCGCATCTTTTGGATAAAAGCCATTCTAACAGGGTTGAAATGATATCTCATTGTAGTTTTGATGTGCATTTCTCTGATGATCATTGATGTTGAGCACCTTTTCCTATACTGTTTGCCATTTGTATGTCTTCTTTTGAGAAATATCTATTCAGATATTTTGCCCATTTTTAATTGGATTCTTAGATTTTTTTTTTCCTGTAGAGTTGTTTAAGCTCCTTACATATTTTGGTTATTAATCTCTTGTCAGATGGATAGTTTGCAAATGTTCTCTCCCATTCTGTGGGTTGTCTCTTCACTCCGTTGATTGTTTTCTTTGCTGTGCAGAAGCTTTTTAACTTGATGTGATCTTTGTTGTCCATTGTTGCTTTGGGTGCCTTTGTTTCTTGGGTATTACTCAATAAATCTTTAATCAGTCCAATGTCCTGGAGACTTTCCCTTGTCTTCTTGTAGTAGTTTCATAGTGTGAGGTCTTAGATTTATGTCTTTAATCCATTTTGACTTGATTTTTATATACAGCAAGAGAGAGGGATCCAGTTTCATTCTTCTGCATATGAATATCTAGTTTTCCCAGCACCATTTACTGAGGAAACTGTCCTTTCCCCAGTGTATGTTCTTGGTTCCTTTGTTGAAAATGAGAACACTATAAGTGTATTGATTTGTTTCTGACTTCTGTCTTCTATTGGTCTATATGTCTATGTTTTTATGCCAAAACCATGCTGTACCGATTACTATATCTCTGTAGTGTAATTTAAAGTCAGGTAATGTGATTCTTCCATTTTGTTTTTTTCGCTCAGGATGGCTTTGGCTAGTCTGAGTCTTTTGTGGTTCCACATACATTTTAGAATTGTTTTTTCTATTTCTGTGAAGAAATGTTGATAGAGATTGCATGGGATCTACAGATTGCGTTGGGTAGTATGGACATTTTAACGATATTGATTCTTCCAATCCATAATCATGAAATATCTTTCTAATTTTTGTGTCCTTTTTAATTTCTTTCACCAACATTTTATAGTCTTCATAGTAGAGATCTTTCACTTTTTTGGTTAATTGCTAGGTATTTAATTTTATTTGTATCTATTAGAAATGTGATTTTTTTCTTGATTTCTTTTTTGGATTGTTCACTCTTGGCATATAGAAATGCTACAGGTTTTTGTATGTTGATTTTGTATCCTGTGACTTTACTTAATTTGCTTATCAGTTCTAATAGTTCTTTGGTGGAGTCTTTAGATTTCCCCAAATATAAGGTTGTCTCATCAGCAGACAAAGGTAATTTGACTTCTTCCTTTCCAATTTGCATGCCCCTTATTTCTTTATGTTGTCTGATTGCTCTAGCTAGGACTTCTAGTACTATGTTGGATAACTGTGATGAAAATGGGCATCCTTATCATGTTTTAGATTTAGAGAAAAGGCTTTCAGTTTTTCCCCATTCAGTATGATACTAGCTATGGATCTGTCATATATGGCTTTTATTATGTCGAGGTATGTTCCCTACTATACCCAGTGTTTTTAGGGTTTTTATGAAGGGATGTTGAACTTTATCAAATGCCTTTTCAGCATCAGTTGAAATGATCATATGGTTTTTGCTCTTCATTCTGTTGATATGATATATCACATTGATTTGCATATGTTGAACCATCCTTCCATCCCTGGGATAAATCCCACTTGGTCAACTTGGTCATAATGAATGATCTTTTTAATGTGTTGTTGAATTTGGTTTGCTAGTATTTTATTTAGGATTTTTGCATTGACACTCATCAGGGATATTGGCCTGTAGTTTTCTTTTTTTTGATGTGTCTTTGTCTGGTTTTGGTATCAGGGTAATACTAGCCTCATAGAATGAGTTTGAAAATATTCCCTCCTCCTCTATTTTTGAGAAGAGTTTGAGTAGGATTGGTATTAGTTCTTCTTTAAATATTTGGTAGAATTCAGCAGTGAAGCTGTCAGGTCCCAAGTTTTTCTTTGCTGGGAGACTTTATTACAACTTTGATCTTGTTATTGGTCAGTTCAAATTTTGGATTTCTTCATCTTCAATCTTGATAGGTGGTATGTGTCTAGTAATTTATCCCTGTTTTCTAGATTTTCCAGTTTATTGACATATAATTGTTCATAGTAGCCACTAATGATTTATTGAATTTCTGCAGTATCAGTCGTAATGTCTTCCTTTTCATCTGATTTTATTTATTTGGATCTTCTCTCTTTTTTCTTAGTCTGGCTAAAGGTTTGCCAGTTTTGTTATCTTTTCAAAAAAAACCAATCTTTTGTTGATCTTTTGTATTGTTTTCTTCATTTCAACTTCATTTCTGCTGTGATCTTTATTATTTCTTTTCTTCTGGGTTTGGTTTACTGTTGCTTCTCTAGTTCTTTAAAGTGCATTTTAGGTTATTTATTCCAAGTTTTTCTTTGTTTATGTAGGCCTGTATAGGGATAAACTTCCCTCTAAGTACTGCTTTTGCTGGATCCCATAGATTTTGGTCTCGTGTTTCCATGATCATGTGTTTCAAGAATTTTTTTCAGTTTCCTTCTGAATCTCTTCATTGACCCAGTGTTTATTTAAGAGCTTATTGTTGAATTTCCATATGTTCATATCATTTCCAAAATTCCTCTTGGTATTGATTTCTAGTTTTACTCCATTGTGGTCAGAGAAGATGTTTGATATCATTTCAATTTTTTTGAATGTTTTAAGACTTGTTTTGTGACCTAACATATGGTCTATCCTTGAGAATAGTCCATGTGCTGAGGAAAAGAATGTACATTCTACAGCAGTTGGATGAAATGTTGTGTAAATATCTATTAGGTCCGTTTGATCTACAGTACAGTTAAGTGCAATGTTTCTTTGCTGATATTCTGTGTGGAAGATCTGTCCAATGCTGAAAGTGGGGTGTTGAAGTCTCCAGCTATTGTTGTATTGGGGTCTATCCCTCTCTTTCGCTCCAGTAATATTTGCTTTATATATCTGAATGCTCCAGTGTTGGGCGCATATATATTTACAATTGTTATATCCTCTTGCTGAATTGAACCCTTCATCATTATGTAATGACCTTCTTTGTCTCATCTTAAAGGTTTTGTCTTGAAATCTATTTTGTCTGACATAAGTATAGTTATTCCTGCCCTTTTTTGGTTTCCATTGGCATGGAGCATCTTTTTCTATGTCTTTATTTTCAGTCTATGTGTGTCTTTATAGGTGAAATGTGTTTCTAATAGGCAACAGATCATTAGGTCTTTTGAAAAATCTATTCAGCCACTCTATGTCTTTTGAGTAGACAGCTTAGTCCGTTTACATTTGATGTTATGATTAATAAGTAAGGACTTACTCCTGCCATTTTATTTGTTTTCTGGTTGTTTTGTGGTCTTCCTTTCCTTCATTTCTTCTTTTCTGTCTTCCTTCTAATGTAGGTGATATTCTCTGGTGATATAATTTAATTTCTTGATTTTAATACTTTTCTGTATTCATTGTATGTTTTTTTAATTTGAAGTTGCCATGAGGCCTGCAAATACTATCCTAAAACCCATTATTCTGGCCTGGTGCGGTGGCCTGTAATCCTAGCTCTCTGGGAGACAGAGGCAGGTGGATCACCTGAAGTCAGGAGTTTGAGACCAGCCTGACCAACATGGTGAAACCCCATCTCTACTAAATACAAAAAAAATTAGCGAGGCATGGTGGTGCACACCTGTAATCCCAGCTATTCGGGAGGCTGAGGCAGGAGAATTGCTTGAACCTGGGAGGCGGAGGTTGCAGTGAGCCGAGATTGCGCCATTGCACTCCAGCCTGGGCAACAGAGCAAAACTCCGTCTCAAAACATAAATAAATAAATAACCATTATTTTAATTTGATAACAACTTAGCATTGCTTGCATAAACAAACCAACAAGAAAAAAAACCAAAAACAAAAAAACAAAGATTCTAACTTCATCCCCTCACTTTTTAACTTTTTGTTGTATCTATTTACATATTATCGTACAGTCTATGTCTTGAAAAATTTTTGTTATTATTTATGATTGGTTCATCTTTTAGTCTTTCTATTCAAGAGACATTTACATACCACAGTTACAATGTTATAATATTCTGTGTTTATCTGTTTGCTTATGATTACCAGTGAGTTTTGTACCTTTAGATTATTTCTCATTGCTCATTAACATCCCTTTCTTTCTGATTGAAGTACTCCCTTTAGCATTTCTTGTAAGATAGAACTGGTGTTGATGAAATCTCTCAGCTTCTGTTTGTCTAGGAAAGTTTACTTCTTCATGTTTGAAGACTATTTTTGCCACAAACACTATTCCAGTGTAAAAGTTATTTTCCTTCAGCACTTTAAATATGTTATGCCACTGACATGTCATATCTCTCCTGGACTGTAAGATTTCCACTGAAAAGTCTGCTGCCAGATGTATTGGAGCTTCATTGTATGTTATTTGTTTCTTTTCTCTGCTGCTTTCAGGATCCTTTCTTTATCCTTGACCTTTGGGAGTTTGATTACTAATTGCCTTGAGGTAGTCTTCTTTGGGTTAAATCTGCTTGGTGTTCTGTAACCTTCTTGTGCTTGGATATTGATATATTTCTCTAGGTTTGGGAAGTTCTCTGTTATTATCTCTTTGAATAAGCTTTCTACCCCTATTTTTCTACTTCTCCTTATGGCCAATAACTCTTAGATTTGCCCTTTTGAGGCTATTTTCTAGATCTTGTAGGTGTGCATCATTGTTTTTTATTCTTTTTTTCTTCTGTGTCCTCTGAATATATTTTTAAATAGCATGTCTTCAAGGTCACTAATTCTTTATTCTGTTTGATTAATTCTGCTGTTAAGAGACTCTGATGCATTCTTCAGTATGTCACTTGTATTTTTCAACTCCAGAATTTCTGCTTGATTATTTTGTTTCAATCTCTTTGTTAAATTTATCTGATAGAATTTTGAATTCCTTCTCTGTGGTATCTTGAATTTCTTTGAGTTTCCTCAATACAGCTATTTTAAGTTTTCTGTCAGAAAAGTCATATATCTCTGTTTCTCTAGGATTGGTCCCTGGAGCTTTAGTTAGTTCTTTCGGTGAGGTCATTTTTTTTTTTTTTTTGGATGGTCTTCATGTTTGTGGATGCTCACTGGTGTCTGGGCATTGAACAATTAGGTATTCCTCATAGTCTTTCCAGTTTGGGCTTGTTTGTACCTGTTCTTGGGAAGGCTTTTCAGGTATTCGAAGGGACTTGTGTGTTGTGATCTGAGCCATATCTACATTAGAGGCACCCCAAGCCCAGTAATGCTATGGTTCTTGCAGACTCATAGAGGTATCACCTTGGTGGTCTTGGATAAGATCTGAAAGAGTTCACTGGATTACCGGGCAGACTCTTGTTCCCCAAACAAAAGTTTCTCTCTCTGTACTGAGCCACCTGAAGCTGGGGATAGGGTGACACAAGCACCCTTGTGGCCATGATCACTAGGACTGTGCTGGGTCAGACCTGAAGCCAACACAGCACTGGATCTTACCCAGGGCCCTCTGTAACCACTAGCTAGCTAGCTCCAATGTTTGCTCAAGGCCCTAAGGCTCTACAATCAACAGGTGCAAAGCCAGCCAGGCTTGTGTCCTTCCCTTCAGGGTGACAAGATACCCCAGGCCCTAAGTGGGAGCTAGGGACTGAAGTCAAAATCCTTAGAGATCTACCTGGTGCTCTATTCTACTGGGGCTGAGCTGTCACTCAAACCATAAGACAAGGCCATTTCCATTCTTCCCTCCCCTTTTCCCAGGCAAAGGATCCTCTTCCTATCACCATTACTACCACAGGCCCACAGAGAGTATTGCCAGGCTACTGCCGATGTTCACTTAAGGCCCAAGGGCTCCTCAGACAGTTTATAGTAAGTTCTGCCAGGCCTAGGACACATCCTTCAGGGCAGTGGACTTGCCTGTGGTCAAGTGCAAATCCAGAAATGCCATCCAAGAGCCAAGGCCTTGAATTAGGGACTCCAAGAGCTCGCTTGGTGCTCTACCCCACTGTGGCTGAGCTGGTACCTAAAGTGCAAGACAAAGTCCACTTTACTTTTCCCTCTGCTTTTCTCAAGTAGAAGTAGTCTCTCCCCATAGCCACCACAGCTAGGAATGTGCTGGGTCTCACCTGAAACCAGCACATCTCAGAGTCTCACCCAAGGCCCATAGCGTACTACCTGGGTATTCCTGCTGGTTATTCAGGGCCCAAGGGCTCTCCACTCAGCAGGTGATGGGTCTTGCCAGGACTTGGTCCTTCCTTTCAAGGAAGTGCAGTCCCTTCTGGCCCAGGGTGTGTCTATAAATGTCATCTAGGAGCTGGGGCCTGGAATGGGGGCCTCATGACTCTGCCTGGTGCCCTATGCTAATGTGGCTGAGCTGGTATCCTATGGTGTAAGACAAAGTCCTCTTTACTCTTCCCTGTCTTTTCCTCAAGCACAAGGAAGGGGTCACTTTCATTGCTGTGAGCTGTGCTGCCTGGGTTTTGGGACACGTGACACAGGTTCTCCCTTAGCCACTCTGGTGTCTCAGTAGATCAGGTGCCCCCCCAGGTCCACTGGCTCTGGCCCCAGCACAGTACTGATATCTTGCCTAGGAACCACAGTTCTTGTGGCCTAGGCTACCCTTCAAGTGTATTAGGATTGCAGAGCACTTTAGTCCATGGTGGTGCGGCTTGCCAAAACTCAAGTTCCAACAACTGGAATATATAATTTCCCTCTGGCTAGATCTGGTCCAAATGCTCCCTCTGTGTGTGGGTAGGCTGGGGGGTCGTGGCTTAGCTGATTTCAGCCTGGTTTTGCTTTCTGCTCTGATAGGGCAGCACTGAGTTCAAACGCAAAGTCCCCAAATCACTGTACTCTCCCTCCCCCAAACACACAGATGCTCTCTCCACGACATGCAGCCACTGCCAAGGAATGGGCAGCGGCAGTTCAAGATTGTCTTTCCTACTACCCTCTTTAGTGCCTCTTTCAGCAATATGAAGTTAAAACCAGGTACACTGATTGTGTACCTGATTTTTGGTTCTTATAAAGGTGCTTGTTGGTGTAGATGATAGTTGTTAAATTTGGTGTTCCTGTGGGGCAATGAAGTGAACATCAGTGGAGGCTTCTATCTGGCCATCTTGTTCTGCCCTTCCCCAAGAGCATTCTCTTATATAACCCCAGTACAATGTTCAAAAGCAGGTAATTCACATCAATTTAATACGATTACCTAATCTACAGACCTTATTCAGATTTTACCAATTATGTCAATAACGACCTTTTAGCAAGAAGGACATGCAGTGCATCGGCTGTCATGTCTCTTAAATCTCCTTGAATTTGGAAGCATTCTTCTGTCTTTCTTTGCTTTTTCATAACATTACATTATTTTAAGAGTACAGGCCAGTTGCTTTGCAGACTATCCCTCGTTGTTTCAACTCAGAGTATGCTCTTTTGTCAGGAAATCACAGAAGTGAGGCTAAGTTCTCAGTGCATCCTATCAGGAGCCACATGCCATTGATTAGTCTCATTATGGCACTATTACCTTTGATTACTTGGTTAAGGCGCTGTATGCCGGGTTTCTCCAACGTAAGGATAATATTTTGTCCTTAATCATATGGGGGGGAGCTACTTTAAGACTAAATATCCTGTCCTCCTCAAAATTTCACCCACTAGTCCTACCATCCATTGATACTTCTTACTGACATCAATTATTATTATGATGGCTATCAAATGGTTTTTCTATTATTATGATGGCTATCAAATGATTTTTCTAGTTCCAGTATTTCTCGTATGTTTGTTAGCTGGTTTCCTACTTGTAAGGTAGAGTGTTCCCTTTCCCTTTATGTATCTTAGTGTGGACTCATAAGTCCTTGTTTTATTCAATTGGCTACAAATGCTGTAGATTAGTAATTATTTTAATATTCCAGTTGTTCCACATTTGGCCAGTAAAACTTCTACAAGTGGATTCCTGTGTCCTTTTAAAATGTCCCTGTCATTCTTCAAAGCTATCACTATTTAAAGGCAGCTTCCAGATGGGTTGAGTCTTTTCCTATATGCCCTTGACTTCCTAATGAATACTCAGTTAATTTCTCTGCCTGGCTGGAGAACTCCTGGGCTTCCCTGGACTTCGCCCTTCCCCTACCTCCATTGCTACCCTCCCAGCAAGGAGGCTTCACCAATGACTGACATGGCATTAGCATGGCCTTCTTTTTTTATTGTTTGTTTGTTTTTGTTTTTGTTTTTTTTTTTTTGAGACGGAATCTCGCTCTGTCGCCCAGGCTGGAGTGCAGTGGTGCGATCTCGGCTCACTGCAAGCTCCGCCTCCCAGGTTCACGCCATTCTCCTGCCTCAGCCTCCCGAGTAGCTGGGACTACAGGCGCCCACCACCACGCCCAGCTAATTTTTTTTTATTTTTAGTGGAGACGGGGTTTCACCGTATTAGCCAGGATGGTCTCGATCTCCTGACCTCGTGATAGCCTGGCCTTGTTTAAACACAAAACAGAGTCAGCCCCCAACACAGGGCTGCAGAAGCAGGCGGCAGCAGCATTGGGTGGACACAGCCATCCTAATGGTGTTTGTTTTTCCCCTGTGTAAACTAAGAAGTGGTTGTGAAGGATTTTCCCTTTGTTGCCTGTTGCTTTTTTATGCTCCAAAGAGGAAGCAAATTTTGATTTTGCTCAGTAATAAAGGGTACCCAACAACTGAATTCTTACCTTTAAGCTAGCTGTTGCCAAAAGGGAGGCAAGGAAGACAGCTGATAGACTGCTCATTTTGAACCCAATCTTACGTCAAAAGAGCATATTTTTTTCATTGCTGTGTGTCACATGCTAGACCCGGAGCATTTCCTTGTTGCCCCTGGGCTTAGGAGAAGTCCTTGCTAAATGCAAGATGTAGAAGTGGGAGTGACATATGAAAAAAGAAATGAATTAAATTTGATATGACACATCATATAAGGAAGAATAATTGTAGACACAGGCATGCAGGGGTTGGGTGTGAGTACATTAGTCCCCACCCTTTTCGTCAGCAGTCACACAACCTTGGACATTAGAGCCTGTCCGTCTGATCTAGAGAAGGAATGTTGCTGGGGAAGGAAAACTCAGGGCGAGGTGAGAGAGGACAGAACCTCTAACCAGGAAGAGGCTGTCCCCGCCAAGCTCCGGAGAGGCGCGGAAGCATGACCCTCAGGTATGGGACCAGGTCTATAGGAAACCCATGTGGTGTGCCCTAATGGGAGGCAAGCCGGGGAGGACCCAAACTGGAAACCTGATTCTGAAAGAGGAAAACCACCACAACATCCTTTGTAATTGTGCAGCTTGGAAGAACAGTATAGATCCTGTGGTTTTCCTGGGGAAGGAGGGGAGCCTAAAAGCCGCAAATGATGTATATTTCCTTCAGAAGCAGGGAAGGGGCAGTTTTCGAGTACGGCTGTTAAATCTCAGCACTCACTTCATTCGGTGCAGGCTGCTCCTGTGGTCTTGGCTATAGCAGCAGAAGGCGGGGATGGAGGGTGCCCCAGGGTCAATCTTGGTCAGCCTCCGAGGAGCTGGGAGTGCAAGGTGTCACTCTGGATGTGCCTGCCTGCTTTTCCTCGCCTTCTTGCCCTCCTTCGCCTTTCCTCCCTCTTTTCTTTCCTCCTTTCTTTCGCCTTCCCCTGTACACCTCTTGAATTCACCATCATAAAGTTGACCTGAGATGTTTCAATGAGTAATGTTTTATGATTGCTTCAGTTACATTATTACAATCCAGTCTGCCTTCCTTGTTTCTCAAACAGTTCTAAGCTCTTTTCTCCTTTTCTTTGACTTGTTTTTTTTTTTTTTTTTACTACCTATCCTCCTGACTAGTTGTTGTTGTTTGTTGGTTGGTTTGCTTTTAAAGAGTCCAGGATAAACAAAGTATTGCAGGCATGAAAAGGGTCAGGATTTCAGAGCGAATTGTGGAGGGGGAGGGTCAGGAGGGGAGGGGAGAGGAGGGGAGAGGAGAGGGGAGGGTGGAGGAGAGGTATTGAGGGAGGGGAGGGGAGAGGAGAGGTATTGAGGGAGGGGAGGGGAGAGGAGAGGTATTGAGGGAGGGGAGGGGAGAGGAGAGGTGTTGAGGGAGAGGAGGGGAGATCAGAGGTGTTGAGGGAGAGGAGGGGAGAGGAGAGGTGTTGAGGGAGGGGAGGGGAGAGGAGAGGTGTTGAGGGAGGGGAGGGGAGAGGAGAGGTGTTGAGGGAGGGGAGGGTAGAGGAGAGGTATTGAGGGAGGGGAGGGGAGAGGAGAGGTGTTGAGGGAGGGGAGGGTAGAGGAGAGGTATTGAGGGAGGGGAGGGGAGAGGAGAAATGTTGAGGGAGGGGAGGGGAGAGGAGAGGTGTTGAGGAAGGAGAGGGGAGAGGAGAGGTGTTGAGGGAGGGGAGGGGAGAGGAGAGGTGTTGAGGAAGGAGAGGGGTGAGGAGAGGTGTTGAGGGAGGGGAGGAGGTGCACGTGCTTCTTCTCGCCTGTCCTATTTATCCAGCTCATCTATGAATTATCAGCAGAAAAGGAAAGTAAAGGAGGAGTAGAGGCTGGGAATAAAATCCTGGGCTTTAGAAATGGGGTAGTTTAAGAGTATTCTGAAAGGTACAATGTTACACATGTGTACACAGTTCCATAGCAAAAGCGATTTTTCTGTCTACGGGACTGTTGTTGTACTTGGGGTTTTCTATCTTTCAATTGGTGTCACAGTTGATAGAAATATACCATGTAGCCCTTATTCCAGAAACAAGTCCTACTTGACATTGTTAATACTCTTGTTTGTATGCATAGGTTCTGGCAACTAGATTATATCTTTCTTGGATACTAGACCTCCATCTTTTTCTTTTTGGGGGGTGTGTTTTAATATGCTGTATCCAAATGGGGTGGTTAAGACACCCCTGGTCTATGTTTATTATGAATGTTTGCTCATATGACCCCCAGCAACACTATATAGTAGGAATATTATTATCCCCATCTACAGGCCAAGTGACTGAGGCCCAAAGTCCCACAGTAGCAGGGTTTTCTGTCTCCTGAGCCCACCCTCATAACACCTGGGCGACACGGCTGGCACAAACTGGAAATGTCTTGATTGGTTGCAGACACACAACAGGTTCACTGATAGTGCTCTCGTTTTTAATCCATAGCCATTAAATCATTCATTCATTCCACATTTATTGACTGCCTGCTCTGTACCAGGTGCTGTCCTAAGTGCTGAGAATTAGACTTGAAGAAGGGTGGAGCACGGTAAGGAAAGAGGGTGGCAAGAGATGCACGGCTGGTCCGAGGGACTCTTCTACATTCCATGAGTCCTCCCAGGAAGAGTTGGAAGGACAAGGGGTTTGGTCCTCAAGCATGAAGTGATTTGGGGATGTTACTAGTTTTCTGTGCTGCTGCAGCAAATTACTACGAACTTAGAGGTTTAAAAAAATGGAAGCAGCCGGGCATGGTGGCTCACGCCTGTAATCCCAGCACTTTCAGAGGCCAAGGTGGATGGATCACCTGAGGTCAGGAGTTCAAGACCAGCCTGGCCAGCATGGTGAAACCTCATCTCTACTAAAAATATAAAAGTTAGCTGGGCGTGTTGGCAGGCACCTGTAATCCCAGCTACTGGGGAGGCTGAGGCAGGAGAATCACTTGAACCAGGGAGGCAGAGGTTGCAGCGAGCCGAGATTGTGCCATTGCACTCCAGCCTGGGCAACAGAGTGAGGCTCTGTCTCAAAAAAACAAACAAAACAAAACAAAACAATGGAAGTTTATTCTCTCCCAGTTCTAGAGACCAGAAGTCTGAAATTGGTATCAGTGGGCTTGATCCAGGGGTGGGTATCAGGGATCAAGGTGTCACCGGGGCCACACTCTTTCCAGAGGCTCCAGGGGTGAATCTGTTCCTTCCCTCTTCCAGCTTGGGGGGCTGCCAGTACTCTTGGTTTGTGACCTCCTTGCTCCAATCTCTGCCTTTTTGGTCACATTGCCTCTTCCTCTTCTGTCTATAATCAAATGTCCCTCCACCTCCTTCTCATAAGCATTTATTTAATTGTATTTAGAGTCCACCCAGATAAACTAGGCAAATTGTACCATCTGAAAATCCTACACTTAATCACATCTGCAAATACCTTTAATTTGGGGGCTGGGGTGGCATATAAGGTATTATTTATAGGTTCCAGGGATTAGGATGTGGATATCTTTGGGGGCCATTTTTCAGCCTACCATAGGGAGTTATTTGTGGATTTTATTTTTTTAATGTAAATCTAGTCCCTTTTAACTAAGCAACCAATCTGTACTTCTTAAAAAGCACCAGTCATATTCACTGTGGACAAAAGCTTATGAAGCAGCATCCCTGGAAATTCACCTATGATTGAAAGAAGGAAGGAGGGACAACATGGGAGACAGAGACACAGCCAGCAATGAATGATGTCTCTTTCTGGTGCATGTGCTTCATGGAGACAGGGAGACTGGGGATGCAGATTCTGTTTTGGCTTGTCTTTTTAAAGGCTGTAGGCCCGTCACAGTGGCTCATGCCTGTAATCCCAGACCTTTGAGAGGCCAAGGCAGGCAGATCACTTGAGGTCAGGAGTTTGAGACCAGCATGGCCAACGTGGCAAAACCCTGTCTCTACTAAAAATACAAAGATTAGCCAGGCATGGTGGCACCCGCCTGTAAACCCAGCTACTTGGGAGGCTGAGGCAGGAGAATCGCTTGAACCTGGGAGGCAGAGGTTGCAGTGAGCCGAGATTGCGCCACTGCACTCCAGCCTGGGCGACAGAGTGAGACTGTGTCTCAAAAAAAAATAATAAATAAAAATAAAGGCTGTAGATATTAGAAATGAATAATATCTAAGAGATGCTTCCATACTCATTTTTAGGATGTTCTGAGGAAGGAAGAGGCCAACATGGTCAGTTTTATATGAAGAGAAGATTTTGTTCCAAAGGAAATGATGGGGAAAAGCCCAGCTTGGGGAGGGGTCAGGGAACAGTGGGCAAGTGGGAAATGAGTCCACCTTCTGCCAGGAAGCCCAAGGGGGCATGTCTTTGAGCTGCAAAAGAACAGGTCCACAAATCATAGCTGAGATTGGCCCAGCGGTAGGAAAAGCAACACAGAATCAATTTAGTGTGGTTGAAGCTTGTGCGATGACTCGGGCTATCACGCTCCTCAGGGCCTGAATCATGGGACACAATGGATCCGCCAGCTTATTCCGGCATCCTTTAACTCTTGAGGAGCAAATGCCCTGGCAAGGAATCCGTCAGAATCTCCTTCCCCTCCTGCTGCTGCGTGCAGTGGGCCGTGCCCTGGTGAGGTTCCTGTGTCCTCTGTAGAAGGTAACAGATTAGAAAAGCAGAAGTCCCTTCTCTGTCTAGCATCCTTCCACCTTCTTCTCCTCATCTGCAAAATGGGGATGAAACACATAACCCCAGGGTTGGGAGAAAGGTCTGACACAGAGGCAAGTGTCAGTGAACGTTTGAGAACTCTGAAGCGGTGATGGAAATGGGGTATTCCTGGTAACCAGCACCCTCTCTGACCCACGTGGTAGTTATCCTTTTGCCAAAATGTGTGACTCTCTTAATACATTTTGAGTCTCTAGGGAAAAAAAAAGGCAAACTTAATTCCTACTAATATATCACTCACTGTGTTCTCTACCTTTTACGCTTTCTTTTCCAGGTGGTAACAGAAAACAATCCAGATGGGGTGCAGGTGCTGTAAAATAATACAAAGGTAAAGCTGGAGAAATACTACTTCTAAATGGAGGAATTTGTGATGAGCGTGGGGTCACTTTTAAAGACCATGCGTGTATTCAGTGCATTTATCCAGCTTGGGGCATGATCAACATTGCCAACACATTAAGAGTTTGGAATTGTTATAATATCATTTAAAAGAACATGTGCCCTAGATTTTTTTAACTTTTTTTGCTCACTTCTCAAAGCATGTTGGGAACACCATCATTTTCTGAGGCTGAATTTGGTCTGGGTTTCTGAGGATGCCTGAAATGGCATCGCTGAAAATAAATCACCCCAATCACATATGTGCTTTTAATTTTGTCCACATTGCATTTCAGAAAATTGTGAGTAACGTGAACATAAACTTCTAACTAAGAAAAAGGGTAACTGATGATCTTGCTTTCTTAACAAATATACTGTCTTTTTAATCATAGTTCTATTCTAGACCTATATATAAATAAGCTGTATTCCACTGTAATCATACTGTGATGTTTGGCTTTATTCAAAAACTATGTATTGTAAGTATCATTCCTGTGACTACAGACTTCATATTTATCATTTTAGTGACTGCATAATATTCCACTGAGAGGATATACTCCTTATGGCCCTGTTAGTGGACATTTGTTTTATTTGTTTTTTATTTTAAAATTCTATGAACCACTTTGTATTTTACTTCACCCCTTACCCCTCCTTCCTCCTTTTGGCTCTCTTCTTAAGAGTATTTCAGGCAGAACCTTGTTTATCTTTTTCAAGACTGTCTCGCTCTGTCATCCAGGCTGGAGTGCAGGGGCGTGATCTCAGCTCACTGCAGCCTCCGCCTCCCAGGTTCAAGCGATTCTCCTATCTCAGCCTCCCGAGTAGCTGGGATTACAGGTGCCTACCACCTCACCCAGCTAATTTTTGTATTTTTAGTAAAGATGGGGTTTCACCATGTCGGTCAGGCTGGTCTCGAACTCCTGACCTCAAGTGATCCACCCGCCTTGGCCACCCAAATTGCTGAGATTACAGGCGTGAGCCACCAAACATTTTTATACCAACTATATCTATTTGATTTAGACATACTTATCTAGGTTGAAAAGTAATCACAGAAATTAAATTAGCAGGAATCGTAGAAAGAAGCAGGGCCTGTGGTAAAAAGCATTAATGATGGAGCAGACCTGACTGGTTTTCATTGTCTTTCCTGAAGCTATCTCTTTGATCCAGTTCAAGTGCCCTCTCCTGGCTATGTCAATGAAGTCAACAGCTGCAAGCTAGATGAAGACGACACTGATAAATTAAAAGGCAAATGGAGCAGTGAAGTCTTGGTGCAGAAAAATGACCCTCAGAGGCAGGGCTCAAAGAAGACTGAGAGCAGCAGCAGGACAGCTGATCCATGGGAGCCCTGCTGGCCTCACCAAGGGCCGCTCCCACAGGGGGACGCTGGAGGGGAACACCATGCCTGCGGTGTCAACGGCATCGGCCCTGCTGCCACTCCACAGCCCACTGGGAATTCCAGCCCCACCCAGGATGACAGGGGCTCCTGGGCCAGTACTGCAAATACTGTTCCCCCAACTCAACCCTTCCTGGAAGGAGGGGGCACCAGGAAACAGGACTGTGTGCTGCTGGCCTCAGAAGGGACCCAAGTCATGAGAAATGGAGACTCCAGAGCTCCTTCTGAGGCAGAAAGTTTTGCCTTGGAAGTACAAGACCATGTCTTCCAGATACCAGCCCCAGATTACCTTCAGCATTGGGGCCCAGCTGGAGACAACGTTGATCATAATGAAAAGGACTGTGTTTTCAAGAACCATACTGAGGATGAATCCCTAGAGGGAATTCAGCCCCCAGTGGGGGAGCATGGTTTGAATACGCCCTTCTCTGTGAGGAGAAGCTGGGATTCATTGAATGAGGATGTGGAAACAGAAGTTCTAAGCATCTGCTTTAATGAGAAGGGTCCTGTTCATGCCATGCCTGTGGTTGACTCAGGAAACAGGCAGGAGGATACCCATGGCTCCGATGGAGATGGGGATGGGGAGATTGTGGACGAGGATGCAGCGGTGGCGGAGGCCCTTGCAGCTTTAGAAGCTGCTACTGCAGGAGAAGATTTGGATGAGACTGATTAGGGGAGGGGATTTGCACAGGGAGGTAAGCTGGTGTCATGCTGAGCATGCAGATGCATTTGCTCCCTGGATGCATAGCAGGTGATTCTGCCAGCATGCACCAGTGCAGCCTTACCAGTTGTTTACATCCAGCATCTGTTCTGATTGTCAGCATCTGTCCCATGCTGCTTGTCACATATCTGGAGTTTCACTCTGTGTAGATGAGCTGTCATTCAGGACACTAGGAGAAAAATCTGAGTGGGTCATTGTGCCCATATCCACAGAAAATGCAGAAGTTGAACAGCTTGCTTGACAACCCTCAAACATCTTTGAGCACCTGGTACAGATGTTTATGAGAATACTCTAAGATCTCAACCCTTGATCCCAAAGGCACACAATCACAGAGCATTCCTTTTGACTGTAAACTGTTTACCTTGCTTTTGAGAGCCAAACATTGTACCCAACCTGGAAAAAGTAACTACCCCAATTAAAGTGCCTCATGTGTCCCCAGAGCATGGCTTAACTTCAGGGACAATCACCCAGGGAACTAATAACTAACCAGTTGTTCAACAGCGGGTTAAGCTCAGCAGTTTTCACAGTAGAGCAGAAGTCCCCAGGAAACAAAGGGTTAGTCATTAGCTGAGATGTTGATTTTAAAACACCTTGACCTTAACTTTTTTACATTATTACTTTTAAATCTCCTTTGGGATTGGGGAGGCTGGCCAAAATAAGTCTTAAAACTGCTTATGTCATATTTGGATTTTAAGTTCATGACATTCGGAACAGCAAAGCCATATATGCAATGTTTTTATGCCATTAAATGTCTGATTCCAATTAAAATATAACAACGTATGTGTCTTTCTAGAAGTCTTAACTCAAAGGTGGTTCTAATTTTCTCAGAATATCAGTGACCCTGGATGTTACTTTCAATGTAAAGAACTAATCTAGATGGCCGGGCGTGGTGGCTCATGCCTGTAATCCCAGCACTTTGGGAGGCCGAGGCGGGTGGATCACAAGGTCAGGAGTTCAAGATCAGCCTGGCCAACATAGTGAAACCCTGTCTCTACTAAAAATACAAAAAATTATCCGGGCACGGTGGCGGGCGCCTGTAATCCCAGCTACTTGGGAGGCTGAGGCAAGGAGAATCACTTGAACCTGGGAGGTGGAGGTTGCAGTGAGCTGAGATCGTGCCACTGCACTCCAGCCTGGGTGACAGTGCAAGACTCCATCTCAAAAAAAAAAAAAAAAAAAAGAGCTAAGCTAGGCACAGTGGCTCATGTCTGTAATCTGAGCACTTTGGAAGGCTGAGGTGAGAGGATTGCCAGGGCCAGGAATTCGAGACCAACCTGGGCAATTTAGCGAGACCCCATCTCTATGAAAAAAAAAAAAAAAAAAAGAGCTAGACTACAAAATTATACTCAAGGAAGGGACCGAGCTGGTTTGCAGAGCCATAGCTTTGGCTTTCTCTCTGTCAAACTTGATGCCATAACTAAATGTCCTGATCTTACCTCAAAGATGAACAAGCCCTCTCTGGATTTCAGCCTTCTAATTCACTGAAACAAGGACAACCATTCTAACGTAACTCAATGGAGAATTTAAAGGCATTAAGGATGCTCAAAACTATCTAGAAAAAAATAAACATGGAAGATGCTTTAGTTTGGTGTTTTGTAACACAGAATTGAAATCTGACTGAACTTCATTTGATTTCCAGCTTTGCCATGTGACCTTGGACAAGTTATGTATCCCTTTACCCATCTGTAAAGTGAGAAGAATAATTGTATGTGCTTGTAAAGGTTAAATGAGATGATGTAAGTGTTTAGCACAGTGCTTGGCACACTAGGCACTCAAAAATGATGTTTTACTAGTTGAAAACAATTCCTTTAACAAACATTTTTACATCCCCACAACTGAAAACTCTAAAACTGGGAAGTATGTATAATGTCATTATTTGACTTTGGCAATTATTTAGTATAAAACATGATTTCTGAGCCTTCCAGCACCTTTAAGGACGGCACCCTTACAAATGCTTAATGAGCCTATGGGTTTGTTTGGTACTGTAATGACAAGCCATCGCAAGTGACCTCTATATACAGGGTCACTCAGAGCCCTTAAAAAGATAAAGTCTTGGCATTGTTAATTGCATTAGAGGTATGTCTCCTTTTGTATTTAGTACACCAAATACTTAATATTTCAGAATGCTTATTCCTTCAATGATTTCCTAAGTGTATCAGTTGAGATTATGTTCAGTTGTATGGGACGAGTGTTTTATACAAATAGAGGCTTATTTACCTCTTATGTAAAAGAAGTCTGGAGTTAGTGATCCAGGGTGGTAGAGAATGTATCACTGGCCCGTGTATCAATGACCCACATATCAATGACCCACGTATCAATGACCCGCATATGAATGACCCATGCTGCTTCAATCATTTTGGTTTCCTTCTCAAGATCACTTTGTAGTCCATAATGGCTGCTGTGGCTTCAGTCATTACATTTGCATTCCATGTTGGAAAAAGAATAAAGGAATAAAAACCCCACTCACTCTCTATTAAGGACCCCACAGAAGTATAATTCATCCCTTCCACATTACTCTCTTTGGTCAAAATCTGGTCACTTGGCCACATCTAGCTGCAAGAGAGACTAGGAAATCGTCTTGCTAGTGGTGTGCGTGGCTTTGCCAAATAAACTCAGAATGCAGTTACTAAGAAGGGGAAATGGACAATGAGTTTCGAGGCGGTCAGTTTACAGTCTCTGCCACAGGAGGTCTCAAAACCCAAAAGCCTGGGATACAGCTGGTTTCAAAAGATTGGAAGATCGTGTGTACATTCAGTGTGACACCAAAGGGGCTTCCACCTTTGGTCCGGGGGAAGGAGGACTGGACAGCTACCGCTGCTCCAACTTCCCATTGATAACTCCAAACCGGACGAAAAGAAGAAATTCAGACAAAGAAGGGGTAGGGTAAGGTATCAGGGCAGACAAGTCTCTTTCTCTTACCCAGACACACACTTTCGCATTTATATATGTATATAATTTTACATCTTAGAACAGCTGCAGAGTTCACCATAACTGACAGCTCTGTAGTTTTAAAGATTCTCTTTTATGAATAACTGCTTTGAAAAGGTCGACAGATGGCCAATACTTTCAAGAGTTCTTTAAAAGTAATTCTGGCCCCTTTCATCTTTACTCCAGTATCCAGGATCCCCCAAAGGAAATGAAAGTAAAAAATCTTTAGGTTGAAAAGTAATTCCAGCTTTTAGCCTTATCTACCAGGTTGTCTAACAGTGAGCTGTCTGAGCACGCTTATGTGTGTAGTGTCTTCTTTCTGCAGCCTAGTGCCACCTCTTGTCAGAAAAGTGATGTTGAAAATAGCCAACCTTTTCAAACATTGTGGACAATATGAAAGCACAATGCACTCTGATTGGAAGGCACTAACTGTGATTAGGGGCAGACTTCACAGTTCCCCATGAACCTTAGGCAATTGCATCACGTGGATATTTACCATGTTAAATCCTGATTTTGAATTAAGATTATTTTATGTATATATTACATATAGGTTTCTTGAGCTAAGAAGTTAGATTTAACTTTTTACTGGGGGAAAATGAACTATCATATAAATATGAAATTAAATTTTTTCCCCTCATTGCCAAAGCAGATGTAGTGAATAGTTATAACTGGAAAAACCAGATACCCAAAAAAACGAAGAGAATTTTAGGTTTCTTACATAGCACATGCCCATCTGTCCATGCTCAGTAAGTGCTGGCCATTCGTCATTTTCCTCCCTCTGCCCCGCTCTGTCTCTCTGATTCTCTTCTCTTCCTACCTCTCCCATCCGTACCTCCAAGCAGGAGGCCTTAGAAAGAATGAATGAGACACCAGATGCAAGTGCAAGTGCAAAGATCTCCTGACTTCCCTGGTTTGGTCGTCTGTGTGCAACCATGCAGCAGATAGAGCACAGTCACTACTGCAGCACAGGATATAGCCTCCTTTCCTGGACTTGGACTTAACTCTTCATCAAGGGCACTGCTTTTCACACAACCAGGCTTTATGACGAAAACGTAGAAATTAATTGCTTTCTGGTCTTGTTTCATTTTTTTTCTCTAGATTAAACCTCATGCATTTTTAAATCCTCTATTTTGGAGTTGGTGACAAACACAGACAAGCTGACATCTGTTTTTCATGGTAAATCCTTTCCCTGTTAACTAATAGAACAATAAGTCATTCATTTATAGATTTACTAAATTTGTAAGTTTCTCATATGTATCAGGTTATACAAACCACACCTAAGTGGTCTGCTAACTTCTGAAGCACTCCCAGCCACTTTAAGAAACATTTTATGCAAGTCAATGTGTTGATCGTAGATGATGCTTACCTGCACATTTAGTCACTTGGAGTCAACTATTAGCAATTTTTTTCAACTGAAATATCTGTACTAAAAAAATGCGTTTGGCCTGAGATCTAAGTTAGTGTACGGCACAAGGGGGGAACTCAATACATATTTGTTGATTGAAAGAATACATAAAAGAAGTCTGGAGTTAGTGATCTTTTCCCGGTCTGGTTGGGGAGATATCATGCAGGTAGCCAGGATTGTGCTGGATTGTGACATGGTGTAATAAAGGTATACATGGTGTAATAAAGGATGTGGGAGCACAAATCCATAGGAATTTGAGAGTTTAGGAATTGTATTTATTATTCAGGCCCTTCACTCTCAGACTACCCTGCTCTATTTGAATAATGAGGCTTGTGGTGGTCTGTGGAAAAGTGGACAGAGTAGAATTTGGGCAGCTGCTGAAGGTTTGGTCTCTAGAATGAGTCCACGTTACCCTAAGGACGGTAATCCCAAATTGAGACAAAAACTTTAAGAAAACCAATGTTTGGGGCCAAGCAATGGGGAGCTTGGCCGACCTCGTTTTTTAGTGATTTTGAACTCAATCTTTAAAATCCTGGAAGAGAAGGAAAAAAAGGGTGTATATTCGTGTAATGACATCCAGATCTCACCGTTCTCTTGGCTCCTAGTGATGGGGGAAAAAAGGTGCGCCCAGGGTTGACCCTTCAGTAACACCTGCAGCCATGCGTCATGACCTCCAGGTGTTCAGAGGCCCTGCCCATGTGACACGTGCCTGGTACTTCCCATACATGTGCCTCTTTAATCCTAATAAACCTGGGGTGAAATCCGGCTGTGCCTCTTGCTCGCTGTGTGACCTTTTGACTTTAAGTTCCTTAACGTTTCTGAGCCTCACTTTTCTCATCTGTGAAATGGGGATCATTCCTATTTCTAAGAATTGAAAGCGCACATTCTCAAACTTCAGTGTGCCCCTGAGGCATGTGGTGTGCTTGTTTAAAAGGCAGATTTCTGGACCTACCTCTAGGAATTCAGACTTAGGAGGTCTTGAGTGGGGTCCTGGCATCTACATCGTTTTTGTAAGTAATTCTCCGCACTTGGAGAAACACATAAGACTCCAGCAGGGATTGCCACACCTTTTTTTTATCTTGCACCAGTTATCAGTAAAAAGTACTGCACACACCCTTAATATAAGCACTTTTACAACCATACTGTCTTCTAATATGTTATATGGTTTACAGTATTTAGCAATACTAAGATGAAGTAACAACATATCAGAGCATTAATATTTTTTTCACTCCCCTGGGGTATGTGAAACCTACTTTGGAAACCACTGGTTTAGAAGATCAAATGAACTAGTATATATAAAAGCTCTCTGTAAATAGACAAAACTGGGCATATATATATATATATATATATATATATTTTTTTTTTTTTTTTTTTTTTTTTTTTTGAGATGGAGATTCATTCTTGTTGCCCAGGCTGGAGTGCAATGGCACGATCTTGGCTCACTGCAACCTCTGCCTCCTGGGTTCAAGCGATTCTCCTGCCTCAGCCTCCCACGTAGCTGGAATTACAGGCACGCGCCACCACGCCCAGCTAATTCTGTATTTTTACTGGAGACAGGGTTTTGCCATGTTGGTCAGGCTGGTCTCGAACTCCCCACCTCAGGTGATCTGCCCACCTTGACCTCCCAAAGTGCTGGGATTACAGGCGTGAGTCACCGCGCCCAGCCCGGGCCAATATTTTTGAAAGCACATAGAGCATACACATGAGTGTGGACCACGCACTTATAATATAAGCCCACTTGCAAATCCAGTCAACACCACTGACCTGCAACTCTTCCTCCTCACCTGTGCTGCCCTCTGAGCCTTGTTCCTAGGAGACTTCTGTATTTACTGCCTTTAAGCATTTTGGAATAGTTAATACAGAACTAAGGGAAAATATGACCTAGAGACCAAAAGGCAGACAAAGAATTTTACTTATCTCCCTAATCAAAACTACACATTCCAAACTAAAATGAGTGAGGCCTTTGAGGAACAGGCTAATTAGAATACTTGTTTAGTCAGAATCTGGCTACTTTGAAAGCACAACAATGCAATTTCTCTTGACATAAGTTACCAACTTAAAATCCCACACAAAAAAATCCATTTCTAGGTCCAACTCATTCTTTTCCATTCTCCAAAATATTCCTAAAGCTATGGAGAAAGGTAAACCTCAGAATTTACATAAATCAGGAAGAGTTCACAGGCCACAGAAGGTCCATAGCCTCTACTCATCAGCCGACGTGCTGCTCTCTCTGTCTTAGATGTTGATGCTTAGAAAGGAAACAAAAGCTTTAAATTACCAATTTCTGAAGACACAAGATCTAAGGTCCAAGGTTTTCATGGCATCAGCCATAAGCCGGGTGACAAACCATCAAGGACTGTTGTGGTTTTTAAATTAAAATTTACAGGGGCTGGGTGCCGTGGCTCATGCCTGTAATCCCAGCACTTTGGGAGGCCGAGGCAGGCGGATCACTTGAGGTCAGGAGTTCAAGACCAGCCGGGCCAAAATGGCGAAACCCTGTCTCTACTAAAAATAAAAAAATTAGCCAGGGCTGGTGGTGCTCGCCTGTAATCCCAGCTACTTGGGAGGCTGAGGCAGGAGAATTGCTTGAACCCAGGAGGCAGAGGTTGCAGTGAGCTGAGATCGTGCTGGTGCACTCCAGCCTACATATATATATACACATATATATAAAATGATATGTAATATATATATATCATAATATATATATATATATAACTCCTCCTATAGCTACTTTTCTGCAAATAACTGCATTAGTCATGAGTTCTTTTTGTTGGTTTTGTTGGTTGGCTGCAAATGACAGAAACCCAAACTAGATAACAAAAGAATTTCCTTGAATGTTCTGTTCTGGGAAACAAAGTGCAACTCTGTCTCAAAAAAAAAAAAAAAAAAAAAAAAAAAAAAAAGTTTATAGGAAGAAAATATATAGAGAAAAAATCTGCAAAGACATTACTTCAAAATAATTTGCCAAATATTAACGTAGAAATTGTATTCAGTAATTAATTTCTGGGAGCCAACAAGTTATGGGTTTTGGTATTTTGTTGTTGTTTTTAGTATTTTTATAGGTATGACTATAGCTTAACATTTTCAGTACTGCTATGTGTTAAGCACCAAATGCAGTCAGCCTTGTTCTAAGTACTGCACGTGAATCATCTCACTGAAGTCTACCGTGACGCCATGAGCTATAGGTATGATTGTCCCCATTTCACACATGGGAAAATGGAGGCTCAAACAGCTAAATAACTCATCCAGAATCACACAACCAGACAGTGGCAGAATCTCAACTGAACCCAGACTGAACAACAAACCGGTGCTTTTTTTTTTGAGATGGAGTCTCGCTCTGTCACCCAGGCTGGAGTGCAGTGGTGTGATCTCAGCTCACTATAACCTCTGCCTCCCAGCTTCAAGCGATTCTCCTGTCTCAGCCTCCCGAGTAGCTGGGATTACAAGCGTGCACCACCATGCCCAGCTAGTTTTTTGTATTTTAGTAGAGACAAGGTTTCACCGTGTTGCCCAGGCTGGTCTCGAACTCCTGAGCTCAGGCAATCCACCCACCTCACCCTCCCAAAGTGCTAGGATTACAGGCGTGAGCCACCGCGCCTGGCCCAAACCTGTGCTTTTAAAGGTGACATAATATGCCTCTCTGTGGCAACATCCATGTTGCCATTAGACAAAGATAAGGGCTGAATCAAAATGTGAGACAACCCAATTTTGTATATGTAAAATTGTATGTATTGTCAATTGGGATTAAAAGGGGGTTTTGTTCTGGTTCTAAGGAAGATTGTAATAAAGAATAGAAAAGTTAGTCAAGGCCTTGTAACCATAATAGGTCTGCTGCCCAACGTGCCGCAAGTCAATAGCTGAGACACGGGGTTGCCGCAGAGCAAGAGGTTTAATGGGAGGGCCGCTGAACGAGGAGATGGAAGGAAACCTCAAATCTGTCTCCCTGAGGAGTTTGGGGCTAGGCATTTTAAAGGGTTTGGAGTAAGCCTAAGTGTGGTGATAGTTGATTGGTCGAAGAGTACAGGGTGAAGTCATGGGACAGGGTGATGAAGAAACTGTATTCTCATGCTGATCCCATTTGTCTGGGTGGGTTGGCTGTCAGCTGTTTCACTGGAATTTGGGGGAAAACACCTTAAGCAATTCTAACAAAAGCTTTATGATTCTAATGTCAGAAATCCTATCTATAGGAACAATGGGGATGCACATGGCCAGGATCTAGTGCTACTACAGGACTTTTGGTGACAAGGAAGTGGGCCAAAGTACAGCCTGATTAATGCTTAATCCAGAATTCTTGTTAACCCTGTGAGGACAGCTTCAGCTTTATCTGTAAAATCTCTGAGACTGTCTACTGTCAATGGTATTTTTGCGGCAATCGTAAGACCATGAATTTCCTTTCCCTACAAAGGTTGAGGCAGATCCAGGGGCCATATGTCCCCACCCATGAACCACCCCTACATAGCTTAAGATTCCTTTCCTCAGTTTCATCATCTGTATAGTGGAGGTGATGGCTAGGCCCCTCTCTCGGCCATAATGAGATTTAAATGAGATAAAAAGTGCTTAGCACGTACCCAGCACAAAGTAAACAATAAATGTTAGATGTAATTTTGTCCGAGTACAGTGGCTCACGCCTGTAAACCCAGCACTCCGGGAGGCCGAGGCAGGCGCATCACTTGATGTCAGGAATTCAAGACCAGCCTGGCCAACGTGGCAAAACCCTGTCTCTACTAAAAATATAAAAATTAGCCAGGCGTGGTGGTGCACACCTGTAATCCCAGCTACTCTGGAGGCTGAGGCAGGAGAATTGCTTTAATCCAGGGGGCGGAGGTTGCAGTGAGCCAAGATTGCGCCACTGCACTCCAGCCTGGGTGACAGAGCGAGACTCCATCTCAAAAAAAAAAAAAAAAAAAAAAGTTAGATGTACTTTTATTATCCAGCGAAGGTCACTGGCCCACTTCTATGAGTAACACTCAATGCTTTTTTAAATAACTAGATCTTTGTTGCTACCCACCAAAGCTGTATGAATCACTTCTAATAATACTAATTTCTAAACTGGGTAAGTTCTGTTCTACCTACATCATTAATAATCGTCTAAAGGCAAAAATGCATCTTGGGGGCACTTCAATTTTAGTGTATTTTTATTCTCATTATCTTCATCATTTAACAATTGTAGAACACACGGGAATTTATCCTTTGAACTTTAAGTCACATTGCATTTGAAGTGAATATTTATAGCATTAAAATTGACCTTTCTTTTATCTTTCCTCATGCCCCAAATAAGATTTTATAAAATAAAATGCATTTTTAATACAAAACAGAAACCATGGAAGATTTGGGAGGGTTGATTGGTTATTTTGGAGAGGTTGTGTCTGGCTTGGGTTTTATTTAGTATGGATTTGTGCGTGTGTGTGTGTGTGTGTGTGTGTGTAGTTTTTGTTTGATTTGGTCAACACTAATATTCATCTGTAATAAGTAAACCCATATATTTTTTCAATTTGGGTATAATGTTATGATTTCAAGAGTATTTTGTCTATGATTTCTCAGCTAGATTAACTTAGGAATGAAAATAAATTGAGTTACTTTTAAACTCACTGAGATGCCTATGCTACATGCACATCTTGTCATAAAAGGGTTAAGATAAAATTTCAGCCTGAACAAACAGAGGAAGAGACCATGCTCCTTAGCTGGTAGATCTGGGTTCATTCAACATCAGTCAAGGCAAGAAAGTCATTCTTTCCAATAAGGCAGTTGACCTGCCATCAGGAGAACCTCAGGCCCCATAGGCTTTGCAGTTACATCTTGTACCTGGTTCCGCCCCCAGCCCACCTTCGAATGTTATAAACAATATGGCTGTGGCAGAAACATCAAAAACTAACTCTCAAAAGGCAAAATCCCCATCATTTATTCCACTACAGAGGGTTGGAACTTGGCATCTCTGTGGCCAATAGATTGTTCTGTTTCATCTGAGAGACCACTGAGTGAGCACTGACTGTGCCTGGCCTGTACTAAGTGCATTACACATCTGAGCTCATATGATCCTCACAACCACCCTAAAAGGCACATATTATCTTCATTCTGTAGTTAGAAGACGGGGTCCAAAGAGTTTAAGGTCACAGACAGCAAAGGCATCTGAATGCCAAATCTGTGCTCTTATCGGGAGCTGTAAGAATGAGCCCTGTGCCAATCCAGGAAAGATGGTGAAAGGAAATTCTCCTGAAGCAATAAAAGGAAAAGGGTTTGCAAAAGCATTTCACAACAGAAACCGCACCATGGCCAGGCCTTCTGGCGATGGAGTGAAGGCAGCTCTAGGAAGTCTCAGCTGCAGGGCTGGATGCCAGAGCTTCACTTTCCATGTGGCTCTATAACTCCTCCTATAGCTACGTTTCTGCAAATAACTGCATTAGTCATGAGTTCTTTTTGTTGGTTTGGTTGGTTGGTTGCAAATGACAGAAACCCAAACTAGATAACAAAAGAATTTCCTTGAAATGTTCGTGAAGTTCAGAAGGGCAACTAGGCCTTGGGGACAACTGAATCTGGGGCTTGAAAGCAACCAGGCTGGGCACAGTGGCTCATGCCTGTAGTTCCAGCACTTTGGGAGGCTGAGGTGGGCAGATCGTTTGAGCTCAGGAGTTCGAGACCAGCCTGGGCAACGTGAAAAAAACCTGTCTCTTTGAAAAATACAAAATAAAGTAGCTGAGCATGATGGCCTGTGCCTGCAGTCCCAGCTACTTGGGAGGCTCAGGTGGGAGGATTGCTTGAGCCTGGGAGGTCGAGGCTCTGGTGAGCCATGATTGTGCCACTGCATTCAAGCCTAGGTGACAGAGTGAGACTCTGTCTCAAACCAAAAAAAAAAAAAAAAAAGCAACCAGCACTGCCTGTCTTCCCTCCGCACATTCCCTCCCTTTCATCACACCAGGAAAGAAGACTACACAGCAGGAAATATGGTCTTCACCAGCCCCTAGCCCACAGCTTTAGCCACCAGAGCAATAAACCATTTTTTCCAGCCCATTTGCTGGAGAAAATGGTTTATTGCTCTGGCGGCTAATGCTGTACCTTTAGCCATGGGAACCCTCATGGGCTTCCCCATGAGGCTATGGAACTCTGTGGCTCAGTTCCACAGCAAGCAACTGGCCGGCTCAACTCGACTCAGACAAAGTTGTGTGTGCTGGACCAGTCACAGCCACTCTGATCAGCCGTGGGGGATGGACGCATGTAGACCCTTCACCAAGTTACCAAACATGCCGCTTACAGCAGTCGCGCCCTCGGTAGGGGTGGATGAGAAGACAGAGGATTTGCAGGCATTTTTCTGATCCTTAAAACTCCTGTGAGACAGGTCATTTTACAGATGGCATTGAGGCTCAGAAAGATAAGATACCTTTCTCAATGTCACACAGTGGTGAGTGTGGGGCTCAAACGCAACAGCAAAGGTCGTGCCTACTTCTCTGAGACCACACCACTTCCATGACAGCATTCAGCGCGCGGGGTTCCCTCCAAAGCGGAACCGAATCATTCTCACCAGTATCCAGGTAACACCTGCAGTGACACAAGCTCCCAGGTGAGAAAATGGAGCGTCCGATGAGAAAAACAATAAAGACAAACTGGCAGTGCCAGAAAATCAGTTAGAAAAAAACTAGACTTGAACCTTTACTCTCACAAAATAGCTAATGGTAGTCTTTCGTTTTTAAAGGTGGGCTTTTGTTTATTTATTCATTCAGCAAAAAATCACGAGTACTTTCTGCAACACCAGGGCTTGAAGGAAGATACAGCACCAACCCCCCAACGGCCGTGCAGTTCTCCGATTCGGCCAGCAGAGGGAGCGAAGGGCCAGCTCTGTGGGAGGACCTGCAGAGCTGGACACCAGCTGAACCGCGTGGGCAGCCACACCACCCCCTGGCCACGCCACAAAATGCCCAAGACAAAGAAGTCCCAGCTGTCCTTTAGGTGTTTAGAGCTACAGTGAGGGTACCCTGGGGAGATCTGAGAACAGTCCTGCAGCATGGTTCTGGGAAGATGAGGAGAGGAGGGAATCCTTGGGTAGAACCAACATGCCCCACCCAGACTAAAGGGTCGGAGGATCTAAGAACTGGCAAGTCAAACCTCAGATACAAAACATAGTCCTCTTTGACCACACAACACGCCCTCAGTGATACTATGCACTAAATCGCGCGACGCCATTTCCAAGCCCCCAACTCTACTGTCCTCAGTGAGACAGAAGGAAGGGTTCCCCGCCTTTTGGGGTGGAGGAAGCCTGGATGTGAAGACAGATTTGAAAAAGAAGTGCAGGAGCATTCAAGACCATGGGCAGGCCCCCTGGCAAATTCACCCAGGGGGCTGGTGGAGACTATATTTCCTGCTGTGTAGTCTTCTTTCCTGGTGTGAGGAAAGGGAGGGAATGTGCAGAGGGAAAACAGGCAGTGCTGGTTGCTTTTTTTTGTTGTTGTTGTTTGTTTGTTTGTTTGAGACAGAGTCTCACTCTGTCACCTAGGCTTGAATGCAATGGCACAATTATGGCTCGCCAGAGCCTTGACCTCGCAGGCTTAAGCAATCCTCCCATCTGAGCCTCCCAAGTAGCTGGGACTGCAGGCACGGGCCATCATGCTCGGCTACTTTCTTTTGTATTTTTCAAAGAGTCAGGGTTTTTTCACGTTGCCCAGGCTGGTCTCAAACTCCTGAGCTCAAGCAATCTGCCCACCTTGGCCTCCCAAAGTGCTGGAACTGCCAGGGTGGGGAGCTTGCTGAACCAATTGTTCAGGGCCAGCGTTGTGAGGCTAGCGTCCGTCACCATGGGGAACAGAAGGGTCATATGTGCCACATTGCCAGCTGCCCACTACTCCCCTAATGAGCCAAGAAAGACATGAAAGCCAGTTAGTGACCAAACGTCCCCATTCTACATTACACATGTACTAGAGGGGATATCAAAAAGGCCAATTAACCAAAAACTAAGCCCGTCGTCCCCAAGTGACCCCTTTCAACTATAAATCGGGATTGGAGGAATTCTAACATCCATCCTAGTGCACACATTCTGAGTTTCTGGTTCTCATGTTGTGACTTGGTCACAAATGACCAAATCAACCTTTCCACTTCCTCAGCATAAGCTGTTATTGATCATCTTGTTTTCAAGGACATACACACGCGCACACACACACGCACACTCCAAATCAGAATCCTATGAGGTACCACACAGAGTGAAGTTTGCTGTCTATACATTTTAAAAATCTCAACCAGGATATGAAGGAGAGATGGAATGCAGATGGTGACAAATGACTCTGTGTTACAAATGAGTCACATTACCATGCAGAAGCGGGTGGGGAACAAAGGAGCTGACTTAAGAAACTTTGGCAAATACAGTTTTGACAGAATACTGTAAGGCTAAAAACAAGAACCACACACACACACAGACACACACAGACACACACACAGACACACACACAGACACACACACAGACACACACATACACACAGACACACACACAGACACACACACACAGACACACACACACATACACACAGACACACACACAGACACACACACACACACACAGACACACACACACAGACACACACATACACACACAGAGACACACACATACACACAGTACTTCAGTTGGAAAGTGTGTTTCTCACAGTAATATATTTTCAAACTACTTAATATGTATGCTAGTGTTGAATAAACATGTAAAAATATCATAGATAATAAGAGCCAGGTTTCCTCACTGTTGGAGAAGAAAGTTACAAATAAGGAAAGCAGGAAGCTTAGAACGAGTACTATGGAGCAAGCCTGGAGTCAGAAGTAGCAGTGTGGGCACATGCTTTTGTTTTACAGATAGATACAAAAAATACATAAAGATGTGTGTATCCGCATGGGTTGGTGTGTGTGTATGTATATATGTGTGTACAGGGGGCCTAGTAGCTGTGACATCCCAGCATCAATGAGGACACCTAGTCCTCTTTATTTCTAAACATCATTGTCCAATAAAAGGAACCAGGGCTCCTTGGGTTAGTGGTTGATTTCAGGGCTGGGGCAAGGAAAATACAAGACAAGATGAACCTGGAGAATCTTGTGGTGCCAGAAAGTAATAAAGGGCTTTCAAAAAAGAAAGGACCTGTAATCCTAGCACTTTGGAAGGCTGAGGTAGGTGGATCACTTGAGGCCAGGAGTTCAAAACCAGCCTGGCCAACATGGTGAAACCCTGTCTCTACTAAAAATACAAAATGTAGCCAGGTGTGGTGGCGTATGCTTGTAATCCCAGCTACTCAGGAGGCTGAGGCAGAAGAACCACTTGAGCCTGGGAGGCAAACGTTGCAGCGAGTCGAGATTGTACCACTGCACTCTGGCCTGGGCGACAGAGTGAGACTTTGTCAAGAAAGAAAGAAAAAGAATAAAGAAAGAGAGAGAGAGAGAGAGAGAAAGAAAGAGAAAGAAAGAAAGAAAGAAAGAAAGAAAGAAAGAAAGAAAGAAAGAAAGAAGGAAAAGAAAAGAAAAGAAAGAGAAAGGAAAGAAGGAAAGAAAGAGAAAGAAAGGAAGAAAGAGGAAGGAAGGGAGGGAGGGAGAGAGAGAAGGAGAGAAAGAGGAAGGGAAGGAGAGAGGGAGGGAGGAAGGAAGGGAAGAAGGAAGAGAGGGTAGAAGAAAGGAGGAAGAGAAAGAGAAGGAAGGAGAAAGAAAGAAAAAGAAGAAAGGGAAGGAAGGAAAAAGATGCAAGAAAGGGGAAGGATGGAAGGCAAGAAGAAGGAGGAGGAGGAGAAGGAGGAGGAGAAGGAAGGAAGGGAGAGAGAGAAAGAAAAGAAAGAAAAAAAGGAGAAAGAAGAAAGAAAGAGAAAGAAGAAAGAAAGAAGGAAAGAAAGAAAAAGGAAAGAAGACAAGAGAAAGAAAGAAAGAGTGTGTAATAGGTGGAGGAAGGAGAAAAGTAAAGGATGGAACCACATCAAGGGACATGGGCACCAACCTGAAAGGGCTCCTACCACAGACATAGCCACTGCAGCCAGGATCCACCAATGGTTGGTGTGGTGGGTTGAATGATATCCCCCACAAGACCTGTTGATGTTGAAGTCCTACCTTCTGAGACCTGTGGATATGACCTTATCAGGAAATGGGTTCTCTGCAAATGTAATCAAGTTAAGATAAAGTCATACTGGATTAGGGTGGACCCTAAACCCAATGCCTGGTGTCCTTGTAAGAGCAGAGGACTCCCTCACACAGGAAAGAAGACACAGAATGCCAGAATTGCCAGCAACCATCAGAAGCTGGGAGGGAGGCATGGGCCAGATTATACCCCAGAGATATCAGAAGGAATCAACCCTGCAGACACCTTGACTTCAGGGTCTGGCTTTTTAGACTGTGAAAGAATACACTTCTGTGTTCTGGGGCACCCAGGTTTTGGTAATTTGTTATGGTAGCCCTAGAAAACTCATACAGATGGTAAAATTAATGTGTGAAAGTTTAAGCAGAAATAAGATATTGGCCTAATCTCTAAGTATCTCCCATCTAATATTCATTAATTACAAAGGGAAAATAGTAACTTTACCAAAATGAAACCTGGCAGACACCACCTTGGGCAATGATGAAGATTGACATCACGGGTAATATGTACCATCACGTTCCTGACATGATTCAATGGGAAGGGCACATCACCTGTATGGTGTCCCTTCCCTTATGCAAAACCTCCGTCTAATCACAAGAATCAGCTGAAACACCTAGGTTGAGGGAGAGTCTACAAAAGAACTGATCAGTACATTCGAGTGTCAAGATCACGAAACACAAGAAAAGACTAAAGGGCAACCACAGATCAGAGGGGACAGGATCCAACAACTAAATGCAGTGGGTGATCCTGGAACAGCAGGGGGACATTAGTGAGACAATGGATGCAATCCAAAGAACGTTGTGGTTTAATGAATGGTACTGTACCACTGTTAGTTTTTTAGTTGTGATCACTTTTTTATAGTTAAGATGGTAACATACGGGGAAATGGAGGGAAGGGTTTACATGAACTCTGTACTGCTTTTGCAACTCTTCTACAAGTCCAAAATTATCTTCAAATTTAAAAAGCAGTAACAGGCATACCTCATTTTATTGCACTTTGCTGTAGTGTGCTTTGCAGATATTGTAGGGTTTTCTTGTTTGTTTTTGTTTTGTTTTTTAATGAACCGTACGTGTGTGGCAACCCTGCAAGTCGAGAAGGTCCATCAGCACTTTTCTTTCTTTTCTTTTTTTTTTTTTTTTTTGAGGTGGAGTCTTGCTCTGTCGCCCAGGCAGGAGTGCAGCGGCACAATCTCAGCTCACTGCAACCTCCTCTTCCCAGGTTCAAGCAATTCCCCTGCCTCAGCCTCCCAAGTAGCTGGGGATATAGACACGCACCACCACACCTGGCTAATTTTTTTCTTTTTTTTGTATGTTAGTAAAGACAAGGTTTCACCATGGTGGCCAGGATGGTCTCGGTCTCCTGACCTCGTGATCCGCCTGCCTCGGCCTCCCAAAGTGCAGGGATTACAGGCGTGAGCCACTGCGCCCAGCCATCAGCACCACTTTTCCAACAGCATGTGCTCACTCATGTCCCTGTGTCACATATGGGTAATTCTTGAAATATTTCAAACTTTTCAATTAATTATTATTATATCTATTATAGTGATCCGTGATCAGCGATTTCTGATGTTACTATTGTAATTGTTTTGGGATGACATGAACTGTGCCCACATAAAATGACAAACTTAATCTGTAAATGCTGTGCATGTGTGTTCCAACTGCCCGACCAACCAGCCGTTCCCGTCTCTCTCCCTCTCCTCAGGCCTCCCTATTCCCTGAGACAAAATATTAAAATTAGGCCAGTTAGTAACCCTACAATGGCTTCTCACTGCTCAAGTGAAAGGAAGGGTCACATGCATCTCACCTTAAATAAAAAGCTAGAAATGATTAAGGCGTGTCAAAAGCCGAGACAGGCAGAAAATTAGGCCTCCTGTACCAAATAGTTAAGTTGTGAATGCAAAGCAAAGCAAAAGTTTTGAAGAAAATTTAAAATGCTACTCTAGCAAATACACGAATGATAAGAAAGTGCAACAGCCTTATTGCTGATACGGAGACAGATTCAGTGGCCTGGATAAAAAAATCAAACCAGCCACAACATTCCCTTAAGCCCAAGCCTAATACAGAGCAAGGTCCTAACTCTTCAGTTCTATAATGACTGAAAGAAGTGAGGAAGCTGCAGAAAAAAGGTAGGAAGCTGCAGAAAAAAGGTTGGAAGCCAGCAGACGTTGGTTCATAAGATTTTTAAATTTAATTTTTTTTTTTTTTTTTGAGACAGAGTCTAGCTCTGTCACCCAGGCTGGTGTGCAGTGACTGCAATCTCTATCTCCCGGATTCAAGTGATCCTTCTACTGCAGCCTCCTGAGTAGCTGAGATTACAGGTGTGCACCATTATGCCCAGCTAGTTTTTGTATTTTTAGTGGAGACAGGGTTTCGCCGTGTTGGCCAGGTTGGTCTCAAACTCCTGACCTCAAGCAATCAGCCCGCCTCAGCCTCCCAAAGTGCTGGGATTACAGGCATGAGCCACTGCACCCAGCCAGTTCATAAGGATTAACTAAAGAAACCATTGCCATTATACAGAAGTACAAAGTGAAGCAGCAAGTGCTAATTTAGAAACTGCAGTAAATAATCCAGAAAATCTAGGTAAGATCATGGATGAAGGTGGCTAAATGAAAAAACAGATTTGGAAGGAGATGACATCTAGGATTTTCATAGTTGAGAAGTCAATGCCTGGCTTCAAAACCTCAAAAGCACAGGCTCTCATTTTAGGGGCTAACATAGCTGTCAACTTTAGGTTGAAGCCAATGCTCATTTACCATCTTGAAAATCATAAGGCCCTTAAGAATTATGCTAAATCGACTCTGCCTGTAAACAGCCTAGATAACAGCACATCTGTTGACAGCATGGTTTACTGAACATTTAAAGCCCACTGTTGAGACCTACTGCTCAGAAAAAAAGATTCCATTCAAAATAATAACTCATTGACAAGGACCTGGTCAGTTACCCAAGAGCTCTTATGGAGATGTACAAAGGGAGAAATGCTTTCATGCCTGCTAACACAACATCCATTCTGCAGCCCATAGATTAATTCCCACTTTCAAGTCTAATTATTTAAGAAAGGCATTTCATAAGGCTACAGCCGCCGTAGACAGTGATTCCTCTAGTGGACCTCAGTAAAGTCAATTGAAATCTTCTGGAAGGAATTCACCATTCTAGATGCCATTAAGAACATTTTTGATTCACAGGAGGTAAAAATAGAGACATTAACAGGAGTCTGGAAGTTGATTCCAACCCTCACAGATGACTTGGAGGGGTTCAAGACTTCAGTGGAGGAAGTCACTGCAGATGTGGTGGAAACAGCAGCAGAACTAGAATCAGAAGTGAGCATGAAGATTGAACTGAATTGCTGCCATCTCATGATAAAACTTGAATAGATGAGGAATTGCTTAACAGATGATGAAAGAAAGTGGTTTCCTGAGATGGCATCTACTCCTGGTGAAGATGCTGTGAACACTGTTGAAATGACAGCAAAGGATTTAGAATATAATAATACATAAACTTAGTTGATAAAGCAGCATCAGATTTTGAGATGATTGACTCCAATTTTGAAAGATGTTCTACTGTGATAAAATGCTATCAAACAGTACTGCATGCTATAGAGAAAACTTTCATGAAAGGTGAGGTCAATCAGTGCAGCAAACTTTATCACTGTGTTATTTTAAGAAATTGCCACAGCCACCCCAACCTTCAGTAACCACCACCCTGGTCAGTAGCCTTCAACATTGAGGCAAGATCCTGCAGCAGCAAAAAGATTATGACTTGCTGAAGGCTCAGATTATCGTATTTTTTTTTAGCAATAAAAAGTATTTTAAATTAAGGTATGTATGTTTTTTGACAGAATATTATTGCATATACTTAATAGACTATAGTATAGTATAAATATAACTTTTTTATATGCAGTGGGAAACCAAAAAGCTCATGTGGCTGGCTTGATTGCAATATTTGCTTTACTGCAGTAGGCCGGGGCTGAACCCACAGTATCTCCAAAGTATGCCTGTGTTAGGGGAAGGGGTACTGCAGGAGGGGAAATCTCATGAGGAAAGTCAGCCAAGTGATCACTTGATATTTCAAGACACAAGAAATTCAGCACTGTAAAAAATTAAGCTCAATAATTATACTGCCACGACTGTATTTCCAGTGTACAAGGCGCCAATAATTGGATCACCCACAAGACAACACACTGCGTTTAACATTTTTATTTTTAACTCCGCTTTGGTAGTACAAAAGTCATAAAAGTACAAACCAGACAGTTAAAAATACACTTGACACTCGAAATGGTGAAAATTTTCCTTACAAATTTTTACATCAAGGTAGTAGCCAACTCATTGATGACACCAAAAAGTTGTCCATCATTAGTGTTTTCTAGAGAAAGTCTGTTGTGGATTCCCTCATCCTTAGAAAGGAGGAGGAGTAACACAAGACCTGTAAACATCAGTTGCTTTGGGAACACAGGAATTCTCATCAGATAGTTCAGTATAAACCAGTAAAAAGCGTATGTGTTGAAAATACTGAACGCTTAATTTTGGCAAATTTGGAAGCCTGCCAGACAAAAACCGCTCAAGTATTTATTAGAAAATATTTAAAACATACTCTTGGTATCAATACAGTTTTAAATATTTTTGAGTATTCTCTTGCCTGTTGTATTGCTATTTAAAAAAAAGTGCTCTGACTTGAATAAGATGGAAAAATAATTAAAGCTAAAGAATATCTTACATTTTATCCCCCACCATTTTGAGGGCATATTTTTAAAGCAAAAAAGTATGCTTATTTGTTTTTAATTAAAATGATTAGCCTAGACTGCACATATATTATTTACACTAATACATACCCCTAAAAGTCCTATATTGCTACTTTCTGGATCTCAGTGAAATTTATTTCCATACTGACTTTCTCCAGTCCACAGTGTATATGAATATGTACACATACAGTGTTTATTAGTTGTCAGTAAAAATTCTCATGAAACTAAATTCCCCATTTATTTAAAAGGTTAGAAATGTTTAGTTTGATGCTGGAAATAAAATCATTGAAGTCTATGTACAGTAAATACTTTGAAGTATATTTTTATGGAAATCATCTTTTGGGAGACAAATGAAAGATGTGCATTTTCCTATATGAAATAAAAGAAGTGCTCAAGGCACCCCCCAACACTGACATGGAGGCGGGTCTTGGAGACCTTGTAACTGGCCTCCCCCACAGCTCACCCCAGAGCTACCATAAATCATGTAATACTATTTATGCCTCTGGGTCCTTTCAGGTGTTTTGTAAAATGTACAGTTATAAAAAAAAAAAAGAAAAAGAAAAGTTTGCCAGGCCTAAAGGGAAAAGTAACTGGAGTGTTTTAAATAATGAGCATTAGTTACAGGATGAAAAACAGGAAATACACAAAGAAAAACATGCCAGAGGTAGGTGCAGGCCCATCTTATATGAGAAGCAGGGTTCTAGGCCGGGCGCAGTGGCTCAAGCCTGTAATCCCAGAACTTTGGGAGGCCGAGGCGGGTGGATCACGAGGTCAGGAGATCGAGACCATCTTCGCTAATGCGGTGAAACCCCGTCTCTCCTAAAAATACAAAAAAAATAAGCCAAGCGTGGTGGTGGGCACCTGTAGTCCCAGCTACTCAGGAGGCTGAGGCAGGAGAATGGCGTGAACTCAGAAGGTGGAGCTTGCAGTGAGCTGAGATCGTGCCACTGCACTCCAGCCTGGGCGACAGAGCGAGACTCCGCCTCAAAAAAAAAAAAAAAAAAAAAAAAAGAGAGAAGCAGGGTTCTTTTGTTTTGGCCTTGGGTTGTCCAAACAAATTTGTGTGTGTGTGACTTTCAACCATTTTCTCCTTTATTCAATGGATTAACCAAGAATCGCTCAGCTAAAGGTTAAAAAAAAAAAAAAAACAAAAAAAAACAAAAAACCGGGTGCAGTGGCCCACGCCTATATTCCCAGCACTTTGGGAGGCCGAGGCGGGTAGATCGCCTGAGGTCAGGAGTTCAAGACCAGCCTGACCAATATAGTGATACCCCGTCTCTACTAAAAATACAAAAATTAGTCGAGCGTGGTGGTGCATGCCTGTAATCCCAGCTACTTGGGAGGCTGAGGCAGGAGAATCGCTTGAACCTGGGGAGGTGGAGATTGAGGTGAGTGGAGATTGTGCCACTGCACTCCAGCCTAGGGGACACAGCGAGACTCTGCCTCAAAAAAAAAAAAAAAAAAACCTTCTCAAAATGTGTAAGTGCTGTAGGAGTGACATGGTGGTGGCAGGAGTTAATGCTGAATTTGTGGTCAAGGAATCCAAAGTCTAGCATCTGGTCCCATCTGACTCCATGGTCCCTTGGGGAATCAACTCCTCAGGGCTAACTAGATTATTTCCACTGAGCTTTTACCACTGAAGATTCATCTTTTATCTTTTGTAACAGCTAACCTGTATGTATCAAGATCTTCTTACAACCAGTGTCAAAATAGGATGCAGGAACTGGAAAAAGAAACACACACTCACGTGCACACATGCATACACATATACACACACACCCCTGAGCATAAGCTCAGACTGTACATGAATAGTATCACTGCACATACTCATCATAATGGAAAAACTACAGTGTGTACACCAAGGCCTGGGATTAGGGGCTGGGAAGAGTAGAGGCTGGGAGTGGTTAAGAAGATAAAAACAGCTCTTTCCTTCCCTGGAAGTATAATAAAATTTTCAACAGACTCTTTCAACCAAAACTTGTTTCAAAGCAAACTGAATTCTGTATATGGCACAGCAATAATATTCCCTTTTAGGTTTTATCCACGTGCCTGCTGACTCCATGATAGAAACTGTATAAAATATATAAAAATATTCCCAAGGCAACTTCATATAAGTTTTCAGTCTCTTAGAGCTCTTCAAGTCAAGTCATTGCTGCAAGAGAAAACAAAAAATGTAGATCTTTAACCAAGGGTAAGCATCATATCACATATTAATCTGCCTGAATATTTAAAAACACAGAAGAATTATAATCTATTCTTACCCTGTCCCATCCCATCCCACCCCATTCCTTCTACCACTGTACATTTTTTTCTAGAATTCAGGCTAAAGAAATTTAAGTAAAATATAATTAATTCCAAGAGTTCTCTCGAGATCTGGCTGTTTAAATGTATGTGCCCCTCCCCCTTTCTCTCTCTTGCTCCTGCTTTTCCCATGTGATGTGCCTTCAATAGGTGTCTTTCTAAAGCCCCACCAAAGCCAGTTCACTGGAAGTCTCTACTGACCATCCAAGACAGCACGGTTGGGATTTCAAGTAAGAACACAATGATTAAATATTCCATCTTAGGTCTTTATTGTACCTTCAGGGTTCTGGATTGTATTTTTAAGTCATTCTAACAACTGGCCCTTGTCAATGTCTACGTTTACATCACAAACAAAGGCCCATACTTGTAAAATAGCTCCCTGCTTTTCAAATGACTTTCTATAACTATCTCATTTAATGAACAGCTCTGTGACTTTTTACTTTCCTGTTTTACAGACTGGCATAACCCAGGACAGGACTAAAATTATAGAGCTCCCCGTGTATGCTGAAATACACATACCATGCAGGTGAACCCACACAAGGTTAAGGAACGAAACGTTCTCCCACCTGCCAAAATCATGTGTACCCTATAAACACTAAACAAAACCAGAGATAGACCCAGCTTGCAGAAATATGAAGAAATAGCATGAAGTTGCTAGAAGTGTTTTGAAGAACATACTTTTTACTTATTTTACAGCTTGTCCTTCAAGATATGTACCTTATTATTATCTATGTTATCCTCTTCTGTCATTTGGTCATCCATAATATTCAATGGTATATTCAATATAATATTCATTTGGTCAACCATAATATTCAATATTATATTCAATATAATATTCAAAGAGAATAGAGACAGAGCACAAGAGGAAGAATGAGGGAGACAGACAGAAAGAAAGAGATTTATTTCCCAAATGAGATGATGAGTAAAGGACCTTTATCCCCTTAGCTAAAAAGGAAACACTGTCCAATAAAACAGCATGGATCAAGTTTTTAATTCTAATGAAATACGTAATACCCTGCACTGAATTGCCAAAACTGTACAAGAACTGCAGATTTTTACTGTAAAACTGAACAAAGTCAAGTCTGGAACTACTTTCAGGTAGGTGTCAATTCATATAAACATTCTAGCAGAGGGGGAAAAAAGGTAGAAAGGCCAGAGGTAGAGACATATAAAAATGGCCCTAAAAAAAAAAAAAGGAAAAAATGAGAGGGAATTTTCCAGGCAAAACCTTAAACTAGGCCATTATCTAGAAAACAGGTATGGTATTCCACTGTTTTTATGTCTCCTCTTTATGTGCTCCCTTAGAACTAGACATTTTTGCATCAAGGAAAATAACAACGTCAAAGGTGGGGGATGTCAGGCCTAGAAACTAATGTTTCATCACAGTAACAGTTTTCACTGCAACCTAGAAACACTCCTCATTTTGAGTGTTTTGCACAGATTTGACCGGCTTTAAGAACTGGGCATGCAAGAATACAGGCTAAGCTAAAAAGGAGGGGCCTGGATTCAAATCCAGACCCCTACTCCCAGCCGTGGAACCGTGGCTGTTTCTGTAGCATTCTCTCCTAGGGTTACTGGGGATTTGACATGAGATGATCCTATGCACAACGCTTAATACGAGGAAAAGCAATCAGTATGCTCCGAAAGGTTAACTATTCTGGTCATTACCATCATCCAATTCTCTGCTCTCAACAATCACATTAGCTTTCTTCAACAGCTGCCTTCTGCAGCTGATAAAAACTGCACTATCTGTAATATCTTTGAGAGAGGAAGTAAAAAATACAAATCACTGCTTAAAGTCCTCACTGCTAATACCAGAAACTAAGCAGAAAAGGGAAAGCTAATCTTATTAAAACCCTTGCAGTTCTGGTCTCTAATTACAAACACACATTTATTAGAAGGTAGCACATTACTGGCACAACACTATGACCTTCCAGGTATTTCTTTAACCCAGAACAATAATAAAAGTGTTACAAGGTGCCTTCCATATTGTCCTGCAGCAGTCAGAAATCATGTGTGGGTGGGCACAGAGACACCAGAAAGGCTAACAGGAGTGGGTGAGAGAGGAAACACCCACCCACTCACTGTTCCCAGTTGCCATCACATGGGACCACACCACACTGAGCAAGCCTGGCCTATCTCTCTTCGGGAGAAATTTTGTGATGACAGTTTACACAAGTGAGTACTCAAGCTGGAAAAAATTAAGCGAAGTTCCATTACATGGAAAACAGAATTCAGAAATCCCAAAGTGTAACCATTTTGCTTATAAAACAAGACTGATGGATAAAAATTAAGAACCGCCCAGAAGATTTATCTGGAACAAAGGAAGAGGTTGTCTTTTTCTTTAGAGTTTATTGCTTATGACATAATCTTATAAAGATAAAGCCATAATCCTCTCATTATACTATGGGTCCACGGAAGCTGCCATATGTCTCTGATTAGGATATACATACAAATATCTATGCCTTGTTAAAAAGGATTCTCTAGAAAAAAAAAAGAAATTGATCCCTTTAAAAATTAGAAACATGTTATAAGAAACTAGGAGCCTAAGCGGATTAATGAACAGTAAATGCTAAAATCTCTAAGTGTAGGATGTTAAGGAAGAAAAAGTCTATCTGATTAATAATAACAGCACTGGCATTTGCAGAGCACTTTCTCTGTGCCAGGTACTGTCATGCTAAGCACTCTAGGGTCATTAACTCAATCTTCCCGATGACTCCATAAGTCAATGATTCCTATTTTCATAGGAGGAAACTGAGGCTTCCAGGTTCAATAATTTACCAAAGGCCACACAATTAGTAACGGGAAAGTAGGAAATCCATCCCAGGCAGTAAGACCTGGAAGACCACAAAGCTACCTCCATGCTGCACTGCTATCCAGTCACCCCGGACACACCCACAGCATCACTGGAATCCTCTGGTACCCTCGCTTCTCTGCTCCCCACCTGTGTGGCAGGCAACAGAAAGGAAATGCAGAAACTAGAAATGCTGCCAGGGTCTCTCTCAGGGGAAATCACTGTGGTTGCATGAACAGTTAAATGATGCTAAAAACCTATACTTTAAAGGGGCCCAGTCCCTGGGAAGATCAAAAGTATACACCTACACAACACTGAATTCTGATCTCATTCTAAGACAAGGCTATGGAACCACACAGTCGGATTAATAATTCTCTTGACCACTTTTAAATAAAATAAATAGAGAACGTTGTTTATAGAGCTACATGACAGCAATATTAACACTGAAGTCCCGGAGCTACATTTAAGTGATCAATCACTAATAATCTGTGCTCCTTTAAGGCTCACACTTCTTAGTTAGAGATTTATCTTGTTCCAGGCTCTACTGACCATTCTGCAGTTACACGCTTGCAGGTTATGATGGCTGTGCATGTGACACCATGGTCCTGCAATGGTACTGCCTGCGTAGATCGGCATCTTGGCAGATATCGATTAATGGAATCACATCACAGAGTATTCAGTGCTTATAGTCCTTTAAATCTTGCTCTGGTCTAAATTGTGTGTTAAATTTTATAAATTAACACGGATACCTTCTTATTTTAATAAAGGCTCTTGTTTAACAAACCCAATAGATTCATGCTAATCTAGGCTAATCCATGCAATCTTTTAAAATCAGTGTTTCCCAGAATGATCAGCAGAACCTGCTTTAGAATCGGCTTAAATATTACCAAAAACTTCAGATTCCTTGGGCCTCTCCCTGAGACCTACTAAATCAGAGTCTACGGGGTTGCAGTCCAGGACTCTGCTTTCCTATAAGGTGCTTCATTGATTCTAATGCACGTATGAAGGTTTAAGCTTTTAGGTAAGACCCAGTACTAATGTTTTTCAACTGATTAAAAACAGCAAGAATTAAATCCGCTTCCAAAGGGTAAACCCTGCAAACACAACACTATAAAGTCAGCGGAGGTCAAAAAATACATCTCAGAAATGGGGGCGAAAACAAGTATGACAAAATCACTTAAAGACTGAAATATTAATTAAAAACTTCAGTAACTTGGCCAGGCATGGTAGCTCATGCCTATAATCCCAGCACTTTGGGAGGCCAAGGTGGGCAGATCACTTGAGGTCAGGAGTTCGAGACCAGCCTGGCCAACATGGTGAAACCACGTCTCTACTAAAAATACAAAAATTAGCTGGGCATGATGACGCATGCCTGTAGTCCCAGCTACTTGGGAGGCTGAGGCAATAGAATCGCTTGAACCTGGGAAGCAGAGGCTGCAGTGAGCCGAGATTGCACCACTGTACTCCAGCCTGTGTGACAGAGTGAGACTCCGTCTCAAAACAAAACAAAACAAAAAATCAGTAACTCAATTTTAAAATTACAGAATCTGTTTTTAAATGTATTTCAAAGTAGTTGGGAACTAGAATTCGACTAATTTGCAGAGGGCTCTTGTAATGATGAGATGAATGCCATATTATCACACCTGTTAAGGAATCACTGAGGGCCAACTATGTACAAGATGCCAAGATGCCACCTAAAGTCTCAGCAAAGGATGAGAAGACACCATCCAAAGGCACTGCCCAAGTCCTGAAGGAGCTTAGTGTATGCAGGGAGGAAGCTTAAACAATCAGCTTCGACGCAAGAAAAACTGAGCCATGCTGCATATCATTTTTAAACACAACTGGAATATTTTATAACTTGTTTTTTTCATCTAATAATATACAGTAGATGCTCTGTGTCTGTACATATAACTCTACATCAATCTTTTTTTCTTTTTTTTTAAGAGACAGGGTCTCACTCTGTTGCCCAGGCTGGAGTACAGTGGCACAATCATGGCTTGCTGGAACCTCGAACTCCTGGGCTTAAGTCATGGAGTTCAAGCTACCACTTTATCCTCCCATGTAGCTGGGACTACAGGTGCATGCCACCCTACTCAGCTAATTTTTTATTTTTTTTTATTTATTTATTTTTTTAAGTAGAGACAGGGTCACTATGTTGCCCAGGCTGATCTCAAACTTCTGGCTTCAAGCAGTCCTCCAGCCTCAGCCTCCCGAACTGCTGGGATTACAGGTATGAGCTATCACACCCAGCATCTACTTCAATCTTTGGCATTTGCAGGCCATTATGAAATGCATAAGGCACAATTCATTTACTTAATCTCCCATTGATAGATGTATTTAAAGATGCTTCCAGGTACTTGCTACTATGTAAATAATGCTAAAGTGAACAACTTTGGACATTATCTTTGCATTTATGCATGATATTTATTAATTGGAATAATTTGGTCAAAGAGTACATATTTAAGTTTTTACAGTTCCAGATTGCCACCACAAAGGTCTAGACCATTGTAGCCTCCTGCTTTGGTGTGGGATAATGTCCATCTCCCTGCACCCTCTTGATTTTTGTTTGGTTGGTTGGTCGTTTTTCTTTTCTTTTCTTTTCTTTTCTTTTGAGACGGAGTTTCGCTCTCGTTGCCCAGGCTGGAGTGCAATGGTGTGATCTCGTCTCACTGCAACCTCCGCCTCCCGGGTTCAAGTGATTCTCCTGCCTCAGCATCCCGAGTAGGTGGGATTACAGGCATGCGCCACCACCCCCAGCTATTTTTGTATTTTTAATAGAGATGGGGTTTCTCCATGTTAGTCAGGCTGGTCTTGAATTCCCAACCTCAGGTGATCTACCTGCCTCAGCCTCCCAAAGTGCTGGGATCACAGGCGTGAGCCACTGCACCCACCTCCCTGCACCACATTTTTTTTTTTAGAAGGAGCCTCGCTCTGTCACCCGGGCTGGAGTGCAGTGGCGCAATCTCGGCTCACTGCAACCTCCGCCTCCCAAGTTCGAGCGATTCTCCTGCCTTAGCCTCCCGAGTAGCTGGGACTACAGGCGTGCGGCATCACACCTGGCTAATTTTTGTATTTTTAGTAGAGTCGGGGTTTCACCATATTGGCCAGGGTGGTCTTGAACTCCTGACCTCGTGATCCACCTGCGTCAGCCTCCCAAAGTGCTGGGATTACAGGCGTGAGCCACCGCACCCAGCCCCTGCACCCTTTTAACCAAGGTGACCACATGAACCAGTTTGCCTGGGAGGTCTTGGTTTATATATGTTTACCCAGAATAATTATTCACAGTGTTCCCTTTTATTCTCTGCAGAGTCTCTCTCTGTCACCCAGGCTGGAATGCAGTGGCATGATCCTGACTCACTACAGCCTCCAACTACTGAGCTCAAGAAATCCTTCCACCTCAGCCTCCCAAGTAGCTGGGACTACAGGTGTATGCCACATGCCCAGCTAATTTTTTAATTTTTAATTTGCAGAGACAGGATCTCACTATGTTGCCCAGGCTGGTCTCAAACTCCTGGCCTCGAGCCATCCTCCCACCTCAGCCTCCCAAAGCACTGGGATTACAGGTGTGAGCTACCTCCTCATTTTGGATGTGAGTTATATGGTCATGCTAGTGTTAACATTCATCTTTGTCACCAGAGAAGCAAAAAGTGATCTCAGTTTGGATTTATTTCATTATTAGTAAAGTTGGGCATTTTTTATGTTTATTGACTACTACATCTTCCATGAGTTGCATATTATAACCCCCAATTTGAGAAGGGGGCTTAATAACTAAAACCTTAATTTTTTAATATCAATAGTGAGAAGCTTTCTATGTATGTGGGTCAATTCAGGAAAAATAATGTTTCTAGGTGTGTTTCTCCATTCAAAATAGAAATCACTTTTTTTAACTAGCATAGACAGAAATGTATATTCCTGCAAATTATATTATCTTCTTTGTTGAATAATACCAGTGAGAAATTTTGCATTCCTTACAGTTTTGAATCTTCTGACATTAGATTTAGATCTGAAGTCTGAAGGTTGTTCTTTACTGGGTTATATTCTCACAGCAATTTCAACATACTTATATATTTAGCAACAATGGGTTTCCCAAGTGACAGCAACTGAACACTTGTGATTTACCAGCCTTTGAGATGGTAGAATCAGAGCACCTTATTCCAAGTAAAATGTAACTGACATCAAAAGTTATTCTGTACCTGGAAAAACAAGGATTCAACTGGAAATTATTTAAATGCAATTCAGCAGTTCCCTACTAGTCTCAACACACTTCTGATTTAATGTCTACACTAAGCTACAGGCAGAATAACTTATTACTCTGAATAGTACCATCTCTTTCTAATAAGGAAAATGGAACAAGTTAGATATTGCCTCTCTACTGGCTTGTGAGCTAGACAGAGTTCAGCTAACTGGCCTTCAGTAAGCCTCCACTTGAATATCAAATGGACAATACTGCTATTACCTTATAGGTTATGTCTAACCTGGCCTCTATGAGCTTCAAGAGAATCAAGAAATATCAAAAACATTAATTTTAACACTTTTATTGGCTACATGTTTAAATAGGGCTGATCCGATATAGTAATTTAACACCTAACCTATTTTGTACTTACTTAGGGCAAAGGAACAGTATCCCTACGAAGTAGTAGTAGTATTATTATCCCCACTTAACAGATGGAGAAGCTGGGGCATCAGAGGCTAAGTAATTTGCCCAAAGCTAGATAGCTAAAAAGTGACAGCCAAGATCTTGAGCGCAAGAAGTCTGATTCCAGAACCTCTATGGTGGAACCACTACAGTATCCTATGTCCTGTTACTTACAGAAAATAGGTACTGTTTTAACTTAAGCTATTTAATGTTAGTAGAACTCAAGGTCTCAAGGCACAAATTAAGAAAAATCGGCCAGGCGCGGTGGCTTACGCCTGTAATCCCAGCACTTTCGGAGGCCGAGGCAGGCAGATCACAAGATCAGGAGATCAAGACCATCCTGGCTAGTATAGCAAAACCTCTTCTCTACTAAAAATACAAAAAATCAGCCAGGCGTGGTGGTGGGCACCTGCAGTCCTAGCTACTCGGGAGGCTGAGACAGGAGAATGGCGTGAACCTGGGAGGCAGAGCTTGCAGTGAGCCAAGATCGCGCCACTGCACTCCAGCCTGGGGGACAGAGCAAGACTCCATCTCAAAAAATAATAATAATAATAAAATAAGGAAAAAAATAAAGAAAAATAAAAATCCTGATTATAACCATTAATTCCATTTTCTTTCTAATTATAGGTAAAAATGTCTCCGAAAGCCTTTCATTTTCCGCTTCCCTCAAGCCCCCTTGGGTCTGTCTTTAGGCCCTCCAAAGTCTCTAGCCTCCAACACTGCTCAATTTCTGCAGTGAAAAGAGCAGATGTCAAACAGGTGATAGGGATAAAGAGGAAGAACAGATAAGCTCTCCTTCAGTGGGTCAACTCCTGGTCAACAATAGGAAGGGGCCCTGGGGCAGGCCCCTGCCCAGGGAGATATGTGTTAGGAGGAGATGGCTTGCTTTGGTGGCAACTCAAAGCAAAACAAATCAAAAATTCCTGGTCACCCATGTTGTCTAAACTCTGGGAATACTAATAAATATGTTTTAGTATCTCCTGTGCACAGAACAAGGCCATGGAAGAATAACTTAGAAAAAACATCATAGTTGATGACAGTAAAGCATGTTTTTAGGTCCACTCAAAAACTCCCAGATCATGGCCATAAATGTACTGGAGCCACTCCCAACAACTGAGGACAAATAGGGCATATAGCTTTTTAACTGTGTCTACCATTTTCACTCCTTATGGCTCAGTCAATGTGGGAGAGTAAAAGCTGGTTCTTCCTCAGTCATTTGTGAGTAAGACAAAATCTCAACAGTCAGGGAACCACAGAACCTAAAAATCACTAACTTCAATAAAAAACAAGGTATGAACAAGTGTAGTATCTATACTCTCATTTGTAGAAGGGCAAAAGGAGGGGCTTTATATACACAGATATATTGCATAAGCATGTATATGCACAGCATAATCCTGAAAGGACATAGTGAACACTGATCACACTGGTGTCCTCTTGAGAAAAGGTTTAAGAGGTGATACACGCAAAGGGATTAGCAGGATAAAAATGGAGCAAAGATTTATTTTTGGGATTTATTTTTCACCCTGCAGACTTTTAGGCTGTTTAAATATTTTATCCTATGCATTTCTTATATTTCAGTTCTTTTTTAAAAATTCCATTTCAAACACTTGTAATATCCAATACACTGGAGACAGTAAAGGAATGAGCTATAAGGAAGCCCAGGTCCTGGCTCCGTAATGAACTCTCGGCATGATCTTGAACAACACATGTAACAACACACACTAAACAAGGGGACTGGGAGGTGCAGGGGAGAAAAGTCTGGTATAAGCACTAGGATAGAAGCTCTGTAAGAGTATGGTCTTCATTGTCTGTCTGACACACTGCCACATCCCTAAACACAGCAAACTGCCTGGCACATAGTAGGGTCTCAAGTAATGCTTTTTTTTTTTTTTTTTTTTCTGAGACAGAGTCTTGCTGTTGTCACCCCGGCTGAAGTGCAGTGGCATGATCTCGGCTCACGGCAACCTCTGCCTCCCGGGTTCAACTGACTCTCCTGCCTCAGCCTCCCGAGTAGCTGGGACTACAGGTGCCCGCCACCATGCCTACCTAATTTTTGTATTTTTAGTAGAGATGGGGTTTCACCGTGTTGTCCAGGCTGGTCTCGAACTCCTGACCTCATGATCTGCCCACCTTGGCCTCCCAAAGTGCTGAGATTACAGGTGTGAGCCACCGCACCCGGCCAAGAAATACTTTTTAAAGATATAATTGTACCTCCATTGATCTGAACTAGCAATCACAGCTGCTCTGGAGTCTGCAAGTCTATGACCTTCATCTACCTGGAAGAAAACTGAATGGCTCACACACCTGGACCTGATCCAGACAGAGCCTTAAAATCCATCAGCTGCTCATCAGATGATCCCATCGGATGCCAAGGAGGCCATCCAAAGGCTGGAATGATCAGTTCTGTGAGCTATTGAGCTATGTGAAGAAACGGCGGTTGATTTGCTTTCTTGCCAAGAAAAGCAAAGCTCCCTCACACTCCACGGCCACTGAGCATGTAAGCTCCCAAGTATAAATTTCTTCCCATCCAAGCCCTCTCACTACCTAGCCCTGAGATATGGGGAACATTAATCCCTCTAAGCCTGGCTCTTCATCTGTAAAATAGGATATTATTACCTACAACTCCTAAAATTGCTTCTAAAGTCCCATCCTTCACTCAGCTTTTCTCTTCATCTGGCCGGTTCTACCTACCTAGGCTTCACAGAGCAGGGCCTGGGCAGATGCTCACCTCCCTCCACCTCCACATTTCAGATGGACTCAGTGGGCTCAGTCTCCCACACAGGAGTACGGCAGGCATCACGGCACTACTTTTACCTTTGAGAAATGTGTTTAGCAACTGAAAACCAAGCCAGGTGGCCTAATCCATGCCTACTTTAGGTGCAGTTTCTTTTTATATTCTGTTGCCCCGTAAGACCAGTGAATCAAGTTAAAGGGTTCCCATCAAATCTGAGATCCTTTTGCTTTTTAAAAAAGATGCATTTTTTCCTGAAAAAATTACAGCTAGAGAGAAAAAAATAAACTAACTAGTAGTACCTGCAGTTTCTCATCATTAACTGCTTCCTGGAGAGTTAATAAAAGAAAAGCAATTGAGAGGACTGCAAATCAAGCAGTACGACTTCCGAGGGGGTCCCCAAGGAGCTTCTACTATAATTCCTGCCACAGAGTCCAAAAAAAGGAGCCAAGGAGCCTTTCCTCACTGTTAGAGGAGAACATGAAGGCGGCCGAAGGTCAGAAGAGCCACCTTGTGACCAGCCACAGATGCTCAGGAGGGAGTTTGAGCCATGAAAGAGTCTTGACAAAGAGGAGACTTTTATTCCAAAGCAGAACACCGGCACAGCAGTCACGCTTAGGCCGAAAACGTCTCTGTCCAGCATTTCAATTTATCCCACCCTCTGATTTTTATAATAAAAAGAACTTGTCAGCAAAACTTTTCCATCTCCTTGTTAGTAATTTTAATTCCACCTCTTGGAAGAAGGAAATGGTTCTTTCTTTCTTTCTTTTTTTTTTTTTTTTTTTGAGGCAGAGTCTCCCTCTGTCGCCCAGGCTGGAGTGCAGTGCAGTGTGCAATCTCGGCTCACTGCAACCTCCACCTCCCAGGTTCACGCCATTCTCCTGCCTCAGCCTCCAGAGTAGCTGGGACTACAGGCACCCGCCACCACGCCCGGCTAATTTTTTTTTTTGTATTTTTTAGTAGAGACGGGGTTTCACTGTGTTAGCCAGGATGGTCTCGATCTCCTGACCTCGTGATCCGCCCACCTCGGCCTCCCACAGTGCTGGGATTACAGGCGTGAGCCACCGCGCCCAGCCGGGAATGGTTATTTCTAAGGCCTCCTTAATGCAAACAAGAAAATGGCCCAAATTCCTAAGGGACTTGACAAATACTATCTATTTCTGAGATGTCCTGAGAGTCCAAAGCTGTAATGTTCTTAAGATGTAAAAAGGAATTCACAGTACCAAAAGCTGATGCTTCAGAAATGACCTAATAAATAATTAAGACCACCAGCCATGACAATTGTTAACAGCAGTGAATGTTTAGCAGATACTCTGTGCCAAGGATTGACTTATGAACTACACATATATCGTATCATGTATGTCCAGCAACGATCTCATTTTAAAGATGAAATAACCGGGGCTTGAAAACATTAAGTAACTTGCCCAAAACCATTGGTAGTTAAGTGGCACAATTAAAAGTAAGGAGTTTAAAACCCAGCTTTTAATCACTGAAATAAATTACTAAAATAAAAATCAATACAATAGTCTGAATAAAACAAAAATAAAAACAGATGTCTAATATTATGAATTTTTGTTTTGATAAAAGAAATGCTACTGTAATACTGCAATACTACTAGAAAAACACATAGGAGGAAAGTTCCATGACACTGATCTGGACAATGATTTTTTGATAAGATCCCAAAAGCGCAGGCAACAAAAATGGACAAATGGGATTTCATCAAACTAAAAAGCTTCTGCAGAGCAAAGCAATCAACAGAGTGAAGAGATAACTTATAAAATGGGAGAAAATATTTGCAAACCATACATCTTATAAATGGTTACTATCCAAAATATATAAGAAACACAAACAACTCAAAAGCAAGAAAACAAATAACCCAATTTAAAAATGGGGCAAAATGGGAAGGGAGGGTTGGGGAGATGATGGTCAAAGGACATAAAATTTCAATTAGGAGGAATAGGCCATCAAATCCAAATTTGAGCAAAAACCTCTTTCAGGAAAAATTACAACTCTAAAGACTGTATCAGAAATCTATTGCACAATATGGTGGCTACAGTTAATAACAATGTATTGTATTCTTGAAAAATGCTAAGAGAGATTTTAAATATCCTCACCACAAAAAAATGATAAATATATGATGTAATACATATGTCAATCAGCTCAATTTAGCCATTCCATAATGTATGCATGTTTCAAAACAACATGTCGTACATAATAAATATAGATAATTTTTGTCAATAAAAATAAATAAAATGTTAAAAAAATTGTAATGGGCAAAGATTCTAAATAGAAATTTCTCAAAAGAAGACCTACAAATGGCCAACAAATATATGAAAAAAAGGCTCAACATTACTAATCATCATGGAAATATAAATTAAAACTATAATGAGATAATACCTCACACCTGTTAGAATGACAATTATAAAAAAAGTGCTGATGGGGATGTGGAGAAAAAGAAATTCTTGCATACTGTTAGTGGGAATATACATTATTACAGTCATCATGGAAAACAGTACGCAGGTCACTAACAAAAATTAAAAATAGACCGGGCACAGTGGCTTGCACCTGTAATCCAAGCACTTTGGGAGGCCGAGGCAGGTGGATCACTTGAGATCAGGAGTTCAAGATCAGCCTGGCCAACATGATGAAACCCTGTCTCTCCTAAAAATACAAAAGTTAGCCAGGTGTGGTGGCTTGCATCTGCAATCCCAGCTACTCAGGAGGCTGTGGCAGGAGAATCGTCTGAACCCGGGAGGCAGAGGCTGCAGTGAGCCGAGATTGTCCCACTGCATTGCAACCTGGGCGAGAGTGAGACTCTGTCTCAGAAAACAAACAAACAAATTAAAAATAGAACTACCATATGATCCAACAATCCCACTTCTCAGTACATATCCAGAGGTACTGAAATCAGTATGTCAAAGAGATATCTGTACTGCCATGTCCACTGCTGCATTATCCCAATAGCCAAGATATGGAATCTTCCTAAGAGTCCCTGAACATATGAATGAATAAAATGTAGTATAGATACATAATGAAACACTGTTCGGCCAGAAAAAAAGAAGGAAATCCTGTCATTGAAGATAAAATGGATAAACCTGGAGCACATTACATTGAGTGAAATAAGCCAGGCACAGAACGACAAATACCACGTCATCTCACTTACATGTGGAATCTAAAAAAAGTTGAACTCATAGAAGCAGAGAGAAGAAAGGTGGTTAGAGGTAGGGGCGGGGGAGGGGTTGGTCAAAAGACACAAAATTTTAGTTAGAGGGGATAAATAATTTCAAGAGATCTATTGTACAACATGGTGACTGCAGTTAATAACAATGTATCATATTCTTAAAAATTGCTAAGAGAGTAGATTTGGAGTGTTCTCACCACGCAAAAAAATTATAAGTATGTGTGGCAATGCATACGTTCATTAGCTCAATTTAGCCATCGCAGTGTACACACATTTGAAAACATTACATTGCACATGATAAATATATGCAACTTTCATGTGTCCATTAAAATCTGATTAATTTTCAATAAAAAATTTTAAAGTATGGTTATGTAAACTTACTAAATCAATGTTTCCAACAGGACACTATCAGCGAATGGAACAAAAGAGGGCAGACTTCAGAAACATGCGACACAGAATGCTTAGGACAGGATCATTTTTAAAAAGCCAAAGACCAGTGACAATGAAGACAAGGCAGTGGCATTTGGAGGCTGAAAGCAATTCAATTTATTTAACTTTGAAGAACAAAAGCTTATTCTTCTCAGGAGAAACCAAAACACATTTTCTGCAGAAAAAAGACCATTTTAACCGCATTGCCAAAATAAATCAGGCAGAGGGCAAGAGGGCAAGTTAGATGTAGCCACAAACAAGAACTCAGACCAACAAAGCAGGGTTAGACGAATGGGGAGGCCATGCCCAACATCAGATTTGGGGTTTTAAAGGGAGAAGGAACCAGAAGGGAGAGAGAGAAATCCTGCCACAGTCTTGATAACATTCTATTTAGAATATAAGTTTAGTTTCTGGTAACAAACACCTTAAACAAAAGAAATAAAAAAAGAAACCTAACCAATAAGTGGATATGCATTTGTATTTGAATATTTGAGTCTGTTCTACAATAAAACAAAACATTGCAGTAAAATTGTTTGGCTAAAAATCCAAATTTGAGCAAAAACCTCTTTCAGGAAAAAATACAACTCTAAAGACTGTATCAGATTGTAGAAGAGACACATAGCACTCCTCTCCTGCTTCACTAGCTGCATTCCAGTGCAGATCTTCTGGCTTCGTCTAGAACCAGAGAGTCTGGCCCAGAAGTAAAATTTTCAGAATTTTTCTAGTTGGAAAATCAAGTCATGTTAAATGTCCCAAACATACTTTTTTTGGGGGGATGAGATTTGAAAAGAAAAAAAACTGCAAGAAAAATTTTAATGAATACATAATTTTTAAAACACCAATGAATATTCCCTTCCTTCCTTTTTCAGGGCCTATACTTCATTGGGGTAATCAGATAGGGCCACCCAGCAGGTCTCAATCTGAGCAGGCTCTACTCATGGGACCTGCTCGTCTTGGACCCAGTTGAATGAAGTCTGTGACACCTGAAGCAAGGCTGCCCAGGTTCAAGTCTAACTCTATCACATTCTTGCTGGTATCTCTAAACAAGTTGTTTAAACTCTCTGTGCTTAAGACCTTCATCTGCAAAATGGGGTACTAGCACCTATAGACTGCCGTGGCGAGGATTACAGAAATTAGCTAATACACGGAATGTGCCTTTCAAAGCATGCCCAAGTACAGAATACCCAAAAAACTGTAGGTATTATAATTAATTTACTCCATGGATCATGGACATCCATGATACTATTCTACTTTTGAGTTTAAAATTTTTCATAACGAAGAATTAATTTTTAATTTGAAAATCAATTACAACAAGTTGGAGGCTCGGAAAACACGTCACCCTTTGAAGGCCACTCGTGCTCATTGTGATTTGAGCAGCACAACACAATATGACTACCTTCTACTGAGAACCAACTACATTCCAGACTTTCTCTTGGCTCTTGGATTAAAACAATGAATTTAATACCTTATTTCACGTTCAAGGAAACCAGGGGTAGGGCAGTTAAGTACAATGTCCAAATTGTGAAGCTCAGATTTGCACCCATGTCTTCTGATCAAATCCAATCCTCGTTTATATAATCCTGTTGAATAACAGTGTGCTGTGCAGAGAATATCTCATTGTAAATCAGTTAAATGTGGTCAGGACTTCAGATGCTTGGACCAAATTTCTATAATCAGAATCAGACAGATTCGGGCCAAAAAAACCAGCTGAGCAATCCTAATTCCTTCTAACCTTCCCAGATCTAGAGTACCGCTCTCTGGGCAGTGGTGGCCAAAATCAGCCATGGCACTAGTTAGCCAAGCTCTAATCAGAGGTGAGTCTGACAAGAGGATCATCTTGCAGTTCCTAATCGAGGGCAAGCCAGGTCTTCTGGTGCAATCGGCTCCATCTCTCAACTCACTGCCCAGTTGATGACTCATACTCAGCCTGTCCTTATGACCCATACTTTCTTTGCAGCTAAGCTGGCTGGGCCTTCCTCACCTAAGACTTGAATAGCCAGATGCTTCTCTTCCCAGATAGCCAAGTCCTTCACTGACCTTAATCAGAATGCTCCTCTTTCCAGCTATATGACCTTCAACATGTAACTCACCTTTCCCATTCATCAGTTTCCTCATCTGTAAAACTATGATCATAGTACTAACCCCATTTGGAGAGGTTTATAATGATGACATGTGAGAAACACATCAGTACCATGCCTAGAAGACTAGAATATTGAATTAACGTTAGCTGCTGTTATTACCCATCTTCATCATCCTCTTCTTAAATTCCTCTTGACTCCCTTCCCTAAGGTCACCAGTAACTGGCTGAGAAGCCAATGGTAGACTTTTCTGTACTGTTTCTCTCTTTAAGAAGGCTCCTATTCTGCTCCTAAACTCAGGAAGAGACGCCAGATCTCCCCACAGGCAAAACCGCGAGGGCTAACTAACACTAGAAAATGATCAGAGTCCCTATGTCTCAGAAAATTTAGGTGCACAGAGTTGTTCCAGATTGCTTCCAGAGCACCTTCAACCCTCTGAGCCCGGCAGATTATCAGAGAAGCTTCACCCAAAAGCCACATCTCTCCTCCACTCAGCCACACCGACCAAAAATGAATGAATCACATGGTAATAATCAGTAGCATGGACGGAGCATTTCCCACGTGCCAGGCCCTGCCTTCACACGTGCAACTTCATGGAAATCTCACTCCCGCCCCTGAGGCAAAGAGCACCACTTCCAATTTCCAGTGAGGCATAGAAAGCTCAAGTATCTTGCCCAGGTCCCAGGGTTAGTGAGTGGCACACTGGAGCTTGAACCTGGCAGTCTGACTCCAGGGTTCATGTCAGTTTTGCTGTGTCCCTGCCTGACCTCTCCCCCATTGCCCGCCCTCCCTTCCCTATGTAAGTGTAAACTCTTCTGCCTTCATGTTCAGGCTCTGATGGTTCCATGGAGCACTTAGGGCATGATCCCTCCCAAATCGTCACCGTTGCTCTTTTACAAGGGATAAGAAACATGGAAAGGATAAATACCACTCAAGCCGGAACAGAAATAAAGGAGTTAAGATGAAAGTTAAGCCACTATCAATTTATCACAGGGTTCTGGTGCGTGTGTGTGTGGTTTTTTTTTTTTTTTTTTTTTTTTTTGAGACCGAGTCTCGCTCTGTCGCCCAGGCTGGAGTGCAGTGGCGTGATCTCGGCTCACTGCAAGCTCCGCCTCCCGGGTTCACGCCATTCTCCTGCCTCAGCCTCCTGAGTAGCTGGGACTACAGGTGCCCACCACTACGCCCGGCTACTTTTTTGTATTTTTTAGTAGAGACAGGGTTTCACCATGTTAGCCAGGATTGTCTCGATCTCCTGACCTCATGATCCGCCTGCCTCGGCCTCCCAAAGTGCTGGGATTACATGGGATTACAGGCGTGAGCCACCGTGCCCAGCTGCGTGTTGTTTTTTTTTTAAGCAGTGTCTTGCAAAATTAAAATTGCCAAATCAAGAAATAAATCACTGTGGCTTTTCAATTGCCTCAAAATATTTGGTGGGAAGAGAAATATTCGTATTGAGGTTTCAGAACTGTGACACAAAGAAAACTGGTTTCCAACAGAATAAAAGGAAAAAGCATTGGTTTGTTTGCTCCAGACTTTTTCAAGTCACAGTTTACCTAAAAATGGTGACAAGATTACAAGTCATTTGGCCTGCATGGTTGTTTAAAAAAAAAAAAGTAAGCTGCCAATATCGAAAATCAGTGATTTTACATTTTAGAAGTCTGGATTTTGTCTTTTTTTGCGTAAGAAGATGCAGCAACACTAGGTGCTTTCTGCCTCGTGGTAATGCAAGCCCTATATGGTGGGTGATGTGAATTCTAGTTTGCCACAATCCCCACCATGCCACATTGCCTCACAAGTAATCCTCTATCCTCATTATCACACAGGCCAAGCCCCTGGAGGCACTAAGTTTGTGACTTCTTTACAAGAAGCTCTAGGCAGACAAGTAATCATGTTCAGTCCCCCTCAGTCTTCCTGGGTCAAGGAAAGCTCTCCCACTTCCCTGTCAAATACCATTCCTATGCTGCCACAGCACCTGGGAGGCTCCAAGTACCTTCTCCTCACCCTGCACCACTCTGCCCCCAATGTCACCAAAACCACGGCTCACCTGCTACTCTGTGCCACTGCGTTCTCTCTTCACAGGTGTTGCCGGCACCTCCCCATTGACGGTTTCAGCCCCACTAACAGACATCAGGCTTCTCCGTTCCTTCTGGTTTGACTTGTGCTCCACTTTTGTAACTCTAAATCTGAGGGGGGAATGGGGAGAGGTGATGGGGTTTGCTTTTCTAATAAACAAGAATTATGAATAAAGCAAAAATCATCCACCCAGAGGATCTCAAATGAACTCAGCCAAAAGTTAGGACACAAATGAAAAACAACATATTCGAACATGCATTCCTATCCAGTACATTCCCCTGGCCCCTGCCCAACCTTCCAGCTGATTTCTACTCAGCCACATCACAGACTAAGCCGGATATTTTACAGAGCATGCAAAAGGCATTTAAAAACTCAGGTATTGGCCAGGCATGGTGGCTTATACCTGCAATCCCAGCAGCACTTTGGAAGGCTGAGGTGGGTGGATTGCTTGAGCCTAGGAATTTGAGACCAGACTGGGTGTATGGCAAAACTCTGTCTCTACAGAAATTACAAAAATTAGCCAGGTGTGGTGGTGTGCACTTGTAGTCCCAGCTACTCGGGAGGCTGAAGCAGGAGAATCACTTGAGCCCAGGAGCTGGAGGTTGCAGTGAGCCGAGATCACGTCATGCACTCCAGCCTGGGCAACAGAGCTAGACCCTGTCTCAATAAGGAAAAAAAAAAAAAAAAAAAAAAAAACACCTCAGAGACTCGAATATTAAACAGCGTCAGAGTTGTCGTTTCTAACAATGATCAGTTTTTTTGTTTATTTGTTTTCGAGACAGAGTTTCCCTCTTGCTGCCCAGACTGGAGTGCAGTGGTACAATCTCGGCTCACTGCAACCTCCACCTCCTGGGTTTAAGCGACTCTCCTGCCTCAGCCTCTCAAGTAGCTGGGATTACAGCCATGTGCCACCATGCCTGGCTAATTTTGTATTTTTAGTAGAGATGGAGTTTCACCATGTTGGCCAGGCCAGTCTCAAACTCCAACCTCAGGTGATCCACCTGCCTCAGCCTCCCAAAGTTTTGGGATTATAGGCGTGAGCCACCATGTCTGGCCTACATCAGTTTTTTTAACCACAGAAACCTGGTTAAATGCTCAACTGGTTTACAAATTAGACTGACGTAACCAGAATGTTTACCAGAAGATGACGAACTTCCGAAAATATGCAACTGTCAGGCAGTCCTATCTCAACACACACACGCACACACATGCTCTCACACATATGCAGAAAATCTGAAGAGCCCTAGAAACACATTTTATCAGCATTAGGGTTTGAGAGTAAGCCTTTAAAAAAAATGGGTTAATTTTCATTATAGATTAAGGAAAAACTAAAGGAAGTTAAGGAAGAGATTTTCATTAAGAATTAAGAGTTAAATAAATGTATTCAGTTTAACTGTTTTTTCTAGTATATCATCACCAAATCCTAGAGTCTTTCATAACAGCTTCTTTCTAGTTCTGGTCTTAATTTCCCTTAAAAATTATCTGAAATAAATTCTCCTTCTGTGTCCAAAATAAGATCACCAACCCTGAAGAGAAGGCTCTGAAGAAGTGAAAGAAATAACAGGGAAACTGTAAACACAAATCTATTCTGTCAAACTGTAAGACTCTCTTAAGTAATACATGCTGAAAAACAGCCTGGAATCATTAAGCGCTCCTAGTATCCAATATCCAAGAAAGAGAGTTGGATTTGGGGCATTTTAAAAAGCCATGTTTGGCCAGGCACGGTGGCTTACACCTGTAATCCCAACACTTTGGGAGGCCAAGACAGGTGGATCACTTGAGGTCAGGAGTTCGAGACCAGCCTGGCCAACTTGGTGAAACCCCGTCTCTCCTAAAAATACAAAAATTAGCCAGGCATGGTGGCGGGCACCTGCAGTCCCAGCTACTCGGGAGGCTGAGGCACGACAATCGTTTGAGCCCAGGAGGCAGAGGCTGCAGTGAGCCGAGTTCACACCACTGCACTCCAGCTTGGGTGACAGAGTGAGACTCCACCTCAAAAAAAAAAAAAAAAAAAAAAAAAAAAAAAAAAAAAAGGCATGTTGAATCTGAGTTGAAAATTTCAGCAGATTTTTTTTTAAGGCCAACAAAACATGCTTTGTCCAAACAAGCTACAGGTTCTCACTGCTTTGCATTCATAAATTCCCATGACTCTGCTTCTTAATAAAACAGTGTGGTCATGAATTGTGCTGTTTTGCTGTAAGTGGCAAACAGCCCTGCAAGTCTTCTCCATGATGCTTGTGCAACACATGATGAAACTCAACTGAATTAAAATAAAAATAATACCAGCCAACATTTCTTGAGTGCGTAAGTACCCAAAGCTGGTTTAAGACCTTTATGTGAGTCACCTCACCTAGTCTACACACAGCAACTCTATGAGGTGAGTGTGACTGTCCTTCTCACTTTACAGAGGGGGAAACTGAGGCATGGAGCAACGTAACAGTTTGTAAGTAGTGGTGCCAGGACTTGAAGGAGGTAGAAGTGACGAGTTCAGGTTACTCTTCCCAGGGGGGTTGTCAGTATACTGAGAGAGAAGGATCATGTAAGCAGCACTGTTGACTTTCGCTCAGTGCTCACCCGGTCTCACTCCAGCATGTGTGTTCCTTACCAGTACTCCCCACTGTCTTTCCAAATGCAACATCGGCAATGCAGTTCCTGCATGGGACTCAGCATCTAACAGCAGAACTGCAAAAGCATCCCACTGCAAAGATGCTTCAGGTAAGGGCCAATGGATTCATCACTTGAACTGCAAGATCTCCACCTCACATATGGGTCACAAGTGAAAGGTACTAGGACCAAGAAAGCCAAGACACAGTGGAAAGCACCACCCACTAAAAGAAAGCAGTCAAAGCAATTCACATGGAACTTAACAGACAGACACTGGAGGGCTGTGGACCAGATCCACGTCTTCTCCCTTCCCTTGCACATGGCTTGATGCTATTTCTCAGTTCCCTGAAAGTTAGCTTGGCTGGGTGATCAAGTTCCAGCCAGTGGAGTGTGAGTCAAAATGATACGAGCCACTCTCAGGCCTAGCTCTTTCAAAACCCCTCGTGAACAACCTTCCACAGACCTGCTCCTTTGGCTGGCAAACCTGGCAGAGCCACAAACGAAGGGGGCCTGGAACCCTGGACAAGTACTTGAAGAGCCACCCATTGATATCTCAATACCTGCCCTGGATTCCATAAGTGAAATATAAATGTCTATTCTGTATACAGTTGAAAATCTGGGCTTTATCTGTTAGAGCAGGTAGGTATTTATCTTAATACATTTACCATCTGATCTAGCAACAGCCACCTTTTAGGATTCTTCTGTTGTTGGAAAAATCTAGGACTCACACCAGAAAACATCTAAAAAGCCCAGAGATATAACCTGAGACAGGCACAGAGAACATATTCTACATCTGACAGGTAAGCAGAAGTCCACACACCAGAGCACCCATGTCACACACAAACCAAAAGCATCTGAAGGGATCTTACCTGCCAACAGAAAGGACCGTGACCTCGCCTTGGCGCCGTGGTCTGCTCTCTCTGGACTTGTTAGTGGGCTTTATAAAGTGCCACCGCTTGTGCCTACACCGATGACACACATCCCTCTCGACAACACCGCCCACCGTATGCAGATGATGGCCACAGACGTGCTTCCCTGGCGTCCCCCCTGGTGACAAAGGCCCAGGACTCACTGGCGGGCTCCCTGGTGTGCTGGGGGTCACGGGGCTAATGTGGGGAGGAAAACAAAAAGAGCAACTGGTTAAAGGAAATATCAGCGAAGGTGATCTCTCTCCCTGTGATGACAGAAGCAGTTTAAATTGAAAGAAAAAAAAAAGCGTCTTCCAATTGTACAAATGGACTTTGTGAACAGACCTCAGACAGCAGGTACTCAGTTCTCATGACCATGCGATGACAGTTTATCTTAAGCAATAATAATATGATTCACGGTCAGGCACAACAGCTCATGCCTATAATCCCAGCATTTTGAGAGGCCAAAGTGGGAGGATTGCTTGTGGCCAGGAGTTTGAGACCAGCCTGAGCAACATAGAGAGACCTCGTCTCTGAAAAAAAATGAAAAAATTAGTCAGGCATGATGGTGCGTGCCTGTAGTCCCAGCTACTTGGGAGGCAGTGGTGGGAGGATCACTTGAGCCCAGGAGTTCAAGGTTGCAGTAGCTATGATTGTACCACCGAACTCCAGCCTGGATGACAGAGTGAGACCTGTCTCTAGAAGAAAAAAAAATGTGATTTATCACTTCTAGAATGGAATTTATTAGCTGGGAATAAACCACTGCTTCTAATAGTGATACACTGGCTTTAAAGTATTATGTTTCTTTCTAAAACACTGATCTCCTTTCTCATGCAATTATCCTAATTTCTCACATACCAGAGTGTCTGCCTATCACTCTAAGCAAAGAGATTCTCTAAGTATATATGCCCTGGAAAAGGGAAGAACCCAAATTCCATCAAATTATCAGATAACTTAGAGAAAACATTTGATCAAATCTCCATTATATCAAAGGAGGAAAGCCTTTAGGCAAAGATATCAAAAGTGATGTTCAAAACAGATGTTGATGGTGTTGATAACAGTCATAATTAAATAGCTAACAGTATTCTAAGCATCTTATATGTATATGTTAATGGAATTAATCCTTATAAAATCTTATGATGTAGGTATTATTAATTTCTTCCTTTTAACAATGAGGATATTGAGGCAGGGAGAAGTGAGGTAACTTGCCCAAGATCACACTGCAAATAAGTGCTGGATCTGAGATCCAAACCTAGAAAGTTTAATTCCAGAAACCATGCAATTAATCACCTTGCTATACAGTATAGTGCTTCAGAAACAGCAGAGACCACTTTGATAATCTGGAATATATTTGGCTAGACCATCCAAAATATAAAAAGCAGAAATATGGCCAGGCGTGGTGGCTCACACTTGTAATCCCAGCACTTTGGGAAGCCGAAGCGGGCAGATCACGAGGTCAGGAGATCGAGACCATCCTGGCTAACACAATGAAACCCCATCTCTACTAAAAATACAAAAAATTAGCCGGGGGTGGTGGCGGGCGCCTGTAGTCCCAGCTAATCGGGAGGCTGAGGCAGGAGAATGGTGTGAACCCGGAAGGCGGAGCTTGCAGTGAGCCTAGATCGCGCCACTGCACTCCAGCCTGGGTGACAAAGCAAGACTCTGTCTCAAAAAAAAAAAAAAAAAGCAGAAATACATAGTCGAGATAAGAGCTATTTTCAAAAAGCATGTGTGAAGGCTCTGGCCCAGCAGAAAAGGAGGAATTCTAACCTAACAGAGCCAAACTGAGCAGGAATCAGCCCTCTGGTGCAGGTGGGAGTACTGAGGGTGGCGTGGCACCCACAGCCTGACACCTGGACTGTGGCAAGAGCCCCAGAGACACACAGGAGGCTGTGATGGCAGAAACCAGCCTTTTCGGTGATGCAAACTGGCCACCTACACACTTAAAAAAGAAGTAGAGCCTACGGTTGAGGAGACCGCCTCAAACATGACTGAGCCAAAAGTCTTCTGGTGCTCTTTAGGGATGCCTTCCTACCTGTTAAAATAAAAACACAAAGCAGTACCTTCCTGGAGTAAAATAATGTTAAATTAGCACCACATATTAGAAAGCTGAATGCAAGAGTTTAACAACATTCATTCAACAAGCATTTCTCAAGTACCAGCTATGTACAAAACCCACTGACGGGCACTACAGGATGCCCAAAGATGACTGAGACAAAGACACCTTGAGCTAAGATGGTCAGAACACCAGCCGTCTGTGGCCAGGACTGGAATGTGGGAGAAATCAGAGCTCTTCTGTCTCTATGACTCTACGTCTCTCCTAAACTCAACTCCTTGCATTCTGAGTTACCTTTCTAAAACACACATCTAACGTAGCCAGTTTGACAAACACCTGTTAAACATCTAAGGTGTGCTGAGTGCACAACCCACATAGCAAGTGAAGAAAGATCCAGCCCCTTTGCCATGTCAGTTGGCCTGGCCACCCTGGACTGAACCCTTCACAGGTGAGTCCCAGGCTATCATGATGTGGTGACTTTTCTTCTGGCCCTTCTTCCTACAGCCAGCCCTGACTCTTGTCTCCACCTCCTGCACGCCTGGTTCAGATGGCACCTCTTCCATGAACCTTCCTGAATGCCCATTGGCCCCCCGGGGTCCCCCAGAGCCTTCAGTCTCCACCCATCCTACAGCATTCACAGGCTCTCCACCATGAGGCCTCACACACACATCTCCAATCCTGTGTTCCTCCATGGCAAGGGTCTGTGGATGTCCAGCTCCAGAGCAGCACCCAGCACACAGTAGGCATCCAATAAATGCTCCTTGTTGAAGAAATAATACTTTTATGGAAATACAGTTCTCTGTAATTAATTATGAAGGAATATGCTGCTCAACAACCATAACCTAAAATAGTAATACAAAAACAGAACATAGCAGGTAGCTCCAAACCAGCTTGTTCATTTAATCATCATTGTTCATGGAGGTCTTTCAATGCTTAAGGTACTCTGTATTCCTTATAACAACCCTATAAAGCTGGTACTGTGGTGATCTCCATTTTATAGATGATGGAACTCAGGGTGGTCAGTTAACTTCCTCAAGAACAGACAGTTAATATTGTGGTACAGGCAGGACTCAACCACATCTCCCAATTCCAAGGCTATGTTCTTGCCCTTAACCTCTATGCCTTCCTTCTTCCCATCACTATTCTCTAACACAGCAGTTCTCAACCAGGAGTGACTGTCCCCACTACGGGACATTGACAATGTGTGGAGACATTATGGGTTGTCACACCTTGGGAGGGTGGGGGCAGGGGATGCTCTGACACCTTGTGAGTGAAGGCCAGGGATGCTATCAAACATCCTCAATACACAGGACAGTTCCGCACAGCAAAGAACTACCTGGTCCCAAAATAACTATAGTGTTAAAGCTGGGAAACCTGCTCTAGCAGAAGAGCATTTCAGATGGCGCCATATCTGAGCAAGTAACTGAAAAGATGTCGCACTAAGAAAGAGGGGAGGAGCACTCACCTTTCAGGATCATACAGGCTGTTATCTGCTACCATCGCCTTTAAGACATCAGCATTCGCTAAGGAATAAAAATAAAATTAAAGAATTAAAATAGAATGAATAAGATGAGTAATCACATCAGAAAAGCTGTTGAAAACACATCTAATTCCATTCTTTCAGTTCATAGATGAAGTCCTGGGGGCCTAGAGAAAGGAGGGTCTCCCCCAACATAACTGCATAACATGGCACCATCTGTCAGTAACTTCCACCCCACAGGAACTTAGTAAGAATGACAAAGAATCTATGGCAAGGAGAGCAGATCTACTATAAGGCATTGCTTCTTACACATCAATAGCAATATAAAGTAGAAGAAACCACCCCCTCACCCCACACCAACTCCACCAAACTAAAGGACCATTTATATGCCGCTGCTCCCTTGCAGTTAACTAATTTTGATAAATATACTTTGAAAAATATGATAGTGAAATGTATTTCATAAGTGACCTATAGTCTAATAACTTGTATGTGCCAAAATAATTAGCCCTAAACTCTGAATCCTCCTGTAGCATCAATTCTATCCCATATCGATTCAGGGATGAGAGAAGGTTAATTTTCCAGATGAGCTTCAGGATCATATAAGCCCTTGACTGGCCAGATATCTTAAAATTTCAAGTATTGGCCAGGCGCTGTGGCTCACGCCTGTAATCCCAGCACTTTGGGAAGCCGAGGTGGACAGATCACAAGGTCAGGAGATCGAGACCATCCTGGCTAACACGGTGAAACCCCATCTGTACTAAAAATACAAAAAATTAGCTGGGCGTGGTGGCAGGCACCTGTAGTCCCAGCTACCTGGGAGGCTAAGGCAGAAAAATGGCATGAACCCAGGAGGCGAAGCTTACAGTGAGCAGACATCACGCCACTGCACTCCAGCCTGGGCGATGAAGCGAGACTCTGTCTCAAAAAAAAAAAAAAAAAAAAAAAAATTTCAAGTATTGATCACAACATATAAGTTATGTAATATACGCTAACTTTAAAAAATTAGACTTCTAAAAAATATCCAAATTTGTAGATGGGAAGCTAGGCTGTCAACAAAAGCAAAAAAAAAAACCTAATCTAAGATTCTTGAGTCCCCCAACCCACACCCACATCCACATCCACACGCCATGTGTTTTCTGCCTCCTTGTAGAGTGGTCACGCTCCCCAGGATGAAAGACTGAAGTGAATGTTCAAGTTTCCCTTGGCTATTTAATTGGCAAGGCCAAATGTTATTACTGGCTTGTAACCTTTTCAATTGATTTCTGAAGCACTGTTCTCATGACTAACCACAACAATTCTCTAGAGAGGAAAGAACAAATAAAAATCACTATTTACCATGTAAGCCAACACCAACATTTAATGTTTAACATTCAAATGACTTTTCTAGAGAAGGAATATTAATTCTAGTTCCAACTGCTGCTGTAAGTTTTAACAGTTAAGGGCTTACAATGTGGTGTTTCTCAACCTGGCTTTCATTATTGCCCCACCCAAGAGCCTTGTTCAACTATTTTACCCTAATGACTCTCCCATTAATGTACAATACGGCAGATATATTATATACTCAGTTATGTACTATACACATATCTGTGCTTTACATATAAGAGAGTGAGTTTTTTTTTGGCCCCGATCCAATTTTTATCTTCTTAGGGGACACATTGCCCCATTGCAACCCTTGAGAACATATGGGTTTTTGCTTTTTTCTTTGAAGAAATATTAATACAACACTTAATCTTTTGCCAAAAGAAATACTTTACCCTTCACAACTATCTGTGGATGTCCAAATGCATTTTCAAACACAAATTTTGATCTAAATAAGACCTCCTGTCATTACAAAAACATTATGAAAACGGATCCATAGTAATTTCTCCTGCACAATAAAGAAGACAGTTCCCTCTGTAAAACACATTTAAGTATAATCCAGTAATGTCAGTTAATTTCCCTTTTGGCTAATAAATGAGGATTCAGAAAAATAATGTCGTTTCAGATACTAGGTTTGGATATACAATCCCATATACAATTTTGTATTTTATTGTATACAAAATACAGTAGTCCTCAGTATCCATGCGGGGATGTTCCCCAGATCCGTGCAGACACCAAAATCCACAGATGCTCAGGTTCCTGATATGAAACACATCTCCCCCTCCCCCATACACTTTAAGTCATCTTTAGGTTACTTATAATACCTAATACAATGGAAATCCTATGTAAATAGTTGTTATGCTGTTTTATATGGGAAATAATGACAAGAAAAAAGTCTGCACATGTCCAGAAGGATGCAACCATCCATTTTTTTTTTCTAATTTTATTTTATCCTTGATTGGTTAAATCCATAGGTGCAGATCTGATGGATATGGATGGCTGATTATATAAAGTAATTTGCCACCCAAACTTACTCTGCCAACATTTACCATACTTCAAAACTATAAACATAAAAAAGAGGGAAAACAACACCAATAGGTATTAAAACAGGGACAGCACTATCAGCACATACAGGAGTGAGCTTTTTAAAATCAAACGTTTAAATCACTGCCTGAGAAAAATCAATCACCTGTAAAATGATGACCACCTATAAAATGAAAGGTCAAATTACAAAATAATTCCAGGAAGATAAGATATATTAAAATCATTATTAAAGCTTGCTTTTTGTAGATGTGTGTTTCTCGGTTATTCATGAATTCCTGTAACTCATCTTTATCTCTCAGGAATAATTAGTAAACATCCCCTTGGTTTGCTGAGTGAGTCTCTAGGACTCACCCTGTGGCATGTGGGACACACACACACACACCCACATGCATGCATGTACAGGTACATACCCACATGTACACACATGCGTCCCTGTCTCTGAGCTAATCTCCAGGGAGTCAACTTCAGTAATCTGTCTATTGGGAACATTTTTGGTTTCCAGTGACGAGAAGGTTTTCTAATATAACACCACCGTTAGGACTGAAACACATGCCTTAATTTGGTTGTGAAGTTACCATAAAAGAGCAATACTGTGAGTTCTGTTGAAGGTGTATCTCCTCCTTGCATATTACTCACAGCTACACTAAGCCTTAGGTGGTTTTCTCCACACTTGCCGGCATTTTGTCAACTACACTTCCTTTCCCCACCTTCCCCAAAATGGGAGGAGCTAGGCACAGGGCAAGGAAACTCCCTCAAGAAAAGGGAATATGTTCCAATGGGTGACATTTTCCAGAAAAGACCTCTTTTTCTCCCTGAATCCCTGCTTGATAATATGCATGAAACAGCCAAAATCAGGCAAGAAAAATGTCTTCTGTCTCTCCCATCACTATTCTCTTCAAAGTTTTCCTCACACCTAAGGCAAATTTCCCAAGCAAAAACTAACATTGCCATCACCAAAATGTAAGCGCCGGCACGTGCCAGTCACTGCCTGAAAGCTTTACCGATCTTACGTGTTGGACTTTTCTGATGACCTTAACAGTAGGTAGAATTATCACCCCCATTTTACAAGTATACAGACTAAGACCTAAAGATCGTAACTGACTGGCCGGAGTCACACAGCTAGAGAGTGACAGGCTTGGACACAAACCCTGGTCTGTCTGACTCCAGGGTGGGTGCTTTTAACCCTGACATCTTCCTTCCTACCCTTCAATGTCCAAGTCCCCGCCCAAAGGGACAGAGGTTGAATAATGGTTCATGGCATGTTGCATAATCAACAGAGAAAGTTTCAGAACCCACTCGGTACTCACAGTCATTTATAAAGGAATCTTTTCTGGCAAAATATAAACGAAGCCTGAAGGCAAAAACTTCACAAAGGCATCTCTTGCCTAGGGATCAGAAGTACTAATCACTAACCAGAAGCACTTGAGGACTATCTGTAGTACTCCCTGCAATTTTTACTAAGCAGCCAGTTCAAGGGCCTAGCAGAGGAACTCAGCTACAGACTCCCAGATACTTTCCAAACATCCATACAATGCAAGAAAACTCCAGCGACTACCCAGACACGATTCAGTTCGGCTCTATTTAGAAAGATGAATTAAAAGCTAGCACTGCCGTACATCCAACCCTTTGGATTAGGAAAATAGTCAGAGTGCAGGTGTGGCATAATATGCAACAGATTTGGTCATTGTCCTGGGTTCCTGTCACAGAGTTCCTAAAGGCCTTGGAATTTCCTGATAGGAGTGTCTTTTGTTATTCATAATGAGCACCTTTTGATCACACCTGGGTTTACACTAATGCGGTGACTTGGGGTGGAGCCCCTAAACAGTCTCAGGGTGGGGCCAGTCATCATTAAGACCAAGTGATTAGAGGGTTGGAACTTTCAGCCCTACCCAGGGACCTCAGGAAAGTCAGAGCAGGGGAGGACGGGGCAGGGTTCTGGGACTGGAAATTAAACTGGACAAAACAACTCTTGAACAACAAGATTTGATAGCTTCCAGGTGGCTGAACAGGTGCAGGTGCCGGGAGGGTGGCGCACCCAGAGAGGGCAGGAAAGCTCTGCGCCCCACCCCAATACTATGCATCTCTTCTATTTTGTTGTTCGTGAGTTGCATCCTCTATAACAAGCCAGTACATGTAATAAAGTGTTTCCCTGAGTCCTGTAACCCATTCTAGGATTGTGGATCCCTCCTCCCAGCCATTTAAGATTATAGGTCAGAAGTACCAGAGCCCTGGCTTCCAACTGGCATCCCAAGTAGGGGCAGTCTTTTGGGATCTGACGCTAACTCTAGGTAGACAGAGTCAGAACTGTATTAAATTGCAGGGTTCGGGGATTTGGAGAACTGCAAAGTATGGAAAAAACCCACATCTTTGTCAGAAGTGTTGTGTGAGGATGGAGACAACCAAACAAACAAAGTGTGTTTGCCCAGCAGGTCAGCTGATAATCCATCCTTCAAGAGATATTTATCTAAATTAAAATTGACTTCCAACATTAAAGACATAATGTGTTTAAACCATAAACAAGAATGTTACCATGAGTACAGTTCAAATATCACCCCATTTGCCAAACTTAAAATGCGAAGCAGAAACCATTCATATATCATGATTGCAAATGTTTACGGATGCATGAATCCAGGAAAAGAAAACCTAAACACACGTGGGAAAAGGGTAATAGAGAGATTGTGCTTAATTTTATTCCTTTTTTAACGTAAAGGAAAAGTCATGGTACACGTATCACTTTTAAAACTAGAAAGCAAAATTTATATTAATTCCAATTTATCAAAGACAGAAAATATCAACAGAGAAGTCCAAATTGGTACTAAGTTCAAGTTATGTTAATCATTGAGACAAAAATATTTTTAAAAATGCATTTAGTCCACAAAATAGAGGATTTCAGTCTCAAAGCCGAACTCAAACATGCTAGGTTATAAACTGGTAAGAGATCAAGGCTGCATCTTATCACCAGGCTGTGGTTTTGGTGCAGGCTGGAAGCTGAAGAGGCCACAGCTGGAAAGGGGTGTGCAGCAACATCAGGTATTACCTGAGGGCCCAGGAAGGGAACCAAGGGCTGCGCAAAGGATTGGAGTCACCAGCTGTCCTCACGGGCCCCTGGAGAAACCGCAGGTACACAGATGAAGGCATGGACAGGAGAAGAGGGGACCCGGGGTTGAGAATAAGATAGAAGGCAAAGAGAACTGGGGAGCAGAGGAGAGAGGAGAAAAATGGCACCTCCGGTATTGACTGCTCAGTGGTACCTACTGGTGCTAAGCACAGTAAAAACACAAAGGCTACTTTCCAAAAGGAAAACAACATCATTTAAAAAGAAAAAGAAAAAAAAACCAAAACAGCCCTATTCGCCCATGAGTGTGGGAAGTGAGGAAATTATATAATACGCCTCCTCCAAGGACCCCAAACACCCTCTCTGCTGTAATTAAGAGAAGTGCTTACTGCCAGCACCGTCCTGCCATACCTGCTTGTGTGACTTTGAACAAGTGTCTTATCCTCTGGGTCGCTGTTTCCTAATCTACAAAATAGGGTGGTAACAGGGCCTACGTCATCTGGTACTTTTATTTTTATTTTTATTTATTTATTTATTTATTTATTTATTTATTTATTTTTGAGACAGAGTCTCACTCTGTCGCCCAGGCTGGAGTGCAGTGACAGTGCAATCTTGGCTCACTGCAGCCTCTGCCTCCCGGGTTCAAGTGATTCTCCTGCCTCAGCCTCCCAAGTAGATTACAGACATGCACCACCACGCCCAGCTAATTTTTACATTTTTAGTAGAGACGGGGTTTCACCACGTTGGCCAGGCTGGTCTCGAACTCCTGACCTCAAGTGATCCTCCTACCTTAGCCTCCCAAAGTGCTGGGATTACAGGCATGAGCCAGCACGCCCGGCCGCTACTTTGAAGAATTTATTGAGTTAATGCTTAAGGATTTCTACAAACTACCCCAGCTATATACTGTCCCTCTTTGAAAGGAATAAGTTTTCCATCCCTCTTTCATGCCACCTGGACAGAGGTACTACAGTAAGTGGTTAAAATAACAGACTATGGAACCAGAACACCTGAGCTCCAATCCCAGCTCCGCCACTTTCCAGCGGTGCAACACTGGCAACTTAGTTAAGTACGGTGGGCTTCACTTTATAACATGGGAAGAAAATGTCGAGATCACAGCATCCCTGGAAAGCCCACAGAACAGGCCCAGCACATAGCAAACCCTCATGAGTGCTATGACGTCGATACGTGAGAACTTTAACCCCTGGCAAGGTTCTCACAGTTTACTTATTTCGACTGATTCAACTGCCAGTACCCATTTCATGCATCATCACAAATTTGGCAACTGCTCCAGCTTTTAGAAGCCCGGGTCCCAAAGGCCTGCAAGCTCCCCACAGCCACGAAAGGCAGTCTGGAATGTGAAAGGCACAGAGGCAGTGAGGCGGTCATCCATGCCTTACACTGCACACTTCCAGAATGGGTACATCTTCTAGGCCAAGGACATAGTCATGCATTGCTTGGGCAAATTCAAAAGCACTTTTTTTTCATATAAAAGAAACATCCATGATTGAGTACTCAAGAACAGTATCACCAACTACTGTGCCCTGAAGGAAGGTCTCTGGAAGACAGAGATCAAAATCCAAGTATTCTGGTCTTTTTTGTTATTTTAAACATCATCCGAGTAAGTTTGGTTGTCTGACTTTATAGACTGCAGAAATTGACAACTGCATATTAGAAGACAGGAGGGACAATATCGTGTGGTTGAAAAGGATGCTGAATTTGAAACCAGACAGACAGAGCTGGGCTGCTCACTAACCATGTGAATTTAATTACTTGGAACCTTCTTTCTTTATCTGTAAAATGGGTGTAACTGAACTAACTTTATAGGGATGTTTTGAAGATTAAATGAGATTACGTATATAAAGCACCCAGATCTATGCCAAAAGCATAAAGCACATTCTAAAAACAGCAATGAAAATTATGCTCAACCATACGAAACTGCTGTTTCTCTAAGTCAAAAACCGTTGAAGAGAGTCAAACTGACAAACAGGCTGGGCAGGCAGGTGCTCTTGTGGAGTAGTGAGGATCTGGGAGTGTGGGGTGCCCAGGGCAGGGCCTGAGGGCAGAGGAGCAGGTATTTACTGATGAGTGTGGTGTATTTCAACCTTTAGACAAATGGCTCAGCTCTATCAGGCTGAGCTCTATCAGTCCACGAGCCCATGCTGGCTAAAGCACAGACAAAGCCCAGGGGAAACATTTTCTTTTAAATTGTAATGAGAATTCACAGTGTGAGAATCCACAGCTATTGAGTAAGTGGGCAAGGAATCCCACACACCTCAAATATCACTGAGGGCATGGTGTGCTATGGAGGGAATAACCAGTGCTCAGAACAATAACCGTAAAGTTTCTTTACTCAAGATTAAATTAATCTTCCATTTAAGATGATAATTTAGAATACATTTCAGGGTGAAAAAATACTAAATTTCATAAAAGTTCAACTTTGTAAAAGTGTTAACACTGGAGAAAGGATGACATAGAGTAGACAAACAGAAGCACAGCAGCAGCTGCCAGTGGACGGGGGAGGAGGGAATGGGGAGTGGCTGCCTAAAGTGTCCAGAGCTTCAGCTTGGGAAGATGTAAAGTTCTGGAACTAGACAGTGGAAATGCATGTACAACACTGTGAATGTGCTTAATCCCACTGAAGGGTGCACTTTAAAATGGTAACAGTACTAAATTTTATGTGTATTTTACCACAATTTTTTTAAGCGCATGAAAAAGGAACAGACAATATTTGAGTACTTACCATACTGAGCACTCTATGTGTGCTATGTCCCAACAATGCTGTGAAGTAAATATTATTATTATTATTGTTTCTTATTATTTCTTTTTTTGACAGAGTCTCGCTCTGTTACCCATGCTGGAGTGCAGTGGTGTGATCACAGCTCACTGCAGCTTTGAAATCCTGAGCTCAAGTGATCCTCCCACGTCAGCCTCCCAAGTAGCTGGGAACATAGGAATGTGCCACCATGCCTGGCTATTTACTTTTTTTGAAGAGATGGGGTCTCACTATTTTGCCCAGGCTGGTCTTGAACTCCTGGCCTCAAGTAATCCTCCCACCTCAGCCTTCCAAAGTGCTGGGATTACAGATGTGAGCCACCGTGCCAGGCTGAGGTAAATATTATTATCCTCATTTTACAGGAAGAAACTCTACCTCATGAAACAAGGCAATATAGTTTCCCCAAATTGCACACAACCAGTAAGCAGTGAGGCCAGGATTTGAACACCAGCTGACAGCGCCTCCAGGGCTGGGTCTCTGCAACGCTTAGACCGACTCACGCTTAGAAAACTCACTCATGTGAAACTTGCGTAGCTGAATAATGCTGGAAGCTGAGGTGTTAGAAAGCTTAGGTGAAGTCAGTAAGAGAGTCTATATAAATCTTGACTCTTCGAAGCAGGTTTTTAATAAAGGATAGGAATACTGAATTGTTTTGGAACACTAAAATGTTCACACCTTCATTTTTCATGATGTAGTGGACGATTTGCCCAACAGTGTCACTGTTTTCATTCACACTGTCATTCAATTCTGAAAGAGAAAAGAGGAGGGGAGAACAGGTTACAATTGGTCACCAGCATCAAGTCAATCAATCTTAGAACCCAAGACCTCACTGAACAGTTTCCAGAAGCCTCAGGAGATCACCCATGGTGCTACAATTCTAGGCTTTCTCCCTCCAGCCCCAAACTTCCTAATGCATAACAAGCATAAAGAGAAAGTATCAAAGCTGTCCATCTATCTCTTCTGAAGTTCAAATACTCACTTTCCAAGACAATAATTTGAAAATGCATTTGTACCAGTCTTCATTATTATTTCTCTCTCATCATTTTCTTAAAGCCTTATGAGAAATGGGAAGAAAGCTCATTAAAAAAGAAAAAGATTCTCCTTGGATTTTATTTTAATTGCAGACTTACTATATCAATTTACAATATTAATTTCCTTTTTAAATTGGATCATAATTCTTCCATGTTCATCAGACTGCTGTATCCTCTGAAATACACTTTCAAATTACCTACATTCAGGGCTTGGTTATGTGTCCACAAACTCAGTTTACTTTGGGGACTCTGTACCAGGAGCATACATGACGGTCTTTGGGAAAAAAAGCAAACCACTCTGAAACCAATCTGCAAAATTTGTTTCAATAAGAACGAGGAAGGGTTGAAACGCTCCATCCTAGTTCACAGAGAATGCATCAAGGTGTGCAGTGTCCTACTCATTTACCTGGACAATGCCTTCTCCATCCAAAGGTCAGCTTTCCTCCACGTGAACATGCATGTTTGGTTAGACAGCTCAGAAGCTGGCTGCTAAGCCAACCTACAGAGCATCTGGGAAGGAGGAGAGGGGGAGGCTCCACTTTCTGTTGACAAACACTTGGCTTTGGTTTGCTCACAGGCTCATACATGACTCATCATGCAATCCTGTTCCTTCTCAGCCTCAAAGGTCAGTGGGGGTGGGAAAAACCAACAGTCCAGCAAGCTGGCAAGGAACGAGGAACCTCCCCTCAGCCAGCCCTGCTTTGCCTGAAGGGCGACCTACTCCAATGTCACCTTTCTGCAGAAACTGCCCTTAGCAGGGCTGAAAGGAATAGGGGGAGTCACCTACTACCTCTCAAGGCCCAAGTCAGGAAACATCCCTAAAGATGATGGGAAAGAAACATCAGTGGCGAAAACAGGATTTCGTCTCCCCGGTTTTTCTAAACACTACCTTATGACTCCACATTAGGAGAAACAGATGAGACAGCCTGAAGTTAGTACTAAGGCACCAGCTCTTGTCATACTTTTTTCTGCACTGTGCACACGATCGTTTACTTAATAAACATAAATTCCAATCACAAATATTTAAGATAGAACTCCCCCAGCAAAAGTAACACCACAAACATGGGGAGACCTATTTTAATTTTTCCTTCACTCTTATTCGAATCTGATTCCATAATAATAGTAAGGATTAATATTTAATGAGTAGTCATATATTCCAAATACCAAATGCATCTTTCCTCTAAATTTCACAGAAACCCCAAAAGGTAAGGATTATTTTCCTCATTGAAATTAAATTAAAATGTCAAATGAATAAGATTAAATTAATTAAAAATACATTTAAGTGAAATTATACATGGCAGAGATTCAGAGCACACAATAACTTGTCTAAGGCCACAGGGCAAGAAAGGGTGCCCTATCTGGCAGGTATTCAGTAATGAAAGCAAGTTTTCAAACTAGGTGTGATTACTGCACAATCTGCACTTACACTACACTGCACCACCTGCCACTAAAATGGATCATTCTGCCTCAGAGAGATGGAAAGCATATATCACTGGTTTCATATTTAAAAACTGTCTCCTCACCCCCAATAAAAAGAGCCCTGGTTATTTACCTATCTTTTCAACCTTTTCCTCTTCGATATCTTGCTCTGCTTCTGTTGTACAACGATAGCCTTTCTTCTTAAGCAGGTGGCAAATGAGGACGCCAAAGAGACCCATGATAAAGAACACAGGGACAAGCGCGTATGCAATATATTCTGGGTGTCCATTCCCAGTATCGTTGCTGGGCGACGGGGTCGTCTCTGTTCTGGAGTGCAATGTGCGGCTGCTCCCATTGTCTACAGAAAGAAACATGCATGCTGCATTAGATATCTGTCCAGGGCAAGAAAAACCTAATGACTCTCAGGTAATGTTCACAGTAAGTCAGGGTCTGCTCCCGAAACCACAGGCCATGCAGACTGGTGGGTCCAGCTGCACAGGCAAAAGATAGCCCAGGTTTGAGCTCAAACAGTCTGAGTTTAACTCTGCTACTCATGAACCAGGTCCCATGCTGGGTCATTTTTTAAAACATCCTTTGAAGACAGCTTCTTCTTCATTGTGGAATGAGTATACAGGGTTGTCGTGAAGTGTCCAGCACAGAGTAAACACATAAACATTACATGTAACATTACAAACACAGAATGAACACATAAACACTACATGTAACATTACAAATATTACATAAACACTACATTACATTATAGCACAGTTCTTAGTGATTAAGAGCATGGCCTCAGAACACTCAAGTTCAATTCCCAGCTCCACCATTTAGCAGCTGTGTGACAATGGACAAGAACTTAACATCTTGATGCCTTGGTTTCTTATGAAATGGGCATACAAATACTACCTACTCACCCTTCTAGGATTGTTATAAAGATGAAATAAATTATTACGTGTAAACTAGCAAGCAACATAGCAAATATTCACCCACATGCCAGGCACCATTCTAGGCACTTGTGATGCAGGTTCATCACACTGAGCAAAACAGGCGGAGATTTGTTGTCCTCATGCAGCTTACATTCTAGGAGGATTTAGTAAACTAGCAGATCTAGAGTATGAAGAAGAGGGAAAAGTCAGGGATAGCATCAAGATCTTGGCCTGGGGTGCAAACATAAAAATGGAAGTGAGTGCACTTGTTTATTTGTTCACTAATCCCAATAAACATTGAATGCATGCCAGTTATGTGACAAGCACCACACTGGGTGGGAACTGGATAGAGTGATGAACAACGTAACGTAGCCCCTGCCATCTTGAGGCTCGTATATGATGGCATCAGAAACAGCCATTAAACAAGTATACACGGGCAGATCGTGACAGATTGTGAGAAATGCTGTGGAAGGAAAACACGGGGCACTAGAAGAGAAAAGAACAGTGGGGATCTACTTTATGACTTCAAGAATAGGGAAGCTTTGAAGTGGGCATCTTTTGGAGAAAAGGGAAGTTTTTGCCTTTAGACATGTCAAAGTATCACATGAATATATATATGAGAGACAGTTTGATATCTTAGCCTGCAGGGGTGCCACAGGGACTCCAGAAAGCAGTGAGCCTGGAGCACACAATTATACAATGTGGCCAACTGAGATCGCAGGAAGAACATACTTTGGGAGGCTGAAGGGGGTGGGGGGAGGGGGCGAATCACTTGAGGTCAGGAGTTCAAGACCAGCCTGGGCAACATGGTGAAACCCCGTCTCCACTAAAAATACAAAAATTAGCTGGGCATTGTGGTACACAACTGTGGTGCCAGCTACTGGAGAGGCAGAGGTGAGAGGATTGCTTGAGCCTGCGAGGCAGAGGTTGCAGTGAGCCAAGAAGTGCACCACTGCACTTCAGCCTGGGTGACAGAGCAAGACTGTCTCAAAAAAAAAAAAAAAAAAATTAAATTAAATTAAAAAGTATTAAAAAGTTAGCCTTATATATGTTCCTGTCACACAGTAAGCACTATAAATGTGTTAGCTACCACTATTAATATTTAGGCTGGGCACAGTGGCACATGCCTATAATCCCAACACTTTGGGAGGCCAAGGCAGGCGGATCACTTGAGGCCAGGAGTTCAGGAAGAACATACCGTGTAGCAAAAGAATCAGCAGAGCACCATGCCATGGAAAAATGAGGAGAGAAATACAAAATGAAGAGGGGAGTCAGGTAGATGAGGACCAAAGAAAACTGTGGGGTTTGACTGAAACAAAGCTTCAGTATTTGGAATATCCTGACTCTGAAAGGATAAAGTGAGGTTTTCTACATCAAGGGAGGTTCACACACACTGCTCAAGAAACCCAGAAATTGGAAAGCTAGAGACATTTAAATATAAGCTTTCTCAAGAGAATTTTGGTGAGAAAAGAATCCGTATTGTAATTGAGAGTGGCAGGAGGCAGTCAAATGCCCAGGCAGACAGGGTTGGGTCCCTGGTGAAACCCCACCTCCATGCTGAAGAATTTTAAAGCTTGAAAGCCAAGCTACAAGTTAAATCCTCGGACCAGATGGAGGACTTGTCTTCCTGTTTGGTGCGCTTTCCTCACAAACCAATCAGCACTCACTCCCCATTCTGAGTCCATAAAAGGCCCCAGACCCAGCCACACAGGAGGAACTTCAAGTAGAACCATTCCCCCGAGCCCCACATTGCCTCTCTGCTGAAAGCCATTTTCATAGCTCAATAAAATTCTTCTCCGCCCTCCTCACCCTTCAGTGTGTCGTGTATCCTCATTCTTCTTGGGTGCGCTACAAGAGCTTGGGAACTGCTGAAAGTGGGTACAAGCTATACCACAGGGGAGCTGAAGCACGCCAGCGTGGCCAAGCAGGGCGTCGAGGCTGGGGCAGAGCGTCGCCAGCCAGGAGGTCCCCAGTTTACAAAGTGACCGAGAAGAAAACTCCTGCATCATAATGATTATAATGGGGACAATATGCCTGGTATGAAATGAGCACGGTTCATCACAGCAGCAAACAAACAATATCAAACAGAAGCTTTATTTGCAAACCAGAGGCCATAGAACAAAGACTACCTCTCTTTCGCATGGAAATATCCATTGTCTTTGAACATGAAAGGAAATAATTGGTTTCTTAGGTTTGTAAGAGGTTGCATTCATTACTTTATCAGACAACCTCCAGAATTTGAAATAGCCAGTGTTTTCTGATTTCTCCCTGAAGAATCAATATAATAAATACATCCCTAAATATATGCAATATACCGTCTAAGTTAGGGTTTAACCTCATGCCTTATTTTCAGGAAAAACCAGAAACATTTATTTAATCCCTTTTATGGTCCTAAAACAATGTTTTCTTTATTAATTCCTTTATATAACACATATTCCACGCAACAAGAATAGGTGAAGTAGGCAGCATGCTGAGATCAAGGAGCTTTACTCAGAATCACTGTCTGTTTCAATCTGGGGGTGAAAATAAATTCTTTTTTAGGGGGACAATGGGAAAGAGGGATGAAAGAGGGGCTCAGAATTGGAGTCAAACACCTCCCTCTGAATCAGGTGATTGAGAAGGTGTCTTCATCGTGAATTTGACATGTGGCAACCCCTAACAAACACTAAATATCTACAGAGCTCTGTGACTTACAAACATGTGTCATTCACTTAATTTCATAATTATCGTGCCATGAAAAAACTGAAGATATTAATCTACATTAGTGAAGCATATAAATTACAGGGAGAGGCAATATAGCACTCAGATTAAAAGCTCAGACCTGGCAGAAATAACAGACATGTTATTGGCCACATACTAGACATGTCACCTTAGGCGAGTAATTTTAACTGTTCTGTACTCTGTTTCCTCTCTGTTAAAAGGATCAAAATGAGTGTGACTAATCTGTGATAATTTTACAAGATGGCCCTGGGAAATAAAAATCTAATCTCAGACCCCAATTTACTATGCCAAAAGGAAAAAATTAAACTGAAAGCTGAGTCATTCAAGAAATTGCGTTTCCTTTTGTTCTTAGGCAGATAGCTACTGATAAAAGGTGAAGTATCTGCACAGGTAGCTACTCCATGCTCACCTTATCTTAGGTAAAGTGCTGACTGACTGACATAATTGACTATTACCCTGCCCGCTCCTTTTCCCTTGCAACAGGTAGATTCAGTAATGTGAACATCTGCTCCCTCTTTCCCCTTGTATTGAAACCTCAATACAAGTATTGAAACCTCAATACAAGTATTGAAACCTCAATATTCAATACAAGTATTGAAACCTCAATATTCAATACAAGTATTGAAACCTCAATATTCAATACAAGTATTGAATACTCAATACAAGTATTGAGTATTGAAACCCTCAAAATCTTCTTAGGAAAATGGCATGAACCACAGATTGTTCCTGTGGATTTGAGATCCTTTTCTCTGGACATGTCCTTAACCTTTGCAAAATAAACTTCTAAATTGACTGAGACCCGTCTCAGATACTTTTTGGTTTCCAGCTTCAAAATTATTTGATACTGCTTCTACTGAGAGGTGAGGTCTGTATCTCGTCCCCTTACATTTACACTCTACTCTCCCTGACCCACAGAATGTGTTGGGAATGATGCATTATCACTTTCCAGCCTCAGGCAATAAGAAACTGACAACTTCCACTTCCTGTTTCTTGGGGCACTTGCTCTTGGAACCCAGCCACCATGCTGTGAGGAAGCCTAAGCTTCCCTGTGGAGAGAAAATAGCAGGCATCAACTTATCAGCCAGTAATAGCCATAATAAAAGTAGATCCTATAGTCCCAACTGATGCTCCATGGGGCATCAGAGCTGTCTCTGATGAACCCTGCCCAAATTGTATAACAAATCCTTAAACAAAAGAAATGATTGTTGTTTTCACCCACTAAGCTTTGGGGTTATTTGTCATACAGCAATAGTAACTGGAAGCCTGCTGCATGGTGTCACTGTGAAGATTAAACAATATTAATATGTAAAGCATTCAGAAGAGTGTCTACAAAAAGGTGGGCACTGTATTTTAGTCATAATCATAAAAGACCTGCATTATTCAGTAAGATAGCCACTAGCCACATGTAGCTATTTAAATTCAAATTTAAGCCAAATGAATTTAAATAAAATTAAAAATTCAGTTCCTCAGTTGCATTAGCCACATCTCAAGTGCCCAGTGGCCATGTGTGGCTAACTGCTACCATACTGGACGGCCCAGATAATGAACATTTCCACCATCCCAGAAAGTTTTTTTGGACAGCCCTGTTGTGCATTATAAAGAATAGCTAACAAGAAAGATGCAGAGTGGAGAATATATTGTGATCTACCTTAACAATTCAATGAAAAATAGCTTTTAAATAACAAAGTAACTGTTCATACATAATGTCTAAAACATTTATAAACTTCAGTAGGTTTAGCTTTCCTTCAATTTACACTAATAATTTGCTGAGAAACACTGTATCCCTTCTTCTCCTTCACCCCTAGCTGAATCATGTCTGAATCACGAACAAGTTACTTAGTCCAAATAGCAAAGGTTGTTGCATTATTTATAAAAGTCAAAAAATAGCAACACCTGCATATTTGCAATGAGATAGTAAAAACATATCTAAATCATGGTTTCATTTGATGAAATAATATGCACTATTTAAAGATCTATGAAATTTTTTGTGAAGATACAGGAAAACACTATGATCCAATATTGAATTTCAAAAGCTGGATTCAAAACCTTACATGCAATATGATCCAACTAGTTTTTTTAAAAAATAAAAACGCATGAAGGTATAAAGCCAAAACCAAAATGCTAAGTGATTCTCGGTACTAAAATAATGAAATAAATTTAATTTTATCTTTATACTTTTCTATAACTTTCTAAAATTAGTATGTGGTACTTTTGTACCAAGATGGTAGACACTTTAAAAAGTATGTAGAGCAGAGGCTGTTAGTCATTTGAGAGTCACAAACCCCTTTGTGAGGTCTGATGGATGCTAGGATTCCTATTTCAAAATTTTGCCTCCCGGTTCTGTGACTTCTTGAACCCAAATTAATGTAAGGGCAAGTGATGTAATAAAAATGACGTCCAAGTTTCTGCTTGAGCAACATAGTGGACATTGGACCCATTCATTGTGATGGGAAATATATATATATATATATAAAAAGCAAGTTTGCTTGGTGTTATGGTTTGAATTTTGTCACCCCCTCCTAAATTTATATGTTGAGCTCCTAACCCCCAATACCTCAGAATGTATTTGGAGATAGGATCTTTACATAGGTCATCTAGTTAAAATGAAGTCATCAGGGTGGACCCCAGTCCCATATGATTGGTGTCCTTCTGAAAAGGGGAAATGTGAAGAAAAAGGCAGAGATCTGGATGATGCTTCTTCTACAAGCTAAGGGACACCAAAGATTGCCAGCAAATCACCAGAACCCAGGAGAGAGGCATGAAACAGATTCTCTCATAGCCCTCAGAAGGAGGAAACTTTGCTGACACATTCCTCTTGGACTTCTCTGTTGCTGAAACCACCCTGTCTGTGGTACTTTGTGAGGCAGCTCTAGCAAACGAATTCACTTGGCATCTTGAGGACAATGTCACAGTTCAGTTTTGAACACGCAGAAATAGAGGTAAGCAGGTGACATCCAGATGGAAATAGGCATTGAGCAACTGGATCTGCTCCACTCAGAAGCTGAGGAAGAACAGCCAGAGCTCCAGTCTAGGACAGAAAGGAATGAGTTTCCAGAAGAGGTAAGTGGTCAGCTGGGTCAGATGCTGTAAGAGAGCACAACTAAAATACGAAGGAACTGCAAAATGGTGCCGCTGCTATGCTGGATAGTATTAAGCCTTCTCGAAAGGTTAAAAATAGAACTACCATGTGATCTAGAAATCCCACTTCTGGGTACATATCCAAAAAAAGAATTGAAATCAGGATCTTGAGGAGATACCTGCACTCCCATGTTGTCTGCAGCATTAGTTACAACAGCCAAGATGTGGAAGCCACCAAAATTCCCATCGATAGACAAAGGGATAAAGAAATCGTGGCATATGAAAATGGAATATTATTCAGCTTTATAAAGAAGAAAATCCTGCCAAATGTGACAACATGGGTAAACCCTGAGGACATTAGGCTAAATGAAATAAGCCAGACACCAAAGGACAAATACTATACAATTCTGTTTATATATGGTATCTAAAATAGTCAAACTCATAGAAACCAGAGAGTAGAATGGTGTTTGCCAGGGGCTGGGAGGGCAGGGGAATAGGGATAGTTGATGATCAACAGGCACAAAATATAAATTTTCAGTTACACGAGATTAATAAGTTCTAGAGATCTCACAATACTGTATTGTGCACTTAAAAATTTGTTCAGAGAGTAGACCTCATGTTAAGTGTTTTTACCATAATTTTTAAAAACAGAGAGAAGGAAAGAAACAAACAACCTGCTATAGTTTGAATATGATCTGTCCCCTCCAAAACACACGTTGAAATTTGGTCCCCAATGTAACAGTGTTGAGCTGTAGTGGGACCTTTAAGAAGTGCTTGGGTCTTGGGGACTCCACGCTCATAAAGGAGTTAACGTTGTTCTCACAGAAGTGAGTTAGTTCTCATGGGAGGGGGTTAGTTATTGGGAGTTTGGATTGTTATAAAAGCGAGTTCAGCTTCCTCGGCACTTTCTTGCTTCCTCTCTCACCATGTGATTTCTTCCATTTTGTCACTGATGTCATGAAGCAGCAAGAGGCCCTTACCAGATATGGCTATCCAATCTTGGACTTCCCATCCTCCAGAACTGTGAGCAAAATAAACCTCTATTCTTTATAAATTACCCAGTCTTAGGTATTCTGTTATAGCAACAGAAAACAAATGAAGACACAACCCAAGAGAAATCTTTAGAAAGAGGCTTGAGAAGAACTCAGATAAATCAGGCCACACAGAAATTCCTAAGAACACATGGGAAACCTTCAGTTTCTAATTTAGGAGCAGCTTGGGATTTTTTAACCTTTCCCTTCTTGGATTTTGCTCCCTGTTTCTCTGTAGTTTCCTGAAGTAAACATTCTTTAAAAATTCTAAAGATAAAGTAAAATAAAAAAGGAAATAAACAGGCAAAAATAAAATAGAAAGAAAAACAATCCACAGAAGCTCTTTGGTGGCCTTGCTGGAGCAGTTTTCCAATGAAATGGACGGCAAGATGCAAGCTGGATTCCCTGGGTTCAGGAACAGAGACACTGAGCTCATTGTGCTCCTTCCAGAAGCTCCTTCTGAGCAAGCAAGGAGGGTAGGGTAGTTCACCCTCAGGGTGAAGGGAAGAAATTTTTGTTTGGGGTTTATTTTTTAAGTGGATGAAACCAAAGTATTTATATGTAGAAGGGAAGGAGCAAAAGGGAGAGACAGAGCGGGAGTATGAAGCAATGGCCTTGAGATGACTTCCATATGAAGGAGGGGAGTTAAATATCTGAATAGAAAAGGATACAGTTTTTCCTGAGGCCTTCCTTTATAGTGGGTGGAAGAAAGTTGCGGGAACAGGTGCTTCTGTTGCCTTTTAACATAAAAAGCAAGGCCTGGTGTGGTGGCTTACACCTGAAATCCCAAGATTTTGGGAGGGCAAGGTGAGATTACACATTTTGTGAAACCTCATCTCTACAAAAAAATCCCCAAAAAATAAGATAGCTAGGAGTGCTTGTGCACACCTGTAGTCCCAGCTACTTGGGTGGCTGAGATGGGAGGATCAAATGAGGCCAGGAGGTGGAGGCTGCAGTGGGCCATGATTGTGCCACTCTACTGGGAGGGTGGGTCAGCCTGGGGGACACAGCGAGACCCTGTCACACACACACATATACACACACACTAAACATAAAAAGCAATGGCAAACCAGTGTAAAATGTACCTGCAGTCCCAACTACTGGGGAAGCTTGGGTAGGAGGATTACTTGAGCCCAGGAGTTCAAAGCCAGCCTAAGGAACAGCCAGGGAGGAAGCAATGACATCTGTTGGTAACTAGGAGGGTGAGGACAGAAGAGGGGACTTCAGCAGACAGGAGGCTTAGCAGAGAGACTGAAGGCAGGTGTCAGTGAAAATAATGCACAATGGCATTCAGGACACAGCTGAGATGTGCACCCCAAATCTCTAACTGTATGAGACCACTCAGGGCATGCCATGCAGGCTGGAAACCAAGCAGAATAACAAATCAGGATCAGAATGGAAAGCAGACAGAGCTAGAGTACGAAAGAGAACAGTTTAGGGTGAGATGGCTCCAGAATCGATGATATCTGATTCACACTAGTTTATTACAGCACTATCAATACTAACAACAGCCACCACCACAACTATGGAGCATGTATGAGCCAACACTAAGCTAAGCATTGAATCTTCACAGTAAACCTATAAAATGGTTACCAGTGTTATCCTCACATTACAGATGGGGAAACAGAAGCATAGAAAGGTCAGGCAATATTCCCAACATCAAGGTCACGTGGCTACCAAGTGGCAGTGCCTGGATTCAAACCAGGCAGTGTGGATCCTGCATGCTCAAACACACTTTATGTTACTCTCAGTGTCTGCATACGTAAAACACGACTTGTAAGAGAGTGCTGTTCATCTACCAATGCCTAAAGTACATTTTCATTATTTTTCTTTCAACAATATTTCATCATTTAGCCACTTTTCTGTTAAAATGCTAAATGATGGCCTATTCTTTCCTATTTCACAACTTGGTTTAGAATAAAGCCTCCACAGACTTCAAAACCATGGATTCCAATTAGCACAGCAAGAAGTAGGATAAGTTTTGAAAATGTTCCCACCAGACTCCAAAGCAGTTTTACCAGATAAACAACAAAAAACTCTACTATTTGCCCTTATCACCAATCAATCTCCCTCCCAACTCCCAAATCACAGCTCGCCTTATGCAGGTCATAACCTGGGATCCCTACAGCCTTGCTGGCTCTTCAAAAACAAGCCCATCACTTCATTTTGAGAGTCTTTTGCACACAGCAAGAGCCACTGAAATAGGCAGAGCTTGGCTCTAGCTGGTAAGTGTGATTCTCTTCCACAGCACCACAAATAAAAAATGTCCAACACAAAGGCCAGTGTTTGTCAAAATTCTTTGGGTTTTTCCTGGGCCCAGTAAGCTTTGGTAAATTTGCTGTATTCTGAGGACCCACTAGGTATGTGTGTTTTGCCAAGATCCTGCTGAGATTACAAAAGAAAACGTGAGATGAAAAAGATCAAAGACAGCAGGGAACTGAGGAGGAGGCATGAAGCATGGCTGGAAGTCAACCTAAAAAGTCAAAAGCAATTTTCTAGCTTGTTTCCAAGTAATACTTGTATTTCCAACTGACCCCAATGGTCAGAGGAGCCGAGACAGAATGGCGGGGAAATGGCATTTCTCACACCCAGTGGGCATGGCTTGAGGGTTGCTAACATTTTTTGGTCTAGATTACCAAGATGGCTAAATGTCTAAATGTTCATTTCTCAAAAGGGGTTTTTCTTCATCCACCTTTGCCACCAGCTACCTCTGTGATACTGAACAAGTCACTTCACCTCCCTGGGCCTCAGTTTCCTCATCTGAAAAATTAGAAGCAGGAGCTGATGTCCTTCATGGTTCTCAGAATTCCACTATTCCCCAACCTTCTGCAGCCTCATTCACTCTGGGCTGACACTGCTGGAGATGAAGACACGAGCCCATCCTCCATGTCCACAAGGCCAAATCCAAACAGCTCTCAAATCCAACCACAGACTACAGACAAGGCAGCCGTCCTAATCTCTCCCAAGCACTTTGTGCTGACCAAGATCAAGATCAAGAATGGCTCTGATAGCAATTCTTCCTCTCCTTACCAGGAAAGGGTGCGCATTCTCAGAAGCTAGGGTTTCCTGGCAAACTGAACCAACAAACTCTTGATGGGAAAGGAACTTGGCTGATAAGTGGATAACCCACATCAAGGTTAGCTGGAAAATAGTTTTTAAGCACACACACACACCCATTTTTATTTATTTATTTATTTATTTTTAAGCTAACATTCAAATCACAGTATCTGAGAAGGGTCTATTTTTTGGTCTAGATTACCAAGATGGCTAAATGTCTAAATGTTCATTTCTCTAAAGGGGTTTTTCTTCATCCACCATTTCCACCAGCTACCTGTGTGATACTGAACAAATCACTTCACCTCCCTGGGCCTCAGTTTCCTCATCTAAAAAATTACAAGCAGGAGCTGATGTTCTTCATGATTCTCAAAATTCCACTATTCCCCAACCTTCTGCAGCCTCATCCACAATTCACTCTGGGCTGACACTGCTGGAGATGAAGACACAAGCCCATCTTCCATGTCCACAAGGCCAAATCCCAACAGCTCTCAAATCCAATTTTTTCATAACTCCTTTGACAGCAACATCAAATCTGACAAATTCATCTGGTAGCAAACCCTGCACTGACCTGATGTGTGGCTATTTACACACACTCTCCTAGTAAGGAGAGGAAGAATTGCTATCAGAGCCATTCTTAATCTTGATTTTGGTCAGCACAAAGCTCGGGGGAAGTCACATCATTTAGAGTTTAGACTACCAGTCCCAAGGGTTTCCGACTGTCACAACTCTAAGAGTAAGGAGATTGGTCAGGGTACTGCACTTGCTCAAGGTCACATGGTTAAAAACTGTTAAGAGGCCGGGCGCGGTGGCTCACGCCTGTAATCCCAGCACTTTGGGAGGCCAAGGCGGGCAGATCACAAGGTCAGGAGATCAAGACCATCCTGGCTAACACGGTGAAACCCCGTCTCTACTAAAAATATAACAGATTAGCCAGGCATGGTGGCGGGCGCCTGTTGTCCCAGCTACTCGGGAGGCTGAGGCAGGAGAACAGCGTGAACCCGGGAGGCGGAGCTTGCAGTGAGCCGAGACTGTGCCACTGCACTCCAGCCTGGGTGACAGAGTGAGACTCTGTCTCAAAAAAAAAAAACAAAAAACAAAAAACCACAAACAAACAAACAAAAACTGGTAAGAACCTGGGACAAAAATCTTGTTTCAGGACAGAATCTGTAACTAGTCCACCTAGTTATACCTACTAGGTGTACTAGTCCACCTAGTAGCCTCTCAGTCCTACTTTGGTAGAGCTAGGACCTATTATCTAGTCAGTAGCTAACAGCTTACTACTAGTGCAAAACAACCTGTTTTAAGTTAATTCTGTTTGTTTGTTTGTTTGTTTGTTTGTTTTTTGAGACAGAGTCACTCTGTCACCTACGCCAGAGTGCAGTAGCACAATCTCAGCTCACTGCAACCTCTGCCTCCCAGGTTGAAGCAATTCTCCTGCCTCAGCCTCCAGAGTATCTGGGATTACAGGCGCACGCTGCCACACCTGGCTAATTTTTTGTATTTTAGTAGAGACGGAGTTTCACCATGTTGCCCAGGCTGGTCTCAAATTCCTGAGCTCAGGCAATCCACCCACCTTGGCCTTTCAAAGTGCTAGGATTACAGGCGTGAGCCACCGCACCTAGCCAAGTTAATTCTTTAAATACAGTTTAAATCAATTGCCCACAATAATAAAAGAAGAGAAACCAAAGCAAATTCTACAAAATAAAATCATCCCCAAATTATTCCTATTTGGTTACAGAGATAACTAAAGTCACAGTCTCTAAGACCATCTACCCACAGTGGCAATCATAAAGACACAGCATTTGCCCAAGCTCAAGAATATGTTGTAGAGAGAACAAATGGGCTTAAACAGAATTGGAGAACACTGTAAGTCAGTATATAAATAAGTGCTGAACTCTGTAGTGAAACTTGAGGCAGCTACCAGCTTCCAGACAATTCCTAGACAAACAGCTGCTACAACCCCACCTTTCCCCGAAAAGGCAGCTATGACTGGGCAGGGAGGGGACACCCAGATGGCACCCACCTGCCAAAGTCCACCCACCCATGAAACAAAACCCCACCCAACGCCAGCTGCATACAGTCCCTCAATTACTTTTATTTTGTTAAAATTCCTGAAATGCTACCATGAGTCATGAGCCCTGGAGTCTGATTCTGGGTTGCAAAGACCACTCTGGGAACAGATGGAAGCTCAGACAACTTCCCCAATAAAACGTGCAGAAGTCAGCAAAGCCTAGCTATAAATCCTTATTTTCAGATGCATTTGGCTAATGGATGCCTTGAAAAATTATCATTACTAATGATAATTATCATTTTTAATGGGAAAATGCATTTCAACTTACAATCTACTTACTCAAAAGTAGTATTTGGGGCATAACCTATCCTTAAGCTGGGGCTTTCTTCTTAAATACCACATAGATTGAGAAGGGAAGTAACAAAGATGATCCAGAAAGAAAAAGGACTTTATGCTGAGCCTCAACAGAATAACTGAATTTGGCTGGACAAAAAGGGAACAGGACACTCTTGACAGGCAGGAGGCTGGGGCACTCAGAGCATTCCTGAACCCCGGGTTGCTACCAGAACAAAGGACTGAAACTTGAGTGATGTCAATATAAAGAAACATCTTAAAAAAAAAAAAAAAGATGAAATCTAAATATTACCATCCCTGGCTTCAATTTGAACTGAAGAGAGAAAAATAACTTTGCAGAGTCAGATAAAGTCCCTAGCCTACTCCACACTGTCTCGGGTTTACCATTTGAAGTTATTTCTTAAAGCCACAGAACTCCAACACAGATGACAGCTACAGCCACCCCCATCCCCCCATCTTCCCCCACCTCCCACCTCGCCCAAAGCTCCGTCTTGGGAGGAAATTAACTCTAGGATCCCGGTGTCTTGAGAGGCCAAGGACCTCAACTTCTGGACTCTTCCAGAGTATCTCAAACAATGGTTTGCATTCAGGATACAACAGAAGGCTCATCTGACCTGGCCTCACCCCAGACTGGAGCAAGGTCAGCTTGCCAGTTATTTGCTTTGGGATACAGGCCAGGAAGCCACCAACTGTGCCTCTAAGACAGAAGACTGAGGAGATTCCCACAGACCCTCACTGATGGCTGCACACATCAGTGGGGTCCTCAGAGAGGGGCGTGAGGAAAAGCAATACCCGTGGGGCTCAAGGACTGGGAGGGCTCCCTGCTGACTCTCTCCCCATCTTCTTTTCCTGTTCTCCAGCCCCTCCCTCCCTCTTTCGCTGCCCCTCCTCCTTTTGCTATTTTTGGTGCTGTCCATTTGGGGACTTTTCCAAAGTCTTTATTTACTGATAGCACCGTCTGTCTCCTGGGAAGGGGCTGGGTGGCTGCACAACAGGAATGGAGAGAGCCTCTGACTAATGGCTCTTGCGAACCTTTAAAATTACACATTATGTCCACTCAAGAAAGAAATGGAATTCTGAAGAAGTCATTTGTTTGAAGTGACCTTAAAGCAACAGGGCTTCAGAAATCTAATATTTGCTTCAGATTATTTCTGAAAGGTGGTACGTCATAAAGAATGAGTTGCTACTTTAATTGTCAATCGCAGCATTCACACGGGGTGTTAGTGGTGTCAGGCAGTGTTCTGGATGCTTCCTGGGCAATCTCATTCTTCCCTCGCAGCATCTGTAAGGAAGCATCTCTCATTACCCCCATTCGCAGATGAGGAAAATGAGGCACACGGGTTCAATAACAAGCCTCGGTGTGTAGGAGGACAGGATCCAACCCAGACAATGGAATCCCGGGGCCCACACTCTTAGCCATGTTGCTTAACAGTGTCTGTAAGTGGCGGTGGCCTTGGGTTTTATCTAGTGACACATGCATTTAGGTGGCTTTGTTAAACTGTCACCAATGAACCACACAGCTGGGCTGCATACAGGTCAACATTCACCCACCCAAGGCCCTTAAACACTAAGAAGCTGCCTCTCTCCAATGACCCTATGATATACGATTAACACTGGAACTTGCACATATCTTCTTCTGGTGTAAAAATCATCTTCATAAAAAAAAGACTGAAGTCAGCTGTAGGTGAATGAAATTTGTAGTGGCTTCATTTTTTAAAAACCTTCATAGCACAAAATTTCCCAATATTAATTTTAACTGCAAAAAACAAAAGATCGACCGGGCGCAGTGGCTCATGCCTGTAATCCCAGCACTTTGGGAGGCCGAGGCAGGTGGATCACAAGGTCAAGAGATCAAGACCATCCTGGCCAACATGGTGAAACCCCGTCTCTACTAAAAATACAAAAATTAGCTGGGCATGGTGGCACGTGCCTGTAGTCCCAGCTGCTTGGGAGGCTGGGGCAGGAGAATTGCTTGAACCCGGGTTGAACCTGGGAGGCAGGGCTTGCAGTGAGCTGAGATCCCATCACTGTGACAGAGTGAGACTCCATCTCAAAAAAAAAAAAAAATCACTCATGTATAACTACTTCATCTCCCTCTATAACTATCATAAAGGTAAAAGTAAAAGACCTTTCTCTAGCTATTGAAAAGCACCTTATTCACAGATGCATGTGTTCACATTATTGCTCAAAAACTGTTATTCAGTGGTTGCCACAAACATAATTTGTACTAGCAATGTTAATTACATGGCATCTAAAAATCTTTCAGAAAAAATATTTAAAAAGAAAGGAGAGGAATAAAGAAAATTTTCAATCATACACATGAGATAGGGACACACAGTACAAGATATAAAAGTTCCCACCCAAATAACACACTTTTCAATGCACTTTCACATTCATTCTTTTATTTGAAATCCCTAATCCCAAGAAGTTAGGTAATATCATCATTCTGTAAATAAATCAGTGGCCTACATGATATCACTGGGTCGAGGCAGAGAAATGAGCCAAGCAGAAGAACCAAAGCTTAGGAGGACATTTTCCCCACCCACCTCACTACAACAGCGCACCACTCAGACATACCACGGTCAAAGGCAGGAATCCCAGCAGGACACAGAACTCGCCGGAAAACCCTGACTGAAGTCAAACACCTCTTTCCCTAAGTGGAGGTGGGGAAGTGAAGGTTTGTACCTCTAATCCCTAACACAGTTCCTGCAACACAGTAGGAGTGCCTGAAACATCTGCTGCAGCAATGTTATATGTGAAAGCAAATTCTCTCATTGCAGAAGGGCTCCTGGGTAATCAATCAAGTCCCCAAGTTCACAGTAACTTTATAAGCAGTTTTGTTAAGATCCTATTTGGTAGAACAGAATATCCAGTGTACTTACACCCCATTTGCCAAATGCCAACAGTTTTTACAAACATAAATAAGTAGATTCTTTTCAGAGCTGGACAACTGATACACCCCACTGCTTCACCCCCTTGTTGGGTAAGTCCTTTCTGAAGGATGTAAATATACCAGCATGCTCCTGGGTTCATCGAAATCAACAGAAGTTTCCAGTTTGCAAAGATCCAAAAGAAAGGCTATAAATAGCAGCACATTCCTAAACCCAGCTTGGGGAACTAGCTCTCAACTGGATTTTCACAGGACTCCAATTCATCCCCAACTGCCAGATCCATAAGGGGACGCTAAATCCGAGCTTACACAACCTCACCAAAGGCTACTGCCCAATTTCCACGTGGCTGCGAGTCCTAACAGAACTGTTCATGTATATTCCTTGCAAGAGGCCAACCAAGAACTAGGTTAGAAATTATTTAAACTATGGGAGGAAGTCTAAGTAGCAAGGGCCAGAAAAAAACCATCAAATAGGAGGAAACACGCCATCTCAGCCTGTCTCCAGTAGCAACGGGAAGAAATGGGGTCAAAGGGGTGCTCCTTTAGGAAATCAGTGAATTCCCTGAAGCTTACAGAGAGCTGGTGCAGGAAACCAGTCCTTGGGGAGCTAGATCCCTGGTTTCTGGGCACAACTGGCACCTGTCAGGGTTAGAAGTCCAGCCAAGTCATTTCTACCCTGCAGAATAGGACATAAACTAATCACATGGGGAAAAAATGGGTGGTGCTGAGCTGGCTGGAGGGAAGCAAGGGCGTCAGAAAGGAAGACTGGCCCAGCACCCGACCAGGCAGAGGGAGAAAGAGAGATGGTGACTGATGCCCCTGTGGAGTGTTGGGGGTTTATGATTTCCAGATCCAGGGCCTCTAGGATGCTCAACTACTTTACCACCAACTGCTAACAGCCACTAACCTTTACTGGAATTTTTACTTACATTATCATTTCTTATCTCTACAACTCTGAGATAGGTGTTAATATTAAACCCATCTTAGAAATGGAGATGATCAAGAACAAAGTATTGAAGCTGAAGTCACTCATCTGGGAAATGGCTGGGCCAACATTTGAACCAAGGTCTGTTGCACGCAGGGCCAACTCTGAAGCAAGACTACTCCCTATGAAGCATGGAAGCAAAAGCAGAAACTGGCTTTTTTCTTGGCTGCACTGTGTTCAATTTGTTTCCTAGCTGTGAAGCCCCAGGCAAGGTCAATTAGCATCTCTGTGCCTCAGTTTCCTCATCCATAAAATAATAATAGTTTCTAAGCCTTATATGAGATTACTAGGGTTTATCCAAGTTAAGACTTGATAAATGCTAGCCATTATTGCTGTGATTATTATTATCTGTGGTAATAAGAGCAAAGCAGTTGCTATCCTCACCAAGCTCACAGCTCAGCTGGGGATATAAAATCAAACATCCAGAAAAGGACAAGGAATCACATGAGCTGGGCTGGAAGGGGCAGTGTTAAATGTGGGGTGCAGAAAAGATAAGCCCTGGGGGTGAGTGAGCAGCGACCACACAGCACTGCTCAGGTGGTACCACAAGGCCAGGCAGGCACCCACATCCCCACATGCAAGCCAGTGTTTCTCTTCCTTCCAGGAACAGGAAGCAGATAATGACTAAACAGAGAACTACAAAAGTCCTAAACGAAGGGTTTTCCAATTAGTCACAGGTTAGGTCGGGCAATGTTCCTGCAAGACAGGCACGTGGGCTGGCTTCTGAGAACATAGGAACTGGAAAAGGAAGGTGAGTAAATGTTGAGCTCCAAGGATCTGTCCCGGCTGAAGTCCCCTGGTGTGAAGTCCCCGCTACTGCTGTTAGAGAAAGGGCAAAGTAAAGGAGGGAGTAGGAAAGAAAATAAAGGTCACTTCAGAAAAGGCAAACGAAGGAAAGATTGAACAGAAGTAACCAGGAAAACCCTAGACGTAGGGAAGTCAATGTTAAAGAAGAGAAATGAATGTCACTAGCATGAAACCCAAACAAGAACTCTGAAAACCAGTAGCAACCAGTGAGACACACAGAAAAAAATACTATTAATAATAGTCACATATTGATGTATAATGTGTACAGTTACTATTTCAAGCATTTTTCAGATATTAACTCATTTCATCCTTACAATAACTCTATGGGGTAGCTTCTATTATTTCCAGCCCCATTTAAAGATGTAAAACTACAGAACAGAGAGGTTAAGTAACCTATGCCAGGTCACACAGGTAGCAAGTATCAAAGGTGACTTTAATCCAGGCAGCCTGGCTCCAGAACTCCACACTCTGCTCCATTACTGCTGAAATGTGAGGGCTCACAGTTTCAACATTCAGTAAAAGTCCATGGAATGGGATTCTCCATAGCTCATCTCTATTATAGATACTACAGGGTTCACGTAGTAGAGTTAGAGAAGGTAGAAAACCTACAGATAATCATTATCCCTGTAACACAGCAATAAATCTACAATGACAGAATGGCATTTCCTAGTGAGTCAGTTATTAGGAAGAGAAGGTACATTTAAAAGTTACGTTCTTTCCAAGTCAATTTATCTTTTTTTTTAACCAAGTGCTAATTGTTAAAAAGTAATTCTGCTGCCATTTGTAAGATACAAAATTAAAATGCTACCCTGATCTACATATAACACTGATGAAACAGTTGGTTACTTCTCAGAAATCCTAAACTTCCTTTGCACTCTTAAAACAATAGAAACACTTTGTATGAAGGGATCAGATTTGTCATCACCCACTTTGTCCAAAATGATCTCAATTGTGAATGAAAAATGTTAAGTGAAAAAAAAACACATACAAAGCAGTATTTAGAGCTTAAATGGTCCCAGTTTTTATAAGAAAAAAAAAGACATCAAAATGTTATCAAAGTGGTAAGATTATAAGTCATTTTTTTTCTTTAGTGTTTTGTGTCTTAGCATTCCCCACATTTCCTTTTATTTTAATTATTCACAGTAAAATCACAAAATGTTTTTCAAAAAAGGGAGGAGGTATGCACAGAAAAAAAGGAACCCCCTCCCCCTCCCCCTCCCCCTCTCCCTCTCCCCTCTTTCCACGGTCTCCCTCTGATACCGAGCCGAAGCTGGACTGTACTGCTGCCATGTCGGCTCACTGCAACCTCCCTGCCTGATTCTCCTGCCTCAGCCTGCCGAGTGCCTGCGATTGTAGGCCCGCGCCGCCACGCCTGACTGGTTTTCGTATTTTTTGGGTGGAGACGGGGTTTCGCTGTGTTGGCCAGGCTGGTCTCCAGCTCCTAACCGCGAGTGATCCGCCAGCCTCGGCCTCCCGAGGTGCCGGGATTGCAGACGGAGTCTCCTTCACTCAGTGCTCAATGGTGCCCAGGCTGGAGTGCAGTGGCGTGATCTCGGCTCGCTACAACATCCACCTCCCAGCAGCCTGCCTTGGCCTCCCAAAGTGGCGAGATTGCAGCCTCTGCCCGGCCGCCACCCCGTCTGGGAAGTGAGGAGCGTCTCTGCCTGGCCGCCCATCGTCTGGGATGTGAGGAGCCCCTCTGCCTGGCTGCCCAGTCTGGAAAGTGAGGAGCATCTCTGCCCGGCCGCCATCCCATCTAGGAAGTGAGGAGCGCCTCTTCCCGGCCGCCACCCCATCTAGGAAGTGAGGAGCGTCTCTCCCCGGCCGCCCATCGTCTGAGATGTGGGGAGCGCCTCTGCCCTGTCGCCTCGTCCGGGATGTGAGGAGCGTCTCTGCCCGGCCGCCCCGTCTGAGAAGTGAGGAGACCCTCTGCCTGGCAACCGCCCTGTCTGAGAGGTGAGGAGCCCCTCTGCCCGGCCAGCCGCCCCATCCAGGAGAGAGGTGGGGGGGTCAGCCCCCCGCCTGGCCAGCCGCCCCGTCCGGGAGGGAGGTGGGGGGGTCAGCCCCCCGCCTGGCCAGCCGCCCCGTCTGGGAGGTGAGGGGCGCCTCTGCCCGGCCGCCCCTACTGGGAAGTGAGGAGCCCCTCTGCCCGGCCAGCCGCCCCGTCCGGGAGGGAGGTGGGGGGGGGGGTCAGCCCCCTGCCTGGCCAGCCGCCCCGTCCGGGAGGGAGGTGGGGGTCAGCCCCCCGCCCGGCCAGCCGCCCCATCCGGGAGGTGAGGGGAGCCTCTGCCCGGCCGCCTCTACTGGGAAGTGAGGAGCCCCTCTGCCTGGCCAGCCGCTCCCTCCGGGAGGGAGGTGGGGGGGTCAGTCCCCGGCCCGGCCAGCCGCCCCGTCCGGGAGGGAGGTGGGGGGGTCAGCCCCCCACCCGGCCAGCCACCCCGTCCGGGAGGTGAGGGGCGCCTCTGCCCGGCCACCCCTACTGGGAAGTGAGGAGCCCCTCTGCCCGGCCACCACCCTGTCTGGGAGGTGTACCCAACAGCTCATTGAGAACGGGCCATGATGACAATGGCAGTTTTGTGGAATAGAAAGGGGGGAAAGGTGGGGAAAAGATGGAGAAATCGGATGGTTGCCGTGTCTGTGTAGAAAGAGGTAGACATGGGAGACTTTTCATTTTGTTCTGTACGAAGAAAAATTCTTCTACCTTGGGATCCTGTTGATCTGTGACCTTACCCCCAACCCAACCCTGTGCTCTCTGCAACATGTGCTGTGTCCACTCAGGGTTAAATGGATTAAGGGCGGTGCAAGATGTGCTTTGTTAAACAGACGCTTGAAGGCAGCATGCTCGTTAAGAGTCATCACCACTCCCTAATCTCAAGTACCCAGGGACACAAACAATGCGGAAGGCCGCAGGGTCCTCTGCCTAGGAAAACCAGAGACCTTTGTTCACTTGTTTATCTGCTGACCTTCCCTCCACTATTGTCCTGTGACCCTGCCAAATCCCCCTCTGCGAGAAACACCCAAGAATGATCAATAAAAAAATAAATAAATAAATATAAAAAAAAAAAAAAGAAAGAAAAAAAGGAACCTGTTAAAAAAAATACCTCCCAAGTATAATTAACATTTATGTTTTCTTGCTGGAACTCTGGGGCATTTTTTTCTCTTTTTCTACTTTTTGCAGTTTCTAAAATGTCCTGATCATAATCGATAGTTTTTTTTTTTAACTGTAAGTAACAGTCAATGAGGAGCCATCATTACTATAAGGTTGAACCATATGAAATTGTCACTGTAGTGTCAGAGTAATATTAATAGTGTAGACAGCGGTAAACCAGGATACTGGAAATCCCTTAGTAAAGAGACTACTAAACCTACAATCCATCATATTGACATTTTAGATGTTTCCATTGGTTGGAGGCAGAGACAGTGCTATGAAATCTTTGGTGAAAACCACAGGAAACAAGAGTCAAAGAAAACCATATAGTAGTATAACTTCTACTTTATTACACTATAAAACACAATGTAAACACATAAATAGTAAAGAACAGCCTGATAATTTTTTTTCTTTCCCACTAAATCTTTTTTTTTTTTTGAGATGGAGTCTCACTCTGTGGCCCAGGCTGGAGTGCAGTGGTGTGATCTCTGCTCACTGCAACCTCTGCCTTCCAGGTTCAAGTGATTCTCCTGTCTCAGCCTCCCAAGTAGCTGGGACTACAGGCACGTGCCACCATGCCCAGCTGATTTTTTGTATTTTTTTAGTAGAGACAGGGTTTCACCATGTTGGCCAAGATGATCTCTATCTCCTGACCTCGTGATCTGCCCGCCTTGACCTCCCAAAGTGCTGGGATAATAGGCATGAGCCACCGCACCCGGCCGCCCCACTAAATCTTTTAAAAACACTTTTGAGCCTTTATCTTCTAAATAGTAAACTATGCAATTTCAGAGAGATTATTCCAGCCCCAACGTTTTCATATTATGAGTTGGTTTTTCCCAATAGGAAAGACTTGTCTGTTCCATTTTTCCTAAACCCAGTTCTCCAACACCAACCGGGTGTCCCACAATTCAATTAAATTCTGATACCACCTAGCATTTAGTGCAGACTCCACAGGTTAAATACTCAATCCCACAAGACTGACCCCACTTCAGATGCCAGCCGCAAATGGGGTCCCCAGGCTAACTGCACTTCTGCCTAGGGACTACAAATTGGGGGCTTTCCATGACCCCCCTCAATAAGTTTGGCATTTTGCTAGAATTATCAGAGGCGTTTGAACCAGAATAACTCCATCTTGAATAATGGCTGGGTAAAATGAGGCTGAGACCTACTGAGTTGCATTCCAGGAGGTTAGGCATTCTAAGTCACAGGATGAGATAGGAGATCAGCATAAGATACAAGTCACAAAGACCTTGCTGATAAAAGGGTGTGGTAAAGAAGCCAGTGAAAGTCCACCAAAATCAAGACTCAATGAAAGTGACCTCTGGTTATCCTTACTGCTCATTATATGCTAACTATAATACATTGGCATGCTAAGAAACACTCCCACCAGCACCATGACAGTTTACAGATGCCATGGCAATGTTGGGAAGTTACCTATATGGTCTAAAAAAAGTAGGAAGCCTCAGTTCTGAGAATTGCTCACCCTCTTCCTGGAAAACTCACGAATAATCCACCCCTTGTTCGGCGTATAATCAAGAAGTAACCATAAAAATAGCCAACCAGCAGCCCCGAGGGCTGCTGTGGAATAGCCTGTGGAATAGCCATTCTTTATTCCTTTACTTTCCAATAACCTTGATTTCACTTTACTCTACGGATTTGCCCGGAAGTCTTCCTTGCACGAGGTCCAAGAACCCTCTTCTGGGGTCAAGATCGGGACTCTTTTGGGCAACAATGACTCACAGAATTCAGAAAATCCCTACACTTATGATTACAGTTTTATTATGAAGCATACAACTCAGATACAGCCAAATGGTAGAGATTCATAGGGCAAGGTATGGTTGGGGAGCAGGCACGAAAACAGAACTTCCAAGCCCCCTCCAGGCACACCATCCTCCCAACACATCCATATGTCACCAACCCAGAAGCTCCTAGCCTCCTTGCTGCAGTTTTAACCAAGTTTTTATCACACAGGTTTGACTGATAAAATCACTGGCTGTTGTTGAGTGAACCCAATCTCCAGCCCCTTTCCCTTCCCAGAGATCAGGGATTGCAGCTAAAAGTTCTAACCCTGTAATCACATGGTTGGTTCCTCCGGCAACTAGTCCCCATCCCGTAGCTACCTGGGGGCCCACCAAGAGTCCAAGGATCACATTAGCACAAACTCAGGTATGGTCTAAAGGAGCTCATTATGAGTAACAAAAAATGTTCCTATCACTCAAGAAATCCCAAGGGTTATTTTTAGGAGTCCCAGGAATCAGGGACAAGATCAAATATATCATTTGTATTACACCACATTGACTCAAAGTCAAGAGTCTTTACTCACTAATATATCAAGATGCAGCACTGAACCAGTGTAGAAAAGATCAACCTTCTCAATCACAGGTTTGTGGCGGCAACAGATCAACTACCATATGGTTCATGCAAAAGAATTCTCTTTCCCTCCTTCAAGTCTTCTCCATCCCTATCCCTCCCACCCACCCAGGAACTAAGATCCACCAGATCTACTTAGTTTGTGTAACTACTGTTTCCATAATATGTAGGCATTGGATGTATACTGAATTACTTTGAAGCTGGTTAGTTTTCCTTCCCCCAAATCTATTTCATCACATCATAAGAAATTAAGGGACTGAGAAAACTCACCAGAAGTGACAGAGATGGAGCCCTTAGCCAAGCAGGATTTACAAATCATCCCAATGCTGATATGCATGGTTTATTTAGAGATTGCCTTAACACTGACAGTCCTCCAGACTGGGAAGGAGAAGTAAACAAGGACAAGACCCACAGTAGGGCCAAAAAATGAAAATATACCAACATACTTCCAAAATATAAATGTTTAATGGTTGAGAATTCAATAGTCTGGACCATGTGTGGTGGCTCATGCCTGTAATCAAGAATTCAATAGACAAGCTGATTTGTATAATTTGAAGGTATTTACTCTAACTTAAGAAAAATACATAATTAGCGAGCTTTAACCATTAATGAACACTCCTTGGCTTTCACACCACCAAGCCATCAAGACTATATACTTTTTTTTTCTTTTTTTTTTTTTTTTTTTTTGAGACAGGGTTTCACTCTGTAGCCCAGGCTGGAGTGCAGTGGCACTATCACAGCTCACTGCAGCCTTGCACCTCTGGGCTTAAGTGATCCTCCTGCCTCAACCTCCTGAGTAGCTGGGATGAAAGGCACATGCCACCATGCCCAGCTAATTTTTGTCCTATTTTTGTAGAGACGGGGTCTTGCTATGGTTTTCGGGCTGGTCCTGAACTCCTGGCCTCAAGCGATCCTCCTGCCTCAGCATCCCAAAGTGCTGAGATTACAGGCGTGAGCCACCACACTAGGCCAAAACTATATACTTAGCACTTACTTCATGATTCTCATTTCTCAGCACTCCTTAAACTTTGAAAAATTGTTTCTATCTGCATATCATATGGATTGCATTAAATCTATTCTGCTGCATAGATCCTATTTGTGTTACTTACAAAGGACTGTATTATGTTTGATGGCTCACCCTCTGCCTCCCTACCACCTACACTTCTGCAGATAAGGAAATGGGAATGGCAATCTGAACTGCCCTGCTGACAGCACAGGGCCCTGTCTCCTTTCGGCTCAGCCTCTGGGGCTCTTCTATCACATGGAAATGCATGGGGGCCTCTTGTTGTCCCCTATCCTCCGCAACTACACAGTAAAGTGCAGTTTCAGGGGCTCTGTCGCCTAACCTCAGTCTCCCCTCTGCAGCCTCATCTCACATGACTTCCACTGAGGAGTCTCTGCCACACCCAGTCTGCATTAACTTCTCTATTCCCACCTCCATGCCTTTGCACACAGGCTGTTTCCTTTGCTCAGCACACCATTCCATACACTCCCTTTTAAGGTCCACTGAAAATGCCAAGTTTCAGGCTATGAATGAAGTCTTTTCCATCGCCCTTATCAGAAGGAAAGTCTCCCTCCCTTTGATCCCACACAGCACTTTGTCTGTAGTTCTCTGATTACACCAAACACATTCTCTACTATACTATAGTGATTTGTATTCATAGCTTATCTCCCCCTTCTCAATCACAAGTTTGTGGAGAACAAAAAAGAAGTTTGTTATTCATTTTACATACCTACATAGCACCTGACGATATCTCAAATAAGAGAAACCTCATTTTTAAATTAACTGCACACTGTAAAGAATGATCTACAAGTTTTACCTGCAATGACTATTAAAAAGGGCTGAGTTGACAATCACGACTGTGAAATGAGTTTCACCTTCAAAACCCAGCTTCTTGGCTCTATCACATAGCTTTAAACAATATCCAATGCTTCCCTTTTTCTTTTGGTGGTTGTTCTGTGTTTTGCCTTTAGAAGGAGGATGGAAAGAACTGAGGAAGCAGTAAAAGCATTCAGGCCGTACGAGCATATAGAAAAAACTTGCAAAGAAAAATGAAGAAACGCCTGCTCATTAGCCATCTGCCACTTCACCAATGCCAGGAAATTCCGGGCAGCTGTTTTTTATAAAGTGGATAATTCACATAATTGTGTTGGGGACTTCCAGCTATGAAGAACTGTTAGAACATTTGAAAATTAGTGTTCCCAAGTTGTACTGTGATACAAAAGCCCAGTGAATTCTTCAAACTTCCACCTCTTACAGGAATCTGAGAAAACCAGATAATGTTTACATCTACGCATGGGGAAGGAAGGCTTGGCAGATTATTGGTATCGAAAGGAATTCTTTTTAGTTAGTTTTTAACCCTACCTGTCTTGTGAATGTGCTATGTACAGGCTCTTTGTAAGTCTTCAACCATGCAGCAAAATCCATCTAGCCACTCAAAGATTGGTAATAGCATAATTGTCTAATGTGTGTCTTTTCAGGAAATTGAAATTGATATGTTGTATCTCCCTCATGCCAAAATTTTATAAAAATCATTTCTAAGCCTAATGACATGTAAACTGAATTACCCCCTCCAAATATTTACTCTAAAAGCAAGTGGACAATTTCTGTAGAATTCCTAAGATAATCATCTCCTGCTAAAAACAAAATCTACATTCAATTTATAAGATGCCTTTGTATTCTCTTTAAGAAGATGAACCTATAGTGAAAAAGCTCAAAAACAAATTAAATATAAAACTTTCCTTCTACTAGTGGTGCTGGGCACCGAATACCTGCAATTTCACATAATGCAAAGCACATTTGAGAACAATGAACACACACCTCACGTTGACTTCCCCTCCTCTGACTTGAGCAAGAAATTCCCCTTCTCTTCATCTTGGTTATTCCCTGTAAGTCTCAGTTTCCACATCTCCACAGAACAGAGAATAACATGCAACCTGCTCCACACAGTGGTTGCAAGAATTAAATTTGATCAGGCAATCAAATATTTTGTACACATTTCATATGCTCAGCTGCCTCAAGAAGCTCTAGTTAGACAAAACAAACATGGTGGAAACAATTGCATGTAACTGAGGGCTAAATAACATGGAAAAGATGCAACATGTATCCATAGACTTGTGGACAGTGTATTCACAGGAGGCAATAAAGGCAGTGAGAATACCTAGGAAATGTTTCCTGGAAATGCTATCCTTGATCTCAGCTTGAAGGATGGTCAGAGGACAGGATACATACAGCCCCAAGAAGAGGAGAGGGGATTCCATCTACTCTTATCTCTTTCACTCCCCTGCTCACAGTTGATACTTAGCCAGCATCACCTGGAAACATGAGAGTTGAAAAGCAAATCTCCAGACCCATCCCAGTCCTATGGACTCAGCACTCTCAGGTGGGGCTCAGAGATCTGTTTTAACCAGCCTTCCAGCTGGACTTCTGAACACTCAAGTTTGGGAACCACTGCTGTTGCTTTGCTTGATCTTACCTCCTCTCTTCGGTGACCACAAGTTCTTTCCACCTGACCAACTCCTGCAGTTTTTGCAGCTGTAAATTTCACTTTCATTTCCTCCAGAGAGCATGCCCAACCTGCACTGGAGTCTAGTTTGTCCATGCATGTCCCAACCCCAGCCCTAGGTTAGGTATTTTGGCCCTGTGTCATACTTTCCTTGACAAGGTACTCAGGGCATGTCATTTTGCTTGTTTAATTGCCTTCCTGATAACCTACTAGCTCCATAAAGGCAGGTACTGAGTCTATTTTGTTCACATCACTTCATTCTCAGAGCCTTGCACACTGTAAGGTACTTTGTTAATACCTGTTGGATAAATAAGTAAATCAAAGAAGCCACGAAACAATTGGTTTTGAATAGTATAAAGTACTATAAAATCAGGAATATGATACATATACAATTAACAGATGCATTTGAAGTACCGGTTGTAGAAACACAGCTGAGTTTAGTTTGTCTTTGAGAAGAGTTTCATGAAGAGATTTGGGTTTCGAAAATCTCTGCACTGAAAATGCTACCAATGTCACACCATATCACCTGATAAGGTAGTATTGATTGTTTGTTATTATCATTCTTGGCAGTATTGCTTGTTTGTCATTATCATTCATTTTTCCTCCATGACCAGATTTTTCTGCCTTTGGAGCAATTTGGCCCACAGAGGCTGGCAGACAAAACAGCCTCTCACCAGTGCAAGAGAAGGGCTGTGGGGAGGCTTACATCTAAGATTTGTGGGTGAATATTGGAAACAGTAACTCTTCACTTTATTATAAAGAAAAAGCTTTGGACCAAGAGTCCTAACACCTGAATTCTAACTCTGGCTTCCTTCCTTCCCTCATTTAAATATTTAAATATTTACTCTATTCCGGGCCCTGTGCTTGGATCTGAGCCTACAATGGCGAACAAGACATACACGTAGTCCCTCCCTCACCAAACCTAAAGGTCTGCTCATCTGCTATGGGCTACAGCCACTCCTGACTCCTACAGGACACCGAACCTTTCTGGGCTAGTTTCCCCATCTGCAAAGAGAGGGTGTTAATTACAAGATGACCATCAAAGTCCCTTCTGAATCTAAAATATGACTAAGAATAACACAATTACTCCCATGAGTCAGTTAGCCAAAGTTCTTCCTAGTCCTCCTCATCCTACATCCAAGGAGCTGAGAAACCAGGCCCTTGAGCATGAGGATCAAGGGCATATGTAGATCAAGGAAACCTGCCATAGGCAGCAAGGCTGGATCCACTTCCATAGACAGTCTAACAGAATGGGAAGAGTCCCAGAATGAGGAAAGACACTCACTTAAGTCCTGGCTGTGCCAGCTCAGTTTCTGCATCTGCTAAATAAAAGCTTGGAGGACACAGTCAAGGTCTCTTCCAGCCCTAATACTACAGGACTCTGCTTCCTCCTCCTAAGAGTCTCATTCATTGAAACACTCATCAAAGAGCCACGAGAAGATGAACAATAAGCACTCAGACCCTGGATAATCACAAAGCATGTCATCATCAAATCTACATCAAATACTAAAGAAAAACTGTCACAATTTTGTGACTACACCTATAGATCAGCTATCTAAGAATAAACCAATTGGTGAATCTTCCAAAGTTCTTCCAGAAGAAAATGTCATGCTCTACCCTACACATTAGGCCATTCTTGCACTGCTATAAAGAAATACCTGAGGCTGGGCACGGTGGCTCACGCCTGTAATCCCAACACTATGAGAGCCCAAGGCAGGTGGATCACCTGAGGTCAGGAGTTCCAGACCAGCCTAGCCAACATGGTGAAACCCAGTCTCTACTTAAAAATACAAAAATTAGCCGGGCATGGTGGCAGGTGCCTGTAATCCCAGCTACTCAGGAGGCTGAGGCAGAAGAATCACTTGAACCCAGGAGGCAGAGGTTGCAGTGAGCCGAGATCACACCATTGCACTCCAGCAGCCTGAGCAACAGAACAAGACCTTGTCCCCCCAAAAAAGAAATACCTGAGACTGAGTAATTTATTTTTTAAAAAAAGAGGTTTAATTGGCTCACAGTTCTGCAGGCTGTATAGGAAGCATAGTGGCATCTGCTTCTGGGGAGGCCTCAGAAGCTTCCAGTCATGGCAGAAGGCAACAGAGGAGCAGGCACATCACATGGCGGAAGCAGGAGCAAGAGAGAGTTGGGGGGGAGGTACCACACACTTTTAAACAAACAGATCTCTTGTGAACTCACTCACTATCGTGAGGGCAGCACTTCTCATGATGATGCTAAATCATTCATGAGAAATCTACCCCCATGATCCAATCACCTTCCACCAGGCCCCACCTCTAATACTGGGGATTACCATTCAACATGAAATTTGGGCAGGGACAAATATACAGACTATATCACCTTATAAAGGTAATGCTTTCCTTCCTTCTTTGCTTAGTTTTGGTGGCTAATGGCTCTGCCCCACAAATCCCCTGCCTCCCAAGAGAACTCTGCCAAGCCCATCAGACCCTACTCCTTCGGGCACTGCCCAACATCCCCTCCTCAAAGCCCCCTCTGCCCTTTACACAACCAGCACCCAGGGCTCAGGAGCAACAGGTGACAGGAAACCCCTCAAGTAATGGCAGAGGCCCAAAAAGGAAAATTCTGGAGTGGTTAGGAACTTTGTCTCATTCTTTAGCTGTGATAGGTTAGTATCTGGTTTAGCCTAGGCAATAATAATAATACACTTTTTCATCACTTACTGTGTGCCAAGCACTCACTAGTTTTATCTTACATAACTGACACAACAATGCTATGAGGCAGCTCAGCCATATTCTCTCTATAATACCGATAAGGAAAGTAATTTAAAGATTTTTTTTCTCTCTGTACAACAGGCACTTTTATTAGTGGCTGGAATGCAGTTATCCACAAGAGTGCACAAACAAAATGGGAGAGGAGGATCAGGTAGGGCTGGCAGCTGGCAAGGGAAATGGGAGATACCTGGCTGGCGGGTTCTCTCTGTTTGAGATCCTGGGACAGTGCTATCAAGTAAAGAGAAGAAGCCGGGGGCCTTGGGGTATTGCAGGTGGGAATGGAAAACCAGGTCCTCTGAGTTCAACAGGTTTGGCAAAAGGATCCCCAAGGTAAGATGTCCGGCCCCTCTACCCATCCATCCTCCAGAAAATCCCTTGGGTAGATTCAGTTTCTCTTACAAAGAGAACTGTGTTAGTAACTGGCAAAAGAAAGCAGAGGAGAAATTTGGCCCAAACTCTCCATCTAGCCGACAAGTTTCCATTCTAATTGGCACCCATTCATAAAGTCACTTGGAATAAACAAAATCTTAGTTTTTTGGGGGTACCCTTATTTTCTTAGATTTCACACTAGAGTACCAAAGTTGTACTTCTTTTTCTGAAGTGTCACTCATTTGAGGACTTATTTTCCCCATTGGAAATTTTGCTACTTTGAGCAGTTTTATATTTGCCTCCTAACAGACACAAATAAATGAGTCACAGAAGCGAAAATGCAGGACCATAATCCCTTATCTGAAAACCTGGAAGTCAGATGTGCTTCAAAGTTCAAACCTTGTGATTTTAGGAAGGTAATGCAATGCATTTAGCGCACAACCTGTAACACTCAAATCAAATTCATTAATATTATTCAGCAGAACATGCAAATAGTCAAGATAGAATAATATATACCATAGAACCACACATTAGGCTGGGTGTGGTGGTGCATCCCTATAATCCCAGCACTTTGGGAGGCCGAGGTGGGTGGATCACATGAGGTCAAGAGTTCCAGATCAGCCTGGCCAATATGGTGAAACCCCATCTCTACTAAAAATACAAAAATTAGCTGGGCGTGGTGCATGCCTGTAATCCCAGCTACTCGGGAGGCTGAGGCAGGAGAATCTCTTGAACCCGGGAGGCGGAGCTTGCAGTGACCCGAGATCACACCACTGCACTCCAGCCTGGGAGACAGAGAGAGACTCCATCTCAAAAAAAAAATTAAAAACCTCACATTAGTTCAAGTTAAGTTTTACAACCTACAGAGGGTATCAAAAGCCTACAAGAAAAACTTGTTTTCAGAGCTTTTTACATTTCAGAATTATCCATAAAGGATTACACACTTGCAAATGGCTCAAAAACTAGAAGAAAACAAAATCAACCTGATAGTTACCAACCATGTACAAATTAAAACAATCAAGGTACCAATTTTTGCCTAACAAATTAGCGAATATGTTTTTCAGAGAAAATAACAAGAATATGAAATTGAGTCTTTTTGGCTATTGCTGTGAGAATGTAACCTGGGATGACCTTCAGATCAACACTGATGTCATCAATTGCCTCAAAAATGTGAACATCTTTGACCCTCAAAGTGCCTTTTCAGGAACCCATTTTCTGTGGAAGTCCTCTGATATTTAGGCAAAGTTTCATGCACAGAGGCATTCATTGAAATGAGTTTTAAAACTCACTTAAAAATAATGAGCAACTGAAATCTCCCAAATAGATACATAGAAGTAAAATACAGTGAATCCATATAGTGGAACAGTAGGCAGCCCTTTTTTGGGTGTATAGGGAAATAGAGAAACATTTCTGTGTAACATAAACTGAAAAAGTCATGATACAAAGTTATATTGCATTATGAACCTATCCGAGTTAAAAATGCAATTAAAGAACCTATGCGAGTTAAGAACGCAATTACAGGCTCATGCCTGTAATCCCAGCACTTTGGGAGGCCGAGGCGGGCGGATCATGAGGTCAGAAGATCGAGACCATCCTGGCTAACACGGTGAAACACTGTCTCTACTAAAAATATAAAAACAAAATTAGCCAAGCATGGTGGTGGGCGCCTGTAGTCCCAGCTACTTGGGAGGCTGAGGCGGGAGAATGGCATGAACCCTGGAGGCGGAGCTTGCAGTGAGCTGAGATCGCGCCGCTGCACTCCAGCCTGGGTGACAGAGCAACACTCCATCTCAAAAAAAAAAAAAAAAAAAAAATGCAATTAGAGAAGACCAGAATGAAATATGCTAACAATGGCTAGTGCCTTGGAGTAATGGAATCAAGGGTGATTCTCGCTCCTTCCTCCCACAAACTTTAGATCTTTGGGGAAATTTTCCAAAAATACCTAGTGCACTGTATTTTAGCTAAAGGGAAATGAGAAAAGATGGCTTGGCTACTTAACTCCTATGCAACAGTAGCAAACTCTAATCTGAGGTGTCACTCTGGGCTTTTTAAAAATCCCTATCATTGCAAAGCTATCACCACCTCCAGAATAAAAACTGTTTAATATATGTGGTCCACATTTATTTGACAGTTTAAATGACGTAATATAAATCAAGCCTAATGCGCACTCTGGAGAAAAAATACTATATTTTTTAAAGATACACAGGATAAAAGATATATGCCACTTTGCCATTTACCCAGAACTTTCAGAGACAAGAGCTCAGTAAGACAGAGCAGCCAGTAGGACAGAGAGACAGGTGTTGGCACAATGCCCATTTTACAGGTGAGGAAATGGAGGTGGACAGAACCATATGCTGCAGGCATCAGGGTCTCCTTCTGTTTTTTTTTTTTTTTTTTTTTTTTTTTTGAGACGGAGTCTTGCTCTGTCACCCAGGCTGGAGTGCAGTGGCACGATCTCAGCTCACTGCAACCTCCGCTTCCCAGGTTCGAGTGATTCTCCTGCCTCAGCCTCCCCAGTAGCTGGGACTACAGGCATGTGCCACCACATCCAACTAATTTTTGTATTTCTAGTAGAGACGGGGTTTCACCATATTGGCCAGGCTGGTCTTGAACTCCTGACCTCGTGATCTGCCCGCCTTGGCCTCCCAAAGTGCTGCGATTACAGGCGTGAGCCACTGCACCCGGCTTCCTTCTGATTTTTGACTTCAAGTCCAAGGCCCTGACTTAAGGCTTGGTGCTCTTTCCACCATAGCATCCCATGACCTTGTTACTTACTGATTCTTTACAAATATGTTAGAATAAAAAGAATTTTCTTACTCAAAAAAATAGTTTAGTAATAATAAGCATGGACTTCAAAATCAAACAGATCTGACTCAATGGACTCCATGACAAAATCCAGCTTACACATGAGTGACTTTTTCAACTTCTCTGAGGCTCAATTTCCTCATCTACAAACACAGGAATAAAATTATGTATATAACTGACAGGAAATTAATTGTAAGAATGAAATGATCTAGGTATTTAGACTACCGCCTGCACACAAACCAGGTAATAATAAAAATTGAATTCCTTTTTCCTAAAAGAGTAAAGTGTCTACAGTGTACTAACACCAAATTCTGATTTTAGTTTTTATAAATCACACCAGAATTATTAATATACCCGCTTTCAGCAGCACACCAAATCTTTACAACCACTTAAGTGTCCGAAATTATTAGGAACCACTCAACCTAATAGTTTATACCAATGACAATTTAATTTATTCTTTTTGTCAGCTTTAAATCATTTCTCTATTGTTTCAATAAGTCATTAAACTTCAACATTAGGGCCAAAGAATCATTTTTAAAGAAACAATAAAATCTGTTGTTTGTTCACTTGGGGCTTTGGTCTCTCACATTCAAATTCAACTCTTCAAATTTCCAAATAGATTCATTTCATTTCCATTTTTAGAGGGGGTAGGGGCAGGGAATTGACAGAGACTTCTCACATTTTTCATTTCCTTTTAAAATTAAATGTAGATATGGACTCCCAAGCTCCAAGGTGTGCTTTTTCAAAACTTTCCAAACACTATATATTATGTGGATGTACAGCTTCGCAGCTACCTGGCTAAGAGAGACCCCAGAATTTAATAAAGCTTATCTTTAGTTTCTAAAAAGGAGTCAGAATGCTGGAGGGAAGCCTGCAGCCCAAGGACAATGCATTTTTCATCTCACCAGCCCCAGGACCTCTTCCACCCACTCCTTACTCGAGGGCTATGCCCACTGTCTGAGAGAGAAACTAATAAACCTGAAGGTTGAGTAACCAGAGAACTTAAGGACATTAATAAGCCAAGACGTGGAAAATCATCCCTTTGGGTGCTTGTGGTATATAGTTTCGAATGCTGCTGCTAAGAGACAAGTTTAATGAGATTCTTCTACTAGGAAGGAAGTGAAAAAGGCATTGCCACTACCCACCGTGAAGCTATCTGCCCTTCTTTTCTCTACTTGACAACTTCTGATAACCACATGCTTACAATTTTATGACGTTCTAAACTATCTTAGAATCTCAGCGAGATTGCAGAGGTTGACTCATATTCTATTTTTCCTCTGCAGAGCAGTGGGGTACAGTGGAAAGGGAATGAACTTTGGAATCAAGCAGGCTGGGTTATCCCAGATAAAGATACATATAAAGGTACACACATACACAGACACCTCCTAGTGGTTCTGCTTCTCTGAATGCTGACTGGCACAGTACCTATGTGATGTTCAGCCAGTTGTTTAACCTCTCTTGCCTCAGTTGCCTTACTGGAAGTAAGTATTTCACAGGGTTATGAGCAATGAGTTTAAAAATGCCTATGAAGGCTGGGCGCGGTGGCTCACACCTGTAATCCCTGCACTTTGGGAGGTCGAGAAGGGCGGATCACTTGAGGTCAGGAGTTACAAACCAGCATAGCCAACATGGGGAAGCCCCGATTCTACTAAAAAATACAAAAATTTGCCAGGCATGGTGGCGGGCGCCTATAATCCCAGCTACTAGGGAGGCTGAGGCAGGAGAATTGCTTGAGCCTGGGAGGTGGAGGTTGTAGTGAGCTGAGATCGCACCACTGCACCTCAGCCTGGGAGTCAGAGCAAGACTCTGTCTCAAAAAACAATAAAAATAAAAATAAATAAACAAATAAAAATGCGGCCGGGCGCGGTGGCTCACGCCTGTAATCCCAGCACTTTGGGAGGCCAAGGTGGGCGGATCACGAGGTCAGGAGATGGAGACCATCCTGGCTAACACGGTGAAACCCCGTCTCTACTAAAAATATAAAAAATTAGCCAGGCATGGTGGCGGGCGCCTGTAGTCCCAGCTACTCTGGAGGCTGAGGCAGGAGAATGGCGTGAACCCGGGAGGCGGAGCTTGCAGTGAGATCGCGCCACTGCACTCCAGCCTGGGCGACAGAGCAAGACTCCGTCTCAAAAAGAAAAAAATAAATAAAAATAAAAATGCATACAAAGTACTCAACCCAAAGCCTGGCACACAGCAGGCACTCAACAGTATTTCCCATTCCTTTCCCTCTACTTCCCTATGCTCAAGGTACAAACATTAACACCATCTTTGGTTGCAAGGGGATCAGATGTTGGCTGGTCAGAGCATCTTCTCTTTACACACGCCTCAAGATACTGGCAAATTTGTGCTCTGTATCCTTTCCTTTTTAGACACCTGTTTCTTCTTCCGCATTAATTTTCATCAAAAAAAAAAAAAGGCTGTCATGCAATTAGATGAGAGCTTTCATCAGTCACATTCTAGTCCTGAGACCTGGGTGTTGCTCAGAGGTCAAACCAAACACACACCCACTCTAGGGATGGATTTCTCCTGCTGATGATGGCTAATTACATGCATCATGTGCTGAATTTTTAATAATTTTACTCCCAGATTAAACTCTTCCCCAGATTCTGTTGCAACTGACTCTAACCCTCTAATGAATGTCTCCAACCTCACATCCAAGTGGAACCTGATTATGCACCTATGTGTCCCAGCAATCAAACGCAGGATGAAAATCAAAATGAACCAGCAGGGCATGGTGGCTCATGCCTGTAATACCAGCACTTTGGGAGGCCGAGGCAGGAGGATCACTTGAGGTCGGGAGTTCGAGACCAGCCTGGCCAATATGGCAAAACCCCATCTCTACTAAAAATACAAAAATTAGCCGGGCATGGTGGCACATGCCTGTAATCCCAGCTGCTCAGAAGGCTGAGGCAGGAGAATCACTTGAACCAGAGAGCTGGAGGTTGCAGTGAGCCGAGGTTGTGCCACTGCACTCCAGTCTGGGTGACAAAATGAGCCCCTGTATCAAAATAAGGAAAAGAAAAAAAAAATTGTCCCATCCAGTAAAACATGTCACTAGCTGCCATTTCCCCAGGTGGATGGCTAACGGAAATACGGGCCTGCTAAAAAGACTCAGGAGACAATATTATCCATCTCCTTCCCTTCCAACCTGCTCTGGTTTCTATGAAAAAGTGAAGGCCAAACTGCTAAGTCAGTGTAAAAGTTGTAAGCGACTGAAATGTTCTCAGGAGGAAGAGTTTATGGATGTTTATGGAGGAGACAGTCACTGTTGAAAGGCTTCCAGTTGCTTATTATTTGGGCCTGAGGAGGAACCACCGCTGAAATCAAGCTTGGAAGAGCTTGCTGACGTCAGATTCCCAGCTGTAGTAACCCCAAATGGCCAAGTAAGTATGTTTTTTTTTTAACTGCAGCTGTTAGGTGGCAATTAAGAGGGGAAGCGGTGGTAAGGAATCCCTAGTGTCTGTAATTATAAAAGCAAGGATGTGACATAGGACTTCCATAAAACTTACACCTCCTCTTAAGATTGATTTCAATTAAAAACTGCTTCATCGTTGGTGACACTTTAGCATCTCTGTTGGTGGCTTCCTGCCCTGACCACACAAGGTTCCTTTCGTGACGACAGGAATCAACAAAAAGAAGAAAAAAATGTAAGTTTACCAACGCGCCTTCCCTTTTTCCGAGCCTGATTTATACAGGATATATGGGAAGAAATGTGGACTCCTTGACCTGTTACAAGAATCCATCAACCACCCAAATAAATGGAAACGTGGAAAGAGATTCAAAGTCCTCCAGGTTTTAGGATATTTTAAGGTATTTAAAAGGGAGAAGGAGGCGCCGACAGCGCACCCGGTGCTCTGTGTCACGATCTTCCGCTCGCGGCGCCTTTGAGGACAAGGGCGGCGGGAAACGGGTCCGCGGGGTTCCGAGGCGAGCGGCCGTGGAGGAAGCGCCCCCGAAGAAGGCCTGGTCCCTACGCCCCGCACTGCCCAGCGCTGGGGAACACAGATCCTCGGAGGAGGCCCCAGGGAGGGAAGGCGGGAGCGGGGCCCGCGGGAGGGGAGGGACGGGAGCCGTTGCCACGCACCGCGCCCTGCCCGGACCGCCGCGGGACAGCCAGTTGTTCAGTGCCGGGATCCCGCGGCTGTGCCAGAAAGCAGGACGCCGCGGGGCTGCCGTCCCGACCCCTCGCTTCCTTCCGCGCTCCCGGGACCGGGCTCAGCACCCGGCGCCCCGGCTACGACCGGACACTCACCCGGAGCCACCAGCGGCGAACTCACGGCGCCTCCCACGAAGACAGCAGCGGCTAGGACGGCGGACCCCGGGAGTGCCCGCGGAGCCATCGCCGCGTCGCTTCGCCCTCCTCCCCCAGGGCGCCGCGTCCCGCGCTCGGGAAGGCAGAGCCGCTCCGGAGCCGGCGGGCTGATCGAGTGGCTGGGCTGGGCCCCAGGGAGCGGCGAACCCCGCCCCGCCATTGCCCCGCCCCACGCCACACCCACCTCGGCTCGGTCCCGCCTCTCCCCGCGCGCCCCGGGCTCCACCTAAGCCGGCACGAGGTCCACTCATGGCTCCGCCCCCGACTCCCCGCCCACCTCAGCCTGATCCCGCCTCTCCCTGCCATTCCCGCTTCCTTTCCAAACCCCGCAGCAGCCTCAGCGGCGTAGCTAGGCCATGGACACGCCCTCTTTCTCCACCCACCTCAGCTTGGCCCCGCCTCTCCCTACCGAGCCCCGGACTCCACCTAAGAAGGCACGTGGCCCATCCATGGCCCCGCCCTTTTCCCCACCCACAGCTCAGCCCGACCCCTCCTCTCCCGCTTCCTTTCCAAACCCAGCAGCAGCCTTGGCGGCGCAGTTAGGCTATAGCCCCGCCCTTGCGCCCTGCCCACCGTGGCCCGGCCGTGCCTCTACTTGCCAGGCCCGCTTCCTTTCCAAGCCGGGCCGGGATTACGCGGGAGCCCGGGGCGGGGGGAGGGTCGCCCGGGTGCAACCTCCCTCGGTCGCTGGGACTAGGCGGGCGTGGGAAGAGAAAGAGGGAGCGCGCCCCGAGAAGCACTGGACAGTCAGAAGCGGCCAGCACTGGAGTGAGCACAGGCTTTTTTCGCTGTTGGCATGTCTATCCACTAGCATTCCCCTCGGTTGCAGATCTAGGGAGTGATGCTGTGCTGGATGTCACGTTCTGTTGTTTGGAAATTAGCAGAAAAGATAACTTAAATTTCTTCCTCTGTTTGTTTGCATTTAAGCTGCTCCTATTGGGGAAAATACCTCTATGCATTTTCAGGAACAACTTGCCTTTTTTTTTTAATCGTGTGCTTGTATTGCACCTTGCGCATACTCCCGCAAAGTAGGTCTTTCAATGCCCAGACGCTTATTATCTCCTCACATCCTCACATCAGCTCTGCGAGGTGACTATTAGAGGCCAGGGAGTAAACCCACGATGTCTGGGCCACCATGATAAATTGTAATTATCTCATTGTCATTGTGTTTGCTCGCTGCTGTGCCCTCAGCGCCTGGATGGAGGACAGACAGCACACGCTAAGAGGTCAGAAGTGTTTTCTGAAGTTGAATCATCTTCACAAGCATTAATAGGACTCAGAGGCTCTCTCTGAATAGTTCCTTTTTACTGCCCTGTAGAGACTGTTGTTACTGGGCCATCAAGCATTTGCTTGAAGGAAATTAGGGCAGGACTTGAGCAAATACTCAACACCAGCAAGAAGAGGGGGTGCATGGAGGCTGTGGGTTTTCACAGGATGGGTCTCATCCTTGAGGTGACTGATAACCTCTAGTTTTCAGAGGACTATTTATTCTCTCACCGAGTCCTCCACGCAGTCTGCTGGACTATTATTACAAACATTGCATTGATGTGGGAATTGCCAGTGACAGAAGCTCAGGCCACTACAGTACAGATGGCTGAGGCTGAAGGATGGAGCCCCTGCCCTTTGAAGCCCAAGGAGGGCACTGCGCGTCCTGCGCTCAGTTGGCAGCGCATCCTACAGTCTGGCAGTCTTAGCAGGCAGCCTTTGCTAGTTTTATATCAACATAAACATTGAGAATGTGTGCGGAGGAAAGCGATCCATGTGGATTTCTAACTAAAACAGGAGAGAATCCCGGACCTAGAAATTAAACTATAAATTAGAAGTTGTAGCCAGAACCAGCTATAAAATTTGCAGGGCACAATGCAAAATGAAAAGGCAGGGCCTTCTGTTCAAAAATCGTTAAGAATTTCAAGATGGCAACAACACAACATTAAATCGATTGTGGAGCCCTCCTAAACACACAGTTGCACAGGTCACACACTTATAAAGCCAGCTCTGGTTTTGTAAGTTAGAATGTAACAAAATGCTTGAATCAAGAAATCTAATCAAAATGTAAAATGTCATTTCAAAATTGAATCATGTTTCACTCTTTTCCCACAGATTGGACTTAGTATTAAAAAGATGGGATCGTTTTTGGCTGGGCGCAGTAGCTCAAGCCTGTAATCCCAGCACTTTGGGAGGCCGAAGCAGGCAGATCACGAGGTCAGGAGATCGTAGACCATCCTGGCTAACACGGTGAAACCCCATCTGTACTAAAAATACAAAAAAGTAGCCAGGCGTGGTGGCGGGCGCCTGTAGTCCCAGCTACTCGGGAGGCTGAGGCAGGAGAATGGCGTGAACCCGGGAGGCGGAACTTGCAGTGAGCCGAGATTGTGCCACTGCACTGCAGCCTGGGCAACAGAGCGAGACTCCGTCTCAAAAGAAAAAAAGAAAAAAAAAAAAGAAAGACGGGATCATTTTTAACAACACATTTGAATTGTATATCTGTTATGGCTCTTCAAATATAAAAATCTAGTACTTAAGCCTTACCCATTATCTACCAGGCCCTTTGTTTTACAGATGAGAGATGGTTAAGTGATCTGCCTGACATATCTACTATGAGCCAGGGTTGAAACCCAGGGCTCTGAAATTTCTCTTCCTAAACTTTCCATAACACCTGCTTGACACACTCTCTATAAATGTCTTACTTTCACGTACCCCGTATACATGCATTTGTATGTCTTGTTAAAGGAATGAAGGAAGGGTAGGAGGAAGAGAGGGGGAGGGACGGAGGAAAGTGAAGAAGGGAAGGAGAGAGGAAAGAAAGAAAATCAAGCTTAAATTATTTTCCATATCCTTAACCCTACAGATTTATTCATACAATTTAAATAGCTTCTACATATGTATATCTAAAAATCCACTGTTTTATTTTAAAAGTAAGAACCCCAATGTAATGGAACTTCTATTCTCTATTATGAAGGGAATGTCATATTTCTTCTGAGGACATAAAATGGAAATCTTAAAACTAAGTTGTATTTCCATTTTTTCAGAAACAAAAGTAGAGTTTTAATAATTCTTAAGAATAACTGTCATTAATTAAAAACAATAATCCTCATTCTGCCCTTAGATTTAGCCCAATCCTATGGTGGGAACTCTTTTTGTATTCTTTCATCAATTCCTCACAATGATTTTATATTTAGGGAATCATTGTTAACACTCCTCACTTCAAAGCTGAGGGATTAGGGCATTTACCTGAGTCACATGGCCTCTCCCTGGCACCACCAGGATGCAAATCCAGGATCAGCTCCCTTGGGCCCACACTTGCAACCTCCTCTTGCACTATTCTGCCTCTGAAATGCAGAACTCCAGCCAACTAGCTCCTCTTTTGCAATCTAAAGTATTGTTCTCATATTCCTTCATTGCATGTTTAACCTAGCCTTTTTGAACTCTGTTTCAACAATTGCTTACATATTTTTCCTCAGTGAGAATAATTTATTGATTGATGGGAATGGATTAAAAATCAGAGTGTATAGGATCAAATTTACAAACATATACAATGTGATGTCCTTTCTGATTTTCATTGTTTTCAGTTTCTCTGTAAGGATTCAGTTAATCATTCCCCTTAGTAGAAACCTTTCCTGTTTTCCTCTGAACTGCTAAGCTGGTGATTTTCATCACCATCATTTAAATGCATAAGCCTCACTAGGCTGGTATTTACTCTAATTAATGTTGAACATGCTTCCGCAGAAGGCCTCTGTAGGATTTCTTTTGTGATTTAGATGTACTCATCTCTCTTTTTGAGAGGTTATATGCAGGAGATAAGCTTACATTTCTTTTTAAAAAATATGTCTGAAGGGGAATAAAATATTTTACACAATCTGGGGCTATTTTGATATGACAACAGATATGTGCTGTGTTCCTAGTACTGGGCTGAGCATGAGGGGTTGGAGGGGAGAGTCACTACAAGCTTAAGAAAAAGATTCTAACTTTGCTTTTAAAGTTTTAAGCCTACCTGGGAGAAAGGGAACTGTTGCATAAGTGAACAGAAATGGCTGGCCAGGCGCGGTGGCTCACGCCTGTAATCCCAGCACTTTGGGAGACTGAGGCAGGTGGATCACGAGGTCAGGAGATCGAGACCATCCTGGCTAACACGGTGAAACCCCGTCTCTACTAAAAATACAAAAAATTAGCCGGGCGTGGTGGCAGGCATCTGTAGTCCCAGCTACTTGGGAGGCTGAGGCAGGAGAATGGCGTGAACCCGGGAGGCGGAGCTTGCAGTGAGCCGAGATGGCGCCACTGCACTCCAGCCTGGGCAACAGAGCAAGACTCCAACTCAAAAAAAAAAAAAAAAGAAATGGCCAACAGCCCAGGGGTCAGGGGACACAGCCCTGCCAAAGATTCGCTCACTCTACTCTCTGCAGCTTCTTTTGGGTTGGTCTTCCAACCTATAAAATACAAGGATGATAGGATGATTTCTAAAGGTTCCCATCCAGCCCTAAGATTCTATACCATAATGAGTAATCAAATGATAGGGGTGCTAAGTCAGGCTAGACTGCAAGGTTTCTCAACACTGTGGACATTGTTGGTCCAGTAATTCTTTGTTGTGGGGGACTGTTGTGTGCACTGTAAGATGTCTAGCTACAATCCTTGACCTTTACTGACTACATGCCAGTAGCTCCCACCCCAGCTGTGACAACCAAACATATCTCCAGATATTACCAAATGACTCTAGGGAACAAAATCACACCCAGTTGATAACCACTGAGCTGGAGAAATCCCAAGAAGATCAAAAGAATTGTACTGGAAGCTCTTGAGCAAGGTTTCATGAAAGAGGTGCATCTTGAGCTGGGTCTTAAAGGACTGGGATTGATGGAGAGATGAGAAATGTGTATGAATGTATGTACAGTAAAAGAATTTGCATGGTACAGACTGCAGACTGCACAGTCATACATATGCATGAGGAAAAGAGGAGGATGGGTCAGCAATAACTGTGGGTCACAGCCAAGCATAACAGTCGACAAAAGGAGAATGGAGAGCTTCGATTGCCCAGGAATTTGTCATACTTTATAATAAATAATTTTATCGCCAAAATAGATTTTTTAAGGGATAATGAGAATAATTTCCATTGTTCAATTAAATGTATTCCATCATAAATTAGGAAGCCTCAGCTGGGTGCAGTGGCTCACTCCTGTAATCCCAGCACTTGGAAGTCCAAGGCAGGAGGATAGCTTAAGGCCAGGAGTCTGAAACCAACCTGGACAACATAGCAAGACCCTATCTAAAAAAAAAAAAGAAGCTTCAGAAAAGTAAAAATCAGAGGAATCTAATCGATAGCAATGGTGTTCCTAATCTCTGTCCAATTACCTGGATCACCACATTGAGTTATGTTTCATGGGCACATGGTCTCCCAAAAATTACAAATAAGTGATTCAGACCATTTGCGACCACAGCCTCAAAATCAGGTGCATATAACACTGATACAGTTGTTCTCAGTAAAGAGCAAGAGAGAATTACAGTAAGAAACTGTGTGGTTGGGACCAGTGAAACCCACAAATATACATTTCAGAGGATAAACTATTAAGTGCATAGTGTTTGTCTTAGACAAGCCTCCTTTTGATCACAACCAACAGAAACCTTAACAGTAAATGTAGTATAAGGATAAAGCACTCTCACAGATATAAAGAAGGCCAGGCCTGAAGCCCTCAAGCCAAGACCTCCCATGGCTGCCTCAACCCACACCCCACTCAGCATGACTTCCACAAACTGGCTATAGATCGGCTTCCCTCAACTCAGGAGAATATGGGGCTGCCCAGCCAGGGACTCTGAGTTTAACTGTTCACCCTAGACAAGGATGTCGGACATGGTCCTCTGCTGACTGATAGGTTCTATATAGGAAAGTATCATGGAAGCCAGTAGAATCTATCAAGAGTTTTCTGGGGAAAGAAGTGATCATCAATGTCAGATGTATTGAGGAGTTTAGTAAAATAAGGACCAAAAAGTTACCCAGCAAATCAGGCAATGTGGAGTTACCTGAAGACCCTTGTGGAAGAACATTAAGCTGCATGATAGAGATGGAGCCCACCTGAAAGGCCAAGGTGGGAGGATCACTTGAGCCCAGGAGTCTGAGACCAGCCTGGGAAACATGGTGAAACCCCAACTCTACAAAAAGTACAAAAATTAGCTGGGCATCGTGGTGTACACCTGTATTCCCAGCTACTCAGGAGGCTGAGGTGGGAGGATTGCCTGAGCCCAGGGAGGTCGGGGCTGCAGTGAGCCATGCTCATGCCACTGCACTCCAGCCTGGGTGATAGAGTGAGACCTTGTCTCAAAAAAAAAAAAAAAGAAAAAAAAGAAAAGAGAAAAGAGAATTCTCTTTCCAGAAACTTGGCTGAAAGAGAACAGAGAAAAAGTCATACGGAGGACCTTGGCAGTCAAGAGAAGGTTTTTATGGATTGAAGTCAATTTTATGGGACAATTGGAAAGCACATGGAGAGAAATATGTGAAGAAATCAGAACAAGGAGAATAACTAATGTAGCAAGATTGAGAGGAACTCAATGATAGGATCAAAAGCATAGGAGTTGTTGACTTCAGACAAAGACAAACATTTGATGCTCTGAAATGGAAGGGAGAGGCAAAAGAAGGGCACACAGGTATAGATTTGTAGGTGGGAAACAGAAAGTTGAGAAAGTTCACATTAATAGAGGCAAAATCATTGCTATGATTTGAATGTCCCAGCCAAAATTTATGTTAAAATTTAGTTGCCATTGTGATGGTATTAAGAAGTGGGACCTTTAAGAGGTGATCAGATTGTGAGGGCTCTGCCCTTAATAATAGATTAAGGCCTTTATCTCAGGAGTGGGTTAGTTATTGAGGGAGTGGGTTCCAGATAAAAAGGATGAATTCTGCCCAGTTTCCACTCTGTCTCCTGTGTTCACTTACCTTCTGCTTTCTGCCATGGGATAATGCAACATGAAGGCCCTCACCAGATGCTGGCGCCATGCTCTTGGACTTCCCAGTCTCCAGAACTGTGAGACAAATAAATTTCTATTGTTTAGAAATCAGCCACTCTATGGTATTCTGTTATAGAAGCTGAAAATGGACTAAGGCAGCCATCTGACAATGGAATAGACGGGAATGGTGCAGGGGTTTTGAGGTGACTATGTTAAGGCCCCCAGTAAAGGTGTCTGGGTTGTGTACTGCACAAGAGCGCCATATATTAACTTATCCCAGAATGTGAAGGCCAGAATCTCTGGTCACAGAAAAGCAGAAAATATACTCCTCCTGAATATAAGCCCACAGTATACATAAGGCCATGCGTATACTTGGAAAAAGTATGTGTCCTGTGTGAATCACGTTCCAAGCATCCCCTGAAGTTACTGCTCCCACACTCAGAGGTCTGACTCATGTCTACCAGACTCCAACCTTGCTTCTTTTTCCCTGTGGCAGGAGGGTACAGATAGCACAGTATATACAAGCTACTGACACTGTGGAAACCAAACGTTGGGGAGGGGGGCAGGTTGTTACAATGTGGGCACAGAATGTGTGTAAGAATGTGTGTGCAGCCAAGGAAGCTTCCCACAAGGACCCTGGAAATCCCCCCCAATTCCCCCTACCGCAAGGTCAGAGCTGTCTAGATTGAGCCACAATATCATAATAAACTAAATGGTGGAAGGGGCACTTTTTGCCAATCCTCAGGGCCCCTGAGAGTTGTAAGGATTTGAATGATCACTGAAGGGAATGGGAGAGCTGTCCAGCATGTGCACTGCTGTGCATCATGGAGGGTATAGCTGGGACTGCAGCCCATGAATTTTTCATGGGCCAATCTGCAGGATTGAGTGATGCTCTGTACGCATACCTGGAAACTCAGAGGTAGAAATGGAGAAGGCAGTTTAGGAAATAGATCCATGGTTAGGGTTTTTCCAGGAAGGAGCCTGATATTCTAGAGGCTTTTCAAGGAATTTCGTGGTTTTGAAGGATAAGGGGTTCAGGTGTTGAGCTTCAGGATAGGCTGGTTAGGCCACAAAATGACTGATTTACTGAGAGAATTTGGAGGGTCTGGTAGTCTGTGAGGTGTGAGATCGGGATAGTGGGAAGGAGGGTATGAGAGAGCTGAACCTTTCTCAACCTAGTCCTTGCTGCCAATGTCTTTGGAACTCTTGAGAATCTCATATGAGCCATTCTGTTGCCAAGGCGCAGGTTAATAACACAACTTCTCCTCTTCTTCCTTTCAGCATTGCCAACAAGTTAGTCTATTTGGATAGCTTCTTAGTTCCTGCTACTACAAAATCTGTCCCTTTATAGGGGACAATCTTCTCATTCCATCCTGGGTTTAGCATGGACCATCACATCCCCACAGTTCCCACCACTGTGACACCAGGAGGACAACATATGGGCCCTTTTATATTAAAGGATTTCCCGAAAACCAGAGAGAAAATAAGAAAAGAGGGAACATTCAGAAAACTACAGAAGCTTACAAAGTGTTTGTCTAGTCTAAGCCAGATTATAACTACAGGAGTTACATGAGTTAATGGCATGAGTTTTGTGTAGGTGAAATAACTATGTGTTATTTCTACAAATAGCAATATAATGCCAACCATGTAAGTGATTCCAAATTTTCTGGTGGCCACATTAAAAAATAAGAACAGGTGAAATTAGTTATAATAATAGATTTCATTTAATCCTATATATCCAAAATACCATTTCAATATGTGTATTAGTCCATTTGCATGCTGCTGATAAAAACATATCCAAGACTGGGCAATTTACAAAAGAAAAGGTTTTAATTGGACTTACAGTTCCATGTGGCTGGGAAATGTCTCACAACCATGGTGGAGGGCAAAAGGCACTTTTTACATGGCTGCAGCAAAAGAGAATGAAGAAGAAGCAAAAGTGGAAACCCCTGATAAACCCATCAGATCTCGTGAGACTTATTAAGTATCGTGAGAATAGCACAGGAAAGACCAGTCCCCATGATTCAATTACCTCCCCCTGGATCCCTCCCATGACACATGGGAATTCTGGGTGATATAATTCAAGCTGAGATTTGGGCGGGGGCACAGCCAAACCATGTCAACATGTAATCAAAATATTGAAATTACTAATGAGATATTTATCATTCTTTTTACCATACTATGTCTCTACCTGTGACTGTCCCTTCTTATCCCACAACCATGGCAGAATGCTCCTATGATCTTACTTATAGTAGGCACTCCTTTGCCACATCCTCCCTGGCCCCTAGCCCTTGGTTGCCTACAGGGTCACATTTATCTATTTAGCTAGAAGTAACCTCAGCGTCTAGCCTCTGGGTAGCTCCTGTCCATGCAGGATCCAGCTTCTCCCTTTCAGGCAACAGACACTTGCCTCTAACATATTTGGGTTGAAGAAGGTTGGTCTCTTGGCCACCATGACTCAGCCCACTCTGCCAGCTGTTTATTCATGGTCAACTGGCTGCTAACTGCTCTCTGGATGTAGTTCTGGGGTAGCCACTGTGGCCTCACATGGGTGGCTGCACTTCTCTTTGTTGCCCCTCCCCAGACAGGTACAGTTGCCCCCTTCTTCCCCTGCTACAACATACTGACAAAAAGGAGCTGTGTGTAACAGACTTTCCCTGATGATTTGGCCAATATCATCTATAGATCCCTGGTCTTAACTTATCTCTTTATTGTAGCCCTGCTTCTCTCTCTCTCTCTCTCTCTCTCTCTCTCTCTCCCCCTTCTTTCTCTTTCTCTCTCTCTTAGAATTCTAAGACCTTCAACATGCCTCACCATCAGCCCACCTTCCCCAAAAAAGACCCTGAAAATTTTTATTACTTTATTGTGATATAGAGGATCAGCTGAGCCTATTCCAGATTGCAAAAGTTTTAACCTGGAGTCCGTGGACTCCCAGGGAGTCTGCAAATTGAATTTAGGGGGGTTGTAGACTTGAGTAGAAAAAAAAATCACCTCTTTATTTTCAATAACTTCAACATGAAGTTTGGCATTTCCTTTAACTATGAATGTAGGCAACAACCTCAGTAACATTAGCAGTATCTATGACACTGACATATGTCTATGTAGCTAGGACTACAGGTGCGCACAACCACACCCAGCTATGTTTTCTTTTGTTTTTTTGTTTTTTTTTTAGAAACAGGGTCTCATTTTATTACCTAGGCTGGTCTTGAACTCCTGGGCTCAAGCAGTGTGCCCGCCTTAGCCTCCCAAAGTGCTGAGATTAGAGGCATGAGCCACTGCACTCAGCTGACATTATTTAAATATAATTGGTTTTCTTTGTAATACTATGTATTTTATTTTATGCATAGGAAAACATGATTCAGAGATGAGATTCCATAGGCTATACTGACTGCCAAAGGGATCCGAGGCACATGCATACACACACACACACACACACACACACACACACACACACACATTTAGAGCTACCTGTCTAGGCCTCTCTTTGCATAATCACACTCCTTGTGGAATTTTCCTATGCAAAGGTAACCTTCCCAGATGCTGCTTTCTCTGGAAACTGCTGCAAGTATAACCAAGGCTTGAGGAATGTAAGTAACTTTATCTAGCTAGCTATTTAATAGCACAGACCTATAAATTTATTCAGTGGGGATATTTCCTTCCTTGCTCATGGATGAAGTTTAGAGCAAGTCCCTTAATTTTCCTGGTAATAAATCTTTAAGGTAATAAAACTACTCCAGACACTAATTGAAACTCAAGTCCCCTGCAATACTTTAAAACTCTCTCTCTCTCTCTCTCTCTCCCCGCTGCTTGTGTCCCAGCACACAGTGTAGTGGATGCCATTGTGCACCGCCCACAGGGATGTCCCAGTCATCCCCCAGCTGCTGAGATTGGCCCTGATGGTTCTCAGTTGAGTGGCTCTCTGGAAATTGCCCTTAGTAAAAGAAAATGCCTCAGCCAAGGTCATACCTCTTCCCCAGGGACAGCCCTCATCCAATGGCTGGTTAATGGGCGTGAGGAAGTGTTGAGCACCCTCTTCCAAGGTCAGACAACTTAAGAAGGGCCACCCAGCTGCAGAACTGTCTCATAGGAAAGTCTGAGGCCTCTGTTACAGCTGCATTCCAGTTCACTGTCTCCTCTGCCCAATCCTACTCCCTCCGCCCCAACACACAGGTGTCAATCCACCAGGCACACCCTAACAAATCTATAAATCTTCTTCTCACCATCTTTATCCTGAAGAAATCGGCCTTTTTTTCTCCTTTTCTGCCAGGTTTTTCTTATCCTCATTCCCCACCTTGCCAACCAGTTTTGGTTTTGATGTTGTTTGTTTGACCTTCACAGGCTTGGGTTGTGGGGGAAAGAGAAAGAAAAAGAGACAGAAAGTTATACTTTGGTACCCTCATCAGAGATAAATGGTATTGGAATGTGTTAAAGGCAGAATTTTTTTTTTTGAGACAGAGTCTCATTCTGTCACCCAGGCTGGAGTGCAATGGTGCAATCTCAGCTCACTGCAGCCTCCATCTGCCGGGTTCAAGCGATTCTTATGCCTCAGCCCTCCAAGCAGCTGGGATTACGGGTGCCTGCCACAACACCTGGCTAATTTTTGTATTTTTTTTAGTAGAAATGGGTTTTCACCATATTGGCCATGCTGGTCTCTAACTCTTGACCTCAAGTGATCCTCCTACCTCAGCCTCCCAGCTTACAGGCATGAGCCATTGCACCAAGCCAAAAGCAGACTTTTTTCTCCTGAGAATTCTTATGGTTTTTTGGAGACATCTCTAGATCTTCCCTGCCCTCCCCCTGCCCACTGCCCCTTTATCCCTGGAAATCTACCTTCCTCTATTCTCTTTAAAGAGAAGGAACAGGCTGGGCATAGTGGCTTACGCCTGTAATCCCACACTTTGGGAGGCCGAGGTGGGTGGATCACAAGGTCAGGAGTTCGAGACCAGCCTGGCCAATATGGTGAAACCCCAGCTCTAATAAAAATACAAAAATTAGCTGGGCATGGCGGCATGCATCTGGTAGTCCCAGCTACTCGGGGGGCTGAGGCAGAAGAATCGCTTGAACCCAGGAGGCGGAGGTTGCAGTGAGCCGAGATAGTGCCACTTGCCTCCAGCCTGGGCGACAGAGTGAGACTCCGTCTCAAAACAAACGAGAGAAGGAACATCTGCTCTGCTGGCTCTTCACATCTTCTACAGACTGTGGACACCCAGTGCTACCTCCAGCTTCTTTCTCCTAAGGACTGCTTGCCCCTTCAGGCCGCCTCATAGATAAGCCCTTCCACGCTTGCACCACAGGAAACATTCTTTGCTCCAAAAATCTCTGGAATGGGCTTCAGAAAGGAGATGACCCTGAGGGAGGAAAGCATGTGGGTTGGCGTGGTAGGCAGCATAGTGGCCCCAAAGATGCCCATGTCCTAGTCTCTGGAACCTGTGAATATATCAGCCTGGGTGAAAGAGCGAGATTCTGTCTCAAAAAAAAAAAAAAAAAAAAAGAGGGAGGCAGAACAGTAAAGTCAGTCAAAGGAGCATGTGAATATGAAAGAAAGACACAGAGATGTGATGCTGCTGACTTCAAAGATGGAGGGAAGGGACCATGAGTCCAGGAAGATAGAAGGTCTCTGCAAACTGTAAGGACAAGAAATTGGATTTTCTCGGCCAGGTGCGGTGGCTCACGCCTATAATCCCAGCACTTTGGGAGGCTGAGGCGGGCGGATCACGAGGTCAGGAGATCGAGACCAGCCTGGCTAAGACGGTGAAACCCCGTCTCTACTAAAAGTACAAAAAAAGTAGCCGGGCGTGGTGGCAGGCGCCTGTAGTCCCAGCTACTCGGGAGGCTGAGGTAGGACAATGGCGTGAACCTAGGGGGTGGAGCTTGCAGTGAGCCGAGATCACGCCACTGCATTCTGGCCTGGGGCGACAGGGCGAGACTCCGTCTCAAAAAAAAAAAAAAAAAAAAAAAAAAGAAAAGAAAGAAAGAGAAAGAAAAAAAGAAAAAAGATTTTCTCCTAGAGCCTCCAGACAGGAGAGTACCCTGGCCATGCTTTGATTTTAGCTCAGGGAGACTCGTTTTAGGCTTCTATCCTACAGAACTGTAAGATCATACATTTGTGTTAAGATGCTACGTTGTGGTAATTTGTTACAGCAGCAATACAGAACCAGTGCAGCAGGGTAACTCAGCCTCCACACAATGGTTCTTGGAGGGTTAGTAAAAGAAAGCTAGTTCTCGAAGGGTTATTGAAGAGAGCATAAGACTGCAAACTTCTTGAACCCAGCCCCACGGGCCCTACATTAGAAGTAAAGTCTGGGCAAGTACACATGAATTCAGAGCTATATATTAATATAACCTTTGAGCAACTCCAATGTGATGCTTAGAGTCTAGACCAGCCAGGGATCTCAGGAGTCCTGGAAAAGCATCCCCAACTTTCAAAAGGTCCAGTCATCATCACTACTGCAGGGACCAAGATACAGAACAGGTGCACTGACCAGACCCTCTCTCCTCTCTTCTCTTTCTCCCAGGGGATAAAAAGTAGGATGGTCCCTGTATCGTGTCAGCCTATTGATTGGAGAAACATCATAAGCCTACAAATGTTGAAGCTGTTTATATCTGTCACTGTATTTCTGGTATTGAACACAGTGCTATGCACTCACTACGCACTCAGTTAATGTGTGGACTTTTTCTTTTTTCTTTCTTTTTTTTTTTTTTCTTGTAAGACTAGTTAAGTGCAGTAGTGAGAAGGAAGGAAAGAGTAGAACAAGGAGTGCAATCGTAACCAACTGTGACCAGCTGAGATAACTCGCTACCTTTAGACCAACCTCAGTAAATGTGTTGACATAGTGTCTTAGACTTCCCTTGTGATATGAATAAGTTCAACAGTCCTGCAATGAGCCATGTGAATTTAAATGGCAATCTAAGCCAAGATCATTATGGCAAGTCTCGGGGCAGTAAAGAACAAACAAATGGTGCCTCTTTCTCTAATGAGCCTTAACTTAATATCTCAGTTGGAAACATAATAGTAAGATAAGCTCCAATTTTCCCAGCAAAGCTGTGTATTCAAAATTGACATTGGCAAACTTAGTGCAGTTTGTTTTAACTCTTGCTCCTGTAGCTGAGGACTGTCAGAGGTGATAAGGAGTTTGGTCCTGGCCATGAAGGTACAAAATAGTAGATGAAAACGCCACTTGGGGAAATCTGTTCCTGGACCTTTCTTAAGCAGTTGGTATCTAAATTGTGGGAAAATGCAGAATATTGTGAAATGCATCAAACACTGTCTCCACCGGGAGATTCAAATGAAAACTTTAAGTTATTTGATCATCTAATGACCTGAAGGTGACTTGGCAGGCTCTCAATGGATGGTAAGGGCTCTTTGTCTGGTCTGTAGCACTTTCCATGCAGTCTAACAGATGCTCCAAGCCAAGATGATTTTTAGGATTGTGACAGGGGTTTGCATTCATCAGGGTGTTGGGCAACACTGCAACAGGGATAACATTTGCTTTTAGTGCTTTTTCATATTGTTTAACTCACTTTCTTCCAGTCCTTTCCCTGCCTACCCTCAAGAAGTGTCTCCATCCCTCACCCCTCCACACTTCTCCTTCACTGCATAAAATTGTGCCTTCTCCAGCTCTGCTGCCCAAAAGTCAACACTGCTGCTGTCAGCCAGATGAAATGTGCTTCACTGACTGACTGTCAGTCTTCCTCATAAGTATTCTAATTTTCACTAGGAATTTAACCTTTAAATCCACCTTTAATTAAAAATATTCTGAACTATCAGACCCAGTAGATAACTACAAAGCATCCATGTATATAATATAGTCATGGAAAAGAAGGTTAAGCAAAACTATGTAGTTTGATATATTACAATAAGCTAATATTTAAGCACTTATACATGAACATATTTAATTTGTCTTTATATAAACCCAGTTGTATATGTGTCTGTACATTAAAATATATCTAAAATGCAGAGTATGTGAGATTAGAGTTCATTTATAAAATTGCTGTAATTTCAATTTGGCCGATTCATCTGCACAATGATAGGTAAGTACTGTCTGAATGTTAAGAAAAGGCTTGAAAAAGTGAAAAATCAGATTGTCCAAAATCACCTGTAAAAAAGTTAAGATAGTGAATTTTAAAATAATCAAAATTAAGTACAGAAAATGACTTTTTAAATAACTTGCTGGTTTTTAATTCAACAAAGCTGTGAGGTTTTGAACTAGCTTGCTTTTTATGCCCTGACATTTTGATTTTTCTGTGTTTGAACCTAGTTCCTTACTGCAGTCTGCAGATGGCCTGGTATAGTGAGGTTGGCTTTAGTATCACATTCTTCAACAGCTCCAGTCCACAGACTTATTTTCTGAATCACACTTATTAGGTCCTTCATGGAAACTGCTAGCCAACCAAGTGCTTTTTTTTTTTTTTTTTTTTTTTTTGAGACGGAGTTTCACTCTTGTTGCCTAGGCTGGAGTGCAATGGCACACTATCTTGGCTCACTGCAACCTCCACCTCCCGGGTTCAAGCGATTCTCGTGCCTCAGCCTCCCAAGTAGCTGGGATTACAGCCGTGCGCCACCACACCTGGCTAATTTTTTGTGTTTAGTAAAGACAGGGTTTCACCATGTTGGTCAGGCTGGTCTGGAACCGCTGACCTCAGGTGATCCACCCGCCTTGGCCTCCCAGAGTGCTGGGATTACAGGAGTGCGCCACTGTGCCCAGCCCCATGTGCTTTTAATGCCACCAACCTTTTGGTTACCCATTAAAACAGAAAAGGAGGCCCCCCAGTGATCTGTTTTGTGCTTTGGATTTTACTTATCTATCTCCTCCAAACCTCAAACATCTACATTTTAAAAAATGTTTTTCCTCTGTTAACTAAATAATACAAGCTCTTTTAAAAATTATGGAAAAATAGAAAAATCACCACAAGTTAATTGCTAAAAAAGTACCATGTTGAGTATATTTTGGTATCCTATTGTGTCTGTGGGGTTTTTTTGAACTAATATTATAGCATTAGCACTTCCTCATGTCATTAAATGGTCTCCAAAAACATGATTTTAATGACTGTAAAACATGAACCGTTCTCTTAGAGCAGACATCAATATTAATTCTTATACTAATGCCAAGAGAAACAGCCTTGTTCATTAACTGCATACCTACATTTTAAAAGACATATTTCTAGAGGTAGTTTTAAATACTCTTAGTGCTCCCCTAGACAGAAATTGGAATAAAGGAAAACCCATTTCAATCAAAACTTAAGCCAGGGTGCACCGTAGCTCTTTCTACTAGCTGGACCTTTAAAGCAGTTCTGTGCTAAAGAACTTTTTGTGATAACAAAATGTTCCTTATCTGCACTAATATGTAGCCACCAGCCATGTGTGGCTATTGAACATTTGAAATGTGACTCATGAGAATGAGGAACTGAATGCTACATTTTATTTAGTTTTAATTAATTCAAATCTAAATGTAAATAACTACATGTGGCTAGTGGCTGCCACATGGGACAGCACAATGGAAAATAGCAGAATATATCTGAGGCTGGGCGCAGTGGGTCACGCCTGTAATCCCAACACTTTAGGAGGCCGAGGCAGGCAGTTCACTTGAGCCCAGGAGTTCGAGACCAACCTGGGCAACATGATGAAACCCTGTCTCTACTAAAAATACAAAAAGTTGGCCAGGTGTGTTGAGCACCTGTAGTCCCATCTACTCAGGAGGCTGAGGTGGGAGGATTGCTTGAGCCTGGTAAACTGAGGCTGCAGTAAGCCGAGATAGCACCACTGTACTCCAGACTGGGTGATGGATTGAGACCCTGTCCCCACCACCCCCGCCAAAAAAAAAGAATATATTTGGTTGTACCTGGGGTTTACCAAGTAATACTTTTAAAAGCATTTTTGATTTAAGTGCAAAATCTACACTCTCCCTAATAATGGCAATTGCAGTTTTAATTTTTTAATTTTTTTAATTTTTTAGCTATAGCGCCTACCCATTATTTAGCTTAATGATAGGCTTTGATGAATGGCAGTATACAAATAGTATCCAATAACCTAGATATCTTATACCTTTTCAGATATTGCAGTGATTTTAATTACCACAAAGAATCTGAAGACTCTTAAGAAATTATGTTTGACAAATACTAATTATGTTATTCAGATTTTGTGAAGTAGTTTCAGACATAATGGAAATATGGCACTCAGAACACCAGAGAGATTTGAAAGACATATTACTCCAGAGTATTCCTAAGTGTTCCACATTCTGGGCAGGAGGGGCGGGGTGGGGGGGAGTACAAAAGCAGCCTACTTTGTGGTTCTTAGTTCACATCTATAAAGAAGTTAAATGGGGTTTTGGTTCATGTTTGGGAAGAAACTCAGAAGTTGCACATTTTCAGGAAAAAACTGTCTCTGAGCTGTGATCTTACCTAACTCACATTTAGTTCAGATCTCCTCACCAACTCCTTCACTGCTGAGTCAGCCAACATCAGCAAAGGCCGCAGAAGCATCTTACATTCTCCCACTTGGAAGGCGCTCCCGGCCTCCTGCCTCCCTTGTCTTCAACAGGATGACATTTACCCATCTTCCAACTCCCTGAAGAAAGGTCACTTCCCCTGACTAATGCTCTCCTCTGTCACACAGACTGCTGCATTCCATACGTCTCACTTAATAACATTCATCACACTCCTCACCTCTTATTCAATATGTCTTCCAGAAATCCCTTGAGGTTGAGGACCATGGGCTGTGTTGTCTTCTTTGCTACATCTGCAGTGCCTGGTCTATACATAACAGGTGTTCTATAAATATTTAATAGATGCATAAATGAATTTAATCTTTGCAATCACCATAGGAGAAAAGAGTTTTCATTCTCATCGTGGGCGAGGAAAGTAAGGCAAGGAAAGTTTTCATCCTCATTGTGGGCGAGGAAAGTAATGATCAGAAACAGTATATCTGTTCAGGGTCTCACAGCTAAGAAGTTGGATGTGGGATATGAACCCAGTTCTTTTTTTTTTTTTTTTTTTTGAGATGTTAAGATGGAGTCTCAGTCTGTCACCCAGGTTGTAGTGCAGTGGCAAAATCTCGGCTCACTGCAACCTCCACCTCCTGGGTTCAATCGATTCTCCTGCCTCAGCCTCCCAAGTAGCTGGGATTACAGGCTCATGCCACCACACCCAGCTGATTTTTGTATTTTTAGTAAATACAGGGTTTTACCATGTTGGCCAGGCTGGTCTTGAACTCCTGACCTCAAGTGATTTACCCACTTTGGCTTCCCAAAGTGCTGGGATTACGGGCATGAGCCACCATACCTGGCCTGAACCCAGTTCTTTTGACTGCAAGTCCGGCACTCTTTTCATTACATGAGAGTTGCCCTCTTATTTTTCTTCTCTAGGTAGGCATTGAGCATTCATCTCTATATCCTTAGCCTAAGCTCTCCTCAGCTAAATTCATCCCTACACCTTCTGCTTTCCACCCAATAGCAGAACCAATTCAGATGCATTTTCTGCCATTTTAAAAGAAGGATCACCTTTACTCCAGTATCTAATAACATGTTCATTTCCTTCTAAGTTCTTACCAGAAGCATATTTAACATTCATATTTCTACCCACCATTTCTTCAAGGGGATCTACGTTTCCTTTGCATCAAGGATCTCAAAATTCTTGAGACCTCTACCAATTATCCAATTCTAAAGCTACTTCCACATTTTTATGTATTTGTTACAGAAGCACTCCACTTCCCAGTACCAAAATATCTTTTATTTTATTTTACTTTTATTTTTTGAGATGGAGTTTCACCCTTGCCCAAGCTAGAGTGCAATGGCGCAATCACGGCTCACTGCAACCTCCACCTCCCGGGTCCAAGTGATCCTTGTGCCTCAGCCTCCTGAGTAGCTGGGATTACAGGCACCCACCACCACATCCGGCTCATTTTTGTATTTTTTTATAGAGATGAGATTTCACCATGTTGGCCAGGCTGGTCTCGAACTCCTGACCTCAGGTAATCTGTCTGCCTCGGCCTCCCAAAGTGCTGGGATTACAGGCATGAGGCACCATGCCTGGCCCAAAATCGGTTTTAGTTTCTTAGAGTTGCTGTAACAAAATACCACAAACTGGGTAGCTTAAAACAAATTTATTATATCACAGTTTTGGAGAATAGAAGTCTAAAATCATGGTCTTGGCAGGGTCATGCTCCCTCTGAATCTTCTAGGAGAATCTTCCAAGCCTCTTCCAGGTTCTGGCAGCCCCAGGTGTTCCTTGGCTTGGGGTGGTGTAACTCCACTCTGCCTCCATCTTCATGTGACTGTACTCCTTGTGTGTCAGTGTCTCTTCTCTTTTTATAAAGATGACAGATCAAATTGAATTAAGGGTCCACCCTACTCCAGTGTGATCTAATCTTAATTAATTATATCTGCAATGATCTCGTTTCTAAAGAAGGTCACATTCTAAGGCACTAGGGGTTAGGACTTGAACATATCTTTTCGAGCAACACAGTTGAACCCGTGACAATATGTAAATCCAAAAATGCAGCCTATGTACACGGCTCAAACTCAAAATGAACACAGCCATATAACCAACACCTGGATCAAGAACTAGAACATGTCTAGCACTCCAAAGTCCTTTCCTTCTCTATTCCAGTCACTCAGCTCCACCGTCATAAATAACCACTATCTTATCTTTTAACTGAATATATTAGCTTTTTCTTTTAAGTATAATTCACAAACCATAAATCTTTAAAGTATACAATTCAGTGGTTTTCAGCATATTCACAAAACTGTGCAACCATCACTACTATCTGATTCCAGAACATTTTCATCACCCCAAAAAGAAAGTCTGCATTCATTAGCATTTATTCCCATCATCCCCCACCCCTCAGCACCTGGAAATCACTAATCGACTTTCTATTACTATCAGTTTTCCTATTCTGGACATTCACTTCATATAAATGGAATCAATTTGTGGCCTTTTGTATCTGGCTTCTTTCACTCAGCACAATGTTTTCAAGGTTCTTGCATGCTGTAGCATGTATCAGTACTTCATTTCTTTTTATGACTGAATGGACATACCATGTTTTCTGTGTCTATTCATCAGTTGATGGACATTTATGTTGTTTCCATATTTTAGCTATTATGAATAATGTTGCTGTGAACATTTGTGTACAAGTTTCTGTGTGGACATATGTTTTCAATTAGCTTGGGCATGTACTTAAATGCGCTTGTACCGTAATTATCCAGTAGAGTCCAAGGCTTAGGATAGATACCAATCAATAGATTGCAAGTTAAAAGCAACCTTAACCTCTGAAAAAGCTGGACTCCCCTACCTCAGGAAGTAACCTGGACACTTGGGAGAGTTGTACCTCTCCTGTGTGTGATACACATTGTCTCTTTACGTTCATCCTCCCAGCTAGTAAGTGATTACCCATTTTTCCACATCAGTGTCAGTACAGGAAACAGCACCCTACTCATGTGCTCAGAAAGCATCATACGGAGTCACAATAAAAGCTCATGTGCTTAAAATGATTTTAGACACTTGATTTTGAGGGAAAAAAACCACAGCAGGACAAAAGCACGCGCCTATGCTCGTTCTCTGGTGAGAATATCAAAGAAATAGAGAGTTAGCAAGATCCGCAGGAGTCTGCCCTATATACTTGACAGCAATGATGAGGACACAGCAATAGAGATATGCTTCCAACTCTCCCTTTCTTTTGCTTTCAAAAAAAATTTCAAAAGAATACATCCTCAGACAGATAAACAGATTCTTTGGTATGAATATATAGCATATAAAAGATAAAGAATAATAAAATTAATATATGTGTACCTACTAACCCAGCCGAAGAAGCAGAATATTTCCAAACCTTTTTTTTAAAAAAAATAGAGACAGGGTCTCACTATGTTGGCCAGGCTGGTCTCAAACTCCTGGCCTCAAGCACTCCTCCTGATTCAGCTTCCCAAAGTGCTGGGATTACAGGCATGAGACACTGCGTCCAGCCCACCAAAACTTTTGCAGTCTCTCTAACTTCTCCCAATGTATTCACCACACTGAATTTTGTGATAATATTTTTGTTATAATTTTACAACATTTGCATGTATTTTTAAATGCTATATTTAGTTTTGTACCTTTTGAACTTTATGTAGATAGCATCCTACTGCTTGTATTCTTCTGCCACTTGCTTTTTCACTCAACATTATGTTTGTAAGATTAACCCGCATTGAAACATTTTTCTTTAGTTTATTCACCTTCACTATTCCATTTTATGTAACTACTACAAATTATTTATCCTTCATGATATGAGACACATGGATTGTGTGCATTTTTTGCTTTTATAAACAGTGTTGTTATGAACAGTTGTATGGTAGGTACACCTGACAGCAATAACTTAAACATACCCTGTGTGGCAGATGCGCCTGACAGTGATAATTTAGCTGAAGAAGTCGGGGTTGCCACGTGGAGGTTGCTGGCGTGGAGGATGCTAAGACACTTTATAAACTGCATGCTTTTACAAGTGGTTGCAGTTCTGTCTAGCACAATGCCACTGGACCATCCCTATATGTAAGTTCCCCCTAATAAAACCCTATGTCTAGGTGCTTCATTAGCACTGTAGGCAGTTTGCCAGTCTCATAAAACTTTATGTCTTGTTCACTGGCTTCGCGTCTCTTCTTCAGCCTCTCAAAACTGGTGCCATCCCTACTGAAGTTAATAGGAGTCCAGCAGCACTGCATTCATATATATATATACACACACACATATATATGTACAGATACATACACACACATATGTACATATACATATACACACATATATGTACATATACATATACACATGTACACATACATATATACACACTTATATGTACACATACATATATACACACTTATATGTACACATACATACACACATATATGTACACATACATATACACACATATATGTACACATACATTTATACACACATATAGTACATATACATATATACACACATATGTGTACAGATACATATATACACACATATGTGTACAGATACATATATACACACATATGTGTACAGATACATATACACACATATGTGTACAGATACATATACACACATATGTGTACAGATACATATACACACATATGCACAGATACGTATATACACACATATATGTGCAGATACGTATATACACATATATGTGCAGATACATATATACACATATATGTACAGATACTTATATACGCATATATGTACAGATACGTATATACACACATATGTACAGATACGTGTATACACACATATGTACAGATACATACACATACATATGTACAGATACATACACCCATATATGTACAGATACGTATATACACCCATATATGTACAGATACGTATATACACCCATATATGTACAGATACGTATATACACCCATATATGTACAGATATGTATATGTACACCTATATATGTACAGATACGTATATGTACACCTATATATGTACAGATACGTATATGTACAGCTACATATATATGTACAGCTACATATATATGTACAGATACATATATAAGTGGAATATGCATTTATTTATTTATTTATTTTGAGATGGAGTCTCAGTCTATCGCCCAGGCTGGAGTGCAGTGGCGCAATATCGGCTCACTGCGAGCTTCGCCTCCTGGGTTCACGCCATTCTCCTGCCTCAGCCTCCCGAGTAGCTGGGACTACAGGTGCCCACACCATGCCCATCTAATTTTTTTGTATTTTTAGTGGAGATGGGGTTTGACCATGTTAGCCAGGATGGTCTCCATCTCCTGACCTCATGACCTGCCTGCCTCAGCCTCCCAAAGTGCTGGGATTACAGGTGTGAGCTACGGAATATGCATTTTTAAAGATACACATGTGCCCACACACACACAGAGGAATAAAACTGCTAGGCCATGAGGCGTTTTGATCTTATAAGGTAGTGAATGGTAAATTATTTTCCTAAGTGGTTGTGTCAGTTTGTACTACAAGTGCGTTAGGAGTTTCCACTGTTTTATGTCTTCACTGACTCTTGGTGTTGTCAGACTTCTTAATTTTGCCAGTCTAGTGGGTGTAAAATAGTATCTGTATCAGTTAGTCACTGTTACATATTAACTACTCCACAACTTAGTGGCTTAAACAACCATTTAATATTTCTCATTGGCCTGGGGTATGATGCACGGTTCTGCTCATCTGGGCCAGGCTCTGCTGATCTCACCTGAGCCGCTCATGACTTACAGAGAGTTGTCAGGTTAGCAATGGGCTGGCTGGTCTAGGATGGCCTCATGTTTGAGCTCTGTTCCATGGGTCTCTCATTCTCCAGTAGGACAGACAGTACAGACTTGTTCTCATTCTAAGGCAGAAGAGCAAAAGAAAGAGCAGAAACACATAAAGTGCTTGTACAAGATCTGCTTGCAATAAGTTTGCTATTATCATGTTGGATTTGGTCAAGTCTACAGTTAGTGAGGGAAGGAACTACCAGAGTTTAGGCACAGGGAGGTATGAAAAGTTGGGATCATTCGTACAGTCAGTTCACCAACGTGGTTTTAAATCGTATTTCCTTGGCTAGTATTGAGGTTGAGTATCTTTTCATATGTTTACTGGCCATATATATTTCTTCTTCTGAAATGCCTCTTCAAGTCTTTTGTCCATTTTATTTTATTCTATTTTATTTTATTTTATTTTATTTTATTATTTTATTGAGACAGAGTCTTACTCTGTCAGCCAGGCTGAATGCAGTGGTGTGATCTCGGCTCACTGAGACCTCCGCCTCCTGGGTTCAAGTGATTCTCCTGCCTCAGCCTCCCAAGTAGCTGGGATTACAGGCACATGCCACCATGCCCAGCTAATTTTTTTGTATTTTTTGTAGAAATGGGGTTTTGCCATGTTGGCCAGGCTGGTCTCGAACTGCTGGTCTCAGGTGATCTGCCCATCTCAGCCTCCCAAAGTGCTAGGATTACAGGCATGAGCCACCACACCCGGCCCTTTTGTCCATTTTATACGTAGATTTTGTCCTTTTTAGGTTTATTCAGAAGAGTTCATTGTTATTAATTTAAATGCTAATCCTTTGTCAGATACATTTGTGTTTCAAATATATTCTTTCAGTTTCTATCTTTCTTTTTACTTTTTGCTTCTTGGTATCTTGAAGAAAAATTTTATACTACAACCAATTCATGATTTTTTTCTTGTGTTTTTGAGGTGTGTTTTTTGTATCTTATTTACTAATCTTATTTTGTGTCTTATTTACATTTTTCCTATTCTAAATCATTAAGATACTTTCTTATATTCTCTTCTAATTTTTTTTAAGTTTTACTTTTCACAGTTTGGTCTCTAATGTATCAGGAACCGATTTTGTGTTTGTTATGAAAGAGATTCAATTTTCACTTTTTCCCACATGATAAAACAATTATCCCATTAAAAAACCAGTTGTACCATTGATGAAATACCCTTTTGCCCACTGATCTGTCTTCCTTGTTACAACAGCCACATATTGAGTTTCCATGTTTGTGTTGTCTGTACTCAAGCTTTCCGTTCTGTTCCACTGATCTCTTCTGTGCCAGCACCACATGCTTGTGTAACTGTAGCTTTATATGTTTTCATATCTATGATAGCAATTTTCCACACTTTTTGTTCTTCCAGAGTATCTTAACTATTCATGGAAATTTGTTCATTCATTTAAGTTTTAGGATAAGGTTATCAATGTTTGTAAAAAGCCTATAGGAATTTTGATTGGAATTGGAGTTTTATACAGATCAAATGTGGGGAAATCTGAAATCTTTACAGTATTATATGTTCCTTTCCACAAATATTATAAATCTCTCATTTACTTAGGTCTTCTTTTAGGTTTTTTGAATCAGTTTTTATAGTTTTTATCTCTAAGGGATTTGCTCAGCTTTGTTAGATTTATTCATAAGTTCCTTAATTTTCTTTCTGTGACTATTGTAAATTCTTTTTTAAAATGTATTTTAACCACCAGGTGGGGTGGCTCATACCTGTAATCCCAGCACTTCGGGAGGCCGAGGCAGGCAGATCACTTGAGGCCAGGAGTTCGAGACCAGCCTGGCCAACATGGTGAAACCCCATCTTTACTAAAAATAAAAAATTTTAAAAATGAGCCAGTCATGGTGGTGCATACCTGTAATTTCAGCTACTCCAGAGGCTGAGGCAGGAGAATTGCTTGAACTCAGGAGGCAGAGGTTGCAGTGAGCCAAGATCGCACCACTGCACTCCAGCCTGGGCAACAGAGTAAAACTCTGTCTCAAATTAAAAAAAAAAGTATTTTTACTATTTTTTAAACTGTCGCTGGAATAGAAATAGAATTTATTTTTATGTTGTCATTTGTATTTCTATAAAGTTAATCATGTTACTTGCAAATAATTATAGTTTTATTTTTTCTTTTCCAATCCTTATAGCTCACCTAATTTTGCTGTGTTGTTCTGGCTATGATCACTAGTACAATGTTGAGTAGATTAAAAGTAGTAACAGTGGCATCTTTATTTTGATTCTGATTTTAAGGAGAATGCTTCTCACATTTTACTCCCTTCTCTTTCTTCTTTTCTTCATTACACCACCGCTCCGATTAGTTGGCTCAGACTCCTGAAAAATGTACAGGAACCTAAACTGTATGATGTTTCTATTTAACAACTCGCTAATTTTCCAGTGTCTTCATAATTGAAAAGCACTCTTCTTTTTTTATCTGCATTGTTTTCATTCTGTTTAAGGTATGATTCTCTCCTCATTTAAGAGTGTAATGCTCTTTTCTCCTATGTTTTTGGCTCATTAATTATCTTACACTTCAAGGTTCAATTGTTTGCACAGCTTTTGTCTTTTCCAAACAACCAACTTTCGTAGTATTCTTACACTTCTTTTTATCTATTTGGTTAAGTAGTGTGACAATAGTGTCTTTCAAACATTTACATTTTTAACTAAGGAGATAAAAGGAAAAAGAAATGTAATATTTGTTACTTTCTATACATGCTTTACATACATTATTTCCATTTTAATCTACACAAGAATAACCTATTAAGGTAATTATTGTTCTATGTTTTATGGACTCTAAGATACACATTTGTTTATATTTTAACACTTCTGAATTAAGGATCTCTTACAATGCATGTGATAAGAAAGCATATTATCATAGTTTAATTAGCCACCTTTTCTTCTTCATGGTGCATAAAATAATGGTTTTTGTTATAAGTAATGGTGTACTTGATTTGATGAAATGTAGAATTGACCAATTTACAGATGAGAAATCTGGGACTCTGTTATGCCAGAAAATTTGCTCAAGATACACAGCTAGCAAACGGCACAGTTGAAATCTGAACCCATGTCTGTCTCACACCAAAACCTATGCTGTCTTTCAAAAGAGCACACATGATATGGCAATTAGCACATATTCATTAATTGTAGTTCCAACAATAGTAATTGCCGACTACCTGCTGATGAAGAGTGAACTCTGTAAAATATTTGAAGAGATTTATTCTGAGCCAAAGGTGAGGACCATGGCACAGCCCCAGGATGTGCAGAAAACATGTACCCAAGGTGGTCTGGCTACAGTGTGGTTTTATACATTTTTTAGGGAGACATAAAATTAATCGACACATATAAGATGTGCATTGGTTCAGGCCAGAAAGGTGGGACAGCTTGAATTGGTGGCAGATTAGGGGGTGGGGGAATCCAGGTCATAAGTGGATTCAAAGATTTTTCTGATTGGCATTTGGTTGAAAGAGTTATTATCTAAAGACCTGGACTCAATAGAAAGAAGTTTCTGGGTTAAGATAAGGAGTTGTGGAGACCAAGGTTTTATCATACAGATGAAGCCTCCAGGTAGCACGCTTCAGAGCTCTCATCAGACCTAAAAGCTGCCAGAATCCCCTTCCCTTTCCAGGTATTTTCCCTGATTCAGGAGAGAAGTAGTGTGAAATAGTATCTTTCAAACATTTAAATCTATAGATATAGATACAGTTATAGGGCCGGGAGTAGTGGCTCACCCCTGTAATCCCAGCACTTTGGGAAGCCGAGGCGGGGGGATCACCAGGTCAGGAGATCGAGACCAGCCTGGCTAACACGGTGAAACCCTGTCTCTACTAAAAATACAAAAAAATTAGCTGGGCATGGTGGCGGGCGCCTGTAGTCCCAGCTACTCGGGAGGCTGAGGCAGGAGAATGGCGTGAACCTGGGAGGCGGAGCTTGCAGTGAGCTGAGATCATGCCACTGCACTCCAGCCCAGGCGACAGAGCGAGACTCTGTCTCAAAAAAAAAAAAAAAAAAAAGATACAGTTATATATTTTCCCTATAAGAGACAGCTTTGCAGGACCATTTCAAAATATGTCAAATAAATATATTTTGGGGGAAAATATTTCTTTCAGAGCCTGCTATCTGTCATGCGATGCTCTACTAGAGTCAGGTTGGAATTTGGTGGCTTATTGCTACAAAGGTCTGTTTTGTAGTCTTAAGACCTCTGTTTCAACGTTAATTCTGGTGGTCAGTTGTGCTTGAATTCCAAAGGGAGGTGAGTATAATGGGGCATGTCTAACTCCCCTTCCTACCATGACCTCAACTCATTTTTCAGGTTTACTTTGGAATGCCCTTGGCCAAGAGAGGAGTCCATTAGTTGATTGGGGGGCTTAAAATTTTATATTTGGTTCTCATATCTTGCTAATAGCTTTCGTACATATTACCTAGTCTAATGACACACATTGTCTTTGATAAACATACATCTTTATCAGACTTCTTTATTAAGAAGCTCAGTTTAATAAATTACATCAAATGGGTTGCCAGTGTACCATTTAAAAATTACTCTTTTGTTAAAATTCATTCATTAATATATTTTAAATATGTGCTGGCCTTCTTTTCTGGTAACTGGGCTATCATAGCTATGAAGAAGATGAACGCGTTTCTTGCTGTCTTGGAGCTGACAGTCAAACTGATTAAATAATTCTGGCAACATTTCTTCATGATTGGGAAAAATTAAATTAAGTGCTATGAAACATTTGGTTAGCTGTGTAAGCTGAGGCAACCCAGACAGAACAGCCTGTATCAGAAGACACCAGCTTACCAACCTGACCTGTCCCAATGCCAAGCACAAGAATTGGTAGGACATTTGTTCAGTCCGTTCAGTTCAGGTATTAGCTGGCAGGAACAACACCTGGACTACCTAATTAGGACTAAACACATAATATGGAATAAGAATTACATATCGTTTACTAAGCCCTAATTTAAGTAGACACAGAGACAGCTGGCTTAATGGGGGAGGTTATCCCAAGAAATGCCAATAGGGGAGTAGGGAAGTGACATAGGAAACCAATAAATGACTATTTCCAAGCAAGTTGCCACTAGGTCTAACTAGAGATGAATCCTGCAGGGACCTATGGGGGACAGTGAAGAGCACATCTGAGTTTCCTGGTGAGAGGCAAGGGAGCTAGAATACATATCTGCCACCTCCTACCAGCCATTGGTTGGAGGCTACTGGACAATGGGTATGTGCTGTGTTAGAGAGGTGGTGGGGCAGTGATGGTTGCAGTGAATTCTCTAGCACCTTTGCATGTCCAAGAAAGCCCTAGGGCTTAGGCAAAAGGGTTGCAAATTCTGGCAGTTGCAAGTCTGGCAGGAAATAAGTGCTCAGAGGGGATATTAATGGAACTACCTATATATCCGCCATAACTACCGTTCTGTCCAGTTCTGATGTTCATTCCAAGTTTTCCATACTAATGAATGGAAAAAATCTTTCACCTGATGTGGTTGAAGGCTTATCTTCATGCCCCTTTAAACAAATGCTTTGGTGTATATCATTTGCTATTCCCTTTTCAGCTTCCATTGCCATTCAGGTTCCAGCTTGTTAGCCTTGCTGTGGTAACACCCTTGTATCCCGGCTTTTAATGTTATTGTGTAGAATTTCTCTCCATCTGAAGTATCTCAACATCTTCACTGACTGAATGCCTAAGGAGGATTGTTATCCTCCAATGAAAAACAATCCTTGTGAAATGCTTGCACAACTACCACTTTTCCCACAATCACTTTACTGGATTTGCTCTTGCAGTGTCAGCAGGAGGAAATTTATTACACCTACCCTGATTTGGGGCGGGGAAAGAGCATCTTTTGGATTGGAAGAAATTTGGAACTGGCTTTTCTCTCTTTGCAGAAGTGATTGGTTCTCCAACCCTTCCTCTCGGACACTAAGAACCATCCATCCTCCCCAGCTCTAGAACCTGAGGGTTTTTTTCCTATTTAACTCTTTCAGCCGTGAGTAAGCCATCTCTAGGCTTACTTTTTAATATCAGTTTTAGCATTTAATCCTATTTTAGCATTTAATCCTATATTTTCTGGAGAGATGGTATAACATAAGATTCCAACGGTAGGCTCTGGCATCCAATTCCACTGGTGGAAATTCTGGATCCCCACATCTCTGTGGCCTTCATTTTCCATATCCATGGAATATGGGAAATTATCATATCTAGCACATGGAGCTGCCATGAGAATTGAATGGGCTAATACTGTATAGCCCTTAGAAAAGTGCCTGGCACATAGCCCTCAATAACTATGAGCCACTTTTCAATTTGGCCTTGATTAGAACTGATACTTTCTTTTGATGTCAGGAACTTTTCAAGTTTGCCATTTAGCAACTAGAGAGTAAATACAATAATTGTATTGTCACTTTAAGTAAATCAAGAAGCCAGAATAACTTATTTGCCTCATTATATGTCATAAATAATTCAGGACTGAAATTTTTCTTAACTGCCAAAAGGCAGTCAAATTGTAAAACCCCATCCTACTTCTCACCTCTTATCTATATGAACAAAAAAAACTGTGAAATGAACCAGCACAGTCCTGAGTTGCGTCTTCCCTTTCCTAATGAGTCATTTAACTTAAATTACCTAGTTGTTCTTGTGAGGAAAGGAACAGCTGCAAAAAGTTGGCAGGTTTCCAAATGCCTGGCAATGCAATTTAGATAAAAATATAGGTGTTTATGGATGATGACATTATTTGGACCACAAAGTTTTCCTAATCTATGCCCTGGCTAGCAAATGGCTCTGTTCTCCACGCTGTCTGCTGACCTGACTCCTGGCGGGGCTGTGATGTTTTTAGCAAGGTGAAAGAAGCATTATTACAGTCATGCCCTTGGAGTTGACTTCTGCCCATTGACTCATTTTATCCTCACAACAACCTGGTGGAGTACTGGAACAGGTAGTTTTACAGTCACGCTAATGGTTATGCTTAAAACTGTGTAGCTATTTATACTCAATACTAAAAATGGAACCCACTTTTAGGGCCATTTAGACTATAACCATGAGTTCCCTTTTTCTTATCCTATGTTTCTGTGTGGAGACCAAAAAACAATAACAACAACAACGACAGCAACATTACAAAACAAAAACCCTTTGAGTTTGTACCTAGTTTAAGTCATCTGTATCTCAGAAGCTGCCTTCTCTTTTATGGCTTCTTACAAGGTCATCTAGAAACTTGAAAGAGTTTGTTTTTCATCAGGTATTTGTTCCAGAGGAGTGGAAAGAAAATATAGACAGACAAACAGGCTTTCAGAGGGAAACTCAGCTCTGAGATGGTCCCAGGGATGCCAGGCCTCACAGGAATAGGTCCAACAGGAATTGGGGTTCACTCTAAGGTTAAAAAACCAAGGGAGTCAGGGTGCAGTAAGAGGCAAAAACACAGACCTTGGAGTCAGGCCTTGATCAAGTGTTTAATTTCTCTGTGCTTCAATTTCCTCTTCTAGCAAAACTGAGACCTATAATACCAAGAGTACCTACCTTACAGGATGATGAGGATTAGGTATGATAATGTAACTTTAAGGTAGGCACAGCTTTCTTAAACAGCAAACACAAAGAACTAACTGCAAAAGAAAAGATTAATAATTTGAACTTCATTAAAATTAAGAACTTTATTAACTATAAAATGTAATTAGCTGTGTGAAAAGAAAGCCTGACGTATTATATTTTCCAAAGATGGTTGTGACAATATTTCCTATCCATGTACTCATTCAAAACCTTGCCACTGCCTGATTTGAAAAAGGTGCAGTTTGGCCGGGTGCTGTGGCTCACGCCTGAAATCCCAGCACTTTAGGAGGCCAAGGCGGGTGGATCACAAGGTCAGGAGATCGACACCATCCTGGCTAAGACAGTGAAACCCCGTCTCTACTAAAAATACAAAAAATTAGCCGGCTGTGGTGGCGGGCTTCTGTAGTCCCAGCTACTCAGGAGGCTGAGGCAGGAGAATGGCGGGAACCCGGGAGGCGGAGCTTGCAGTGAGCCAAGATGGTGCCACTGCACTCCAGCCTGGGCGACAGAGCGAGACTCCGTCTCAGAAAAAAAAAAAAAAAAAAAAGAAAAAGAGAAAAAAAGAAAGAAAGAAAAAGGTGCAGTTTATGTTCCTCCCTTGAACCTAGATGGATCTCTGTGACTATTTTGACTAATGAAGTGTGGCAGACAAGATTCTATGTGACTTCTGGGGCTAGATAATAAAAGATCATAGTTTTACCTCTCTTGGGACATTCACCCTGGAAACAAACCACAATAATGTGAGGAAATATAAGCCATATGGAGAAGCCCATGTGCATAGGAATGGCAACCTCCATCGCTCTACCCAGCTGACAGTGAGCTCCAACTTTCCAGCCATGTAAGCGAGTCATCTTGGAAGCAACTGTTTCTGCCCGTAGTTGAGTCACCCCTGCTGATGCCATATGGGAGAGAAAAAAGCCTTCTCTGTTAAGCCTTACTCAAAATGCATATAAGCAAAATATATGAATGTTATTATTCTAAACTACCACATGGGGAGGGGGATAGTGTGTTATTCAGCAATGAAGAACCAGGAAGTCTGGCACGTAGAAGCGGGGTGTGCCATAACAAGACCTAAAATATGTGACAGTGGCTTAGGGATGTGGAGTTAGGCGGAAGCTGAATGAGCCTAGGAACTGTTATAGAAGTCTAAAGGGTCTTGAGTATGCTGTTGGCAAAAGCTTGTAAGAAGTGAGGAAAATGTTTGGGACAGCTGGAGGACAGGAGTCTGTTATTATGCAGTGATGCAAAGTTTAGTAACACTCTCACCTGTGGTTCCACTGAAAATAGAAAATAATGAACTAGGTAATATAGCTAAGGGCATTTCCAGGCAGTGTTGTAGGTACTACGTGGCTTCTTCTCACTGTATATAGTAAAACAGGTGAGGAGAAAAGAAACTATATAAAGAAAAGGATAAACTCTTAAGTATAACGGAGCTGGGACTTGTTGGGCTCAAAAATAAAATCGCTCCTCATTTCCAGCCTCTCCAGATGGCAAACAGTGCTAAAATTAAGAAATGGCTTCAGGCAGAGATCAAATCCAGGGCATGATAATGAAAATAGTCTTAAGATGAAACTGAGGGTGGCCAGTAAAATCCTTTGTTAAGACCTCATAGTAGTTTTTCACAGTAGTCTTTGCCTTTCAAACTAAGAAATAGCCCTCTAAAGATCTTAAGACTGTGTTTCTTAGATCCTCTCTATTAAGAAATGAGGATTCTCAGAATCTTAGTTTCCCTATAAAGAGTTCAGTTTTATAGGGAGCCTAGGCATTATATCAGCCTTACAGGAAGCCCACAATAGAGGAGACCTTATCTCAAAATAATTGGAAGTTTTTGAGTTTTTTTTTTTTTTTTTTTTTGGCATAATGTAGTGGATTCTAAATTAACCTGTAAGAAATTCATAGTTTTTTAAAGGAATTGTAACAGCTTGGACTAAAACGGACCAATACACAGTGAAAAGAAGTTTAGGGACTTTCAAACATCTATGGACAGAAAGAAGGTTGAGAAAACTACTCAGCCTCAAACACTTGCTGCGTTAATTAGAATGATAATCCAGAAGAAGGAACAAAGAGCCCAGAGGACAGAACCCAAAGCCACAGAGAATCATTCCGGGGAATTAGAACTGAGCCCTACATGTGCTCAGCTAGATTTCAGACCAGTGACTACTGTGTATCTCCACCTTCCCCCCATTTTAAACAGGAGTTCTCACTGCAACCAGTCTATGACTGTTTCATACATTAGGAATGTGTGGGGCAGACAACTTTAGTTCACAGGTGCTCAGATGGAGGACAGTGGTATTCAAGGAGAGGTGCTGAGGAGCCTTATCCACATCTGGACCAGATTTAGATAATGAGATCTTGAGTTAGTCATAACAAGATGAGACATTGAGGGGGTCTTTGAGAAGGAGGTAAGCATATCTTGCATATGAGAGGAATGTAAATTGTTGTGCCCAGAGGGCATACTGTAGTATATCATATTTTCAAAAAATGGCCACAACAATATGTCTAGTCCCACATGGTCTTCCAAATAGTTTCCACTCCTACATCAAGAGGTAAAGTCTGTGTTTTTCTCTCTTAAAACTGGGAGGGCCTTTGTGACTGCCTTGACTAATATTGAATGGTGTAAGTGATGCTACGTGACTTCCAAGGCTAAATTATAAAAGTTTATTCAACCTGGATCACTCTCTTAGGATACATGCCTTTTGGAACCCTAAGACACCAGGAAAGAAGCCCAGCTTCCCTGATGCTCAGTGCTAGAGACACCACGAGGGCAAGACTGCACTGAGTTACAGAGAGACTCCTTAGGAGCACCAGCTCTTCTCGTCCCCAGCTGTTTGAGCCCAAGTATCAGACTTGGGAAAAATTGAGATGTCAAAAAACGTGGCCGGGCACGGTGGCTCCCACCTGTAATCCCAGCACTTTGGGAGACCGAGGCAGGCAGATCAAGAGGTCAGGAGATTAAGACCATCCTGGCTAACACCGTGAAACCCCGTCTCTACTAAAAAAAAAAAACAAAAAAAAAACAAAAAAAAAATTAGCCGGGCTTGGTGGTGAGCGGTTGTAGTCCCAGCTACCCTGGAGGCTGAGGCAGGAGAATGGCATGAACCCGGGAGGCGGAGCTTGCAGTGAGCCGAGATTGCGCCACTGCACTCCAGCCTGGGCGACAGAGCGAGACTCCATCTCAAAACCAAAAAAAAAAAAAAAAAAAAAGGAAATCCCAGTCACCATCTGACTGCAGTCTAATAAGAGACCCAAAGTGAGAACTACCCAGCTGAGCCCAATAAACCCTTGGACTCATGAGAGAGAATAAAATATGATTGTTGTTGTTTTCAGCTGCTCAATCTTGGGATGATTCATAATACATCAATAAATTATTGGCATTGCAGCCAGCATTCCTACAAATAAGAAAAAGACAACATTTTTAAAAACCTAAAACAGAGAACTTAAAACAGAATTACCATTTGACCCAGCAATCCCATTATAGAGTATATGCCCAAAGGAATACAAATCATTCTACCTTAAAGACACACACATGACTATGTTCATCGTAGCACTATTCACAATAGCAAATACATAGAATCAACCTAAATGCTCATCAATGGTAGGCTAAAGAAAATGTATATATACATCATGGAATGCTATGCAACCATAAAAAAGAATGAGATCATGTCCTTTGCAACAACATGAATGGAGCTGGAGGCCATTATCCTAAGCAAACTCACACAGAGAACCAAATATGACATGTTCTTACTTAAGTACACGTGGACACAAAAAAGGGAACAGCAGATATCAGGGCTTACTTGAGGCTGGAGAATGGGAGGAGGGTGAGGATCGAGAAACTACATATCAGGTACTATGTTTATAACCTGAAGGATGAAATAATCTATACGCTAAACCCCTGTGAGATGCAGTTTACCTGTACAACAAACCTGCACATGTACTCCTGAACCTAAAACAAAAGTTTAAAAAAGAAAAAAAGTAAGCAAAAAGGCTCTCTACAAAAAAGAATTTCCAAATGGCCAATAAGTATATTAAAAAGTGCTTAACATTATTAGTAACTGTGGAAATGAAAATTAAAACTACATGACACAACCACACATACCCCAGAATGACTAGAATTAAACATTGATAATATCAAGCATTGGTAATAATGTGGAACAACTGGAATTATCTTGGAAGCTGCTAGTAAATACTTAAACCGGTAAAACCACTTCGGAGAACTGCTTGGAAGTATCTACTATTGTACACTAAACCCACACCTATTCTGTGATATAATTCCATCCCTAGGTATCAGATTGGTACAAAAGTAATTGTAGTTTTTGCAAAAATTAGCCAGGCACGATGGCATAACCCTGTAGTCCCAGCAATTCAGGAGGCTGAGGCAAGGAAATCGCTTGAGCCCAGGAGGTCAAGACTGCAGTAAGCCATGATTGCGCCACTGCACTCCAGCCTAGGTGACAGAGTGAGACCCTGTCTCAAAAAAAAGAAAAAAAGTTTTTACTGTGGGGAGGTAAGGGTATTGTCTGGGAAATGAGAATAAGGGAGGCTTATTGGGTGTTGGAAATGTGCTATATCATGATCTGGGTGGAGTTTACCAAGGGCATACATATATAAAAATTTATTGAGATTTATAATGGACTATAAAGATTTATGTACCTTACTGCCTGTTATACCTCAATAAAATGTCTTCAGCCAGGTGTGGTGGCTCATGCCTGTAATCCCAGCACTTTGGGAGGCCAAGGTGGTTGAATCACAAGGTCAGGAGTTCAAGACCAGCCTGGCCAAGATGGTGAAACCCTGTCTCTACTAAAAATACAAAAATTAGCCAGGCGTGGTGGTGCATGCCTGTAATCCCAGCTACTTGGGAAGCTGAGGCAGAGAATTGCTTGAACCCAGGAGGCGGAGTTTGCAGTGAGCCAACATCACACCATTGCACTCCAGCCTGGGCAACAGAGCGAGACTCTGTTTCAAAAAAAAAAAAAGTTTTCAATGCATGTGTATCACTTAGCACAGTGCCTGGCATATAGTAAATGTGCAGTAAATGTTTGATATCATGAACTCAGCTGTTCATTAAAACTAAAGGGAGTCAATTGTGTCAAAGTGTAGCAAAGGACCCATCGCCCTTGCATTTCCTGAGAGTTTGAAAACCTCTATGAGCTGTTACATAGCTGGAGAAGGAGAAACATGGAAAAAGCAACCTGTCCACTTTGTCTTCTCAGGTCCAGGTTTGTTAGAGCTGCCAAGCAAGTCTGTCTTATTCCCAAGTGAACTATTAGCTAGAGGCCCCAGGAAGAGTAAACACGGAAGAGCTCTGTTTTATCCACCCCAGGGCTGGGATTGAGGTGATAAAAAAAAATAACAGGCCATAATAAATGTGGTATCTGTTAATCCGGTGCCTTCTCCGGGGTTACCCTTCCTCAGAAAATAAGCCAAACTACCTGAGATGGTGCATTTTACAGGAAATGCCTAGACAGATAATCTCCAAACAGAATTGACTAGAGAAAGCCACAAACACAGATAGACTGGTTTGATTAAGAGTTTCTTGATCACAGCTCAGAAGCAAAGCACCCCTTCACAACTAAAAGGAACTCATGGCCACATGGACCAGGGGAAGCTTACCAGTTTCTAGAGTGAGAATTGGATGAGGGTCATTGACATGTTGCCAACCACCAATTTCTGTAGGGACTGTTTATGTTTAACCTATATATTTATCCTTCCCTGTCAACCACCCTCACCAAAACACTGGTGTCCTCAACACGATGATCAGCAACTGCACCTGACTCTAGTCAATTCATTCTCCCCAGGAAATTTATCCTGTAAGTTTTCAAGACAAAAACAGTCTACCAAAAATTCTAGTGTCAAAGAGACCTGAAAAGATGAACACAAAATATTCATAGAGATAAGTTTGATCTCTCCAAATAGTCTTTCTTCATTCTTCCTTGAAAACTCAATTTGCCCATTTCTTATATTGAAACCATCCCTGAGTCCTAAATATGCCTGGCATCCACCCTTTTCTCTCTGAACCCTTCTTCATAGTCCAAGCTACCTTCATTTCTAACCTGGTTCACTGTAATGATCTGGTCTGACTGGTCTGATACTTACATCTTCTCCCTCACCTACCTCTACTCTACACTACCACCAGAGTGATCTGATTAAAAATGCAAATCTGATCACTTGACCACCCTCCCCATCCCCCAGTAGACTTTGATGATTTTCCATTGCTTTGCAGATAAATACCAATTCTTAGCATGGCTAAAAGGCCCTGCATGACTTGGCCCCTATCCACCTCTCCAGTGTCATTTTGAACCGTGGTCCCCACCAACCACATTCAGGTCATACCTGGCATTCTCCTACCACAGGGCCTTTGAACATGCAGTTGCCATTGTCTGTTACCCTTCTCTTCACCTGGCCAAATTCCATCCTTTCTTCAGGATTCATCTTAATTGTCACTTACCCAGAGAAGGCTCTTAGCATTTACCACAGTTAAATGTTTCCACTTATTTGTATAGTTATTTGATTAATGACCAACCTCACAGTCAGCAAGCTCTTTGAGGTCAGAGATGTAGGTTTTTGCTCATCATTGTATCACTGATGCCTGGCTTAGTGACTGGCACATGAAGATGCTCAATAAATACTTGTTGAATTAATAAATGCAGTCATTACCCAATCACATTTCAAGGTCACATAGTCAATCACGATTTTCCTTTTTTCACACTGTGAGCCAGATCTTAGCCTTCTCCAATGCTATGTTGGAGGTAAGGCTGAATTGAGGAAGATACACACCTCATGACTCATGACCCAAAATGCAGTGACCATGTCCATATTCTGAAAAGCCCACACCAAAACTCACGTTGGAGCAGTTCATCCAGTAAAGCAGTGCCCCGTGAGAAACAAGACTCTGCTAGAAAGCAAACAGTGCCATGCAGTTAAAATATCCACTAATGACACCGTGTGCTGTTCTGCATCCGGGCAAGCATGGCTTATCCTGGATGGACTTATGACCCGCCGCCATCTTCCTAACCTGGCAGTAAACATGGAAGAGTTGTTTTCCTAACCTTCCAGTAAACATGGACAACAAGCATGGTGGCATATGTCTGTAGTTGCAGCAATTTGGGAGGCTGAGGCAAGGGGATTGCTTGAGCCCAGGAAGTTGAGACTGCAGTGAGCCATGATCGCACCACTGCACTCCAGCCTGGGTGACAGAGAGAGATCCTGTCTCAAAAAAAAAAAAAAAGAAAAGAAAAGAAAAGAAAAAAGAAAAAAAGGTTTTATTGTGGGGAGGTAAGGGTATTGCCTGGGAATTAATAAATGCACTCATTACCGAATGACATTTTGTTGCAATGATCACAGAATCAGGATGCTCAATGAACATACACAATAAGCAGCCTTTAGTGTCTAAAACAGGAGAGTGGTCTACGGGAAAATAAAAGCCAAGAATCTATATCAGAGCTGATATCTGGGAATAGAAGAGAGAATCATCTTGATATAAAGTCAGAGAAGACTAAGCTAGTTATGTAAAGAAAGAATATTTTCCCACAGCCCTAGCATAGCATAGTTCAAGGGAAGTAGGGAGGGGTTGGTTATAATGGTTAAAATTACTTGAATATGGTCGTGGGTGTGTATAATCCCAGCTACCTGGGAGGCTGAGGCAGGAGAATCGCTTGAACCCTGGAGGCAGAGGTTGCAGTGAGCTGAGATCACGCCATTGCACTCCAGCCTGGGCAACAAGAGCAAAACTCCATCTCAAAAAATAAAAAAAAAGATTACTTGAATAGATTAAGATTATAATACATTGGGTACTCTGCCTTCAAAAATTGGCCTTTGCTGCCAGTTTCTGAGGTAGCAGGCGTCTTGTGTTTGAAGTGCATCTGAAATCGTGGTGATGTACTGGTAATAAGATTACTTGCATGACCTCCAGAGTGAAGGTGTCTCCAGCTCCCACGACAGATTGTTCTTGTTATTTCTGCTTGTCAACTCTGAAAAGTTAGAAGCCATTTCATTTCACTGAGAAATAAGTTTTATGTCTCAGAGAAAGGCTCATATTAAAGGTCAGAGATTTTTAGTATAGGTCACACCCCTTCTCGAGACTCAAAATTCTCAAGTCACCAACAATCTGAAACTCTAGTCATAAGAGAGCCTCAGTGTGTGGAATGTGGACTCGTATTATGAAGAATGGTTCTAATGCAAGAAGGGGTGCATTCCCACATCAATCTAAAGCTAATATTCAAAACATGTCATATTTGGGTAAGTGATAAGAATAGAAAGTGGCTATGCTAGATATTGTGCTCCCCCACTTTAGTGACAGAGCATAATTAGGATCATTGTTCAGCCCCACCATCCTTATATCAGGCCTGATTAGCAGTGTTGTTACTCTGCCTTTGGATCAGTGAAAGTTATTACAGGGTAGGTATGCTGAGTATGGCACAATGCCCACCAGGTGCCGATGCTTGTTTCACTCATATCCTATTCTCAGAATGCATGCTCCGTAGGCCAGGTGTGGTGGCTCACGCCTGTAATCCCAGCACTTTGGGAGGCCGAGGCGGGTGGATTACCTGAGGTCAGGAGTTCGAGACCAGCCTGGGCAATATGGCAAAACCCCATCTCTACTAAAAATACAAAAACTAGCCAGGTGTGTTGCCGGGCACCTGTAATCCCAGCTACTCAGGAGGCTGAGCCAGGAGAATTACTTGAACCCAAGAGGCAGAGGTTGCAGTGAGCCAAGATCACACTACTGCACTCCAGCCTGGGTGACAGAGCAAGACTCCATCTCAAAAAAACAAACAAACAAACAAAAAATCACACTCCTTAAAAATGTACTATTCAAATGTTACCAAGGAGACCTTTGGTGCCTCTGGAGGTGTAGTGGTTCCTGGTTCCAGTATCTGCAACTATACCATAAAATCGGTAGAATTTGATATGAAAGGCCTTTGGGAGCAAGGTCACACTAATAGAGAGAATGCCACTGAATATGAAGGGGAAATGCTGACCTACTGAAAGTACTCTATTTGAGTCAAAAAAGGACACGTGAGTCAAATTCGCGCTCGGGAATTCTCCACAACGCCTGGTTGTGGGCACTTTACAAGGTTACTAATAAGAATATGTTTATGTGCTCCAAAAATGTGCATTACTTCAGGTTAGGCACAAAACTAGGCCTCCGCAAAAATCTGTAAACACTATGATCACACCATACATTTCATATTGTAGAAATGCAGTGACTCATTTCTAAGCTTTACAAAATAAGGAAAATCACAATGTTAATGCTTATTGGAGACTCATTCAGAACCAGATGAATCTGTTTGAATATTATTATCTCAAACAGTATGTGGAAATTATTTTTACCCAATTATGCTCTAGTTTTCCATGGTAAATTCTAATATAAATTATTTAACTTGGTAAAACAAAGATTTCCTAGGGATTTGGAGAGTAACAACAAATATAATTATCATCGAACAAAAAATAGTATTGTCAAGAATTCGATGAATAATTCTTAGTTTTCTTGCTATATAATAAATGGAAATCTAGTTTCATCGATTTTTAACATGGCAAGATTATAAGGAATTTTAAAATATTAATACAAATGTCTTTGTTGGAGATACTTATTTATTAATACATTTCAACCTAGACACAATGAGAATCTTTGATTACACTGTCCTAACCTCAAATAAATTGATATCTTTTTCAATAAATAAATGTAGTCACGCACTAGAAGCCAGAAAAATATTTTTGAACCACTCCTTCCATTTGCATTTGTTTCAACCATTTCCCTGTGAAATTTCACACATTATACTGCACATGGGGTCTAGTATGTGTTGATTGGCCGTCTCTGAGTAATCGCTTTACACTGATGTGGACATTCTGCACACCATATCTAGACATCTGCTTATTGAACCAGAAGTTGGTGCTTCTTGGGCCTCATCCCAGTTTTTGTACTTTCTACTTAGCCCTGGATGATTCACTGCTGATCCCCAGAGCCACATTTTTCAGTCTATCAAATAGAATGAAAATCTGCCAGCCTTTCTGTCTTCTGTTCTATGTAACTCTTAGTGCTAGGCAAAAATATAGTCTCCAAGGATTCTTATGCGGTTTAAATCGATGATGTCTAAGCTTCTCATAAGAAAGATGCTGTATCAATAGATGTAAGTCACTTATGATGATGTAATTGAAGATCCTTATAAAATGTTGCAAACCAGATAGAATACGTAATTGCCTAGATAAAGGTTGAATATTCAGCACAGCCTCACTTTTATGATTGTGAAAATAATACCTGTTGGGTTTGGAAAAGACAAAAAAAGTAAAATAGAAATTCACGCCTACAATATCTCCACACAAAGATAGCTGAAAATTTAATAAACATTTAAGATTGTTTGCCCCTTTTCTCCCTGTGAGAATAATATTCAAAATAATACACTGGCTGTCAAACAGGCATCTTTGTTGAATTAAATGCATCAATATAAATATTCATGGTATTGTCTTAGCTGTATCTCTAAGAAATGCACCAAGTCCCCTGTAAGAATATTGCTTTAGTTACTGGTGTTGCTGTGCATACATGTATTGCACAGTCACACACACACGCACACACACACGCATACACACGTAAACCAAATTCCAGAGGCTTTACAAGTCTTAGATCCATCTAGAGTCCTTGATTTGCCATTTGGATCCCTACCTTTCTTTCACTTTTCTCCTATTATCACCTTGGCAAGCTGAAACACTTGTTTTGGGACGAATCCTCTTCTAGCTTCTAGTACTTTGTTCATGTTCTCTCCACCTGCAAGGATCTCTGCATCTCTGTATGCTTGAAGTCTGTGATGCCAAACCATAAAGTTATGGAGGCAAAGAGCATGGGCTTTGGAACCAGACAGGTTAGGATCAGATTCTAAACCTGCTGCTGGCTCTGTGACCTAAGCAAGTCATTGAACTTTTGCCTCTGTTCCATTTGCCTCTGTTTCCTCATACAGAAGATAAAGATAATAACAGTTCTTACCTCCTGAGTGTGTTATGATGATTAAATACATTAAAATGTGTAAAGAACTTCCACACCAGACTCACAGAATGTACTCTGGAAAAGTTATATTACACTATCCTATTTTACCAATTTTATCAACTGTGCATACATATTTATTTTTCACATTTGAGCCTCACCAAGATCAGAATGCTTTAAAACATCAGTGATGTCTTAAAATCATATCTAACTCAGATGACAGTTGTGTTGGGGTTGTGTGAGAGCCTCACAATGACACTTTCTAATAGAAATGCCCACATCAAAGAGTTTTAGTTTCCACAAAACAAGGACATCTACTTGTGTAAAATAGTTGAGGGCAAGGATTTTAAAATCACCTGCCTGGTTCTGCCACTTCCTGTGCCCTTGGGCAAGTTGCTTAACCTCTCAAAGTCTCTCTTTGTCCATCTGTAAATTAGTAGTAATAATGGTCTCTACCTCACAAAGTTGTGTCATCATTGAATTCCATAATGAATGGAAAGCATTTAGCCTGTTACATAGTAAATTCTAAATAATAATAACCATAAACATTTTTTAGCACTTACTAGGTACCAGTAACTACATGTAGTAATTGTGTCCTAAAGCCTTCACGTGACTAAATTTATTTAACACTTCCTCAAATCTTACAACAGGATGCTAGAATTGTCTGTATTTTATAGGTGACGAAACTGAGGCACAAAAGGGTGACAATTTGTCAAGGTCACACTGTTGTTAAAAGGTAGAGCCAAACTTCAGAATCCATGCTCTTCTCCTCTAGGCTCCACTGCTACTCCACTGGAAAGAACAACTTGAAAGGAACAACTTGAAAAACAACACTTGGATGCATGTGTTTTTTGAAACAGAGTTTTGCTCTTGTCGCCCAGGATGGAGCACAGTGGCACGATCTTGGCTCACTGCAACCTCCACCTCCTGGCTTCAAGCAATTCTCCTGCCTCAGCCTCCCAAGTAGCTGGGATTACAGGCACCTGCCACCACCCACCGCTAATTTTTGTATTTTTAGTAGAGACAGGGTTTCACCATCTTGGCCAAGCTGGTTTCGAACTCCTGACCTCAGATGATCCACCCACCTTGGCCTCCCAAAGTGCTGGGATTACAGGCGTGAGCCACCACACCTGGCCCAGATGCATGTCTTATGAGCCTTGAAGAGATACTGTGCTGGGGGAGGTGGGGAAGGGGCAGAGGCGGGGGAGGTGTCCGTCTGCTTCACTGTAACATCCACCAGCCTTACCTCTTCCTCTAAGGAAATGTTCAGCAAATGATTGAACAAAGTACCCATTATTTTAGTCCCACCTGGGCTGTCCTTTGTGGAGCTCAGCCAAATCCCCGCAAGGACCGGTAATTGCAGAGTTTTCAAAAACTGGACCCTGTGGACTGGGCTGCACACTGGGGTCTTTATCCATGAACAAACAATGCTGAAGAGAGAGCCCTCTTGCTCCAGGCAATGGAATGCTCACAGTGAAGAAATGTGAAACAGTTTCTCTTTGTGGTGAAACTCTAGCTACCCAGCCAGGCCCACAACCTACACTCTGCTGTCAGGAGGTCAAGAGGGAGAATGGGGTATGGAAATTTGCAGATAAAGAACTGGAAAGCCAGCTTGGGTTAATGGCCCTCAGCTGACTGCTGGCAAAAATCTTTGTTTCCCCTGAAGTAGGCTGAGTTTCTTTCTGTTCCTCTTCCCCGGTATCCCTTCAAGCAGCACTGGGAAAACAGCACAAGGGTGACTGTAAGATGTAAGGAGCGCTCTGAGGTTGAGATACTGATCTCAGGGGAGTTTTTCCTCTGGTTGGGTGGGATCTAGAGCTGACATGGATTGCTCTGGAACTGTACAAGTGTTCTGCACAGTAGTGGCTTGACTTCGGGGCAGGTGAGTTGTCATTAGAGCAGGAGATGGGAAGGGGATACAGGATAGCCTGGCAGGAGAGGTAGGCCAAGGCTAACTGTCAGGATGCTTCAAAGGCAGGGCTGAGCCTTACAGTGGCTGATGTATCTAGGTCAGTGCTTTTTAAATACAGATGTCAATCTTGAGTTCTTGTTCATATATAATTATCTCTATAAGACATTTCTTAACTTCTCTCATGGTCCTAAGCATAAAATAAGTCATAAAGCTTCAGGGAAATGTTGGGTATATTTTTAATTAGGTGAAAAAACAAAATACTTTTCTTGATCTTCTTCTCACTACTTATAAATTAAAGTGTTGGTTCTAAAATAACAAGAACCCTGGCTTTTTCTTCATTGTCTTCTTAGTACCTAGCACGTGGCAGGTATTTAATATAAAATTTTTTTGAGTCAATGAGGAATAAAATTACTATCCAAGAATAAGTGGGTTCAACTCTGGTTTTGCACACAAACACGATTACTACAGCAGTGATCCATCTATCCCTGAGCTTCCAGTGGCACTTACTGTGTCTCTCTCTATCCATCTTGAGGCCACATTTAGCATTTTGACACATCTCTCCTTGTACCTTCTGGCCAGATGTGTAACTTGAAAGGCAAAGCTATAGCTATGAAAAAAAGAGCAGTGGTTTCTAAGAGTTGGGAGTAGAGGGTTGAAGAAATGAAGCACAAGGTTTTCTAGGGCAGTGAAATTATTCTGTATAATACTGTTATGGTAGATACATGACCATATGCATTTGTCAAAACACATAGAACTTTACAGCACAAAGAGTAAACATTCTGCATGCAAATTTTTAAAGAATCATTTAAGAGGATGGGGGATCCTCAGTTGGAATGCAGATTGCAACAGAACCACCTAATTATATTACAAAAGTGTGAAACAATTTCACTGCAGGGGGTTGGGGAGAAAAGTCCTGACACAAGTAACTTTGGATGTGAGCAGAATCTGTAACACTAAGGGCAAAGGAAACTGTACATAAGCACTATAGTTGAAAAAGTTATTTTCCCATAGGTACAGGTTAACAGTGTAGATATATGTAACAATACACTACACATGTAAGCTGAAATTAAACAATTTAGGAAATGGATAATTTCTCATGGTTACAGTGGGAATTTACAGGTAATCAACTGGAGGAGGCTATAGTCATCCATGTGCTAATAGTTCAGAGTTCAAGAGATCAAGTATAAACTGTGTTTAACTTAATATAGATATAGATGGTGTCTTAGTTTGTTTCATGCTGCTATAACAGAATACCTAAGGCTGGAAAATTTATAATGCACAGACATTTATCGACTCACAGTTCTGGAGGCTAGGAAGTCCAATATCAAGGTGCTGGCATCTGGCAAGGGCCTTCTTGCTGCATCATCACACGGAGGAAGGTGAGAGGGCAAAGAATAAGGGCAAGAAAGGGTAGAATTCACCCTCTTATAATGGTACCAATCCCACTCATGATGGTGGAGCCCTCGTGGCCTAATCACCTCTTAAAGGTCTCACCTCTTAATACTGTTACAATGGCAATTAAATTTCAATGTGAGTTTTGGAGGGGACAAACATTCAAATTATAGCAGATGGTTATATATAGGAATATTTATATATGTGTGTGTATATACAGGTTAATATACATATATCCTTTATCTGTCATCTGAAAGGGCCTAGAAGTAATGACACCATAGTAGCCATGAGCACAGCTAGTAACCAGATTGTGGTTTCTAATATCATTCTCCAGCAAAGAACTCAGGGCTCCTTGGAAAAATGGCTGATTCCAGGACAGGGGCAGGAAATATACAGATTGATCCTGGAGCATCTTGTAGTGCCAGAGACTAAGAAAGTGTTAAACACACACACACAATTAGGGGGTGTTCACAGTCAAATGGACACAAGAGCCAAATGAAAGAGTGCCCAAGAGCCAAAGCTGGAGAAATTTGATCAATAATCATAATTTGGATTATAACCCAAAGTATGAAATAAATATCTGAGTTTATACTGACATAAATAAATGATTGAATAAATAAATAAATGATTGAATAAATAGAAAAATGGTGGAGAATAAATAAATCTCCTGCGTAAAATCAGAATAATTTATACAGGTACTCCACTCTCAAGTAGGTGGAACCTAGCTCCCCATTCCTAAGTGTGGACTGCACATCATGACTTTCTCTCAAAGAGGACAGTATGGAAAGGGGGTCTAACAATCACTTTACAGTGGAGAAACCTGTCAAACAAGCAATCAGGGTCAACTTCAACAGTAACGAGTCATGCTGACGTAGATACCTTTCATATAATGTGATGAGAATGTCACTTTATCTTTGTAATTTTCCTCACCCATACCCATAACTCCAGTCTAATCATGCAAAAACATCAGACAAATCCCACCTGAGGTACATTCCACAAGATACTTGATAGGTACTCCTAAAACTGTCAAGGTCATCAAAAAGAAGGTAAGTCATAGCCAAAAGGATCCCAAAGACACATGACAACTAAATGTAAAGTGGCATCCCAGGCTGGGCATGGTGACTCAGGCCTATAATCCCTGCACTTTGGGAGGCCAAGGCAGGTGGACAACTTAAGGCAGGAGCTCGAGACCAGCCTGGCCAACATGGTGAAACCCCGTCTCTACTTAAAAATACAAAAGTTAGCTAGGTGTGGTGGCATGCGCCTGTAATCCCAGCTACTCGGGAGGCTGAGGCACAAGAATCACTTGAACCTTGGAGGCGGAGGTTGCAGTGAGCCGAGATCGTGTCATTGCACTCCAGCCTGGGCAACAGAATGAGACTCCATCTCCAGATAAATAAATGTAAAGTGGTACCCTGGATTGGATTCTGAAGCAGAGAAAGGACACACACATACACACACACACACACACACATCCCTAAGAAATCTAAATGAACTATGGACTTTGGTTGATGACGATGTATTAATATTGGTGCATTAACTGTGGCTAATTGTAAGATGTTGCTAATAGGGGAAACAGGATGTGTATGGAAACTCTCTGTGCTGTGTTCACAGTTTTTCTTTAAGCCAAAAACTGCTCTGAAAAGAAAAGGTTATTTTGTTTACAAATTTACCTATAGATTTTATGGGTTTATGGGGAGGTTAAAGAGAAGGTAACCTCCCAGCTCCTCCAGCTAAGCTTACTCATACTCCTACTCCAACATTCATTCTGTACTCTCTCTGGTATCTCCCTTCTATGTCCTCCCATGCAGGTCTCTGTTCTCTATTTTGACTAGAGTCTCTCAATCCTCCATTTCTACTCCAACACATACAGCTTCTAAAAATCTCCAAGCAATTCAGTATTTGTCCTCAGCCTGCGTAGTCCACTCAACACAACAAATTCCTATACTTAGCTGAGAAGCAATCAACTTTGTTCTTCAAGTATGCCCACTAGGATGTATTAGCTCTCTTACCATAGCCAATTTAGGCAGATGTTCTCAAATGCCTTCATTCTCACTCAGTGCATGGTTTCCAGAGAAATTTCAAACAACTCCTAAAGTAAAAAATTTATGTGGAAGAAGCTCCTAGCAATCCAACCTTAAACAGAGAGATAATGTCCAGGAGTCCACAAGATTGAGGGAGTAGAATTTATGAAGCTCAATTATAACTGTCATAAAAATTACAAAGTATAAAAAAACAGGGCACAAAGGGCAGGTGCTTAACAAGCTGAAATTGATGCATGCCAAAAGAATATAAAAAAGCAAAACTAAGGGAAAAGGTTGCTACTGAACTCTAGGCTCCCGACAGCTGAATTAATCTCTCCAGCATGGTGCTAAGTTACGCAGGGGCTGAGTTCGTCCTCAAGTGTCATGATAATTTGCACAGACCTACTCTGTCTCCTGATTTCTTTGGGTAAACAACAAATAGTCACCTGAAAAAGAACCAGGAGCGGCAAGGGTGATCAGAGGCAGCAGTGTCAAACATCCGTGACCTTTATCCTCTACCCTCACTGAGTCCAGTAGGCCGACAGGGAAATACCTTAACCCTTTGGAGCTATGGGATCTTTTAATAAACCACAGCAGAAATACCCTAGCTAGCTAACTAGCTAGTGGTAAGAAAGAGATGTCTGCAAAAAAGAAGAAAAACAACAGGGTGAATGGCAGTCTCTTTTTCTTTCTTTATTTTTATTATTATTATTTTTTTAGAGATGGAGAATCCCTATGTTGCCCAGGCTGGTCTTGAACTCCTGGGCTCTAGCAATGCTCCCACCTTGGCCTCAGCCTCCCAAAGTGCTGGGATTACAGGCATGAGCCACGGCACCCAGCCTGATATTTCTTCTTAAAAGAACCATTATATATAAATATATGTGAGTGTGTACATGTAAAAGGATAGCACTCTACTTTTAGAGTCTTCAGTGTCTTCAAGATATTTTTAAGAAACAAATATACAACTTCTTTCTTTCTTTCTTTCTTTCTTTCTTTCTTTCTTTCTTTCTTTCTTTCTTTTTTGACAGAGTCTTGCTCTGTCACCCAGGCTGGAGTGCAGTGGCACCACCTCGGCTCACTGCAACCTCCGTCTCCCAGATTCAAGCCATTCTCCTGTCTCAGCCTCCCGAGTAGCTGGGACTACGGGCACATGCCACCACGCCCGGCTAATTTTTTGTATTTTTAGTAGAGACGGGGTCTCACCATGTTAGCCAGAGTTGTCTCTATCTCCTGACCTCATGATCCACCCTCCTTGGCCTCCCAAAGTGCTGGGATTACAGGTGTGCGCCACCGCACCCCGCCACCTCCACTGAAATCTTATTACCACAATGTTTTCCTAGGATATTCCAGCCATAACTTGGCAGGATGCTGAGGGTTACTCTTCTCACTTCCAGTTTAAAATCTGGTTGCTTCAATTTAATAATTCATCTATTAGTAATAACAAGCATGTCTATTCCTGATTTAGGAAATTCAAACAAAATTTAGAATTTGAATTCTCAATCTGTCAACAACTACTTGCGTGACTTTGATAATTCATTATTTTCTCTTGGCCCCCATTTTTCTGAGGTTCTCTTAAATTTGAAAATATTTCTAATTTTAAGTACAAACTCAATATATGCTTATCTTCTTGCAATAAACTAAATATTTGTGTCTCCCCAATATTCATATGTTGAAATTCTAATCCTGATGTGATGGTATTTGGAGGTGGGAGATTTAAGCGGTAACTGGGTCATGAAGGGAGAGCTCTCAGGAATGGGATTAATGCCCTTGTAAGAAGAGGCCAGAGAGCTAACTGGATCTCTTTCTGCCCTGTGAGGACACAATTGTAAGATGGCAATCTACAATCCGGAAGAGGGCCTTCACCAGAACCCAGCCATGCTGGCCCCCTGATCTTGCATTTCTGGCTGCCAGAACTGTGAGAAATCAATTCCTGTTGTTGACAAGCCACCCAGTCTATGGTACTTTGTTACAGCACTCCAAGCTGACTAAGACACCTCTTTTGAATTCCCATTAGAAATTTATAGGCTTCTGGTTGGGCATGGTGGCTCATGCCTGTAATCTCAACATTTAGCTGAGTCCCTAAGTCTCCGTACTAGGAGGCTTCTATTTGGGTCCTAGGAGGAATTTTTCTCGAATACAAGTTCACCTGCATTTGAGGATATTGAGTCACCCAAGCATTACATAAAACCAATATGTTGACTTCATTTGGGCCTTGATAATCCTCTATATTCGAGGGGAAAAGGGATGATTTTTAGGCAGTAATTCTCCAATAGTTGGGAGCAGGGCAACCTCTACCTCTGGTGAATAACTAAGGTACCAAGATATTGGACAAACTCTATCTGAAGGTCTAGTAGATCTAGGGTCCTCCCCTTGCACCCAGTTGCAATAACTGAACTTATTTAAACATACAGGTAAATTTTTTAAAGGGCTTGGTTTTGTATTGACACAGCCATTAGCTCATTGAAACTGTAAGAATTTAAAATACACAATGTTCCCGTAACGCATGGCAAAGTCAGCGTATTGCCACCAGGGAAAAAGGGAAGTGGCCTCCCAAGAGGATGACAGCTACCACGCTGGTGCCTTCACCATAGCCTGGAGAGTGGATCTCAATCGTGCAGGCTCAAAACCCTGATAAGTAACAATCAGAGAAGCAGATTCATGATTCTAGCAGGCCCAGAATGCATGAAGTAAAGTGCCAGTGCATCAATTTACAAGGAGAAATGACTATCCTAGGCATCTGAGTGTTCAGTATTTACTATGGTGTATTTGTTTCCCTCCAAAATTCATATGTTGAGACCTAATCCCCAATGTGATGATACCAACAGGTGGAGCTTTTGGGAGATGTTTAGGTCATGATTAGGTCATGAAGGCAGAGCCCTCATGAATATGATTAATGCCCATGTAAAAGAAGCCCAGTGGGGCTTGATCCTCTCTTCCACCCATGAGGACACCGCCAGAAGGTGCCACCTGTGAACCAGGAAATGAGCCCTCACCAGGCACCAAATCTGCCGATGCCTTGATCTTGGACTTCCAGCTTCCAGAACTATGAGGATCAAATTCTCTTGTTCATAAGCTAAGCAGTCTGTAGCATTCTGTTGTAGCTGTGCAGTTAGCAGAGCCCCACGGGAAGTTAAGTCAGCACCAGACAGTGGTGCTAAGCATGAAATCAGAACATGAGCCGAATCTTCAAAGCATGGAGCAAGACCCTCTGATATTAGTCAGGATTTTCTGGGGCCTGTCATTGTAAGCCCCCTTTCCCCGCCCAGTACTTACACACAAGGCACAAGGGACCTCACGGCCAACAAATGGCACTCTTCCCTTCTCTCCACTTCCCAGAAACAACTACCGCACCTGGAGGGTGAACAAGTTCCTTTTTAGAGTCTATTTGTCTTTTCCATCTCGCTTCCTGGCCTAGGCCCATTCCTTCTCCTTGGATCTGCATTACTGCCTGGTGGCTTGGTCTATCTCAGTGCTTCTGAAACTATCTGTGATAAGGGACTATTTCTTTTTCTTGTTTGGTTTCCCATCAATCTCAAACTGATATTTTCATAAAGTACAAAAAAAATTTGTTGACAAATAAATTAAAACAATAATGTATTTATAAATTAAAATATAAAATTAAATATATAAATATATAAAATGTAAAAATTAAAATAAATAATGCAAGCCCCAATTCTTATGAGTCAACAGACCTAAAACTTATTAGCTAAATTGCTATAAAAACTTAACAATGCTTACTTTTAATTTCAGTGCTTTGCATACTACAGACCAGTAATGAACAGCTCGCTGAACATTTTGGTTGTAGATTATCACCAGGAATTTGCAGATAAAACCACAGTGAGATACTATTACACCCCTACCAGCATGGCTAATATTAGAAAGACTGTCAATATCAAATATTTGAAAGGCAGTGGAGCACCTAGACTCTCACATATATTGCTGTTAAAACTGGAAATTGGTACATTGTTTTGAAAAACTCCTTGGCAGTGTCTATTAAACAGAAGTTTAATAGATACAGAAGTATCCAATGACCCAGGGATCTCACTCCTGGGAATACACCCATAAGAAATGAATGCTATGTCAACCAAAAAATATATACAAGAATGCTTATGGTAGCACTATTTTTAATAACCCCCACAAAAGAAATAACCCAGATATTCATCAATAGTAGAGTGGATAAATAAATCACAGTATAGTCACATGATGGAGTACTAAACAGTAATGAAAAAGAATAAACTACTGCTGTGCACACAACTGGGTGAACCTCACAACCACAATGCTCAGTGAAAGAAGCTGGATCCTCCAAAAAGAAACTGTGCAGTTCCATTCATACGAAGATCAGAAACAAGCAGAAGTGATCTATACTCACAGAAGAAATATTTCTAAATCTCAAGTTTGAGGAATCACTCTTCTATAGTTTCTAAGTACTGACTCATTAACTACAAAAGTATTTTTGGGGCCAAGTACAGTGACTCACTCCTATAATCCCAGCACTTTGGAAGGTCAATGCAGGCAGATCGCTTGAGTCCAGGAGTTCCAGACCAGGCTGTGCAACATAGCGAAACCCTGTCTCTACTAAAAATACAAAACATTAGCCAGGTGTGGTGGCTCACGCCTATAATCCCAGCTACTCTGGAGGCTGAGGTGGGAGGATCACCTGAGCCTGGGAGGTCAAGCCTGCAGTGAGCTGTGATTGTACCATTGCACTCCAGCCTAGCCGCTGGAGTGAGATTCTGGTCTAAATACATATATGTGTATATATATATACACATATATATGTGTATATATATATACACATATATATGTGTATATATATATACACATATATATGTGTATATATATTTTTTTTAATTGTCACTTTTCAAATAAATAGTATTTATTTACTCTGGAAGCCTCTGGACTTGGTTCAAAAATGAAAAACAAAGCTTTTGGTCAATCAGCTAACAAATAGGGTATGTTTCATTAAATTTCAAACAACACATAGAGTGCCCACTAAGTCAGTGCTTCTCAAAAAATATGTGGTGTAGAACAAACGTTTTGTTCGTTTGCTTGGTTTGTTTTCAATTTGTCACAGATACTTTTAGAAATTCAATAAAAATAAAGTATGAGATAAAATTTAAAGTGGCCTACAAAATAAAAATCCTATATATTATTATTAGAGGTAGCAGAAAAATTATAGTTTAATAACATAGCTAGAAGAAACATAGTATGAGAAAAAGAAAATTATAAAAATTGTGCACATTGTTGATTGGAAGTATGCATGCAGCCATTTAATATGGAAAATTGCTATTCAATTATAATTTTTGTTCTGCAGTCATAACTAAAAAGTTATAAAGAAAATAATCATTTCTCATGTTATACATCTATATGCAGATGAACAAACATTTTCAGCAAACACCTCTATGCATATCAATATTAAAACGTGTGTGTGTGTATGTGTGTGTGTGTGTGTGTGTGTGTGTGTGTTTAGACAGAGTCTCACTCTGTCGCTAGGCTGGAGTGCAGTGGTGTGATCTCGGCTCACTGCAATCTCCACCTCCCAGGTTCAAGAGATTCTCCTGCCTCAGCCTCCCAAGTAACTGGGATTACAGGCACACACCACCACACTCAGCTAATTTTTGTATTTTTAGTAGAGATGAGGTTTCACCATGTTGGCCGGGATGGTTTCGATCTCCTGACCTCATGATCCACCCACCTTGGCCTCCCAAAATGCTGAGATTACAGGCATGAGACACCGCCCCCAGCCCCCCCTTTTTTTTGAAATGCTATATTGCCCAGGCTGGGGTGCAGTGGCATGCTCTCAGCTCACTACAGCTTCCGCCTCCCGGGTTCAAGCGATTCTCCTGCTTCAGCCTCCCAAGTAGCTGGAACTGCAGGCAGGCACCACCACGCTGGGCTAATTTTTGTATTTTTTAGTAGAGACAGGGTTTCACTATGTTGGCCAGGCTGGTCTCGAACTCCTGACCTCAAGCGATCTGCCCACCTCAGCCTCCCAAAGTGCTGGGATTACAGGCGTGAGCCACTGCACCCGGCCTAAATATTAAAATAGGTAATGTGAAAAATGAGCTTACTTCTTTCTCGTTAATTTAGCTAATATGGGTTGGATTGGTGACAGCAATACTTACAGAGGATAATTCTAAACTGCTTCTATATAAAACTTGTTAGTAAAACCATTTTACTAACATTCATAGCTGAGAAGAGTGTCACAGAGGTGTATTGACAGAAATAGAAAAGAGATGTTAAATAGTAATTTTAGCAAGCTCAGGATATTCATTAACAATTATCCAAGACAATTTATCTTCAATCCTTCATTAGTGATCGGTTTTAACAATTGTTTTGTATTTAATAATTTTTTTGCTAAACTTCCACGAAAGAAATATATTCTAGGTTGTGTGAGGTGGCCCATGCCTATAATCCCAGCACTTTGGGAGGCTGAGGCTGATGGACTGCTTGAGCCCAGGAGTTTGAGACCAGCATTGGCAATGTGGCAAAACCTCATCTCCGCAAAACATACAAAAAAATAGCGAGGCATGGTGACGTGTGCCTGTGGTCCCAGCTACTCAGGAGGCTGAGTTGAAAAGATCACTTGAACCCAGGAGTTGGAGACTGCAGTGGGCTCTGAGTGCACCACCACACTCCAGCCTGGGTGACAGAGCAAGACCCTGTCTCTGATTAACGAAAAAAAGAAAGAAAATTGAAGAAGAAGAAATAGATTCTAGATCCAAAACTTTCTTATACTGTATGTGGAAAAATCAAATTTGAAATGCACTATCACATTCATAAATTGTCTGGTGATAACTTTCCACAGGCGTGAAATATCTGTTTATCACCTACTTCATTGGTCGTGTTACTTTAATATCATAACGATTTATAGAAACAGTGTCATTCCAAGTTTCTAACTTCTATTTTTGCCCTTTCCTATGTTTCTGTCATTAAAAGACAATGTTGCTTCCCTTCCTTGCATCGAGTATTACTTTTATTGAAAATGTGAAGATATCAGACAACAACAAAATCTGGATTTATACCTTTTAAAAGTTGGGAAACTGGTTTTTTATCTTGCAGAAATACCAAAAGTTCATTTTACAGTTTAAACATCCTCAACAGAATTTTCCCCTCAGTAACAATCACATCTCAGTATGCATTCAGGGTTGTTTGTGATCAGCCTTTATATTATAAAACAATAAAGAAAATCCCTTTGAATTTAACACATTAGCCTCTACATCATTCACAATATTTCTTACCTCACTAAGCATACTGTTTAGTCCAGCTGACACATTTTCTTCATGCAAGACTTTCTTGATGAAGGAAATAGAGTGTGCTCTTAATTAGAGCAACTACTGCAAAATGGTGTCCTGTCATTGTCATCAGGACATTCTTGTATACAAAATTTAAACCAAAAGCCACACCTGTTAACATTGATTACGTGCTTGGATTCCATTCTAAAAGTTTCTGCTTGCTTCCTCTTGATTTCTGTCCCAGCAGATAGGTAACAGATAGTTCACAGATCAGCACTGTGCAGACAACGATGTGAGCAGCTCCCCTCCAAGCAGTTAACCGAACTCAGATAATCTGCAAGGGAAAGTGTGCGTTAACAAGTTAATTTCAATGATTGCCACCACTCCCTGCAGTTAATGAAATCTGAAGTGACAACATGGAACAGCATTTGGCACAGTGTGCCACACAGAAATACACCGAGAATTTGCTGGTCTCTGAAAATGTTTCTTTGTGCTGTAGTTATTGATAAGGTCTTGGCTTGTTAGATCATCTAGCTGTTGTATAAATAACATAATAGTAGATTCTAAACTATGATGCAGCAGGCAAGAAACTGTCTTTAAAATGACAACATGACTCTTTCTTACCAAGTAATGGCGTCTGCAGTATTCTCCAGAATTAATGTATTTTTGAAAAATAAAGTAGCTTCTCAACTATCAGCTGTTATGTATCTACTTTCCTGCTTTCCCTTACTCGCTTAGTTTTAGCCACGTTGGCTCCCTTTTTATTTCTTTTGTTTGTATGTCTTTTATATTAAGAGATGGGGTCTTGCTATGTTGTCCAGGCTGACCTCAAACTTCTGAACTCAAGCCATCCTCCCACCTCAGCCTCCCAAGTTGCTGGGACTATAGGCATACGCCACCATGTGCCGCCTCCCCGTTCCATTTCTCGAGCTCTTCAGGCTCACTGGCATCCGAGGTCTATGCACTTGCTGTTCTCTCCATCTGGAACTCTCTGCCTCCAATTCTCGAAGAAGTTGCTTCCTTCTCATCCTCAGACTCCATTTAAATGTCCTTCAAGGAGGGACTTTATTCAACATCCAGTTCAAAGGAGTCACTCAGTCCCTCTCAAATCTTTCTTTAAGTCTCCGCAAAGCATTTCTCATTATGTGTGTTTTCAGTGTTCATCTTCATCCACTAGAGTGCGGCTACATCGAAAAGTGGCTTGGTTTTCTTGTCCACTGCTATATTCCCCCATACCTAGGATAGGTCCTGTCCCAGGGTTGGTATTTGATAGTTACTGAGTGAAGGAAAGGCTGAAGGTCACAACATGAGTCCAGGGTTCATTCCTTATGCACAAGTTGGGCTCCTACACTCAGTGCCGTGGGAGACACAGATGTGTGACATGGTCCCTACTCACTGGTTGACAGTCTATATTGCAGGAATGATACATATACATATGACTATGGATCAAATCAAATCATTGTAAGGTTGGAGCCACAAGAGAGTTATAAATTATTCTCATGGTTCAGAGAAGAAAGAAGTAACTTTAGGCTTAATAGAGAGGGTGATGTTGTGATATTTACACGGGCTGTGGTTGATGAGCACATTTTGGATGAGGGAATATTTTTAAGGGCAAGGCAAGAATGCCAATACATCCCTAACATTTGCCTACAAATCCTATGGGGAGCCCAGCTCAGGGTCTCACATAACGCAGGAACTTAGATGTCTGTAGAATAAAGCAGCAACCTGAACTCTCAGTTTCAATTTGTCTGAGACTGTTTTAGAACTATGTATATGTGCATCAGAACTATATGAAGATAAATAATGAAAATACAGTTGCTCAGCTAATTTCTGAGCAGTCATTCCTGGCCATGACTAATGTAAATAGTGTGTGGAATGTGGAGTTTCAGTCACTCAGACAGCCTGTGCCCAAAGGCCAGCCCTATTACCTACCAGCAGGTGTCCTTGGGCAATTTATATCATTTTTCTAAAGCCTATTTCCTTTGTTATAAAATGGGAATAATACCTTCTTTAAAGTATTTTAAATACTTTAAAATAAGGATTAAAAGAGTTAATTCAAATAAAATATCTGGCAAAAACTAAGCTCTCAACTAAAACAAATACATAGATATACTCTCAATTTGGGCATTCGTAGCATTTCTGATTGTTTTTTTTTTTTTCTTTTATCTTTCTTTTTTTTTCTGTGAGACAGGGTCTCACTCTGTCTCCCATGCTGGAGTGCAGTGATGCAATCATGACTCACTGCACCCTCAACCTCCCAGGCTCAAGTGATCCTCCTGCCTCAGCCTCCCAAGTAGCTGAGACTACAGGTGCACACCACCACACCCAGCTATTTTTTTTTTGTAGAGATGGTGTCTCACTCTGTTGCCCAGGTTGATCTCGAAGTCCTGGGCTCAAGCAATTCTCTCACTTCAGCCTCTGAAAATGTTGGGATTATAGGTGTAAGCCAGAGTACCTGGCCTATGATTGTTCTTCAAAGTCTAATAACATCCAAATAGACATGAACTTATTAATACTAGATAAAATGTCAGCTATACAAAAATGTTTGTCCAAGTGTTTTAAATAATAAAGGGTTTATTTAACAAATATTTATTGAGTATCTATTATGTGCCAGGCACTATTCTAGGAACTGGGGATAGAGCTGTGAATGAAAAAGACAAAAATTCCTGCCTTTGTGGATATAGTGGGTGAAGTAGATAATAAAAATATAAATCTGTAAAACATATAGTAGATGAGATGATGGTATGTGTTAAGGAGAAAAGTAAAGCAGTAGAGTGGTGGGGAGGTGAAGGAAGGGAGGGCAAAAGGTATGTAGATATCCAGGGAAAAGCATCCCAGGAAAATGCATTGGATAAAAAGCCCTGAGATGAGATTATTCCGGGCTTGCCCCTGGAGCTGCAAGAAGACCAGTGTGGCTGACTTGGAATGAGCCAGGAAATGGGATGGGTGATGGAGATTGGAGGATGGGGGTGGTGCCCCAGAGGCCAGGCAGAGTTAGGGTTTAAGAAGCAGAGAGTAACAATCATCAAGTGCTGATGACAGGTTATGTTAGGATAGGACTGGGAATTGCCCATCAGATTTGGCCACAAGTGGAAGTCACTGCTGCCTAGACAGGAGCAGATTTGATGGCATGGTGGGATGAAGCCTGATTTCAGTGGGTTTAAGAGTCAGCAGCTGGACATCTTCAATACTAAACTTGCTTTAAAGGAAAGGAGAGTTGCCAAGCATGGTGGCTTGTGCCTGGAATCCCAGCTACTGAGTAGGCTGAAGCAGCAGGATTGCTTGAGCACAAAAGTTCAAGACCTGCCTAGGCCACATGGCAAGACCTTTCTCTAACATAATTAAAAATTAGCTAGGAATGGTATCACATGCCTGTGGTTCCAGCTACTTGGGAGACTGAGGAAGGAGGATTGCTTGAGCCCAGGAATTTGAGGCTTCAGTGAGCCGTGATCATGTCACTGAACTCCAGCCTGGGCAATAGAGTGAGACCCCATCTCTAAAGATAAAATTTAATTTAATTTAATTTAATTTAACAAAAAACAAAGAGAAGGAGAAAAATAGGTTAGTACCTGAAGAGGGAGTGGGGTCAAAAAAGATTGGGTTCTTTTTCATATTTAAGATGAGAAATAATAGTATGTTTATATAGCAGGGGCTCAATGGATTTGGGGAGAACTTTTGCCAATCCAGGAGAGAAAAAGAATTCCTAGAACAAAGTTCTTAAGTAGAAGAGAAGGGATGGGGAATAGCAGACAAGTGACAGGTTGGCCTTGGTGAGAAACACAGGTGTTCCTTGCTGCAACAGGAGAGCAGGTGGAGTGAATGGGCAGGGACAGGTGTGCTGACACACAGCAAGTTCTCTTCGGGTGGCTTCTAATTTCTTAGTGATTTAGAAAGCCAGTTCCAGAGATTGAGCCTAGAGTGAGGAGCTGTTGGAAGAGACAGCAGGTACAAATAGTCATCTGGAGGGGCAGAGGCACACTAACGGGTTCCGTTACAGTCAATTGTCATCATTTACAGTGAGACCAATCAACAGGGTGATATGTGTTTCCCTTCCCTGTTCAGCTGCACTAAAGGGTACTTATAAGAAAGAGGTGTCGGGCCAGGCATAGTGTCTTATGCCTGTAATCCTGGCACTTCAGGAGGCCATGGCGGGTGGATCACCTGAGGTCAGGAGTTGAAGACCAGCCTGACCAACATTGTGAAACCCCGTCTCTGCTAAAAATACAAAAAATTAGCCAAGTGTGGTGGTGGGCACCTGTAAATCCCAGCTACTCTGGAGGCTGAGGCAGGAGAATCACTTGGACCCAGGAGGCAGAGGTTGCAGTAAACTGAGATGGCGCCATTGAAAAAAGAGTAGATACTTGAATTTGATGTAAAAAAGAAATGACAAGGTTCTCAAGAAAAACAATTGGTTTTGAGAGAGATGCTTTCTAATATTAATGGGCTATCATAATCAGCAAGAACTGGAGGTGAAAGATGAGATATTCATAGTTTGGATGTTTTATTAAAAATTCAGTGGGAGAAACTTTCCTCTGATTAAGTAACAAATGTTAATTATTCATATCACCTGCTAATAGAAAAATTTTAATTAAAGTTTTAGATGTATGAACTCCACTTAAATAATTTAAATACTTTCATTAATCACTAACATATGTTTGATGGATTTCTTTTTTCAAAATAATACACATGCAAACCTCACCCAGAAATTGAGAAGTACTTTTCCTACATCATTTGATGTGTAAAATAACCCCATATGGGAGGTAGCTAAATCAGAAATTATCTTACGTTGACAGAAATAAATACAAAATCCTTTAGCAACCAAGTTACCAGTAGAGGGTCACAGGGCTATTTAGTCTCAGGTCTGGAATTTGAAACTGATTCAAAAGAGTCATCTCTCAGTCTCCTATAGAAGCAGCTATTGTGAGGGAAATGAACATTAGAATACAGAAGTCATAGAACACTTAGACACCACAAAATTAGAAAATTTGCATCTGGCAACCCCTGAATCTCCTACCAGTTGCCCACCAGCCCCACTGACTTTTCCCTGCTGTATTAGTCTATTCTCGCATTGCTGGGTAATTTATAAAGAAAAGAGGTTTAATGGCTCATAATGCCACACGTCGTACAGGAAGCATAATGCTGGCATTTACTTGGTTTCTGGGGAGGTCTCAGGAAACTTACCATCATGGCAGAAGGTGAAGGGGATGCAGTCCACCTTACATGGCCGGAGCAGGAGGGAGAGAGAGAGGAGGCAGGTGCTACACACTTTCAAACAACCAGATCTCACGATTATTCACTCACTCACTATTGCCACAACAGCAAGGGGAATGGTGTTAAACCATGAGAAACTGCCCTCATGATCCAATCACCTCCCACCAGGCCTCACCTTCAACATTGGGGATTATAATTCAGCATGAGATTTGGGTGGGGACACCGATTCAAACCATATCATCTGCTGTGCCAGTCCTAATGGTGCTTCAACATCAGGCAGTGGCTGGACCCACTGTAACCAGAGGCCCAGGCCAAGGGAAATAAGCTTCAAACCTCAGGATCCCATCTGGGCCTGCATTTGCTGGCTGCCTACCTCAGTATTCACTCTCCTTTATTCCTTACTACTTGAAATGCTGCCTTGTATTTTGGCATGTGGCTTCCTGGAGAATAAGAAACACATTTCTACACCTCCTTGCATCCAGCTGAGTCAATATTACTAAGTGCTGGCCAATGAGATATAAGCAGAGAGGCATGGAAACTTTCAGGAAGCCTCCTCAAAAGTCAGCTGCATCTCCCTTGGCCCTTTCTCAATTCTGCTTGGGAAGATACTGTGACTGGTGGTGCTATTGTTATCATCTTGGACCCTGAGGCAGAGGGGCCACACACTGGGGATGATAGGATGATGAACTGAAAGTTTTGGCAGGTCCTCAGCAACTTTGTGGAGCCACCATCCCAGCCCTGGATTATTTATCTCTGGACCTTGTTTTCAAGTAAGAGAAATAAACTTCAACTTTGTATAAGCCACTGCTTTTTTTTTCTTTTTCACAGATAAAAGGCAACTAACAAATATGCCAACTCTTAAATAAGAGCTGGAATTAGAGTCACTGGTGGCAAGCACAGAAAATCTGGGAAGAGGGAGAACACACCTATTGTACCATTGTTGTACGTTCCTTGATCTTGTCATCTCACTGGTTTCCCACTTCCTCACAGTCTGTGAATACCACCTTAATAAACTATTGCAGGCCTATTTTGGAGGTCTAAAATTATAATTAATTAATTAATTAATTAATTTTCTATCTTCCCTACTGAGCCCTAAGTTAGTATTCTCAAAGTCTGGTCCATTAACTACCTGCAGGAGAATCTCCTGGGGAAGTTATTAAATCTCTGCAGCCTCATGCTCAATCCCAGACCTATCACAGTAGAATGCCTCCAGTAAGTGTCAGGAATCTGTATGTTTAACATGACCTCCACCTGATTCTTATGTCCACTTAAGTTGAAGGCTACTCCTGCAGTCTCCCTTTGTGTGTCACTTATTGGTTTGCCTTTAAAAATAAGTTGCCTTGGCCAGGCACGGTGGCGCATGCCTGTAATCCCAGCAAATTTGGAGGCCAATGCAGGTGAATCACCTGAGGTCAGGAGTTCGAAACCAGCCTGGCTAACATGGTGAAACCCCATCTCTACTAAAAATACAAAATTAGCCAGGTGTGGTGGCGCATGCCTGCAATCCCAGCTACTTGAGAGGCTGAGGCAGGAGAATTGCTTGAACCTGTGAGGCAGAAATTGCAATGAGCCGAGATCATGCCATTGCACTCCAACCTGGGCAACAAGAGCAAAACTCCATCTCAAAAATAAACAAATAAATAAGTTGCCTTTGTTTATCATGTCTATATTCCCCAGTGCTTTGCCCTGGTGGGCCATAAATGTGCAGATGAATAAACAAATTCTATATTTGTATTTGTGAGTTTTCATTTGTAAATTTTTGTCATGTACACTATCTCAGTCAATTCTTATATCAATTCTTTGGCATAGCAGGGAAAGGGTTATTGTTGTTGTTTCACAGAGACCAAAATAGAGCTGAGATAGTAAGTGGTCTTTTTTACTATTTTAGGGTTTAAAAAACTAGGATTCAGACTGAGATCTCACTCAGAGGTCAAGCCTCTTTACTCCACACCAGCTGATCCTGGGTGATATAGAATACGCATTTATCTAAAGATCTAAAAATGCTTTATTCTGAATATCTCATTCATCCTCATAATATAACTATGTATTTGATATACATTCATAATCAACCATCTATATATGTATCAGTCTGTTCTTACACTGCTATACAGACATACCTGAGACTGGGTAATTTATAATGGAAAAAGGTTTAATTGGCTCATGTTTCTGTGGGCTGTACAGGCTTCTGCTTCTGGGAGGCCTCAGGAAACTTACAATCATGGCAGAAGGCAAAGGGGAAGGAAGCAGGCACATTTTCACATGGCTGGCAGGAGAGAGAGAGAAAAGGGGGAAATGCTACACATTTTTAAACAATCAAACCTCATGAGAACTCACTCGCTATCACAAGAACAGCAAGGGGGAAGTCCGCCCCCATGATCCAGTCACCTCCCACCAGGCCCCTCCTTCAACACTAGGAATTACAATTCAACATGAGATTTGGGTGGGGGCACAGAGCCAAACTATATCAACATGTAACAAGCAATTCACCGTCTTTGCAGCCAGTGTCACATTGCGTGAAAATCTGGTTACTGATATTGCACGGAGATATGACCATTGCAAGTTTCTAACCTTGCAAGGTACGATTCAACATTTCAATTCAAGTCAACACAAATTAATTGAACTTCTACAAAGTGCTAGATGTTGTATTAGATAGTGAGACACAAAAACAAAATGAACAAATATAGCTTCTACTGTTAAGGATGGAAAATTCTGGATGTTGAGAACAGAAGACTACTTTAGGCACAATGCCAAGGTTTTGACCAAAGTGTCAGAGTCCTCAAAGTGGGAGATTTTAAAGATTTGCTTGTGGAGGGATTTGCAGTATTGGCAGTGCTAGTATCTAGCTGTTACCCTGGTGACGGACTACATTATACTCTTGTAACTTCAACTGTGGACTCATAGGGATCATTATTAATGTGCTTCAAATGCGTAAGCCTTGAAAATATACATCTAACTTCAGAGGCAGATGTTGTTTAGAACTGGGTTTTCAAAACTTGCTGTATAGAATCATTTATGATAGATGAATCCCCCACTGCCAAAAAACCACACAGGAAGTCACAGACAGATGGCAATAACAGAAGCTCTAGGGAGCACATAATGATGTTCCATATGGCATATTGTGTGTGGCTCATAAAAGTGGCTCTAACATCCAGAAATGAATTAACCAGAAATCACATAGGAAATAAATCTTTTTGTGACCTTCATTACAGTCCAGGAGTCCATTGCAAATCAGCACACATTGCAGCAAGAATAAGTATGACAGAGGTAGGGAAAAAAACCCACAAATTTAAACGAAAATGAAATGCAAATTAAACAATCAGCAACAATTTATATATACTTGTAAAGCTTTAGTAGGCTAGTAGAGCTAGATTATAGTTCTAACTATTGGTTGGAGGGATGTCAAGATTTTACACAAATAGAATTTTAACATGGGAGCAATATTCTAAGGGGTGAGCACACTGTATCCCATAAGCCAAATAGGGTCTGCTGCCTGTTTTTGTACAGCCTGTAAGCTAAGAATGGATTTGACATTTCTAAAGGGTTGGGAAAAAGCAAAAGAAAAATAATGTTTCATGACACATAAAAATTATATGAGGCTGGGCATAGTAGCTTACACCTGTAATCACAATGCTTTGAAAGGCTGAGGAAGGAGGATCACTTGAGCACAGGAGTTTGAGCCCAGACTGGGCAGCACAGTGAGACTCCATCTCTACAAAAATTTTTTTAAAAATTAGCCAGGCATGGAGACACACACCTGCAGTCCCAACTATTTAAGAGGCTGAGATGGGAGGATTGCTCATGCCCAGGAGGTAGGGGCTGCAGTGAGCCGTCATTGTGCCACTGTGCTCCAGCCTGGGCAACAGAGTGAGACCATGTCTTTAAAAAGTTTATATCAAATTCAAGTTTCTATTGGGGCTCCCAATAGACTTCCAAAACTTCCAATAAAGTTTTATTGAAAAACAACCAGGCTCATTTGTTTATGTGTTGACTACAGCTGCTTTTGTGCTGCAACAACAGAGTTGAGTCTGACAGAGACAGTCATAATATGCAAAGCTAAACTAAAATATTCACTGTCTGACTTTTACAGAAAAAATTTGCTGGTTCCTGTTCTAGTTCAACAATTTAAAAATGAGGAACTGAGGCCTGCTATGTTGCTATTTTGCTACAAAAATAACTTCTTCTACACTAAAGACTATGGACTTATAGCAAAGATTTGTTGTCTTGACTGGGTTAGAATTCCATAGCACATGTGGTTACCTTAACACTTGTCTAATGGTCTGTCTTCATGATTGAATTGTAAACACTCTCAGGGCAGGAGCTGGGTCTGCCATATTTCCTTCAGTATCCACTCTAATATCCTCATGCTTTTATATATATGTGCGTGTGTGTGTATATGGGCATATACGTATACACACATATATACGTATACATACACACGTATATACATAAACACATGTATGTATATATACATGTATACCCATATAGATACACACGTATACACGTCTACACGTATATATACACCTGTGTGTATATACACACATATATACATATATACATATACATATGTACACATACACACATATATACGTATATACGTATACACACATGTATATATGCACACAAATATGTATATACGTATATACATATTACACATACACACACACATACACACACACACACACACACACACACACAAGTTGAGTTCCAGGTTCTCTGTCAAATTCTTCTTTACTACTGCCAGTAAATTACTCCCAACATTAAAAATTTGTTTCTCAGTATACTGTGATCTGAATGCCTCCCAAAGTTCATGTGCTAAAATTTGATCATTAATGCGATAGTATTAAGAGGTGGGGCTTTTAGTAGATGATTAGGTCATGAGGGGAGAGCCCTCATGGATTTATAAGGGATTAGGACCTTTATAAAAGGGCTTGAGGGGGTGGATCTGCTCCCTTCCATCCCTTCCACCATGTGAGGACACAGTGTTTGTTCCAATCAGAAGATGCAGCAACAGGAGCCATCCTGGAAACAGAGCAGCCCTCATCAGACACCAAACCTGCCAGTGCCTTGATCTTGGACTTCTCATCCTCCAGAGCTGTAAGAAATAAATTTCCATTCTTTATAAATTACCCAGTCTGTGGCATTTTGTTATGGCAGCACAAATGGACTAAGACACAGTCTAATGTAATTTTTTGCACTAACAGATAATGGCTTGACATGGTACCAAGTTAGAAATGTACAAAAAGGTCTATGGTAGAAAGGGAGCCTCCTTACCCAATCCCTCAACCATACAATTCCTTCTTCCAAAGACAAATACGGCTACTAAGTTCTTGTGTCTTCTTCCATAGGTATTCCATGAAGAAATAAGCATACATCAATTCTTTATTTTATCCAACATTAGAATATCATATATACTATTCTGTACCTTGTTTTATCACAGAGTACATTTTGGAGCTTATTTTATACCAAAATATTGGGTCGCAGTTAAATCTAAGAACATTTGGAATATGTTTTTTAAAAGACAGCTTACTGACATATAATACATGATGAAATAATATGTTTCCAGACCCTACAGCCAGGTAGTATACGCATGGGGATAAAAATCTTTGATGTCATTTAAATTTCCCTCAATAGCCTCCTTTTTTCTCTATTATTCAGTCCTCCTCCAGCACCTGTGCCTCTCTGCTTCTGGTCCTGAATGAAACACCACACACCACGGGTATAGGTCCCAGCTTCCCATGTGCTTCTAAGGGGCATAACTGGAAAGTGTGAATCTTGACCAGTTGGGAACAGGATGCAGCGGGAGCCGCTCCTTTCTCTCTCACATGGACAACTCTGAGATGCATCAGAGATACTTGTAACTCTTTGGCTGAGTGCAATGCTGCTGTCTCTTTATAATCCGTTGACCTACTCTGCATGGTAATTCACTGCATTGCACCTTCTCTTAGCTCAATTCCCGTTTGCCTCACCCTCACTACCCTAGGCTTGTACCTTCCAAATACTGTTAGTTTTGTTTGCTAGAGAACCTGATCTTGGCCACTATAGATCTGCCTCATTCTTTTAAAATAGCTGCCTATTTTTTTTTATTTATGGATGTACAAAATGTATTTAACCAGTCCTCTACTGGTAAATATTTAGGTGATCATCAATTTTTTTTTTTGCAGGCATAATATTTAAAATATTAATTGATTTGGGGCTCTACCCTTTTATATCATCTCTTATTTGACGATATCACATTGCTAAAGAATTATTATTTTTATCCTAAAAAATAAAAGCTAAACACTTTAACGAAGATCTGGCACATGCTTTTCTATAGAGATTCATTTTCTACCTCTTGTTTTTAAATCTTGCAAGCTGGCAATTCTGAACTACTTGTAATTCCCAGAGCTGTCTTGAACCTCCCTGCCTTTGCACAGACTGTCCCCTCTGCCTGGAATGTTCCCCTACAGACTATCTGCCAGGCAAACTTCTATTACTCCTTAAGCCACTGTCTATGTGAATCTTTGCATGAATCCTTCCGCAGTATTCTTCTGGGTAGGGACTTCTTTTTTCATGGTTTAACTCTACTCTGAACCTGTGACCATTGCAGCAGTTACGTCAGAAATTAATCATTGGTTTGCATTTTTGTTTCTTCGCTGGTCCATAAGTTATCTGTGGACAGGAATAATATTTTTTACTTTGTAACTGCAAAACTGTAAAAAATGAACAACAGTTATCCACAAAAGCTGCACCACACTTGCCTCTAGGGACATCAACTATGACCCAGCTAAAGTGGATTTGGTGCCCTTTTTAATGAACAGGTAAAGCTTCTGTCAGAGGCATTCAAACCAGAGCGACTCTATCTTGAATAGCAGCTGGGTAAAATAAGGCTGAGAGCTACTGGGCTGCATTCCCAGGAGGCTAGGCATTCTTTTTTTTTTTTTAAGACCAAGTCTTGCTGTCACCTAGGCTGGAGTGCAATGGGGAGATGTCACTTCACTGCAACCTCCAACTCCCGGGTTCAGGCGATTCTCCTGCCTCAGCCTCCCGTTTAGCTAGGACTATAGGCATGCGCCACGATGGCTGGTTAATTTTTGTATTGTTAGTAGAGATGGGATTTCACCATGTTGGCCAGGCTGGTCTCAAACTCCTTACCTCAGTGGATTTGCTCGCCTCGGCCTCCCAAAGTGCTGGGATTACAGGCGTGAGCCACTGCGCTCAGCCTGGTTGGCATTCTTAGTCACAGGATGAGGTAGGAGGTCAGGTCAAGATACAGGTCACCAAGACCCTGCTGATAAAAGAGAATGTGGTAAAAGAAGTGGGCCAAAACCCACCAAAACCAAGATGGCTACAAAAGTGACCTCTGGTCATCCTCGTGGCTCATTTTGTGCTATTATAATGCATTAATGCTAACAGACACTCCCACCAGTGCCACGGCAGTTTACAATTGCCATGGCAACGTCCGGGAGTTATCCTATATAGTCTAAAATGTGGAGGAACCCTCAGTTCTGGGGAAATCCCCACCCCTTTTCCAGAAAACTCATGAATAATTTACCCCTTGTTTAGCATATAATCAAGAAATAACTATACGTATACTCAGTCAAGCAGCCCATACCACTGCTCTGCCTATGGAGCAGCCATTCTTTTGTTTCTCTACTTGTCTAATAAACTTGCTTTCAGGATCCTTTGTGGACTCGCCCTGAATTCTTTCTTGCATGAGGTTCAAGAACCCTCTCTTTGGGTCTGGATAGGGACCCCTTTCTGGTAACACTTCTACCCATATACCAAATATTTTGCCCCATAAATCTGTCCAAAAAAAGAAAGAGCATGTATTCTTAAGGAAGATATGGCTCAGTTAAGTGAGTTAGCTGCGGCTAACTAACTTGTTATCTTGTGTAAGTCACTCCCATTTTGTAAGCTTCAATTTCCTCACGGGTCAAGTGGCTGTAATAATACTTACTTTGTGGGGTTGGCTATGAGGATTAAATGTAACAACATATGCATGTATATTTTCTTTCCTGCACCTGGAATAAGGAGGATGCTCAAAAAGCGTTAGCATTTCTCTCCATTGCTTTCTCTTTAGGATTATATTTTTGTGTAAATTGTGCAGTCTCTTTATTTTAAAAATATTTTGAGACCTATAACAACAACACAATCACACATGTGATTAATATATAGGGCTCACTATGGGTCAAGCAGTATTTTATTTATTTTACTTACGTTGGCTTAGTTACCAAAATTGATTAGAGCTTTGTGTTGGGAGTGTTACCCTTTGATGGTCTGGATTAACTCTCCAAGCGTTGAAATAATAAACTATTTTTAAAAATATTACCTTCAGTTCCAGCGATCACATGAGAAGCCAGAGATCCCCCATGAATGGATGGATGAGCAGTGTTGTTTTACACAACATAGAGACTAAACATATACTTTAGGGCATCGGAAAAGCCTCAATCACCAAGAAAAAAAAGTTTTTTGAAAATTGATACTACTTAAAAGAAATCATTGTCGAAGTGGGTAATAGTCACGGGGGAATCTTGGATAGCTATTGGTTGGACTTTGTTTTTATTTGCAAATACTTGGGGCAGGGCGGGAGAGAGAAAGAGCGACACCAAAATCTGTTCAGTGCTTTAAAGTTCTCGTGGTGTTAACTGGCCCTGCCCGTTGCCACCCACAGGAATTTCTCAAACAGAATTTGAAGATGAAGAGCTGAGAGTGAATCTCAGGCGAGGCCTTCCACCCAGAACCTGGAAGATTCCTTAAGGATGTTATAGGAAAAATGTATTTCTGATGTGGTACCAGCAGCCTCACCCAGAGCTGTTGTGATAGGCATAGCTAGAGCTCCTTTCTTGCAAAACCAAGAAGCTTGTGGTTTCCTAAATCCTGTTCTCCCCTTCTTCCTCCTTGCAGCCATTTCGTTGCTTGCTTGCTGCAGACAGTTCGTTGGCTGCCCAACAACCAGCCATCCCACTTCTTCCCTGCTAACAGAACGTCCATCAGTAGAAATCCATTCGCCTCAGGGAGGGAGGCATCCACTCCTGTAGCAGGAGTGTTTGCTCTAAATCTTCATGTTGTTCCATCTCTTTTGACAGTGCTGTGTTAGAGATCAGCACGTGAGCCTGTTCTGGCTAAAGAGATATAGGAAGAAGTTGGCTGGGGAAATCCCCTTCTCAGATAAATGACAGAAACTCAGAGGGATAAAGTCCTTATGTAGTACTCCTGCTTCTTCATTTTACCTTGGAAAGCTGATATGAAGGCAAAATACCTAAGGCTACAGCAGCCATCTTTAGACCATGAGGCAATGAGAACAAGAATAGAAGCCACTAGCTGAGCATGTCCTCCTTCGGACAAGGCAGGGATCCTTGGTGACACTGTGGAGCCTCAGAACAAACCCCAGAGCCACCTCCTGGCTTCTTGTTCAGCAAAATTAAATGCTCTTTGAGTTTAGCTGCCACTAACTGGTTTTGCTGCTAACTTAGCCAAAAACCTTTCTAACCAATGCATTTTCTTCCCTATAGAACTTCCCATGTTGTTATTTGTAAAAAATGGAAGGTCGGGAACATTAGGATGATGAGATTTTAAAGATTTTTTTCATTTTTCCCCCTTCATTTGCCCTGTTACATGGATAAGAAAAAGCTGTGATGTGCCGGGTGTGGTGGCTCATGCCTGTAATCCCAACACTTTGAGAGGCCGAGGCGGATCGATCATTTGAGGTCAGAAGTTTGAAACCAGCCTTACCAACATGGTGAAACCCCGTGTCTACTAAAAATTCAAAAATTAGCTGGGCGGTAGTGGCGTGGGTGTGTAATCCCAGCTACTTGGGAGGCTGAGGCAGGAGAATCATTTGAGCCCAGGAGGCAGAGGCTGCAGTGAGCCGAGATCGCACCACTATACTCTAGCCTGAGCGACAGACCGAGACTCAGTCTCAAAAAAAATCAGAAAACAAAAAAGCTGTGATGACTTTATAAAAACCTTTAGAACTCATAATTTAGCTCTCTAACTCTCTTTGCTGTCACAAGTTTTAGTTTTCAATAACTCATTCTAAACATTTTTTCCAAAAGACAGCCAAGGCTATGGGAACAGGAATTTTCTTAAAAGAAAAAGAAAAAAACGGAAGCACCTTTCTTTTGGAGGCTAAAATGTCTCACATCTCAGCTTCTCTCAGTTCTCCAGAAATCTTCTTCCTCTGTGCTCTGGTGGTTCTTGCTCCTTTCAGATTCTGACTTGTATATGGCATTGAATTACCATGTTGCCAATTCCAGCTCTAATTCTTTTTTTTTTTTTTTTTTTTTTTGAGTTAGAGTCTTGCTCTGTCACCCAGGCTGGAGTGCAGTGGCGTGATCTCAGCTCACTGCAACCTCCACCTCCCGGGGTCAAGTGTTTCTCCTGCCTCAGTCCCCAGAGTAGCTGGGACTACAAGTGTATGCCACTCACACCCGGCTAATTTTTTTATTTTTAGTGGAGACAGGGTTTCGCCATGTTGGCCAGGCTGATCTCGAACTCCTGAACTCAAATGATACGCCCGCTTTGGCCTTTCAAGTGCTGGAATTACAGGTGTGAGCCACCACGCCCAGCCTCCAGTTCTAATTCTTAGATTGGTGCAAAAGTAATTGCGGTTTTTGCCATTAAAGGTTTTTGCAGCAAAACCAGTTAGGTAAGAGGTATGGATAATTGTAGTTAGTTATTGCTGCACTCTAGAGCCAATCTTTACCTCAAGTTCTTAAGAAAAATTCTAAAGAAGTGCTCACAAGCCAGTTCATGGTCTCGCCAGGGGTCAGGGGCTACCCGTGGTCCAGTTGACTGTGACTATTCAGAAGATCAAGTCACATACAAGGGTGCCTAAGCCTGTCACTTCAACAGACAGCAGGGAAGGAATCTGTTAGACAAATAATAAAAGAAATACCAATAATAAAAGAAATAAAAGCAATAGGTATCATTTAGCTGTTTTCACGCTAATAAAACGTTAATAAGATTCTCATGTATTTGTAAGATATCAATTGACATAAACCTGCAATTACATTTTGTGTCCTGATCAGAGGGAAAAGGTATGAGGGTGTGAGAGGCAAAATAATGGCCTCCCAAAGATGGCCACCTCTCAATGTCCAGAACCTGTGAATATGTCACCTTACATGGTGATATGGTTTGGTTATGTGTTCCCACCCAAATCTCATCTCGAATTGTAATCCCTGTAATCCCCAAGTGTCTAGGGAGATACGTGGTGGGAGGTGATTGGATCATGGGGGCGGTTTTTGACTGCTGTTCTTGGGATAGTGAGTGAGTTCTCACGAGATCTGAGGGTTCCATAAGGCAGTTTTCCCTACTCTTGCTTGCTTTCTCTCTCACCTGCCACCATGTAAAATGTGCCTCCCTTCCCTTCTGCCATGATTATGAGTTTCCTGAGGCCTCCCCAGCCATGTGGAACTGTGAGTCAATTAAACCTATTTTCTTTATAAATTACCCAGTCTCGGGTATGTCTTTATAGCAACGTGAGAATGAACTAATACACATGGCAAAGGGGAATGAAGGTTGCAAATCAGCTATTTTACAACAGGAAGTTTCTCTTGGATCGTCTGGAGGGGCCCAGTATAATCCCAAGGGTCCTTCAGTGTGAAAAAGGGAGGCTCAGAGGCGATGTGATGGAATGTGAGATAGGCTACAGGCCATGGTGACTTTGAAGATGGGAGGGGGCCCTAAACCACAGAATGCGGCTGGCCTCCAGAAGCTGGAAAAGGCAGGAACTCAGACCTTCCCCTAGAGCCTCCAGAGAGGGAGGCAGTCCTGCCCACACCTGGATTTTAGCCCAGTGAGACCCATTTTGAATTTTTTTGCCTCCAGAATCGTAAGATAATAAACCTGTGTTGTTTTAAGCCACTAACTTTGCCGTAATTTGTTATGGCAGCAATAGAAAAATAATACAAGGGATAAGATAGGTACAATTATGTGCTGTAAATATATTCTCCTTCAGCCCAGACAACACAACCATAAGTTAGCATTATTATCTCTCTCTTTCTAATAAGGAAATATAGGCTAAAAGATCATATAGGTAGTAAGCAGCAGAACTGTTTGGTTCTTGAATTCTTTCAAGCAAATTGTAAGTGCCTTTTCAGAAGACAGTCTTTGGAGCAGTGGTTCCAAAATGTAGCTGTACATTTAAATCATTTGGCATCTTTAAAATATTCTGATGCCGGGTTTGCATGCCCAGGCATTGCCATTTCATTGGCAGGCGATGCAACCAGGCCATCAGGAATTCAGAAGCTCCCCAAGTGATTCTAATGTGCGGCAAAGTTGAGCAACCAATATTCTGGAGGAAGGTATATAGTGCCTTGATGTTAAACGGAGACATTACAGTTACTTTCCCTGCCTGAAGTGGCTTCTTTTTCTGTGGTTCCCACCTGGGCTGCCCAATTCAATCATCTTGAGGCTTCTAGAACATACTTATACTGGCTTCTCCCTTATAGATTCTGATCCAATGATCTAAATTTGGACCAGGATATAGTTTTAAAGCTCCCCAGATGATTCTAAAATTTAATCAGAGTTGAAACCCCCTATATAAGGAGGACACAATGGAATCCTACCTGTTTTGTAAGTTATTTTGAAAACTCTAGGTATTGGTGGAAAGGAAAGGAGGTTTGCATAGCAAAGCTGAGTGTTTCCAGCTGCCCCTGACAGGAAGTGTTGACACATATTTGCAGAACTTCTCCATCAGCATTGAGCAAGTTTGTGCTGTTTTTGAAGAACAGCCAAATAGCCAAATGAACACTTGTAACCTAGGATTCATAAGAAATACAAAAAACAAAGTGTGTTGAAGGTATTTTAGCAATAGTGATATGAAGCTGTCTTGAGTTGCCCTTGAGCATGCAAGACGGATAAGGTTGTTGTCCTTAAGGACTCAGCCATTCAGTGAAAAATTGCTGCAGACAAGGATATGTGGATGGTGCAACATTATCTCCCCCACAGGTTTCTAATTGCAAAGGGAAAAAAAATACCATTTCTGCAAAGAGGGAAAAAATTAAATTTCAATGGAAAGTTTTGTTCTGGCAGTTACCAGCCACATCAATGGACGATTTCAGTCTCAATCTCAACATTATGTTTCTCGAGTTATTTCGGTGGCTTTCCTCAGGGTCATCTGAGGAAATGGGTCACCCTCTGGACACCAGCTAGAGTTACCTTACCCCCTATTGCAAGTGGCTGATACCTTACTTTTGTCAGAAACACAGGTAAAAGACAAAGTAATATGTGTGAACATAGCGTGATCTGATTGAGATTTTAATTGCATACTGTAATTTATGTATCCAAATGTTGTCTTCAAAAGCCTTGGACAACACAGGTTTGGAAGTCTGCCTTTTAGGCTCACCTGGAGAGTCTAATTTACATTCTTCTTTGTAAATTACATTTCTATGTAATTTACATTCCTTTGTGTTTGAAGGGCATATTTGATTTGTGTGAACAGCTAAATATCACTGAGGGTCACATGTGCTAAATAAAGTAATTAAGCAAACACAGGAATGCCCCTTCTGGCCAAACACAAAGTATGATTGTGCATGGCAATATTTATTTTCTAAAATAAACTAGTTCTGATAAAATTACATTTAAAATTCAATTCAAAATGTTTTAGACATGCTAATGATACTTGAAAGACATTATAAGGCCAGTGCTTTGGATGGTCCATTGCTCCCTTGGATGCCTAAGTTTGAATACTAGGCTGGGCACAGTGGCTCATGCCTGTAATCCTAGCATTTTGGGAGGCTGAGACAGATGGATCCCTTGAACCGAGGAGTTCAAGACCAGCCTGGGCAACATGGCAAAACCTCCTCTCTACAAAAGATACAAAAATTAGCCAGGTGTAGTGGTGTGTGTCTGTAGTCCCAGCTACTTGGGGGGCTGGGGTAGGAGGATCACATGAACCCGGGAGGTCGAGGTTGCAGTCAACCGAAATTGCACCACTGCACTCCAGCACGGGTAACAGAGTGAGACCCTGTCTCAAAAAAATAATAATAATAATAAATAAATAAATAATATGTTTGAATCCTGACTGTAATCATTAGCCAAGAAATCTTTATGAAACTCAGTTTTCTAATCTGTAAAATAGGAGTAACATGCCTACCTAAAACAGTTACAAAGTCTAAATAAGTTAATACATGCAAAGCACTTAGAAGAGTGCCTAGCATCTAGTAAGCCTCAATAAATGTTATCCAATCTTGTAAGTATTATTACTACTATTCATCAGACATTCCCTTGAGTAAGATGGTCCTTTCCACTGCCAATGAAAGAAGGCTAATTTGAAATAACTTTACTCAAAAGTGGAAATAAGAGGATCATCTGGCTGGGAAGTCCAAGTGCAGGGACAGCTTCAGGTATGGCTAGATCTAGGATTAAAACAATGGCATTAAGGCCCTCTCTTCTCCATTGCTCAGCTCTGCTTTTTCTCCAGTGGTGGGTAACGCAGCCTCTCTCCACAAGGTGGGCAAATTGTCCACTGGCAGTTAGGTGACACCCTGAGCCTCAAGCACTATTATCCACAATTTCAGAGAAAGAGGCCCTGTCTTCTCCAGCAGACATGCATCATTATTCAAGGGTGACTCCAAGGGGTCTTCTTGGGTCCTTGCCCACGCCTGAGCAAATTGCTGTGCTCAGAGATGGAGTACTAAGATCAGCTAGTGTGGGGCCCAAGGTTACTCCTGAGGCAGAGGTGTAAGAGTTACTCCAGGAGCTCATGGAGTGGGGGAGGAGAACAGTTACCAAAAGGAGTCATGTGGACAAAGACATGTCTGCTCTCTCAGGACTGAACATCCTGCTTCAGTTTGTTCCACATCCATTTATGTATCATTTGTATTTGATCATATGTATCACCTGATAGTTACCATTTTTTGATCAGTTACTGTATGTCAGGAACTACTCTAGGAGCTGTACATAAAAGCTAAATGTAATAATAGCTAAACCTGAATGAATATTTGATACATGCCAGATTCTAAAATATGTATTCTAAACGTATTCTTATTTAATCTCCCCAATAACACCATGAGGTAAACACTATTATCATCCCCAGTTGAGAACACTGAGGTTCAGAGGACTTAGGAACGTGCCCAAAGCCATACCTCTGAGTGACAGAGCCAGAATTTGGACCTAAGGGAATCTGACCACAGGGCCGTTGTTCTTCATGTTCTGACCATTTTACTCTCATAAAAATCCCATGAGGTAATGTCTTATTAAAACCACTGTATTACAGGCAATGAGATAAGACTCAAAGAGGTTAAGCAAATTACTCAAGGTCATGTTCAGGCACTATGCTATGCAATTGTGAGCCAGAGATGGAGACATAGCCCCTGACAAGGCTGTTGTGTGTGGTTGCCCAGCTTGAGCACTGCACAAAATTGCCTCATCCATTGCAGAGGGCAAAGGAGGATGAGGCTTGAAATTTAGCCCAAGTTCTGCTCATAAACCTTGGCCCTGACCCTGGCTACATTGCACAAATTCTACAAGCCAAGATGTGTCTATGAAGCTGACGCTAACCAGAGGCGGAAGAGCATTACAAATTGAGTGAAGCTCCTAGTTGGGTTAACGGCAGCCCTGGCCCCAGGATCTCAAAAGCAGCCTGAAAAGCAGATGATGACAATGGAACATGGTAAGTACTGAGCAAGAGACTTCCCCAGAGAGCTAAGTGACCCAGGACAGGGGCATGTGGCTGCTCACCCTGCCACATCCAGACTTAAACAGGTCCAGTGGGCCACCTAGTCTGGTCACACGACACTCAGGGCTGCCAAACAGAAGGCTCCCCACATGAATGGGAGTACTGGGCCCATTCAGAGCCTGCTCTCTGAATTCACCCTGAGCAGAGCAAACCTAAGTGGACATTCTAGCAGCCTTAGCCTTCTAGACAGGACAATTGCAATCCCAAGACAATTGTAAAATGTAAGATACATGTTCAAGAGTGTGGGGACAGATAGCTACTCATTAATTTTTGTTTTGTTTGTGAGACAGATTCTCACTCTGTCACCCAGGCTGGAGTGCAGTGGCGCTATCTCAGCTCACTGCAACCTCCACCTTCTGCGTTAAAGCAATTCTCCTGCCTCAGCCTCTCAAGTAGCTGGAATTACAGGTGCGGGCCTGGCTAATTTTTGCATTTCTAGTAGAGACAGGGTTTTGCCATGTTGCCAGGCTGGAACTCCTGATCTCAGGTGATCCGCCCTCCTTGGCCTCCCAAAGTGTTGGGATTACAGGTGTGAGCCACTGCGCCCAGCCATTCATTTGGATATAGAAAGATAGAGTTTGCTAAAAACACTGGAGGGAACTGCTAGGTGCCTATCCCATAATCATTCCCCTTATTCCTTGCTATCAGAGCCCTAATGTTCTGTAATATTGGGCACCCACATGTTACACAGATTTCTTCCTGGCTCTAGGAAGTGGAAGTGGGGAGTAAATCTTGATTAATCTAAGCTGACTATCATAATTTGGGTTCCTTCTCAAGTAAAGTCAAATACAAAGAGTTGCTTCAAGTAGTTTATTTGGGAGGTGATCCCAGGAAACTGCCTGAAAACACAGCTTCAGAGATGAAAGAAAATGTCCATAAAGCATCAAGCACAAAGCCCTGATCACAGCAGGGAAGGATGTATGTCTAATTATTACCTTGAGATAGTTCCCTCCTGGTTTGGCATAGAGGTGTCTGGGGCTGGGTAGGATTTGTCACATGTGTGGCAGAATTAATGGTATCCTGATGTCTAATCACGTGATGGTGGGTTCATTTTCAACATTTGTAGGATATGCAGCCCCTGGGGCGAACCTGAGTGTTTGAAATGCATGGCAACAATGTTTAATTCATGGCAACAATGAATCAGTGCTCTAAGGAAGAAAGAAGTGAATGGCAAGATTGCACTTGCCCTGTAAGTGATGGGGCAATCCTCTCTTTCAGGGAGCGAGGGTTGGGGAGTGGGGGAAAGGCATGAGATTCTACTCTGTTGAGTTGTCTCACTGTGCTTAATGAAACTTTTAAAATATAATACATCTCTGGAAAAGGGTGGGAGAAAATGAGAATGAACTCCTGTGGAGCACTGAAAATCCACCTCATAGTGAGGAATTACTCTACCACAATCTTTTCTTACTTTCTCTCATGTTTCACTTAAGCACAGGACTGCCAGCCAGAAACTACATTTCCCAGCATCCCTTGCAGCTTGGTATGGCCATGTGACCACATTCTCATTAATACAGGGTGAGTGTGCCACATCCAACTCTTTTGTTCAAAAGAAATTGCTTTTCCACTTTCTGGAAGCTTTTGATGTAGTTTTGAGCATACAGAAGAGGGCTGGTTTATTCTAAGTATTGGGAACCCCTTCCTAAGGTCAAACTCTGAGGTTTAGGATGTCAAAGCATAGGCTTATCAAAAAAGCTTCTGATCACACACACACACACACACCGTTAATGCAACATTGACTTCCTCTAACAAGGCAAGTAGGGAGAGAGACGATAGCGGGAGAGATCTGGCTGGTCAGTCTTTCTCTGCCTCCTTTGCTGCTGACCCCAGGCAGTGTGTCTATGACCTCAGCTAGCAAGATTATTTTCTCTTGTCCATAGAAGGAGGTTGGACTCTCCCCCATACTGCATGTCAAAAACTGTAAAAGCCAGGTCAGCATTCTTCAAAAAGATTTATGAGATCAATGCTCCGTGCTCAGTAACAGTAGAGCAGAGCAGTCTGGACTTCTATGCAAAACCTTTCCTTAGAGAACTGGGGGTTACAGCAGCAAGCAGAACTGGGGGTTACAGTATTAGCTTAGATACACATTGGTGCCTCCACAGGCTTTCTTTCCAATGCAGACAACTTGTTTACACTGCTTGCTTTTTGAGTATAAACATTAAAAAAACTTTTCTTTGTTTCTTTTTTTTTTTTTTTGAGACAGGATCACAGGATCTCAGGATCTCACTCTGTCACCCAGGTTGGAGTGCACTGATGTGATCTCAGCTCACTGCAACCTCTGCCTCCCAGGCTCAAGTGATCCTCCTACCTCAGCCTCCAGAGTAGGTGGGACTACAGGTGCATGCCACCCTGCCTGGCTAATTTTTGTATTTTTTGTAGAGACAGGGTTTTGCCATGTTGCCCAGGCTGGTCTCGAACTCCTGAGCTCAGGTGATCCACCCACCTTGGTCTCCCAAAGTGCTAGGATTACAGTCATGAGCCACTGCACCCAGCCTAAAAACTTTTCTAAAAGACAACATATTCAAAAATAAATTTCATGGGAACATTTTAATGACATTTCTTAAGTTAACATGTTTCTGATTTGTCAAAGTGAAGTGTAAACACTGTCCAAATGTAAACACTTTCGAAGTGTAAACACTCTCAAAGTGTGTTGGAGAATACAGATCCTCTTATGTGGAAAGGAGTAGTGAGGCGGCCTTTAAACACTTACACAAAACACAAGCATTGCAAAGACATACTCTATGCGATAGAGAGGCAACAGGATCCTGAATGAACAGGTGTAGCCAAGGTGCTCTGCCAACGTGGACTTCCTGGACTGTGATTGGAAAGAGCAAAGGCTTCTTTCTTTCTTAAGCCACTGCATTTTTAAATTTCTTTCTTATAGCTGTCTAACCTTTATCCTGACAAATACACTGAGTAAAACAGAGCGAGTAGACAATCAACATTTGCTGAATAAATGAATAAATGTATAAGCAATGTGTTAGTGAATACAAATTTCCTCATACATCTAGGACAATGTAGCATCCTATATTGTTTTATTTGTTTCTGGGACAGTGTCTCCAAAGATAGCTCCAACCTGAACAGGGTCACACTGAGTCACATTGTGCCTGGGTAGGAGTGCCAGCTGCAGAGGGGGGTGATGGGTCCACCTCTGTGTCATGCAACTGCTAGTGTGACACTGAGAAATTAGGGTAGGAACTCTGGCCTCCAGGTGTTCTAAGAAATACAGACAGCAGCATCACCTACTACCCCCATCACAAATGTTTATGTGTCAGAGGTTTTTAAGAGAAAAATTAAGCAGATGGTAAAATAAAGACTTGATTAAATGTGATTTCTGGCCGGGCGCGGTGGCTCACGCCTGTAGTCCCAGCACTTTGGGAGGCCGAGGCGGGTGGATCATGAGGTCAGGAGATCGAGACCATCCTGGCTAACAGGGTGAAACCCCGTCTCTACTAAAAATACAAAAAATTAGCCGGGCGCGGTGGCGGGCGCCTGTAGTCCCAGCTACTCGGGAGGCTGAGGCAGGAGAATGGCGTGAACCCGGGAAGCGGAGCTTGCAGTGAGCCGAGATTGCGCCACTGCAGTCTGCAGTCCGACCTGGGCGACAGAGCGAGACTCCGTCTCAAAAAAAAAAAAAAAAAAAAAAAAAAAAATTGTGATTTCTATGCTTTGTCTTGTATGCACATTACACTTTTTGTGTGCAATCAACATGTATGCCATTTCTTATGGATAATGAGCTCATTTTGCCAGATCCATTTACAGCTAATAACAATCAGCAGTTACAATTATTGACATTCTCTTAGTTGGCAACTTCTACCACAATGAACATTTATTGTCAACTCTAATAGATAGAGAAAACTGTTGCAGAGAGCTACTGAATTAAGTCTTAAGGTAAAAATAGTCTTTTTTTGACTGTAGACATTTTGATCCAACCACTACAAGAAAAACATTGGAGTGGATTTCTCAGAAGAATACGGTGTTTACTAGGATGAAGGGGGAAAGTGAGCCGGGAACCAGTAGGATATGTGGGATGCAGGATATAATGGAACTGTTCACATGTTTTAAGATGTATTACAGCCCAGGTTGTGTCTAAATATTATCTTAAGTTTAAGGCCAGGCGTGGTGGCTCACGCCTGTAATCCCAGCACTTTGTGAGGCCAAGGCAGGTGGATCATTTTAAGTCAGGAGTTCAAGACCAGTTTGGCCAACATGGTGATACCCCGTCTCTACTAAAAATACAAAAATTAGCTGGATGTGGTGGCATACACCTGTAATCCCAGCTATTAGGGAGGCTGAGGCAGGAGAATCATTTGAACCCAGGTGGCGGAGGTTGCAGTGAGCCAAGATCACACCACTGTACTCCAACCTGAGTAACAGAGCGAGACTCCATCTCAAGAAAATAAAATAAAATAAAATGAAGTTTAGAGATCATGTAAATGAGTCCCATTTTCTGTGCATGGCTAAATAACTGGCATGTGACTACTTTAACTAGGGGATGTACAGGTTACCTTATTGGAAAGACAGTCTGAGGGTGGAAATTCTGACTCATCTGACCCAAAACAGTTACTGGTGGTCATAAATTGTAAGTGTCTACCTTCTTGAAACCACTACAGTTTTAGATTTCTTTGTTTCAACAGCTTAGCTTTTCTCTGAACAAATACACTCAGCAATACAAATTAAGCTCTTAAGCAAATATGTGTTGAAGCATGCATCAGTGCAAGCTTAGTTCCCAGGTGACTTTGCTGCTATCACGAGGGGATCAGTGAGGATGAGGTACCACAGGGTACATTTCTAAACTCACAGAGGACATGTAGGGTAAAAAAGGCCTGGGGCCTGGGACTGGAAGAAGAGAGAGAACTGAGGATTCTATTCCCTCCCAGTAATTGAATTTGCAGCTCTAGTAAGCATAAAATTAACTCACCTCCATGTGGTACCTGCTACGACTAGGAACCATTCTGTCTTGCATATGGGTTAAATTGTTGCTTCCTCCATCACAAGAACCTTTGATTTTTGTTGTTGTTTGTTTGTTTGTTTTTGTTTCTTCTATGAGATAGAATCTCGCCCTGTTGCCCAGGCTGGAATACAGTGGCACTATCTTGGCTCACTGCAACCTCCACCTCCTGGGTCCAGGTGATTCTCCAGCCTCAGCCTCCCAAGGAGCTGGGATTACAGGCACCTGCCACCATGCCAGGCTAATTTTTTTTTTCTAGTAGAGATGGGGTTTCACCATGTTGGCCAGGCTGGTCTCCAACTCCTGACCTCAAGTGATCTGCCCACCTCGGCCTCCCAAAGTGCTGAGATTATGGGCATGAGCCACCGCACCTGGCCCTGACAAGAACCTTTGAGTTAGGTATAATGGTTCACCCCAATTTATAGATAATGAACCCAAGTCACAGGGGAAGTGAAGTCAGTTGCCTAAGGTCAGACAGCAGTAAATGGTTCTCTGACCCTAACTCCACTGCCTCCCTCTCATAAAAACACTGGGTGGTTACAGTGGGCCCACCTGGAGAAGTCAAGCTATTCTCTCCATCTCAAGAACATTAATTTAATCATCCTTTTTACCATATAAGATAACATCTTCACAGGTTCTGAGGATGAGAATGTTGACATCTTTGGGTGGTCGTTATTCAGCCTATCACAGGTATCCAGGGAAGAAAAAAGGAATTTCCAAAAAGAGAAAATACGAACATTGGGAAGGCTAATTACAGATGGTGACTACTGAAGGGTTAGTCAGAAGCATAATGGAGGCAGTGATGAGATGACAGCACAGATGCATGACTCTAGTCCCAGCAACTCCTAAAAGGTAAAGAAATGTATCCTGCCACCCTCAGCTTCTTTGGGGTGTCCTCATAAAAGAGAGGCAGTAAAGCAGAATCAGAGTCAGATAGAGAGGTTGTAAGAAGAGAAGCAGAGGTGAGTAAGCTGTGTTTCAAACCCAGAGTCAAGGCTCTTGCCCCTCTGCGGTGCTGCCGAAGCCCAGGGTGGGTGGGGACTGACATGCAACTCAGGTACTGTGTGGCAGACTTTGTGCCTTGGCATGAAACTATGCCTGCCCACAGGAAGGGGCACCATTTTCTCATTAGCTCAAAGAGACTTCTGCTGGCCAATTCCTGTCTTCTCAATACTGCAGCTCTCCAGAGACAACACTGTTCTCTATTCTCCTGTAAGTGAGGCAGAGCCTGGCAGTACCCTCTATGCCACCTCTCACTAGTACAGGTTAGCACTCAGGGTGGCCCACTGGTGTGTGTCTCAGCTGCTGGTGTGCGTGCTGGTGCAGGTACAAACCGTCGTGATACATTTTACTCCCACTCCTACTAATTACAGCTTGTGTGTCCTTCAGTCATTCACTTCCCTTCACATGACCAGCCCAGCAGAAATGAACTACCAGGAACATGAGCTCAGAGCGATGGGCTGGCCACCTGCCAAGCACCTCTGAATGGAAAGAGCAGAATTTTGCATTGCCTGCCATGCCACGTGGAGCAGGCCCTGGGTGGCTCTTTAGGGGATGGGTGTGGACTCCCACAACAAAACCAAGGGCCATATTCAAAGTTAAAAGCTCTGCCATAGATGGTATTTGTTGAGGCTGTGTGTGGTAGCTCATGCATGTATGCCCAACACTTTAGGAGGCTGAGGTGGGAAGATCACTTGAGGCTGGGAGTTCAAGTCTAGCCTAGGCAAGATAGTGAGATCCCTTCTCTAAAAAAGATAAAATATTAACTGGGCATCATGGACGTGCCTGTAGCCCCAGCTACTGGGGAGGCTGAGGCAGGAGGATGGCTTGAGTCCAGGAGTTTGAGACTGCAGTGAGCTGTGATTGCACCATTGCTCCCTAGCCCGGGTGACAGAACAAGACTTTTATTTCTTTAAAAAAAAAAAAAAAAAAGAAGGTGTTTACTGCAGTTGCTTTATTAAAAAAAAAGTAAATGAATGTTCTGACTGTTCTACTTTTGAAAATAAGTGGCAAGGAATTAGAACTGTATCTTTCAGCAACAAAATGTACACTGTGGTTCCATGTCACAGCCAGGAATGGAGTCAGATGTCTCAGACCAGAATCACAGCTCTGCCACCTCCTGTGACATGGACTTGCTAAGCTACCTTGACTCTCTGGAGCTCACTATGCCCATCAATAACAAGAAATAAATAAATCCGTCCTGTAAGGTTGTCAGGAGAAACAAATGAGGCACTATATGTGGAAGTTCCTGGAATAGTGACCAGCACAGAGGACGTCTCAAAGAAAGATTTGCTGAACCCCAAAAGACAGGAGGACTGGAGGAACAACAAAGAGACAGGAAAGCTAGCATTGATTGGAGCCAAGTATTTTCTCAAAGAGTTATCTCACATTATATCTTGCAAAAGCCCTTCAGGAAATTGGCATTATGCCTATTCTAATAAATAAGGTATTTCAAGTGCAGAGAGGTTAAGTGATTGGACCAAGGTCGTGAAGTGTGGGAGTGACTGAGCCAAAATTTTAAAATCAGGTCCTCAAGACAAAGTCTCATAAATCAGGTCTCATGATAGCTTCTTGACACAGAGGGGAACAGGGGAAAAGGGATAGAAGGACAGACACAAAGAGAGGTGAGAGTAGCAATTGAGAGATGCCCTAAAGAAGGTGAGGGTGGCCGGCGGCAGTCAGCCAAATAAATCCACTCCTTTACCTATCAGGAGTCACTGGGACTGCACTGGGTCATGCATCTGTGCTGTCATCTCATCACTGCCTTCATTATATTTCTAATTATTCAATAGTCACCATTTGCAATTAGCCTTCCCAATTTTCAAGTTTTTCCTTCTTGGAAATTTCCTTTTTCCTTCCCTGGGTACCTGTGATAGGCTGAATAATGGCCACCCAAAGATGTCGACATCTTAATCCTCAGACCTTGTAAAGATGTTACCTTATATAGCAAAAAGGACTTTGCAGAGATGGTTAAGGTTCTTGAGATGGAGAAAATATCCTGAATTCTGCAGGCGAGCCTGTTGCAATCACACGCATCCTTATAAGAGGAGGCAGTAGAGTTCGGGGCAGAAAGAGAAGTTGTAAGGACAAAGCCAAGGTCACAAAGGAGAGAAGATGCTCTGATGTTGGCTTTGAAGATGGATGGGGGAGGTAGTGAACCAAGGAATGGAGTCGGACTCTAGAAGCAGGAAAAGGCCAGGGAGCAGATTCTACCCTAGAGCCTCCAGAAGAGGCCGAGCCTGAGACACCTTATCTTTAGCCCACTGAAATGGGTTTCATATCTCTGACCTCCAGAACTGTAGGAACATATGTCTGTGTTCTTTGTGGTAAATGGTACAGCAGCATTGGGGAAATAATACAGTACCTCACCTTCACCCCCTGGGTATTTTTGCCTCTACAGCTTGGTACTGTTAGACATTGGCCTAACAAAAATAATAACAGCCACTTGCATAGAGCTTCAAGATGTGCCAAGAGAATCTTAACACCTGAGAGCTTACCAGGTGCCAGGCATTGTGCAAATACTGTATGCGTTGACTACTGGTTCCCACAAATATCCTATTACTTGCCCGTGGTCACATTGAGCCAAGATTCAAACCCAAGTGTCTAACTTCACAACCCCTATTCTCAATTGCCTTTCATTTTATATTATATATTTGATATCTCATTTGATTCTTATGTCAAGTCTTACAAGATCATTTATTTTTTAAAAAGTCTTTCATTTATAGATGAGAAAGCTCAAGCTCAGAGAGTTTAAGCGATTTTGCCAAGACCATTCATCCAGTAAGAGTCAAAGCCAGCCCTCAAACAAATCAAACGTTTTATTCTCTTTGACCCATTCATAAGAAATAATTATTTCTCCCTTGAATTCTTCCAGGTCTTTGTAAATGCCTGTATTACCACAATGCATTTCAATTATGCATGTATGTAATACAAGCTGTTAGAATGCCAAACCCTTGTGGCTCAGTCTTGATATGATGTCATGATTAAAGAGGCATAGGCAGCCAAAACCATTCAAAAAGGAAACTTTATTCTTTGTCTTTTTAAAAAAGGAGGGAAGACCCAAGTCTCTAGCCACACATTTCTATCCCCTTTCCCTTTTCCAGTCTTCTCTGCTGCACTCCACAGCCTCATGTTCACCACCCACCCTCCAGATCCTCTCTCCTCCCTTCTCCCCTGGCCCTAAGCGACATTGTTCCTCTCTCTTTCTCACTTTCTCGCTCTCTAAATCCTTATTAGATCTCCTTAGCTTCCCCTCTACATCTTTTATCTCCTCTCATCAGCTTTTTAAAATTCTGCACCACAATTTTTTGCCTCACTTCAGAGAGTGTTTCACACCAGAGGCAGTCCACTGGTGAGCCGGGTAAGGAAGGGTCTCTTCATCTCCAGCAGTGGAAGATGGGGGAAAGGGGCAGCCTGGAGAGAGTTATCATCAGCCATCTTTCACCCTGTCACACGAGTGATGACAGCAAACCTTTGTATGAATACCACTTTTGTTTCTGATGCTGCTCCGGTCTGCTTATCTATGCTATTTCTTTCTCTTTTTTAGGGACAAGGTTTCCCTGTGTTGCCCAGGCTGGAGTGCAGTGGCATGATCATGGTTCACTGCAGCCTTGACCTCCCAGGTTCAAGCAAACTTCCCACCCCAGGCTCTTGAGTAGCTGGGATGCACCAACAGGGATGCACCACCACGTCCAGCTAATTTTTTTATTTAATTTTTTATTTTTGTAGAGATGGGGGTCTTGCTATGTTTCCTAGGCTGGTCTCGCACTCCTGGGCTCAAGTGATCCTCACACCTCCGCCTCCCAAAGTGCTGATCTATGCCATTTCTAATCTTCCCCATAACCCTGAGAATTAGGTACTTAAAGAAATCAATGTAGAGTTATGTGGTTCCACAGGCCTTCCCCTCACACCCTCTTCCTTTCCTCATCCCACACTACCTCTCACCATATCTTCTAGCTAAACTATGAGCTCCTCAATGCCAGGTGCCATGTCTTACTCATCATTTTACTCCTAGAGCCTAATCACAGAACTGGGTACATAAAAAGTATTTGAACAAAAAGCAATGCTTTCAGCTGGGTGTGGTGGCTCACACCTGTAATCCCAGCACTTTGGGAGGCCGAGGCAGGCGGATCACGAGGTCAGGAGATCAAGACCAGCCTGGCCAACATGGTGAAACCCCCATCTCTACAAAAAATACAAAAATTAGCCAGGCCTGGTGCCGGGCCCCTGTAATCTCAGCTACTTGGGAGGTGGAGGCAGGAGAATCGCTTGAAACCGGAAGGCAGAGGTAGCAGTGAGCCAAGATTGCAGCATTGCACTCCAGCCTGGGCAACAAGAGTGAAACTCCATCTCAAAAAAGAGAGCAATGCTCTCATCACACCTTCAGCACAACTCCAAAGGAAGTCATCACTGGCACCACCCCACCCCACCTGTGACAGTCATGATCTTTCTCGCCCTCCATTACTGAAGCCACGACATTCATACCTATCTGGGTTCTTAGAATTCTCATGCAGAGAGCTGGGTGGGCTGTTGTACACATCTAGTCTAAACCCTTACTTCATTCATGAGGAAATAGAGCCTAGAGAGGTCAGCCACCTGGCCAATGACCTTGTCCAGTGCTTTGTTCATTATATTCTATGGCTTCTCCTTGCTAAAGAAGAGTTGCAAATACAAAGCAGGAAGTTGGCACTGACATTCTTCAGGTGTTTTTTTTAGGTGCCAGCCTGGACCTAGTACCAGCAAGCCATATGGCTTACAGATTATCTTTTTACATAATTTTCCAGTAAGTTTTATGCCTTATCACTGAACTCAGAATGGATTGAGCCAAAATTCTTCTTCAATTCAGGGACGGCCATTTGACCTCCAAACGCTTTTCTTTACTCATTAAAAAAAGGAAAGAGCACTGACCCTGGGAATAAAGAAGGAGATTTGGGTTCTGGTTCTGACTCTGATATTTGTTCTTGGGCAATTTCCCAAACATCTGACAGCCAGCTTTGAGTCAAGGGCTCCCTGATGGTCTTCCCTAGACTGCATCGTGAATTTGTCTACCCAGCCTTCCCTTTCTCCCCTTTGCTCATGGGCTGATGACTCCCCAGCTCTTGCCTGGATCCCCAGCCCCGCCTTGTCTCAGATGCTTCCCTTAATAAAACCCTTGCATATTTAATCCCATCTTGTCATCTGCTTCTCGGAGGACCCAAATTAACAACCTACTTTTCCAAACATATTTATTCATTATTCAAATTTGTCTCATTAGAGTCCCTCAATCATGCAGCCACATCCCTTCGGGCCCAGAATTCATTTTCATCCAACCCATATTTACCAGTCTGCCCATCTTGTGCCAGGCACTGTGCTAGGTGCTAATGGTCACAGTGGTGAACAAGCCAGACATGGTTTCCTGGAATCTACATTCTGGTGCAATGTTCCTCTGCCTTTCTCCCTTCTTATCAGTCTCATTTCTTCTTCAAGAGCCCCCCTGAGTTCTTCCCACCTCTACTCAAATCATCCCAGCCCAGAGTCACATGGTACCTGCAGAACTTCCCTAGCTCTCATTGTTTGTATTGCTCTTTTGGTACTTACAATTCTTTATGTTACATTTTGTGTTTATGTATTACCTATGCAGCTTGACTTTTAAATGTTTGAGGATAGAAGCAGCCTTTTATATTTTTGTGTGGTAAAGCAAATTGGCATGCAATAAAAATGATATTTATCATGTATTGAGTGCTTATTATTTTCCAGGGAAAGAAATTTTCAAAACTATGGGAGTAGGTAAGTGTATTAATCTTGTCTTGTATTTGCTATATTTGGATGCTTTGACATCTCGGGTTTTGCTGACCCTGGAGGAACTTCTCCCAGTGTTAACCAATCCCTAGAGGTAGTAAACAACTTGCTCTCTAGTGTGTTCTTCAAATGCAAACCAAAACAGAGCCCGCACCCCAACCATTTCCTTAATGGGGCTGTCATACTCCATTATCTATTAATCACCACAGGAGCAGGTATCGGGTAACTACAGACAGTCCCTATGCCTCAGAGCCTGCTGAAGTTATTCAAATTATCCAATCCTAAGACTGCCCCCACCACCTCGCCCTTGCATTGCCCACAGTTATTCCCTTTCCCTCTGCCTCCTGACCAAGACTGAGGCTTCCCTGTTTGCCCCACCCCTACCCCCATGCTATGGTGTGCCCCCTTTCCTGGGAACCTTGAGAAACAAACTATCTCTTCAATGGCAGTCACCTCCTGATCTGTCCATCTTAACTGTACGTCGAGTTTTCTATGAATACTCTGTAGTTTAAAGCAGTCAGGAAGTTATCAGATTTTTTTAAGGAGGAAGTTGCATGGGAAAACTTAAATAATATTGTTTTATATTTGGGAAAAAAAGTCAATTGTTCTGGAACATCAAATAAAGTAAAATCTGACTTCCTTTTCCTGGTAGGTGGAATATCTGATTCTGCCATGATTCTCTCCCCGGGTCAGCAGTGGAGGAAATACATGATGAGGAAGGAAAGAGACGTTTGTGTTGGTCTAAAGGGAGCCATATTAGGATAGGACAAGGATGTTGTAACAAAGGCATCTTAGTCCATTCTTGCATTGCTTTAAAGAAATACCTGAGGCTGGGTAATTTCTAAAGAAAAGAGGTTTAATTGGCTCACAGTTCTGTAGGCTGTACAGGAAGCATGGTGCTGGCATCTGCTTCTGGTAAAGGCCTTAGGAAGCTTTCAAGCACGGCAGAAGGCAATTGTGAGCCAGAACATCACATGGCCAGAGAGGGAGCAAGAGGGGAGGTAGGGGGAGGGCCACACTCTTAAACAACTAGATCTCATGTGAACTGAATGGGAATTCACTCATCACTAAGGGAATGCCACTAAGTCATTAATTGGGGATCCGCCCCCATGACCCCAACACCTCCCACCAGGCCCAACCTCCAGTACTGAGGGATTATATTTCAACATGAGATTTAGAGGGACAAACCTCCAAACTATATCAAAAGGGGTACAACAATTAACCTAGAACTTAAAAAAGCTAGAAGTTTATTGCTGTGGGAGGTGAGTAGTCAAGGTTGTTAAGAGCTCTGTTCCATACAATCATTGAGGCCCTTGGGGCCTTCATCTCATCTGCATGATCGAGTCTGGGTGCCATTGGTTCTAGTCAGGCAAGGTGAAACAGCATAGAGGAGGCACATCCAGTGTCATAGGCAGTAGCTCAAAATGGCCTACATGGTGTTCACTCACATTCTATTGGAGAGAACTTAGTCCCAGGGCCACATACAACTGCAAGGCGGCTACCATTCAGTTACCATGGAAGGAGAGAAAACTGACTTGGGGGAGAGTGACACTCTCTTACAGCACCATAGGTGGCAAAAGCCTGAGAAATACAGCCTTGCATGCATCTTACGGGTTTTATTATTTTCATTTGACAGCTGGGGACACTTAAGCTCAGAATGATAAAGTAATTAATTAATCCAAGGTCATACCTGTAGTTGAAAGTGGAACTGGAATCTGAAGTCAAGACTACAGGATTTTAAAGCATCTTTTCCTTGCATTTTCTTAAACACTTGGTACTCTACATTCCTTTCTGTTCTTACTAATAGTCTTCAGTTTAAACATTTATCTCTTTTAGTTTGAGTCAAGTGTTTATTTTGCTCTTTTTCCTTCTAAAGCCTATAATTTACAAAATATGCCCATCTATATTGATTGTGTTTTCTTTCAGCTCACATCTCCCTTTATTTAACTTCCCTCATGTTCATTTTTCTTGCATTTGGTCACTCTTCTTTCACATCTGAATTATCATAATTCAAACATTGTTTTTCTGATCTATTCAGTGTTTATATCATTGTTTGTTTTTCTTTCCTCACCTTTTTAATAACTATTCCTGTGGAAATATGAATACTTTTGGTCTGAGTTAGCCTATCTTGATGTCAATCAATTAATAAAGTCCAGGAAATAATAAAGTTACTTTAAGTTTCCAAAACATGTTTGCACGTGAAATGCCAAGCCATTTTATTAAATACACTTGAAGTATTGTATTAACTCTTTTTAAATTCAGTGTACAAAACAAGCTGTCATATAGTAAGGTTGCTGATAATCACAAAGTAAGTACCTAGAAACATCTAAATTCTAAGCCATGACATCATTGTTCCCAAGTAATAAGGTAAGAAAGGTAACTTGAAAGTGCAGGAGCCAACATGATAAACAGTAACATTATTTCCTGGTTTTTACTATGTAAATTTCCATGTACTTGGGCTTTAGCCTGGAAAACATTTATATAAATTAATTATATCAGATTAACAAAGGGAAAATCAACTGGATTTTGAACTTACTAATTTCAAGAGAACATTCCAAATAATAAGAGAAATTAAAAATTAATTTTTCTCTTACAAGTAGATCTATGCAGCTACTGTCCTAAAACTTCAAAAGTTTGTGTAGTCAAAAGAAAGAAATTAAATACTATTTAATGCCCCTAATAGAGTAAATATTTTCTTGCATCTTTTGTCTATAGTTCTAGTAGTCATGGAAAATGGAAGATGCATTTTGTTTTTTAAAAAAAGTCATAAAAAAATGGATTAATGATACTCATCAAAGCATCAATTAGGAAGCAAATGTGGATGAGCTCCATAGCTAGAGAGAGGGTGAAATCCAGCTGCGTTCTTCAGAGGAGGCTAACCGCTGTGACAATCAGCCCCAGCACTCCAGTGTTCATTTTTCATTTGTGAAATAACACAATGTGAGTGTTCCTGGACAGGTGGCCCTGCTGTATGGCTCTTTCCAAGCAATGACTCGGGACCCAGGCTCCTTCAATCTTGTATCTCCGCCATCACCTAGGGCATCAGAGTCCTCTGACTTCCAGCTTCGCAGATAACAAGAAAACAAGAGTGGAGGATTTGGGAGGAAGATAGTCAACAGACCACATACCCAGGAGCAAGACTGGGAAATTGAGTCTGGTTCTACATCCTGGAAGAAAAGGAAACAGGATAGTAATTACTGCCATGCCAGCATCTCTCTCCCAACACAATACAAAGCAACTAATTTTCAAAGTAACTCCATTTATATCCATTTCTGTAGGAAAGTGCAATGGTTAATTTTGCATCAACTTGACTGAGATAAGGGATGCCCAGATAACTGGTGAAACATTATTTCTGTGTGTATCTGGAAGAGATTAGCATTTGAATTGGTAACTGAGAAAAGAAGATCACCCTCACCAAAGTGGGTAGGTGTCATCTAATCCACTGAGGGCCTGAATAGAACAAAAAGGGAGAAGAAGAGGGAATTTGCTCTCTCTGTTTGAGCTGAGACATCCATCTTCTCCTGCCTTCAGTCATGGAAGCTCCTGGTTCTCAGGCTTTAGGACTCAGACTGTGACTTGTACCATCAGCACCCCTGGCTCTAAGGCTTTCAGATTCAGAGTAAATTACACCTCCAGCTTCTCTGGTTCTCACGGCGCTTCTTGGCCTCCATAACGGCACTAGCCTATTCTTTTATATACATATAAAATGAGAATTGTTACTCCAAAGGAAGATTATCTTGTGTGGGCCTAATCAGGTGAGCCCATTAAAAGAGGGCCTAAGAGTCAGAGACAGAACACAGAGAGATTTGAAGCAGCAGAAGACACTCTCTGTTGTCCTTGAAGAAGCAGTTCCATGTTGTTTTGAAGAATTCAAATCCCTTCATAAATGTACATAATGTCTATGCCATTTATAAACAAAATGTAGCTTTCCAATTTATTTTGTGCGATGGAAGGATCAACAAGAAATTCAATGCTGCACAGGTAGCCACATTTCATAATCTGTATATTTGGAGATGTGTCCAGGTGGCAGCTTGGCAGCTCCACTGTCCCCTGTAGCTTCTTCTTCTTGTTCTTCTACTTCTTCTTCTTCATTTTTTTTTTTTTTTTTTTTTTGAGAGGGAGTCTCATGCTATCACCTACACTGGAGCTCACTGCAGCCTCCACCTCTTGAGTCCAAGTAGTTCTAGTGCCTCAGCCTCCTGAATAGCTGGGTCTAAAGGTGTGCACCACCACACCCGGCTAATTTTTGTATTCTTAATAGAGACAGGGTTGCACCATGTTGGCTAGGCTGATCTCAAACTCCTGACCTCAAGTGATCCATCTGCCTCAACTTCCCAAAGTGCTAGGATTACAGGCGTGAGCCACCACATCCACTCCCCACCCTCCCCGTAGCTCTTCCAAGGGTTTTCACACCAGCATGGCTACCTAGCAATAAAGTCTCACCATTAGGATTCTGTGGTTTGCAGCACAGATACCATTCCTTCCACACAGTATTCTAAAACATGCAGAACCATTTAACATGGAATCTTTTGAAATCCCAAAGCCACAGTGATCTTTTAAATTCACAAATCTGATCACATCACTTACCTGCTTAAAATTACCCAATGACCACCATTGTCTACACTGTGAAGTTCAATCAATGCCCTGACAATCTAGACCCTGCGTCCCTGTCTAGCTTCATCTCTGGCCCCTCTCCATACACAGGCTCTCGAATCTACTTGTTGTGAACACATGTTGTTATTTCCTACCTGAATGTCTCAGCTGCTCTGGCCTTCTCCTTCTTTGAACTAACATCTATTTGTCCTTGAGAACTTTACTTCAACTGCCATCTCTTTTTGCGTTCATTATTTGTTCCAATTATTTGACCCTTATACGAGTATCACTCCTTTCCAAATTATTCAGTTTCTGAGATTGAATGGTGAAGGTTTAGTAGTGAGTTTGGGTAGCAAGGGATACTTATATTATTTAAATATATTTGGTTCCCAGTTTCAAAGAGCAAGTATTAAGTGTATGGATAGTGAGGGCCCTAAGCAGTATGTTAATATAAATAAATACACACACACACACACACACACACACACACACACATCTAATCAGTTCCTGATATTGGATAGCAAGGCTACCTGATTATAGTTTTATTTCACAACTTACTTTTCATGTACATACATGATGTACAAAGGCAGCATAGTCTGTAGGGTTAATGGTATAGGGTCTTCAGCATGACTGCCCAGGTTGAAACCCCAGCTCTACTGTTTACCAGCCTACCTCTCTTCCTCATTTTCCATAGTTGTAAAATGGAAAAATAATAGGGCCAATCCCATTAAATTGAGAGGATTAAATGAGTTAATACATATAAAGTATTTACAATTGAACATGGCTCATGGAAAACACTCCATAAGTATTAGCTGTTAGCAGTAGTCATAGTAATTGTTTTGTTATTTATGCCTTGGTTTGTTCCAAAAAGAATGTAAGGTAGTGTGTGTAAATGTGTGTGTGTGCGTGTGTGTGTGTGTGTGCATTTTACTCCTCAATTAGCTTGCATGCTTCCTAGGGGCAGCAGCTGTGGCCTGTAATTTCTTTGTGTATTTTTAAAATGGCTAGCACAGTGCCAAGTATATGGTGAGTGCACAATAAGTATTAATTCCTCCTCCCCTTTTCTCCTTAAAATACACACCATGTTAGTCTCTGTTTTCTCCCACTACGCTGAGCACCATGCTTGGCTCAATGGTATATGTGTGTTGCTCGGTTGGACTGTTGTTGATTGCCACAGCTTGTTGAGCCCTACAGAAGTGCCTCAGCCTTGGACGGATATTCACTGACCCATTCAACAATCTTGTCCACCATTTTGTCTGCAGATTGAGTGTGCAGTGTTAATGAGCTTTGACAAGACAGAAGAGAACACGTTCACAATAACAATTGAAAATAACCCTTTTGATATGGCTGGGATATTTGTTCACTCCAAATCTCATGTTGAAATGTGATTCCCCAGTGTTGGTGATGGGGCCTAGTGGGAGGTGCTGGGCCATGGGGATGGATCCTTCATGAATGGCTTGGTGCTTTCCTCAAGGTAATGAGTGGTAGTAAGTTCAGCTGAGATCTTGTTGTATAAAAGAGTGTGGCATCTCCCCACTCTCTCTCTCTCTCTCGCACCCTCTCTCTTCATGTGACACACTTGCTTTCCCTTCACCTTCTTCCATGAGTAAAAGCTTCCTGAGGCCTCCCCTGAAGCAAAGCAGATGCTGATGCCATGCTTCTACAGCCTGCAGAGCCATGAGACAAATAAACTTCTTTTTTAAAAACAAATTACCCAGTCTCTGGTATTCCTTTATAGAAACACAAAATGGACTAACACACTCTCTATTCTTAATGGGGAGAAAAGCTAGAATTGCAGTGAAATGAAATGTTTGTGAAGAAAATCATGACTGACTTCCATTTAAAAATGTTTTTTACATTTAAAAATATGTGAAGTTCAGCTGGGCACGGTGGCTCATGCCTGTAATCCTAGCACTTTGGGAGGCCAAGGCAGGTGTATTACCTGAGGTCAAGAGTTCAAGTCCAGCCTGACCAACATGGCGACACCCCCTCTCTATTAAAAATACAAAAATTAGCCAGGCATGATGGCGTGCGACTGTAATCTCAGCTACTCAAGAGGCTGAGGCAGGAGAATTTCTTGAACCCAGGAAGCAGAGGCTGCAGTGAGCCAAGATCATGCCACTGCACTCCAGCCTGTGTGACAGAACAAGGCTCTGTCTCAAAAAACTAAAAAATAAAAAAAAATGTGAAATTCAATGTGCCTGATGATGCTGCCAGAAAAGAGAAAGCTAGCCTGAGTAGACCTTCATTCAGTTCTACCCTTTCTTAAAGTATGTCCTGTGGAAGCTTAATGCTGAATTAAAGTCTCCTAGAAACCTTATTAGGGGATTTGGGTCAGGGACAATAGTTGTTCTTCATGACCTTCTTTTGTAACCTCCTAAAGAATGCTGTCTATCATCTCACTAGGTTCACAAGGCTTGTTTTGTCCTTTGTAGTATCTCCCATGGCCCATCCAAGGGAAAAGGAAGTTCTTGCTCAAAGAAAGTTTGTGCACTATGCAAATGCAGTGATATCATTTTTCATCAGGCTGAACTAAACAGCACACAACAAAACCAAGAACCTACACCACTGCTTGTGCACTTACATGCTAACATAAACTGTACAGATTTATAGTCCCTGATGTGTACAACATCCCTTATGTATTAGTCTGTTCTCATGCTGCTAATAAAGATATACCTGAGACTGGGTAATTTATAAAGGAAAGAGGTTTAATGGACTCACGTTCCTTAGGGCTGGGGAGGCCTCAGGAAACTTACAGTCATGGCAGAAGGAGAAGCAAACACGTCCTTCTTCACATGGCGGCAGCCAGGAGAAATACAGAGTAAAGGGGGGAAAAACCCCTTGTAAAACCATCAGATCTTGTGAGAACTCACTTACTATCATGTGAACAGCATGAAGATAACCACCCCCATGGTTCAATTACCACCCACTGAGTCCATCCCACAACACAGGGGGATTATGGGATCTACAGTTCAAGATGAGATTTCGGTGGGGACACAGCCAAACCATATTACCTTACATATGTGAATTATCTTGTTTGCTTCTGAACAGAACAGTGGTAACTACAATTGCTCTACATTTTACATTTAGGTGGATCTTAAGGTGACAAGATTTTACTCCTTTTCACAATTTTTGTGATGGGACAATAAGCAGGAGAGGAGAAAAAGGCAAAGGAGCATGTAAAAATAAATGACCTGTTTTTTACTATGTCCCCTTTCTCAGTAGAATATGAAAACTTCCTGTGTGGGTCCTTTTATGGCTGCTTCTAGATTTTCAAAGCTGTCCCAGCTGAGACGCAGGCAAAGAGAAGAAAGAGGCTGGGCTGAAAACCACTGCAATTTCCTGGGGAGAGAGTGCCCCCGGATGGGCCATTGATCTTCATTGTTCCTGCTAGACAAATAGACTTCTCAACATCAAATAAAACTTTACTTGATGAAGATTTGTTTGGAAGGATGCTTTGTTTATATTTCTTTACCCTTTTAGATATTACCTACAATTTCTGAGCACATGTGCCAAGATAAAAGAACTTAACAAGCAAAGAAAAAGGGCGTTTTTTTCTATAGGGAGAGGTTCTGAAAAATCCAAGAACATAAGACGGGTTTGTATACTGGCTGAACAACATGGGGTGGCTAAACTGGTTGTGTTTCTAAATTCTTTCAAACAGGCAGAGTTACTAATTTGTCTTATCAGATGCTCAGCATGATAAATCTAAACCAAATTATCCTATCACATGAAGTACTCTTCCCTTAAGAATCAATTAAGCATTGGAAAAATGAGAATTCTTACTTCTATGCAGAAATGATACTGTGTGGTTAGCTAAAACTAGGACTGTGTTAGCAAAACACAGACTGTATTAGGACTATGATTTGTGTACAAATCACAAAACTGATCATTCCAAAGAGAATGATAGAACAAGGGTAGCCTGGGAGTTTCTGAACTAGCATTGTAACACAATGAGTCAGTTGGTGTATCCCTCAATTCGGCTGGATTAATTTTTTTTTTTTTTTCTTTTGAGACGGAGTCTCGCTCTGTCTCCCAGGCTGGAGTGCAGTGGCGCGATCTCGGCTCACTGCAAGCTCCGCCTCCTGGGTTCACACCATTCTCTTGCCTCAGCCTCACAAGCAGCTGGGACTACAGGCGCCCGCCACCACGCCTGGCTAATTTTTTGTATTTTTAGTAGAGACGGGTTTTCACTGTGTTAGCCAGGATGGTCTCGATCTCCTGACCTTGTGATCTGCCCGCCTCAGCCTCCCAAAGTGCTGGGATTACAGGTGTGAGCCACTGCGCCCGGCCTCAGCTGGATTACTTTATCCCCAATACTGTCACCCTACTAGTTCCTGTCTTGCAGTGAAAAATAGCAGATCTGTGAGTCCAGGAGCTGGCTCAGGTTGGGGTTCACTGCTAGAATCACCCAGGTTGCTTTTGATAATGAACTCTATCTTCAGTCTGCAAAGTAGGTCGTGGGAGAACAAGTGAATTGAATATTGTTCATGAACTTTTATCATTTAATAGGGCTTCACTATAGAAAAAGTAAAAAATACAGGTAAGAATAAAGTAAAAGTTTTTTTACTTTTAAAAACTTTCCATTACCAAGAAGAAATCCTCTCCACTTTTTAGTGTGCGTTATATCCATCTGGATTTTTCTTTATAGTGTAAGTATGGTGAAAGCATGTGACTCAAGCTTTGATTCCAAAGTCAGCTAATGTGTTAGTCCATTTTCATGCTGCTGATAAACACATACCCAAGACTGGGTAATTTATAAAGAAAAAGAGGTTTGGCCAGACACGGTGGCTCACACCTGTAATCCCAGTAATTTGGGAGACTGAGGCAGGTGGATCACCTGAGTTCGGGAGTTCAAGACCAGCCTGACCAACATGGAGAAACTCCATCTCTACCAAAAATACAAAATTAGCTGGACGTGGTGGTGCATGCCTGTAATCCTACCTACTCAGGAGGCTGAGGCAGGAGAATTGCTTGAACCCAGGAGGTGGAGGTTGTGGTGAGCCAAGATCGCACCATCGCACTCCAGCCTGAGCAACAAGAGCAAAACTCCATCTCAAAAAAAAAGAAAAAGGTTTAATGAACTCACAGTTTCACGTGGCTGGGGAGGTTTTACAATCATGGCAGAAAGAGAAAGGCATGTTTTACATGGCAGCAAGCAAGAGAGAATGAGAGCCAAGCAAAAGGGGTTTCCCCTTATAAAATCATCAGATCTCATGAGACTTATTCACTATGATGAGGACAGTATGGGGGAAACTACCCCCATGATTCAATTATCTCCCACCAGGTCCCTCCCACAACACATGGGAATTATAGGTGCTACAAATCAAGAGGGGATTTGGGTGGGAACACAGCCAAACCATATCAGCTAATAAGGAGGGGAAACTTACAAATTATCACTGAACTGTCCTTAAATCACTCATAAGATTCAGTATACACAGTTTTGTGTTTATAACCCTGGAGAGTGCTTCTTATATATAAGAAGTTTTGGGAATTGCTCAACTAGAATAAAAGAAGAAACAAAAGTAATATCTTAAAATAACCTGGGAGACAGGGAAAATTCCAAGTAGTTCTGCTTCCTGGCAGTATTTAATCTGTTATGTTTTAATATTAAGCAGCTATAGCCTTAATACCTATTAACAGATGTATTTAATGGATGGATTAAACAAGATAATGGAGTCACACCTTACTGGAATTAAATTCTAAAGTTGGTGCCTAAGAAACACCTAGGGTGAAATTCCTCTCTCATTCTCTTCTTTCTCTGCGTGTGTGTGTGTGTGCATGCGTGTGCACGTGCATGCACACACACACACATACATGTGTAAAACTCAAATCATACATGCTGTTTTGGAGCCCACTTTTTCCACTTAACAAGATATTTAACCATCTTTCCACAACAATGAAATATTCTAAAACACGTTTTCTATGTATGGTTACTATTCAAAAATGTTTTCACATAATTACATTTTTGTTGCTTGTTTTGGAGAATGTGACTTATCTATATGAACTTTACAAATAATGTGCACCATAAGTTACTGGATGGGCCCTCTTTGGTATCTGAAAATCCAAAGAAACTACATGCCAAGGACCTGAAGCTGAAGGGCCTGTGTTTCTGTAGTGAGCTCTCAGAAGCAAAGGAGGGGACATCACAACCCAAGCATTAAAATGACTAATTCTTTTAACTTTTAAGTTCAAGGGTACATGTGCAGAATGTGCAGGTTTATTACACAGGTAAATGTGTGTCATGAAGTCGGGGGGCAGTTTGTTGTACAGATTATTTCATCACCCAGGTGTTAAGCCTAGTACCCCTTAGTTATTTTTCTTCATCCTCTCCCTCCTCCCACCTTCCACCTTCCAATAGGCCCCAGTGTGTGTTGTTCCCCTCTATGTGTCCTTATCATTTAGCTCCCACTTATAAGTGAGAACATGCGGTATTTGGTTTTCTGTTCCTGCATTACTTTGCTAAGGATAATGACCTCCAGCTCTATCCATGATGATGACTAATTCTGTTGTTAATTTCTCACCATGGTCCAAGACATTTTGTTTTCCAGCCATTTATTAGTTATACTCTTTCCCCATGAAAGTGATTTTGCAGCCTTTAAAGTACAGGGCAATTGCTAGACAAAAACAAGCGAAATGAGGATGGACTAGAAGGAGAAAAACTGAAGGCAGACAGACAAGACATCTATGGAAATTTCAGGAATGGCAAGGGAGACATTAGTGATAGGGACGGGGGCAGAGAAATTCTAGGCAAACAGGCAGGTCCCCAGTGAAACCCCATCCTCAAGCCAAAAAGTCTGCAACTGTGGCCCAAAATGAGAATTTTTATCCCTGTTTTATCCCTGTTTTCCCACTCAAATGTTGCCTTTTTCTAAACTACCCATGGCCCCACCCCACCCCATCCTGTGCCTATAAAAGTTCCAGCCAGTAGGCAGGAACTATGGCTAGATGTTGGAGAGAAGTGGCTTGTCTTCAGAGAGACAACTTGTTGGTGTAACTTCAGAGAAGAATCTGGCCAGAGACAGCTGGACCTCAGGGGAAGATTACCTTCCCTCACTATCCTCTTTTCAGCCCTCCTTCCTGCTAAGAGTCACTTTCATTGGCAATAAAATCCCCCTGCATTTACCATCCTTCAATTCGTTCATGCAACTTCATTTTTCCCGGATGCCAGATAAGAGCTTGGGAGACACAAGCGTGGATTCAAAAGGCTGTCACACTGTCCCTTTGCTTTCACAGGTGGAGGGCAGCTGCCTCACATGAAAAGGCAAAGGGCCTGAGCTGTTAACTGAGCTGTTAACACTTAAGCCATCCAAAGATGGCAGAGCTAAAAGAGCTCTGTAACACTCCCTCTGGGGCTTTGGGGGTTGCAGACACCCCTGCCTGGATGCTGCTGTGGGGCCTGCATGGAGTTTGCTCCTGCTGGCGCTAAAGCATCCAGCCAGTTCCTGCACCTTCTCACCTGTCTGCTCCCTCCTACAAGGGCTGGAATGCAGCAGGTCTGAGTGAGTGGAGTGTGATCCCACCAGTGCCAAAGGAGCTGATTCCAGCACTCATCTACTCCAGTTGCCACACTCGTTTGATCATGTGCTCCCTCTCATGAAGAGTTGAGAGTGGTAGGCTGAGTAAATGAAGCACACCTGTCACAAGTCCCTCGAAGGGGTCAGGGAAATATCCTGCTTCACTAGTAGTGATGTTAAAGAAAGGACTGCGTGAAAGTGTCAAATTTGAAGACTGTAGGAGAGGAAGAATTAGCAGGGGTTGGTGATTAACTAAAGATCAGTAGAAGCTGGACATCAACCATGAAATCTCAGTGTTGTGACACATCCCATCCTTCCAATCTGCAGTCTGTGGAAGCCAAAAGCTCTCACCTGGATTCTGTCCATTCTCAAGGGCTGCATTTCCCTGGATTCTTCTCCTCTGTGACCTCTTTCTTTCTCAAGAGCTGCATCTGTTCACACCAGACAAACTCCCAGTGGAAAACTCATCACTCTCTTTGATTTCCCAAACTAGCTCCTACACAGCCCACATTTATGAATTCCATAAATATGGCAGATATTATAGGCTTGGTTGATCCAGCACCATGCCTTCTCCCTTGCCTGCATCTATTATAGAAGATATAAAAGCTAAATTATTTCCTTTCATCCCTTATATTCAGGGAGGCCACGTGATGCAAGTAGAAACTTGGTGAGGATATTTCTGGGAAAGAACTAACTATCTTTAAGTTAGTTAATTCTTAAAGAAGAACATGGCCATTGTTGGTACCTTTTTCCTCATTTTCCTTCTCCCTGCCTTGAAATATAAACGTAATGTGTGAGCCCATAGCAACTACCCTAAGACCATAATGTGGCAAGCATGAGCACAAAAGCCAACAGAACAAGGATGGTAAAGTGGAAATATAGACAGTGTCTGGGTCCCTGATGGCATCGTTGAACAGCTGAATCCATGCCAACTGCTACATAGCTCTGATTTTAAATAAACTCCCATTGATGTAAGCGACCATGAGTCTAGTATTCTATTATTTGCAGCCTAATATGTTCCTAACAAACAAAGAACTCTTTGTTGTGATATTTTGGAGGTCCCAGGGAAGGTGAAAATTATGCAACTTTTCACCATCTTGCTTATCCCCTACTAATATGGTTTGGCTGTGTCCCCACCCAAATCTTATCTTGAATTCCCACATGTTGTGAGAGGATCCCGGTGGGAGGCAATTGAATCATGGGGGCAAATCTTTCCCATGATGTTCTCATGACCGTGAATAAGTCTCATGAGATCTGATGGTTTCAAAAAGGGAAATTCCCTTTCACAAGCTCCTCTCTTTGCCTGCTGCCATCCTTGTAAGATGTGACTTGCTCCTCCTTGCCTTCCACCATGATTGTGAGGCTTCCTTAGCCACATGGAACTGTAAGTCCAATAAACCTCTTTCTTTTGTAAATTGCCCAGTCTCAGGTATGTCTTTATCAGCAGCATGAAAATGGACTAATACAGTAAATTGGTACCAATAGACTGGGGCACTGCTGAAAAGATACCCAAAAATGTGAAAGTGACTTTGGAACTGGGTAACAGGCAGAGGTTGGAACAGTTTGGAGGGCTCAGAAGAAGATAGGAAAATGTGGGAAAGTTTGGAACTTCATTGAGACTTGTTGAATGGCTTTAACCAAAAGCCTGATAGCGGCATGGACAATAAGGTCCAGGCTGAGTTGGTCTCACATAGAGATGAGGGACTTGTTAAGAAATGGAGCAAAGGCGACTCTTGTTATGTTTTAGCAGAGACTGGGCATTTTGCCCTTGCCCTAGAGATTTCTGGAACTTTGAAATTGAGAGAGATGATTTAGGGTATCTGGTGGAAGAAATTTCTAAGCAGCAAAGCATTCAAGATATGACTTGGGTGTTGTTAAAGGCATTGAGTTTTAAAAGGGAAACAGAGCATAAAAGTTCAGAAATTTGCAGCCTGACAATGCAACAGAAAATAAAATCCCATTTTCTGAGAGGAAATTCAAGCCTGCTGCAAAAATTTGCATAAGTAATGAGGAGCTGAATGTTAATCCATAAGACAATGGGGAAAATGTCTCCAGGGCATGTCAGAGGTCTTCATGGCAGCCCCTCCCATCATAGGCCCAGAAGCCTAGGAGGAAAAAGTGGTTTTGTGGGCCAGGTGCAGGGTCCGCCTGCTGTGTGCAGCCTAGGGACTTGGTGCCCTGCGTCCCAGCCGCTCCAGCCATGGCTGAAAGGGGCCACCATAGAGCTTGGGCCATGGCTTCAGAGGCTTACACCCTCTGAAGCTTCCACATGGCAGTTTGGCAGCTTCCACATGGTGTTCAGCCTGCGAGTGCACAGAAGTCAAGAACTGGGGTTTGGGAACCTCTGCCTAGATTTCAGAGGATGTATGGAAACCCCTGGGTGTCCAGGCAGTAGTTTGCTGCTGGGTCAGGGCTGTCATGGAGAACCTCTGCTTAGGGCAGTGCAGAAGGGAAAAGTGGGGTTGGAGTCCCCACACAGAGTCCTTTCTGGGGCACCACCTCGTGGAGCTGTGAGAAGAGGACCAACATCCTCCAGAATGATAGGTCCACTGACAGCTTGCACCATGCACCTGGAAAAGCCACAGACAATGCCAGCCTGTGAAGGCAGCTGGGAGGGAGGCTGTACCCTGCGAAGCCACAGGGGTGGAACTGCCCAAGACCATGGGAACCCCGCTCTTGTATCAGCATGACATGGATGTGAGACATGGAGTCAAAGGAGATCATTTTGGATCTTTAAGATTTAACTGCCCTGCTGGATTTCGGACTTGCATGGGGCCTGTAGCCCCTTTGTTTTGGCCAAATTGTCCCATTTGGAATGGCTGTATTTACCCAATGCCTGTACCCACATTGTATCTAGGAAGCAACTAACCTACTTTTGATTTTACAGGCTTATAGGAGGAAGTGACTTGCCTTGTCTCAAATGAGTCTTTGGACTGTGGACTTTTGAGTTAATGTTGAAATGAGTTAAGACTTTGGGGGACTGTTGGGAAGGCATGATTTGTTTTGAAATGTGAGGATGTGAGATTTGGGAGGGGCCAGGGGCTGAAACCCAAATTCAGGGTTTGGCTGTGTGCCCACACAAATCTCATCTTGAATTCCCACATGTTATGGGAGGGACCTGGTGGGAGGTGACTGAATCATGAGGGAAAGTGTTTCCCATGCTGTTCTTGTGACAGTGAATAAGTTTCATGAAATCTGATGGCTTTAAAAAGAGCTTGTCGCCTGCACAAGCTTTTCTCTTTGCCTGCCATCATCCACGTAAGATGTGACTTGCTTCTCCTTGCTGTCCGCCATGAATGTGAGGCTTCCCCAGCCACGTGGAACTATAAGTCCAATTTTACCTCTTTCTTTTGTAAATTGTCCAGTCTCGGGTATGTCTTTATCAGTCACGTGAAAATGGACTAATACACCTACTCTCTCTATGCTCTCTTCATTTTTCTCTCTTTCATTTCCCCATCTCCTCCGAAGAGCGAAGCGGAATTATCTCCTTGTTTTCTACAGAGCATTTGTGATCATGATGGATCTTTTTTAACTTAAATGTAACTTAGACATCTCTTCCTCCATTTCAAATATTTACCTTTTTTTTCCCCCAATGAAGTCAGCTCTCTCCCTAAAGAGAATTCTGATGCCAGGTGGTTCAGATAAAAATATCTTCTACTTTCCAACATAAAATATAAAGCATTTCTAAAAAGGATACCAGTGCTTAAAGTCCTAGAGATTGAAAACAGGACAACACTGCCACTATTGATAAGTTAATTCTGCATAGCAGTGAGAATCGATGACAGTGTTGACTCTGTTGGAGTGCAGCATGCTGTCTATTAAAGGCTGAAATATTGGACTTCTCTCTCCAGCCAAGGAAGGTCGTTACTGTGGGGCTTATTCTGTAACTGCCCAATGGGTTCACCTTGCCAGCTGCCTAGGCAGAGCTGATTTATCAAGACAGGGAAACTGCAATGAAGAAAGAGTAATTCACACAGAGCCGGCTGTGCGGGAGACCAGAGGAGTTTTATTATTACTCAAATTAGTCTCCCTGAGCATTTGGGGATCAGAGTTTTTAAAGATAAATTGGTGGGTAGGGGCTCAGGAAGTAGGGAGTGCTGATTGGTCAGGTTAGAGATGAAATTATAGGGGGGTTCAAAATGAGGTTTTCTTGCTGTCTTCTGTTCGTGGGTGGGATCACAGAATTGGTTGACCCAGATTACGGGTCTGGGTGATGTCAGATGATCCATCGAGTGCAAGGTCTGCAAAATATCTCAAACACTGATCTTAGGTTTTACAATAGTGATGTTATCCCCGGGAGCAATTTGGGGAGGTTCAGACTCTTGCAGCCAGAGGCTGCATGACCCCTAAACTGTAATTTCTAATCTTGCAGCTAATTTGTTAGTCCTGCAAAGGCAGACTGGTCCCCAGGCAAGAAAGGGGTCTTTATGGGAAAGGGCTATTATCAACTTTGTTTCAGAGTCAAACCATAAACTAAATTATTACCCAAGGTTAGTTCAGCCTATGCCCAGGAATGAACAAGGACAGCTTAAAGATTAGAAGCAAGATGGAATTGGTTAGGTCTGATCTCTATCACTGTCATTTCCTCAGTTATAATTTTTGCAAAGGTGGTTTCAATTCAACTGAGCATGCTCCCAGTATCTTGCACCTCCACTTTGAGATGATACTTAAACCCCAGAGAAAAGCCATCTGCCTCAACCAGCTGCACCTAAGACCCTGCCCTGAGCTTGATCAGCCATGAAGTGCTCACCAGATGTCATGCCAGGCCCCTATTGACTCCGATAGGGATGGCACCATACCCTAGAGGGCAAATAAGAGACCTGGAGACAATGAATGAGACATAGGGTTTATCAGGGAAACTCCATACAGGAATGGCCCAGTGGTGGCAAGCTGGACAGTAGCACCATTACTGTTTATAAAAAGCATGCAGTTTATACAGCATTTTCACTTAGGACCCTCCTCTCAGCAACCTCCATTTAACCCAAAACAAAGGGCCTCAATCCCTTCAATCTCTGGGTTGGCCACTCCTGGATTCCTTAGCTTGGAACTCCAAACACACATGCTTCTTAGACCCTAAAATCATTCTCAGGGTATGTTTAAATTATTGTTGTAAGGTGCATCTGCCATATACCAGGTAAAAACATGAGAATCTGTACCACACTGGGCTCAGAAAGTTCGTGTGTTCAGCCAGCAGAGGTCGGCTGACAAGACCATCTCAACCTTGGCTTGGAAAAGCTCAAGACAGTTAGTGGCTTCCTCAGAAATATGAATCTGTGTGTTCTCTACCAAGCAATAATTGAGATTACTAGGAATAATTGAGAATGTACTTCCTGATGAATGAGGGAGTACAGGGAACTTCACCTTAAAATTTGGCTCCTTGGTGTAAGGAATGAATTAAAGTCCCTTAGAGCTCAGCAAAAGCTGGAAGAGACTTTTTCTCTAGCTACATAAAGACAGGACAGACCCACCAAGGAGAATAATGGTTTTTCCTTTCCTTCCCTGTTATCTCATTATCTTTTGCAGAAAAGAAGATCACAAATGTAACCGCACCTGAACAGACTCTTTCACAAGATAATAACTGTCTCTCAGGCTCATTCTGTTTTCAAAGAGAACCATTTACAAGTTAATCTCCACTCCCATCCATTCATTCTCCCTAGTAATCATGTACTGCCCCTAAACAGAATTACCTATATTCCCCATCTCTCCCCCAGCCTCTGAAATAAGGCTATATAAGTATCTGGGCCCCACTGGGATTTGGGGGTGATATGGTTTGTGTGTTTCCCCACCCAAATCTCATCTTGAATTGTAATTCCCACAATTCCTATGTGTTGTGGGAGGGACCTGGTGGGAGATTATTGAATCATGGGGGCGGGTCCTTCCAGTGCTGTTCTCATAATAGTGAATAAGTCTCATGAGATCTGATGATACTAAAAAAGGGAGTTTCCCTACACAAGCTCTCTCTTCTCTTGTCTGCCACCATGTGAGATGTGCCTTTCACGTTCTGCCATGATTGTGGGGCCTCCCTAGGCAAGTGGAACTGTAAGTCCAATAAACCTCTTTCTTTTGTAAATTACCCAGTCTCGTGTAGGTCTTTATCAGCAGCTTCAAAATAGACCAATACAGCAAATTGGTACCAGCAGAGTGGGGCACTGCTAAAAAGATATCCAAAAATGTGGAAGCAACTTTGGAACTGGGTAACAGACAGAGGTTGGAACAGTTTGGAGGGATGAGAAGAAGATGGGAAAATGTGGGAAAGTTTGGAACTTCCTAGAGACTTGTTGAATGGTTGAATGGCTTTGACCAAAATGCTGATAATGATATGGACAATGAATTCCAGGCTGAGGTGGTCTCAGCTGGAATAAGGAACTTGTTAGGAACTGGAGCAAAGGTGACTCTTGTTATGTTTTAGCAAAGAGACTGGTGGCATTTTGCCCCTGCCCTAGCAATTTGTGGAACTTTGAACTTGAGAGAGATGATTTAGGGTATCTGATAGAAGAAATTTCTAGCAGCAAAGCATTCAAGAGGTGACTTGGGTGCTGTGAACAGCATTCGGTTTTGAAAGGGAAACAGAGCATAAAAGTTCAGAAAATTTGCAGCCTGATAATGTGATAGAAAAGAAAATCCCATGTTCTGAGGAGAAATTCAAGCCTGCTGCAGAAATTTGCGTAAGTAACGAGGAGCTGAAGATTAATCCCCAAGACAATGAGGAAAATGTCTCCAGGGCATGTCAGAGGTCTTCATGGCAGCCAAGAAGGAGGCCCAGAGGGCTATGAGGAAAAAGTGGTTTCGTGGCTGGACCCAGGGTCCCCTTGCTGTGTGCAGCCTAGGGACTTGGTGCCCTGCGTCCCAGCCACTCCAGCCATGGATGAAATGTGCCAATGTAGAGCTCAGGCCATGGCTTCAGAAGGTGCAAGCCTTCAACCTTGCCAGCTTCCATGTGGTGTTGAGCCTACCCGTGCACAGAAGTCAATAACTGGGTTTGGGAACCTCCACCTAGATTTCAGAGGATGTATGGAAATGCCTGGATGCCCAAGCAGAAGGTTGCTGCAGGGTCAGCATCTCATGGTGAATGCAGTGCAGAAGGGAAATATGGTGTCAGAACCCCCACACAGAGTCCTTACTGGTGCACCACCTAGTGAGGCTGTGAGAAGAGGGCCACCATCCTCCAGACCCCAGAATGATAGATCCACTTACAGTTTGCACCATGTGCTTGGAAAAGCCACAGACACTCAACACCAGCCCGTGAATGCAGCTGGGAGGGAGGCTGTACCCTGCAAAGCCACAGGCATGGAGCTGCCCAATATGATGGGAACCCACCTCTTGTGTCAGCATGACATGGATGTCAGACATGGAGTCAAAGGATATCATTTTGGAGCTTTAAGATTTGACTGCCTTGCTGGATTTTGGACTTGCATGGGGCCTGTAGGCCCTTGGTTTTGGCCAGTTTTTCCCATTTGGAATGGCTGTATTTACCCAATGCCTATACTCCATTGTATCTAGAAAGTCACTAACCTGCTTTTGATTTTACAGGCTCATAGGCAGAAAGGACTTGCCTTGTCTCAGATGAGACTTTGGATTGTGGACTTTTTAGTTAATGCCGAAATGAGTTAAGACTTCGGGGGACTGTTGGGAAGGCCTGACTGATTTTGAAATGTGAGGACATGAGATTTTGGAGGGGCCAGGGGTGGAATGATATGGTTTGGCTGTGTCCGCACCTAAATCTCATCTTGAATTGTAACTCCCACAATTCCCATGTAGTATGGGAGGGACCCAGTGGGAGTTAATCGAATTATGGGGGTGGATATTTCCCATGCTGTTCTCATGATAATGAAAAGTCTCACGAGATCTGTTGGTTTTACAAATGGGAGTTTCCCTGCACAAGTTCTCTCTCTCTCTTTGCCTACCACCATCCATGTAAGACATGACTAGCTCCTCCTTGCCTTTCACCCTCTCTCATAACTGTGAGGCCTCCCCAGCCACGTGGGGATTGAAGGGCAGAGAAGGGCAGAGAAGGGCAAAGGTAAGTCCAATAAACGTCTTTCTTTTGTAAATTGCCCAGTCTAAGGTATTTCTTCATCAGCAGTGTGAAAATGGACTAATACAGGGGTAATCACTGGTTCTTCCCTGTGTGCACATTAATAGACTGGTATCCCATTTCTCCTATTAATCTCCTTTTGTGAGTTGGATGTTCAACAAACCTTCAAGGGGTGAAACAGAAGATTTCCATCGGCCCCAGTCTTCCCAAAGGCACAGAGGTTAGGGGTTTCTCAAATATAGTTTGGTGGGCAAAGGATTAGGGTTGGGGGGCATGTTGATTTGTTGGGTCAGAGATGAAATCATAGGGAATGTCACTTTATGTATTTATATATATGTTTTTCCTCTCTGTGTGAACCTCACATGTATGATTTTTGTTAAATATATTCAGTACTTACTTTAAAAAAAAAATACATTCTTTTGTCTAAACTAGTGGTTCTCAAGAGGTGATTTTGTGTCCTGCTGCCAGGGGACATTTGGCAATGTATGGAGACATTTTTGGTTGCCACCACTGGGCTGTTGGGGGTAGGTGAGGTTCTACTGTCATCTAGTGGGTAGAGGCCATGGATGCTCCTAAACATTCTGCAGTGAATAGGACAGTCTCAAACATCAAAGAATTATCCTGTCCAAAGTGCCAGTAGTGCTGAGGTTGAGACACCTGCTCAAACTCAAAGACCAGTAAAAATTTAGAAAGAGAGAGAGAAAAGTAGAGTGCTTTTGAGTCCCCTTAAACTCAGGCTTAGCTCTTAGTTGTATTGATGTAATTATAATTTATTTGCTGTGTTATTTTTTGGCAGTGTAACCACCCAACCACCCACTGCTCACACAAAATTGACTCACTGAGACCATAGCATTGCAGTAAAGAAAGAGTTTAATTGGCAGAGCTGGCCATGCCATATAGGAGATTAGGGGTTTTTAAAATGCAGTTTGATGGGCAGGGGAGTAGGGTAGGGGGCATGCTGATTGGTTGGATAGGAGATGAAATCATAGGGAATTGAAGCTGTCTTACTGTGCTGAGTCAGTTCCTGGAGCCGGGGTGGGGTGAGACAGGACTTGTTGGCAGGTCCAGGTGGAGCCATCTGGACATCTCCAAAAGGCAATCTTAGCTTCTACAATAGTGATGTTATTTATATTTGCAAGAGTAATTGGGGAAGTTTCAAATCTTATGACCTCCGGAATAATGCCTTGTAATTATTTCTAATTCAAACCCCTCTTATCCTCCTAACTTGGTGGTCTTTCATTAGTTTTACAAGAACAGCTTAGTTTTGGAGAAAGGCTATTATCATTTAAACTATAAACTAAATTTCTCTCTAAGTTAGCTTGGCCCACTCCCAGGAGCAAATACAGTCAACCTATGAAGCTAGAAGCAAGATTAGAGTCAGCTATGTCAGATTTCTCTTACTTTCATAATTTTGCAAAGGTGGCTTCAACAGTGCCTGTAATTACTTTCATTGTAAAGTAACATATTTTTATAACCCAATGACAGTAACTAGATGTTTGATATCATCTGTCTATATTCTCTTACCTACCTTCTTTTATATCACATTATTTTAGTCTGAAAGCAAAATAATCCCTTAACATCCTTTCTAAAGTAAAATGATTTATCCAGTTTTGTTTTTTTTTCTCTATCCCAATCTTAGCATTTCACCTAGGAAAGACTACAGACGTGTTAATCCATGCACATGATTGTTGGGACCATAACAGTTAGATGGCCATCATTGTGTTGCTGCAATTAACCTCTTTCCTCCAGGCTTACATGCTTACCACTTCTATGCTTCACAGAGAAATCATGTTCTCTGGGTACCTATACTCATCATTTCCTCCACTGATCCTTGTTATTTCCAATTCAACCAGTCTCATCTATGCTTCCCTTTTTGGAGCTCTGTTGCTTCTTAAAAGGAAGTTTTTATTGAATTTGTCTTCAATCAGCTCTCTCCCTTCAGAATTCTGTGTATCTGCTCTCTTCCACTTAGTGGAAGTGGTACTTGGTCAAATACATGTCGGTGATGGCGCTCACATTTTGGTTCATACAGCTATTAAACATGTATTTTCTCTCCAACTAGAGAAGCTCCTTTTGGGCAGGGACAATGTCTCACTTTTCATGACATCCTGAAGCACCAGGTATAGGACTCAAACAAAAAGGCATCCATTGACTATTGAATTCATGAGTAAAATGTAGATAATAAGTTTATATATTTGAGATGACATGAGCATATGACTTTATGTCCTCAGAGTCCTAATTTGGCCACCATGAATTGAAGGAAAAGCATCTCATTTCCATGACAAAATCTTTCCTACAATAAAAATTGTAAGTAAGCTTGGATACATTTCACATGACTAACTCATGACCAAAAAGAAACTTGATCTGTGACCTTCAGTAACACACTCGATTTAGAAAATGTGAATGGGCTTAATGATTAGTGACGGTTGCTAAAAATTAAGGCTTTAAAAAATCTTATTTATGTGAATACTAAAGCTGCACACACCTGGAGGTATTAGTTGATGTCCTTGTTGACCTAAAAGGAGGAGGCTGAGGCACAAAATATAATTTAAAGAATTTACTTGAGCCAAAGGGAAGACAGCTGTTGAGACGCTCTTCCCAGTTGCACTGGGGAGTGCTCTGTTAGCTTTTGTTGTAAGCAGGTTTCTAAAGGCAAAGGGAACAAGGAATGGTCTGATGTAAAGTTCTTTGACAGGAATTCTCACTGGTTTTCAGAGAATAACATTGCTTAATGATTGGCCATGCACTGTGGGACTGCAGGATATAGTGTTATAGTGTCTGGCATATGGCATTTGATGGCTACTTGGCATCAGTTAGTCTAGAGCCCACATGGCAAGTGGCTTCAAGAGATAATTATTTAGTTCAAGGGGGAGTGATGTGACTGCTGTTTCATTCAGTGCCTTTTGGGGCCTGATAATTTAAAGGGGCTCTCATTCTTCAGATAAAAATTTTCTTTCCTTCCTTTTTCCTCCACACCATTTTGAACAAACTTTCTGTTTTCTTAGTTATCACTTTCCTCCTAATAGTCTTTAGAGCAAACAGAGCAAGTAAGCCAACCAGAAAAGCCACAGAAAACACACTTTCCATATACCTACCGTCTATTTTCCTCTTAGACGCATACTTGATCCTACGACAAAAGACTTGTCTCCAAATAAATCGATTTAAAATATGTGAAACATTATATCTTTTAAAAAGTGACGTTTCATAATAAAACTATGTCTACTATGCATTTGCTTTGAGTTTTTATAACTTTCCAAAAAAGTTTTCCTCTTGCCGGTAAATACGTATCCTATTTCTACAGCTCTGGGATGGTATCTATTTATTATACATTATTTATCTCTAAAATGTTTTACTAAGCCAAAAAGGAGAAGAACACATCATACGGAACAGTACCCTGTGTAAGGAGGGAAGTGTCAGAGACTCCATAGTGTACTCCCAGTGTGACCAGTGAGAGCTACTGCCCTGCCCTGAGTTGAGATGTTCTGAAATAGCTATTGCATTTCTATGTGCCCTCTTTTTCTGCCATTATTAGCAAACAGTTTTCATCCATTGGCTGACAAAACTGGAGTAATGGATAGTGCTGGACCAGCAGTAAAGAAACAAGGAATATCAGCCTGAATGTGGGAATGCAAGTTTTAGTGCAATTCAACAGCTATCAAGGAAAAGGTCAAGGAGGTCTAGGATAAGGGGCGGCAGGCAAGCGGGCATCAGTGGAGGCCCTTTGACTTTTTGAAGAGCTTCAGAAACAACACTATAGCCTGGAAAGGCTGATCTACACTGGAAGACATGGTAGCTCCTGGCAAGGAATGACCCCAGCCGAGAAGAGCAACTGCTAATGCGTGATGAAGGATGGATGAGGCCTGGGATGCAATGGGCTCATAAAGCACTGACTACCTGGAGTCCGTGAGAGCTCTCATTTCCAGTAGGAAGTTTCACTGTCTCCAGGGCAAATGAAGGATATGTGGACATTATACATTTTTTAAAAAATTTAAGTGCAAGCATTTTTGTTCTCCCCATTTATTTGTTCATTCATTCGTTTATTCAACTAACATCCATTATGTGTTCTTTGCTGCACGCTGAAGATACAAAAAGCATTAAGAAAGGAACTCTGTTTGTAAGAATCTCACAGTTCCTTAGGAGCTGGGTGTGGGATGTTCTTTGCCCCTCTAGATCTATTCTCTGCCCTTCGCCACCTTGCCCAGTGGCTCCTGGAAGCTGACTTTTCTGGAAAGTATCAACAGGGCTCCCTTGCCTTCCAGCTTCAGTTGGGCTCAGCCACTAGGAAGCACAAGAGGAGAGGAAGGGTAGCAGGAGAGGAAGGGCGGCAGAAGAGGAAAGTGAAGCATTGCCCTGGCTTCCTTCATGCCTGCTAAGGCTTAACAATGGCTGCACTTCCCTAAAGCCACAACTGCTGAGAAGCAGCCTGCTTCCAGAACTACAACCAGCTCTTCTGTTCCTGGCTTTTCCAGGCCCAGGGCTGACAGTGGCCCCCCACAGTGTAGCCTGGAAGTGCTTTATCACTCTTGGTTCTCCTTGACCTCTACATGGCCCCTCCATTAAGCTTTCTTTCATTTATTTCCTGTATGATGACATAACAAGGTTAGCTGGGCAATAAGCAAATATCCTATAGTGTCAAGTGTACAATGAGGGCAAGAAAGGATTAATCAGTCCTAACTGGGGGGGGGGGGGTCAGGTGAGGCTGTGGTCTATAAAGTCCTGTCCCTATTCACCCTTTCAATTGCATGCTGAAGTTTCTCTAAGAACATGAAATCAATCACGTTATCTTCCAGCAATGGCAGTGGAAAAATCTGATGACAACCCCAGGAAGAAAGTTCAATGGCCATGTGATTGACTATATAATGATGTTCCATTTATCTAAAAATAGTACTTTGCTTAACTTACACTAACGCACCTTACAGTTATGAGACACTACCTACTTAAAATAGCATACAGTGAAAGTAGACCTAATCTACCTCCTAGTTGAGTAGTAACAAAAATGTCTAACAGTTACTGAGTTCTCAACTAAACCTATAGTATTAATATGATAATTATGTATGGAATTATGCATATAGATATTATGTATAGAAGTGTGTCTACTAATTTCTTACAATGCCACCACAGAATAATAGTATTATTCCCATTTTATAGCAGAAGAAACTGAGGCTTAGAGAGAATTTAGTGACTTGCTCAAAGTCATAAAGCTAGTAAGTGGCAGAGCTGGGATTGTAATCCCATCTATCTCCATTATTAACCACTATGCTCCCTAATAAAAAAAAATTCTCATATCATGTGTTAGCTAAGGTAACATAGGATGCATTAACAGATAAACCCCCAAATGTCAGCGATTTACCATAACATTTATCTCTCACTCATATCAAGTCCAGTTGGTAGTGGTTCATGTGGGAAGAGTCCACTCTAGCTCAACAGTTCAAGACCCAGGTAGACAGAGGCTCTGACCTCTTCAACATGTACCTCCCATGTTGTCCTGAGTGCTAAAGTCCAGCCAGCAGAAAGAAGAGAGAGAGAAAGAAGATTTTTATGATTCAGGGGTGGAAATTCCAGACATAAATTCTACCCTTATTCCATTAGACAGGAATCCATTGTATGATTGGGAAATCAAGTCTAGCTGAGTGTCTAAAAGGAAAGAGAAAGGATTTGATAGACAGCAAGACTCACACTGCTTCCAATTATAACTCCCCAATTGTTCTCAGGTGACAGGAGGCTCTGTCTCAACCTGATGACCAGAGAATGAGATGAAGATCAAGTGGATTCCACAATATTTAGTTTTTGCTGTCAATATCATGTCAGTCAGGAGAACAGATAACACTCTAGGTCTTTCAAACAATGAAAATTTAATAAAAGGAATTTATACAAGGACTGAGAAGCCAAATAGGGAACTGCAAGACTACCCAGAGATTAGAGATACAGGAGGCCAGCACCATCCCCAGGAATTGAAGGTCACTAGGATGAAGTGGTGTCATCAGAGTCCCAAAGCTGGGGCTTTTCTAGTGGGAGATGCCCAGAAGGAGGGACGGGCTATTGGGCAGGGGGTGAAGCCACAAAGGAGACCCAACTACCAAAGAGGGAGGGAGAGAGAGAAAGAGGGACTCTCTTCCTCATTGCCCCAAGTCTTCCTTTAGAGCCTCATTTTGGCTTGTAAATTAAAAACAAAATTCTAAGTACCCCAACCAACTGAATGTACCCCTCTTGGCCAAGGAAACTCCAGAGAAACTGGTTTCCCAGCCATGATGAAACAGACACACCTCATTATACCTTTTCTAATTATGGAGAATTTCTGTAATGAGATTCTGTTGGGAGGTGGAGATTCACAACTAGTATGGGAGCTGAAGGGGACAGATACTTCCTTCTTCTTCCTGGAAGAAGAGATTGAACAGATGACCAAGGCTTAGCCAATTAGATGCTCCCACCTGAGGTCTCAACTCTTGACCACCAGAAACAACTGGAGAGTTTAGAAAGTATTCACAGCACCAGCATCCACACAAGGCAGATCCAGTGGGGCCCCTGGGCAGCTCCAACAGTCATTCCAGCAGGGTGTTCTGGCTGCTCATGCCAATCATGGCTGTCTGATCCCTCTTGGTTCCTACCTGTTTTTTAAGTCTCATTCTTCAAACTTCCCTTTGATCTATGAGCTATTCATTATCTGCTTACATTAATGGGTCATTTCTATTGCTTCAACCAATGCCTGACACATCTACCAATACTTCAACTCACTCCCTCCTTTGTCGTTCTTTTCACCTGTCTGCAAACTTCAGCCTTTGTTTTTTGACTGTGTCCCCTTCTTTGTTCCCACATCCTGACTTTGGATCATTGCTGGGGAAAAAAAATCACATTCTTCAGATTGGAACCAACTGAGAAGTTCAGGCTCTATAACCTCAGGCACAATCCTTCCAGGAATCCTTAGCTCCTCATCCCATTCCCCCAAAGAGCCACTTCAATTCTTAGACATTCTTCTCAAGCCTCACTTCCATCATCTCTTGCCCTCCTCATTCCCAAGAACTTGCAGCAAACAACATAACAACAAATAGCTTGTCTCTGATTCACAGGCAAACTAGAGACCATGAGATACAAACTTGACTGAATAAACAATCACTGTATGAAATCGTTGCAGCTACACTCATTATGTAACTAGTATCTTGTGCTTCTCTTTTTCACCTTAAGGTTATTTTCCCTAAAAAACTACCAAGTATTTACATAGACCACATACACTTTTTCTGCTTAGAGAGTATGTTAATATGTGTGTACTGTGTGTGTGTGTGTGTGTGTGTGTGTGTGCATGAACGTATGACACACGTTTCATCTTTTTGTTGGAATAAACTCTCCCTTTCTGTTTTTTTTATTTTGTCCTATAAATGGAGCAGCTATAACTGGTGTCATTTCTTTTTAGTTAATTCCTTTAGGATATATTTCCAAAATAGAATTATTGGGTTAAAGGGCATAAAGAATTTTTAGAGAGCCAGCTGCATAATGCGAATTTATTCTCCAGAAAGACGTAACCCTTCTGCAGTGGAAAAGCATATTTTCTTTTCCGATGGTGATGGTGTAGCCCTGGCTACACTGGACATTATTATTGCTATTAATTTTGTTTCCTGTTTTATATTCCTTTTATTCTATTGGCTCATAGACTCTTTTTCTATGAGATAATATACTATCTGTTGTTTTGGATCACCTGTAATCATCTACTAAATGTATTCTACCTGTAATTCTTACATGCATGTGCTCATTATGTTTGAATAATGAGGTTTTTATCAGATGTTTAGTGTATTTCCTCTACCTTGTTTACTTCTTTCAATATTTATTTTAATACAGCACGTGTATGGAAATTTTAGTTTGACTTGACATATTTGATCATATGCATTGCATCTCTGGTCATAGCCTGTACTTCTTAAAACTTCAAATAGGCTGGGCACAGTGGCTCACACCTATAATCCCAGCACTTTGGAAGGCTAAAGCAGGAGGATGGCTTGAGTCTAGGCATTTGAGACAAGCCTGGGCAACATAGAAAGAACTCTCTCTACAAAAAATACAAAAATTAGCTGAGTATGGTGGTGCCCACCTGTAGTCCCAGCTACTAGGGAAGCTGAGGTGGGAGGATCACTTGAGTCTGGGAGGCCGAGGCTGCAGTGATCCATGATAGTGCTATGGAACTCCAGTCTGGGCACCAGAGCGAGACCCCGTCTGAAAAAAAAAAAGAAAGAAAAAAGTTTAAAATACTTATTTCTCCTCCACAGCTGAATTACATTTGGTATGATGTTTTCAAAAGATTTTTTTTCATTAACAGTTGCCATGAAATATTTAACTGTTTGACCTATCTGAAATTCACTTCAAAATACCATATGAAATATGGATCAAATTTAATTTTTCTCCATGCTGTTATCTGTTTGCTTGACAATATTTATCAAACAGTGATTTATCCCCCACCCCCACTACCAGCACTTTTTAAAACTCCTGACAATGATTTTTTGATCCAATATTTTTCATTGTGCAGTCAAAGGAATTAATCACTGGAGGCAACTAATATAGGCCTGAAAGCTTTCCTTTGAGAAGCAGGGATTTTTGGCTCCAAAAATCCCACTGGTCAGCACATGGAAAGTTAGGCCTAAAGGGATTTAAAAATTATTTTGTTCAACTCCTCTCTTCTATTACAAATGAGGAAACTGAGGCACCAAGGAATTAAATACAGTACAAGTCACTCTGCAAGAGATGTGGGAAAATAATGGAGAATTAAGGCAAGTAACTAGAAATTAGGGACATGGATTTCAGATAAAAAATAAGCAAAAAAAATGCTGCTAATATATACTAATAATGTATAGAAATACACAGCTAATAATAAAATATAGCACTACTAATAAAAATATACAGCTAATAATAATGGCAGCTACCAGTAACCGAAGATGTACTGTAGGCCAAGCACTGTGCATCTCTTTGAAGGCCCATGCTGACTCGTTAGGATATGTATTATTATTCCCATTCCTGTCCCTAGTAATTTGCCCAAGGGCTGCCACCAAGTGGCAGGAAGCAGGTCCCAGCTCTGTTTCCCTGACTCAGAAGGAAGCATTTTTCCACTGCACCACACTGCCTCCCAGCTACCTGGTGATAAAAAGCAAGGCATGCCAACCAAGCTCCCACTGAAGAACCTACTCCATTAAAACAAAAACCAATCATCTACTAACTTCGTTTGAAACTGATTAAAAGAGCCATCCCAATTACTAAAATTGTGTGACCTGGGACAAATCAAGTGACCACTTTAGAACTCGATTAACTCAGCTGTCAAAAAAGGGCAACAGACAAGATGATCTCTAAAGTCTCTTTCAGTTTTAATATCCTAGGATTCTAATTTCCACTGTCCACTTTTCATTCTTCCATAAGTAATAAAAATAGGAAGAGTACAAATTTCAAAAAGAAGTAGAACCCATTTTGATTTTATTAAAAATATGTTTCCAAAGCATAATTTTAGGGCCAATAAAATTCTTTATGTGAATTAAGTTTAAAATGGTCATAAAAAAATGAAAATAATAGATTAACTAAACTATTTAACAATTATTTTAAACTAACATGTAATACAAAAAAACTGATTTAACAGATTATTTGAAATACAATGGTACTATAAGATGATATGGGTGAATAAATATTATGTTTGACTTAAGGTTAAAAAATAATAGTAATAATAAACAAGTGCCCTCTTAGTTAACAAGGAATACGTTTTATTTAAGTAGATTGTAATGCCTGGTCAAAAAATATATATTTATTAATTCCAAACTACTAATGCTATAACTTCAACTTTTCTTTTTTAGCAATTATTGACTAAATTGTAATTTTTGCTTACATTATTTTCATAGAATATTGTGTAATATACACATTAAATGAAAGCATGTGTTAAATATTCAGGCTAAACATGGTAGTCCCCATTAAATCTTAGATCTTAGTAGGTTTTTCCTTTTTGAAAAGAAATCGAATTCTGGAATGCTTTCCCATCACTGCTGTTAATACAGGCCAAAAGAGGTATCCCATGACAAGCATTTCTGTAGTTGTACCTTAAATCTTCCAAGAAAGGAGCCTAAGGTATCCCATATGTTGAAAAGAAATAGATATTAAGATAAAAAGGAAATAGAGATTTAAAAAAAACTAAACTAAGTCACATTATGAAATGGAAATTTAAAAATCCTTACCTGGAGTTTTCTAAAAATAAAATACTTTGTACTGAGTAAGAATAGACACAGAACACCAAACAAAATGCCTCTTCGTGGTGTGATTCTATGAGTTTTTAGTATTTTTTAAGTCCACATTTTTCTAGTCAAAATCTTTAGCAATATGAGACATATTGCCTGAAGAGGGCACCCTTTCCTTTAACACCAAAATCTATTTGCTAAACCCCTAATATGTAAACAAACCTGTGGGATAAAAGCACTATATCAACTTCATTTTCAGTAGCAACGCTGTTCCAAATTAAGTTAAATTTTTAGTCAAATATACATATATAAGCGTATATTATTTATATAAATAATACAGCTTCAAGCATGAGAAGAAAAATGACTCCTGTATGCCCAGGATTAAATTTAGGAAATAGAAACATTCCAGTAACTTGGAGGTTCCCATATGCTTCTCCCAGTGTACCTTCGTCTCTCATCCTTAAGGGAATCACTTTTCTGAATTTTGTCTTTACAATTCCCTTGCCTTTCTTTATAGCTCTGGGGTTTGTTTGTTTGTTTGTTTGTTTGTTTGTTTGTTTTGAGATAGCTGGAGTTCACTGGTGTGATCTCAGCTCACTGCAGCCTCTGCCTCCTGGGTTCAAGCAATTTTCGTGCTTTAGCCTCCAGAGTAGCTGGGATTACAGGTGTGAGCCACCTCGCCTGGCTAATTTTTGTATTTTTAGTAGAAACAGGGTTTCGCCATGTTGGCCAGGCTGGTCTCAAACTCCTGACCTAAATCTATCTGCCTGCCTGAGCCTCCCAAAGTGCGGGGATTACAGGTGCAGGGATTACAGGCTTCCCAAAGTGCTGGGATTACAGGCCGCCTCTGGCCTCTTTATAGTTTTATTAGCCATATATTGTTTAATTTTGCCTTCTTTAACCTTACTATAACTGTATCAGGCTGTATGAATTCTTCTGTGACTTCCTTTTTTGATCAATATTAAGTGATTCAGATCCAATCATACTGATACATGTATCACACTGATACTGGTACATGCATTTTTGGCACTGTGCAGTGTTCCATTCTATGACTATATCAGAAATTTTTACTTATTACCTATGCTTCCATGGTAGACTTTTTGTTTTGTTGCTGTTACAGGTAACACTGCTGTGAACTGTTATGCATGAGCCTGGCAGCACATATACACAACAGTTCCTTTAAGACAGAGATGGGCAAAGCATGACTCCCACAGGACGAACCCAGCCCACTGCCTGTTTTGGTATGGCCCACAGCTAAGAGTAACTTTTACATTTTAAACGGGTGTAAAAAAAGAAAAAGGAAGAGAAGAGTGTTTTGTGACATGTGAAAATTATATGAAATCTAAATTTCAGTATCCACAAATGAAGTTCCATTGAACACAAACACACCTAGTCACTTACATGTTGTCTATGGCACAGATCTCCGGAAGCCCAAAACTTTTATAACACTATCTCAGCTTTTACAGAAAATGTTTGCAGATCCCTGCTGTAGGTTAAAAATGCCCTAAGATGGACATTTGTGTTTCAGGTGTAGAGGGGAGAGTGAGTGAACAGGGAGGGGGTCTTTTGTCTATTGGTCTCCCTGGACTGAAGAGAGGGAGAATAGAAACCAAACACTAGGATTCTCAAAATGGTTTATTACCCAGAACTCTCTGTCTGGGTCAGTCAAGAACCATTTTCAAACAAGGAGATGGAGGGAATTTTTAATTTTTAATTTTTTCTTTCCATCTTCTAAGAAGGTGTTGGTACTCTGTTTCCCTGAATGTTGTTCTCTAGACTGGATTGATTTGTTTTCCTTGTGTCTTCAGTGCAGTTTTCTTCCTCAATGGTGTAGGTTGAGTGAATGCTGCCGTAGTGTGTGAGAGACTAGTGTCTCACCAGCTGGCACTTAAAGACATACAGTCACAGTAGCGTGACTGACACTCATAGACGTGCGGTGACAGTAGCAAGAGCAATCACAAAACTGTAATTTACTTACCAAATTTCTTCTTTTCCATTACCTCGCCTGCCTGTTTAGAGAAAGAGAAAGAATAATTTTAAAGGGATTTTGAGGTGTCTTTTTGGATCCTTATTGTTTCAAAGGGAATTTGGTGGGGCGGTGGGGAGGCAAACTCTTTTTAAATAAATTCCCTCTGAAAAAAAAAATCCAAAACACTGGCATCTGAGTAGGAATATGAAAATTACGCCTTTTCCAAAAATTAAGAAAAAATGTCTTTACAAAATAAGAATAATTTTTGAAAGGTAGAACACTCTTTTTTATTGGCAGTTTTGATAAGCAAGGCATAGATTTTACATTTTTGTCCTTGCTTCCACTGAAATGGGATAAACAAAAATAAAATACCATCTATTCATGGAATGTTGTGTTAGCCAGTCTGAAACCCCATCCTAATTTTTATATAGCCATCTTTTAGCTCTTCCTTTGACAGAGCAGGCCTTGTTTGGAATTGTTCTGCTTCTGACTGTTAAATATCTGTAAACCAAAAATAAAATTCTAAGCCCCACCCGCCCCCCAACCATCTGAATGGACTTCCTGCCAGGGCACTCTAAAATTTATCCTGAAAGACTGGTTCAGGCCGTGATGGGAAGTGGAGGATAAACAGGCCTCATTGTATCCCTCCAGCTTTAACATCAACACAGACCTTAAGTCTGAAAAGAAACATTTACGATCCATTCTCTCTGAATCCTGCTACCTGTAGGCTTCATCTGCACACTAAACTTTGGTCTCCACAACCTCTTTCAACCAATTACCAATCAGAAACTTTTTAAATCTACCTACAACCTGGAAGCCCTCGCCTTCCTGCACGTTTCAAGTTTTCCCACCTTTCTGGACCGGACCAGTGTATATGTTAAATGTGTTTGATTGATGTCTCATGTGTTCCTGAAATGTGTAAAATCAAGCTGCGCTCCAACCACCTTGGGCACATGTTCTCAGGATCTCCTGAAGATTTATTCTTATGTGCAGAATAAATCTCTTCAAAGATTTTAGAGTTTGACTCTTTTCTTTTCTTTTCTTTTTTTGAGACAGAGTCTTACTCTGTTGCCCAGGCTGGAGTGCAATGGTGTGATCTCGGCTCACTGCAACCTCTGCCTTCAAGTGATTCTCCTGCCTCAGCCTCCCGAGTAGCTGGGACTACAGGTGTGCACCACCACACCTGGCTAATTTTTGTATTTTTAGTAGAGACGAGGTTTCACCATGTTGGCCAGGCTGGTCTCGAACTCCTGACCTCAGATGATCCACCTGCCTTGGCCTCCCAAAGTGCTGGGATTACAGGTGTGAATCACCTCGCTCAGCCAAGTTTGACTCTTCGTCAACACACTGATGACCCATGCACTGCACATCTTCGTTCTCTTCTTGCTTCCCCATTGGCCTGAGTTTCTTGTGCATTCCTCCTCTCTTTCCTTTGTTAGAATAGGTACATCAGCTGTGCAAATAGAGAAAAAAAAACAGTATTCCGCACCTGTGGCATTTATGTAGAGTTGCAGTTGTGTACTGTGGAAAATGCGGGCTTTTGTAACAACGTGAGCTTTACTAATGCACTCATGACAAGTACCCAGTGTATTTTAGCTATTTTAGTAGTATTTGTTCAATAAATATGCAAGCTATAAGGTAAAAACAAATAAATAAATACCTAAGATGGAAATAGCAAAACATGAAGTACGTGCTTTCTTTCTTTTTTCTTTTGAGACAGTGTCTCACTCTGTCACCCATGCTGGAGTGCAGTGGCGCCATCTTGCTCACTGCAGCCTCAACCTCCCGGGCTTAAGTGATTCTCCTACCTCCACCTCCTGAGTAACTGGGACCACAGGGACATGCCACCATACCCAGCTAATTTTTGTTTTTTCGTTTTTTGGGGGGTTGTTTTGTTTTGTTTTTGTAGAGACAGGGCGATGTGGTTTGGCTGTGTCCTCACCCAAATCTCATCTTGAATTGTAGCTTCCATAATTCCTATGTGTTGTGGAAGTTACCCAGTGGGAGATAATTGAATCACGGGGGCATTTTCCCCATGCTCTTCTCATGGTAGTGAATAAGTCTCATGAGATCTGATGATTTTATTAGTGATTTCCCCTTTCACTTGACTCATGCCACCATGTAAGACGTGCCTTTTGTCTTCCGCCATGATTGTGAGGCTTCCCCAACCACGTGGAACTGTGAGTCCATTAAACCTCTTTTCCTTTATAAATTACCTAGTCTTGGGTATGTCTTTATCAACAGCTTGAGAACAGACTAATACAAAGGGTTTCACCATGTTGCCTGGGCTGGTCTCACATTTCTGGGCTCAAATGATGCTCCCACCTCAGCCTTCCAAAGTGCTGAGATTACAGGTGTGAGCCACCATGCCCAGCCCTGAACATTTTTTATTTCCCTTGTTTTCCAAAGTGACTCTACCCACATATATTCCCATCACCAGTGTATGAGCATTCTCAATGTTTTCGTGGTATATGCAGAAAAAACACATCAGCTATAGAAATAAAGAAACTACTCTTCTGTGTACCTAGGAGTTGTGGTGGAAATTTCCAACACTGTTTCTGTACCTGCAATAAACTATTAATAATAATTATGACTGTATGTTGGCTAATGTTGGATAACTTTCCTGAGTTCAAGCTCGTCAGTAGACAGGGTCCTGGAATGTTGATGTTGTCTAGACAATATCCTCTCACGATATTTGATCAAGGCCAAGCCCTGGGGTACCCAGCTCCTCCATATAGAGGGATTTCATCTGGCTGAGCCCATCCATGGGCCCTACAAAACCAGGATGGTACCAAGTGAATTGAGTGTAACTGGTGCAACTTCCACGTGCTTGTGAATTTGTCCTGCAATCCCCTGCTCCTGAGACCTAAAATGAGCCCTAAAGCTTAATCCAGAGCTTATTTTCCAGGCCACTCTCATGATAACTGATGAGTCTTCATACAGCAAGTATGCCAACAATTAATTTAGTATCTACTATGTGTTCTGTTCTAGGCTTTGAAAAGAAGGAAAACAGGCATCCATTAGAGAAAAAAGTGCCCAAAACTCAAACACTATAATAAGGAAGCCCCTTTTATATTTAATACAAAATAATTACAGTGTATTAAGAAAGAAAATACCGGATTCAGTTAAGTGTGTCAGCGCTTTAACCTATTCTAATTCTACTTTTTCATATTAATTGAGAGAAGGGTAGGCAGGGTGCAGTGGCTCACGCCTGTAATCCCAACACTTTGGGAGGCCAAGGCTGGTGGATTCCCTGAGATCAGGAGTTTGAGACCAGCCTGGCCAACATGGCGAAACCCCGCCTCTACTAAAAATACAAAAATTAACTGGAGGTGGTGGTGTGCACCTGTAATCCCAGCTTCTTGGGAGGCTGAAGCAGGAGAATAACTTGAATGCAGGACGTGGAGGTTGCAGTGAGCTGAGATCGCACCATCGCATTCCAGCCTGGGTGAAAAGAGTGAAGCTCCATCTCAAAAATAAAAATAAAAAAAAAACATTGAGAGAAGGATAGTATTTAAAAGAGGTTAGGCTTATGGCAGTGGAAAACCCAATGTATCTGGCACCTAGAAGGTATTTTTTTACCTCTTTGCTCTTTTATATGACAAAAATATTTTCTATAAATATCATGTAATAATTAGTCATATTTATTTTCTTGATTTTATAGTTTAACAATAAAAAAGATGAATATGATTCCATTGTAAAGGCATTTATTCAAACACACTAAAATGATTCACATAACAACTCAAATTTGCATTTTACCTAACAAAATATTACACCTCATAGTTTCTACTATGTTTCATTGTTTTAACATTTAAACACCCATAAAAACTTGAAGTGATCATACAGAATGAAGGACAAGAAGTAATTTGCATTTTGTTTCTTCTCTTTACAGTCGTGGTTTCATTACTGTTTATTTTGAATCTGCTATTTTAATGCAGGAATACTAATAACACAGGGCTTGGAGAGGTGAACTATGCCCAAAGTACCCTCTACTAATTATGAACTCTTACAATTTACCCTAGAGATGAAGGTGTGGGCTCCTGCAGCCTGTGTGTTGCCAGCTGTTTGTATAAATCTGGTAGTTCTCTTAATTAACTTTCATGTAGAATCCAACATTTATTAAAGAATTAGTAATAAAAATGTACTAAATTGATGTTTACATAGATATAGCTACGGATACAGACAGAGCTAGAGACAGAAACAAATGATTAAAACTTAACAGTAACTGCAGCACGTAGAAATGTGGTGCCCACAATGATAATTACTAGCCACGTGGCAGCTATCAAGCACTTGAAAGGCAGCTAGTCTGAATTGAGAAGTAATGGTAATGTAAAATACTCATAAGATTTCAAAGGCTTAATATGATTAAAAAGAATGTAAAATATTTGTTGTTTTAAGCTGCAAAACTCTAAGATAATTTGTTATCTAGCAATAGAAAACTAATACAGTAAAAAAAGAAGAAAATGAGATATTTCAAGATACTCATAAATTGGTTTTTTAGTATTCGCTTAATATTTATATTAGTTTTGATTAGCTTGGCCAATACTTAATTTTTAACAGACATTACTCATATAAAACAATTATTTTTAGATATGTACAATGTAAACAAAGATACGTTTTAGTTCTAGAGATGGATGGGTATTGATTGCATGACAATGTGAATGTATTGAATGCCACAGAACTGCACATTTTTTTAAAAAGGTTAAAATGGTCAATTTAATATAACAAATTTTATTACAATAAAAAAGAGATGTTTTAAATAGTTAAAAATTTTCAAAGAAAAGAATACTATGTGGCTGCATAATATGAATGAATAGGCATTAGTGCAAGAAAAGTTTTTTTTTATTCTTACTGTTCCAGAAAGCCTTTATGGCTTAAAAGATGGCTGTAGAATTAATAACCAAATTATGAACTATTTGGTGGCTGTATAAGTTGTTCTTTTACAAAAACCTTTGAAATAACAGCTTGCCTGTCTGTCTCAAAGTCCAACACTTTCATCCAAAAGAAAGTCTTTAACATCTGAAAGACAAGTGTGGTTATGTATGAGAATAGGTATCATGTGTAATAATGTAAAACTCTAGGAGAAAAATCCCTTACAAAGAGTAGTCCATTCACTTTCTTTAACGTAAAATGAATATTTTAAAATAGGATGCTAGAAACATGCTATATATGAGGTGAATATTAATGAAAACTTCAGATATGTGAATTACTGATGAGGGCAAAATATCTGCAGTTTGAATATATAAAAAATCTGTAGGTGAGCTCAATGCACAGCTATGTGCTAGTGTTCTCCACTTTATCTAGCCAAGCCAGTGTTCCCCACGCTTTGCTGACCATCAGAATCAGAACTGAACATCTTGACAAATGCCTAAGCTGTACCCCATAAAGTCCAAAGGTCTCACCATAGCTCAGGCTTTGAGTGTGTGTGTGTGTGTGTGTGTGTGTGTGTGTGTGTGTGTGTGTGAGAGAGAGAGAGAGAGAGAGAGAAACAGAGAGATCCGGGTTGGCGGGACGGTTCTTTGTCTATTTGTTTTTAAAAGTCCCCAGGTAATTTTAAACTAGGAAGCCAATGGCTTTTTTTCTGTCGGCTGGAAATCCCAAGAAAATACCTGGGATTTGTGTATTCTTCATTCCTATGGTAATTTCTGAACTTTCTTTTTTGTTTCTTGTTTTTTGTTTTTTTTTTGAGATGGAGTCTCGCTTTATCTCCAGGCTGAAGCGCAGTGGCCCGATCTCAGCTCATCGCAACCTCCACCTCCCAGGTTCAAGCAATTCTCCTGCCTCAGCCTCCTGAGTAGCTGAGACTACAGGCATGCACCACCACACCCAGCTAATTTTTGTATTTTTAGTAGAGACAGGGTTTCACCACGTTGGCCAGGATGATCTCAATCTCCTGACCTTGTGATCCGCCCGCCTGGACCTCCCAAAGTGCTGGGATTACAGGCGTGAGCCACTGTGCCTGGCCAATTTATGAACTTTCTTACTTTCTTCTTGGAAGCATTTGAGAAAGCTGACAATTTGTCCTTGAAACACTCGACCCACTTGGCTTCCAAGACACCACACTCTCTGTTTTTCTCCTACAGTTCTGGCTGTGCCTTCTCAGGTACCTCTAAACTTTGGGGTGCCCCAGACTTCAACTCTTGAATAAAGACCAAGTGGGCCAAATTAATGTGCAGCCCATTTGACTTCACCTCACAGCCTCTTCTTCAATACAGATTTTTTTGTTTTATATTTTTGAATGAAAGTTATACACGTCCATAATTTAAAGAGTTACATAATTCTAAAAGGCTTGTTAAGAAAAATGGCAGCTCTACAACTTCACCATTTCCAATAATGCAACTACATTTCATTCTTTTCAACCAATTCTTTTGTATTTCCCTCAATAGTTCTGAAGAACATTCCTATATAGATATGCCTTGGTGTTTGTTTGTTTGTTTGTTTGTTTTACTTTTAAACACTTATTTCCCACTGTAGAGATGATTTTACTTTTTATTTTTATTTTTTGAGACAGGGTCTCACTCTATCACCTAGGCTGGAGTGAAGTGGCACAATCACGCCTTACTGAAGCCTCAACCTCCCAGGTTTAAGTGATCCTCCCACCTCAGCCTCCCAAGTAGCGGGGACCAGATGCCCAGCTAATTAAAAAAAAATTTTTTTTGACGGGGCGTGGGGACTCACACCTGTAATCCCAGCACTTTGGGAGGCCGAGGTGGGCAGATCACCTGAGGTTAGGAGTTCAAGACCAGCCTGACCAACATCGTCTCTACTAAAAATACAAAATTAGCCGGGTGTGGTGGTGCATGCCTGTAATCCCAGCTACTAAGGAGGCTGAGGCAGGAGAATCGCTTGAACCCAGGAGGCAGAGGTTGTAATAGGCCGAGATCATGCCATTGTGCTCCAGCCTGGGCAACAAGAGTGAAACTCCATCTCAAAAACAAACAAACAAAAAATTTTGTAGAGATGGGGTCTCCCTGTCTTGCCCAGGCTGGTCCCAAACTCCTGGGCTCAAAGCGTTCCCCCTACCTCGGCCTCCCAAAGTGCTGGGATTACAGGTGTGAATCAAAGTGCCAGGCCTGATTTTACATTTTAAAAAATACGTCTAGACACAGACACACAAACACTCCTCCCAATGTCTCACCCTCCCACTATGTTGTAAGTTTGGTTAGATCAATATTCAGTGTTTCTATTTTATGGCCATGTAAAATGGAAACACTGTTGGCAGCTAAATCATATATTACTTATTTTCCTTTCCTGACAATTTATTTCTCTAGAACTTATATAATTGCCTTTTTAAAAGACGGCCTACATTTCTAATACCTAATGCTAATTTATTCCCAACTTTTCCTACAGTTGAGTCAATCTCCTCTCAGTGCTTTCAAATCCATTAGGTGTTCTACCATTCTGAACTTTATGAAGCTGTCTCTCCTGGTGCTTTCTGACCTGCTCCATTGGGATTGACTGATAGGTCAGCTGCGCAGAGGTCATTTCAATGTCTTCCTGTAACATGGTTCTAGAGATACTTTTCATTTTTCTCTTATGAATCACCTGTTTCTCAGATCCCATGTCATCTTCTTGGGTTCACTCCCTCATTTGGCAAGAATGCTCTGAAATTTCACTATCATGTGTCTTAATATGGGTCTTAGATGTATTTCACTGTGTACTCAGAGGGCCCTTTTAATTTGGAAATTTACATCTGGGAATTTTTCTTGAATTATTTCTTTGATGATTCTTTCCCTCCACTTTCTCTGCTCTCCTTTTCTGTAATTCCTAAATTACTCCTTTGATTTCTCATTTATAAAACACTTTTCTAGGCTGGGTGTGGTGGCTCATGCCTGTAATCCCAGCACTTCGGGAGACTAGGGCAGGAGGATCGCTTGAGCCCAGGAGTTTGAGACCAGCCTGGGCAAGATGGTGGGACCCCCATCTCTACAAAGAATTTTTAAAAATTAGCTGAGCCTAGTGGCAAATGGCTGTGCTCCCAGCTACTCAGGAGGCTGAAGTGGGAGGATTGCTTGAGGTCAAGAGGTTGAGGCTGCAGTGAGCTGTGTTTATGCCACTGCACTCCAGCCTGGGCAACAGAGCAAGATCCTGTCAAAAAAAAATTTTCTCTTTATTTTTTAATTTTTTTTGTTCTGCTTTTAGGAAGACTTCCTGCGCTTTTTCTTCTTCTAAACATGCTTTGGAAATTTTCATTTTTACTATTATGTTTTTAATTTTCATGAACTATTTTCTATTCCCTAAATCTTCTCTTATTTTTAATTATAAGATAATAATATTCTTATATACATATAATCTCATATTTAACTATAAGAAAAGCACAATTTTTCCTCATCTTTCTTAAGATATTAATTTTGTGTTTTTTTCACATTATCTTTTCCATGCATAAATCTCTCTTTCATATAGATTATTTTCTTCTTGTGGTTTCTTTATTTTGGCCTTTGTCTTTCATATTGGAGGGTTTGCTCAAAATGTGGTGACTTTCGGCTGTCATCTCGTATTTAAGGGTAGGGGACAAAAAGTTGATCAGAAGTTCTGCGTGCTATATGGGCTTCACTGTTAGGTGACTTGGCTGAGCATTTCACTGGGGGAACTGTCAACATCAATAGTTCTTGTTCTTTCTTTATGGGCAGGTTACAATCTCATAAGGTTCTACCAGCATTCCAGGAAAATAGATCAACAAGAAGCATGGGGTGGTATCAATATTCATAGTATATCAATTTTTATTTATTCCTCCTATCTTCACTTTGGTGTCCTGAACTTAATCCATATCTAGGGTTCCTCAGTCAAGAAATCCTCAATGTAAATGCTAGAGAATAAATCTCCAGCCTTCTGCTGGTGTGTGTAGTAAACGGGCAATCACCACTAACATGGGGTACAAGGAGTCTAGAGATCTAACTGCTTCTTAAACAGATTTTTGTTCAATCTTTCTGGTCTAAGCCACCTTCACCTTGACTTGCAGAAGTATCTGGGTCTATCAATTCCTGAATCTGTGTGTGGTAGAGGGAGTCTACCTTTGAACTAGTTGCTCTTGGCTTTCCCACAGCCAGTGTGGGATTCAGTTCTCTCAAGGCTGCCATGACAGTCCCCACTCTTCCAACCACTTTCCACCCTCCACAATTTGCTGTGGTTTCCCACCTCGTCTCATTCTCTTTGTCCTTGTGGATTTATGTCTTCCAAATATATCCCTTTATTTCCATTTTAGTGTGGTTTTAGAAGAGGTGGAAGTCAATGTATGTGGACAATGTGTTATTTTTGATGCAAAGCCTCAATCCAGGTTTTACCATTAATAAAACTAATATTTAATGTTTATCCATCAGATTGATTCTGTGATTTGGGGTTGTTAATTTACTTTTCTGAGCCTTTTTAAAAATTCTACCTCTCTTGTTCATTACAATCTCTTGTATCTGTGTATTAGATATACCATTAATGTTACATAAAATTAACCATTCAATGTTTTAGCAAATTCTTGTGAAAAACATTTTAAAGGGTATTTTTATGGTTGAACACGGAATTTTTTTCTCCATTACTAAAACTAAAAACTAATACACACTGCTATGGACTGAATGCTTGTGTCCTCCCAAATTCATATGTTGAAATCCTAACCACCAAGATGATGATATTAGAAGTGGGGCCTTCGGGAGGTGATTGGGTCATGGGAGTAGAGCCCGCATGGATGGAATTAGTGCCCTTATATATGACGTCAAAAAGAGTCCCCTCACTCCTCCACCATTTGAGGACACAGTGAGAAGGTAGCCCTCAGCAGACAGTGAATCAGCTGGCACTTTGATTTTGGACTTCCCAGCCTCCAGAACTGTGAGAAATAAATTTTTTGTTGTTTATAAGCTACTCCAGTTTATGATATTTTGTTATAGCTGCCTGAATGGACTAAGACACATACATTAAAATGTTAACTGAGCATTAAGACACAAAGATATGGAACAGGATATTTGACATACAGGAATGACTAAACTTATTGAAAACCTTTAATTATTTAGATGTCCAACTATATAATCACCTAAACCTTTAATTTCAAAATGAGCCTGTCTACAGCAAATTATATTTGTCAAACTACATTTTAATAAGATCTTATCAAGTCAAATGATGACACTATTTTTTAGAATGTGATAATGACAGGTACTCGAGAATTTTCTGCTTTCTCCAGGTCTTTATCTTTGTGCTAGTCAGAGAACATTTTGTAAGGCAAAATATGAAAACTGTAATGGTAAAAACTTTAAACTTATTTTATGTACATCATGTCTGAAGTTTGTTGAAAAACAATTGGTTTTCTTAACATTAAGAGGGGGCTAAGAACCCTGATTATCCCTTACAAAGGACAAAGGGTGGATGTACAATCCTCTTACAGGAAGGATGCCTGTCATCTGAAACCATCATACCCCCCCCCGCCCCCACACACACACACGCACACAGAGAGAGAGAGAGAGAGAGAGAAAGAGAGAGACATATTGAGTACTTAAATCATTGAAAAAAATGGGATTAGAAAGAAGTTGAATACCAGTTAGTATGGGAAAGTCTACAGGTTTAAAATTCTTTTTTCTTGACTTAAACACTGTATTTGTACATTATCACACTGCTGTAAAGAAATACCTGAGACCGAGTAATTAATTTATGAAGAAAAGGGGTTTAATTGGCTCACAGTTCCACAGGCTCTACAGAAAGCATGTCTGGGGAGGCCACAGGAAACTTACAACCATGGCAGAAGGTAAAGAGGAAGGTGAAGAGGAAGGCGGCATGTGTTCATGTGACCACAGCAGGAAGAAGAAAGGAGAGGTGCTACACACTTTTAAACAATCAGATCTTGTGATAACTCACTCACTATAATGAGAATAGGACCAAAGGGAAATCCACCCCATGATCTAATCACCTCCAACCAGGCTTCAACTCCAACATAGGGGATTACAATATGACATGAGATTTGGGCAGGGACACAGACACAAACCGTATCAAACACAATGTTCCTTTAAGAATTTAAGGCTGTATGATCCACCTTAAATTATGACTTGTGGGTTATCTTTGACACATAAGTTTATTTGAGGCCAGTATTTCTTTTAAGAGTACACCTAGGTCTCCTATGTAATATCGTTCACTTTAGGAAATACAGACCATATTCCATATGAATGCGGGTGCAATTAGAAACGACAGAGGTGAGAAGGTGGTAGATCAAGGTAATTTTGATGAAAAAGAACAACACAATGGATCAGGCAGCTTCATCTGGAGCACAGCAGTTTACACAGTGGCTGCCCAAACAGGCTAAATATTCAGTTTTCAAAACAGTGATGTTTCAGAAACATCAGGAATTATGTGGTGCTCAGGAAACAAAACAAAACAAAACAAATATCCAACTTTCCCTTCCTGCGAAGTCTCTTAAATTTAACTCTTTGTAGAGGTGCTTCTTTTAAAAAAAAAAAAAAAAAAAAAAGGGTCAGGCTCAGTCCCAAGCTGGAATGAGTATACTAGCACTTTAGAGGGTGCTGAAGTTTTCAAACACAAATCTCTTACACAGTTTTATCCTCACACATTCTGAGGATGTGGTCAGGGCATCTCTCTGACCAAGGCAGAAACTAAAGCACAGGGCAATTCAGTGACAGTGCTTCTCTAGCTCACCAGCAACTTCATACCTGGTTAATCACCCAAATGCCGCAGGCAAAAGGACACAATGATGCTTAACTGAACGCCAACCCCCTAATGAGAATGAATGACTCCTGCCCTGAGATCTAGGGACAGGTGGTGAGGTGTGCTGGACAACTGGGCACTGGCAGGAGGAAAAAGAGCAGAGGAAATTGGAGCCAAGGATCACAGACCAGCTCTGGTGTCGAACTTTTAGTATTAGAAGGCCTAGTGGTAGTTTAAGTGCAAAGAATTATTAAAATTAGTAATGAGAGAAAAATCAGACAATTTCATGAATGAAAATAGGCATAAATAGGCCGGGCGCGGTGGCTCATGCCTGTAATCCCAGCGCTTTGGGAGGCCAAGGCGGGCGGATCACCTGAGGTCAGGAATTCGAGACCAGCCTGGCCAACATGGTGAAACCCTGTCCTCTACTAAAAATACAAAAATTAGCCGGGCATGGTGGCATGTGCCTGTAATCTCAGCTACCATGGAGGCTGAGGCAGGAGAATCGCTGGAACCCGGGAGTCAGAGGCTGCAGTAAGCCGAAATCACACCACTGCACTCCAGCCTGGGTGACAGAGCAAGACTCCGTCTCAAAAAAAAAAAAAAAAAAAAAAGGAAAAAGAAAAAGAAAATAGGCATAAATAATAGATATTTTAAATTTTTACTGAGAAAGATCATTAAACTCCAGATGGTCTGCCAAAAAAGATTTGTTGGTGGTGTACTTTGAGTTTATGGCCAGTAATGAGTACACTGATAAAGTCTACTGGCACATTATTTACTCATTTTCTCATCAGCCTTGAAATTGGGACACTGAGATAATGGTGATGAGACATTTTTCTTCAATAAATTCAGAAAGGTTCATTTGTTTTAGAGAAAAGGTTTGGTAGGTTTTATACCCGTGTCTTATATTATTATTATTTTCTATGTTTATTTTTTCTTTATGAGCATAAGGGACCCAGTGATTCATTCTTCAACAAATACTTACTGAACATCTATTACAAACCAAGCACTGTTCTAGGTGCTGAAGGCTGAGTTAGGAAAAAACAGCAGAAAAGACAGTCAATATTTTTTAAATCAAATTTTTAACAGCATGGGATGGAGTTTGAAGAAAAACAAAGTACGAGACGAGAGTGGTGAAGATCCCATTTTAGGTACAGTCAACAAGAGAGTCAATGGTATACTGGCGACAGTTCATCCTTATTCATGACAGCACACTCTTCAATTTTTAGGAATTGTGAGAGCAGGATGTTAAACACAGATATTAATAGGGTTTGGATCTTTGTCCCCGCCCAAATCTCATGTCAAATTGTAATCCCCAATGTTAAAGGTGAGGCCTGGTGGGAGGTGATTGGATCATGGTGAGGGGGGTGGATTTCCCCCTTGGTACTGTCCTCACAACAGTGAGTGTGTTCTCAGGAGATCTGGTTGTTTAAAAGTGTGTGGCACTTCCCCACTCTCTCTTCCTCCTGCTCAGCCCTTGTGAAGTGCCGGCTCCCTCTTCACCTTCCATCATTGTAAGTTTCCTGAGGTCCCCTCAGAAGCTGAGCAGGTGCTAGCATCATGCTTCCTTTAGAGCCTGCGGGACGTGAGCCACTTTTCATCATAAATTACCCAGTCTCAGGTATTTCTTTACAGCAGTGTGAGAACAATCTAATACTGCCATTATTGAAAATTAAATTATATAAACTTCAAAGTCAACATATTATATTAAAAACAAAGGTAATAAATACTCAAACTCAGCATCCTCTATGTAGATTACTGACTATTACCATGATCTATGCCCTTTAAGTTATTTACATCTATGATACCTGTGTACTGGAAATATTATATAATGGTGTGCTGCTCCAATGTCTTCCCAACTCTGTGTTCAGTGATATCACATTGTAGCTTTAAATCGGCTATGACGGATGTATTTACACCATGGAAATTGGCAAACACTATAAGTCAGGGCTTTTTATCCCAGGGAGCCAGATTTTAAACATTTACCAGCATTTTACGGAAGAGAGATCTTTCTGACGAGCTAGTATTTGAGCAGAAGCCTGAATTAAATGTGGGAATATCTGGGGGAGGGCAATGCAGATATAGGCCTTAGACCAGCACTTGCTTGACATGTTCGAGGATCAGCCCAGAGAACAGCATGGCTCTAGGTAGGTGAAGACAAATAAGATACCATTTCTGTCCTCCAGGAAGTCAGTTCAGTGAGGGAGAGACCATAAACAGAAAATGATAATGAAATGAGCTTACAGAAAAGGCAGAAGGGAGTGGAACATGCTAAAGAACACCAGAGATTGGCCAGGTGTGGTGGTTCACACCTGTGATCCCAGCACTTTGGAAGGCCGAAGTGGGCGAATCACTTGAGGTCAGGAGTTTGAGATCAGCCTGGCCAACATGGTGAAACATCATCTCTACTAAAAGAATAAACAAAAAAATTAGCCGGGCATGGTGGTGTGTGCCTGTAATCCCAGCTACTCGGGAAGCTGAGGCAGGGGAATCGCTTGAACCCGGGAGGCGGAGGTTGCAGTGAGCTGAGATCACATCACTGCACTCCAGCTCGGGTGACAGAGCAAGACTCTCTATCAAAAAAAAAAAAAAAAAAAAAAAAAAAAAAAAACACCAGAGATGCAATCAGCAAAATCCAGGCTGGGAAACCCTATAGGACAGACAATCTAGTTTCTTCAACAAATCAACTGCAAGGAAATTGAGGCAGAATCTGTAAAATAAAAGAGACCTCAAAGACATATGAAGCCATGGGAAGATTATTTGGCGCCTGATTCAAGCAAACTGCAAAAAAATTATAAAATTAAGATTTAGGCCCTCTCCCTCTCCCTCTCCCTCTCCCCACAGTCTCCCTCTCCCTCTCTTTCCACGGTCTCCCTCTGATGCCGAGCCGAAGCTGGACTGTACTGCTGCCATCTCCGCTCACTGCAACCTCCCTGCCTGATTCTCCTGCCTCAGCCTGCCGAGTGCCTGCGATTGCAGGTGCGTGCCACCACGCCTGACTGGTTTTCGTATTTTTTTGGTGGAGACAGGGTTTCGCTGTGTTGGCCGGGCTGGTCTCCAGCTCCTAACCGCGAGTGATCTGCCAGCCTCGGCCTCCCGAGGTGCCAGGATTGCAGACAGAGTCTCCTTCACTCAGTGCTCAATGGTGCCCAGGCTGGAGTGCAGTGGCATGATCTCGACTCGCTACAACCTCCACCTCCCAGCCGCCTGTCTTGGCCTCCCAAAGTGCCGAGATTGCAGCCTCTGCCCGGCCGCCACCCCGTCTGGGAAGTGAGGAGCATCTCTGCCTGGCCGCCCATTGTCTGGGATGTGAGGAGCCCCTCTGCCCGGCTGCCCAGTCTGGGAAGTGAGGAGCGCCTCTTCCCAGCCGCCATCCCGTCTAGGAAGTGAGCAGCGTCTCTGCCCGGCTGCCCATCATCTGAGATGTGGAGAGCGCCTCTGCCCCGCCACCCTGAGAAGTGAGGAGCCCCTCCGCCCGGCAGCCGCCCCGTCTGAGAAGTGAGGAGCCCCTCCGCCCGGCAGCCGCCCCATCTGAGAAGTGAGGAGCCCCTCTGCCCAGCAGCCGCCCCCGCCCGGGAAGTGAGGAGGTCTCCGCCAGGCAGCCGCCCCGTCCTGGAGGTGGGGGGCAGCCCCCCCCCCCCCCGACCAGCCGCCCCGTCCGGGAGGGAGGGAGGCGGGGGGGCAGCCCCCGCCCAGCTGCCGCCCCGTCCGGGAGGTGGGGGCACCTCTGCCCAGCCGCCCCTACTGGGAAGTGAGGAGCCCCTCTGCCCTGCCACCACCCCGTCTGGGAGGTGTACCCAACAGCTCATTGAGAACGGGCCATGATGACGATGGCGGTTTTGTCGAATAGAAAAGGGGGAAATGTGGGGAAAAGATAGAGAAATCAGATTGTTGCTGTGTCTGTGTAGAAAGAAGTAGACATAGGAGACTCCATTTTGTTCTGTACTAAGAAAAATTCTTCTGCCTTGGGATCCTGTTGATCTGTGACCTTACCCCCAACCCAACCCTGTGCTCTCTGAAACATGTGCTGTGTCCACTCAGGGATAAATGGATTAAGGGCGGTGCAAGATGTGCTTTGTTAAACAGATGCTTGAAGGCAGCATGCTCGTTAAGAGTCATCACCACTCCCTAATCTCAAGTACCCAGGGACACAAACACTGCGGAAGGCCGCAGGGTCCTCTGCCTAGGAAAACCAGAGACCTTTGTTCACTTGTTTATCTGCTGACCTTCCCTCCACTATTGTCCTATGACCCTGCCAAATCCCCCTCTGCGAGAAACACCCAAGAATGATCAATAAAAAAAAAAAGAAAAAAAAAAAAGATTTAGCCTTTCTGCCAGAACCGCCATCTTCCAGTAATTCACCAAAATGACGAACACAAAGGGAAAGAGGAGAGGCACCCGATATATGTTCTCCAGGCCTTTTAGAAAACATGGAGTTGTTCCTTTGGCCACGTATATGCAAATCTATAAGAAAGGTGATATTGTAGACATCAAGGGAATGGGTACTGTTCGAAAAGGAATGCCCCGCAAGTGTTACCATGGCAAAACTGGAGGAGTCTACAGTGTTACCCAGCATGCTGTTGGCATTGTTGTAAACAAACAAGGACAAGATTCTTGCCAAGAGAATTAACGTGCGTATTGAGCACATTAAGCACTCTAAGAGCCGAGATAGCTTCCTGAAACGCATGAAGGAAAATGATCAGAAAAAGAAGGAAGCCAAAGAGAAAGGTACCTGGGTTCAACTAAAGCACCAGCCTGCTCCACCCAGAGAAGCACACTTTGTGAGAACCAATGGGAAGGAGCCTGAGCTGCTGGAACCTACTCCCTATGAATTCATGCCATAATAGGTGTTTAAAAAAAATAATAATAAAGGACCTCTGGGCTGTAAAAAAAAAAAAAAAAAAAAGATGTAAGTTAAAAGTATAATTAATATAAATTATAGATATGTGGAAATTTAAACATTAAAGGGACATTTGATGGTATTTAAAAATTACTACTTTAATTTGTAAAATTTTAGGTGAGATAATGGTTTTGTGGTTATTTTCAAATGTTTTTATGTTTCAGAGATACATACCAAAATATGTATAAGTGAAATGATATGATATCTGGTATCTTCCTCCAACTAACACAGGAAGGGGAAGTGGCTGGATGAAACAAGATTGGCCATGAATTGATCATTGTTGAGCTGCGTGGTGGTTACATAAGGATCAATTTTGTAAATAATTAAAACTCCATAATAAAAAGTTTTGTAAGAACTTTTTCTGGACTGGATACAAAAGGACTGACAGAATTGCTGACAAGGTATTTGAGGGCATTGGGAAGACTTCCAAGGAAATTGGGACACTCATGTGAAAGCGTTCCTAGGCAGCAAGAGAGCATGAACAAACAAATTAAGTTATTTTAAGCATCACCTAACATCATCGATATCAAACATGGTTAGTATTTGTTTTTCATCAAGAGCAGGCTATTATCACATGGAAACAGGTTGCCAGAGTTCATGGAACTTCCTTTGAAATGGATATGTGTAGAAATGGGCTGAGTGAAACAGGAGAGGGACTGAACGTTTGACTGGGATATCAGGAGATCCAGAGTGACAATCCTGGCTCTGTCATTAACCAGTCGTATGTCTTGGAGAAAGGCTCTTAAATTTCGAGTGTCTCCATTTCCTTGTTTACAAAACAAGAAGGCCTGACTTATTCCCTGAGAACCCTTCTTCAATCTACTATTCTATGTGGGTTTCCACAGACATAAAATGATAATGGTGGGGTCATATGTAAGAAATTATCAACCTCAGGTCTCTGCAGCATCACTGTCAGAACCTCCAATGTCAGCATCTTTGCTACAGGCAACCCCAGAAAAGTCCCTGACATAACCGTCTGCTTCACATGAGAAGCAGATGGAAGGAATAGAGTGTGACTGCGTGCATTGTTTTTCAACGCAGTAATTAAAATCTTGGTGCCCTTCTCAGTAAGATAAGAGAATTTATTTACATTTGGCAACTTACTAGTTAAAAGTTCCTCTCTACTTGGAAACTACACTTGCTTTATTTCCTTGTTTCCATAAAGGAATATTGAAAAATCTGCTTCTTGGTGTCTCAAATGAAGTTAAAATATTTCTGATTGGATATCATCTTGGGCCCACAATTTCTAATAAAATAAAAGGTGCCTGGCCAGGTGTGGTGGCTCACGCCTGTAATACCAGCACTTTGGAGGGCCGAGGTGGGTAGATCATGAGGTCACGAGTTCAAGACCAGCCTGGCCAACATAGTGAAACCCCGTCTCTACTAAAAATACAAAAATTAGCTGGGTGTGGTGGCACACACCTGTAGTCCCAGCTACTCAGGAGGCTGAGGTAGGAGAATCACTTGAACCCAGGAGGCAGAGGTCGCAGTGAGCCAAGATCACGCCATTGCATTCCAGCCTGGGTAACAGAATGAGACTCCATCTCAAAGAAAAAAAAAAGGTGCCAAAATAACTTCCTTAGACACCACTCCCCACATGTTTTGAACCATAGTAGAGACTCAGCTGCAACCATCCCTATCACGGAAGGACAGATGTGAACTCTGAGGCCCAGAACTGCTGGATATTTAGAGACCCACCAGCTCCCGTCCTACCTTGGCAGAAGGCTGGAGGCTGCACAGACTCATCTGGGAAAACTGGCATTTGAGATAAAAACAAGGGTGAGTGAGATCTGCCTGGGTCTGTGATTCTCCATGTCCTGCAATTTTTTCCAGAGCATGACTGAGAAGAAGGTTTATCTGGTGCAGAGAAAAGAGATAGCCTGAGTGTGGTGGACCTGCAGACCACCTAACATTTGGGGAAACTGAGGCAGACTGTCCTTCTCTTCTTCTCTGTGCTCCAGCCTCTCAGGTTTTGCAGTCAGGGGAAGGACCACACTCTCACATTAACTACATCCTTCCCTCACATCTCTCTTAAGCTTCCAGTGCTCAGGCAAGCTTCCTGACTGAGGTGGCCTCTGTTAACCTGCAGCCTCATGACATCTCTCTGCTTTCCTTCCAGCATTTTATCAGTTTGTAATTACGTATTAACTGCCGTGATTACATGATTAGTATGCCTTTCCCATGACACTAAACAGATATTACAGATCCTGGATATATATTTTTTCTTTTTAAAATTGAAGAACACACTAGCCGGGCGCGGTGGCTCATCCCTGTAATCCCAACACTTTGGGAGGCTGAAGTGGGCAGATCACTTGAGGTCAGGAGTTCATGACCAGCCTGGCCAACATGGCGAAATCCGTTCTCTACTAAAAATACAAAAAAAAAAAAAAAAAGTCTGGGCCTGGTGGCTCACACATATAATCCCAGCTACTCAGGAGGCTGAGGCAGGATAATCACTTGAACCCAGGAGATGGAGGTTGCAGTGAGCTGAGATCCCACCATTGCACTCCAGCCTGGGTGACAGAGCAAGACTGTGTCTCAAATAAATAAATAAATAAATAAGCCGGGCATGGTGGCACGCCCCTGTAATCCCAGCTACTCAGGAGGCTGAGGCATGAGAATCTCTTGAACCCAGGAGGCAGAGGTTACAGTGAGCCGAGATCACACCACTGCACTCCAGCCTGGGTGACAGAGCGACACTGTGTCTCAAAAAATAATAATAAAATAAAGTTGAAGAACATACGGAAAATGCACAACTCATAAGATTGCAGCTTAGTGAATATTACAAAGTCAACACACCTGTTGACCATCGTCCAGGTCAAGAAACAGAACAGTCCCGGAACCCCAGAAGGCACTTTCCCTCCTTCCCAAAGCTACCACTCTGCTGACATCCATAGGTTAGTTTTGCCTCCTTTTTAGTTTTTAATCTTAAAACTTAAAAAAAAGAGATATAACTTACATACAGTGAATTTTACCCTTTATATCGTACAGTTCTATAAGTTTTGATAAAAGTAAACCCCAAACTCAATCAAGATACGGAACAGTTCCACAACTCCCTCAAATTCCCTTGTGCCCTAGGTAGTCAACCCCTCCCCCAACCCCCAGCTCTTGAAAATCACTGATTTGTTTCCTTTACCTATAATTTTATATATTTCAGTGTTTTTTTTTTTTTTTTTTTCAGGGTCTCCCTCTGTCTCCCAGGCTGGAGAACAGTGGCACAATCAGGGCTCACTGCAGCCTCGACCTCCCAGGCTCAAGCGATCCTCCCTCCTCAGGACTCCCTCCAGCTCCCCCACCACGAAATAGCTGGGACTACAGATGAATGATGCAGTATTTTGGGGTGACGGGGTATGGGGGTGGGTGTTTGAACTCTGTCACTCAGTGTTTGTGAGATTCATTCATGATGTTGTGTATAACAGTAGTTCACCTGCATTGCTCTATCAATGTGCCATGATTTATTTATATGAATTGGTATGGATATACTACCAAGTATTTATCCATTGTATTGTCGATGGTCATCTGGGTTGTTTCCAGTTTGAGGCTTTTACAAATAATGCTGCTAGAAATATTCTTGCCCGTGCTTTTTTATGCTTATGGGTATGCATCTTCTTTATGGCTTGGTGATACCAGCGTCAGGAAGATGTGCTCCTATGTTAGTTTCCCTAAGTTTCACGCTACTATGGAAAGAGACCACCATTTCTGCTGTCCTTCCCAGCTTCTCCCCCACCTCCCCTTTTCCCTAGTTTATAAGACAGGAGAAAAGAGAGAAAGCAAAAAGTTGGAAAAAAACAGAAGTAAGATAAATAGCTAGACGACCTTGGCGCCACCACCTGGCCCTGGTGGTTAAAATAATAATAATAATATTAACCCCTGACCAAAACTACTGGCGTTATCCGTAAATTCCAGACATCGTATGAGAAAGCACTGTAAAACTTCTTGTTCTGTTAGCTGATGTATGTAGCCCCCAGTCACGTTCCTCACGCTTACTTGATCTATCATGACCCTTTCACGTAGACAGACCCCTTAGCGTTGTAAGCCCTTAAAATGGCTAGGAATTTCTTTTTCAGGGAGCTCGGCTCTTAAGACGCGAGTCTGCCGACGCTCCCGGCCGAATAAAAACCTCTTCCTTCTTTAATCCGGTGTCTGAGGAGTTTTGTCTGCGGCTCCTCCTGCTACACTACCTTTCGCACTTAGAGATACAATTGATCTGGAGTTCAGAGCTGTGTGTGATGGGAGGTAGGGGGCCAAGTTCCCTTTTTTCTTTTCCCTACGTGGATATCCCTTTGACCGAGCACCATTAACCAAAAATAGTTCCTTCCTGTGCTCTGCAGCCCCGCCTCTGAAATAAATTGTCCATACACGTGTATTTTTGTTTCTGGTCTCTATCTTATGTTCCACTGGTCTTCCTACTTTGCTTTTCTTTTTCAAGATTTTTTTCTGGCTGTTCTTGACCCTCTGAGTTTCTACATAGTCTTCAGGCCCCTATCTGGGTGCACTTCCTGGTATCCCAGCATCTGACATGTGCCTGGCGCGCAGCAGGAACTCACGGCTGGCTGTAGCCTGGATGCATCAGAGACGATGGCAAACCCTTCTCACACGTGCCAGGTTCCAGCAACCCACCCTAGCCCCGCAATTCCTCCTCGCTCACTCCCACCCCCTGCAGCGCACCCGCAAACGGCAAGGAGGCGTGCCCGCCGCGGCGCGCGTCACTTTCCCCCGGACCGACTGGCTCCGCCGCGGCTCTCCCCGCCCCCGCCTCCGCCTCCACGTCTTGGGGCCGGGCCGGAAGGCAGATCTCACCGCCTGCTTCCCTCTGCAGCGGTAGCACAAGCTCAGCGATGGCGGCTCCAGAAGGCAGCGGTCTAGGCGAGGACGCCCGGCTGGACCAGGAGACCGCCCAGTGGCTGCGCTGGGACAAGGTGAGGGGCACCAGCAGGCGGGGAGCGCCTGGAGCGGGGCCGGGTGCTCTGCCCTCTCCAGGCGCGGCGCTGCTTGCTCTGCCTGAGCTGCCTTCCCGCCCAGTGCATCCCGCTTCTCCCCCGGGAAGACCCAGGAGCGTACGGCCGCTGCTAGGCTTCCTTCGACCTGGCCGGCATGCGGCACGTTCAGAGTTAGGCCGGGAAGGCTTGTCCCCGGACGAAACCAGCCATCCGGCCGGCCGGACTGCAAGTTCGGAGTAGAGGAGCGAGCCAGGGTGGTGTAAGCGCGGCCAGACCCTGGACGCTGTCTAGTTGAGGGGCGCACGCCTTACTGTCACTCAGACCGCTGGCTCGTCGTCGGTAGTCGGCTGTGCATCCCCATGGACCCAGAATCGCTCCGTCCCGCGTATTCCTTTGGCCGCTGAGACCTTTGCAGAGCAGCGTTCTGGTCCGGTCCTCCCATCCCGAGGGCTTGGTTACAAACGTGGGTTGTCCTCCCGGGTGGGCCCGCCTGGCTTCAGGAGTCCCCCTTAGAACTTTGACTGCCAGGGAGGCACACCTGGGACACAGCACGGTTTTCTCTCTCTTCATTCCGTTTCTTAGAATCAGGAACCCAGCTCTGGACATCACTCCCTCTCCTCTCTATAAACTTGCGTCTCGCCCTTTCGACCTGTTCTGCTTGCTGTTAGGTTTTCTCGGAATGTCCCTCGCTGCTCTCCTGCTGAACTTGTTTCTCCCGTTGTGACTCATATTTTGTGCCTGAACTTAAATGTGGCTTACGTAGAGAGTCAGTCCTTCCTTGGCTCCGAAGCGTTAAATTATTTATCCCTAATATTCACTCTAAACAGTCTGTTATTTTCCTTTATAGCTCTTACTACAAATGGTAAAAACAAAAAACTCCAAAAACACTTGTTTGTAGGTTTGTTTAATGTCTGTCTCCAGGGCCGACTTCAGGGGCGAGAGACCCCTGCAGTCTCACAGGACTCGCGCTCCTTGAAGGGCCCACTGTTGTTTTAATGTCCTGCTGTCCTGTCTTGAAAGTCTTACTGGTAAAACAAGAGGTCACCCACTTTCATTGTGCACTGGACCTCCATAAATTATGTGGCCAGGCCTCTCTATTCTCACTACCTTGGTTTGTAGTGCCTGGCATAGGCATAGTGCATGACACATAGTAGGTCACTGAAATACTTGAATGAACAAAGAAGATTACAAGGTCAGTAGGGGTCAGGTCTTTGTCTTTATTTACCATTCTCTGGCCCCTACAAATAAAATGTCAGCAAATCCCATTTCCAGGATGCTATTGGCAACTCCTTGGGGGCGTTTTTCTTTTCCTGGGAAGATAACCTTGTGATTCACAAGGGAAGAAAAATGTTTCCATTTCTGATAACTTGTAGCTTGCAGAGTACAGAATTCTTTTGAAGTCAGAGTTCATAATGCACTTTCTCTAAGAAGAAGAAGAAAACAATCTAATTTCTACACAGTGTTGCATCTGTGTATAGAAAAATTGTATTTCTCTGGGTAGAGATGAGATGTCCTTTTTTTTTTTTAATCACTTCTCATGTTCTATCCTCTGTTAATTTCTTCTTTGCTTTGAGACTGGCACCTGAGAAGAAGCCCATTCATTCTCCAGTGAACCTCCCACCAGCTAAAAGCATTGCAGCCCTCTAGTCAGACTACCCCCGGCGACTGGCAAGGCGCCCTGGCAGGTGCCCTCTGTCTTTCCACCGTGCCTTCATCCCTGCTCTTTTCTCTGCTGTCAGTTTTGCTCACTGCCAGGGCTGATTCTGATCCTGCTGTACTCTTGACTTGTCATTCTTACCTGTCTGTCTCCTTTGTTTCTCTCAGGCTACTTAGTCTTTCATAGATATCAAAGACCAATTAAGATTTTCCAGACCTACACTATGAACAAGGGAGGATCACTCGATATTGAGTGTGGCAGTGAAGTCCATGTTTTCTGATTCACTCCACTAATATTTATTGAGGCTCTTTTATGAGCCTCTTTTATGTACCTGATCTGAGCCTTTCTTTGGGGCACCTGACAATCTGATAGGTAAGACTGTGTTCTGTAATTAGCATCTGCTGTTTTTCACCAAAAAAGATGGGGTTTACTTGATTCCCATTGAATCTGCCACAATCTGGAAATGTGGGCTTAATTCCAGAAAGCCAAGGTTTTATTGCAGTAGTATTTCAAAGTTTAATTAAATGGCCACGTCCTGCGTGAGTGCTCATCTAAATGGATAATGACTGTAAAACAGGAATATAAAGTCCTTCCTCTGTTGTTTTCCTGAATTCATAACTTAAAAGTCTCATATGAAACTAATGTGATTGTCATTATTTTTCTCCAACCATAACATTTTCTGCAACTACCATACAAAAAAAAAATAGGGCAATGTATAATGAACTTAAATGAATCATGTTAGCGTCTATTTGAAGCAGTTAATGTTATAGAAAAGGCACTAGATTAATGTTTATCTTGCAATTTAAGCAAGTCACCCAATCTCTGAGGCTTCCCCATCTATAAAATTGGGTTTCTGTTATTTGTCTACTTCTTGGAGATGTTACAATATTCAAACTTGACCAGGTATGTGAATGCCTGGTATGAATTATAAAACATTACAAAAGTAAGGTTTTGACTTAAGTTGTGTAATCTATCACTCTGGAAAATTTGAGGGCATTAGGGAAAAAAATGGACATTTAATCACAACTAAATGCCAGGTAGAGAAAGATATTTTACATTAATTTGAAGTAAACCACCTTAAAACCTTAAAAATCGTGTAAGGGAGGTTCTAGATTATTCCCATTTTGCAAATAGGGAAACAGAATTTGAGAACTGGAATAATCTGCGCAAGCACCTAGAGTTGGCAAGTGGTATTCTGGGATTCCATTCTGGGGGTTAGACTCATATGCTAAAATCTCTACTTTGATTTCTCCAAAGGTGCTTACCTTGACAGGAAAGAAAAGAACACTTACATTATAATGTCAAACTGACTTCATATTTCAGATTTCAAAAGCATCAGAAAATTGAAAGGTCTACATATATATATATACATATATATATATTTTCTATAGATTAGAATGATTGTGAATTTTTTTACATTTCTGATTTTTCATTCACTTGTCTGGCTGTGTCTATACATTTTTGTTTTTCAGAATTCCTTAACTTTGGAGGCAGTGAAACGACTAATAGCAGAAGGTAATAAAGAAGAACTACGAAAATGTTTTGGGGCCCGAATGGAGTTTGGGACAGCTGGCCTCCGAGCTGCTATGGGACCTGGAATTTCTCGTATGAATGACTTGACCATCATCCAGACTACACAGGTACCATGTTTTTTATAATTCTTAGTAACTCAATGTATCCCCTAGCTCATTTTCTATTTGGCAGACCTAATTTATTCTAATTATAGACATGTCTTACCAGCTTGGCTAGACACAGGAAGTCACCACCATTTACTCCATAAAGTAAGGCTTGCACAATAGGTCGAAGTAGCACTTATTCAGGACTCATATAGCCATCCATCCATTCATTCATTCATTTAACACACTTATTGAGTACATACCATGTGCCAGCACTGGGGATATAAGAATGACTCGAACAAACAGATTCTCTCATGGAGCTTTCATTCCAGTATAAATGCACCAACTAAGCTGACAACTTTTAAGGTCCTGTAATTTTTGCCATGATTACATAGCAAGTGCTAAAAAGCTTTTCTAACTGCCGGAGTTACCAAGAGCCTGTTCTCCTTTGTTTTATAGTATGGATTGAGTCTGTCTTAATTTGTGAATATTTTTGTCAGAATCTAGACCCAGCTTTTAGGAAGGAGATAATTTGACAAAACAGAAGTGCTTCTACTGGGTATTGGCAGTACTGTTTATGAGGGAAATGAAATAGAACAGATTATTCACATCAGTATTTCTTCACCTTAGACCTGTTGATGATGAATGTCACTTTAATTGTGGGAAAAGAAAGGCTAGAAAAAATTGCCTAATAGTGATTACATGTGCCTCACGTATACATCCCAGTGTAAAAGGCAGAGCTGGGCATGTTGTAACAAAACTCCAACAAGGAAAGCTTATCTAAGGGTATAGAATTACCACAGGGGCCAGGCGCGATGGCTCACACCTGTAATCCCAGCACTTTGGGAGGCTGAGCCAGGCAGATCACTTGAGCCTAGGAGTTCATGACCAGCCTGAGCAACATGGTGAAACCCTGTCTCTACCAAAAATACAAAAATTAGCCAGGCGTGGTGGTGTGCACCTGTAATTCCAGCTTCTTGGGAGGCTGAGACAGAAGGATTGTTTGAACCCGGAAGGCAAGGTCGTAGTGAGCCGACATTGTGCCACTGGACTCCAGCCTGGGCAACAGAGCAAGACTCTGTCTCAAAAAAAAAAAAAAAAAAAAAGAATTGCCATGGGAACTCCTGGTCACAAATTGTTATTAAGCAATAGGGCTCCCTGAGATGCTGGAGGAAAGACTTAGAATGGGGTAAGTATGGGAATCCTGTTTGGTTCATGGATAACATAGGAACTGTGCTGCTGAATAAGGTTGCCTTCTGTACCAGTTACTAGGGCTATGTAACAAATCATTGAAAACATAATGGTTTAAAACAACAACCACATTTATTTTGCTCACAAATCTGCAATTTTGGTAGAACTCAGTGGGGACAGCTTGTCTCTGCTCCACTCAGCACCATCTGGGCCAGTTTGGAGGTTGGAATCATTTGAAGGCACCTTCATTCACACGTCTGAAATTATTACTGGCTATTGGCTGGGATCTTAGCTGGGGTTGGAACCCCTTCATGTGGCCTGGACTTCCTTATAACATGGTGGTTGGCTTTCAGTGAAGTATCCAGAGAGGGAGAGAGAGAGAATGTGCCAATTGGAAGCTGTGCTGACTTTTATGACGTAGCTTTGAAAGTCACACAGTGTCACTTCTACCGTATTCGGTTTGTTAAAAGTGAGTCAATAAGGCTGTCTCATATTCAAGGAGAGGGCACATAGATACCCACTTCTCATTAAAGGAGCATTGATGTCACATTGTAAGAGGAACATGTGAGATGGCTTATATTACTGGGGCCATCTTTGGACAATCCAGTTGGTTACACCTGCCATTGGGCCTAATTGTTAGGGGTTTCTAAGGGATTCTAGATTAACCTAGAGCTTTTTCCCCTGTATTTTTCTATATCTAGTTTCTGAGAATAATGAAATGTATTCCCATTAAGGACTATCTTACCCATTTTTATCCTAGAATTCATCTCCTCTGGGGGTAAACCCTGTGGTAAACATAGATGATCAATATTCTAAAGGTCATGTAATTCAACCAGACACCCCTTGGGATAATTTTCTCCATGACCCCACCACTCTGAAGTGCTCATTCAGCCTATTCTTGGATACTTGTAATAGGAGACAGAGATGTGAAGAGTTAAGAAAGTTTTATCTGAGCAGCAAGTATATCTTTAAAATCTTAGGAGTGGATTCAAAATTAGAGGCAAGAGGATTCCCAGAACAAACAACCCAGGTTTCTACCCAGTCTTGGGTAGTGTTCCCTGGCAGAATGCTGATATGCAAATATATTTGTCACTTTTCACTGATCAGACTTTCATGGTGGCATAGGTGCCCTTCCTGCTGGTCTCTGGGTGTGGAGCCTCATTCTGAGGTACCCCAAAGTTTGCCTGGTTCATTTAAGAAGCAGATGTATGTGATTCAAAAATATGTCAAAGGAAACAGGACAGAGACTGGAGGAAACTTTTGTATTGTTTGCCTCATTGATAGAGGTTATAATTTCCTCCTGCCAATTAATTTATGCTTTATTTATGTTCTATTTTGGGTTCTGTGTTCATAGATTATTTAATTTAGCCATAGCATACCAGTGATGGGAAACTCACTGTCCTCTGAAAGAGGCCATTCTATCTTTGGACCATTCTCATTAAAAGATGGTTTCATTATTTTAAGCCAAAATCTGCCTTTCTGTAGACTTTACATATTGGTCTTAGTTCTACTTTTTGAAGGTCATACACATAAACTTGCTTCTTATGTTTTATAATAACATTTTATTTCTGAAAACCTCCCTCTTCCCCCACTGAGTCTTTCATCTAGAATAAGAATTCCCTTTTCCCTTGGCCATTCTTTCAGGTCCTCATCCTCAGCAGGCCTCCGAGATTTTTAGAGAATCTGGAGATGTGAATGCTTTTTTGCCCCATGGAGCATTGGGGCCACAGCTCAAGGGTTGAGCAGGAAGAGGGGTACTGTCACTGTTGTAAGTCTTGAAGTATCAGGCATCTGGGTACCTTCTGGGGAACCCACAAAACCAATACACATGGCCTTATTTCCTTGTATCACTCAGCCTCAGAAGATAATCCCAGTGCAATGTATTTGTCAAGGAAAAGCTAAAGGCATTCTAAATTAGCTTGGCTCTCGCAACAAGACTGTGATGTATCCCCTCCTACCCAAAATAAAAATTATGGCTTGGACATGGTGGCTCATGCCTGTAATCCGAGCACTTTAGGAGGCCAAGGCAGGAGGATTGCTTGAGCCCACAAGATTGAAACCAGCCTGGGCAATATGGCAAGATCCCATCTCTACAAAAATTGTTTTTTAAAAATTAGCCAGACATGGTAGCATGTGCCTGTAGTCCCAGCACCTCAGGAGGCTGAGGTGAGAGGATTACTTGAGCCTGAGAGATTGAGGCTGCAGTGAACCATGATCGTGTCACTGCACTCCAGCATGGGAGAGAGTGAGACCCCATCTCAAAAGAAAAAGAGTTATGTATATTTTAATAAGACTTCCTTTAGCAAAAGTGAAATAAATAATATAAAATGAATCATTATTTTTGCCCAATCAACCAGAGTTCTCTTTGTTTTATATGGCTTTGAAGGAAAATAACAACAAAAATAATGCGTAAAACAGCAAACACTTAATATAGTACTTAGTTGGTGTTGAATTCTCAGCACTTTGCATGTTTTCATTCATTTACTCCTTATGAGGTAGGTATTATTGTTATTCCTGTTTTACAGAAGAGGAAACTAAGGCACCAAGAAATTAAGGAACTTGTCATTTGCTTGTAGGTGGCAGCGTGGAGTACAAATTCTCAGATTGTGCTTCTAGAGTATGTGCTTTTAAGCCCTACACTGAACTACCTCTCACCAGCCCTGGATACAAATCCAGGCTCTGCTACTCGAATATCTGAAACTGTCACTGTGCCTCTCTGAGGCTTATTTTACCCATCTATAAAATGGGTTTTCTGGTCAGGTGCAGTGGCCCACACCTGTAATCCCAGCATTTTGGGAGGTCAAGACAGGAGGATTATTTGACAGTAGTTCAAGACCAACCTGGGCAACATTGCAAGACCCTGTCTCTACAAAAAATTTTTAAAAATTAGTTGGGCCTGGTAGCATGCACCTGTGGTCCTAGCTTCTCAGGAGGCTGAGGTAGGGGGGGATTGCTTAAACCCAGGAATTCAAGGTTGCAGTGAACTATGATTGTGCCATTGCAACTCCAGCCTAGGCAACAGAGCAAGACCCTGTCTCTGGAAAAAAAAAAAAATTTCCTAACAAAGTTGATCTGAGGTTAGAGATAACAGCTACTAAGTGATCAATGACTAACACAGTGCCCAATACAAAAACATAGATAATAAACAAAGCTGTTATTTTATTATTGTTCAGTTTGCTTCCTTACTGAGATGAATTTTTCCCTCTCTCCCATAGTGTTCTATGAAATTTGAGAAAACTTAATTTTTGGCTAATTTTTCTATATGGTATATATAAAAATATGTTAAAACATACTTTTTAAATCTATGGTGTATTTGTAGGGATTTTGCAGATACCTGGAAAAACAATTCAGTGACTTAAAGCAGAAAGGCATCGTGATCAGTTTTGACGCCCGAGCTCATCCATCCAGTGGGGGTAGCAGCAGAAGGTATTTAAACATTTTTACAAAATGATGTTTTTATAATTTATTTTGCAGTTTTATTTTAATCACCATCTCAATAACTTGACTTTAATATATTCATTAGCCTCATTGCTTAACTGTAAAAACAATGGGTAAATTCTCTTGGCAACTTTTAAAGATTCTGGTTTTACATTAGGTTAAGGAAATAAAATTATTTAGACAATTTAGAATGTAATACCTAGCTAAAAGAAAGAAATTTCTTAAACTGGCAATATTATTTTTCCCTCTCATTTGCCTTTTTATACATAATTTTTACCCTGCTATTCATAAACCTCATGACCCCCTTCCCTCTCTTGAACGCCCACGTCAAGCTGCATTTCTGAAACATTCTCAAACCAATGGGACTCTCTTATGTAGCTGAAGGCATATGATGCTGATGGTGACAATGATAATAGTAATAGCAGCAATCATTTGAGTGCTGATTATGAACCAGACACTTATGTATTTACTCATTCTATCCTCACAGCAACGTGTAAGGTATGTACTTTTATCTCTTTACCCTGAGATTATAATGTGAAAGGAGGAGTCGCAATTTAAGCCTAAGGACACTAGTACCAGGGGTCAGCAAACTTTTTCTCTAAAGGGCAAATAGTGGATATCATACACATTGCATATCACATGATTCCCATCACCACTACTCACCTCTCCCATGAAGCAGAGAAACATCCATCGACAATGCATAAACACAGGAGCATGGCAGTGTTCCAGTAAAACTTTACTTACAAAATGGGCTGTAGTTACCAACCCCTGCCCGTAACCATGTTACATAACCCTCTTTTTTACTTGAACACTTCCTCTGTTATGATGAATTTTTAATCATTCTAGAGTATCAGTATTAGTAGTAGCTTAGAATTACACATATTGAATATTAATGAAAAGTCTTATTAGCTTTACAGAGCTGGATGAGTTTATAGAGTCCTATCTTTGCCCATCAGGAGCTTCCAATCTAAGACAGAAGCACTCGTGGGGACAAACGTGTGGCCGTGAGGAAGGGTGCATAGCCGGGGAAAATCACCCGGTGGCATCAGCCCCAGGTTCAACTCAGGAGGGCATAAGATTTTTAGTCTTTAGCTTTGCAGCTCAAAAATGTGCTTTTTGTCAATAAAGCAAGAGAAAAGTTATAGCTCTGGGGGATAGATGCACATGAACTACATTCACAAGAGAATGATGTGGTATAAACCAGCATATCAGCTTGTCATTTACAGTTAGTGGATGTACAATCAGAACTAAATCGTGACCGTGTTCCTCTGCCGCCCCAGGGCAAGTCAGATCCTTTGCTCAGAGCATGCAAAGTGCACGTATGTGGCTAAGTCTGTCTGCTGAGCTGCGTAAATTTCTTCATTTTGGGCTGACTGCCCTGCTTCTGGTTGATACAACCTTCAGAGATATGTTAACATTATCAATTAAGGTACAGATTTTTTTGCCCTGGCCTTGGAGCCGTATCATTTCCTTAAAGTGAGTGATGTTACTGATTTAAGCTTATGGTTCAAGTCTCAGAGTTTGATGGGATGGGATGGAGTGGAACTCAAGGCTACTCTCTATCACCTGTAACGCGTGAGACATTTAGAGATCATAATGTAAGTGTTTAACCAACACATGGTAAAATATTCATGATGAGTGAATGGAATCTTCGTAAGGAGTTGGAAACTATTGCAGTTTCTGAATTTCGCCCGAGGAGATGTTTATCCTTTAATCTTCCAATTTTAAATATCTGGTGGGGAACGTAAGCAGTAACTGTTAAGTATATGCAGAGAACGCATTGCATTTTTTTGTGCACATTTGTAACAGAGAGAGAGAGTGGCGATCTGCTCTTTGTGCCCCAGCCAGCCTTCAGAATAGTGTCGGCGAAGCTAGTGCCCAAGAAGTATTTGGGGAGAGTAAGAATGATCTGATTGTTTAACTCACAGGGGTGGTATAATGTTGTTCATTCTAAGTAAATCGCTCATTTATTTGTGGTAACGTATTTTACACCAGCTTGAAGGAAGATTTGATGCCATTTTCTGCGTCTTACCCTAAGCAAGTTTCTGTGGAAGTTGAGAAAAATGTCAAAGAATTAAGTTTTCTTTCAAAGGCTGATTGGAACCAAGATGTATATATGTGTATGGGTGTGTGTGTGTGTGTGTGTATACACACATGCGTACTCCAGGATGTCTTTATATTTCAAATAAAGCAATCTCTAATCAAATTCCAGTCTGTGTGGTGTACGCTGGATTGTGATAGGCTTAGGCTGGGATTTTCAGCCTCTGCACTGTTGACATGTGACTGCACAGTGGCTGGATGATCTTTTGTTGTGGTTGTAGGGTACATTGTAAGGTGTTCAGCAGCACCCCTGACCTCTCCCTACTAGCTGCCAGTAGCAACTCTCTCCATTTCCCAGCATGACAAGCAAAAATGTTTCGAGACATTTCAGATGCCTGGAAGGAGAAGGTGCAGACTTGCCCTGGCTGAGAACCACTGAGATAGACAGAGAGCTGAAAGGCCAGGAAGCAGCCTGGCTCTGCCACTAAGTGGCTGTTAGAACCGGGGAAAGGGGCCTGACCTTTCTTGGCTTTAGTGCCATTTCTATAAAACAAAAGAGTGAAATGAGATGACTCCTGAGAGTCCTCCAGCTTTACTGTCCCATGCCAGGGTAAAGATTATAATAAATGCTGTCCTTGATCTGGATGCTGCATTCACCCTAAAGAACATTCAGCATTCATTTCCTTCTTTCCATCACTCACAGTCCTGATCACTCAACTCTCCTTTTCTTCCCTGTCACTCTGCATTCTCAGGTTTGCCCGACTTGCTGCAACCACATTTATCAGTCAGGGGATTCCTGTGTACCTCTTTTCTGATATAACGCCAACCCCCTTTGTGGTAAGTAGCCATTTCCTTTCATAATTTCCTGTCACATGATCAGGGATGGGACTTGGCTGAATTTTATAGTCTTTAGGGCTATTGGGATTGGACTGTTTGAATGACAGAGGAGTTCCTTGGCATGTATGAGACATTTCCTTCTCTCCTGGAATGTTTCTCCCACATCTTAGTAATATTTCTCTGGTATTCAACTTTTGATTCATTGGAATTGGTTTTTTTAAATTGCAGTTTTCCTTTTCTTTGCATTCTAAGGGTATTCGAGAGAGTCAGCAAATTTTTTTTTTTGAGACAGAGTCTCGCTCTGTTGCCCAGGCTGGAGTGCAATGGTACGATCTTGGCTCACTGCAACCTCCGTGTCCCGGGTTCAAGCAATTCTACTACCTCAGCCTCCCAAGTAGCTGGTATTACAGGTGCCTGCCATCACTCCCAGCTAATTTTTGCATTTTTAGTAGCGACGAGGTTTCACCACGTTGGCCACGCTAGTCTCGAACTCCTGGCCTCAGGTGATCCACCCAGCTTGGCCTCCGGAAGTGCTGGGATTACAGGCATGAGCCACCACGCCCGGCCTTTTCTCTGTTTTTAAATTTGGTTTGTAGTTCTTTTTCTCAGCTATCACAATTAGGAAACTTCTTGTGTCGAAATCTGAATTCACCTCAAACCCTGTCTTGTCATGAATATTTTTGACAAGCTGGCACACCCCTGTTTTATACAAATGTTTTATTCTAAATACTATTCATGGCTAGTACAGAGAGCATGCTCGGCATATTTGAGTAAGACTTTCATCAAATCCTTCATGTAGCACAATCTAAAGAAGAAGACAGTAGGGACTATGACAGTTGTTGCTTTGACATAGACAAAACTTTTAAGAGCTGGGCCAGATGCTGAGAATATGTTTTGGAAAATGTGATTTGGATGCAGTTAGTCACATCTAGTAGAAATGAGACTGTATTGCTACAGAAGGAGGTTCCAATTCATTTTGTGTTTGCCGGCTCTAGTGCACTGACAGGTAGATGCAGCACCCCTAGGCTGTAAATAACCTGCTAGACACTCTATTCACATCTAAATGTAGTTCAGGTTTCATTGTTTGATGGAAAAATTGTCATGTATTCAAGCATCCTAATTACCTTCTGTACTAAGTGTTAATAGCTATTAATTTTATGTCAGACATGAATTGAACCAGTGTATCATGATCCTCTGCCCACACTGAGGAGTCGTCCTCCCCTTTTCTTTGGCCCAGAACACCTGAGAGATGTGACATAACTTCCAGGGTGTTCAATGACTGCAGTGATTCTTGGTGAAAGGGTGGAGGGGACGGACAATTTAAATCTCAGGTTGCCTGTGTGTAATCAATGTCATTTGCCACAGTAGGGGGAATAATCCAACCCCTTCTCCCATTTTGGGAA